>NC_000003.12:189955574-191205574 GCF_000001405.40 Homo sapiens
AACAAGCTCTTCACAGTGGGAGGACAAATAGCAATCTACCTTTGCAAAGCTCAAGAACTTTTAGGTCTAAATTTGGGTTTACGTTTTTAAAAATCAGGTACACACATAAAAAACCCATTCACGGCCGGGCACAGTAGCTCACACCTGTAATCTCAGCACTTTGGGAGGCCAAGGCGAGTGGATCACCTGAGGTCAGGAGTTCGAGACTAGCCTGGCCAACATAGTGAAACCCCATCTCTACTAAAAATACAAAAATTAGCTGGGCATTATGGCAGGCGTCTGTAATCCCAGCTACTCAGGAGGCCGAGGCAGGAGAATTGCTTGAACCCGGGAGGTGGTGGAGGCTGCAGTGAGCTGAGATCACACCACTTCACTCCAGCCTGGGCGACAGTGAGACTCCGTCTCAAAAACAAAACAAAACAAAACAAAACCATTCACAACTCTCTAAATGTTAGCAGAAATAAATTTGGTTGTGACTATTTCTAAAATGGTTTTGGTTTCTTTTTTTTCTTTTTGCTTTGTTTGTATTTTGAGTAGGAGGGAGGGCCTTGTTACAATCAATTATGTCATTTTCAGAGAAGGGAACTAAAGTCTGGAAAGGGAAAGAGAGTAGTTCCATATCACACAGCAGGGCATATTTGATAGAACTGGGAGGATAATCCAATGCTCTTTCCACTCTCCCATGATTAAAATACAACCAGAAGGTTCAGTAAAAAACAGATGGTTCATACATCACTAACTCAAATTTTCAATTTCAATGGATGAATGTTCTTACCACTCACCAGATTGTAAACGGCAGAAAGTAAATCTTCCCTCCACCACTGCCCGTCATAAAAGCATGTGATCTCCCACGGGCGAATGATAAAGTCTCCCCTAGGTTAGAAGAACCCCATCCCCCATGAACTATGCCTTTGTAGTGTCTTTCTTAGAAGTGGGACCTGGAACCAAGCATTCTCTGGATCAATGCCCAGTTTGGTCTCCATCTCTGTTCTTCAAGAGCAGTGTCCCCACCTTTCCTGAGGCCACTGCACCAGCAACACTAGTCATGTCCCAATGTTGCCCCTAAAGTGGTCCCAAAAGCTCCTATGTAATTACAAAACCATTCTGTGAAGATAAAGCAAACATTTGGGAGAACAAAAATAAATGCCAGATATTAAAATAAGCCTCCCTTTATTAAACAAATCAGACACAAGCACAAATCTGTGTGCTGGATAGCAGCAATGAGGAGGGGCCCCCAAAATATAAGCAGATGACGGTTAAAATCAATCAGAAATTTATTTTTCTTATGTAAGTACAAAACACCTCTTTTCATCAGTGGACCCCACTCCTAGGCAACCTGGCCATGGTGCCCGGATGCAGGCAGTATTCAAGAGTTTCTTCCAAAGTCACCAGGGTGAAAAGCCATTCTACTACAACCTCTACATGACCTTTTAAAGTGTACAACTTATAGGACAGTCCTTTCTGGAGTACTGTGGAGGGTGAATCAAAGCTTCCAGTGTAAGTTTATTGTCTGGCGAAAACACCAGAGCCAAAAATTCCACCAAGGCCCTGGAAAGACTGAAGTCCCCTCTGTCTCATACAGTAATCATCCATGAGATCTCCCGGAGCCTGGGTGATCATTACGCCCATGATACCTGAGGCAGCGTGGACTCTGCCAGGGGCTCCTCAGACCCAAAGTGGAGCTCACTTTGGAGAGTCGGAGCTCATGGCCGTTAGCACCTAAGGATGTGGCTGAAAGGCACAGAGCAAGAAAGGGCTTCAGAGACCAGGCACAGGTTAATTTTAGAACTGGAGCACACGTGAGAGTTGTAGTTTCACCACCAAGAAGCTTATTCTCTCTAAGCTTTTGAATTTGCAGCAACTTAATTGTGTGTGTGTGTGTGTGTGTGTGTGTGTGTGTGTGTGTTTGGGGGAGGAGGTGAACTGGGCTTTGATAGATACATGAAATGATGAAAAACCAAGAAAGAGAGCTGGGTGTGGTGGCACGTGCCTGTGGTCCCAGCTCCCCGGGAGGCTTGAAGGATCGCCTGAGCCTAAGAGTTTGAGGCTCCAGTGTGCTATCATCACATCTGTGAATAGCCACTGCCCTATATCCTAGACAACATGGTTAGACCATGTCTCTAAGAAGAGAGAGAGAGAGAGAGAGAGAGAAAACAACCCAAAACAAGAAAGATAGATTGATAGATTGAGGCAACACAAGCATCCTTAGGAAGAGAAGGAAGATCTGATGACTGACATTAACCTGTTAATTTATACCATGGCTCTGTACAAAAATAAAAAGGTTCTCATAAGATTAACAATTTAAATAAATATTTGATAGAACATTCTTTCTCATTTTTATAGCTCATCTTTAGGGTTGATATTCAGTTCATGCTTCCCTTGCTGTTCTTGATCCAGAATTGCAATCACTTCATCAGCCTGTATTCGCTCCTGCAAAAAAGACAATTTACACATTTCTGTTACAAGCATAATAATCAGTCTCATCAGCAGACGCTTCCCAAACACTTCCTGGCATCCATCTGTACATGGGTTGATGCTATATCCAGTTAAGCATTGAACACCTCCTCTTCATCCCCAGACAGATGCCTTCTCCTAACATTCCTGGGTCCTAAGCAATTACTTTCTAAGATTTTCTCTCCTGCAAAGAACGACTGTATGTTCAACTGCTTCCTACTCTTTCTAATTCATGGCCCCATAGCCATCTCCAACTCAGTTCAGTGGTCAAGCTGAATTCACCATTTTCTCCCCAAGAACCTGCTCTGTTCTTCACGTAGGCTCTCTCTCGGTAAAGACCAACATCGCTCACCTATTTGCCTTAAAAGCCCGACCATGGTTTCCTGCATCTGATAAGTCACCTATTCTGTTCTATCTGCTGTCTCTGCCCCTTTCTCCTCAATGCACTATTGTTGCCGGAGTTTAGGTCAGGGTTTCTCAATTTTGGTCTGATTGACATTTTTAGACCAGATAATTATTTGTTGGGGGGTGGGAGGGTGGTGCTGCCCTGTGCCCTGCAGGATGCTCAGCGACACCCCGTCCTCTCTACCTACCACAGGTGTCAGTAACAACCTCCCCCACCAACCCCCAGATATTGCCAAATGTCCACTAGAGGGCAACATTGCTCCCTCTTTTTTTTTTTTTTTTTTTTTGAGATGGAATTTTGCTCTTGTTGCCCAGGCTGGAGTCCAGTGACGCGATCTCGGCTCACTGCAACCTCTGCCTCCCGGGTTCAAGCGATTCTCCTGCCTCAGCCTCCCAAGTACCTGGGTTTACAGGCGCTCACCACCATGCCCGGCTAATTTTTTATATTTTTACCATGTTGACCAGGCTTGGTCTCAAACTCCCGACCTCAGGTGATCCACCCGCCTCGCCCTCCCAAAGTGCTGGGATTACAGGAGTGAGCCACTGCACCCGGCCAATCGCTCCCTCTTGAGAGCCACCATTGTAAGCCCTCATCATCTCTTAATTACTGCCGCAGCCTCCAAATTGCTCTCGCTGTTTCACTACTCACCCTCACATGCTTCTAATGAATCCTACTGGCTTATATCTGATTATATCTCTTTCCTACTCACAGCTCTTCAATGGGTCCCTACTGCTTGAAGTTTCAGGTCTACTTTTCTTGGTGTGCTTATAAGAAGTTGCTTTACACCTGTCTCTTCTTTTTTTTTTCTTTTATTTATTTATTTATTTTTTATTATTATACTTTAAGTTTTAGGGTACATGTGCACAATGTGCAGGTTAGTTACATATGTATACATGTGCCATGCTGGTGCGCTGCACCCACTAACTCGTCATCTAGCATTAGGTATATCTCCCAATGCTATCCCTCCCCCCTCCCCCCACCCCACAACAGTCCCCAGAGTGTGATATTCCCCTTCCTGTGTCCATGTGTTCTCATTGTTCAATTCCCACCTATGAGTGAGAATATGTGGTGTTTGTTCTCTCTTCTTATTCATACCTTTCTCTCTTCTTTAGGTTTATTTTGCCTCCCTTCTCCTCACCTTATATTCCAACTTCTTAACTTACCTCAAGCTCCCTGAATGTAACACTTTCAAAAGAATTCCCTAATCCGATTCTGAATTAAGTGTTTCTCTGGATGCTCCCATTATATTCTACGCTTTCTTTTATTCCTCACATTAATCCATCAGCAGGTGCAGCTGGTCTACCTCCAAATTGTATCTCAAATCTTCCATCTCTTTTTACCTTCTCTATTACTACTCCAGTCCAAGACCACATGTTAGCTAAAGTAATCTTCTGTATCCTGTAACTCTCCAGGACTGGAGGAGATATGTGTGTGTGTGTGTGTGTGTGTGTGTGTGTGTGTGTGTGTGTGTGTGTGTGTTGGGGTGTGGGGACTACATGACTTTCCACTAGTTAGAATACAATTCGCATTTCCCAATCAGCCTGTGGAATCCGACTCCTGCCGCCTCCACGTCCTCTACTGAAGCCACTCTCCCTCTTGTCTGCCATATTCCAGATGCTCTGGCTTTCTTTGTTTCTTGGTGACTCCAAACATCTTATTGTCTCTGGGCCTTTGCAGCTTGTCCTCTGCCTGGAATACTCTCCTCCAGACATTTATCCTAGTGGACTTCTAATTTATTAGGTTTCAGCTCACATGCCACTTGTTTGGCGAGGCCTCACAATTTGCCGCTCCTACCCTTTCACTCCAGAATCAGTTGTCTTGTTCCATTTTCCACACATCATTGGTCACCGTGTGAAAAATCTCTCGATTATTTATTTATTTTTTACTTTTTTGGGATCTGTTTCCTTCCACTAGAATGTAAGCTCCAGAAGAGCAGGGCATCTTATCTTCTTGGTCACTACTGTATTTTCAGTGCTCAGAAAAGCCACTGACATGTGGCAAGAGTTCTATTTTCTTTGATGAGTAAATGTGTAAATGGATGAAGCCTTTCTCTGTCTAAAATGCCTCTCCCTAAAGAAATTGATCTTTTAAAGCTTTTTTTCAAATGCCATCTCCTCAAAGAAGCCTTTTTGGATTGCTTTTTGATATCCCTCAAACCACGCATTTGCTGCTAAGGATTCTTACCAAAACTTGCCTTGTGGTTTAATTAGTTGGGTCCTTGTATTATTTCTCCAATTTGACTTCAAGCTCCTTGAAAATAGGAATTATATCCTACTAGTGTGCATTCCCCATAGGCGGTCTTTAACACAGTGCCTGCGCACAGTAAGTTAAATAAATAACTATTTTATGAATTGAAAACAAAGCCCCTTTCATGCAAGAGCTTGTAATAAAAAATGTTTACAAAAAGGCAACTAAAAGGACTAGATATACTAAATAACAGAAAATTAAGTTGCTGCCACATCTAAATAAAAAGCCCAAGTACTACTTTACAAATATAAGGAAAACAATCTTTTTTTTTTTTTTCAAGACAGAGTCTCACTCTGTTGCCCAGGTTGGAGTGCAGTGGTGCGATCTCGGGTTACAGCAACCTCCACCTCCTGGATTCAAGTGATTCTCCTGCCTCAGCCTCCCCAGTAGCTGGGATTACAGGCATATGCCACCATGCCTGGCTAATTTTTGTAATTTTAGTAGAGACGGGGTTTCGCCATGTTGGCCAGGCTGGTTTCGAACCCCTGACCTCAGGTGATCTGCCCGCCTCGGCCTCCCCAAGTGCTAGGATTACAGGACTGAGCCACCGTGCCCGGCCAAGGAAAACAATCCTGATACTTAACAAATCGACACACATACAAAGCTTTCACATCTGTTGACCACAAGAAATGATTGTAATCTTGTTTCTCATTAAGGGAAAGAAATTCAAGAGCTGGAACCAATATATATGAAGCTTCGAACATCCTTGCATCCTTAAAAGGATGTTGCTAAATACTCCTTGAGAACTGAGACCCTTTAAAGTAATTCATAATAAGCATGAGAATCGGCCAGCTCTAATGACTTGTTCATAGGTAGGCATTTTTTTTTTCTGAGATTCAATCTGCAAAAAGACGTCTAGGCCAGGAACTCCCAAACTCTGCTGCTGCACGTTAGAATCACCTGGGGAGCTCTTAAAACTCCTGAAACACAGATGTTAGTAGTTTGTAACGATCAATAGATGATCTCCACGTGTAGCAAAGAATGATTCACAGCCTGGGCTAATTTAGCTGAGGAAAAAGTTCTGGTCATTTCCCACTGTGGCCACTAGATGCCGCTACGGCCTGAAGACTGGAGAGGTTTTCTAGTACTTTTCCATCAGAGGAAGGGACGCTGGCGTTGATGTTTCCTATTACAAAGGAGCAAAGAGAACTTACTTTGTGTTAGCTTATTTTGAGAGAACAATACCTTGGAAAAGGGAGTTTGGATACTGAATGATGAAATAGATTAAATGTCTGCTGAATTGAATACTAGAATAGTGAGGTAATATTTCAATAATTTTATCTTCACTGTCTACCCATTGACATAGGTTCCTTAGTTTAAAAAAAAATGCTTTGATGGAATGCTAACATTTTGGAGATGGAAAATACCAGGATATAAAGTAATGATAGGGGAAGGCAATTGTTTGCTGCTCCCTTGAGGTTTTCAGGACTCTGTGCTCTGGTCCTTTTGTCAGGGCCTTTCTTTCTTTTTCTTCTTCTTCTTTTTTTTTTTTTTTTTTTTTTTTAAGACAGAGTCTCACTCTTGTCGCCCAGGTTACAGTGTGGTGGAGTGATCTCAGCTCACTGCAACTGCAGCCTCCACCTCCTGGGTTCAAGCGATTCCCCTGCCTCAGGCTCCCGAGCAGCTGGGATTACAGGTGCGTGCCACCACGCCAGGCTAATTTTTGTATTTTTAGTAGAGATGGGGTTTCACCATGTTGGCCAGGCTGGTCTCCAACTCCTGACCTCAGGTGATCCACCCACCTAGGCCTCCAAAAGTGCAGGGATTATAGGCGTGAGCCACCACGCCCAGCCAGGGCCATTTTTTCTATGCCTGGCTATCGTCTTTGCTTCTAGGTCTGAGCTTATAGAAGTCTTCCTTGATTCCCTGCTACAAAACATATACTGTTCTCTTCTTACAGCGTATTTACTAGCTGTTCTGTCCAAGCTCCTCATAGTCCAGGACCTTGTTCTGTTCACCCTTCTACCCCTAGGGCCTATCTAGCAGAGTTTCCAAGGCAGATAATAATAGCTCTTCTGTACAATAAAAGGTCACAATAGGTCTTTTGTAAAATATGTGAAAGAATGGCTTAGGGAATGTGGGGAAACACTTTGTAAGTTAGATTTGATGGTGAAAAGTATATGAGAAAAACGCATTATTTTTAAATAGTTTCTGATGAAATTGGATTCAACTTAGGAACCTAACAAGGAAAACTGGATAGAATGCCAGTTTTAAGAATAGAATTTCATAGCTTCATCAATACTTAGGGCTGGAGAAGATTTGGAGGTCATCCAGTTAAGCCTCTGCTACGATGTTTTAGATTCCATTTCAGCGTTCCATGCTAAGCAGTTGCCTGGGCTTTGATTGGAGCCATCCAATCAGTGCTTCCAAAGCAGACAATTCTGCCAAACTGTGGTGACTATTTGAAAGTTATTCCTTGTGTGGAGCCCAAATTTTCCCTCCAGGGCTTCTACCCATTGGTCTTAATTCATACCGCTGCAGCTCCACAGGTGGAGACTATGACATCTGCCCACGGGCTTCCAAAACGATGAGATCATGGTCTCCTCCTAGCTAAGTGTCCTCAGCTAGTTTGCATATAATAATATTGAAATACTTAATGTAATAACAGTAATAAGTAATAATAATCTTTTAGGTTTCCTTGCCCTCTTTCAAATACGTTTCATAAATGATTCAATACTATTTCTTATGATTTGCGAGAAAACAAATCCGTCTTCTGGGTGACCAATAAAAAGTGATTCCTCCCTGATGCCACAGAGTTGTTTTGGTTTTTGTTTTTGTTTTGAGACAGAGTCTTGCCCTGTTGCCCAGGCTGAAGTGCAGTGGTGCGATCTCGGCTTACTGCAATTTACGCCTCCCAGGTTCAAGCGATTCTCCTGCCTCAGCTTCCCGAGTAACTGGAACTACAGGCGCATGCCACCACATCCAGCTAATTTTGTATTTTTAGTAGAGATGGGGTTTCAGCATGTTGATCAGGCTGGTCTCGAACTCCCGACCTCAAGTGATCTGCCCACCTCGGCCTCCCAAAGTTCTGGGGTTATAGGAGTGAGCCACCACGCCCAGCCTTACAATTTGTTAATAAGCTCAAGACAGATTAGTGACTATCAAATATCATTGACACAGCTATTTCTACAAACATCTTCACTTACTAGAACATATCTGATTAAGAACTGCCTTTACCCTCTTCTTTTCCTCAGACGAAGCAATTTAAAGGACTTCTCAGATAAAGCAGTTCATGAAGCAAGCCTAATTGGCTTTCTGGGCGGGTGAGAAACTCACCAATTCTCTATAAAGTGGGTCCAAGGTGAACCACAGAGCCACAGCACACCTCTTTCCCTTGGTGACTGCCTTCACCCCATGAGGGTTCTCTCCTCCAGATGAGAAGCTGATCATGCGCCCACATTTTGGTTTTATAGAGGCCTGAGAAAGAAAGCAAAAATTAGACTTTCAATTGTTGTATCATAAACATTTCCACAACTCCTGCTTCTCTGGCTATGAGATTATTTGAGTTAAGGCCTGAGGCGAAGAATAAAGGAATCCTGGGATTGAAGATGATGTAAATTATCTCAATTTTCTCACCCGTAAAACAAAGGTAAGGTCAAAATAATATATACCTCAGAAAATAAAAAGATGTTCAAGTAAAACGTGTAGCAAAGTCCACATACATAGTAATCATTCAATACATGCTATATATATGATAGCCTGCAAATTCAAAGAAGGCAAAGTTTTCCTCTCATAATTCATTTCTGTAGCTTTTGCACTAGCAAAGCATCCGGATACAAGGTAGGTGTCCATTCCATACTTGTGTAATTAACAAACAAACAAACAGGACATCTGCAGTGCTGGAAAAGTTGTTATTGATCTAGGTAGTGGTTACATGAGCGTATACGCTTTCTAATTTTTAAATTGTACATTCATGGTTTATGTGCTTTTCACAATACAAACATTTTTAAAAGTCATAATTCTGTATGATATTTCATTTCCTTTACACTATTGTTTCCCAGTGGTCGTTTAGGCATTGTTTGAACATCTCTAGTGGTGAGAACACGACACCCCTTGGAGTGGCCTATTCGCCATCACCCTTAAGTGTTTTAAGACTGACACAGTCCTTCGCAGCTTATGCACTGCTCAGGTGGAGCTGTCCACAGCGTTTAGGTAGAAGAGTGTAGTGAGAGAAAAAGAAATACTGCTGGGCTCACTGAGCCAGGGTAGAAGATCAAACAAGCTGCCTCTTCAAATTGAATGAGCTTAAGCAACTGAATATTAGAGGCCTTGCTTCTGTGTTTAAAGAAGTGTCTCATGTGAGTAGAATCCATTTTGTCTTTCTTGGGAAATACAGAAACTTTATTCATTCCTCTGTATAGTTCAGAAAAGTAAAGTAAAACCAAAAAAAAGTGGCACTAGCCATTTTACTAGGTGAGAACATGGACTGGTTCTCACTAGCCATTTTCTGAATTGACTTGAGTTGACATATGCCCGTAAATCTTTGGTTTCCTTCTGCATAAAATGAGCTGGCTGGTTTTTCACTGCTAGCTTCAGGAAGAATATTTGAAAAATTTCCTAAAGTCCTTGGTTGCTACATAACATAGGTACTCCCGGACTACGTGACTACATATGGAAGGTAAGAGGTAGGTGGAGGAGTCGGAAAGCCAGAGAGACAGGTGGGTGCATATGTGTTTATGTGGGCATGTGTGTGTGTTTATGTCTGTGTGAGTCTGCATGTGTGTGTATATGTGACTTGTGTGTGAGTGTTAAAGGGAAGAGCAGAAAAAAAGCAGTCAGTTTCTTTTTACTCTTCTACTCACAATAACTGAAGAGTGATTTGTCTTTGCTGGAATTGCTTTTCCTAAACAGCTTTACCAAGGCAACTGTTCTGATGTAAATCTAGAGAGTTCACGAGTTAGTCGTGTCCTCAGTATCAATGTGATTCTGTTTTTCTGGAGAAGGAATTTGTACATTTCCACATAGAAGCAGCAAAATAAGTGAAAGGTAAAACCTGTGAAGTAGGATAGAAAAGACTTCTGAGGCCGGGCGTGGTGGCTCACGCCTATAATCCCAGCACTTTAGGAGGCCAAGGCAGGTGGATCACCTGAGGTCAGGAGTTTGAGACCAGCCTGGCCAACATGGTGAAACCCCGTCTCTACTAAAAATACAAAAATTAGCCAGATGTGTTGGTGGGTGCCTGTGATCCCAGCTACTCAGGAGGCTGAGGCAGGAGAATCGCTTGAACCTGGGAGACGGAAGTTGCAGTGAGCTGAGATCGTGCTACTGCACTCCAGTCTGGGTGACAGAAAAAAAAAAAAAGAAAGAAAGAAAAGAAAGAAGAGAGGGAGAGAAAGAAAGAAAAAGAGAGAGAGAAAGAAAGAAAAGAAAGAAAGAAAGAAAGAGAAAGAAGGAAAGAAAGGAAGAAAGAAAGAAAGAAAGAAAAAAGAAAGAAAGAAAGAAAAAGAAAGAAAGAAAGAAAGAAAGAAAGAAAGAAAGAAAGAAAGAAAGAAAGAAAGAAAGAAAGAAAGAAAAGCCTTCTGAGTAAATGGCCTTGGGATGTTGGAATTTCAGGTTTTCTGGGCTGCCCACTCCCTGGTGCTGGTCAGGACTCACTCAAACACGCATTTGCCAATGTTTCTATGTGATTACCAAGTCTTGGTAACATCTTATAAGACTAAAGAAAGGATGTGGGGACAAATTAGTATTTTCTTTCTTCTGGAATTGAAAGTAATTTTAAACATGAATAACTTTGGGAAAGTTTAGGAAAAGAAGCTGTGAACTGTATGAGGCGGTTGGAACTGATTATAGCCGTGGATTCACAAGGATCTCTAAGACCCATCTCATCACACAGCGAACATCATCTGTTACATGTCAGGTATTTGGAGGAATAAACAAGCTTTAGTGAACCTGCTTCCATGTGTGACATTGTTTCTACAGCAAAAATATGTTATGAAGTTTGGATAAATGATTATAAACATACTTTTGTAACACAGCCCCGTTTATACTGAATTTAATTTTTCATGAAACAAATGGAACTCATTAAATTTTATCTTCTTTGAACCTGCACAGAGAAACCAACATCCTTGAATTCCCAAGTCTCACAAACAAATGCCGCTATTGAAAAGAATCCACATATCTTCCAAGTATACTAAGCATAATTTAAAATAATCCTTTTGCTTTCCGTCTAACTGATGATTGATTTAGAAAAGCGTTTGTGCTGTAATTGTCTTTAATAAAAGTAAAATTTCAGCCACCTTTCAGATAATTACACAACTTCCAGATTTTTCCAAAGTAAAGGACTCAGAAGACGTTACTTCCTTATGTGGCCTCAAGTTATGCCATTTCTCTGCTCCATTTGTCCCTCCACAGTCAAAGGGAAACTAAAACAGAAAAATACCCATTTCTGTTGCTGTTGTTGTTGTTGCTGGTACTAGAATAAACTTCCTGTGGGGAAAGATAAGAACTGCCTTACGTAAGAATTTTAGTTATCTACGTTATTCCCTAAAATGCCACTGTATGCATTAATATGAAGTATTTGAGGAAATAAATGTTCTCAAACAGGAGCTTTTGGATTAAAAATTTGTTTAAATCAGTTTTAGTTTTTTTAGGGGAGGTTAGATTCTGGGTTTTTAAAAATAGTTATAGATTTTAATTAAAATTGTAGCACTCTGAAAGGAGAATATTATCTGCTTTCACATCTTTAAAAAGTAGAATTCCAGTTAACTTGACATTCAAAAATTAATGAAACAGGCATCCCTTGCTTTAAGCATCAAGCATTTCCAAATACGGCCACTAGATGGAGGAGAAGCAAAGAAATCTTTTCAACCACCTGTCTGACTTTCTTTGAAACTGCGAAATGCCAGTATTTTTGTACCTCAGTTTCAGTGTTAGCAGAGATCAGAAATAAAATGCTTCCTACACTCAAGCTTTCCCAGAAGTGCAAAAAACCTTCTGGACTTTAAACTCCAATACAGATCGTCAATCTTGATTTAATTTATCAGATTACGGAGTATTAAAGTACTCCCATATTAACATTTAAGCTTTTTACCCAAAAAGTGAGGCATCATGACTTTTTAACATATATTATTGTATGAAGTCACATGAAATATTTTTTCTTAGTTATTACAATGTTTCTAGACAATTTTAACGAGAATCCTCATAGGAATCACCTTTTAACCCAGTAATACATACTTTTTGATATTACCTGCTTATATCACAGTACTGTGTGATGAATAACATATGTGTGTCATAAATGACAGATATGTTTCACTAATGAGAAAAGCATGTAAGCTATGAGGGACAAGCATAAAATTCAAGAAAAGTTTAGAAATAGCTTCTATAATGCCAAAACTTTGAAGTTTATCACATACATGTCCCAACTACTTAGATTTTGTATGGTGGTGAGAGATACCTGGTCATCTATAATCTGCTTACTTTCTCAATTGGAAATTTTTTTATTATTATTATACTTTTAAGTTCTAGTGTACATGTGCAGAATGTGCAGGTTTGTTACATAGGTGTACATGTGCCATGGTGGTTTGCTGCACCCCATCAAACCATTATCTACATTAAGTATTTCTCCTAATGTTATCCCCCTGACAGGCCCTGGTGTGTGATGTTACCCTCCGTGTCCATGTGTTCTCATTGTTCAGCTCCCACTTATGAGTGAGAACATGTGGTGTTTGGTTTTCTGTTCCTGTGTTTGTTTGTTGAGAATGATGGTTTCCAGCTTCATCCATGTCCCTGAAAAGGACATGAACTCATCCTTTTTTATGGCTGCATAGTCTTCCATGGTATATATCTGCTACATTTTCTTTATCCAGTCTATCATTGATGAGCATTTGGGTTGGTACCAAGTCTTTGCTATTGTGAACAGTGCCGCAATAAACATACATGTGCATATGTCTTTATAGTAGAATGATTTATAATCCTTTGGGTATATACCTAGTAATGGGATTGCTGGGTCAAATGGTATTTCTGGTTCTAGATCCTTGAGGAATTGCCACACTGTCTTCCACAATGGTTGAACTAATTTACACTCCCACCAACAGTATAAAAGCATTCCTATTTCTCCACATCCTCTCCAGCATCTGTTGTTTCCTGACTTTTTAATGATCGCCATTCTAACTGGCGTGAGATGGTATCTCATTGTGGTTTTGATTTGCATGTCTCTAATGACCAGTGATGATGAGCTTTTTTTCATATGTTTGTTGGCCTCATAAATGTCTTCTTTTGAGAAGTGTCTGTTCATATCCTTCTCCCACTTTTTGATGGGGTTGTTTGTTTGTTTTTCTTGTAAATTTGTTAAAGTTCTCTGTAGATTCTAGATATTAGCCCTTTGTCAAAAGGATAAATTGCAAAAATTTTAAAACAGAAAACTGGGCTATATTCTTCAGGCCATGGAGGGTTTTTGACCATTCCATGGATCCTATCTGAGGTATGGCAGTGAGCAGTAAACTTTTGGCTTTACTAGCATTTTCTTTCGGGGTCTGTAAGTCCCGGTCCACCAAAACTGCTTCCTCGTGCTCCTTCCAGCAGTCATAATCTGTCACCATGGCAATACTCGCATAACAAATTCCAGCCTCTTTAGTGAGAACCACCTCTGGAACTGTGGTCATGTTGATAACATCCACCCCCCAGGTGCAGAACATGAAGCTTTCTGCTCAAGAGATAAAACGAGGTCCCTCAGTTGTGACCATTGTCCCCTTTGAATGTCACCAGAGTCCTAGCTTCTTAGCAGTCTCTATAAGAACGTCTCTCGTTTGGGGGCTTGGCCCCCATTGGAATATGGCACACTCCTCTAGCACAACAATGACTTCCATCATAGAGGGACTGAGGTCTCATACTGGTCCTGTCAATGAACTGATCAATAATGACAATATCGCCAGGTTGAATCTCCTCCCTCAAGGAGCCACAAGCTGTGGTCCCTATGACATGTGTACAGCCCTCTTCCTTCAAAGCCCAGATGGTCGCCTGGTAGTTGACCTTGGAAGCCAGGATGGTGTGCTGCCTCCCATGCCTTGCAAGGAGGACACAATCAACATTTTTTATCTTCCCCAAAATTAAGACATCAAATGGCTTGCCAAATGGAGTATCCACATATTTTTCAGTTCTTCCTTCTAAAATTTCTGGATCATCCAGGCCTGTTCCACCAATTATTCCAATCTTCATGGCAGTGGTGGTGGTGCTTGAGGCCATGTCCGCACAGGAAAGGAAGCTGCAGTGGGCGAGCACTCGGGACTAAGGGAATGAAGTGGGCCAAAGAGCGGCAGCAGTCGAAAATATATTTTTCTACCATTGTGTATGCTCTTTGGCTTGAAGACCAAAGGATGCTAACTATATGGTCTTTAAGTAGGCTTCTTTCCAAAGGCACGGGTTTACTTAGGAAGATGGTCGTTGAATTGAACTTTTGATTTACTCTTTGTTTACATATTTGTGTGTGTGTGTGTGTGTGTGTATCAATTTTCAGGTATGAGTTTATTACATACAGTCACAATCATATATCTCTCTATGCATATATATATGCAAATATATATATATATATATATATATATATATATGAGGCCATGTCTGCATGGGAAAGGAAGCTGCAGTGGGCATATTTATATGTGTGTATATATATTATATATATATTTTTTATATATATAATATATATACACACATACCTATAGGTATATATACACATACACATACATACACACATATATGATAATTTTGGTAACTATATATTTGAAGGCCAATGCTCAGTCCAAGTACGTAGAACACCAGGTTACTTGAAAGACACCTTGTAGAATCATTTGACTTATTCTAGACTTGGGTGACTTAGGAACTGACGTTCTTACGTTTCCATCAGATTACTTGACAAAGAATTAGAAGACCTAGGTTTTGGTTCCAAGTCTAACACTAACTAGCTATATGATCATGATAAAATGATTAATATCTCAATTCTTTAATTTACTCATCTTTACAACGTACTAGATTTTTATGGATACTTCTAACAGTTTATGATCTATACATTTACTGAAACTCTCTTAACCTCTTGAAATCTTGAGCTCAGAAGTATTTGAAATCTAACCATCTGTAAGTACTTAGAAAAATGGCAATACTGAGCTAAAACATACTAAATAAGTATTCAAGAATAGGTTTACTTACAGTCACAGTCTTAGCATCCATCTCTGTGAATATGAATTCTCCTCCTTCAAAGTCATCATTCATATATAGGAGAGCACTATAAGAATGAAGAGAAAACTATTTGTATTATTATATGCTTATGAGAGCATGGTCATAGAATACTGAAGACTGGTGATGTACTGTCCAGCCTCCATTAGTAAGTTTCCTTTGAACTAGACATTGATATAATTGGTCCTCCAAACTCTTAAAGAGAAGATCAGATAGAGTTTGAGTTATACCTCTGAAGAGTTTACTTATTCCACCTTTACTAAAATTGTAATCATATGTCAAAGCTTGTCTCACATTTCACTTCCTCCACAGAAAACCTAACTAGTTTTAATTTAATCTAGCCCTTTGAACGTGCCCACCCTAATTACAACTCTCTTTTTCCCTTATATAACTCTAAAGGATTTTTGTTTGTTTGTTTGCTTTGTTCTTGTTGTTGTTTTTCTCTTTAACTTGCTGAAGAGTTCCTTGTGGCCTAGCCACGCCTTGCAGATAGCGGGTGCTTAATAAATGTTTTGGAATCGAGTACAGTGTAGTAAGGATGAACACATGGTGACTATAACTCCTGATTCCTTACACACTGAAATCTCTCTCAATAGGTAAGGACATTCTTTTCTCCTGAGTTTCTAGTGTCTTATTTATAAAATGCAGACATAGTTCTTCTTGGGTATGAATAAAGATAATTGATGTGATAAAGTCCTTATGTAGGCCAAGACTCCATGCCCTTGTATTCTGACTGAAATACATATACCACAAGGAATATGTTCCAGGGAGAACAGGAATTTTTTTAAAAGAACATAAAATTTACTTTTCATATTAAAACAAAATGGACATTTTGTGAAATGGGATGCAAACTGTGCACAATTTTTAAGATAAAAGTGAGATGATAATGCCACTTATTGGTTATGGCAGCTACTTCAGAAGATTATTTGAGAATTTCTGCCTTGGAGATATGAACACGACGTCAAGCAAAACAGAGCACCTTTCCAGTTTTCACTGCTTGAAAACTGTTAGGTAAAAGCTTTGTTTTGAAGCAGGTTCTAGCTATACCTATAGTCTCGAAATGTGTAAGCAGGAGGCTCCTTCCAGCATTCGTTGGCCTCTGGATCCAACAAACAGTTGTCAGCATGGATGGGATGACTGAGGTCATTTCTTCTATCCTGCTGACCTGCCAGAAAAGGGAATAGGGAAGAACGAGAAATGAAGTGCAGCAACTTCCACCAAAGTAACTGACAATCTCTCTTCTCCCAGTCCTGATGATCTTTGCAAATGGGCAGAGGCAGACAACAGGAAAGAACAGATAAAAGAACAGTGGACAAGTAGTTGAGATTCTGGTCTGGTTCTGATATGAACTGGATGTGAAACCTTGAGCATGTCACACCTGTCTCTTCAGCTATAAAAGTTATTTCTGATATAAACATACATGAACAAATTCCATGCGTTTCATGGGTTGTACTTCACATAGGGCAGCAAAACAATGGGAAGGAAATGAAAATTTTTTAAAAAAACAAGATTTAATTCAGCTAAAACTTCCCAAGTGTAAAAGTCTACTCCTATGACATCATTATTCCCCCCGCCCCATTCAGAGGGGCATAAGACATAGAGGAGAAATAATGCTGAGCAGGGACCGAGAAGGTCCCGGTCTTTTTAAGAGTATTTCTTTCAATCATCCCTTCATCTTCTATGCTTCCACTTAATGCTGGTAGACATCATGGTGACTATGATTTCCATGTTCCTGATTCCTCAAAATGGGAAACCTACAGCAGAAAAGCATTTTTTTTTCCCAAGACTTCAGCAATTGGGGAAAATTGATTTGGAAGGGAAAATGTTCAGAACGAGGGTTTTCTGGAACTTCAGAAGAACAAAAGGAAGAAAAAGAAAGAAGCAGAATAAGAGTTCATAAGCTACTTTTGTTTTGGAAATCTAGAATTCGTCTAAAATATTAATCTACCATGCTGTTGAGCTTTGTTTTGCCTTGTTTCATTTCCCAATGTATTGTGGGTAAAAGGGAACCATTTCAGACTGCAATCTCACCAGACAGGGCTGTTCGGCAGACCATGTGTGTATAGGAAAAATACAGAGTTGAGTTCAGCATAAAATAAGATTCTACAATCCTTCGAGCCTTTTCGCTGATGTCATAAAACAGACGAGCGCTCTTCAGTGGGACTCGACCTTCATAACCAGACTGAAAAAAAAAAACAAAACATGAGAAACAAATGGGTTCATTGGAGGTCGTAAGAAAAACAGGCACTAGCTTGCATTGAGCCAATATAGGATTGTCATGTCTGTATTGACTAATGGGGAAGGCTACTACATATTTGTGGATTTCGGTTAGGACATTGTGCCATTGGAATAAACTCTTCCCAATAACAGATGGAAAGCTAAAAGCTACTTGGTTCCTCTTCTCTTCTATTATAATATGTTCTACCATCCTCTCTAACAACCCTTCCTGCAGTAGAGAATAATTACTTGTTTGAATATGTTTTCACTATTAGATCATGATTTTACAAAGAGGGATTGTATGTATTTTTTGTCAGGAAATGTAAAGTTTGATAAGTTGATGGCTGAACGGAGGAATGATTAACTACAATGAAGGTTTCATTTCACTCTTGCTTCTTTCAGCTGTCCTGATAGGTATATATTCAAAACTTTTTTCTTTCTTTCTTTCTTTCTTTTTTTTTTTTTTTTTTTTTTTTTTTAAGACGGAGTCTCGCTCTCGCCCAGGCCAGGCTGGAGTGCAGTGGCGCGATCTCGGCTCACCGCAACCTCTGCCTCCCAGGTTCACGCCATTCTCCTGCCTCAGCCTCCCGAGTAGCTGGGACTACAGGCACCCACTACCATGCCTGGCTAATTTTTTTGTATTTTTAGTAGAGACGGGGTTTCACCATGTTAGCCAGGGTGGTCTCGATCTCCTGACCTCGTGATCTGCCTGCCTCAGCCTCCCAAAGTGCTGGGATTACAGGCGTGAGCCACTGTGCCTGGCCACTTTTTTCTTTCTTATATCTGCCATTTACAGAAGCCTTAGGCTGACACTAAGGAACTCAAACCCAAAAGAAGTTAAGACTTTACTTTGAGTGCTTTCAGGACAGTTGCACCTTCAAACTTTTCATTGGGTGTATGGGGTGAAGTTTTTCCTCTGTATCCATCACCAACAAGCATGATTCCCTGGAAGCAAATACAAGAAGATACGTCATCAATGATAACTATGAATTCATCAGGTCTTTTTCTGCTTTGGCTGCCAGAAAGCTGAGAACTCTAGTCAATGCTAAGAACCATCCCCATTTTATTCCAGGATGCTGGTATAACTATTCTTTTAATTAAAAGAGATATCTTTATTTAATCTTCATTCTACATTTTTATTATCAAATACTGTCACTTTTTATGGAAATAAAAAGAATGTAAATTATTGATATATTGCCTAATAATTAATTAAAATAAAAGGATTTCTCCAGCAACTTTATATGATAGGCAGGGACCTTGCTAGATGGCTGTTGGGCTAGGAAATATGCCAGTAGCTATTCCAGATCCCACCCGGGAAAACTAAAATAATCCCAACCCAAAGGCTATAAAAGTTCCTCAAAAATAATTTATGTCTTTCTCCTCAAGAAAGCAATATTTCAGGGCTTGTTGTCTGGCTCCAGATGAGACCAGGACCAAAGCAGTTCCAGCTTCTTGGCAGGCCAGCGCAGTGAGCTCCCCTCCTTCTCCGGATCCTCACACTGGCCACGCTGTGGAGCTCCCGGCACTGTTCTTCCGACAGGACGTTATCCAGGAGAACCCGCTGAGTCCCGTTCAGCTGCTCCGAGTTGTAGACGAATGTGATGTTCTCATAGAGTAGAGGACCACCTACAGGAACAGAGCACATTGTCTTCCCTGTTACCTCTGTCCCCCGAAAGGAAGCACAGAATACCAAACAGCTTTCAATGTGCAATTCGAGTGAGTCCATTTCTTCATGAATATTTAGAAATGCAAAGACAAATTGCAAATTAGGAAGCTTGATAAACACAATATAGATTCAGGAGAAAGATGTCTATCGGGTTTCCTCATAATGTCATAATAATGTTACATGCGTACATTATTTTGGGAGAGATAGAACTACTTTTGCATTTGTTTCTAATGCTGATCCCAAAAAGTCGACTGGGCATCTCATAGGACTCTCTTCTGAGAAAGTCCACCCTTGTTCACAGCCCCTCATTCATACCTCTGTCGCAACACCACAGATTGCATGTTTGGGTCCCCAGGTATGACATGCACACCTCAGTTTCACTGGTGTCTAGAGTAACACCTTCACTAGGTGATTCAGGTAGTCACACCCAAGTCACTTGACTCTGCCTCAGTCTTCTTCCTACCACACAACTGACCCTAGGTTGTCTTGCTTTTGGAGTGTTTTTCTCTGTTCTCCAGGCAAAATCATCACGTTTCTATTTCCACACAGGAGGGTTTCCCTTAGGCACCTACTCTCTTCCCAGAGAGAGACCACAAGTTTATAAAATTAACTCCAGATAGGCTCTTCAGAGGGTGATGCTTTGGGGTCACATTTTAGGTTGTGAAATTACAAAATCCAGACCTGACAAAGACTTTTTTTCATAGAGTAGGACTGAAGGACAAAGCCTCTGATAGAGAGGAAATCTTCTGGTGTAGCATAGTGCAAACATTTTGAACCAGAAAATGGAACAGAAAAGAAAACACTGCTTCTAACCATTTATAACACTCCCAAGGGGCCTGGTGCGTGCTTGTCCATAGCAACAGCCGAAGATAAGACAGCAGGGATAGGGAAGGCACAACTCCCTGCCACCCCAGGTCTAGCAAAGGTCACCAACACGTTGGCCTAAAACACTCCAACAGAGGAAGAAGAGACAATTGAAATTGATGTCTACTTTATAAAATAGATTAGTCAGCCTAGGGAAGAGCACTGTCTAAATGTTTATTAGTCTAGCTAGGATAAAAGACTCACTACAGCTCATGATTAATGGAATATTAAAAGCATGAGGCAGTGTTTCTCAATCTAGAGTAATGTTCGGTTATCTGTTAAAGCAGAAGTTCCCTAAGGAGCTCCAGTGCTGACAAATTATTTTCACTCTAATTTTACTTCTATATATGCAATCATAAAACTATGTTCACATTATTTATTTTAGTAGTTTCATACAGTACCCAAACCAATTTACAAGACTAAATAAAAGCAAGACCATAAAATGAACTAAATTCCAATCAACAAATGGAATGGTTAACGTTATTTTTCTGAAAATAAAAAGCTACCTTCCACATGAATATTCTACTCACTGATCTGGTCTGGGTTCTTTTGAGCCAGGATTCCTTATAGTACTGTTGGTGTGTAATTACTATTCTACCACAACTTTTCTCTAGTTAAACTACTACACAATCTTAATGTACCACGATTAATTTTGGCCTTTGTATCAGTCCATTTTCTTGCTGCTAATAAACACATACCTGAGACTGGGAAATTATAAAGAAAAAGAGATTTAACGGACTCACAGTTCCACGTCTGGGGAGGCCTCACAATCATGGTGGAAGGCAAAGAAGGAGAAAGTCATGTCTTACATGGTGGCAGGCAAGAGAGCTTGTGCAGGGAAACTCCCGTTTATAAAACCATCAGATCTTGTGAGACTTATTCACTACCAGGAGAACAAACCACCCCCATGATTCAACTATCTCCACCTGGCCCTGCCCTTGACATATGGGGATTATTACAATTCAAGGTGAGATGTGGGTGGGGACACAGCTAAACCATATCAGCTTTCATCTAAGCCTAATACATTATTTATAAGTGCATCGTATTTCATTTATTTCTAGTCTTTAATCATTGAAGTATTATTAGTTGGCGTTAATATGACCATAACTGTGCCCATTGAACTGTGGAATCCCATGACACCACCTGGCTAGAAGTTGATCCCTTAGATAACCCCTAATTGCTTCTCTTAATTTTTGAAAATTGTGATTAAAATTTATAAATATGGAATTTTTGGATCCCAAGAATATATCCATAAGCCTCGTTTCAGTATCACATCTTTTAGTTGAATAGAAAAATATGCTTTTCTACAATTCACTATTTCTCAAATTGTGTTGCATTGAAAGTTCTGGGAAAGTACTGGGTTAAATAAAAGATAAGAGGACGTCTCAGAACTTTTAATATGTGAACAGGCCTTATTAATGTCCTAAGTAGTAACATAATATGCAGCAGTTTTTAGCCTTAATTGAATACAATTCTCTCCCTCCCCGACTCCCCCAACTTCCTTCCTGCAGCAGAGACTTTACGATGGGCTGCAATGATCATTGCCTCCCAACATTCATACAGCTGTGCAATTTGCTTCCCACAAGTGCGAGTGGAACCTGGAACTTACTTCTAAACAGTAGAATATGGCAAAGGTGATAAGGTGTCATTTCTGTGACTATGTTACATGAAATTGCAACTTCTCTCTTGCCTTCTCAGTCTCTTGCCTTCTCCGCTGCCATGCTGTAATGAAGCAAGCGGCTGTACTGGAGAGGATCACATGGCAAGGAATAGAGGGCGTCCTCCAGCCAACAACCAACTAGGAACTAAAAGGCCATAGTCCAACAACTTTTTGGGAACTGAATTCTCAGCCCTGGTCAACAACTTGACTGAAACCGGTGAGAGATCCTGAAGCCAAAGACACAGTTATGTTCTCTGCAGACTCTTACCCCACAGAAACTATGAGATAATAAATGGATATTTTCATAAGCTGCTATATTTTCATTATGTTTTCACAGCAATAAAAAAAGTAGTCTTTAAAAAATTTATTTGACAGGGTCTCACTGTCACTCAGGCTGGAGTGCAGTGGCACCACCATCATGGCTCACTGCAGCCTTGACCTCCTATCCTCAAGCAATCCTCCCACCTCAGACTCCCAAGTAGCTGGGACTATAGGCACGCACCACCATGCCTAGTTTATTTTTTTTTTTGTCAGGGTCTTGTTATTTTTTTATTTTCAGGGTCTTGCCCAGGCTGGTCTTCAACTCCTGGACTCAAGCCATCCTCCCTCCTCAGCCTCCCAAAGTGCTTGGATTCGAGGCATGAGCCACCACGCCCAGCCAAGTAGTCTTTTAAAAATCCCCCCTAAACGTCTTAGCATAGAACGCAATTTGGAAAAGGCTGTTCTAATCTATGTAGCTGATTAAAGTTTGTAGTCAAATTGAGACAGGCATTCCCTCGAATATTTGGAAAAGTGAACTGTATATTCCATTCCAATTTAGAAGTATAAAAAGAAATGTTCCTTCAAGAAGAAAGATAAGATACTTGTAGATTCACTGAAAAGCATCTGCTAATAAAAACTCAAATAGAAATGAAAGACAGATGAGAGATTTAGTGAATTAAGTTGGTTTATACTTTGCCAAGTTTTTCTCTTTTTCTACATTGAAGATGTATTATTTTAAACATAATTAGCTTATTTTCAAAATATGATTTTGAAAGTTAGCAAAAATGAAATATTTAGGAAAATGTCTACCAGTCTTAAGCTCCATTATAAGTATGTATTATCATTACTATCGTTATTGTTGAATTAATAAGCTACACCTGGAATACTGTGTTAAGTTCTGATTGAGACACCTTAATAAGCATAGAGCCTTAAGAGAAGGCTACTGGGATATTGACAATTCTCCTAGCATTCCACAAGTAACATGCAAAGATCAAGTGAAGGAAGAATGTAACATGGAGTCTTCAATATCTGAATCTTGGGTTCCGGGAGAATCTGCATTAGAAATATGCCTTTCATGTAGCTAACATAATCATTAATATTACTAAGTGTAGAATTTTACACAGATATTTTCCACACGTACATTTAACAAAAACGACCCATCACCCATCAACTAACCAAAGGAAAAAAAAAAAGACAAATGAAACCCTATCATTCAACAGGCAAGTCAACCAGCCTCCATATGACTACCAGTCTTAAGCTGGTAGCTTAATGACTAGTAGCACACCAGACAGAGGAAAACATTAAAATAAAAATAAAAATGTAGTCCAATAAATTGTGGTTTCTGGGGCCTGATTTGATGGCTTCAGCCAATTCTTAACCACAGCCCAAGAAGATTTAGTCAAACAAGTTAATTCTTCCCTCGTTTATAAAGTATGTGCCTGGCTCTGACTCTCTGGTTGCAACAAGAAGGGATCATCTAAGAAAGTACTCCCTTGTACTCACTGTCTGGCTCATGGCAAGAAGAATCACTTTATCAGAAATTCGATAGTGTCATACAAAGCATGATGGTGTAGGCAGGCTAACAATCCCTATATGAGTACAGCCTTTTACAGTTAAAAAAACAAAAAAAGGGCAAGGCACGGTGGCTCACACCTGTAATCCTAGCACTTTGGGAGGCTGAGGCGAGCAGACTGCCTGAGCTCAGGAGTTCAAGACCAGCCTGGGCAACACAGTGAAACCCCATCTCTACTAAAACACAAAAAAAAAATTCGCTGGGCATGGTGATGCATGCCTGTAATCCTAGCTACTTGGGAGGCTGAGGCAGGAGAATCACTTGAACCCAGGAGGCAGAGGTTGCAGTGAGCCAAGATCGTGCCACTGTACTCCAGCTTGGGCAACAGAGTGAGGCTCTGGCTCTAAAATAAAAAAAAAGAAGAACTTTTTATGTTTACCATCTTAAAACAGTTACTATCCTT
Organism: Homo sapiens; assembly: GCF_000001405.40. Classification (NCBI taxonomy): domain Eukaryota; kingdom Metazoa; phylum Chordata; class Mammalia; order Primates; family Hominidae; genus Homo; species Homo sapiens. Next base: position 189,979,487 of record NC_000003.12, read on the forward strand.
CTTTTATAGATAAAAATCATAGGGCCCAGAAAAATTGAGTCACTAGATCTTCATCACTGTGGAGCATATCAGAATAAGATAATCCCAGAGACTAAGCCTCCTGATTCCAAGTTTATTCCCCAACATTGTTTCTACTATCCCCCTACTGACTCTGGAATCATATCCAGCACAACCTTTAAAAATCTGGTGGGTGGGCTGAGCACAGTGGCTCAGGCCTGTAATCCCAGCACTTTGAGAGCCCAAGGCGGGTGGATCAACTGAGGTCGGGAGTTCAAGACCAGCCTGACCGAGATGGTGAAACCCCGTCTCTACTAAAAAAAAAAATGAAGAAATTAGCCTGGCATGGTGGCATGCACCTGTAGTCCCAGCTACTCGGGAGGCTGAGACAGGAGAATCACTGGAATCCAGGAGGCAGAGATTGCAGTGAGCTGAGATCGCACCACTGTACTCCCGCCTGGGTGACAGAGTGAGACTCTTGTCTCAAAAAATAAAAATAAAAAAAAAATCTGGTGAGTGAAAGGAGAATGGACAAGTGACAGCAATGTTTTTTAGTGAGTTTCCATATCACGCATGTTTCATGGACTGAAGCCACTGTGGGATGTAAGTAGCCCTGGGTCACCCCATCTTAATGCTTAGGAGCTGTCCAGTAGGAATAATACAAAATACTAAACACTGATAGGCATCCAGAGTAGATGACAGTCTCTTTGGGGAAGATGAGAAAAGCTGAAGTATACTCTATTCTGCGACACATGCCTCCCTGACATCCCCTTTTAGTCAGATTAAGATATGAAAATGTTGCTGGGCGTGGTGGCTCATGCCTGTAATCTCAGCACTTTGGGAGGCCGTGGCGGGAGGATCACAAGGTCAGGAGTTCGAGGCCAGCCTGGCCAATATGGTGAAATCTCGTCTCTACTAAAAATGCAAAAATTAGCCGGGTATGGTGGCATGTGCCTGTAGTCCTAGCTACTCAGGAGGCTGAGGCAGAAGAATCGCTTGAACCCAGGAGGCGGACGTTGCAGTGAGCTGAGATCACGCCACTGCACTCCAGCCTGGGGGACAGAGCGAGACTCCATCTCAAAAAAAAAGAAAAAGAGATATGAAAGTGTTTTCTGGTTGGAAACTTTGTATCTATCTACAACTGTTCTTAATTTAGATCCTAATTAGGTATCTGACGACTGGACAACAGGCTTTTTAGTTATGATATAATAAGAAATATACTGGTTTTTATCCCTTGTTTCTAGCACAGAGCTCCCAAATCCCTTGGAATTTCCCAAGGGATAAGAGTGTCCTTTTTTACTTATAATGAGATCCTTTTGATCACACTTAAGTTTATGCTGATGAGATGAATTAGGGTAGGGCCCCTAAAAAGATTCAGAATGGGGCTGGTCACCAGAAAGACCAAGTGATTAGGAAAGTGAAACTTTTAGCCCCACCCACAGACCTCTGGGAAAGGAGTTTGGGGCCTGCAAATTAAGCTCTATAAAAACTCTTGAACAACAAGATGTGATGAGCTTCTAGGTTGCTGAGCACGTGGAGATGCTGGGAGGGTGGTTTGCCCATGGAGGGCATGGAAGCTCCTCCTGCCATCCCCCCATACCTTGCCCTATGTACCTCTTCATCTAGCTGTTCATCTGTATCCTTTATAATAAACCAGTAAACACAAGAGTTTCCTGAGTTCTGTGGGATGCTCTAGCAAATTAACCTAACCCAAAGTCAGGATCATGGGAACACTGGTTTGTAGCTGGTCAATGAGGGGTTGGTCAGAAGTATAGGTAACAACTTATACTTGCAATTGGCATCTGAAATGCCAGTTGTGGGCTAAGCCCTTAACCTGTGGGATCTGACACTATTTCCAGACAGACAGTGTCAGAACTGAATTGGATTAGTTCACCCTCAGTTGCTATCCACTGGAGAATTACTGGTGCATGTGGGTAAAACCTCACACACATCTGGCCACAGAAGTATTCTGTATTGAATGAATATGAGAGTACGGTAGGTAAAAAAAAATTTTTTTTTTCCTTCAGACCAGTAGGTTCCCAGAAAACATTCCATCCTACAACCCATTAGCCACTTCGTCCTAGACAATTCTGTGGAAATGGTAGATTTGTGTAGCCCAATTAATCATGATCCTTCTCTATCACACGTAGTCTTCTGTTCTGCTCTTCTATTAACCTTCTAGTCAGTTGCTGGACACCAGATTCCCTGGTAGCCAGGGGAAAAAAATGCTTTGAAATTTGGCAACTGTCCTGGAGTTTCCCAAACATTTACAGCAATGTGTTGGCTTATTGGCATGAACTTCCTGGGTGATTTCTCAGCCTAAAAGGCAACATGAACTCTGGCTGACCATGAAGCTCTCTGGCATTTGTAAAACAGCTTGGGCTTTGTGGCTGCAAACTGAGGTCCAGGTCAGATTAGATGAGCATATTATCCTGTTTACTGGTTCAAAACTGACTTGGAAGCTAAGGAAGGAAAGGGATGGGAAATGTGAGAGCTGTAGAGAGCCAAAAGTTTTCAAATCAGAGGAATGTGCTGACAAGATCTCCTGGGGAAAGAAGTACTGTACAGCTTCCCAATGCAGCACTTTGAAAGCCTCTTGTCTTGCAATTCTTTCATCAATAGGTGATATATTTTTGATATCTACACAATTCTATGTTTCATGCAGCAGGTGAAGAAGAGAAAATGGGATTTCGGGTCAAATGTCTGGGTTCAAATGCCTGTTCAACCTGTTCTGAGCTTCTGAGACTTCAGAGAAGTCATTAAATCTTCCCACATGAGATGCTGTTAGTATTAAAATAGTATGCAAATAAATTGTGTGCAAATTTGCTGGGAAATCATAAAACATATAGAAATAATAATTGTTAAGAATTAACCACTGCTGTTAGTATTACTATTGCTAATAGTTTTTATTAATATAACAATGCTTGGCTCTACTTAAAAACTGTTTTTGGCAACACTCCACCTGTTGTCTCTACTAATTTTCATCTTACATAAGTAGGCACATAATGTTCCGCTCGCTTCGTCTCTGTGCCTTTGCTCCGTTTCTTTTAACCACTAGAATGGTTCCCTCTACATCCATGCATCCTACTACATTCTGCTTTCTCTAAAGGCCCTGCTCAGATCTATGTGCTTCAAGCATCTAAGGTTAACTAATCTAATATCCCATGTGGCTGGTCTCCTCTCCAAGTTCCTCTGATATACAGTCTGTCCCACACTACCTAGCTCTTACTGACTGTGTAACAGAAGTAAACCATAGGAAATTGCTAAGCCTCCGGTATTCTGAGAATGGTGATGACCATGCAAGTTTCCTTGGGAAACAGATGAGGGAGTGAATTTGGAGGCTTTTTCTTTTTTTCTTTTTTTTTGAAACCCATGGTAATAATACACAAATCTAAGACTTTTTTTTTTAAGTCTTGCTTTCAGACTATTAGGGAGTGTAGTAGCTTAGTCTTATTCTTTATTTTCTAGAGAAAGTGGGTTCTTCCTTGATCTGGAAAAGAACTGGTCAAGCCCCATCTTCCCCTTCCCCTCCTTTATAGGGTAAAAGTGCACAGCTACTTACCTTCTCTTAGGTCTCGATCTATCTTGGGTGATAGCTTTTTTCCCATTGAGAATCCATGAACTTCTGCTCCCTCTACGTTCACTCCTGAAGGGACCCTGCCCATTCAAAAAATTTAAAATGGCAATTTGTCATTGAATAACGATGTTCAAAGGCAAAGAATACTTTACCAAGGTAGTCTGTGACTCTATATTGTGTATTTTATTGTAAACAAGTTCACCTGTCTTTTAAAGTCAAATTAAATGTCACTGCCTCTAGTAAGTTCTCTATTTCCTCGGTGAGTTTGCCTTATTTCACTCCTCTAAATCTTCTTAGCAACCTTTATTACAATTAATTGTATGCATAACATAACTCTCTTCAGATTAGACTCTAATCTCAAGTAGGAAAAAAATTATCATGAGCATCTTTATAATGCTCAGAGTGTCCAATGGGGCCTGGAACATGGAGTGCATCATTGAACAACTGTTGAATTGAAATAAATTATGTCATAATGTAGTAGTTCTTGACTATTGTGAAAAGAAGACACAGGTTTGTCATATGCAAACACACAAATGATAGCAGGCTGTTCTTTATATACGTAAAAATCAAACAAATCCAAATGTGTATATACATTCTTGGATCTCTCGAAATAATTTTATGCCACCCAAGGGTTGAGTTTTTGAAGCCTCGTGAAAGACTTCAAGATTCTAAATAAGAAGATCTGGATCTGTCCTTCCTTTGTGATGAGACTCTAAGCAAGTTGCTTGCCTTGTCAGGGCCTCAGGTTCCCAATTTGAAAATGAATAAGCTGGACCATGTGATCTCAAGCAGGTGTTTCTAACCTTCTGAGTTTCAGTCCTTTAAAAAGATGTAAATTGACTTTTGTCATTTTTAAATAATGAGCTTTCTTGGGGGAAGGGGAGAGGGATAGCATTAGGAGATATACCTAATGCTAAATGACAAGTTAATGGGTGCAGCACACCAACATGGCACATGTATACATATGTAACAAACCTGCACGTTGTGCACATGTACCCTAAAACTTTAAGTATAATAATAATAAAATTTAAAAAAAAATGAGCTTTCTTGATTTCTGATTCAGTTAGTGACACCTAATATTTTAGCTATTTTAGTATAACTTTCTGAACTTCATTATTTTAGGTAAATACAATAAGGGAATTCACCATCAAAAACCCATTTCACAGTTTTTCTGTTAATAAATCAAAACCAGTATCCAACCTTCTCAGATTCGGAATCATGGAACGTTAGCAGATAGAAAGCACCTGATTTAACCCTTTTTTTCCTGGAAAAAAAAAATGAGATCCAGAAAGCAGAAGATATATTACCTAAGGTTACAAAAACGTGGCAGGAAGAGCTGGGACCTGGATGTAGAGCTCCTAATTCAGAGCTTAGAATTATTTTATTATATCTCCTTGCCTATTTCATAGAGCTACATTTCTCTATGATAGGTTATGACACTAAGTATTTCTCCTCATAAAAAACCAGTTTGCATTCTGAATGGACTTACCGATTCTCATCCTGTCGTCCTCCATATCTGATCCAATAATTCTGTTTTGAATCGAGTAAAAAAAAAAATGCAGTAATTTTGTCACTAAAACATCACTTACAGAATTAAGATAAAATAAAATATGCACAAAACATTCAAAAGATCTATAATTTAGGAATTTTGCATATTGTGTAAAGATACAATATATTTATATTTTATAGATTAATGAAAAGGAAGGCTAAAGTTAGTGGAGATTTGGCAAGGAAAAAATGAAATACAAGTCGAGTTTTCAAATACTATGGAATTAGCCTAGATATCCATCCTTTTGTCCAAGAAAGTGACTTGGAATTTGGTGGCAGAAAAACATTTGAAAGATCATTCAGTTCAACTTCTTTATGTTTGCTGAATAAAACAAGCAAACAAAATTGAGCTTTAGTAATCATCTGTATAGATCATGAAATTAGTAAATAACATATTTTAAGGTCTCTTGGATAACATAATTTTAAAAGAATAATAAGTAAGGCCCGATATAAATATTAATATATTAGAAGGTGTTATATTAGAAATAGTACATTAAAATTAACCCATTTTAAAAAGTGTGCCTATAAAAACACGGCATAAGAAATGAAAAAAGGTTGTAAATGGACATATTATAAATAATTTTATAAATGTATTAACTTGTATATCATTTGAAGAACTTACATAGTAACCAATGGATAAATGAATAAAACCCATGCCCAAGTAATTAAAAGAAGAGGAAAAATAGTTAATATGTGAAAAGGTTTATTCTTGCTGGTCATCAAAAAAATTACAAGTTAAAATGATGTATTATTTCATACATAATATATAAATAATAAAAGTGATTTTCAAATGTTATTTCTTATCGCTGATAAATTTGTGGTAAAATGGTACTTTTATGCATTACTAGGATTCAAATGCCTGTTCAATCTGTTGTGAGCTATGAGACTTTAGAGTAGTCACTAAATCTTCCCACATGAGATAGTGTTAGTATTAAAATAGTGTGCAAATAAATAATTCCAAGAGAATTATTCTCTTAGTAATCATATATAATTATATATAATTATAAATAAATTAATAATAAATAATTTCTAAGAGAATTCTCTTAGAAAAGCAATTTAGTTTCAAGAAGTTTAAAACCTTATATCCTTTGATGACAGAATAATTCCACTCTTAAGAATTTATTTTCAGGACATAATTCAATAGAGAAAAAATGCTTAATACATTATGTATAATTCAAAAATCAGAAATAATTCAAATGTTCAGCAGAAGAGTTCATTTATTTATTGTATGTCAATTCTACCTATCTAAAATTCTAAATTCTACCAACTTTTTAGAGACTAAAATGTAGCTAAAAATACCTTTTAAAGCTATACAAATGTAGAAATTTCTTATGGTATCTTCTTAAAAGAATACAAATCTCTTTATACCATAGTATATGTTTCTGCAAAAGCTATGTCTTCATATAAACAATGATTAGAAGACAACATGGAAAAGCGGAGTGAAGTCAGCATGATGGGTGTGATAGCATTGTGACTGATGATATTTTGAATTCTCTTTAATGTTTAGGTAACATAAAAGCATTAATAGAAAAATTTAAAACACCACATCCGGAATTTAGGAAAATAAAACACTCCCGGGGCAAATGAGTCATACACAAAATACTTTTACCCAATAGATTTGCTTTTGACTTTAGACCTTGTTAATATGGAATGACTGATGTGGAAATCCATTAGTCTTTTAAAGTTCATCAGATGGCCGGGTGCGGCGGCTCAAGCCTGTAATCCCAGCACTTGGGGAGGCTGAGGCGGGCGGATCACCTGAGGTCAGGAGTCCGAGACTAGCCTGACCAACATGGTGAAACCCCATCTCTACTAAAAATACAAAAAAAAATTAGCTGGGCATTGTGGCGTGTGCCTGTAATCCCAGCTACTCGGGAGGCTGAGGCAGGAGAATTGCTTGAATCCAGGAGGCGGAGGTTGCAGTGAGCCGAGATCACGCCACTGCACTCCAGCCTGGGCGACAAGAGCGAGACTCCATCTCAAAATAAATAAATAAATAAATAGATAAAGTTCATCACATATATTGAGTAAATATCTCCCACCCCCAATTTTTACCTCAAGGAGGGCATCGAAATCTTAGCTTTTTGAGGTAAATGGCAAAAATGGAGGCAGGTAATAAAAACATAAAAAGGATTCCACTGAATCATTATTTTAATAAACGTTTCCTCTTTCCTCTTACCGGTTCAGTGTATGAAAACCCCAGACCTTCTGCAGCTGATTTTATCAGCTCAGACTCCAGCTTATGACGTTTCACAAACATTGTTAAATCCTAGAGAAAAAGAAGTAAAGAAAGACATTTTTTATTTAAATAGCAGGTAAGAGATATGATAAATGTTCAGGTGGCAATATTTTCATTAGATAGTCACAAATGAGCTAACAAATATTCAGAACTGCAAGACTTGGCCCCATCTCAACATACTTTCACACGCTAGCATGTATGAATAAAAATGTGCTTCAGGCATAAATAAAGTTTGAAAGAACCGAGTTCAACAACCTTTGCTAAATTGTTAGACATCTTTAAGACCAGTGTCATATTTTTATCAACTCTCCCCCGAACACATGCAGAATCAAGAATTTCTTTTCAGGCCAGGCGCGGTGGCTCACGCCTGTAATCCCAGCACTTTGGGAGGACGAGGCGGGCAGATCACCTGAGGTCGGGAGTTCGAGACCAGCCTGACCAACATGGAGAAACCCCGTCTCTACTAAAAAAAAAATACAAAATTAGCCGGGTGTGGTGGCATGTGCCTGTAATCCCAGCTACTAGGGAGGCTGAGGCAGGAGAATCGCTTGAACCCGGGAGGCGGAGGTTGCGGTGAGCCAAGATTGTGCCATTGCACTCCAGCCTGGGCAACAAGAGCGAAACTCTGTCTTAAAAAAAAAAAAAAAAAAAGAATTTCTTTTCAAAACATTGGTCTCACCTCTCTGGCCTCAATGGATGCCGGGTCAATGCTATCATCCAGCAGACTCTCATAGTAATCCACATTGTCTAGGACATCCTCATCATCTGGATGGCATAGAAGATAGGCTTTGGCACACTCCAGGGCTTTCACATACTCACCAACTGAAAGACAAAGGAGTTGCAGCATTAGAGTCAGCCTAGGTCTGTCCAAAGGATTTTAAAGGGAGGCCATCAACGTGTCTACAAAGGTCAGCATTAAACATGAATAAGAGGGAAGATAAATTGAGGCTCAGCAGAGAAAGCAGAAACAGTCACAGATAAAAGGAAAGACATGATTTCAAGTATTCAAAAGTTATTACCTTTGGTCTGCTTTGGTACTAGTTGTTTTGTGCAAATCGTCAAGTTTCTATCTGAAGATGTTTGTTGACAACTTTTATTATTTAACACATATAAACAGCAGAATTCTATGAGTTAATTCTGATTTTTGTACCGAGTTTGGGTTAAGTAAACATCCTGAAGGTGATCTTTGCAACAGTAATGTACCATTTTATATATAATGTATGAGTAACATAAGTGCTTTTAAAATGTTATTTTTCATTGCTGCAGTTTGTGGTAAACTGGTACTTCAATGCAAAGTCCTTCATAGAGTCCCAGATGTTCTGGAGGAAGCCCCTTAAATCCTTCACTATACAATTATAGCACATCCTACAGTAGCAAACTACTAAAAGGAACTAACAAGGATGTTTCCAATATAAACTTTTCATTATAGAAATATTTAGCTATTACAAGGGAAATTTTAAATGTCTGTATGCCTTGTTTTCAAATAGTTCACAACATTGTATTTCTTCTAATGGAAATTTACAATATACGTATGTGTGTATATATATGTGTGTGTGTGCATGTATGTGTGTATAATAAATACATACACACACACACACACATATATATATACTCTGAGATGACTCTGATTTTTAAAAGGAATGATAAAAATTAAGCAACTCTCTCATCTTTGATTCACTGTTTATGACTTGAGCACGTGATTCACTGTGTGCCATCAACGCCAGGATAATAAATAATGTTTTGTTTTTGGAAAGGAAGAGGATTTTGCAAAGTTCCTTTTAAATTCAGTTCTAAAAAAATTAAGTCTAAAAAACCATGCAAAATGTCAATCTAGTATAATTTTCAGTAAATTATCACAGCATTAAATTTTGTACTTTGCCCATTGGTGATATCCCCTTCTGCTCTTCTTGTCCTGCAGCTCAGGAGAGAAGAAATGCATAAATTCCTATTGCTTTCATAATAAACTGAAGAAGTCAGAAAACTCAATTACAAAAATGTGATGTCTGTAATGATGAACCACAACCCCCCAAGAAGTCTTCACGGATGATCCACGCTTTACCTCGATAGTAGGCAAACTGTAGGTAATCATAGTGCAGAGGAAGAAAATTCTCGATGGGAGAGAGGCGGCCAGGGCGGGTGGCAAGTTCCCTCACACATTCATGCTGACAAACAAGCACCTGCATGTAGTGATCTGGAAGACAAGAGCCAATACGTGTGTTCCTCCAGGTTGCTGAGTGCCCAAACGTCAACGTCACAGCCACAGTTACACAGGTCATTCCTCACCTCACCACACTGGAAGACCAAATTATTATAATCCTCACTTCCGGACTGCAAAACCTTTTTACAAAGAAAGTAGGTGACTTGCCAAGGTCTCCTGGTCAGCGATCACTAGAACGACAGTAGATTCCGAATCCTCCAGCTCACAGTCTGTTCTCTACACCTCACTTTTCCCTTCCCATGTACACTTTTTATACCCCACAGTCCACTTTACCCCACCTACACCCAGCTGAATGTCAGTTTTCATATTTAACAACTTTGGGGTCTCTCTTTGGATATCTTGGATGGCTCGAAGTGCCCTGGAATCGGGAATGGAAGTTCAGATGCTAGTAAATGTTAAGGAACAGTTTGGAAAAAGAAACCACCATGGGCATGGAAAATTCAGGCTGAGAAGTGAAGCAAAAGTGCTCTTTTTCTTTCTTAACATTTTCAAGCCAAATTGTCCTAAAAGAGAAATAAAAACTCTTTTTTTTTAAACCTATTGGTCAGAAACCTATTCTATCCAGTTATAAATTAGTCTATCGCCTAGACATAGTATATTCTAATACTAAGTACATTGTATATTCTTTACCAGAGACTGGTAAAACAGGCAGAAGGATGTAAACTAAAGGAATGAGCATCTTATTTCCTATTTCTCTTCACTCCCCTTTCTATTGCTCCCATTCTTCTTGCTTGAGAGTCCTGAAGTGTTAGGGTCTTCATGCCACCTTTGGCTCTGGACTCTATTTTATCAAAGCCTGAGATGAGGAAACACAAGTGGTGAATGTCCCAGAGAAGAAAATGCCTCCTACGTTTCACCTTGACTGATTTTTACAATGAAGATGGATGTATTTTCCAGCAAGAAAGATTCATTCATGGCTGCGCTGAGTGGGTTCTTTTGAGAATGATGATAAAATCATTTGATCTCATAGCTGTGCAATTTAATTTACCACAACTGCCTTTTTTTCAAAAGGTTCTCTGTTTAGTCTGAGTTTGGCTTGGATCTTGGTGATTTTGCAGAGGGACCCCAAAACACAACAGGAAGGAAACGTGCATTTTCTGGTGTGGGGGAATGTGCCAGTTTTGTATAACTTGGCTAACTGAATCATTTATAGCACAGCTAATAGAATCCCTAAAGCCCATTGGTTATTAACCCCAGTCAGGGGATGTGAAGGAAGAATGAGTTCTATTTATTTGATTAGCATGTTAGAAATAAATAACCAGCTGTTTCATTTCTTAAGAAAACAAAAATAAACAACCTTCAACTGTTTTCTCCTACTCAACTTACCATTTGCATTTCTATTTACTTTCTAATACACATTCCTTTTAATTCCAAGTGACAAGCAAAAGGTAAAGGCGAAAGATACCCACCGAGAACTCAAAATCTGAATGGAAATATTTTTTCAAAGCGGATACAAATAGCAGCAAAATAGGAGTGACAGAAAGGTATCCTTTAGGGTTTCATAGCAGAGCTAGTAATAAATAACTGCATTCAGCAGCCATTTGTATTTTTCCCGAACTGTTAATGTCTAACTCTAAAATTCAAATATTCTGATTTTCTAATACATTTGCTATTTAAAAAGCCAGTTTTATACCTAATTTAGGACAATTTTGAAGCAGACAAGAATTTACATAGTGAGAGCTGTCATATTACTTTTATTAGGTATATCCCTTGCCTCCTTTCTATCTTAAATGACATTGTGCAATTAATATGTTTTTAATAAGTTTGAGTCTTAAAAATTAAAGAACCTGAGTTATGAGATCTCTATTCTTTTCCAGCTACCGACATGCTGTGGTGACCTTGAGCAAATCACTAAATATTCATCTGTGGGAAATCGTCGGTCCATTTTCCTAAACCAGATCTAGGACATTGGCCAAAACTGTTCAGTGGCCATTGGTGGAAGCAGGTGTAGAGGCGAATGTGGGCGTGAAAGCAGGATGCATATCTCCCCACAACCACAACACAGTTAACTATAATAAAGGAAGAATCTGCCATTCCCAAATACAAGATCAAGTGTAGAGAAATAGCAATTAAAATGTGAACCACACATAAAACTGACATTCCAAAAATTTAGGCAACTGGATCTGGCAGAGATCCAAAAAAATAAAACTTTCAGGAAAATATCCTCAATAATTGAGATTGCTGTATTGAATTTAGGTGAACTGAGTTGATTTTGGGTAACTGGGTGTGTCACAAATTGGTCATTCGTCACATTAATTTTCAGTCTACTTCCTAGTCTAATTTTTGATAGCTATACCCTAATTGTCTCTATAAGAAACCTTAAAAATAATTCTTAACAATAATCCTAAACCTACATTCTCATAAACATGGAGTATTTAACCATTTTAATCCCTGCTATGAGATAGATGGATATATCATCTCCTTCCTTCATTCATTCATTAATCAACCCATTCATTTAACCAGTATTTACTAAGTAAGTATCTACTATTTGCCACTCACTCTTCTTAGGCACTGAAGATTGAGCACTAAACAGGACAAGGCTTTAGCCGAGAGATAGAAGAAAACAACACTTTGAAGATCTGTAAGTGGAAATAAGCATGGCATATTTAAGGAATCAAAAAGCAGGAGAGAGAGTGAGAGGGAGAGAGAGAATGAATGAAAACATACACAAGTGCCCAATCATGAAAGTTCTTATTAAAGAATTGGATTTTATTCCAAGTGGAGTGTAAACCATTTGGGGTGTTTAAACCAGATCTGTGAGCAGAATTTTGTTTTTTTAGAGACTGCTCTGTGGGCATTTGGAGCAAAACCAGAACAGGACATGAAGAGCAACAAGGAGGCAATCACTGTTGCTTTGAGCCAGGGTGGTAGCAAAAGGGGTGGAGGGAGTTAGGAAGTGTTCAGTGCTATTAGGAGATAACCTCTATCCAAGTTTGGTAAAAAATCATATGGGAATAGGAATTAAGGAAGATGTTGGATTGAAAGGTAACTTGGTTTGAGTTATTAGGTGAGTAGTGCTTTTTGTTTGTTTGTTTGTTTTTCCTTTGAGATGGAGTTTCGCTCTTATTGCCTAGGCTGGAGTGCAATGGCACCATCTCGGCTCACTGCAACCTCGGCCTCCAAGGTTCAAGTGATTCTCTTGCCTCAGCCTCCTAAGTAGCTGGGATTACAGGCACCCACCACCACACCTGCCTAATTTTTTATATTTTTAGTAGAGATGGGGTTTCACCATGTTGGCCAGGCTAGTCTCAAACTCCTGAGCTCATGTGATCCACCTGTCTCAGAATCCCAAAGTGCTAGGATTACAGGCATGAGCCACCGCGCCCGGATGAGTAGTGCTTTTTAGGAAGACTGAAAGCACTGGAAGTTGGGGAGAGCAAACTGATTTTATTCACTGGCATTTCAGTAAGTAAATGAAGTTGAATGTTGCTTTTCATATATGGGTAACTCAGAAAAAAATGTGTGCTCAAAATATTTGTGAAAATTTTATTAATAAATTATCCTTTGCCTACTTTTCAATTATGTAGACCTTAAAAGTATAGATTCTAGATTCAGAAAAGTCCAAATATGAGTTCCAGCTTCACTCTAATCACATCACTTAATCTTTTTCAGATAAATTCCTCATTTACAAAAGGGAGAGGAGAGTAAGTAACAATAGTATCTATAAGAGTTGCTTAAAGCATTAAATAGATAAAAATATGTTAAGTGCTTTGTATGTTACAATTGCTACATATGTGTTGGTTATTATTACTACTGATAATTAAGAAGTAAATTACTATGAACAATAATAATTTACAGGCTCTCTTTGAATATGAAATATATTAACACTTTGCCTATAAAATATTTTGCAATACTTTCTATTTGTGTTTGTAGATCAGCTTGGTTTATCGTATAAATCTGTACTTATAAATCTTAGGTAAAGTTTAACTTGTTCTTTATTTTTCTTGTCTTTTGTCATACTTAGAAGAGCTTTTCTGCTGGGCGTGCTGGCTCACGCCCGTAATCCCAGTACTTTGGGAAGCCGAGGTGGGCGGATTACCTGAGGTCAGGAGATCGAGACCAGCCTGGCCAACATGGAGAAACCCCGTCTCCATGAAAAATACAAAATTAGTTGGGTCTGGTGGTGCATGCCTGTAATCCCAGCTACTCGGGAGGCTGAGAAAGAAGAATTGCTTGAATCCGGGAGGCAGAGGTTGCAGTGAGCCAAGATCACGCCATTGCACTCCAGCCTGGGCAACAAGAGCGAAACTCTGTCTCAAAAAAAAAAAAAAAAAAGAGCTTTTCTTCTCCTAATATTATACAAATATCTTCCCTCATTTTGTTCTAACAGTTTTATATTTTACACTTATATTGTTATTACAAATACAATTTATTTTTGTGTAAGGCATACAGCAGAGACCCCACTTTCTCCTCATAAGTGGTTAACTAGCCAATCTCCCAAATTATTCTATAATGTGCATTACCTAGTATTTTAAATGCCGCTTTGTAATATATTAAATTCTTATTAAGTAATAAAACATTTTAAGTAGTTGAAGACTACACAAAAGTGTTCACTACTACATTGTTTATAATAATGAAAAATTTCAGCCTCTTAAACACTCATCACTAAAGGACTAGTCAATTAAATTATGATGCGTTTATATAACAGAGCATTACCCAACCATTAAATACAATAAAATGGCTCTACGTACTTACGTGAGAAGAAGTCCACAATATATTGTTAAGCATAAAATAAAACAACAAAAGTTGAAAAACATTATATATAGTATTGTCCTATTTTATAAAAAATGAAATAATAACTATAAATAAATACATAAATATTTACATAAGGACCTGAAAAAGTTTGGGAAGACAGTCACCAAAATTTTAACTACATACATTTCTCTACAGGAGATAGGCTGGGATAGACACATGAGAGTCTTTTATTTTTACAGTATATTCTTCTATTTTGCTGGAATAGTTTTTTACAAATTGCAAGTAGTATTTTTATAATCAAGAAAGAAATAAAATGAAAAATTAAGCTTTTACCTGCAATAGCTTCATACAGACCAGCCTTATACCCTAAATACTCATATTCTTCAAATCTCTGAGGCCCCTCACATAGGGTCCGGCATTCTGTATCTTCAACGAAATATTCTCTTAAGGCTTGTTCGAAGTGCCTGATAGCCATCTCAAAGTCATCAGCCTCATAATGTTTAACTCCTGCATTGTAACTCTCCTGTAATGAAACAGACGGGAAAAAACAAACAAACAAACAAACAAACAAACAAAAAAACCCTTATTTTCAAAGAGAAGGGTTTTTGTTGACTCAGGATCATCTAGGTAGATGGGGTACTGGATGCTTCTGCTGCGGAGGGATAAAGAAGGGTTGCACTGGGAGATAAAGAACAACATTCCTGGCTTCAAATGCTTGTAAGTGAGAGGGGTCTTACTGAGCAAATAGATTGCTATGTGATCAGTCAATGTCGTTTTTTTCCTTAGCACATGCAAGACTGTGTTTTTGAAATCATTTGCCTATAGGTAGGGCCATGTAACAAGTGCAGGACAACAGATGTGGGTGGAAGTGACATCCACTTTTAGGCCCTGCCTGTGTTTTTTGTTTTTTTTTTTTAATATTTTCTAAAATCTTTCCTTATCCTTTTCTGTGATAATTTTGGAGGCTACATGTTGAGAATGGTGATGTCAAAAATTAAAAAAAAAAAAGGCTTTCAACATGTGATTTCAAGTAATGTTTAGTCTATATAAAGAACTACATCACTTTTTAAAACCCCAGTTTGAAACATACAGGTACAATGGGCAAACCACTGGACTGGGAGCTGGAAAATCACAGTATAATCCTGAACAATTTACACTGGCCTCACCTCCTAGGTATAAAATAAGAGTATCAGAAAGGTTCAGAGAGGATTATAGAGAATTATATGATGTTCTAGTTTTTATCACATTATGCCAATTTTCTAAGTTAATTTTTATTTTCTCTTAATTTAAAAATTTTTAATTTTTTAGTTTTTTTATTTCAACTTTTAAAATTTTAATTAAAATTTTAAAAAACCTCAATTTTTTCAGACCTGATCATTATATTCTGAGAATTCTGAAAGTCCAAAAATGTTACTAAAATTTGAGAATAAACTTTATGAGATATTCATTCATAGAAATTTGCTGTGACTCAGATGAAACTTAGGAGCACTTAGCTCCCTGTGGTGAGGGCAGGGGCCCACAGAGCTTACCATGTGTGGCTTGGCTTCTCTGTCTACCAACTGCAATGCTTCAACACCAGCTGTCGCCCTGTAATTCTCAATGTTCTGCTGCATTTCCATGTGCTCAGGGTTAGCCACGAAAAATGTGTGAGCTGCTTCCACTGCTTTTTCGAGCTGGTTAAGCTAAAGAGAAAAAAAAATGACCAAAATGAAGGCAAATATTTCCAAATCACACTCAGAGAAATACAAAGATCAATCCAAAATCTCACAGTTTAAGAATGAAACTAGGAGCCTTGGTTTTTTTTTTTTTTATCAGACAGGCAATAAAAACAAAATAAATGGGATTATAACAAAGTAAAAAACTTCTGCACAGCAAAGAAAGCAATCAACAGGTGAAGATACAACCTACAGAATGCAAGAAAATACTTGTAAACTATATATCCATATCCAAAAGGGGTTAATATCTAGGATCTATAAGATATATAAAAAGCTGAAAAAACTCTATAGCAAGAAAAGAAAGATTAAAAAATGGGCAAAAGATCTGAAATGACATTTCTCAAAAGAAGATATACAATTGGCCAACAGGTGTGTGAAAAAATGCTCCACATCACTAATCACCAGGGAAATGCAAGTCAAAATCACAATGAAATACAACTTCATTCCAGTTAGAATGGTTATTAACAAAAAGATAAAAGATAACAAGTGTTGACAAGGAAGTGGAGAAAAGGGCACCCTTATACACTGTTGGTAGGAATATAAATTAGCAAGACCATTATGAAAAACAGTATGGAGTTTCCTTAAAAAATTAAAAGTAGAACTACCATAAGATCCAGCAATCTCACTGCTGGGTATATATCCAAAGGAAATGAAGTCAGTATGTTGAAGCTATATCTGTACTCCCATGTTTATTGTAGCACTATTCACAATAGCCAGGACATGAAATCAACCTAAGTGCCCATCAGCAGATGAATGGATAAAGAAAATGTGGTACATATACACAATGAAATATTATTCAGCCATAAAAAATAATGAAATCCCATCATTTGCAACAACATGGATGAATCTGGAGGATATTATGTTAAGTGAAATAAGCCAGACACAGAAGGACAAATACCACATGATCTCATTCTTATATGGAATCTGAAACAGTTGATCTCATAGAAGTAGAGTGGAACGGTGATTGCCAGAGGCTGGAAAATGTAGGAAAGGGAGAGACAGGAAGAGGTTGGTCAAAGAGTACAAAGTTATAGTTAAAGAAGAAGAATAATTTCTGGTGTTCTATTGCACAGTAGGATAACAATAGCTAACAATTATGTATTGTATATTTCAGAATAGCTAGAAGAAAGCATTTTTAATGATGTCACCAACATAAATGATAAGTGTTTTAGGCAACAGATTTGCTGATTACCCTGATTTAATCATCATACAATGAATACACATATGGAAACATCACACTGTACCCGTAATTATGTATACTTATTATGTGTCAATTAAAAATAAGACAAAACTTTTAAAAAAATTAAAAGGATAAATTATTCCAATGCATAAAGATGCTAAGAACAGCACATAAAATGCTTTACCACACAGCTTTGAGATATTTGATTCCAAACTTACAACTTTGATTCTCATTAATAAAAAAGAATTTTGAACCACCACTACACAGACACTGCCAACTGTCTCCTAAACCACTTAATACAATGATCTCCATGTAACAAGCAATGATATATTTTTAAAAAATGGAATTAATTTACCCATTTTAACACATTTTTAAAATTATTTTTGAGACGGAGTCTTGCTCTGTTGCCAGGCTGGAGTGCAATGGCGCGATCTTGGCTCACTGCAATCTCTGCCTCCAGGGTTCAAGCGATTCTCCTGCCTCAGCCTCCGAAGTAGCTGGGACTATGGGCACACACCACCATGCCCGGCTAATTTTTGTATTTTTAGTAGAGATGGGGTTTCACCATGTTGGCCAGGATGGTCTCGATCTCCTGACCTTGTGATCCGCCCACTTCACATATTTACATATGCTTTAGTCATGGAGAATTTCAATAGAGAGATCCATTTACCTCACATCAGAAAAATAAAAATTCACATTAGTTATCGTTTTCATGGTGGAATCTAAAATATGCTCAATCCATTTTAGTGTGAAGAAATGAAAACTAATTGTTGCTGAACAATATAAAATCACAGAATGGCATGTAAGATTCAACTGTATCTGCTTTTGACCATTTTGCCACTCAATTATTAAAAACTAGAAGTAGTAGACTCACAAGTGCCCAGTCCCTGCAGTCTTGTGAAATATAATCAACTCTTAACACAAAAACATAAACTGCCCTGTTTTAAGACCTAACATCCCATAATAGTAAAGCTTTCCCTTTTCAAATGTAATTGCACATTTTTAGCTACTGTCTTTCCTTCCATTAAATCTTGCCTGAAATGAGCTCTTCCTGCCACTTTTACCTTTGTCCTCAATTCTGTGCACTCAGAATTATTTTGACTGTCAAAATCACTAATTTTGGATTTCATCTTTCTCAACTTTAATCTTCTCAATCTCTTACATATCAATACAGATAAATATGAATTGTATGCATCTACATAGTAATAACTATATAGGTATAAAGAATGGGTTCAAAATTATGTGTGGTTTGCATTTATTGGCCAAGTGAACCTGGAAAAAGTTGTTTAAACACTGGTGCTTTAATTTTCCCTAAAGAAAAAATGCTCAAAAGAACTATACACCATCATTTACTGTGGAGGATTTTGGAAGGATTCAACTGTGAAATACATATGAATGTGTTCAGCAGTCACTAGAGCACTAGAAAAAGATAAATAATAGCATACAATATATAAATGATCTGTTTCAAGGAGGTGAATCTGCTCCCATTAATGAAGAGTAGAGTTTATAGCTCCCATGAACACATAATATAAGAGGATAGAGTAGGTGCTTCTGGTTGGTGAAAATTTTCTCTGGGCAATAGCCAGTCTACAAGCTATGAGTACAACAGATTAGTACTGACATACTCTGATTCTACAGCACTAGACGTTAAAGTTAATGGAACACAAATAAATATTTATGTTCTTAATTTTCCTACTTTATGCTTTGGCTCAGGATATTCCACTGACTTAGAGAATCTTTGTCCCTCTGTCTTTTCTTACTGAAATATGTCATGTCCTATAAGGCCAAGCTTAAATCCTGCCTTCTCTAAGAGACCCTTTCCCATTCCTGTAGCCATAGTTGGGTACCACAATATACTCTCAACCTGTTCCTTTACTGGTACTTACCATTCTGTACCTTATATATGCATCAGTATATCTGCTTCTCCCATTAGAGCTTTCTGTGGACATGGATCATATGGTATATTAATCTTTTTATTTTCTACCTATTTACATACAGAGTATATCTATGCTATGTCTTAGAAAAGAGAAAAAAACTTGTAAGAAGTAACTTGTAATAAGTTCAAAGGTATATTACATGTGAATATGCTTCATGAATTATAAGGCAGTGGTCCCCAGTCTTTTTGGCACCAGGGTCCAGTTTCATGGAAGACAATTTTTCCATGGATGGGTTGCAGGGATAGTTTCAGAATTAAACTGTTCCACCTAAGATCATCACGCAAGATTCTCATAAGGAGCACACAACCTAGATCCCTCACTTGCACACTTCACCAGAGGGTTGGCACTCCTATGAGAACCTAAGACCTCCACTGATCTGACAGGAGACAGAGCTCAGGTGGTAAGGTTCACCTTCTGCTGTGCAGCCCCGCTCCTAACAGGACTGTACTGATCCATGGCCCAGGGGTTGGGGACCCCTCCTATAAGGTACTAAAAGTTTGTACATTTAATAAAAACTTCTCTGAAATCATCATTCATACTGAGAGCTTCCAATGTGGTTATCACGATGAATGTGATTCCGTAGCTCTTGAAAACAGTCAATGTCAACAAACTGGGTCCTTTTCTCAAATTTGACGTTTTGCTTATTTGGTGCTTTCCTCCTTTATAGTCCAGAATTGAAGATACTACAATCTATAAAAAAAGATTCCATGACTAAAGGCTGAACCATAAAACTTCATGAACTGGCCCTGGCTTTTAAATTATTGTGAACCAGTTTAGGAAACTAGAATTTGCTGCCAGGGTCTATAAAATAAACCACTGTTTTAACTGGAAGCTTGATACCTCTGTCTTCCATTGTATAAATACACACATCCAAAGTGGTAAGAAAAGTCCACATAAACATGTGCATGCTACATATAATGTCATATGATTGGATGGAGGTTATTACAAGGCATAGTCAGTACTAGGTTTCAGCTAAGGAAGGACCTACCCACTCCTCCAATGAAACAAACCAACAGCACACTACAGTTAAAGGCTCCAAACTGGACTTCCTTTAAGACCTAATTAAAACAAACCACAGGAGCGAGTAAGTCTAATATGGGGGTAACTCTATGCATTAGAAAAATAAACTGTGAAATAAAGAACAATGGAGAAAAGGGGAATAATCTGACATGAAGATGGTATTGACGTTTAGGGGAGGCCACTGAGATGTCAGAAATACTGGTAAAAATGCCTTCAAGAAGCTTAGGGCCATTTCCTCTCAAGCTGTGAAGAACTAAGGCAAACATTTTCTCTTGCCAGCCCAGAAGCATGACTACGTGGTAGTCATACTGTATGGACAAAGAAATGAACATTGACTAAATCAACAGCCTGCTGACGTTCAGAAGTTACACTGTCCTTGAACCTGTGAGTGAATGAGGTTCCTCTGACACAGAAAGAGTTTTCCATAGCTAGTAATAAAGGACGGATTGCTAAAGCACACATTGACTATTCAAAAATCTCCAGTAGTCATCCATTGACTAGAAAACAGATTTCAGACACTCCACATCATGACATTCAAGAACTCTGGGATTTGGCTCTGTTTTTCCTGGCATCACTTCTTCCTCTCTGCCATTATACCAACTCTTTCCAGAGAAACTGAACTTCTCTAAGTTTTAAAACTTACCACCCGCCTATTCAAGAACACACACATAGGTCCAATTCTCCAGTCATGCCCCAGTTCATTAGTTCACCCATTTACTTATTCAGCAAATATTTATTTTGCACCAACTCTGTATCAGACACTAAACAGAATACCTACGTGGTCAAGACAGACAAAGGCCCTCCTTTCTATAACAAATGTTGACATTCTCATAGAAGGGGACAAATCCCAAGTAAATAAATAAGTAAGGAAAGTAATTTCAGATTGTATTAAGTGCTATGAAGAAATAATGAACAAAGTTGTGAGCACTGACTGGGACTGGGCTGGAAGGAGAACTCCTTTAGATTCATTCATCAAAGATTTCTCTTCAATGTAATTTTTGAGCTGAGACCTAAAAGTTGAGAAGCCAGGCATGAACCGAACAAGAGGAAGGGCATTCCAGGCCAAAGAAAGTCAAGTGAAAGGTGCCTGAAGTGGAAAAAGGCTTGATGTGTTTTCAAAGCAGAGCAGAGATCAAGGAGGGAGATTTTAGAAGTTAGAGAAGGACGGATCATTTGTATAGGCTATGGTAGAGTTTAAATGTCATTCTAAGTGCACAAGGAAACAGTAAAAAATGTTAAGGAGGGATATAATCAGATCTGATACACATTTTAAAATGATAATTCAAACTTCTTTGTGGAAAACAGATCTTCCTAGAGGGCAGAAGAGCACTGCAGTAATCAGTCAGAGATGATGCTTTTACTTTGCAAAATAATGCAGCACAGCGTAAGTCAGTTGCCTGTTTTACTTTCCTTCCATTTCCTGCCTCGATTCCTTTCTCTTCGTCTATTTTGCCCATCCTTGCTCTAACAATGTTTCTCAATTCAGAAGGCAAACACGTAACACAAAAGGAAACGCTTCTAAAATTTCCAAAGATTTTGTGTGGAAAATATGTAAGTTCCCTATTTTCTGAATTAGGATATGTAGCTCAAATATTTTGAATACGAAATTAAGAACAACTTGTAAGGCACGTGCAACAAAGAAAAGGGGCTAATAATTCTAAAGCACATTAAAACATGGAAATACCACTATGTACTTCTCAAATAGAATATTTGGCAGCACTTTTTACTCTTTTGAAGGTTTTTTGTACAGAGTAAAACATCAAGCGTAAAATAAGTAATTTCCATTATTCTCAAACATCAACATTTTCAATAAATGAATGAATTCTTTTTCTACTTTCGTCACCCTAACTTTGGGAATTTATCCATTACATTTTAATGAAGTGCTATGGTTTTTGCCTTCGTTTTTTTACTTAAATTTCACAATATAGTAACTTTAGAGATTTTTAACTCCCAAGTGACAAGCATGTAAGCTGACACTGAAGACATCCTGTTTCTAAGCCACAGCGCAAGTTCTAAGCTCTAGCTAGCAGCATAAGCACAACAGCTAGAGAGAAAGGAAGTCATCAAATTACAGCATGTATATCACACTAAACAACCAAATTCATCCTTTGATGAACCTGTAAGATGTGTGTGTGTATACACTCATATACATACACATGTCACAAGGCACATTTGTAGACATTTCATTACTTGCTAAAAAGTCTCCAAATTTACTCGAATTTTTGCCAACTTGAGTTAATTTTTCTTCATAGAACCAAATAAATAAATACATTTCTTACAATATGAATAATATATTAAAAGAATATTCTTAAAATTTACAAAACATCAAATTTTGAAATAAAATTTGGAAGCAGTTTGTTCAACCTACTGAATTAAACGAAATCCTGTAAATTACAGTATTTAAATGTAAAGTATGGGCTTATGAATGAGAATTTAATCTTATTTTAGGACATTCCTAAACATTTCTATATAGCAGAGTCAGATTTTTGGAGTAAAATAATAGCCATATAGCAAATAACTTTGCATTTTATTTCACAGTTACTGATGATGTTAATACATTAATATAACTTGTAAAAAGATCCATATTTGAAATTTTCACAATTCAGTTATAAGAAAAAACAGTTTATATCTCCTGACAAATTTATAAAATTAATTTTAACATCCATAGAGAACTACCTAATATATTCTGTTGCACCTTTTGCCTTGACTACTGGGAAGCTCAGAATTGCATTCACTGTCATTTACAGTAACTATATTATATTATGTTGGGTTTCTTTCTTTCTTTTTTCTTTTCTTTTTTTTTTTTTGAGTTGGAATCTCGCTCTGTTGCCAGGCTGGAGTGCAATGGCATGGTCTCAGCTCACTGCAATCTCTGCCTCCTGGGTTCGAGCAATTCTCCTGCCTCAGCCTCCCAAGCAGCTGGGATTACAGGCACGCGCCAACACACCCGGCTAATTTTTGTATTTTTAGTAGAGATGGAGTTTCACCGTGTTGGCCAAGCCAGTCTTGAACTCCTGATCTCGTGATCCGCCCACCTTGGCCTACCAAAGTGCTGGGATTACAGGCGTGAGCCACCGTGCCCGGCATTATGTTGGGTTTCTAATGTGTCAAACTAAAGCTGGCATATTTCACTTTTTTCTTTGAGTGTTTTTGTTTCCATTTCAAAAATCTAACTATACAAATAGTTGCCTTAGCAAGGAAACTCAGGGACATACAAAAGGTACAACCTATTTAAAATATATACTCCCATAGTAAGGGAGATTTTTATACAATATATTCCTTTTCTACATCTCAAGGCAGAACATTTTAAAATTTCTAGCTTTGAAGAACACATGTTAATTCACAAGTTAGGTGGCCATGCTAATGTAGAAAATGAACTTATCTTTGCATTTATGGAATGTCACTCTAAAATACAGTCATAGGTATAAGTAACTATTTATCGTTTTCAAAATGCAATTTGGTAAGGATTAAATGGAAATGACGTTTCTGAAGAGTAATATTTCCTCTGTGGAGTAAGTTGGAAAGGAAGAATGAACATGCTTTCTTAAAGTGCTTTCTTTTGCCAAACTGCTTATGCTCTTTCCCTCAATTACTTATGGTCCTGATTCTGATTAATAGACTCCTGCTTTTTTAAACACTCTAGTGAAGTTTTAGTCTTGATGTTTACATTTTAGTGTTAAACACTAATGGTGAATAGCCATGGCCAAATGAGGATACTCTTAGGAGCTCCGTGAAACAACAGATTCCATCAGCTTTCTAGAAGATTTCTTATCTAAATAGAAACCATCTTTCTGGGTAAGGAAAACATTAAAGTGAAGACACAGAACTTTTAAACATACTATTTCCGATTAGAGACTATTAAAAATGAAATGCCCTTGATGTTAAAAAAAAAAAAAAAACTATCTAAGTATTAGCCAGAAATAAGTGTGTGCTTTGAATTAGACAAAATCGCTCAAGTCATCTGTGTATTGTCTAACTTCCTACCAAGGGAACAGCCAAAATTTGAATGGCTGCTGGGTAAGAAGGAGAGCACATTATCTTAGTGATGGAAGGTAGACAAGTCGTCTCTGCCTCGGGTCGAATGAAGTTAGTGTGCATGGTCTATTGGTATGTTACTGTTGTTTTTGGTTCTAAATGCTAGGACAGGGTAAGACTGAATAACTGGGCAGGGATCTTAACCTCTGCAGTGTTTGTCCAGCACTCTCCCTTGAGGTGTCAGATGATGACTAATGGTTACCGAAAAGCAGTGTGGGCCAAGACCTTGCTGACATTTGTTTCCTGCTACTGTTTTTGGAATCTGCTTTAATCCTTTTCAAAGTTTATTCTGAAGGTAGTTGTCATTAATTTCATACCTTAGCTTTGCCAGCATCCCATGACTATGGTAGTAGTCATTACTTTAACATCTCAAGAATCTAGTTCATGTCAGATTTTGAAAAATAAATAAATAGAAATCCAATGTTTCTCTATGTGAGTACAGAACTCTACTCCTCTTATACATGACCTCTGTATTGGTGAGCACAATCTAACTTGTGAGGTTGCCAATAATAAAAATTGCATTTGTCATATAGGTTGTATGTTTTATATAGTTGGCAAAGCATTTTATAATATTAGTAATAAAAATAAGAGAAATAAAAATGGCCATTTATTGAGTTTGTCTGCCCAAGAGGACAGCTTCAAAAAGCTAGATGAGCCCTTACCTCTACTTCAGGACCAGCGCAGAAAGTGGCTGGTAATTATTGACAAGGGTACGTTATGATACAAACGATAATTTATTTGTTTATTTATTTCGAGACGGAGTCTCGCTCTGTCGCCCAGGCTGGAGTGCAGTGGCGGGATCTCGGCTCACTGCAAGCTCCGCCTCCCGGGTTCACGCCATTCTCCTGCCTCAGCCTCCCGAGTAGCTGGGACTACAGGCGCCCGCCTCCACGCCCGGCTAATTTTTTGTATTTTTAGTAGAGACGGGGTTTCACCGTCTTAGCCGGGATGGTCTCGATCTCCTGACCTTGTGATCCGCCCGCCTCGGCCTCCCAAAGTGCTGGGATTACAGGTGTGAGCCACCGCGCCTGGCCACGAACAATAATTTATAGCACCAAGTCAAAACTTGTCCAGGGACAGAGTTCCCCTTAATGAACTTTAGGATACAAAAACAAATTTTGTTGTGATAACACTTGACTCATATTTTGCCTGGTTTTCATTATAATAAAGGGGGAAAAACGTTGTCTTTCCCGAGTGACTCAATTAAAAAAAAAATTTTAGCTGGCCATCAATTTACTACAGCTAAAAGTCAGCTTCCTAATTGTTCACTACCACAGTTATGTCTCTACAACCAATAGCAGCCAGATCACATTTTTTCCTCAAACTGTATGTCACAATCATTTGAATTTGTCACAAATCACTTGTCACAAATCATTTGTCAAAAATCATATGTCACAAATCATTTGAATTTGTCAATTATGATAGCAAAATGGCAATTAACTATGGATTTCTGTTTCTAAGATAGCTTTTTGAAAATCAGCAGTGAAATAGCTTAATGCAAGCCTGGGAATGATTTTTCTGATCTTGAGAATATGAAAAAAAATTTCAAAAGTTTGTTGCTGTGTCTGCAACATTGTTTTGTGAAATGACAAAGCCTCAGACATCAAATGCTTGTCACAAGCACTGGGAATCAAAGTATGGGTTTATTTAGTGTTTCTCCTGTAAGTCCACATGTTTCCTGAGTAGACTGCATGGGGGCATATAGATCAGGGAGAAGAAGTAATCATTTGGGCCCTGGCCTGTTTTAAATTGTAACAATGCTAGGATAACACTGAAAATAGCTTGGCAAATTTGATTATTTGAGGAGGCTTTTAGGGTTTAGTGAATGTACAAATAAATTCTGTCATTATAATTTCCAACATGCTTGGTCTCCCTTCCATTTTGTGTTTATGAAACAAACTTAACATTCCACTCAAATCGCTTTACTGTGAGCAATGCAAGAAAAGCAAACAAGTAAATCAAAAGCCTTTCCACTTGTACCTTTTTGGTATAAATACGCCACGTTCTTCTGTGAAATATAAACTCTTGCTTTTATAGGAGTGGGAAGATTTACTTCAAAAGTTATTTCCAAACACTCATTTCAGCTCATGCAAAGGAATGCATCGTGGCTGCAAGCCAAGGGGAATTTTATTCCAAAGACCCCTCCTGGAGGAATCTTTAAGAGGAGACTAAGGTCTCTGCAGGTATGTCACCCATCAAGCTCACTAATGGGTACTCCTAACCTGACAGGCCACATGCTCTTACTAAAGAGATGGTTTTCATGATAGAGTTCTTTCATTTCAATGTTTCATACATTCCTCTGGCATCACACCTGCACTTTTATAAGTATCCAGCCACAGCAATAACCTTCAGGCTGTACAGTATATGAAATATCCCTACCATATATCCAGGTTAAATATAAACTCAAACATTTTCTTTGTACCTCAGCCAAGAGACTATATTAGAAAGAAAGTTCTAGTCCATGTAAATTCTAGAGAAAGCTAAAGTTTGGGAGAGATCTACTTACTGACTAAACATATCGAGTAGCATCAGTCCTGTTATTTTTGTGGCACTTGCATTGATCTTATAAATACTAATTGCAATTAAGTCTATAGAAGACTAGGGCTGGATAGACTATTTATATCATATAGTCCCACTGTTTCATTTTACAGGTGGATAAAGAACCTGCCTAGAATATTAGCAGCAGAAGTATAATTAGAAGCTACCTCTTCGATTAAAACAAACATTCACAAATAGACACTTGGGATTTTAGTCACCACTATTTCAAAGTAGAGGTGAGTTTGTGCATGTCTTGTTTATGTAACAGGTTTGCTGGTCACTTCAGTCATAGAACTGTGATAGATGACAAGTGTCTGAGGATACAAAATAAATGTGACAGGATCCTAATCTTTTAGTAAATATAGCCCAGTTAGGACAAGAAGACATACACAGACTATTGATATCAAGAACTGGGAATTTACAAGCTTTTAGGGCAGAGTGGGTGGGTGGCAGGCAATATAATGCTGTAAAAATTAGGAGAAATGTGAAATCACAGTAACCTGGAAGGTTCAGGAAAGGACTCACTGAGAAAGTAGGACTGAGGGTCTTGAAAAACAGAAAACATGTGGATGTCCCAGCTGCAGAATAGTAATGTTACAGCAGAAATGTCTCAGATCTATTTATAAGATAGTGTTTTGGATAACGTGGCTCATGTGGAAGGTTTCGATTCCAGAGTAATGGGAAACAAGGTGGAACAGGACTGGATTATGGGGATCTTTGATACTAAGGTGAGTTGTTTTGCTTTTTATTCCCGGAAAAGGGGAAACAGATAGATATATCTATGCATTATCTATATGTGCATGTTTGTGAATGTAGTCATAAAAATATATCTCTCTTATTCCAAAAAGGGCTGTGAAAAGTAAAAACTAAAATACGTGAGGTAAAATTTCACTTATTGGCAGGGAGAACTTCCTCATTGGCAGGGAGGAGAGTGTAAGACTGGAGGCCTATGATAAACTTTATAATATCCTTTTAGTTGTGGAAACATTAGCCTGGTTGTTGTAGGACTAAGTGGGAGTAAAGGGATACTGGAGAAGAGGCAAAATTTTGGGGAAACCCTTGTACTTCTCTTTCTCATATAACAGAGAAGTAAGTTGGTCAAAGGGAAATGCAAAGCTAAAGGCATGCTTAAAATTTCAAAACTAGTTAACTTGGAATATGGTGGTAATAGCAATGGAAATAGTATTTTTTAGGTGGCTACAAATTTTGGTTGTGGGTTGGAGAAATTTTTCATTTCACTTTGAGCTAGTTTGTGTTTGATATAATGAAAAGGCATCCAAATAAGTACATCTTCCTAGAAGTCAAGCATCTTGACAAGAGATCTGATCAACCAAATATCGAGCAAAGTCTTCACTTGAGACATACTTGAGGTCTTTTCCCAGACAGAAAGCCAGAGAGAAGAGTTTCCTAAATGAAGGAGCAATCTATTATTATAAATAAGTTAGAGCAACCAAGAAGGACAGAAAAAAAAATGTTTATTTTGATGTTTGTCAGCCCTTACCTTGCTAAGAAATGTATTGCCCTAGATGTTCATAAGACTTATAAAAATGCTTTTATAATTAACAAAGGGTATGATGAACTGTAGTAAGAGTTAAACACATTTCTTTAGGATACAGCGTTCAGATTTTTTTTTTTTTATGTACTACTGTAACAGTTAATCTGTGTAAATGGGACACTGTATTTCACATTTTTCAAACTCTTTCGGCCAAAAACCTTCTAGTCTGCTTCAGACTGGCTCAAAAAACTAATCAGCTGCCTGAGACTCTATTTGTTGACACACATATATATATATATATATATAGTAAACTTCAGTAACGTTGATGAATGACTTTAATTATAAAATAATGACCTAAGTGATCCCAGAATCCCGAATGCAGATATTGAAATAGCTCTTCATCTGCTGTGACATCTGCTTCCCTAATATACTTACATGAATAAGATAAGTATAGAGTGAAAAGTGTTCTTCTCAGGGTCACGTGGGTTCTGACAGAAGAGCTGAAACCTGGTCTTTTAATTCCAAAGTTAATAATTTTTTAGTATAGTTCGCTGTGCCTGAGACTAAGTGGACAATCTTCCTTCTTCAGCAGGGAAATTAAGAGTCTACCATTTTTAATCAGTGCATATAAAAATGTCAGACCCAAAATGTATCTCTCCAAAAGTCGGTGGCAGACATCAGTTTCTCCATGCCACCCAGAATAACGCAAATTAAAGTTGCAAAGTGACTGCTAGTAAGTATAGAAGATAACTATAGGATTGTGTTTAAATGAAGAGACTGGCTTGAATTGAACCACAGCCTAGAAAAATTATATCAAATAGACTGTGAAATTATATTCGGTGGTTAAAAAAACTGAGGGTTTCTGATTCCAATTTTGTATATACTGTGGGTTTACATTGGCTCCCTTCCCCTTGAAATGTTATAGTGTGGCAGAGTGTAGCAGCTGCATGTTTGGTCTGTGCTAAGAAAAGACTGCCACTATGCACTTCCACATATGGAGTCCTGCTTTGTCTGCAGAGAGGACTATGAGCTTTCTATTTCTAGAGGTTCTAAAGCTCAGGCTGCTTTACTTCATCTTTCCATTCCACCCGAGCAACATTTAATGAGGGGCCTGTACTGGCCATTGGGTAGGTGGGAACAGTGGGGAGAAATCTGAGATAATTCCTGTGTTTTAGTAGTGAATCTGGGGGGTGGGGTGGGAAATCAGGCAAATACCTATAATTTAGGGTTAAGTAAGGGCCCTTAAGAGAAGTAAAAAGAAATTCTATAAGTATTCAAAGTAGGAGAAAGAACTTCTGAATAGATGGATCTGAAAAGTCTTCATGGGGATCTTACTACAAATATGGCATCTGTAACAGACCTTGATGGATAGATGAGATTTCAACAGGCAGAGGTGCTGGGAAGGGCATTTCACCATGAGTAAGACACAGAGGAAAAGCGTCATCTATATTTGAGAGTTAGTTTTCTAGGAGTACAAGTGTTGGGAGTGGGGTTTGAAAGAGCAAAGAATACTAACATGGTAGTCTGATGCCAAAGTGGGGTGGGGTTTGAAAGTTAAGCACATATTAGGTTTTATTTTGGGGAGAACATGAAACTTGTAAAGCAACTGAGTGATTTGTAGCTCTAAAAATTTCCTTCCAGAAACATCTCCATCTGAGAGAGGAGAAAGTCTATGTTGTTAGTTTGTTCGAGTAGCATAGGATGGTCTACGAGAGAGCTGGATTAGATCAATCTTACTGAGCAATGCGTGGCAGTATACCCTACTCCTTCCAACCAGTTCTCCACCTGGCCCTGAATGCTGAGTGTTATGGAATCAACCTGCATACTCACACTCCAGCAGTTCCGTTGGTAGGGCATCCCAATAAGGTACTACACTTCCACATTTCACATTTCTGGAAGACTCACTTTCTGTTCATTTAAAACGTTTCATATTTTGAAGACTCCA
The DNA here is from genome assembly GCF_000001405.40 of Homo sapiens. Classification (NCBI taxonomy): domain Eukaryota; kingdom Metazoa; phylum Chordata; class Mammalia; order Primates; family Hominidae; genus Homo; species Homo sapiens. The sequence goes on from NC_000003.12 coordinate 190,009,626, forward strand.
CAGCAAACCCAATTTTAAGCCAGAGAGAAATTTTAGCCAAGTCATTAAAATGAATATAGCCTTCCATCTGAGAGTTGCCATCTCTACTCTTTCTACCCAGAAAAACATGTGGTTTTATTATGAAATAATATAAGCAGCTTTTGTTCTTTTTTATTTGGAAACACTCCCATGAGGCACTAGAGGAAATCTCATTTGCCTCTACATGGAGACAGTGAAGCAGAGAGATTCTGTTCCACTTTCATTAATCTTTGCTCCTTGCCCCATGTGAGTAGAGGAAGTACTGTGGGAAAGGCTATATGACTTGAAACTTATTAAATCTGTGTGTCTAGGAGCTGAGGACGCTAAGACCCTATAGAAATAAAAGGAAGATGACTAGGAGCCTAAGTCCCACCCTTCCAACTTCCAGCTTTAATGTAAAAAGAAGCTAACAGCAAATGCCTGGATGCAACTTGCATATTCTCAAAGAGAAGATGGTGAGTATATGCGTGTATGCCTAAAATACACAAGAGTATTCTACCATTTAATTTACAAAGAATGTTAATATAAATAATCTTAAGTCATCATCATGTGTAGACTGGGCAGATATTCATATCCCAATTTTGCAAATAAGAAGAATGAAGTTCAGAGAGGTCAGGTAATAATAGTTGCCACTATTATTAAACATGTAATACACCAGAGACCTGAAATAAATGTATTACCACGTGTTTTGCGCTAAATGGTGTCTCCCAAAATTCTTATGTACTAACAACTAGTATTTTAGAATATGGCTGTATTTGGAGATGAAACCTCTAAAGAAGAAACTGAGTTAAAATGAGGCCATAAGGGTGGGCCCTAATCCAATCTGGTGGTTTTTTGGTTTGTTATTTGTTTGTTTTTGAGAAGAGGAGATTAGGACACAGAGAGAGACACCAGGAGAACGAGCACAAACAGAGGAAACACTACATAAAGACACAATAAGAGGGCAACAATCTGCAAGCCAAGGAGAGAGGCCACAGGAAAAACCAAACCTGACTCCTTGACTTTGGGCTTCTGGCCTCTAGAACAGTCAGAAGGTAAATGTCTGCTGTTTAACCTACCCAGTCTGTGGTTTTTGTGATGGCTGCCCTAGCAAACTAATATATGCTGAAAATAACAAGTTTGGCATCAGTAGCTTCATTTGCAATTGAGAAATTCAAAAATAGTAATTTAATCTGACTTTAAACTCATTTCTGTCTTACACCGGAAATCACACCCTTAAGCTCTACTATATCCTCCCAGCATGATCAATGACAATGCTGGCAACTAAAGTATTCTAACTTTTAATCCAGTGTTCTTTCTACAAAGGTATCAAAAAGTGACCTTGGTAGACTCATTACGACATTAAAACAGAATGGGAAACAAAGTTAAGAAAAAATATAGTTCCTTGGGAGGCCAAAGCAGGCAGATCAGGAGGTCAAGAGATTGAGACGATCCTGGCCAACTTGGTGAAACCCCTTTAGTCTCTACTAAAAATACAAACAATTAACTGGGCATGGTGGCACGCACCTGTAGTCCCAGCTACTCAGGAGGCTGAGAGGAGAATTGCTTGAACCCAGGAGGCGGAGCTTGCAGTGAGCCGAGATTGCGCCACTGCACTGCAGCCTGGCAACAGAGCAAGACTCCATCTCCAAAAAAAAAAAAAAAATAGAGTTTCATGCAAAAATGAAAATGTCTGCTTTTCTTTTATACTTTCTCAGAATAAGACTAAACAATTCAAGAAAAATGATTTTTGTAAGCATTCTGGAGTGATACATTTGTTTTTATTTATGGTCCTTAAACCTTCCATTTTGGTTTATCCTAAAAAATAAGTTTGATCAAGACCCTCTTCCTTTAAGCATCTCCACTTATTTTATTGGAAGTAAACAGTTTTCCTAATGCAGAAAGCTTCCCAAAGGGAAGATACTTTTCTGATATTATTTTGATTAGCTGGTAAAGTTACTGAAAAGTGCTGAAAACCCCAAATACCAGAGCACCCGACAGAAAGAGCTGCCTGGGGAATGTCATCTTAATTTCGTCAAGCAGATTTTTTAAGACTCCAGATAAACTATGGTCTGATTAAATTAAAAGCAAAATTTCTAATGGGCATAGATTAACTTACAACACAATCATATGGTAGAGTATTATATGCCCACTGAGAATAATTAGAATGCAAACATGCTCATGATATACTCTCGAATGAAAAAAGCAGATTGTATGACATTCTGGATAATATGATTCTACTCATGTAACATAAATTCACTAGAAAAATGTTATACATCAAATGTTAATGGTCATGATATCCACATGGAGAAATGAGACTTAATAATTGACTACTTCTAATTTTTTTCTTGTTTTCTAATTTTAAAAACAAACATATGTGTGGTATATGAAGAAACAGGAATGGAAGTAGAATGAGAAAGGAAGCAAAGGTAGAGCTTAGTCATGATTTCCTAAATAAATATTTCAAGCATGAAAGGGCTTCATCTTGAAATTGGGACAAATTATGCCACCAGTCAATTTAATTTATATAGTTTATATAAGACAAGTGAAATTTCAAAAAGGTGTGTGCCTGTGTGTAGGTAAAGGTGTGTGTGTGTGTGTGTGTGTGTGTGTGTGTGTAGTGGGGGGCGGGGGACATATTTAAATGTACAAAGGAAAACAGCTGTAGGAAATTTTCTTGTGAATTCCTGCTGTCCTTAATCTATTTACCACACTGCAGCCAGAGTGATCTTTCTAAAATGCAAATCTGATCTTATCCCTCTCTGATTTAAAACTTCCAAAGGCTCCCCACTGGTCTAAGGATAAAGTTCAAATTCCTAAACATGACTCACAAGCTCTTGCCTGACTGCTCGTGGTTTACCTGCTCAGACTTAAATCTCATTATTCTCTGCTGTTTTCTAAAATACGGTCCTGATGAATTTTGTCTCAGTTCCACTCAGTCTCCCCTCTGGGTTTCTAGTGTTCCTCTTCTTGGGCAATTCTCCTTCCAAATCTTTGACTGATTATTTCTCACTCATCTGTAGTGACTAGCTTAAACATCATTTCCTCTGCTACGTCTTCCATGAACAACTAAATCCCATATGATCCCATCCACTTCTGGACTTCCCCTCGTGGTGCCTCTCTGGTAGTATTATAATCATCCACTGTTATGTCTGTATTCCCCCCAGTGGCTCTCTGGGGGCAGAGTTCTGAAGACACTGTTTACCAGTATACAGAAGATTAAGAGATTTTGTAAGTCAAAATAAAAACTCATCTGTATAAAAAACAGAACTAGTTTCTCTCTTTAAACTTGAAAGTCCGCTTAGCTCATAAAAAGCTGTGTCTCTATGTGCCTCCGATTGATCGTTGTATTCCCAGTGACTAACTCTTCTTGGCACACCTTGGGCTCTCAATAAGGACTGTAAGAAAAGCTGTTCATATGGTTGTTCACGCATCAAACACTGACTGAGAGCCCTGGATGGGCTACTGTGGACTAGTTACCAACTATGCGTGATAGGCACACAGGGCATGGATGTGCTCTTCGATATATATTGATATGAATATAATAAGAGATTATAGCATTGGGAGGGCTACACAGTAAATACACATGACAATGATCAGGTGATGAGTCAAGTGCAAAGGAGAATGATGTGAGAACACATAGAAAGGACACCTAACTCAATTTATTATACCACCAAGTTTTAAAAATTATGGCAGCTGGTTACAAACTATAGCAGTCTCCTGATAGCTGTTTTTCAAAAGAACTTTAGTTAAACTGGAACTAGTAAGTTATTCTAAAGAGTTAAAAATAGAAATAAACCAATGACAGTTGAAGATCTGTTAGCAAACTTTGATAAGCTGAAAGGCATTTACTAAAAGGTGTAGAATTCAGTCAGCTACTGGATGATGGATACATCTGTGGAAGGACAAGTGGATGTGTCTTCCTGCCACATAGGACAGGGCAAGGGTGAGACATGTAAGAAGAGAAAAATAGACAAATAAAAATCTGTAAATTCCAAAGAGAAAACAGATTTTCCTTGTAAATATTTTCCCTTAGGACTTTTAACATCCTTTAGGGAAATGGTGATTTTAACAACCCTGGCTTTGCCTGAGGCTCAGTTTTCAAATATCTTTTACAGGTCCAGAGAGTAAGTGGAATGGTCCTGGCTGCCAAATGCTAATAGCTTGAAAATCCTCCACGAGAGAAGAAAATCAATTAAGATGTAATTAAATCATCACTTCATCATTTCTGCATATGAAATATTACACTGAGATCAAGAATTTGGTGTGAGTAGAGTATCAGTAAATGTTAGCTTTGATCTTATTTTTTTTTAAGTAGGAAAAAAGTAGGTGTAATGTTTTCTTGATATTTTTCCTGAAGAAAATTACTCTCTGGGCATTTGCTGTCTACTAGCGAGAAAAAAAAATTTGGTGGCAAAATATGGACAATAAATAGTTGATTTATGAGAAGTATTTATTGCTTACAGGTGAGGAATTAGGGAATGATTCATGAAGAATGTAACATTTGTGCTGATCCTGGAGGAAAAGATGTGATTTGAATATGAGAAGCAGGGCTCAGCCCAGGCTTGTTGAACTAAAAGATTGAATGAAGGAATGAATAACTATTTCAAGTCTTTGTAAAGTTACAGGATTTCTTGTCATTGATATTTCTTTCTCCTATTTTGATGCAAATAATTTCACCCCTTCTGAGAGAAAAGTAGATAGGTGATCCACAGGTATGGCTACGTGAGAAGCATATCATTTAGGAGAGAGAAGTAAGGCTCTACCTAAAGGAGCAGACACCTAGGATCAACCTTGACAGATGGATAGGGTTTGGCAGCTTAAGGTGAAAAGGTTATCTTCTAGGTAAAGCAATCGTAACTGATGAAAGCAGGCTGCCTAGAAAGTGCAGGCTATGTACTGGGAAAGAAGCTCCAATTGGCTGCATCTGAGACTGACGACTGGAGAGAAATGGGACATTAGGAAGGAGGAGAGATTTCATTCACATTGTGGTTGTATTTGAGTGAACATAGACACCAATCTTGAGCCCACATCTTCTGGGGCTTGAGTCATAATGAAAAGCTCACTGTCTTCTTTGCCGCTCTTGGTGGCCTCGTGGCTTCTCTAATTCCCTGGCCTTAGCATGGAAGCCTCTTTATCATTCTGCTCTGTATGACTCTTTCCATACTCCCCGGCTGGTGCCTTCAGAGCCACAGAAACTTCCTTACTAGACTTGTGAGGAAGGAGGGAGCCTTGGTAAGAGGGAATGTGTAAGACCAGACATCAGAAGAGAGGAATTCTAGTTTTGGCTCTGCTGGCAACCTGTCGAGTGACCTTAAGCAAACCATTCAATATCTCTGAATCTGCTGCTTCATCTGTAAAATGAAGGGTTGGGCCAGATGATTTTATTTCATTATTATTTTTTAATGTTTAGAGACAGAGTCTCACTCTGACACTGAGGATGGAGTGCAGGGCTGATCATAGCTCACTGCAACCGGCAACTCCTGGGCTCAAGTGATCTCACCTCAGACTCCTGAGTAGCTGGGACCACAGGTGTGCACCATCATGCTTGGCTAATTTTTAAAAATTATTTGCTGACACGAAACCTCACTATGTTGCCTACTTTCCTGAGATTACAGGCATGAGCCACTGCATCTAGCCTAGGACACATGATTTTTAAGATGACTTCCAGTTTCCTATGTTTATCTCTTTAGTTTCTATAAATTCTAAGAATTAAAGGCTTAAATAGTATAATCTGCTTAATCCACTTTAGAAACTAAATTGTGAAAAAATGTAAAAGCATGCTTCAGTGTATAACAAGCCTTACTCAGAGCCCCCTTGGCTCTGTTTACTCACTGAAGAATAACTGATTCCAACCCACGGTTTTCCCTTCATGCCAATACCAGCGTTCTATGGTAGAAATAGCACTGACCCAGGAGTCTGGCATGAACTTTTTTTGTCTCCCTCAATCATCTTCTTTCGACCAACCTTGAACTACTCCTCAAGATAAAATACCTCCCCAAGAGTAGGTCCAGCATTTCTGATTTTCCCAAGCTGATATTGGTAGGATATGATTTATCTCAGCATCATTGCACTCAGCCTGGAACTGTCCTAAAGAGGGCAGAGATTACTTCAATCTTTTGGTTATTCCCTGACCAAGCTAAGGTTGAACCAGTGCCCTTGGAGGGCTGCTTGAGACAAGATCATAATTGCTACACCCTGCCTGGACTGAAGCTCTGCCCAAGGATAGGACTGGAGATAAATGGTCCACTGGAAGTAAGCAGTTAGGGGACATTTGGGTGGAGAAATTTGTGCATGTGTGCATGTGTGTGTGCATGTGCATGTGTGTGTATCTGCGTTGGAGGGTGGGGGTGCTTGCATTCTACTTCTTGACTATTTCCCGTAAAGTTCAGGCATGAGGGTAGACCTCTATTAAATGTCCTTGCTCTTTAGCTTGCTGTTTTGCCTCTTTATTATCTGTGGCTTCCTTATCCTGGAAGGAGAAAACATCCACAACATATATCACTGATGGGATTTTCCATTCTTCTTGTTTTGGTATGTGATAAATCCTAATTTGTTTTACCTTAATTGCCTCATGTGTATAATGGGAATATTAACACCAAATCCTAATTTTTATTTTTATTTATTTATTTATTTTTGAGATGGAGTTTCACTCTTGTTGCCCAGGCTGGAGTACAATGGTGTGATCTCGGCGCACTGCAACCTCCACCTCCTGGGTTCAAGCGATTCTCCTGCCTCAACCTCCCAGGTAGCTGGGATTACAGGCGCCCTCCACCACGCCCAGCTAATTTTTTGTAATTTTAGTAGAGACAGGGTTTCACCACGTTGGCCATGCTGTCTTGAACTCCTGACCTCAGGTGATCCACCCGCCTCGGCCTCCCAAAGTACTGGGATTACAGGCATGAGCCACTGCACCCGGCCTGCTTATTTTATTTTTTAATCTGGCATGTGATTTGTGAAATGAATGCCAATTGTGATCTAAACTGGTTAGAAAAAATAATAATAATAATGCCAAGTTTGCAAATTAAAACTCCAACATATGTTTAATGTAGTCTCATTGCTTTTTTCCGTTGAATCTGAGACTGAAAAGTTCTTAAGAGTCATCTGGCCAAACCCCACTCTCTCCTCTGGTACTTGCATCTTCTGCAGAGTTCTGTCAATTGTCCCATGACCCCCTTCTTGCACGCATTCAGCAACAGGACATTCACTACCTTCCAAAACAGCCCATTCTAGCTTTGGGCAGCTTTGGCCATTCCAGAGTCCTATACTTTGTCTTCTTAGAATTTCTACCAAATTTCCCTCAATCTATTGGTCACAGCCATTCCAGATAGATCTAAGGTAGCCATTCAAGTATGAGTCCACTGAATCAATGTGGTTAATTCAGTAGAAAATGTTGTTCTTCTATGAATGTTTTTATCATGAGCTGCCAATATCTTAATGTACCTTTAGATAGATACATGCATATCTCTATTATGGGAGCTGCTGCATCTTCTCTGTGTTTCCTCCCATTTGTTCCTTAGTCCCTTTCCAGCTGTCCTGTCAGTCAGGAAAGGTCTCTCCATATCCTGAAGAATTTTGTTCAGAGAACCAGAGATACATGATACATACAGCAATGTCATTTCTTTGTTCTTCATAAATTAGCCATGACTGGGGCAGTGAAATTCTATTTAGTAATATAAATTTAAGCCACCTCAGCTGCTCTCTCAGGGAAAAAAAAATAATACTGTTGCTTCCCCAGTTACAAAAGTTTGGGAATCATCCCCCAAAAAATATTTCAAAAAGGTATTATTTCCAGAGGCCAAAGAGCATACACATGGATGCAAAAGAACTGTTGACTATATGGAGCCAGTAACAGCGTGGTAAATATATTTGACTCCTGACAATAACAAAAGCAAGTCCTGAAGACAGCTTGCATAATGGGAAATGGATTTTAGCAGAAATTCTTCTCTGGATTTCTCTTCAGCACATTCACCACCAGCAGTACCGTTATGTGTTTGCCATCGAGCCACACCCCTAAGCCACAATGTATTATGCATGTGCCGAGTTGCTGAGTATGGCTGATGCTGCAGCCCTTGTTAGTTAGTCTTGGAGAAGGAGCAAACACTTTGTTTGTGGATTCACAAGAAAACCTCTACAATCTATTTCCTGAAAGGTTTTTCTCTTTGACTTGAATGATCCTGACTTTTTGATTAAAGCCAAATTACTCAGGACATTGGAATGGTGAAAACTGGCCCCAAGAGGGCAGAAAAGTGCTTCAATGGCAAAGAGAACTTGCTAATGCCATAGACACATATGTCTCTGTATATACACAGAAATACTAGCCCAAGTACAACAGATCTGAGCACGTCAATGGAAAAAAGGTGTTTAGATTACCCTTCTCATGAATTGTCAGGTGGCTGAAGTCACAGTGACCGATTCTGTAGTTCCTTATGAATTCATCCTCTTATTATGAAAGGTTTCACAAGCAGTTGGTCAAGAATTATATGAAACTTTGTAAGGAAGTATTGTTCTACTTGGCAAAGATTGCTTCTATTTTAACATCGATTTTAACTTATTTCACCCATCATTGTGGTCTACCTTGATGAACTAATCACTCACATTTGCCACTAATTCAATCTCTCTTGCATCTAGATGCACATTTCTACAAAATAATAATAATAACAAAATCATGGTTATCATGTATTGTGCCACCTTGCTAAGCACTTAAAATGCATGTATTGTATTTAATCCTTTTAACATCATTATAAATCAGGTGTTAATAGTCCCATTTTTACAGATGAGAAAATCAAGGCTTAGATAAGTAGGCCAGGTGTAGTGGCTCCTTCTTGTAATCCCAAAACTTTGGGAGGCTGAGGAGGGAGGATTGCTTGAGGCGAGCAGTTTGAGACCAGCTTGGGCAACATAGCAAGACCACTGTCTCTATAAAAAATTTAAAAATTAGCTGGGCATGGTGGCAAGCACCTGTAATCTTAGCTACTTGGGAGGCTGAGGACAGAAGATTCCTTGAGCCCAGGAATTTGAGGTTGCAATGAGCTATGATTGTGCCACTGTACTTCAGCCTGGGCAACACAGCAAGACCCTGACTCAAAAAAGGATAAAAAGATAAGTGCCTTGCTAACTCCACTACTTAATGCTGCAGTTTAAGTTAGATATAGGCATAAGAGGGAATGAACTGTAAGTGCTTGTTGATGTATTTATGTATGCCCCACTTAAGACTGTTGTACTCCTTTCTAAATTATTCACTCTTTCAGGTCAGAACAAGTATTTCTATCTTTCCTTATAATACAGCCATCGGCAAACTTCTTACACCGTAATGGCCCAGGATATTACAGAAATACATGCAGAAATCTTAGTGTCACTGTGACAGACACAGGAAGAAACTACTGGATCCTATGCCACTCATCCTTCTCCAAAACACATATGAATATGTTTTGACCAAAGCCTGCCTTGAGAAAGCCAAGATAATTGCCATTCATTTCAATAGCTGGGAAGATTCAATGCAGTCACTTTTCTGACTTGGCATTTAAGGAAGGGCTAGTTAGACAAACAGAAGCGAGGGAAACCAAAGAAGACTGGCCCTCCCAGTGTCTGTCAACACAGGCTCCTCTCAGGCAATGGAGATTAAGGATGCTGATGTTATTTTTAGCCACATTTCCCCTGGAGTGAATGCCACTTCTTATGCCAAAAAATAAGGTATTTCTTTCCATTCCAAAAGTCCACTGTGAAAACTTCATATTCAGAATACCTGAGAGAGTTTAAATGTAGTTTTCAGAACCGAAAAATTGTCAAAATATTCAATAGCATTTATTCAGTGACATTTATTTATTTATTCTTACATGATGAGACTAAATCATATCCCTTTATCCCTATATCCACAGATGTCTGGATGCTGATGACTGTCCCTTTATCCCTATATCCATAGATGTCTGGATGCTCATTATCGTTTCTATTACCATTAATTTTGCACATTTTAATAGTAAGAAGACAGATGACCTGGGTCTGTCTTTCATTTTTGAAACTTCAGCAAGCCACTCCATTGCCCCCCTCCTGTCAAAAGCCTCATTTATAATAATAGCAATGATGATCCTTGCTTGGGTTGCCTCAAGAAGTTGTGTGAGGAAGAAAAGGAAAAAATCCATGTGACATTACCTAGAAATTAAAAAATATATATATATATATATATATATATATATACTCACAAACCCACAATTGATGCTTCTGTAATTATTTCTATTTAAGTATGTCTTGTCTCCATCCTGATGACAAGGACTTGCCATATGTTTCATGTTATCTCAAGTGCTTCAGAAGAGTAGGCATTCAGTGGATATAAATAATAATGATGAGAATAAAATTTAACATACCTTACCCCATGAATACAATTCTGCGAGTAGTCATCATTGCCAGCAGGTGGGGGCACAAACCTGAAGACTTTAATTAGAAAGGTTCATAGTTGGTCTACTGCTGAAATATGGTGAAAAGCTATCAAATTAGTTCAAAGTTTCTTCCATTATCTGTGGTGGCTGCCACCTTCAGAAAGGCTAAGGCGTTCAACACCAGGTTTCTGGCAAAACAGAGACTGTAGGTTTCAGGAAACCTACACCAGGTATCTGAACAGCACTGGATATGAAATCAGGAATAAGTCTTAGCACACGAATGTGTGATCTTGCTAATGTAAACGTCAAAGGATTTAGAAAAAAGTAAAATGAATTAGAATTTTTCTTTTGCGAAAGAGTGGAAGAGTTGTCTCAATAACCAAGATTGCCTTCTCTTTTCCATCTTAATCCAAACATGTTTTTCTTCTTTTTAAAAAAATAAAGCAGCTTACTGGATTCCCAAATATAGTATTAATATCAGTGGTAACTTCAAAGAAGCCACGATCAGTTCTTTAAGGACTTTCCCTCCTAGCATCTTTTTTATGGCTCAATAGGCCTGACCTCCAGGTCTCATCTTAAAAGTCAGAGCTTTCCCCTTTCATGAAAGTCTCCTATGTCTCATCAGTGCCAGATACACAGCAAAGTTAAATAGGGTCACAGTTTAGCGTGGGTCTCTAGGGTGAAGCCCATCCAGGGGTGTGGTGATTTTTCCTATGCATGGTCTGGCTGGGCGGCTGCTACCCACACGTTGATTACTTTAAGCCTGCTGAAGTGCTTGAAGCCTAACTGGCCTTTTAGAAAGGCTTCCTAAGGAGTCCTTTTCCAAGGAGAGGTGGCATCTGTCAAAAATGTCAAACAAAAGAAAGCAATGTCTACAAAATCCCTATTAAAATATTGGGGTAAAAGCTGGATGGCTATGGAACTGCAAGGAACTTTTAAGTATAGTTTAGTCCAAATCCTTCAGTTTTATAAAAAGAGAAACTGAGACTCAAAAAGGCAAAATAATGTTTTCAAAGTCACTTGGAAAAATCTGAGACCCCAGGACCCTAAGTAACCATCTTTGCCTTACACCAGGCTAGAGTCCTCTAGATGTTTATTCTAAATAATGCCAACTACAGCCATCTGGAAACCAATATTTACAAAGCAGCCACCATGAACTGTTTCCAATAATCAGAAACTTGGTCTGAAAAATTAATAAAACAACAAAAAGTGCTTGCGAGGTTCCAGAGATTTTTCACCCTTTATGCAGATGTTTTAGTCTGGTGGAGAAATGAGCACAATCAGTGGTTCCCTTTCTTATGCATCAATGTGGCTCATTAAAACAATAATTTGCCTTTGTCTCTATTTTTTGTCATTTCCTTAAGATTGAAAAAGTAAAATTCAATTATTAAACTATTTCAGTTTGTTTTTAAAGTCTTCCTTTTTTCAATTTTTTGTTCTGTAACAAATAGATTTTCAACAATGTTATAATGCATAAATTCTAGCCAAATATATTTTTTCTTTTATAATTTCCTTTTTTAAAAAAGTAACTTTCTCTTCTCTCCAAATATTTCATCCCTAAATTATGTAAACTTTTCTCTTTCAGTTTTAAAAAATAAAATCCATACTTCTGGCTTAAATTGCACACATTTGTAATATTCATACCAACAGATGCCTATCCAGCTAGCTGTACATCTGCCTACCCACTCATCCATTCATCCATCCTTCCATCCATCTTCCCAGTTATTCACTTTTTCAATAAATCTTTAATGAGTGCCTTTCATGTGCCAGGCATAATGCTAGGTACTGGTGATCTGAGTGTTTAAAAAATAAGCATCTCTGACCTTGAGGATCTACTCCAGTGGTACTAAATTTGTAAATTCTGGATTTCGTTAGACAACTATGTACAATATTATATGATAGTGTGTTTCTCTAATGTAACTGACATTACAGGACAGTTCTTAAAAGCTGTCAGTGATACTTTATTGCCTATTCATTCAACAAATATGTAATGAATGTATATCATGTGCCAATTACTATTTTAGGGATACATTGATAAAAATAATGTTCTTCTAGGAATGTACAATGACATTAGCCTCTAAAGAGTATTGAGAGTATCTTGGTTACAAATGACTAACCAGACTTCTCCCAATAACTGAGAAACAAATTTTACCATTGATTTATTTTTCTTATAGTAAACATTAAAGAGCATCTCACAAATAATATTCCATATAATAAACAGTAAATTCTTAAAATTTACATATGTAACATTTGTGACTTTAGCTCTCTGGAAATGACCAAAGGCTTTTAAGAAGTAGTAGATTTGTAGTTTAAGGCACAAATGAGCCCCTCAGGGGTGGGGTGTGCATTCAAGAAAACAGATCCAGCCAGGGGACCAAAATGTTCAGCCCAAAGTGGCTTTGCTTTTCTAAACCCATGGTAACTAATGCAGTAACTCTCAGGATTCCATAAGACCTTTGTTTCTTTATGAAATATAAATAATGAAGTGAAAGTCTCCTTTAGGTATTTTATACAGAATAAACTTGTATATACTTTTTTATTTAACATATTATCCTCCAAGAAACATTATTTGTTAGTTAAATGCACATACACAAATTTCTCTATTTGCAAAGTTGGCAATTTAGAGGGTTTCTAAATAGATCAAAACCCCAAATGCCTTCAGAGGCGAGGCAGATAATATCAATAATGAAGTGGGTACTTTATAAAACCATTAGGCAGTGGTTATCAAATTCTGTTATGCCTCAGAATCACCTAGGGGTCATAGGTGACTGCTGGTCCCCTCCTCCGAAGTTTCCGATTAAGTAAGTCCAATACAGGGCAAAAAATATATATATATATTTCTTTTTTTTGAGATGGAGTCTCACTCTTTTGCCCAGGCCCGAGTGCAGTGGCGCGATCTCGGCTCACTGCAAGTTCCACCTCCCGGGTTCACGCCATTCTCCTGCTTCAGCCTCCCGAGTAGCTGGGACTACAGGCACCCACCACCACGCCTGGCTAATTTTTTGTATTTTTAGTAGAGACGGTGTTTCACCGTGTTAGCCAGGATGGTCTCGATCTCCTGACCTCACGATCCGCCCGCCTTGGCCTCCCAAAGTGCTGGGATTACAGGTGTGAGCCACCACGCCCAGCCAAAATATATACATATAGTTCTAACAAGTTCCCAGGTGAAGCTGGTGCTGCTGACCAAGGACTACACTATAAGTCTGCTGTAAGAAATGGTGAAACTGATGACAAATTAAATAGCCTTACTCAATTGCCGTTTTGGGAATGGAGGTAAAGTACTGGCAGGTGATTCAATTTTTTATAAAGATGATGAGTGTGTTACTCCATTTTCATATTGCTCTAAAGAACTGCCCAAGACTGGGTAATTTATAAAGGAAAGAGGTTGAATTGACTCAAGAGTTTACATGGCTGCAGAAGCCTCAGGAAACTTACAACCAGGGAGGATGGCGAAGGGGAAGCAATGAACCTTCTTTACGAGGCGGCAGGAAGGAGAAGTGCCGAGTGAAGCGGGTAGAGCCCCTTATAAAACCATCAGATCTTGTGAGAACTCACTATCAGGAGAACAGCATGGGGAAAACTGCCCCCATGACTCAATTACCTCCACCTGGTCTCTCCCTTGACATGGGCGGCGGGGATTATGGGGATTAGAATTCAAGAGGAGTTTTGGGTGGGGACACAAAACCTAACCTTGTCAATGAGAGTCTATTTATCTATGTAAAATTTGTTGGCAGTATTTAAAAGCATTGTGCAAGTCTACACTTGGAAGCCCAAAAGATTAAGTCCATAGATTGGATTTGCTATGAAGGCCAAATATTTGTGTATTTTGTTCAACTGTATTTAATTATGTTAGGTTTAATGTACTAATGTTTTACATAGTATTACAAAGGCAACATGATGTCCAGAAAGCTCTGTTACCAATACCACTTATTTTTATGCATCCACTACACATTACTGGTGAGATATAAAGTGAATTATTTAACTGTTAGGGTCCCGTTTCATCATCTGTAAAATATAAACATATGTGCTTTAGAGGATATACTATAATATTAAATATAATAAGGACATGGTGCATGGTGCCCCTGCAGTTTTTTTAATGCAGGGGCCCTGCTTGGTATGAAATAAATTAAGTGTATAAATAATTGTTCCTGAATTTTAAAATATCTATCAGAGTACACATGGTGCACATAGTATACAGCTAATATATAAATGTTAGCAAAAAATATAATATGTAAATCTTACTATTTACGACAGATGGATTGGCCAGGTGCAGTGGCTCACACCTGTAATCCCAGCACTTTGGGAGATAGAGGCAGGTGGTTCACGAGGTCAGGAGTTCGAGACCAGCGTGTCCAATATGGTGAAACCCTGTCTTTACTATTAGTAAAAATACAAAAATTAGCCAGGCGCGGTGGCGCATGCCTGTAATCCCAGCTACTCATGTGGCTGAGACAGGAGAATCACTTGAACTGGGGAGGCAGAGGTTGCAGTGAGCCAAGATATTGCCACTGGGCAATAGAGTGAGGTTCCCTCTCAAAAAAAAAAAAAAAAAAAAAAAGAAAGAAAGAAAGAAAAAAAATTGTAAATAGATGAATTCCAACAGTCTGAATTTACTTTCCTCTTTCATATGCATTGATGGGGCTCTTGGTAAATGTGTCTGATGCCTTCTGTCTGCTTTGGTACCTCTACAGGTTGTTATATCTGCAATGATGTGAATTTGTAAGGCTAGCAGAAGAAAACTCTATCGTCCCCAATATAAAAGAAAGACTGAGAATATAAAAAGAGGATTTCAAGCAAATAATGTGAGAGAAAACACACAGAATTACATTTTTCTTACAGACAATGTTAATATTGGAGTCATTTCAATTTACCTACACATGATCATAAATGGAAACCCTTCTCCACCCTAACACTGCCATAAATGTGGCAAGTACTTTTGTCCTTGATACCCAGAGGAAAATCCAGTCCAAAAACAGACTGACTTATCAAAAGACAAAAAAAAAGCCTTTTAAAAAGACTCTTAAAGGAACTATACAAGTGGCACTCTGTCGAGTCCTTGATATATGCTGTCATATTTAGCTCTTAAAATAGACCTATGAATATGTAAAGCCTACGAAATGGGGGCTTCCTGCTTAATGAATCATTTCCTCATCTGAATTTTTCAACCACAGTCACTAGTAGAACTTTTTTTTTTCTTTTTGCCTCTAACATAATGTTTCTCCAGGAATAATTTCCCTCAGAGACCGTAACTTTTCATCCTTTGTAAGCCAAAAGTCCATAACATTATTATCTTTTATTTTTCTCTTTCGCAGGCTAAAAAAACCAAGCTGCATTATCCCTCAATTACTTTTTAAATTCTTAATATTTTAATCATTAATAAGTAGCATGGTGAGTTAGTCAAGACTGTACACTCTAAAACTAAACTGGCTGGATTTTAATTTAACTGGTAATTTAGTAGGTTTGTTTTCTTGGACCACTAATTAACCTCTCTGTGCCTCATTTTCCCCAAGTATAAAGAAGACATAATAATAGTATTCACCTGTGAGGGTTATGATGCGGATAATGTAAATTGGCATTTGTTAAGAACTTAGAACTCTCCTTTGCATATAAGAGTTTGATAAAGCTATTATCATTATGTCTCACTTACATCTTCTTCTCTTTATATTGCAGCCCCAAAATAGATAAAAGTCAAATAGAAGTATGAATGAAAGAAAATAAAATGAATTCGAGATATTTTTGGAGCTGATTCATTTACAAATGGACTAACACATAATAAACCTCAGTCGGGAATCTTAGAAGTAACCATCAATGCTTCCCATAAGAATGGAAATTATCTGTAAATCAAGAGCAGAATCCTGACCATGGACCAAAAAAAAATTTTTTTTGAAAAGCTAATTTTAGAAATTTACTACTGGATTTACAGTACACTTTTTAAAGACCAAAATAATAAGTGTTTGTCTTTAGTAAGGGAAAGTACCTTTTAGAGTTGCTAACTTTATTTTGATTTGATTTTTTGTTTTTATTAACCATTATTTCTCGGGCCCTTGAAAACATTTTTCTTTCATCTGGGGAGGTTCTGTTAGTCAGTTTACAAAACTGGCAGCATTTCATTTTTTCAATGAAATTTAACAGAATTTTGTCTCAGCTTTTACATGATGTGTATGAACTTGAATAAATTCATCCCTTTCTTTTAGCCTGTTTACTTAAAAGTCAAATTTTGGGGAATTCCTGTAATCTCTTTCTTATAGTATTGTTGTGTCAGAGACGTTTGAACCAGAGCAACTCCATCTTGAGTAGTGGCTGGGTAAAAGGAGCCTGAGGCGTACTGGGCTGCATTCCCAGATGGTTAGGCATTCTAAGTCACAGGATGAGACAGAAAATCAGCACAAGATACAGGTCATACAGACCTTGCTGACAAAACAGCTTGCAGTAAAAACGCCAGCTAAAACCCACCAAAACCAAGATGGCGCTGAGAGTCACCTCCGGTCATCCTCACTGCTACACTCCCACCAGTGCTAGGACAGTCTACAAATGCCGTGACAACCTCAGGAAGTTACCCTATATGGTCTAAAAAGCGGAGGCAGGAATAATCCACCCCTTGTTTAGCATATCATCAAGAAATAATCATAAAAATAGGCAACCAGCAGCCCTTGGGCTACTCTGACCATGGAGTAAGTATTCTTTTATTTCTTTACTTTCCTAATAAACTTGCTTTCACTTTGTTCTGTGCAGTCACCCTGAATTCTTTCTTGCGGGAGATCCAAGAACCCTCCCTTTCTGGTAACATAAAGATTAAAGTAAAATAAGAAGTGCTTCATAAACTGAAAATATCATACGGGTATTAGTTGTTCTAATAACCAGGTCTGGTTTCCCAATCTGCGAAGTGTGTAGTATTTATCAAAACTCAATGAATATTTGCTGGGTGTATGAAGCTATAAAATGAAAAGGGGATAAGCTAGGAGAAAATATTTATACTTTATTTAAAACATAACTGCCTTCTACAATACGAGCCAAGCACTGTTTTAGGTGATTTCGAAACATTTACTCATTTAATACACATAACAATTTTATAAGGTAGGTACTACTATCATTCTCACTTACATATGACAAAACTGAGGCACTGAGAAGTACAACTAACTTCACCAAACAAATGGGTTGGAAATAACAGATAATGTAATGCAAACACAAGCAGTTTGGCTCTGAGGCCTGTAGTTTTAAACTATGATACCTAACTAAATCTCCGCCACTTAGCTCTGGACAGAGAAACCACCCAACAGATAATACTATACCATGAAGCAAAGATGATGTAAACACATCTTGTGGCATTTTATCTCTGTGTTCTATCCACAAGGGCAAGAACAGGGTTTCACAGCCAGCGAATTCCACCACTGTGGAAAATACAGTAACCCATTCTTAACCCACGTGAGGGACAGTGGTTGGGTACCTGAACAGTACTGGAATAAAATAATTAACTCTGAGGAATTATGACCTTATAATGAAACATCAGGTTATAGAGAAAGAGGTCATTAATTAAACTATAAAAGGGCTTGTACATATTTGTTGTATTTTCACTAAAATAAAGTAGATATTTAGATATAGGTTGGTGCAAAAGTAATTGCGGTTTTTACCTTTTTTTTTTTTTTTAAGCAATGGCAAAAACTGCAATTACTTTTGCACCAACCTGTAGGTACTGTTAACATTTAGTGTTTAATGAATCTTAAGTGGGTAATCGATTCATAAAATATTATTTTCTATCACTCACTGCTCAGGATTTCCCTCTGCTGCTCTTCCCACCCAATGCTGGTGCATGTATTTTGCACACAGGAGGTCCTTTGTGCTGGGTCTGAGCATTCACCTCCTCTCTGGCTTCACGGAATACATTTTAAGACCAGGCACTTGAACCCAGAAAGTGGAGACTGCAGTGAGTGGGCCACTGCACTCTAGCCTGGGCGACAGAGCAAGACTCCATCGCAAAAAAAAAAAAAATAAAGAACCAGGCTTCCACTACCTCCTCTGCTCATATTGTCTCTTGAGCCCTCTGCACCCTATTCCTTGGTCTTTTATTTAAGGTGCTTTTCTATTCCTGTCAATAAGTTCCCTCTATTTCCACATATTTCTAGAAGAATGATTGATAATTCTCACAATTTCCATGATATGGAAGCAAAATTTCACAGTACTATGCCAAATAAGAGACACACATTAAATGTTATTCCCACTTTTAAAGGAAAAAATTACCATACTTAGCAAGAGAAATAGCAAAGCCATTCTCAACTGGGGAATAATTTTTAGGCTGGCCTCTCATCCAGCATAGTGAAGAGAAAATACACATGACTGATATTCCCCTCAAGCCCTACTCTTGCAGAGCACTCAGGTTTAGAGGCTTAGTGAAGGTCGGGACTGGGAGAAACAGAGAAAAATCTGTTTGAAGAGGTATCCCAGCCAAACTCTGGAGACCTGACATCCTCCATCTTTTCTGTTGACACACAATTAGAGGGGAACTTGTCAAATATTTCCATATCTGAGGGGCTCTCTCAGTAGCCACAGATCAGAAGCCACAACTTAGACCAATGATCTTTTTGACCACAAGTGCCATGGTTTAATCTTCATAGTGCCCTGCATAGGATTTGCCATTCATTGAATGCTGTCAGAATTAATTAAAATTCTGTGCTTCTTAGATGGAGACACTCTATGTTTTACAATGATTTTATTATTTTAATAATTGTTTGAATGGAGACACTCTATGTTTTACAATGATTTTATTATTTTAATAATTGTTTGAATGGAGACACTCTATGTTTTACAATGATTTTATTATTTTAATAATTGTTTGAATTTTCTCTGAGTCTCCTCAGAAAGTTCATTCCTTAAAAGCCCCAAACATACCTCTGCTGACTGATATGAGAGAAGAAAAGGATGATATGTTTGTACTTGGGCTACACAGTCTAGGGAGAGGAGTGTGGGGGAAGCCAGGGAGAAATTTCCAGGAAGCTAAGGTAGAGGTAGAAACCCTGAATTTACTACTAATTCAAAAAGTCATTTACATGACTTAAAGAAAAATTTTCTCTGGTTCTTGCCAAATTCTAGTGTTCCGGCCTGAGGTTCTTAAGACAATATTTGATTATCTCTTAAGAGTTCGAGTGGGGGTGGTTAGTATTTATTAAGTGTCCATTGAGTTTGGAGCTCTCAATATCTGAATAGAAGTTGATTATCCAAGGAGCTGAGAACCATTGATTCAATCCACCATGAAGTGTTTATATCAAAGGTGAAATTCTTATTTAGTCTCAGTCTCATGCTGGTAATTACAAAGAAGATTTTAAGAATTCAGAGAAATCTGGGGACTTTTAAAAGTCACCATACTGTTACCCCTATCTATTCTTAAATATCATCAACTTGACAATTTCATTTGGTGAGAACTGTTTATTCATTCACATGCCAAGTTTCGGGCTGTCACAACTGATAATCCTCTAGAAGTATCAACAGGCAAAAGGAAATTGGTGACTTTCTTTTTTTTTTGCTTTTTTAATTAAAGTATCTGACCAATGCACTTGATATAATTTCTGACTCAAAAAAACATGCTTAATAATTAAATATTAAAGCAATCTTTATCCACATTGTTATTTAACCCTGTTCTAGAAATTCTGACCAATAAACAAGATGTCAAAAAATTACAGAAAAGTAGAAGACAAAATGTATCATTATTTGAGGAAACAAAGATAATTTGCTGGCCAGGCACGGTGGCTCATGCCTGTAATCCCAGCATTTTGGGAGGCCAAGGTGGGTGGATCACCTGAGGTCAGGAGTTTGAGACCAGCCTGGCCAACATGATGAATCTCTGTCTCTACTAAAAATACAAAAAATTAGAAGGGCATGGTGGTGGGCACCTGTAATCCCAGCCATTCAGGAGGCTGAGGCAGGAGAATTGCTTGAACCCGGGAGGCAGAGGTTGCAGTGAGCCAAGGTCGTGCCACTGCACTCCAGCCTGAGCAACAAGAGTTAAACTCCGTCTCAAAAAAAAAAAGAAAAAAAAAGAAAAAAAGATAATGTGCTGAACTATCAGGCTAAGAGTTCAGTTAAATAGCTGTATAAAAATATATAATTACATAAAATGTTTAGCTTTTCTATATTCCTTTAAAAATAAATTTAAACATATAATGAGAAAAGATAATATCTATATATTCCATACACAGAACCTGAACACATGATCTTTATAAGCAATGTGTCATAGCTACATGAAAAAAATACAAAATTTCACTGAGATATGAAAAATTAAAATATTAGAAAAACAATGAGATTTTGGCTGGGGTGGTGGTAAATACCTATAATTCTAGCAGTTTGGGAAGCTGAGGCTGGCACATGGCTTGAGCCCAGCAGTTCAAGATGAGCCTGGGCAACATGGCAAAACCTCTTGTCTAAAAAATGCAAAAATTAGCTGGGCGTGATGGCACGCAACCCTGGAGGCTGAGGTGGGAGAATCACCTGAGCCCAGGGAGGTCAAGGCTGCAGTGAGCTATAATTGTGCCACTTCACTCCAGCCTCGGCAAGAGAGTGAGACCCTGTCTCAAATAAATAAGTAATTAAATGAATAAATAATAAAAACAATGAGATTGTATTGGAAGTTGGCAAAATGATTATCATGTTTGAATGGAAAAATGAAAAGGCAAAAAGGAAGAGGTAAAATTTTGAAAATTAAAAGTAATGAAAGTAAACATGCTATAGTAAATTTATAATAACTAAAATAATCTGTTAGTGAGAGAAAATGGGAGAAAATAATCAGTGGAACAAATTAGCCCCCAAAGAGATCTTAGACTACAAAAGAACTTAATATAGGAAAAATGAGGCAATGTCAATTAATGAGAATATTACATAAAATCAATAAATGATGTTAGAAAAATTGGTTGATCATTTGGAAAACATCACTTTGATCTTAGCCTCATATCCTGCTAAAAATAAACTACAGATGAATTAAGAGTACGTACTATAATTCGTAGTGAATGCTTTTTCAAGTTATATATTTTTTTAAAAAGCTGGAATAAAATACATGTGAATATTTCTGACACTTAGATAAGGATGGATTTCCTATGCTGAGAAGTGATGAAAGACAGCACAATAAAATAAACTAAAAATGAATTAAAATACTAAATGCTCTAAAATAAACATAAAACAACAAGACTAAAATATATGCAGATATTTCTAATTTATAGATGAAAGGATTTCTCATGTTTAAAAGTGATGGAAGATATAACCAAAAAATGTCATTCAACATGCATATACATAAAATGAAGAAAAATAAGACCAAAATAAACCCTTGTGTACATAAAATTACATTATCATGTTAGAAAAAATATTTTTAAAGAAGTGTATGCCGGGCATGAGGTCTCATGCCTGTAATCCCAGCACTTTTGGAGGCCAAGACAGGCTAATCACCTGAGGTCAGGAGTTCGAGACGAGTCTGGCCAACACGGTAAACCCTGTCTCTACTAAAAATACAAGAACTAGCCAGGCATGGTGGCAGGCACCTGGAATCCCAGCTACTTGGGAGGCTGAGGCAGGAGAATCACTGGAACCTGGGAGGTAGAGGCTGCGGTGAGCCAAGATCACACCACTGCACTCCAGCCTCTGTGAGAAAGCGAGACTCCATGTCGAAAAAAAAAAGAAATGTAATTTCTGTTAATATCTTAATATACAAAGATCTTTTCTAACTTTTAAGGAAAATCACTAAAAGTCTAATAGATACAATCAGATAAATTTGCAAAAAAAATGCAGATTGGTAACAAAAATTTAAAATTTAAGCTAAGATTTGTGACATACATATTTCAAATGACTCAGCTAGAAATAATTGATCAGAACTCAATGTACCAAAGTCATGTAAGACAAGTATAGACCAAGAAACTGGCACAGTGTAGAGGAGACTAAAAAGACAACAATTAAGGGCAATGTGGGATCCAGGATGGGCTTTATCATTTTTTAGTTTATTCCAAAACATTCAGTAAGTGTCTACTAAGTGCTAGACCTACTGCTATACCTCATAATGCAAGAATGATTGGACAAGATCCCTGTCTTATGGGAGTAACAAGGCATTTAGCTGGCATGAGCTGAAACTCCAGAAATGCATGTCCAACGAGATGGAGGATATGCTTCCTTCCATATCCTATTCTGAAGTGGATTTTTATAAATTATTTGTTATCTCTACAATTCCAGAAATGTTTATGGTAGCAGTGCCTGGTCTACATTGTTTATTTTCAACAGAGAAATATTTTTTTTTCAAAGCACTATATTTCTGTAGGTGTGTTGTCAAAATGCTGACTCATTCACTCAAGTATAAAATTTACTATATGAATTGCCTTAGGAGCCTGAATATTTTCCAAATTCCATGTCTTAAATCAACATGTGAAGATTTCAGTTCCATAATTTCTGTGATTTAGTCTCAAGAAATTCACAGTAAAAATTCAACATTAAAGTTTTGGTAACATCACAAAAAGAAGGAGGAAGAGAAGGATGAGAAAGAGGAAAAGGATAGGAAGGAGAGGAGAAGAGGAAATGCAGGCAAGCAGGTTGGCTCACAACACATGAAGGTCAACTTTGGACACAGACTCAAAACCCATGAGAACATTTATGGGTACATTTAGAGCTTTGGATTTGTAAGATTAGAATTTGAAGCTTTACTATTTCCTCCTAGAAACTTTGTCTACAATAAAATTAAATTGTCACCCTATGACAGAGTCACTGAGAAGGAATGTTCAAGTTTTGGCTTTTTTGGTAGGTGTGATTTAACTCAGCGGTCTCCAGCCTTTTTGGTGCCAGGATTTCGTGGAAGACAATTTTTCCATGCACCACGGTGGGGATTGTGAGGAGGTAGGGTAGGGCGATGGTGTGAGAATGATTCAAGTGGATTACATTTATTGTGCACTTTATTTCTATTATTATTACATTGCAATATATAATAAAATAATTATACAACTCACCATAATGTAGAATCAGTGGGAGTCCTGAGCTTGTTTTCTGAAACTAGACGGTCCCATCTAGTGGTGATGGGAGACAGTGACAGATCCTCAGGCATTAGATCTCATAAGGAACTCGGAACCTAGATCCCCCACATGCAAAGTTCACAATAGCGCTCGCGCTCCTAAGAGAATCTAATGCCACTGCTGATCCGACAGGAGGCAGAGCTCTGGCAGTAATGCAGGCGGTGGAGAGCAGCTGTAAATACAGTCGCTTGCTCACCTGCCGCTCACCTCCTGCTGTGTGGCCCAGTTCCTAATGGGCCACAGACTTGTACGGGTCCGTGACCTGGGGGTTGTGGACTCCTGATTTAACTGAATTAGTAATATTGTGGTGTTTTCTCTTTTCAAAATAACCAGAATATATACCTTTATTAAAATTAATATTGGAAATTTAGAAAAATATAGAGAGAAATCTGTGAAAGAAAATAAAATATCTAGAACCAACTGGGTACTTTTCTCATACTCCTTGAGAGAAAATTATCTATTATTTTTAAACATTTTTGTCATTTATGACTGCAAAAAGAAAACTTATGATTTTTTTCTTTCAGTAATCTCATGTTTAGTACATGTCTATTTCTTTATGAGCTCAGGATCCATTCTGTATTGTTTGGCCGTAGCATTTCAATCTTCATTTGCAAACCATACGGCCTTCATTCCATTTGGATGTGGCTGGTCCTGTAAACTTGGCTGTAAAAGTCCCAAAAGAAGTAACTATTCTTACCAAGTTATCTGTACCTGGTTTTGCTGCCTTTTAATCCCCATGATTTAAGCTATTTGCAAGAGACTGCTGAAGACCTCCTATCCTAAAATCCCATGTTGTTGTTTATTTTTCCAACAAAAAATGGATGATATTCATATCCTATTGCTCAGGGTAAGACAATCTCCTCTTTTCAACAATTTTGTTATTTTACCGCCAAATATTTAATAAACAGAAATTTGCGTACAGTGGTTTTCTTGGCAACCAGGGAAGCTTATATTTTCTGCTTTTAGATATTTACTTTCCTAACATGGGTTTTGCTACAATTTCAAGCTCACGTTACAGAATACTTTCGTAAACAATATTCAGACGGAACACGATGTTATAAAAAAAGATTTAATGTAGTTATTGTGGCAAGATAAGACTCAACATGATATAAAGACATCTAAAAATGTGCATAGACCTCTTTTATAAATAATCCTGTCCAAAGGACTAGATAAAGGGATAGTTGAAATAATCACATATGAATAATTGTTCCTCATAAACTCTGTCAAAAGTCAGGTTTAGTAATGAGAGAGACACCTAAAAAAGATGACAGCTGGACTTGCACTTTTGGTGGTAGTACTTTCTCTAGGCATATTAGGTATAATCTTTAAGCGACAGAATTTGAACAATAATTTGTCTCACTATTTGGACATTGAGTTTCACAATAAACACAATAATTCAGAAGTTTCTGCAGTATTGCACAGTTTCAGATATGTAAAAAACATAGGAAAATAATAACATACTCTCCATGTGATTTTGGTCACCCATAAAACAGAAAGAAGCCAGAAACAAAATGATTCATATTGTTTGATCCCATTAATAGACTTTTGCAATAGGCAAAACTTGAGGAAGAAAGAACAAACAAATGGTTGTCACAGATTGGGAAGGAGGGAGGGGTTGATTATAAAAGGGCTGCATGAGGGAATTTTGGGTGGTGACGTAACTGCTCTGTATCTTAGTTTCTGTGTGGTGGTCAACATGACTGAATTTGTTGATGGGAATCGATCTATACATCAAAAATGGGAATTCTGCTGTATGTTTATTTAAATTACATTAAATAATTTCAAATATTTAAAAATATCTGGCCAAATCGCTTTTTCTTTTCTTTTCTTTTCTTTTTTTTTTTTTGAGACGGCATTTCACTCTGTTGCCCAGGCAGGAGTGCAGTGGTGTGATCTCGGCTCACTGCAACTTCTGCCTCCCAGATTCAAGCGATTCTCCTGCCTCGGCCTCCTGAGTCGCTGGGATTACAGGCATGTACCACCACACCCGACTAATTTTTGTATTATTATTAGAGACAGTGTTTCACCGTATTGGTCTGGCTGGTCTCACACTCCTGACCTCAAGTGATCTGCTTGCCTCAGCATCCTGAAGTGCTGAGATTACAGGTGTAAGCCACCGCATCTGCCCCCAAATGGCTATTTTTTTCTTTTCTTTTTTTTGGTTTTTTTGTTTGTAATTGCTTCCTTGGCAACTAGGAATAGTTCATAAAACAAAAGCTTTTATATCAGAAGACCAGAGTTTAAATATTGGCTCCCACATTATTTGCTGCATAACTTTACAAAAATATTTTAACTTCTCTGGTTCATTCTATTTAATAGGTATTAGAGGATACCTGATACCCAACCTGCCTCAGTATATTTGACAATTGAGTTAGTCTATATAAAATCCTATTAAAATGTTATGTGAATATAAAGCTTATTAAAGAGATATTTAAAAGTTTTAAATTCTTAAAGATTAAACAGTCTTAAATCCTTCATTTTTTTTTCTCTTGTAAACCCTTGAATAAATTTCTCAGGACATCTCTTTGTCACTCCCTTTTAATCTACCAGCTATGATGTATATAGCAATTTTCTGTCACCCATTAATAATCTTATGCGTTTTATTTTTTACTTTTGCTCTTTTATTGATACTGTTATCATGTCCTTTGCCTTAATTTACACTAAAGGACAGCAGGATGGGAGTATTGCACTATTGATAACTCAAAATAATCTCCATTTAAACAAAAGGCAAAAGGCTAAATACCTTCTGTTGGGCTTTAGGCTGCTTGGGGGATTTAAAGCAAACCCAGATCTTATACCGGAATGTCTTATTAGAGTTTTTCCTTCAACATGTGCTTCTAATTAGCAGTAATATTTGGAGTGGGGGCAGGGGACAAAGGGTACATACAGGTTATGTTATCAATTGTTAAGTTACTTAGTTTAAATTCTACACAGTAAGCTGCAGTGAAGGGTCCCTGGAAACCATTTGTTAGTTGGATGAATATTTCTGACCAGTTATTTTATTCAATTGCAAGAATTGTCTCTACTTCTGCACCATTTGGTTTCCCATTTTGCCATATTCAGAATGAAATTTTTTCTTCTGAAAGTCTCAGTTGCCACCACCATCTCCTTCCCACTTCTGTTGTTCTCTAAAATGAAGTCACAGTTTGTCTCCCTTTTTTGTATAACCACATCACTCTGCCTTTTCTCCCAAACTTTCTCATTTTTCAGTTAGTCTCAAATTTCTGATTTGAGAATTTTGCTCTTACCTAATGATGCATTCCACATATTTCTTGTGTCTCCAAAGGAATGGTAAATCATACATATAGACTTCATACATGTTTGAATAAATACAACAGTATTGAAAGCCCATCAAAAGGAAGTCCAAGGGAGTGATCAAATTATTTTGCACCTTAGAATTTTGTGCAAATGACTATGCCTTAATAATTAATAACATCTAAACTGGTATATCACTTTATAGTCGACATGATAATTTCATTCTTAACGTAATCTTGTGAGATTATTATTTAAAATCTCCATTTTAAAAAAAATTAACATTGAGTCTTAAAGGAATTATGACTTGCTTAAGATTGCATGATGGCAAGACAGAAATTAAAACTCATAATCTAATGTCAAATCACATTCATTTCCACTTTTCTTTTTCTCCCTCAGTCTCACTCACTGAGTCTACCTTTGACTTCAATTATAAGGAAACAGAATTAGTTCCCCCAAGTTCCCTCTGTAGAATCTGACAAAGACCAGGGACACCCTCTGCTCTGCCCTTGAGCGATGATCCCTTCTCCTCCACTGTGATGTAAACCAGGCAGCAGCCATGGTACATGAGATACTTACACTGATTCATTTAACAACAAAGGCCTCCAAAGGCATGGAAAAACTGAATCATCATTCTTTGAGAAACTATGTTGGCAACGTTGGAAAGATAAAAATATATATATATATTTACTTGGTAATAGAATAAAATTTTCAATTAACAACAACAACAAAATAGTATCATGGATTGGCACATGCAGAAGCCCAAACAATAGTAATAATGTTTATGTCTGCAAATATTTTATAGTTTATTCTGGCCAATCATATAGCTCATCTCATTTGACACTTAGGAGTGAAGGGATTATCTGCCCATTTCATATATTAAAAAAACATTGTGGTTGGATAACTTGAGATCATATAGCTGGAAAGGAGAGCATTAAGGTGTATAATTTATACCTTTTCAACTTAATTCTAGAATTCTGACACTGCCTTCCCTAAAAGGAGAAGCAAATTATAAGTAAAAATCTATATTAATGATTCTTAACATTACTGGATCATTACTTTTAGAATCTAGTATAAGCTCTAGATTTCTCCCCAGAAAGATGATCACATCTACACAATTTTATGTGCTTCATAGATCCCTAAGCTTCAGGAAAAATATGGACCCTAGGGAAGAATCATTGCTCTGGATAGAGTCTGCAGAAGAAAATAAGATACCGTGGCTCAGATTTTAGCAAATAGTTTGACTTAGTTACCTGAATCAATTCTTGTCCCTTGATGTCAACACGTCAATCTGTCACATCTATTCACCTTATTAGCATGACTCTCTGTTTTCTTTTTACAATTACTGATCAGCATGACTTTAAAGGTCATTTTAAATTACTGACACTTATTTGAGATATGAATGTTAATGATTATATGGTAAGACATTTTAATAAAGTCAATTTATAAGCAATTTAACTATGGCTATTGTGTCTAAAACATTTCTTGCGCCTCCTTTATGTCACATATTGCAGACACTCAATATTTGTTAAGCAAAATAATAGTTTCTTTAAAATGAGACAACAGAATATTTCTATTGCAATGAAAGCATCACACATGGGCTCAAATAACAATATCGATAAGCCATCACCAACATTTATTTTTGTACAAAGCCACTCTCCTGCCTAAGTTGAAACTTCTCCACTGATCTCAAAGATCTCCAAGATCTAATGACAAGCTAATTCACACTGGTGATGAAAACTATCTTTTTAGAAAATCAGCAAAAATAAAACTGAATTAGAAGTTGGTATTGAGATATAACTAAATCTAAGAGAAAATTAGATCAAATTGCTTTTGATTTCCATTCATACTGTTTCACAAAATGCTTATCTACTGTGCCTAACACACTGCAAGTCAAGACCTGTCGCGAGCCGAGATTGCGCCACTGCACTCCAGCCTGGGGCACAGAGCAAGACTAGGTTTAAAAAAAAAAAAAAAAAAAAAACTGTCACAAACAAGGAAACCTGATTGGCTGCAAGCTTCCTGGAGACTATGAGTGAGTAACATGATGAGATAAACAGAACTTTTGGCACTAGAAGTGCTGTGGCCTCTCAGCCTCCTGAGCATACAGTCTTCCTCCAAACACCAGATACACCCCTGCATTATCTCAATCACCCCAGGTGTCCTCCTAGATAAAAACCTAGATATTCAACAAGAAGAACTAACTGCAGAATGAAAAAAAAAAAAAAAAAAAAAAAAGTGAAACCCAAACAGGAGTAGAAAAAAGTCACATAAAATAAAAGCTGATGACTTTTTAGTTCCCTTTCTGCCTAAAGCTCCAGGGATGAAATAAGGATAGAAGCTGGCATTATAGCTAAAAGAAAGTTGGTCCCCTAGGATGCATTAATCACTGAAGCCAGAGGTGGAAATGACTGCAGAGGCCATTTATTTCATCCCCAAGACAAGCCAGAAATATACCTTATAGTTTCCTTCCTAAAGGACATACAATATTTATCATACACTGAATGAAACCATATGCCACAATAATTCACATTTATGGACAAGGCAGAGGTTAAAAGTTTTAAAGAATAAACTGCAGTTAGTATGCTTCATGAAATCCTACTCTTTAACTCTATGTTTAAGAATTGAGGACTGTGGCCAGGTGCGGTGGTTCACGCTTGTAATCCCAGCACTTTGGGAAGCCAAGGCGGGCGGATCACCTGAGGTCGCGAGTTCAAGACCAGCCTGACCAACATGGAGAAACCCTGTCTCTACTAAAAATACAAAATTAGCCGGGCGAGGTGGCATATGCCTGTAATCCCAGCTACTTGGGAGGTTGAGGCAGGAGAATTGCTTGAACCCAGGAGGCAGAGGTTGCGGTGAGCCGAGATCACACCATTGCACTCTAGCCTGGACAACAAAAGCGAAACTCCATCTCAAAAAAAAAAATAAAAAAGAATTGAGCACTGTAAGGAAGGACAATTTTATGGAGCATATGATTGTTGAGTCCTCCACTAATAGTAACAGAATCCCCCAAACGCAACTACCAGCCATAGTTAAATGGCAACTCATGTTTAAATGAAAGCACATATTCAATTTTAATAAGTCTGTACCTTGGTATAATGCTTTGCTTCTCAGTTTGCAAAATTTAATGCATCTAATTCTGATATGATAACTTCATGAAATATAGCATGTGTTATCTTCACAGATGAGAAAACAGGCCCCAAAGATACAAAATTACTAGCTAAGAGTCTTATATATTGTTAATTGCAAAACCGTTGAACCTTTTATTTAAAAACATGTGTTAAGCCCATAGCATGGAGTAACCACTACACAGGGAACCAGGGATATAAAGATAGGGAAAACAAAGTCTTTGCCTTCCAGGCATTCAACATCTACCAAGGAGCATAAAAGAAATGCCCACAAACTCTTAAGTAATATGGACTATGATAAATCCCTCCAAAGGTTTCCAGAACGCATGAGGACTCACAGGAAGGAGGAATCAGTATGAGATTATTCGGGTTGATTTTCTACTGATCATGAGGTCAGTAAGGGGAGAAAATGAGATTTATTGATTCTTGTTTCCCCAGTGAGCCTAGAACACTCTGTAGGTGTTCAGAGTATTGATGGAAAGGAATGAATAATGAATGCATTAAGCTTTCTGTTCCCTGTATTTACTTTCTATGATATTCATTCCTAAAATGATTCACTTTACACTCTAAGAATAAGGAACAGAACAAAAACTCACAGGAATATGGAGAAGTGAGAGCAGTGACTATAGTTGCATTAGATATTTCTTAAATAGATATTTAGCCTTTTAATCTTTTTATATGTAATAATTCAAGATGCGTATCTTCAAGTCCTCAGTAATTGGCATCACACACACACAAAAAACCCGTCTTACACTTTTATCAAATGATATCCAGGCGACCATCAGTTACAGAACAACTGCACATTTGGCTGCATAGATTCCAGGGGAGATTTGAAAAACCTGGGATGAAGATATTTGTAAAGCACCACCAGATATTTAAACAGTTTTTATTGGGTCTATAAACCATTGTGGTACTCATTCGGTCCATAAACCTGGTGTGCACACAGGATTACCTGAGGCTTGTAAGGGAGAATGCCAACTAATGGTTACTGAATCCACCACCTGCAGAATAACTTTGGAAAAGCAGCTTGTTCCATCAGAGTCAAGACACGAGAACACCATCTTTTCATAAAGACATGGAATCTGATCTGACTGGTCATCTAAGGGCACCAGATATACGACTAAAAATGTTCATATTCATCACCTAAGGAAGGTAATGCTTTTATGTTTGCTATCACAAACATAGACAGTAGTGTTTTTCCAGGAATGGTGATAATATTGCCTTAAGTCATTTACATCTTCTGATTTCTTGGTTTCACACAAAGTATCCCTGACTTAAGACAAACTGCATCATTGCCTGTGGAAAGTTATTGGAATAGCAGATACATTGGATACATTTCTGTTATGAACTCTATGCAAAAAATGAGCTGATTAGCATGCAATCCATTCAACAAATATTTAATTTATGATTATGATGTATCAGCTACTACAAAGCTAGTACACATAGTACCAGTTAATTTCCATATGTTGGCGTGTGTGACCTTCAAGAAGGCACTAAAGGTCTGGTATGGTGGTGCACACCTGTAAACACAGCACTTTGGGAAGCTGAGGCAGGCAGATCACTTGAACTCAGGAGTTAAAGATCAGCCTGGGCAACATGGCAAAACCATGGCTCTACTATATATATATATATATACACACACACACACACACACACACACACACACACACACACACACTCTCTCTCTCTATATATATATATATACTATATATATATATATAAGCTGGGCATGGTGGTGCACACCTGTAGCCCCAGCTACTTGGGAGATTGAGGTAGGAGGATCATTTGAGCCTAGGAGGTTAAGGCTGCAGTAAGCCAAGATTGTGCCATTGCACTCCAGCCTGGGCAACAACAAAGTGATAACCTGTCTTAAAAAAAAAAAAAAAAAAAAAAAGCACTAAAATTTGTGTTTACATAAGTTCTTCATTTTTTATTTTCATACCCTGTTTCTTTTTAGCATATTAAGAGTATATTTTTTAAAGGAGGGTGGCAGTGAAGAGAAGAAAACTTTACCGCCTACTCAGCAAAATGTTTAAATTCTTAGTCCAATAAGGGGAAATCCCGAGAGGTTCACAGCTGGCTCTGCTTACTGCAATTACAGAATGCAAACTAGTACTTCAGTCAGAGCCTGCTTAAAAGTTTCCATGCCTGACCTGCAAATGCTTAAGGAGAATAATAGCTACTTTGCAACCTGAAAGGCCTCAAAGACCTAGGTCAATAGCACAGCTGGTCTAGTCATTGTTGCCCCTCTATTAACATGTTAAAACCTGAATTAGCTAATTTCTCCCTATTACTTTTATATGGTTTTTTATGTTCTCAAGTACCAGGAAAGAGACACTCTGCTTTTTAAATTTTTAATTTTTTACACAAAGGCAATTTTTAATTTTTAAGTGAAAAACAATGCTGTGAACAGAACTTAAAAATTCATGGTCATGGGAAGTTCAACTTAAAAAAAATTTTAACATACAAAAAAGCATATGAAGAAAGTAAAAAGAAAGTAATCACTTACCCAGTTTGTTTATTTTTCTTACCTAGTTTGTTTTCAGTTTAGAACAGCATATGCATGGAAAACACATTCCCCACGGGGCAATTCTTTATTCTTAATGATTAAAGTCTGTAAGTGCCTAAACCAATGGCTTTTGGTAATTAGTGGCTTTAAACTCTAAAACTGGCTTCTATCGTCTGAATGCAATGGTGGAGGAGTAGAGGGAGGGGTGGAAGAAAATTATTTATTTTGGTTAAGACCTATCCTGACTAGGATCTTCTGATGTGTAACTAACCTAATAGACATGAATAGGAAGTTGAGATTCTGAACTCTATTAGGGACTGAGGGTTATTGCCATATTTGATGTTTTTTGTTTAACTTATCCAGTCCACAAAGTTTGTGGCAAGTAACTATGAAACTGACAGCAGAAAGTATATGGTATTAGGAATCTGAGGACACGGTTCCAAAAATTTTTACTTGTTTACTCTGTGTGTCCTTGGTGTCAGGATATCCTAAGAACTTCATTGTCTTGTAAGATTTTGTGTGTGTGTGTGTGTGTGTGTGTGTGTATGTAGAATCTGGCCATCTATCTCACAGGCATATTGTGGAATATATCAAAGTATGTCAGAATATACTGCAAACTCTAAAGCTGTATAGCAATATAAGATGTTAGTATATTTGTAATAAAAGATTTTCAAAATTAATGTAGAATCTTCCTTCGGAACAACCTTATGAATAAAAGTACAGTATGTTCTACTTTGCATCATTTCCAGTCCCTACAGTAAACCTTTTGACCTGAATTCAAAGGAATGGTTCCTATTTTACATTGGCATAGTTACTATTCCCTTTTAGGGGTAAGTGGGATTCCAGCATACTGACTGTTCTTAGAAACAAGAGTCAGGAGAAGGCAGTGAAAATTTATCCCCAGAGTTCCACATTTTGGAGAAAACTGTTGAGCCCTTAACATTTTTTTTCACTCATAAAATAATGCTTTGGTAGAAAGCCAGACTAGAAACAAAGGCTAGTCAATTTTAACGCTGAAAATGAAGGCAGATTTTTTTCATTTGAAATGTAATCACTAGAAATGGTCGTTAATTTTTCTTCCTAAACTAATTTCCAGTAGCAGAACAGAGTACCATACATGGCCTATTAGCAAAGGGTTGTGAGAGAGTAAGTATAGGAAAGTGTTTGAAAATGTAAGAAATGAAACAATTTCAAAATCACTTTTATATTATAATTATCACAAAATAATAGAAGCGTCTGTGTGTGTGTTCATGTGCACATGCTCAGATGGAACATCATATACATTTATCATATTCCTAATTATAGTAAGATCTCATATAAGGCTTATTATGTACCTTCATGAAAATTCAGGCAGTTGTCATCCTTTAAGCGCCAAAGCAACAAATCAAAATTAAGGAACCAGAGTTGCTAACCTCCAGGAAGCCATGTGGAGCCTACTGATGAATGGAGATGATGAGGCTGCAGAGTGATGAGTGGAAAGAGTGCTGACTTCCTATGGGTAATTCGCAACTCTCAGCTTCTTCTTATTCTCTTTAAACTTGTACTTTACACAGGTGGAAGAAAGAACAGCAGAGTGCAGGTCACCCGTGAGAACTTGCCACAATTTCACTACACAAGAATTTCCTATTGATCTTTATCCCCTCTCACTTTATTGAGGTATAACTGGTAAACAGGAATTGTATATAGTTAATGTGTGCAATTTGATGTTTTGAAATATACATATAATAAAATGATCACTACACTCAAACTAACACATCCCTCACCTTCCGTAGTTACCACTATCCAGACTTTATACTGTTGTTGATATCAATCAAGTGTTTATATATCATAATTAGAAACAATAATGAGAGTAGGAATTATGAACCTTGAGCCAACATGTTCCACAAGTTCACAGCTGTGTCTCCCAGAGTCAGATGGAAGATTCTCAGGGCAGCAGACTCTGACAATGCACCTCAGGAGCATTTTTCTAGCAAATCTGCCTTAAAATCATGCTTTTATTACTGAAATAGGAGTTTTATAGTGTTATTTGGATGAATTCCAGGGAGATGTCAAAACAAAACAACAGAACTGTATTGCTTTCCTGAACTTCCAAGGTAGTCATAAACACTTTACAAAGAAGTATAAAATGAAAGAGAGATTGTTATATTTTACTTCATTTTTAGTTAGCATATTGCACACCTCTTAAAATAAATGCAGGGTCAAATAAGTGTTTCTTTAAAATAAAAACAAAACAAAAGCACAAGTAAGAGAATGAATAGGTGTCCAACTCCATTCCCAGGATATTTTGAAAATCATTAGCTAATACTTGAGCACTTGTCAGGAGCACACGTTGTTTCCCAGATGCTCATTGCCTTCTCACCACTCTGCATAATCCTAACACATGACACATTAGTTTCAGATGAGCCAGATGCCAAATGGGAGACATTTTACAGTACAGAGAAATCAGAGTGGTGGAGTAATACAGAAACTTTTAGCCAAGGCACATTCTCTGGGCTCTCAATCCTTTGCAGCTGCCACACCTCTCGCTAGAATGCAGTGCACACAGAAAACAGTTCTGACATCTGCCTCGCTTGTGGTCCCCAGTAAGAATTCTCGACATTGATATATGCTGTTCCACTCAGGACTGGAGCATGAGAATCCTCACCAGGGACACTTCATTAATTCTGCAAAAGCATGCACTTATCATACACTATACACTAACAACTTCCAAAAATAATAGTGTAAGGTAACTTACAATAACAATATATGTAGCCAGAAAATACAATGGTACAAGCTAGGACAAAAACTATCACATATGGAGGAGTGATTGATTGTACTTGGAAAGTGAATTGCGATGCCTCTATTTATTCCACGAGTATGAGGTAAACCTCGTCTAAATGTCAGGTAAGGCTATTGTCACTATGATTTAGCGGAGGGAAGAAAAAGGGTCTCTGTTCTCAATAACATGAATAAAGTGAAGACATGCAGTAACCAGAAAAACGTGTGAAATCGCTAAGATTAATATAGATACAACTTCTCACTAAAAATTGAAATTGGATGGTAGGATACAGTAATTTGGGGAGGAGGAGACTCCTTTAGCTAAGGTAGCCAGAAAGGCCTCTGAGTAAGTATTTAATAACAATTGAGCTAAGAACTCAATAAAATGCCCAGGAGAGAAAATACGTTGAGGAAGATCTTTAAGGCAAAGAGAAAAGCAAGTGCAAAGGCTCTTTGAGGAAGACCTTTGGCATCTCTGAGGAAAAGAAAAACATGCTGGATTTTATAGGACCTAATAAAATTAGGGAAGGCTTAACAAGCAGGCAAGGCCCAGATCATCTAAGCCATTGTAGGCCAATGTGAAAAGCTTGGATTTATTTTGCAATGATGAGAAAATTAATGCAATTGTGTGGTACACTTAGATATAAGCTTCGTGGCAGCTAAGATCTCTAAACATTCTTTTCCCTTAGCAAGAATAAATAGGGCTCTTGCTGTAAGAAGAGACATCTGAAAAAAATTCAAATTTTCTTCTTCCCATTATTCTGCATTCCTGTTTGCTGCCTTTTATTCATTTTTCCTTCCCCCCAACCAAATCCTTCATATATCCTAGTTCTAAGTATGACAGAAAGAGAGAGAGACATAGAGAGAGAGGCAGAACAAGAACCAGCTACAGAGCTGTGATGTGTCAACTTAACTAGACTACAGTCCCCAAACACCAATATAAGTGTTTCTTTGGAGGTATTTTTGTAAATATGAGTAAAGTCCATAATGAGTTGACTTTAAGTAAGACAGAGTATTTTAGATAATCCTGGTGGGCCTGATTCAATCAGTTGAAAGCCCTTAAGAATAGAATTGAAACACCTTAGGAAGATAATTTCGTCTTTCCTGAAAAAAAAAAGAAATTCCTCCTGTAGACAGAAGCCTCAGCTCATGGTTAAGAGTTCAAACCTAGGCCGGGCACGGTGGCTCACACCTGTAATCCCAGCACTTTAGGAGGCCAAGGTGGGCAGATCACGAGGTCAGGAGATCGAGACCATCCTGGCTAACATGGTGAAACCCCGTCTCTAAAAATAAAAATACAAAAATTAGCCAGCCGTGGTGGCGGGCGCCTGTGGTCCCAGCTACTCAGGAGGCTGAGGCAGGAGAATGGCGTGAACCCGGGAGGCAGAGCTTGCAGTGAGCTGAGATCGCACCACTGCACTCCCGCCTGGGCGACAGAGCAAGACTCCATCTCAAAAAAAAAAAAAAAAAAGAGTTCAAACCTGCCCTTCCTGGTGCCTGCCCTAAGGATTTCAGACTTGCCAAGCCAGCCTCCACAATCGTGTATGCCGTTTCCTTGCAGTACATCTCTTGTGATCTATCTGGTTCTATTTTTTCTGGTTGAATCCTGACTTACACAAGATATCACACTTATTTTGAATAAACGTCTTAAAGATAACTCATGCCAAACACCAAAGGGGTAAGATCGACATAATCCCTTTATTTCTGTGACCCATACAATATGGTTTCAATTACGTGGAAGATGAAAGGAAGAACAGTCTACTCAGGTATAATGCTGCCAAATTCCATTGTTCTGGCCAAATGAAGTAATGGTAGATGATGATGAAGAGAGGAGCAGAGTTAGAGAGCCCTCATCCATTTTGGATGTGTGGGCCACTGTAGCTGTGGATGCTATTGCCAGAATAGCTTGTCATAGTAGCCAGTAACATTAAAACTAAACATTTCAACACTATAATCTCACAATCAGATATAGATTTAAGAAACAATCAGATATAAACTCAAAATTGATGCAAATGGATTTCTCTATAAAATTTGTAATTGAACCACAGAGAATTAAACTAACTAAATGCCCAATATTAATGTAAATTAAAGAAATTTATGGTAATTTATTTTTAATTTAATTTAATTTATTTTAGGGTAATTTACCCTATTAAGCCACTCTAATTGGTATTGTAGAAGACCTCAAAAGCTCAGGTAACCAAAACAAAAATTGACAAATAGAATTATATTAAGCTAAAAAGCTTCTGTACAGCAAAGGAAACAATCAACAAAGCAAAGAGATAACCTACAGAATGGGAGAAATATTTGCAAACTATTTATCTAATGAGGAATTAATAACTAGAATATATAAGAAACTCAATAGCAAACAAAACAAAACAAAAAAACAAATAATCTGATCTAAAAATGGGCAAAAGATCGGAATAGACATTTCTTAAAAGAAGACATACAAATGACCAACAAGTAAATGAAAAGGTGCTCAACATCACCAATCATCAGAGAAATGCAAATCAAAACCACAGTGAGATATCATCTCACCCCAGTTAAAATGGCTATAATCCAAAAGACTTCATATAGCAAATGGTGACCTGACAATGATGTTGGTAGAGATACAAATCAGTGCAGCCACTATGGAAACCAATATGGAAACAGTATGGAGAGTCCTCAAAAAACTAAAAGTAGAATTACCATAAGATCTAGCAACCGCACTGCTGAGTATATATCCAAGGGAAAGGAAACTAGTGTATTAAAGAGGTATCTGTACTCTCATGTTTATTGTAGGAGTATTCACAATAGCTAAGCTGTGAAATCAACCTAAGTGTCCATCAATGAACATGAAAGTACAGATATCTAAACATAAGAGTTCCTGCAAATGACAGGGTTGTATTCTTTTTTATGGCTGAATAATATTCTCGTGTGTATATATACACCATGTTTCCTGTGAAGAAACATTTGCAGCAACATGGATGGAACTGGAGGACAGTATGTTAAGGTAAATAAGCCAGGCTCAGAAAGACAAATATTGCATGTTCTCACTCATATACAGGTGCTAAAAAATTGATCTCATAGAGGTAGTAAGTAGTCTCTGATGGCTACCAGAGGCTGGAAAGGGTAGTGGGAGAGGTGAGAATGAAGAGGCATTGGTTAATGGGTATAAAAATACAGTTAGATAGAAGGAATAAGTTACAGTATGGAATAGCACAGTAGGGAGACTACAGTTAACAATAATTTATAATCTATTGCAAAATAGCTAGAAGGTAAGATTTGGAAAGTTCTCAACACAAAGAAATGCTTTACCCTTGTTTTATCCTTTTTTTATGTATACAGGTCTTTCTTCTGATTTCTTGCATTTGAGAGAAGTGGCTGTCACAATGACTTCTGGAGGTACTTTAGAGGTCCCTCAAGGACTGTTGAATACAGAAGAGGAGCAGTTTCACCAACACAACTATCTTCATTTATTATTTTTTCTTCTCTCTTTTTAAAAAAATTACAATGATTCAAGAGATTTTATTTTAAAAATGGCTTCTGCTAACTTAAACATGGTTTGAGCCGGGTGTGGTGGTTGACACCTGTAATCCCAGCACTTTGGGAGGCTGAGGTGGGCAGATCACTTGAGGTCAGGAGTTCGAGACCAGCCTGGCCAACATGGTGAAACCCCATCTCTACTAAAAAATACAAAAGTTATCTGGGCATGGTGGCAGGTGCCTATAATCCCAACTACTTGGAAGGCTGAGGCATGAGAATCGCTTGAACCCGGGAGGTGGAGGTTGCAGAGAGCCGAGATCACACCACTGCACTCCAGACTGGGCAACACAATGAGAATGCCAAAAAATAGTTTTGAAAATAATATAACTACCATAGATTTTGCTTTATTTTACTAGATGATTTTTGTACCTGGTAGGCTATTGATGAACTATGACATTAATAACCAAGTATATTAAAAAACAAACAAATGAAAACAAAGTTAAAATGTAAGCTTGACATCACTGGCTATAAAAATTCTCCTGGAGAAGATGATCAGAATTGAAGCCTTTTAACTTTTCGGTGGACTATAGGGACAGTAGCAGGAGATCAGCT
This sequence comes from Homo sapiens, assembly GCF_000001405.40. Lineage (NCBI taxonomy): Eukaryota > Metazoa > Chordata > Mammalia > Primates > Hominidae > Homo > Homo sapiens. Next base: position 190,048,744 of record NC_000003.12, read on the forward strand.
ACATATCCCAGAAGCAATGTTTCTTCCAGGTCAGTATCATGTCATTCACAAGTGAAAAAATAAACACTAAAAATAAATAGAAGTTCTATAACAGAGACAGGAAAGGGACTCTCCTTGCTGTCTCCTGTCTACATGTCCTTTTAGCCTTAACACCTTCCAAAGGAAGGAGAAAAATAGCTTTGCAGGTTTGCAAATGTGTGTAGTTAGCATTTTAAGAACAAAAACGGGCTGCCTCTCACAGCTGTGTTGGAATTTGCTTCAGATTCTGCCTTCAAATCACAGAAGACGTGAGTAAGGGCACGTCCGTGACTCAGTCCTCAACCCTTGCCAAAGTAGTAGTTTTCTAGATATAAAACTACAGGGAAAGAAAAATAGAAAGTCAGAAGAGGAAGAAAAACTGCATGTTCATAAATCTTGCACAAAACTGAATCTCGAAGGTGTGATAAAAAGATCAGGATCGGGGAGTGTTTAGGAAAGAGAAACACACATATGTGAGGCACTACCTAACATTTCAATAGACACATGGTTTTTTTTTTCAGTCATATTAATTAAGTTCTGTGCACGGTGCTTGCACATAAATAAAACCAGATGCTTAAATTGTAGCTCAATCATTACGCTGTATTTGCTCACATCCCCTCCTGTACCACTTTCAAGAAATTGGCTTTTCGCCTAAATGGCAGGGGAGGGAAAGGGAAAAAAAGAAGAAAAAAAAGTTCTGGAGCTTTAGCCTTATTCTCAGGTTGATGAGTGGTTGTTGATATGTGACAAATACATTTCGCTTTCATGACATCTCTATGGAAAATTAAGAATTGTAGTTTTCTTGAGGCAGTTGAGATTCTTAAAGGAGTATTTATTCATCATGCTATTAATTTATTGGCCTTCATAAAAACTCTTTCAAAATTGTCACCTATCTATAAATAAGACTTAAAACCCACCCTCGGCTACATAGATACACACAAACACAAACACACAGATGTATGTGTGTGAATTTATAAAATAACCTGTCAATACATATGGAGAAAATAGTTTCACGGAATCAAAGTTATCTGGTTCACCTCCTTTAAGTGCATTTCCCAATGTGAGTTCTGAAGCATATTTGTTCCACGACATGTGAAAAACTGAGGGGCTTAAATAAATTGGGAAATGCCGGGTTACACAAAGTTAAACAGCTTTCTTTATTGTGGAACTTTCAGAGTCTCTAATATGCTGATGCACATTGTAAATATTCAAGAGGTCAACATACTCTGTAATATCTCTCAAAGCTGGTTGACCCAGAAACTTGCAAAATATCTTACAAGGGTGGTAATTTGCAGGACATGCAGTGAAAAATGCTAATATAAATCAATCTAAAATGTTCATCCAGTCTCTGATTAAATTTTCCCCATGTGAACAAAATTGCTACTTTCCAAAAGAGTTCATTCTGTCCTACGAAAGATCTAAGTCAAACGGGATTTCTTTCTTACGCTGAACCATAATCTATCTCTCTATAACTTCCACTATTGCTCTTGATTTTGCACTTTGGAAGAACAAAAAGAAGAGTAATGCAATTCCTTTTTCCTGCAATAGCTTTTTAGATATTTGAAAGCGACAATCATATTCACAAACTCTTCCATTTTGCAGGAAGACACAGCTCTAGTTCTTAAATGAATGCATCAAATTAATCCTCTCTACTTGTCAATGTCTTAAGACATGGGGCTTCAAAATGATTACAGAAATTCAGATCTCTAGAAGTATCTATGCTTCTATAGATGCAGACTTAGATGTCAGGTTTTGTTTTTTTCTGGAAGGCATGTCTTATCATTGATTCCAATTAATTTACTAAAACTTTCGAGTCCTCATAAATATTGTGGCTAAGTCAATTCTCTACAGTTCTATATCTGTATGATCATTTGTTTGTGTATATATGAGTTTTTTGAGGAATATTAGGAAAACACAAGTCCATTAGATTTTATTCGTCCTTCATGACAGAGACTGTGCTTTATAATAAAATTGGTCATCTTTTCTCAGTTACCTTCTCTTATAAAGTTATAATATCTCAGCTTCATGCAAATTCTATTACATTAGAAGAATGAAGAGTATTAGCCTGAAACTTACTACCTATACTAGTGACCTCCTTCCAGCTTAATACCAATTCATTACTTGATACCAAGTAAATTGTTTCACAAACCTACACAATACCAATGATAATACATTTATCTAGCTGGTCATGAAGTCATAATATAAAAGATACTGTCAAATGCCTTCTGAAATTAGGATATTAATCTGTAGCAATTTCCTAATCTGCGAACTGAAGCAGACCAGTCATAGCTATAGGTAGTGCAGGTCTTGTTAGTTCACCTGTGACATCAATAACTGTATCATCATGTAATTTGATAAGTTAGAATCAATAATGCAGAAACAGGACAATGCTAATGCCATTTGATGCGGGTACAGGTTAGGATTTAAAGGAAATAGGCTATTAATAGCTGGGAGGTTACTCTGGATGAGAAAAGAGTGAAGAGGCAACTGAAGAAAAAGTTACTTTTGTCAGGATGATGAACAACCAATACAAAATAACATTTGTTTTTTCTCTATAAAAAATGGAAATAGGAAAAAATGACATAGAATTTTATGGCATTAAGATGTCATTTAATCTTTGGTCAAACAATGCAATTTAATACGGAAAAGGTAAAAATTTGCTCAACTTTTCATACTAGAGGCCATAGTTGAAAAGCATATAGAGATAAATCCTGGGCATTTAGTAGCTGTAATAAGAAGTCCTTGCTTAAAGAAGAGCCAATTTTTACAAGTTACAGCTTATTTTCTTTTAAAAATTAAAAGGAGCAAAGGAAACCTGCCATTTGGCAAATTCAAAGGTCTTGTAACTGATCTTCAAAATCCTCAACAATTTAATTGGAACACAAAAAATAACAGAAACCTGCAATACTTGTTTGTCATTTTTAAGAACAAACATTACTTTCAAATCACTTTCCCTCTCCAAGATCTAATCTGCCAGGTTTCAGCCCACAGTGAATTCTTGCAGCTGGGTTAGGATCCCCCAAGAAAGGGCGTTCAAAACAAAAATGCTGAGGGAGGCATTTCAGCCAAGGGAGGCATTTCAGCTGTGGAGGAGGATGGAAAATTTCTAAGCACAAGGACTTCCCCTCTCAGGCCTGGGAATGCCATTTGAAAGGCTTCTTCACCCATCTGTTCTATTCACACTTGCCCAGGAGTCAGACCTTCTAAAAACTACATACCACAAAATAGTCCTTGAGGAAACACAATATCTTTCCTGGTAACGAATATCCTCAAAAACAAAGAAAAAAGTGGAGAAATAGAATAAACAAATCATTTTTAAAATAAATTTTACTTTAAGTTCTGGGATACACGTGCAGAACGTGCAGGATTGTTACATAGGTATACATGTGCCGTGGTGGTTTGCTACACCTATCAACCTGTCATTCAGGTTCTAAGTCCCGCATGCATTAAGTATTTGTCCTAATGCTCTCCCTTCCTCTTGCCCCTCACCCCCCGACAAGCCCCGGTGTGTGATGTTACCCTCCCTGGGTCCATATGTTCTAATTTTTCAGCTCCCACTTATGAGTGAGAACATGCAGTGTTTGGTTTTCTGTTCCTGTATTAGTTTGCTGAGAATGATAGCTTCCAGTTTCATCCATGTCCCTGCAAAGGACATAGACACTTCTTTTAAAGCATATTTCTTTTAAAACAAACTTCTTTTAAAATATGTTTTAAAAGAAGTGAACTATACTACAGAGTAATAGTTTTAGCTCACATTGATTGAGATCTTTCTCCATGCTTAGCACTGTTCTCCATGAAGTAAGTAATATTATATCCCCAATTTATACAAATGTAAATCGAAGATAGAAAGGTTATTACCGTGTCTAAGAACATATTGCTGTGTGTTTATGTGTATATAAGTATATATACATATAAATGTGTGTGTGTGTATATATATATATATATGCATGTGTGTATATACACATACATATCTATCTATCTGTCTTTAGTGAGTTTAATTGATGATCAGTAAACCGTACATGTAAAAGAATATAATTTGATGAATTTTGGCATATGCATTCCCCCATGAATCCACACAGCGATCAAGACAATGAATATATCCACTCTCCCTAAAAGTTTCCGTGTGCCACTTTCAAATTCATCTTTCTTCCTTAGTCCATACTGAGGCAACCGTTGATCTGCTTTCATTTCTATAGGTTAGTTTAAATTTTTATAAAACTTTATATGAAAAGAAAAATACAGCAAATCTTTTTATCTAGCTTCTTTCACTCAGAAGAACTATTTTAGGATTCAATCATGTTGTGGCACATATCAACAGCTGACTCCTTTGAATAGCCGAGTAGTATTCCATTCTAGGACAATATCACAATTTGTTTTGTTATATATTTGTTGAGGGCCGCTTGTTTCCAATTTTTAGCTATCACAAATAAATTTTCTAAAAACATTCAGATACAAGTCTTTAACTTCTCTAATGATGTTGAGCATTTTTAATGTATTTATTTGTTATCCACATATCATATTTGGTGAAGTGTCTATTCAAATATTTTTGATTGTAAAATTGGATTTTCTTATTGAATTTTAAGAATTCTTTATATATTCTAGACACATGTCTTTTGTTAGGTATATATTTTTCAAATATTTTCTCTCAGTCTATGACTGCCTTTTTATTTTTATTTTTAAATAAAGTGGTTTTTTTTTTTTTTTTTGAGATGGAGTTCCACTCTTGTCACCCAGGCCCCAGTCTGGAGTGCAATGGCACAATCTCGGCTCACTGTAACCTCTGTCTCCTGGGTTCAAGCGATTCTCCTGCCTCAGCCTCCTTAGTAGCTGGGATTACAGGTACCCGCCACCATGCCCGGCTAATTTTTGTATTCTTAGTAGAGACAGGGTTTCACCATGTTGGCCAGGGTGGTCTCTAAGTCCTGACCTCAGGTGATCCACGCGCCTCGGCCTCCCAAAGTGCTGGGATTACAGGAATGAGCCACTGGGCCCAGCCAAAAGTGTCTTTTGAAGAACAACCACTTTTAATTTTTATGGGGCCCAATTTGTTGATCTATTTCTCTTATAGTTTATGTATTTTATTTTCTAATCAAGACGTATTTTTCAAATCCAGAGTTACTAAGATTTCCCTGTTTTCTTAAACAAATTTCAAAACTGTAGCTTCTACACATAGGTCTACAATCTATTGAGGTTTTTTTATATCAATGTTTCCATCACCATTTACTGAAAAAAATATTCTTTCTCCATTGAACTTCCTTCATACATTAGTAGAAAATCAGCTGGCCATATATGCAGGGGCTTTATCTGCACTGTATTCTAATGTTCTTAGCCACTATGCTGCATTATACTCCAAGACCACTACTGGAACAGTGAGGTTACTGAAATAATGCCTAATCAGAACCCTCCACCCCCACCTATAGTTTATTTTCTAAATGCCTTATTTATCATCATTAATCAGTTTAGGAAATGAAAGATTCTGCCTTATATAACTATGGTATTCAAAGGAAGTTCATAGTCTGAGAAAATTGAATCTTGAATAATTTGCAGGGCAACTAGCCTGGTCTCTGAGGATCTGGTGAAGCCATCAGCCACGACACAGACTGATCTGAGAGCCGACGTCAGTAGTGACATCCAGCCTTGTCATATCTTTGGAATGTGGTAGAGAGAAAAAAAAAAGATCATAGAATATCAACATTGGGAGAGATACTACTGGGCCTGTAGTTCAGCTGTTTGACACTAGGATCTTTATTTTTTTTTCAGTCATGTAAAATACCTTTGCTCAGTCATGAAGCTTTGATTGGACCTCTACAGAGATGCCAGTATCACTCCCTCCACTACTCCAGGCAGCTCATTTATCTATGGAGAGTCCTAACTGCTTTAAAGATTGTTCTCACGTTGTACAATTTCTAAGATTCTGAATTTTTCACCCATTCATCCACACCTTGTATCCCTTCATGGATTTCAGCTACCTGGGCATCAGGCATATGAAAAGACTCAGGCACTGCCCCCATCCCCTCACCTCACTTCATTCAGTATTATGAGTAGAAACTAAGGGAACTAAGCTTACTACCCGCCTCTTCTTCACATTACAGAATTGTATGCCCCCCTCCATCTTGTTCTCCATCTGTAACAGCTCTTCTCTTTCAATATCCCTCTTAAATGCCCCCAAACAGACACCATTCTCCAAGAATCTATCCATGAGAAATACATTGTGAAAGTCAAATTCCATGTTCATTAGGCCTCCCAATTCCTTTTCCTTCCTTCAGCAGTTAAAGTGGGATGCACATCTTTCTTGTTCTCTGAGGGACAGGCCTCTCTCGAACAGGAGACTCCCCCGTCTTCCCCAATAGAAACAGGAAAGTGTAACATGGGCATCAGATGTTAAGGAGACCACTGACCCCTGTTGTCCACAAACAACTTTTAATAGTGCATCTTACAATCGGGAATAACTACAAGCTGTGCGTAACATAGGGTCTTACATTCAGCAGTCTCCTCAGTACTTAGCCAAGTTTGTGTTCGTTTGGATAAAACTTCTAAAAATTTCCCACATTAATTTTCTTCTGCCAAAAAGTGACATTATATTTAATTTCTAAAACTTCAGTTTGAAAGACTGAAATTCACATCAGTGCATTCTCAATTTTACCCCTTTACTTAAAAAAGAATCACCATAACAAAAAAGATTTAAATTCATTATAACAAGAATCTTTAGATATTAAACAAAATGTGAAAAAAAAAATTGGGAATGAAACTCTATACAGAGTGCTTTTTTTTTTTTTCTCCTTTCTCTCATTTCGCTGAATACCAAAAAGTGAAGTACTTAGAAATGTAATTACATTTCAAGAGTCAGGCAATGGCCATAGTTACATTTTACAAAACGATCATATTCTCTTGAAGGAAGTCAAAGATTATTATGTGGGCCTTGAGGCAAGTACAAACAAAATAGATTCAGCGTTCCAAGAAAGAATACAGAATACAATATCATTCTCAATTTTACACTCCTGGCTCTTCTGATTTATATTTTTAGTGGATAATAAAAGTAAGCTTTCTATAACAATTCCATGGAATGTAGCTCTAAAAAGAGCCTCTTTTTCCTTCTTGGGATGTACTATGCTTTGTAATTGGGATTTACTTGTGTGTTTACTTGTACTATGGACTGTTCGTGTCCACCCAAAATTCATATATTGAAGCTCTAACTTCAGCGTGGCTGTATTTGGAGATAGGGGATACTAAGGAAGTACTTCACGTTAAATGAGGTCATTAGGGTGGGGTCTTTTAGGATGGGGCTATGACATGATAAGATTAGTAGTATCCTTATAGGAAGAGACACCAGAAAGCTCTCTCTCTCTGCCTCTCACATGGAAAGTCCATGTGAAGGACGTAGTGAGAAGATGGCCATCTTTAAGCCAGGAAGACAGCCTCACCAGAAACTAAACCACCTGGAACCTTGATCCCGGACTTTTAACTTCTAGAACTGTGAAAAAATAAATGTCTGTTGTTCAAGTCATCCAGACTGTGGTCTTTGTCCTGGCAGCCCAAGCTAATACAGCTTGTTAAGAAGCTGTCCCCCTGATAGAGACCACAGGCAGTTCCCTACGGTCATGAGGGCAGTTACTGCCTTCATTTGGTTCACCGCTATATTCCCGAGTACTCAACACAGGGTCCACATAGCAAGGGCTCACTAAACATTCATGGAAAAATATGCAGTTTTAAATTAGATTGTTCTCAAATGAATTCTGGGAAACCTTTAAATATTTTCATTGCATTCAGAATGTTTGATAGGTGGACTCTTTCTGAAAAGCCAAATCTACAGGGAACGTAATTTCAAGAAGTCGTGATGATAATCTGGATTAATCCATTCATCACCAGTCAAACTACGATTAAGCTTCTGGGGGTCCATAGAAATGACAGAGACTTTGGTGTGAGGCTGGATAGCTCAGTCAGAAATGATGGAGACTTTTTCTCAGCTGCAGTTAACTGGGATGCCTTAAACATGCCAGCGGTCTATTTCTATAAATCCAAGGAGCTGGATTAGAAAAGCACACGCAGCTGCTCTGGGCCTCCCCACTTCCTTTGCCTAGGGAAAGTCCTCAGATCCACACTCTACTCAGACACTGCTGTGTTTTACAAAGAATATGCTTCCCAAGCCTCAACTGTTCAAGTAGACCCTCCCCCTTCACCATAGACTAGAAACATGCTTTTGGAAAATGCGACCTCATTCCAGGATAACTTGGATTCATTTATAGCAGAGAGGACTGATGAAACGGCTGCCAACCTTTCAGACATGAGAGAAGGGGAAGTGGGGAACTGGAGCAGAAGGAGAATGACTTGAAAAGGGGATGTCTGTATTACCTACAAATCAACTTGAAAAATTTAGTAGGCCTAACTTTAAGTATCTTCTTATCCTGCTTCTTTTTACATAATGATGGATAGTTAAGAGTCTTGTTACTTAAAGGGTGATCCTTAGACCAGAAGCAAAGGGAACTTGTTAGAAATGCAAATCTCAAACTAGATCAGACCTACTGAATTAAAACTGCATTTTAACAAAATCCCCCAGCTGATCTGTATGGACACGAAAGTCTGAGAAGCACAGCTTTTCTGTGTTAGGAGTAAGAACCATGGAAGGCTAAGTCCCAGGGATGTATCTGAACCCCGCTGGTTCTGATTCCTAATCATGTCTGGAATGAAATTCTCTGCTCCTTCTCATGACTTTCTTCTAAGGCCTACCATCTACCAGTGTTATTCCTTTCCCTAGTTCCCTGGAAACAGAATCCCACATCACTCCTCCACCTGAAGCAAGCTATCCTTTGAGAGTTTCATATAGATTTCTATTTGGGATAATGGTGTGGACGCTGAGAGGAAAGAAAAAAGCCATCACACTTTATCTTACAGGATCATCCTGCAGAGGGAAGGCTGAGGCAAACAGATGATGTGGTGTGGCCTCTGTTTTAGACAGCTTTATATTCATCTATATTTCAATAAAAACCCAAACTTTGGCTACTAAGAGCATTTTTCCATCGAAACATGGGAGTGAAAGGAAAGATGAAGGAATAGGTAACATATTCAGCAGTAGGAATCTATTTTCAGAGTGTAAGGAAGATGGGTGAGTTCTTGAGTTTCCCTTCCTTCTTCCCTCTCTTCCTCAGTCATTCCCAGAACTAAGGCATAGCTGACCTTCAACTTGAAGTACTCATTAATGAGAAAAAAAATCTGGGTCTATTTGTGAAAGATGGGAATATTAGAGACAGAGGAATAGCTGGGGCAGATAAAAAACAGGATTGAAAGGGTCTCCCCAACACCAAAAAATAAAATAAAATAAAGACTGTAAGGAAGAGCATGGAAAATCCCAATATCACCTCAGTCATTCCTGACTTAATATAATTTAGGAGAATATATATTCCTCAACACATAACCCTAAGGGGCCAGCAAAATGCCTTGTACATAGATTTTAGTCCCTATCTGTCAACTGGCTTGTTGAAGTCCTAGTTCTTTTTCAGTAAGATGGGGATAAGCTACCCTCTCTCGTGTAAGTAGCATTTATTGTTTCCTATAGATCAATTTATTCACCTCATAGTGAAGATACCAGGTATTGATGATACCTATCCCCGCCCCCAAGGAATAAAAGTATTTATTCCTGTCCTAAAACAAGGCGAAAACTACGGAAGCCATAGGAACTACAATGGGTTAAACTTGTGAAGTTTCAAATATGGGTCAAAGTTGTAAAATGGAATGGGGAGTAAATGGTCCCAGGAATGCTGGAAACAACTTGGTAACAGAATGGGAGTGAGTAGATGTCCAGGAATGGAAAGGGTGAAATGTTACATCAACTTAAAAGGGTAAAAAGACTTAATTGCCTTGACAGCTTCAACATTACTGGAAGCTGTGGGCAGAAGGGCGACCTGCTTTGCTGATGCAGACAGCAAGTTATAGGGAGGATGTAAACCAGTCAGCAAAATTCAACCTTCATTTCAGCTACTGCTGTTATTTTAACCCTGCGCAAAAGGTCACAGTGTTCTGTCCCTGATAATAAAAGGATGCTGGGAAAAGACCAGAGAAGGCACACACACAAAGGAAACTCACTAAACAAAAGCCAGATTTAGTTCAGCGAGAAAACAACTGATTTTTGCTGAGGAGACTTTACAGTGAAACACAATGGCTTCCTTCTTTCCCTGCTATCCTTTCAGCTTAGTGGATTGGGGAAGGAGGGCATTCTTATTAGCTACCAACATTGTACATTCAGTTGTTAAATCTCTGCTTTGCTGATCCCCTTTCTCGATCATTTTCTGATACCCAGGACTTCCTTTAGACAAAGGCTGGACTACACAGAGGATGCAGACTCAGACAGGCAGTCCCTGCTTCATGGCAGTTGGTGAGGCTGCAGTAGCTTCCTACCCTACACTCCCATAGCCTTGTGAGGATTCTCCTACTTCCCCCAACCTGTGCCATAATAGTATAATTATCTGTCTTCATGTCTGTCTCCCCTACTGATGGTGAGTTTCTTGAGTAGCAGGTCTGTGTTTTAATAGCTGATGCAGACAGTAGGTGGGTCAGTATGTGTTTGGCAACTGTATTCCAGGAAGATAGTCTCATGAGTAAGAGACTCCCAGCACAGCTGCACCGAGAGGTATCAAAAGCACAGCATTGTCATACAACACTGGAGGATGGAAAATTGGAAAGGTCACTGGTTTTAGTCATGGGGATCCTTTTCCTTCCTGGGCTCCAGCCATAGTGTCATGGTGAAAGAAGCAAAGACTAAGAGAATGAGAAAGCTCTGAACTACCAGAATTGGAAAAAGTGACATTTTCCTATTTGTCATTATCCTTACTTCACTGCTTTCCTCCAACGCCAGCATCACTCACCTTCACTGCCTCTGCCACCCACCCCTCCAACACTTGCCACCAATTCCCACGAATGCTGGCCTCCTCATCCTGGTAGCATCTTTAGGATATGAAAGAAACACTGCATGATGGCTAGGGGACAAAACCAAACATAATTCTTGATCATTTTTTAGTATCCTGCAAGAGCCCTAACCACTCTCCACAGTGTCTTCTTGTTCACAAGTCTGACTAACTTCTTGTTTTTCAAGCTTGGAAAATGAAGATTCCTTCTCGTCATCTGAGATTTTTTAAAGTCACATGGTACCATATGAATGAAGTGTGTTACGCTGGGAAACTCTAATTGGTATAGTTCCAGTTTAAGGAGAAAAGACAGGAAATTTTTCCAGGTATCTACCTTTTGCCAACATCAAGAATTTTCTTCTAAAAATGGCTTTATCTAAGACACTTAATGTAAGAATTTAGAACATTTTGATGAAAACATTTTTCTTAAGACTAATCCAATGCCTGAAAAATACCCAGGTTTTGTAACAAATAGCTGAAAGTGTTTGTCCTGAAGCAGATGAAGCACCCAATTTGTTGAAATTCACTGCTTTGGAGGTTCCTAAAATGCCTGGATGTTAAGGAAAAAAAAATAGTAGTCACAGAAAAATACAACATTTGCCACTATTAACGAAGTATTTGGCTAAATCCTAATGCAAAGCATCTATTTTAAAACTAGGCTGGAGATCTGTAAGGAAGCTTACAATGCATTCAGCATCCAAGTCCGCCAATTTTCTGGAGGTTACAAGTGATCACAAAATCCGTTCAAGTTCACATATTAATTTTCTGGGAATTAGAAGAATCATGAATGCCAAGCCAGACTTAAGAGAAAAATTTCCTGGATATTTTAAATAGTCAGTGACTCCTGGAAGTGGTTTCCTCTCAATTCTTCTAATTCCAATTTTATATTTTTTAATAGCTATCATTGCTTTCAGTCAAGCACTCTGTTTTTATAGAATTGGATGATGCACTGTATCTTAGTCACAATGGCCTAATTTAGCCTATGATCTCTACTTACTCGAATGAAGTGTATCTCCAAGGGAAAACCAAAGATTTCACATCAAACTATAATTTGGTGCTATTTTGTTCCACTGTCTCATAAATGGATAAAGATGCTTAAAAGAACTTCTGAGAATAAAAAATTGATTGTAAATCAAAACCCATGTACTAACATGCTAAAAATATAGGGAAGGGGAGTATAGAAATGGCAGGAACCATGCTACATGGTTTGTTTTATTTTGATGACCTTTATGGAACACTAAGCACCTGCTTTATTTATTTTTTATTTTCTTATTTGTACAAATTTATGGGGCACATGTACAATTTTGTTATGTGTAGATTGCTTAGTGGTGAAGTCAGGGCTTCCAGGCTATTCCATCACCCAGATAGTGTACACTATACTCATTTACTAATTTCTTATCTTGCTTCATTCTTCACTAAAGGGCTCTAGGACATTCCATTGTTTCTGACTATAGAGGAATATACAAAGTAAGATTGAACTGGAATTAAAAACAAAACTAAAACACCTTCTTCCTCCACTCTTCATCCTCCTTACTTGCCCCACAAGTGCCTGAGAATAGCTCCTTCACTTTTTTTCCTCTGGACCTTAGGAGAGCATTTAAATACCGTTCTGTGTTTGGGAATTAACGCCATAGGAATCCCAATGGAGGGAAAACTGACAACCATTAAAACACACATTCCATTGAAAGGTTGATGCCAGGAGCTATGGGTGGATTTTATTTAGTGCAATATGGTTCTGTTTTTAATGCAAACCCTCATATGAAGGTGAAAGTGATAAAAATGGCTCAAGGAAGGGTCCAGAATTACAAAGACTGGCAGCTAGATGACAGGAAAGCAGGTTCAACCACAAACTTCAGAGTTAAAAACAGGTTACCCTGTTTGTGTTTATCAATACATCCTACTATACTACAAAATCTAAATAGTACTAAACCTTTTAGAGTTCATTTCTGCCATGTCCTGAAGATGATTTCTTACTCTTCATTCACCTGCCAGTTTCCTGCTAAGGACACTCATATCCCTTAGCCTTGCCTCCTTCTAACTCAGGCAAACTGGTGCCAGATACCATGTACTGTCCTAAGAAGTCTTTAAGGGTTTCTTATTGCCTTCAAAAGAAAGAGGTCATGATGAAATGGAAAGAACAGATGCTAGGATCCACACAAGCATGAATTCAAATCCTAGTGGATTACTAAATGACTTTGAGAAAGTTCCTCAGTCTGTCCAGGCTTTTGTTTCTTTTCTTGGTAGAACACAAAACACAACTACTATTTGTGGTTGTGAGAATTACATGAGAAAAGTATATAAAATGCCTGGCATATATTAGGTACTTAATACATGGTAGTTGGATTTTCTTTCTCCTCGAGGTCCTCCATGATATGCTAACTTACTTTTCCAACCTTAGCTTACTTCTACCCTTCAACAGGCAAAATCAAAGATAATCAAACTCTTTCCTCTAAAATTCTCCCCTAGCCTTCTTAATCCTTCATCACAGTCATTTTATATCAGTTGTGTTCATATGCTATCCATCCTTCAAAATTAAGCTGCAATACTATCTCTTTGCTCTCAAACCCTTCCTTATTTGCTTCAACCCTAATCTTTCCCCCTGTATCCATGGATCCTTATAATTACCTGTCTTTTGGCATCTCCTAATTCTGTGTCCTATATCATAAACTAATGTACATGACAAATCCCCTCCCATCACAATCCTTGATGCAAGCATCATTTATTTAATGCTCTAGTCTCAAAGTTCCTTGCACAGAATATCCCCATTTAACAAATTCAAATTGAATAAAGAAATAATTTTTCACTCTTAAGAACTAGCTCTAATAACTAAAACTGTGGCCCATACATTACCCACTGCTTTATCACTAAATGTAGAATATCCACACTTGTAAGTCGTGGACTTAATAGGTGTCCAGTGAATATTTACTGATTAATAATAAGCCTGGCACTATTATTATGTATAAGCATTGCGTTTTGAAATAAACCCAGACTTCCTTTGTTGGAATCCCAGCTTACCTTCTAACTAGTGACATAACCTTGGGCAAGTTACTCAATCTCTCTGTGGCTTGGTTTTATCTTCTGTAAAATGGAATTAATAATAGTATCTTGCATCAGTGAGATAACGTTATTCCCCACTGATTCAATCTTACATTTACAAACTCCATATCCTAACCACCACCAAGGACTTGAACAGGAAGCAAGACCCTGGCATAATGAACTGGTGGGAACAGAATACCAGAATGGGATAACATCAGAATTGGGAGCAAGAATGTGGAGCAGGCAGTAGTTGAGGGCCATGAGCAAATTCTATTGAATAATTTTGTTTAAGATTAGCTCTGAGCTTTCATCATTAAGACTTTTAATCAATCAGAGAAGTTATATAAAGCTATTCTTCTATTAAGCCAGTGTATTTGGGCCCAAACCACATTCCCCAACAAATGGCTCCTGAGATGTTTTAGTTTAAATTTAGGAGTTCTACTTTTTACAAATGGCTTCATAATCTATGAAAATGGTGCCATGGGGTGTACACAACTACTGGTAAATGATAAGCTGCTTCTAGTTAGTTAGTGCTGGAGTCTGCAGATAGCAAGGGCTGTGGATTATTTAATGTGATCAGTAATCTGACATGAAGAGACAGTATTTATCATTTCCATGCCTGAGCACAGCATCCTACTTGTCAGCATTCCACAGGCAAAAGCAAATGTTCTTGGGAAAAAGGCATTTTGCTAAACTTTTGCTCTGGTCAATACGTTTGGCTATTGCATTACAGACAGTACTAATGGTTCTCTTTAAATAGGACAACCACATCAGACACCGCTTGCTACCAAAGTTATTTTTAAAAATCATACCTGCAGTTGCTTTCAGACTTCCATTTTTTAAGTTTAAAAGCTTCCCTTTGCATGATTAATGTGTTACTAAATACCAGGTGTGTGCTTTGTTAGAGATTCAGATAACAGTGCTTCAATACAATTTCCACCCTTGATGTTCTGTGACATATAAATGTGTGAAAGTCTCCTCACGCCCACTGTGGTGGTGGTTGTAATTACAATGTTTATTTTTGGAGTGAGTGAAGCCTGTATGGTGACCATTAGAGACTTCCGAGCTGCCTCTGGAACATAAGCTGTTACCCCAGGATATGCAGAAAAAGATGGGGAGCAGATAGGCAGAGGCTTTAAAGAGAGCAGCCAATTTGTTACTTTCTGCGAGAAATGAATTTGAAGAGCCTCCTTGCTCTTTTCACCATGAGTTAGATTTGAGAATGTTTATACTTAACTATATATCTATTTAAGCATTTAAATTTAAATAAACATTTAAGAAATCATTTTAGAATAAACTTTTTTTTTTTTTTTTTTTTTGAGACAGGGTCTCACTGTTACCCAGGCTGGAGAATAGTAGGGCAATCATAGCTCACTGTAGTCTTGACCTCCCAGGCTCAAGTGATCCTCCTGCCTCAGCCTCCCAAGTAACTGTGACTACAGGCACACACCACCACACCTAACTTTTTTTTTTTTTTAATTTTTAGTGGAGAACAGGCCTTACTATGTTGCCCAGGGTGAACTCCTGTTGCTCAGTTCTTGAAATCCTGAGCTCAAGTGATTCTCCAACCTCGGCCTCCCAAAGTGCTGGGATTATAGACATGAGTCACTGAACCCAGCCAGAATAAATATTCTTAATAACTAAATTCTTGGCTACACTTCAGTAACTTTGTTTCTGATCCTTCCTAGGGAGTGAGTCAACAAATAGGGCTGTGCTGGAAGGGCTAGGCTGATAGCTGCTCAGTAAATCTCATCACGGTATGACTCTTCTGAATCTGAAGTCGACAGGTTTAAGCAAGGGGATATTTTGTAACTTAAAATATATTTAAATAACATCTGATGTACATTTCCAGTCTTTGTGCATTCACATATATATTTATCTATTCAGCCTATTTTTATTGAGACAATGGTATGCCAGATACTCTGGAAGTCACCAGGGACAAGTGCAGAGCAAAAATGGGTATATCTGAGGCTTCACTGAAGTAACAGTCTAAATGTACATATTTATAATAACAAAGATGTCTATATTTGAAAAATATAAAATTTGAGTCATACCGTATAGTTTTGAAAATCCCTCCTAAATTAACATGCTGTCTTAAGCATTTTCCTGGCAGCAGGAAGTAACAGGACATATCAGAGGCTATAAGATAAGCCTTCTTGTTTTGTGTCAGCCAGTCTTCTGATATACAACAAAATCAAAATGTAAAGCAGCTTCCTTAGGTGCAAACAGTAGACTGCAGGGGCTGTTCAGCTAATTCCATCTTCTAGGAAAAGCCTGTTGTTGCGTAAAGAGTTTGGGCTCTTGGTTTCTGGTAGGCTGGCTCTCCATAATTGGAGGACTCCCTGCCTAAAAACTGCTTATGCCAGAAGGCACTGATGTCCAAGGTCTCCAGGAGAGCACTGTCTCCATTAAAAAACCGAGTCTCCCCAAGGCAATGACAGCATTTCAGATTCCATCTGGTTGTTCACTAAACTTGTTTCCCTGTCATCCTGGGCAAAAAGTGAGACAATATTGTTCAGTCCTTTTGCATTAATGTGACCACAAGACTGAGTTATACATCAGAATATGGATGCAGGTGATACATGCCATTCCCAGGCTTGGCCCATAAAAACCTTCCATGGAATCCATTACCCTCCCTCCCTTTCCTTGTCTATCAACTGGTTGATGAGTGTCAATACCCAGGAGGATTTTGAAGCCATTTGTTGAAGACGTCAGAGGAAGAGTACTCCTCCCCATCACCCAACACCTCTTGAACTTTATATGAGAAATAAACTTTTATTGTTTTAAGCCACTGAGATTTAGGAGTTTCTCTTTTACAACAGTCAGTGTTATGTTAATCAGTAACGACATAGAGATTTTTTTTTCAGTACTGCTCCTATAGAATTACTTTCTAACTGAAGACTCTCTCTAGTCAAAGTCTTAGTCAATACAGGATTCAAAAAAATATTGTTTGGCCTATTCTGTCATTTCCTTAATTATATGAAATGTCCTACACGTATTTGGTCATCATATCTGCCTCTGTTACCAAGATATAAGTAAACCATTCTGGGCTACTGCAATAGCCTCCTATTTGGTCTTTCATCAGTCTCCCCTCCAATAATCTATAATTTATAAAAGTTTATGAAACACTTTTTGATGTGGACATTTAAGGCTATGAACTTTCCCCTTAGTACCGCCTTTGCTGTATCCCAGAGATTTTCATAGCTTGTGTCACTATTGTCGTTCAGGTAGAAGAATTTTTAAATTTCCATCTTGATTTCATTGTTGGCCCAATGATCATTCAGGAGTGTGCTATATAATTTCCATGTATTTGCATGGTTTTGAAGGTTCCTTTTGGAATTGATTTCCAATTTTATTCCACTGTGGTCTGAGAGAGTACTTGATATAATTTCAATGTGGAACAGATCTAAATGTCCATCAATCAACGAGTGGATAAAGAAACTGTGGTGTGTATATATATATATATACACACACACACACACACACATATATACACACATATATATATGATGGAATATGGATATATACATGTGGCATATACATACATATATATGATGGAATATATATATATGTGGTATATACATACATATATATGATGGAATACTACTCAGCCATAAAAAGGAATGAATGCATGGCATTCACACCAACCTGTATGGGATTGGTGACTATTATTCTAAGAGAAGTAACTCAGGAATGGAAAACAAAACATTGTATGTTCTCACTCATAAGTGGGAGCTGAGCTATGAGGATGCAAAGGCATAAGGATGACACAATAAACTTCAGGGACTCAGGGGGTAAGGATGGGAAGTAGGTAAGGGATAAAAGACTACAAATTGGGTTCAGTGTATACTGCTCAGGTGATGGTTGCACCAAAATCTCACAAATCACCACTAAATAACTTACTCATGTAACTGAACACCACCTGTTCCCCAAAATCCTATGGAAATAAAAAAATGGAAAAAAGAATGCAATATAAAAAAAGTTTATGAAAAAAATCTGATAGTGAAATCCCTCTACTTCAAATAATTTGGGACTTACTATCTATAGTCCAAATTTCTTACTATGTCATTCGTCAACAATCAGACTCCAAGCCAGAGCTCTAGCCCTGTCTATTCATGGCTCCCTGAAAAAGTCAGACAGCCCCTCATCTGTGCTTTTGCTCATGATGTTCCTTCTGCCTAGAGTGCCTTCTCCTTCCACCTTTCCAGACCCAGCTCAAATGCCACTTCCTGGGTAAAGCTTTCTTTGACAGTCGCTGGATGGACAATAATTCTCTCCACTACATTCACATGTAGTTTATTCTTTTTTAATTTTCTTTCTTTTTTTTTTTTTTGTAGAGATGGGGTCTTGTTTTGTTGCCCAGCCTGGTCTCAAACTCTTGGGCTCAAGTAATCCTCCTGCCTTGGCCTCCCAAAGTGCTGGGATTACAGGTGTGAGCCACCACACCCAGCCTTATTCTTACATTTACCTATTATTTGTGTATTTTTGTAGATGTCTCTACTATCAGATTCATACCTTTTGCAGACATGATTTGAGTCTAATCCATCTTTCAGACTCAAGGCATTCAAGAAATATTTACTAAATAAAAAGTGAAGGAAGAGAAAGGAGAAGGAAGAAGTGGGAGGAATATGAATTATCAAGCAGTCTTCATGTACCCAGGAACTTGAGCTCCATGTTTCTTCCACAGAAGCAAAGAGACAAATCCTTGCATGACCTCCATACCCCTTTTACTAAGTATTTCCCTCATACACCCCAAACAAAATAAAAACAAAGAATTAGTCACTCAAAATCTCCCTATGACAAATTCTCAGATAAATGCTACCATTCTATGTTATCTCAATTTCTCTAGAGTTTTGCTTTTGAATAACTAGTGATTCTGTGTCACTCTCTGGTATATTAATTTAAAACGAATCTCCTCTTCACCTCCCCTCCAGCCATAAAATTCTACATATGGTGCTGGCACATTTACCTACTAAGCATATACTTTTGATTCTTCTTCTCCTCCTCTTAAGTGTTCGTTAAAAAGTTTTAAAATTATTTATGAAGTATTTCTGGGGGGGAATATTTTCTTTATTCTTAAGTATACAAAAATTATTTATCTATATCTGGAATCCAATAAAAAGATAAAATATTGCATTTCATTATTTACATAATACATGCAAGTACAAGTTGTGTGCATCAGCATCTCAATATTTAAGTTGAAAAATGAATTTGAAAAGAAGACCTAAGAAAAAAATGTACATAGTTATAACAATTTAAATATAAAAATTAGGCTTCATCCACAAATAGCATGAGTTAGATTTTTCATATGATAACAATAAAATATACAACTTTTTAATTTAATTTTAAGTCAAATTTATGCTTAAAATGTTTATATAATTTTTCTCAAATCAAGAAAGGTTAAGATGAATGGGATAGTATAATCTCATGTCTGAATTACATTGTTTATAAAAATTTTATAAGATAAATCTTATAAATCACTTATAATTTTCTCCAAACATTTAAAGAGAATACATTGTTAGCAAACATTTGAAAGGACCTTCAAAATAAAATCAATCTGGTTGAATTTCAACAATAATTAAAATGAAAAACAATAGCTAAGTAACAAGTACTGAAAAGAAGCCTGGGAAATCTACCTTGTCCCATCCTCTGAAATATTACTAGATTCCAGATACCTTAACCTCGACAGCCACTCTATAAGTGGCCAAGCGGTCTGGTCACATGAGGGTGGACTCAGCCCCCTGGACACACACATATGTTGGTGGGAAGTTACCCCACACCCTTTGTCTCCCACAAAAGTTATTGGGTCTTAAAACTGCTAGATTTGGTAAATCAGGCTTACTCTAAATCTTTAGTGATATCAAAACTGAACAGTTACTAAGGAGCTGGCAAAAATACATAGAGTAAATCTATGTAGGAGATTTGTTTTCTTTGAAAAACTACTGCTTGCTCAGTTCATTCCTGGATGAAGGTGGACGAGTAGACAGAGCTGTTTCCTAAAAGCTGAAGTTGCGATTTCCTGAGGGAGAAGGCTTATCACTTAAAAGAGTTACCGATTTTTCTCGGTAAAATGACAGCTATTTGTTGATCTACATAATGTGTTTTCTTCTTCGGCAATAATTTTCAGCTTCTCTACATATAGATGCTTTTGCACACAAGAAATTCAAACCAATATATAATTTATAAGACTTTTACAAAAAAATTGCAAATACAAAAAAGAGAACAATCACATTTAATATCCTATTACAACCAACTAAACGTTTGCTATCGATACCATCCCATGTTTGGTAGTACACTGAAAAACCACAGAAAAAATGTTTTATATGAGTGAGGTCAGTATTTTCACAGGCGGCACCTTAGCTCATTCTAACAAAAATTCTGGTATATTAATCCAAGAGAGCCTCACCTATCTGTGCCTTTCACATGGTAAAGTTCAATAAATACTTGGGTAATTAAGGATTAAATATCTATAGGCTCAGCTCCAGACCCTAGAGTGTCTTCTGAATAAACCATACCAAGAAGAAAAAATCTATGATGACACAGTCTTGGTTTCTCTACTGGGACATTGCTAAGATGTGGGTTTCCAATAAAAGGATATTGCTACCTTCAATATGAGGCCTAGTTAACTGACCAACCCCACTGAGTAAGCATCTTTTGACATTTCACTGATTTCAGGACTAGAAAAAATGGAAAGTTCACAGTCCCTAGAAATCTTCTTCTAGTCTCAGTGTAAATCTTATATATTTGATGGGATGTTTCAAACTTCTCCCATAAATGAATCTCCTCTTCACCTCCTCTCCAGCCAAACAGAACTTCTCTGTAAGATTTACAGCATGTTTACCTTTTCTTCTTTTCCCAGTCCTCCTCATGTTTATCTCTGTGTGTTAAAATTCTACCCATATCCTTAGCAACCAAGATGCTGAAGGACACCAACTTTCAGAGGGCCAGTCAAAGAACCAACAAACAAATAGAGAGAAAATGTCCAGTTAAATAGAAGGAAATCTAGCGAGGGTGGGAAGAAATGTCTGGAGAAGAAAGGGTTTCAAGATGCAAGGTCATGAAAGTGAAATAGTGCTAACAGGCCAAGAAAGCTGATGGCCAGTAACTGACCATTGGCTCTAGCAAGGGGTAGACAACTGGAAACATTTATGAGTGACATTTCAGAGCAGTGGTGTAGATGGAAATCCAATTAGCATGGATTGTGGAGAAAATTGGGGGTAAAGCTAGCCAGCAGGTAAAGCCAGCAAGTGTAGACAAGTTTTTTTTTTTTTTCTTCTTCTTCTTTTTAAGTTGTGGTAACGGAGAAGTGAGGTGAAAGGTGGTTTACTTGTTTTAAGATGCATGCATGAAGGCTGTGCTGATGGCAATCACGTGGTGGCTATGGAGAAACTGATGACATAGGAAAACAGAAAAAAAGGATAGTTCCAAGCATGAAGTCCTTATGAAGGCTAGCGGAAATAGGTCAGATCCAGGGATTTAGTCAAAAATGTTGAACTTGCATTGTTCTTACATAGAGATTTATTATTATTGTTATCATTATTATTATTTACTATTGAGAGAGGAAGAGAAGCAGATTTTGGCTCAGTGCATTGGAGGAATTGGTGGTAAGAGGATAGGATTATCCTCATCTGATCTATCTTGTTTTCTTAGAAGTCATAGTACATAGGAAGATACAGAAGGGGTTCTAGTAAGCATCAGGTTCAACTTTCTTGCCTTGCATTTGGGGTAACCGAGTCACAGGAATATCAAGTCAGTTCCTGAAGTCATAAAAATGTGAAAGTGTCCTTCATGAGGGTATCCAGGGTCATCTAGCCATGAAGCTTCCTCTCATCTTTTCCAGCATTATAGTCATAGTGCTGTAATCAAGAGCACACGGTCCAAGGAGGGAGTGGTCACAGTTCCATCAAAGAGGCAACGACTTACAAGACAAAACATTTTGACTATCTATATGTAGCCAATTCCCCTTCTCACATTAAAGTTCTTATTACTAACAATCCATATGAACAGCCATCATTCTCAAAAAAGCTATCTTCAGTTAAACAACACATTGTCTGCCTGAAACGGGAATTTCCATGACCTCAAACTTGCCTTACATTCCAGCCCCTTGCTACAGCTTCCATTTTCACGCTTATGCATTGCTCACACTTCATTAACTCCTGTTCATTGAGAAAAAATGTTGTTCTTTTAGCTGACCCGACCAGAACATCATAATCATATTACATGTAGGCTGCACACAGTCTTTTTAAATGACTTAAAGCAGAATAAATTAAATGAAGGAAAACAATTTATTAGAACAATTTTAATGAGTAAAATAATTTTGGCTTTTTTCCGGATTATAAAACACTTTCCACTAGCTTCTAAGATATTCATCAAATGTGAAGTATCTAATTTTCTCAATAAATACTATCATGTTACAGGATGACATGTTTGCATTGAAACTGATGAACTAAGCAAATCCCTGTGACATTGACTTTAGCTATTACGGTTTGCTTCAGGCACTCAGATAGTATCCAAATATTTACTAGGTAAATGTTGAAATAAATACCCTTCAAAGGGCCTACATTAATTTTGAAATGTCTTATTACAAGCCACAATAAACAGACTTTTCAATGCCAGTCCTTAAAAAGAATCTGTCACCTAGAATAAATATTGAATTAAAACTTAAAATATGTTTAAGTTCTTTCCTGGCAAATCAGTTAAATCCACTCGTAGTTCTAGAAACATGTAAATCCAATCAGCTTCCATACTAATTCTGAATAACATTAATCACTAAGCAAATATTAGTTAATAGCCACTATAAACAGTAGCAGAAAAGTTAAAAATAAGGCAATTAATTGTATTCCAAATCATTCCAATGAAGAATGTAAAAGCACAATTGTGCTGTTTTACTCCTTTCCATTTGAGGAAAGATCATAGTCACCAACTTATTGTGCTATTCATGGGTTTTTCCTAGGCACATACATATTGAAATCAAAAAGAAAAAGCTGCAGATGTTAAAGAGTCATTTGAGAGTGATGAAAAAGAACATTTCTTTTTAGTATCTAGGATTCACGTCAAATTAGTTCTGGTAAGTCTGTTGATCTCAGCTATGATTATAGGTGATCAATAATTGAAAGGACAATGAGGAACTGGGAACAGTACCTGCATACCTATCTATAAACAAATCTAACATAGCAATAAGAAAAATACTTCAATAAAATGGACAAAAGACATAAACAATGAGCAAGAAACATTTAAAATTTTTTATACTGATAATAAAAAATGCATATTAAAACAAGATGAAGGGTTTTTTTTTTTTTTTTTTTTGAGGCAGAGTTTCGCTCTTGTTGCCCCGGCTGGAGTGCAGTGGCGCCATCTCGGCTCACCGCAACCTCCACCTCCCAGGTTCTCCTTTCTCAGCTTTCTGCATAGCTGGGATTACAGGCATGATTACAGTGATTCTCCTGTCTCAGCTTTCTGCGTAACTGGGATTACAGGCATGTGCCACCACGCTTGGCTAATTTTTTGAATTTTTAGTAGAGACGGGGTTTGACCATGTTGGCCAGGCTGGTCTTGAACTCCTGACCTTAGGTGATCTGCCCACCTCGGCCTCCCAAAGTACTGGAATTACAGGCATGAGCCACCATGCCCGGTCAAGATGAAGTTTTAATCCATTAAACTTTAAGTCTCTTTTATTTAAAGTATAATTTAGAGCATTGGCAGTGGCTCTAGGAATCAGACAATCTCGTCCACTGATGTTGAATTAGAGTATTAAGTGGTACCAACTTTCTAAAGGATGATTTAGCAATATATATCAAATATATTAAAGTGTGTTTGCTATTTAATCCAGCAATTCTACTTCTAAGGATGTACTTAAAAATTTTAAAAAACTAATATTCAGATACAACAGTGACCATCAAGCAATATTTATTAGTGCAAAACTGCACACAAATAACTAAAAATCAGTATTTATTAAATAGATGCCAATATGCTCATATAACAGTTATACTACAGCTATTCAAAAATTTTGTAAGTATCATTTTATTTTTTAATTAATAAAAGTTACTAAACAACATGCACAATATAATTCAAACAACTGTTTAAATTTATATGTACATGTGGCATATGTGCATTTCAAATGTTATACTGGAAAATGTTATCCATGATTAGTTCTGGATGATGATGTTGAATACTGATTTCTGAGATTTGTTATCTATACTTTGCTTCTCTATATTTTGCAAATTATCTACCATGAACATAAATTATTCCAGAGAAAGTAAATATCATTCTTAAATCACTATTGTAACAGTCTGGTATCAGAGTATCATATCTCCTGTACCATTTTAACTGCATTCATATCACTTTAAAAATCACAAAGTCACGTGGTATAAAAGAGGTAATAGAAACAGTAGTTTGTGATCAATGTGGTGAAAATATTTATTATCAGAATTTGGCACTAAAGAACAGATACACCTAATTTGGAATTTTAGTCTTCATTAAATGGATGCTCACCTTGTGATTTCTAATCAATGTGCTTTTCTGTGTGTCTGTTATACTTCAATTAAAAAGATTACAAGTAACTCCAGCCTGTTATTTCCTAGATTCACAGCAAAGCTGGCAGGAAACCCAAGAGGTCATTTCCAACCTCTCATCCCATTTCTTCAGTTCCACAGATAAGAAGTGCTGTGATCCTTGAGTATCATTCCATTGCCACGCAGCCCTGATAAAAGCCCTCTTCCTCAAAATGAGCCATAAACAATCTGCTTGTTTTCAGCTTCCGGGCGATTCTGAGCTAATCAGTTACAGGCATGCTTGAGCATAGATGGTAAGAGGGTCATTAACCACCAAGGCCTAGAGTACATCCTGTCATTTGGCCTGGGAACTGTGGCTGCCACAGCAGCTCTGGTGGGCATGATTGAAGGTCGCTGACAGCAGTGTGCCCAGAAACTGCAGTGTGGTCAAGGATCATAGGCTGAGTGTAAATAGTAGGGCCAGAATTTCTAAGGCTCAGTTACGGCAAACTGAGTTTCATTTCAAAGCCAGTGGTATATATACATCCAATAAATGTATGCTTTTAAAAGAAGAGATGCTTGCAATAATGGAAATGATTCAACTGCAATCAAGGACTTTTGCTCTTTTTGTGCCAAGGCCATACCTCAAATGAGCTACAAATAAGGCTGTTTGGAGAATTATGTCTGCAGCTGTGTGAACTTTGCCTGAATTTTTAAAGTGATAAACAAAACTTAACAAATAACGCTTTAGGGGACAGTTCACTTTTTTGAGGAAGGATCAGCTATTGAAGCACATCATGCAGAATATCATTTGTCATTAGATTAAGAAATACTCTCGTATCAGTAAAAGACAGGACACTTAAACTGTAAGTTAGGACACTTGGATTTTACCTTTGAGCCTTCATGTACAAGCTATATGACTCTAAATTATTTGATCTTGTGGTGTTTCAGTTTCTGGATTAGTAAAGTGTGATTGGATAACTTAATCTTGAGATCCCATTTATTCCAAAAATTGTGAATTTAAATCTAGAATACTATGATTCTTGGCCAGGTGCGGTGGCTCATGCCTGTAATCCCAGCACTTCGGGAGGTCGAGGTGAATGGATCACTTGAGGTCAGGAGTTCGAGACCTGCCTGGCCAACATGACGAAACCTGGTCTCTATTAAAAATACAAAAAATTAGCCGGGTACAGTGGCATGCACCTGTAATCCAAGCTACTCCAGAAGCTGAGGCAGGAGAATCACTTGAACCCAGGAGGCGGAGGTTGTAGTGAGCCAAGATCGCACCACTGTACCCCAGCCTGAGTGACAGAGCGAGACTCTGTCTCAAAATAAATAAAATAAAGTAAAATACTATGATTCTAAAGGTACAATTTCACACCAAAAGCATCACTGTAAAAAAAAAGATATCACCTAATTTATCATAACACAATGTAATTCCTAGATTTATTACAGACCCAGTTCCATCTCATTATAACCAGAGGGGAAAAACTAAAAAGAGATGGAGGGTGCATGTACAACTGAATGTAAATTGAACATCTTCTTAACCAATCTGTCTTTTGATTTTCAACAATTTGCTTTATGTCTTTTCTCTCACTTCCTTATGCATCCTCTAAGTTCTCTTTAATAGATTATAAAAATAAAATTAAGAAAGACCTGAAAGCACGAGAGAAGAAAATATACACAGATAATCAATCAAATACATGGTCAATGTGTACAGTTCAGTCTACGATCACTTCTTTTTGAAACTTCTTCTCTTAGTCAGAGGGGATTTGCTCTCTAACTTTGCACTGTGCTACTCTCAATTCTCCCTGAAGAACATCTGACCAACAGCACCTCCCTCAGCTATCATTCATCCACTCCACTCACACCTTTTAGCATATAATGAGAGTGATGCTATGGCCAATACAGAGGCAAAACTGACAGAGATCCTGTTCTCAAGGAGTTCATAGTCTAGTAGTGAAGAAAAGGCTAGGATATGAAACTAATAACTGTCATGCAAAGTAGAAAAGAATAAGTGCAGCTGGGCACAGTGGCTCATGCCAGGAATCCCAGCACTTTGGGAGGCCAAGGCGGGTGGATCACCTGAGATCAGGAGTTCGAGACCAGCCTGCCCAACATGGTGAAACCTTGTCTCTACTAAAAATACAAAAAAATTAGTTGAGTGTGGTGGGCACATGTAATCCCAGCTACTCGGGAGGCTGAGGTAGGAGAACCACTTGAACCTGGGAGGTGGAGGTTACAGTGAGTCAAGATTGCACCATTGCACTCCAGCCTGGGCAACAAGAGGGAAACTCCGTCTCAAAAAAAAAAAAGAAAAAAAGAAAGAAAAGAAAAGCAAAAAGAAAAAGTGCACCAAGACAGATACACATAAAATCTCATGTGATTTCTGAGAAGGGAAATCTTCCTGGTAAACTACAGGAATTAGGGAAAGCTTCCCAAAATATATGGCACTGGAGAAGTGCCTTGAAAACAAAGGTGGGATTTGGACATGTGGAGATTAAGAGGGAGAAACATCAAGAAAGAGAGAAGTGGAAGAGACATTTGGTATGTACTTAGGGTACCTGAAAAGGATTAATAGGAGATCAGGTTGAAAGATAGGTCGGGTCAGATCTTGAAAGCCTTGATTTTCAGATGAAGACAGTCACATCTGTGTCTACAGAGGACTCACTACAGGTTGTATTTTAGAGGAATAATGTGATTGAATTTTTACATTAGAAATGTATTAACTTCCCACAACTAACACTTTTTTCTGCAGATGTATCAACTACCTTTCAGAAAACTCCTCCAGGAAATTTGAGCATGGCTTTGTCTTGTACTCCTCATGGTAACACAAATGGTCACTCTTAGACCTGAATTGGGCAGATTTCATTTCGTCTATTTAGTTCATATATTGGACAAATTTGGGCTTGTTTCTCCTGGGCTGAACCTTCAATGTCAGCAGTGGTGATTTCCAGCCATATTAAGATATGAAAAAAAAAAACCACCAAACACACATGCACACACACACACACATACACACACACAGAAACAATTAAACACAAGTGTCCTTAATTTTGAGATATTTATGTGCTTTGGCAGGAGCACACTCTGGATTTTCAGGGCCAAGTGCTCCCTGCTTCCTGGAAACTTGACAAAAAAGAGAATGTGTTTGACCAAAAACTATCAAAAGCCAGAACATTCCCTGAAGTTCTTTGCTGGCTCTAGGAAATGGAACACTGGGCAATTCTTCAGTACAGTGCCAGGCTACCTTAATCATGGAAAGATGGGAAAGATGAGGCAGCTATTACTACAGCTGCAGCAAAGTGAGAATGCCTGCTCACTCATTCACATATCCACCTCCCTAGGTCTATCTTGTGATCCCAGCATCCATGTGCTTTAGAATTAATATAAGCAGATCTGGGTTATTGACATTTGCCTGTGGTCCCAGAACCAAATAAAGCTGAATATTTTATAAGGTATTATAACCCACAATTCTAGCCTCACTCATCTGAGAAAAGGGAGACTCCTAGAGAAAGATGACATGTCCAAGCCCACATGGCTGCTTGGTGGAAACAGGGATTAGTAATGAGTTCTTCCAAGTCCAGGTAAGGACACACCACAGCCTTCTCTTATAAACACTGCAAAAAGTCTAGACTCTAACTCAGTAATGATGATTCATTTTATCAATAATTTTGACTACCTCAAAGTAACTCTGATGACAAGCAAGTTAAAACTCCTCCAGCTTAGTCTTTTGGAGGAAAGGGTTTTTCATTCTAAATGCTGGTTTACACACAGTACCATCTGCCTCAGGGTGTTACTAAAAACTTTTAAGCATCACCTATCTACTGCTGAGCCTTTCATTAGGCATTTGTAACTGAAAAGAAAAAAAATTTAAGGGAAAAACCAAAAAGAGGTAGAAAAACTTTCCTGACTGTTTTTAGCTTCAGTTGATTCTGACTTAATCCTACTGGCATGCATGATTCAATAGTTTATGTCAAACACAAATTCCAGCCCAGTGCCCTCCATCCGACATGTTCTCATTCCTGAGCCTGACAGCAGACCTGGTCTCCTAGCAACACTGAACATTTTCTCTGCCTAGTCATCTGTAGCAATTGGTTCTTTTTCATGGCTGTGCTCTTGTCTTCAGTCCAGACAAACCAAAAACCTTCCCTGTAATCAAAGGGGTCTGATGTCTAAAGTCAGACCTGGAAAATCAGTTGAAATTGAACTTATTTTCTTCCTTCCTAGGTCTCCACCTCCCTTTCTCTCCTTCTTTCTCTTTTTTACACACAAACATTTGTATGCACATGGACACACACACAAACCAGCAAAAGAATGGCCTGAAATCTGTCCTGGAGATGGGAATACTATCTAGTACAACAAGCATAGAATTGTTCTTGTCTATTGAAGAAATCAGACAAGTCCCAGTGCCTCTTTGGTTACCTCATCATGTAGAAGGGAGATGATAAATACTCAATTCAAAGTGTCATTGTGAGACTCAAAAGATACAATGAAGGATGAAAGGTTTTGTAACAATAATGGCTATACAGATTAATACAGTTATTACATTATAAGCAGAGGAAATGTTTTTAGACATGTATTTAGGAAGAGATGCAACTACGCAAGCCTGTGAAAAAGTCACTACTCACTTAAGAACAAAGCTCTTATCAAGATATGAATGGAATTTATTCTCTTTAATCATCCAAATTTCAACTTGTACCAGAGCCTTCCTGGGACCCATAGAGAGTAATGATTGCAACTGATGAGGCATATAAGACCAGGGATAGCAACATATCATTAAATTGAATAATTGTTGCATGACCCAAAACTGCTCCAACTGGCCCAAGGCAAATAAATCAAGGGCCCTTCCTATTGCTTTCAACATAGTTCAAGAGATGAAAGTATTGATGGGTAGCGACTCCAAATCCTCTCCATCCCCTTTCTCAAGGGCTAATGGAGTAGAACTAAAATTTGTAAGTAGATAAGTTGAGGGAGTGAGACTTATTTAGCACTCAAAGTCCCTGGACTGTAAGCTCCACTAATCCAAAAATTATGTCTGTTTGTATTATTTTTTACTTATTGTATCTTCAGTGCTTAGGACAGTGCCTAGCATTTGATAGTCACTTGATAAACATTTGTTGGAAGATGGGACAAATTCAATAGTCAGGGCTATGAAATTGGTCATTTTAGCAGTTTTTACTGCATTTATGATGAATTTAATTAAAACTTACAGGTTACTATTAAACAAGAAAGTATATGTCAATCATTTAGTACTTAATAGGATTTCAATAAATGAAATCTGTTGTTTTATCTTCTACTATTATCAATTTCAACCATCACTCATTACCACCTACTAAAGGCAACTGATTAGAGGGAATTGTGTATGAGGAAACTTCTAATCAAGCAAAGGAGACCAACGAGCTATAATAGCCCCATGAGACAAGGGAGACATACTATGACCCAATGGCATATATATTCACAAACTGGAAAAGGACACAGAAATGTAGTGTTATTATCCTCACTCATAATCTCATAGGTAAGAAAAAATAGGCTCAGTTCCCTGAGCTCTAACTGTATACCCAAACTTTTTATTTGTTTTTTATTTATTCTTTATAGGATCATCATTCTCTTCCTTCCCATGAAGACTTTGTTCTTCCAGGGAAGTAGCAAAGAAATCCGTGTGGATGCCCTAATGTTCTTAGTTAAGGGTGGAAGAGTGGTCAGACAGCTCCCTTGGGAAGTGCAGGAGGGTGAAAGGACTGTTTACACGAGACTGTATGCACAGTGGTTGACAGCATAGACTCTGGAGTCCACATGCTCCAATCCTAGCTCAGTCACTTGCTGGCTATGTAACCTCTGACATCAACATTCTATGACTTAATAATCCATATTTGAGCCAGGTGTGGTGGCTCACACCTGTAATTCCAGCCCTTTGGGAAGCTGAGGCAGGTGGGCCACCTAAGGTCAGGAGTTCAAGACCAGCCTGGCCAACATGGTGAAACCCTGTCTCTACTAAAAATATAAAAATTAGCTGGGCAGGGTGGTGCATTCCTATAATCCCAGCTACTCAGGAGGCTGAGGCAGGAGAATCACTTGAACCCAGGAGGTGGAGGTGGCAGTGAGCTGAGATCACGCCGCTGCACCAGCCTGGGTGACAAAGCAAGACTCTGTCTCAAAAAATAAATAAATAAATAAATAAATAAATAAATAAATAAATAAATAATCCTTATCTGTAAAGCTGGGGACATAATAGTACCTACCACAAAGAAGTATTGTGAGAATTGAGTTAGTATATGTAAGCACAGATGAATGATACATCAATTTAAATTTTACTAGTAGTAGGTTATGATTTGGCAGAATCATTTTAGATATATGCCAAAAGCTCATGAAACCTTATTTTCTTAATACCTGATATTTATGAATTGAAAGTCCACTAATGTCCCAAAACACAGAGACACTGCCCAGTGTGCATCACCCTTTCCACCTTCTCAACAGAGTACCTAACACCACCACACCTGGGGCTAGCAACTGTTACACAGGAATGCATTAGCCATTGAACCTCCCCCTTCTTAATTCACTGATTTCAAGCTGTATATTACAGTGGTGAGAACCTTTACCTCAAAGCAGATAGAACTGACTTTAAATACTGGCTATCATTTACTAACTGTGACCTAGGCAGTTAACCTGTCAGTGCCCAGTTTTCTCATCCATAAAAGGGGACAGGAGAGTATTAATGGCAATTTCAGAGATTTGTGATACATCATTTAAATAACATAATATATGAAAAGTCATTAGGACAGTGCTTGTACAATAAAACTACTCAATGAATCATTGTTATTATAATAGAGTAGGAAAAGGCAAGTTATATATTTCCCTTATTAAGTAGAGGCATAAAAAATTAGTGTGACAATTCAAAGTCATAAATGGGTAAGGAAAGTAACCGTAGAATCTTGAAAATCAGTTCAGAGGTGGCATAAGGGCCTGACAGATAAAAGGAAGAGCATAGACAAAAATCACAGACACATGTGTGAGCATGATGCATTGAGGCAAACCCAGTATTTGATTGGAGTTGGATAACAAGATACGGGCATAGCAGAGGGCACTGAGGCTACAGAGTAAGCCAGGCTTTAGTGTATGAAGGACCTTGAGTGCCATAGTAAGAGTTTTGGCCACACAACATCTGATCATGTTGGCATAGCCGGGAGAGAATTAAATTTGAGTGCTTTTTTCTTTTTCTTTTCCTTTTTTTTGAGACAGAATTTTGCTCTTGTTGGCCAGGCTGGTGGAGTGCAATGTCGTGACCTTGGCTCACCGCAACCTCTGCCTCCCAGGTGCAAGTGATTCTCCTGCTTCAGCCTCCCGAGTAGCTGGGATTACAGGCATGCAACACCACGCCCAGTTAATTTTTTGTATTTTTAGTAAAGACAGGGTTTTTCCATGTTGGTCAGGCTAGTCTCGAACTCCCGACCTCAGGTGATCCTCCTGCCTCGGCCTCCCAAAGTGCTGGGATTACAGGTGTGAGCCACCGCGCCCAGCTGAGATTTGAGCATTTTTTCTAACCCCAACTGTAGATGGTGTCTGTAAATTTGAGAGGCAAACCATAAAAACATAACAAACAAAAGAAAAACATATGGCAACATCTGTAGTGGAGACATGAAAGAGAATGAAATAAAAATAATGACTTTCCCATCTCTTGAATTCACAGAAACCCTCCAGAACCTCATAATTAAATAAAAAGAAATATGCTGCTCTTTCTTTCTGTCACAGACAATAATTTACTTCCAAAGAAGTTCAGAGCTTAGATTACCATGTTTATGTGAACAGCTCTGGCTGATAGTCACACTCAGAATATCTAACGCTTACAGATACTCTGAGCAAACCCTTGGCTCTTCTCTTTGTTAGTGTCTCCAACTGTATAATAGAAAAAGCAGAAGTATTCCTGTCTTTTACATAGAACTAAAGAAATTATCAAATAAAATTATGAATATGTATCAATCTGTAAACTCTAAAGATTTTATGTGTTCTGTGATATTTATTATTATGGTTCGTTTGTGTAGGCAAGGTAGTTTGACACATGGAAGCCTAGAAATAAAATAGAGATTATAGTATGAGGCACTTAAAGAGATAGAAGTCTTTAAGACTTTCTTATCTGAATTATTTTTCTTACTTTGGTATATAATTAAGGGCAAAAACAAGGTAGCTTCATGTTACCATCAACCCTAAAGTAAGTGGATTATTTTTAAAAAGGCTTTCCAAATTGAATTGTATGTATGTAGTGTATCTTTACAATAATAAAATGAATATAAATGGAAAGAAAAAAGAATGATTTGGAAAAAAGAGAAAGGGCCTTCAAATTGTTTCAAGAAAATGAGTCTGATTTCTAAAAGTGTACTACCATCTAGTGTCGCCACTTTCTCCTCTTCAGGCCTGAGAGACAAAGTGACTAGTGACAAGTGACTACCGTTCCAGTCTGGAGGAGAGGCACTAAGAGACAGATGCCAGCATTGTTTCCATGCTAGCCCTGCATATTACTGTTTTGCATGCATTAACTTCCTCAAAACCCTTGAATGATGAATTCAACCACTTCTATTTTAGAATACAAACTAAGTTATAATATGAAATGCAGACAAGTTGAAGAGTCAATCATAGGGCTGGGGCTGTAGGATGATACCCAGCCACTCATTTTGGCAAAATTATAATTTATGAAGTATAAAAATGTGCTGAACAGCTAAGGCTTTCTGAGACATCAAACTTAAGGCATTCAGCTGTACATGCTAAACATGGTTAAAACAATGGCCTTAGCTTGTGGCCGGGCACAATGGGTCACGCCTGTAATCCTAGCACTTTAGGAGGCCAAAGTGGGCAGATCACTTGAGATCAGGAGTTTTCGTGACCAGTCTGGCTAACAGGGTGAAACTGCATCTCTACTAAAGATATAAAAATTAGCTGGGCTTGGTGGTGAGTGTCTGTAATCCCAGCTACTCAGGAGGCTGAGGCAGGAGAATCACCTGAACCCGGTAGACGGAAGTTGCAGTGAGCTGAGATCACGCCTCTGCACTCCAGCCTGAGTGACAGAACAACATTCTGCCTCAAAAACAAAACAAAACAAACAACAACAAAACAACAAACATTGACCTTAGCTTGAGGCGAACCTGGATGCAAGTCCTGAGTTTGCCTTCTACTTGTGTGAAAACATACAAGGTAGTCTTGGTTTCCTCATCTATAAAAAAAGACTAATAATAATGCCCACCCAAAGATTCTTGTTTTAAATTGATATATCATAGTTGTACATAGTTTGAAGGTACATATGATATTTTGATATATGTACAAGGTAGAACAATCAAGTCAGGGTAATTGGGATAGCCTCCAACTCAAACATTTATCTGTTATTTGTGCTAGGAACACTACCATTCCTCTCTTCTAGCTACACTGAAATATACAATACATTATTACTAACTATAGTCTCCCTACCATACTATTGAATACTGAAATTTATTCCCTTTATTGAACTGTATTTTCAACCTTAGGATTCTTAACAGGAATAAATGAATTTGTGAAGGTGATGAGCTTAGCAGAATGCTTTGCATAGAGTATTGAGAGCCAATGCTGTAGACAACAGAGGTGGGTTTTTTTTAATGTTTTCTTCTTGTTACTTAATCAAGTGGGAAGAATATAATTACCTTGTGTTTACCATTAATATGAACAGTAAAAGAAAATGAAGAATCACTTTAGAGAGATTGTATACCTATATTTATAAACAAAAATAAAATTATATCATACTCATGATTTGACAAAGGAACATAATACTCCAAGATTAGGTGAATAAATATGTACACATAATCAGGATCCCATAATGCAGAGGATCATGCAGCTTATCTGCATTTACCTAAGGTCATCAAATTCTCACAACCAAGCAGCTCATAATGGTGTCCAGGTCTTTCTCTTATGATAAAATTAATTTTCTAAAGTCTTGAAAACACAATCATGAAAATAACTTGCCTTTTTTGCCTCTTTAGCCTAACTTACCAAGAAGACATATGGTCTGAAAAATGCAAAACATCTTATTTTACGGGAAAGACCTGCAGAAGGGATGGGATGTTCACAGTGGATTTCTAACAAAGAGGAAACACCACAGCCATCAGAAGTGTTAGAGAAGAAGTTGTGCCTTATCCACATCAAAGAAGGAAAATCCACACCCTTTCTATTTTGGATAAGGAAAAGACTCAACTCCTGGTGTGTGCTTTTTGGCTAAAAACTACAGCCTATATAAATTTCCTAAAGACTGGAAAAAAATTTGCATGTATGAAAAGGATCAAACCATTTTCAAAGGATTTTTAACTGGCAATCTTTTAACTGGGGAGAAATAAGGGGGTAGAAATTACATCTGTCATCAAAGGATCCACCCTTCTGAAAATGTGTAATTGTGGTGTATCCCGCCCCATCACAGGCATAAAGGCAGCTCTAAATAAAAGTTCTTTCTAAAATTAACTGAGTATAAGAATCCCCTAGTCACCCATTGATATTTAATCCATTCTCAAATCATGTATGGCCTCTCAGAGACATTTCAGATTAACATCAAACCTTTTTTCTCTCCCTTTTGCCAACTGGACCTGAGAGCCACTCTCGGCTACATGAGACAACAGAACCCTCCCTGGTGGCTCCCATGGGGGCTGTAGTTGTGTCTGACAGAGTAATGTTTGTTTAAAAGTGAACGAACAATAACCACAAGCTTGGCTGGATTTTTAAAAGGGTACGTGGATGTTTTCATTTTAATAACATTCTTCTAGGTTAAGAGTCTAAGTACCTAATGTACTCCATTCTCATTATGTTTTTTAAAAAAGTCATCAAATCAAAAGATATTTCTTATAGCAACTTGGATTCTCAGTAAGAAGATGATTTAAATGGTGGCATATTCCCTCAGTGACTTAGCCAAGGTCAAGCAGCTATTAAAAAGCCGAGAAAGGACCTGAATCTACACATCAAGTTAGGACTCAAATGAGCTGATTATGTATATTGCATATAGAGCAAGAATTTCCCGAATAATTTCTCACCATTCACTTCCTTTACACTATGCCAAAACCTCTTCAACATGTTTGCAGCTAACAACCTTCAGAATAGGAGGATGACATAAATAAATGGTCTCCGCTAAAGAAGAAAATAAGGATGACAATTAATCTGATGATTTCACAAACTTTTGCCATAATTTTAAGTAGCACACTAATAGCATTATTTTGTATCTTATTTTCTTCAGAAAGTTGTATTAATTTTCTCCATCTCTTGGCCAGAAGACATACCTTTAGTCTTAGCTCACGTTACTTCCAAGACCTAAACGCACATTTAAAAGGTAGGTGTGGATATTGTAAAAGCTGTGATGCTGCAGACTTAATAATAAATTAATAATCACAGGTGCTGAATCTGAAATTGTTACTCTGGCAAGTGGTTTTTGCATTTTTAAAATCTTATCAATATTAATGAAGAATAAAATATTATTGTATAAAAATAAACCAACTCTGCGAAATGCCTTTATTCCATTTCTTTATTTCTCCTATAATGAAGTAATATGAAACAATGCAAAGTATACAAGTTTAGGGTTAACACAGACCTTAGTACAACTTTTCTGAACTGAGGTTTTGTTTTAGCCACAGTCTCTACAACCTGTGGAACAGACTTAATACCTCGCTCAGTAGGTGTTTTCTGGTGTAAGATAGTATGTACATAGTTCATAGCTCTGTACCTAAGGGTAATTCCTTTTACCCAGTTTTTGTCGAGAGCTAAGAGAAACAAACAAAAAAAAAAAAGAAAGAAAGAAAACTAACTATAAAGCTTTCAGATAAAAATTTAAGATGGTGTTCATCTCAAATACAGAATTACAGGGGATGTGCTGCCTGGGCCTAAGGTTCTTTGCTTGGGGAGCAGACGTTGAATTATTCTCGTGTTGCTTCTGGTGAAATTCTCATCTGTGGGATGAGAATTTCTCAACCAAAGCACAGAGAAAAATCATGACTTTTGCTTGGGGGCATAATAAATCAGAGAAAGAAGAAGGAGCTAGAACCCAATGTTGTTTGTTGGCACAACATTAATGACGCAGCCATTGGTGATGTCTGCTGTTTTTACTGAATTTTTAGTGTAAGTGTGATGTTAACTAAGAAGGTCAAAATTATGACATTTCTGTTTATTGATACAGACATACTCAAAGGTAGCTTACCCCTAATTAAAAGTCTCTGGATACATGTGATTAAATATATAAACTTCTGAATGGAGAATAGAAATGTTGCCAAAGCAGGAAAAGGATCGATTTCCCAATTGCTTGACATGTGCTTGCACAAATTATCTAAGCATTTGCAGCTCCACACAGTCTGATCGATTAATATGCTCCTTCCTTGTAAATAAATAACTCTTTAAAATTGTTGTTCCTACTGGAACTGACTACACAGTTTTCCCTTTTGTAGCTTATTTTTCATTGCTCAATAACAACTACTTCTAACCCTTTGTTTGAGACAGATTAGAAAACCTAGAGACAGAAAATACTAATATTTATGTACAAAAGTGACTTTTGAGTTATTGGCATATTTAATATATTTATTAATTATCCCTCTATTCATTAATATAGATCAAAAAATCATGGCATTATTTTACTTTGTTGATAATATTCTCTTTACCTTAGTTGGGTCTCAAACCTAAAAACCCATCCTTGTATATATCCCTAGTAATTTTACAAAATTAATAGTATGTAATGGTCTAATTCTTGAATTTTTACAGTAACACATTTCACTGGACAGGTAAAGAGAGATGGGAATATTCCATTGGGTGCAGCAAAATTTACTAAAAGATTTAAATAAAGATTATTCTTCATTACCAAAACTGCCCTCAGTAAATTCTCCCCCAAACCCATTACTTTGCTTGATGGTATCATTAGCTACCCCATGACCCAAGCAACAAATGTTGAGGTCATCTACTCATCCCCAAAATTCAAACTAAATCTGTTTGATTCTAATCTTCCTAATACATCTGGGACTCACTGTCTTTTTTTATTCCCCAAAGCCACTATCCTATTTTAGAACCTATTTTAGAACCTCACTGTCTCTCACTTGGAGTCTCTTAAGGGCTATCACTGAATACCCTCTAACTGCATAACAAAGATTGACAGCTCAGAGTGAAACCTCTGTAGAAAGAAACAGATACTTACAAAAGAGAGTGCCACAGCATGAGGTGTCTGCTTCTCTGAGTGTTTCCCGGGGGTAGTTGCTGAC
Source organism: Homo sapiens (assembly GCF_000001405.40). Lineage (NCBI taxonomy): Eukaryota > Metazoa > Chordata > Mammalia > Primates > Hominidae > Homo > Homo sapiens. The sequence continues at coordinate 190,086,415 of NC_000003.12, forward strand.
CTCCAGATGCCCAGCTCATCTCTCTAATTCCCAACCTGCAGCAGTTCTGCTGGATTCCTTACCCTGCATATAGCTGAGTAAGAATCAGAACTCCTGCTTGTGCAGAAGAAGCCTCAGAATTGATTAGATCATGGATGTGCATAGGCGTGAGGTTCTGTGTTAGAGTTTCAGCATACAGATTTCTCAATTTCACAAATGGTTAGGACTAGGGAAATCATGAATCCAAATTCTCCCTTAAAGGTCAAGTGGGACACACCATACCTCAGTTAGTGCTAGCCCAGGGACTCAACCAGACCAGCATCCAGGGGACTCCATGAAGATCTGAAAGAACCATACTCTCTGCTACCAAGAAGTCACACAAAGCCTCTCAAATATCCAGGCATTGTGTTGGAAAGGGGCATTGAGAAGAGAGAAGAAATCTGAAAGACCAAGTATTTTCCCCAAAAGATTGCACCATTTAAACAAACAAAACCAGAAGGGGACAGATTGGCAATTTAAAATTCTTCTCCATAGCCCAGCCTAAGATGGGAACTTGAGAGGAAGACTTGATCTGATGTGGAGCATAAGCTTTAACTTATTTACACATAAGAGCAGTAGTAATTAAGTCTACAATCCCTTTATGAAAATCCATGCTATTTTCTCCACTTTGAAAATCCAGCGAACTCCTATTCATCTCCCTAGACTAAATTAAATTAGCCTTACAAATACTACCAGGTAGAACAAATTCTTACTCTGCATATTTTATACCACACCGAATTTAACTCTATAAAAATACTTTTCAAATTCTATCACTGCTGTTTATACATCTGTATCATCTGCTTTAATAAAATACCATCAAGAGGCCGGGTGCGGTGGCTCACGCCTGTAATCCCAGCACTTTGGGAGGCCGAGGAGGGCAAATCACAAGGTCAGGAGATCGAGACCATCCTGGCTAACAGAGTGAAACCCCATCTCTACTAAAAATACAAAAAAAAAAGAAATTAGCTGGGTGTGGTGGCGGGCGCCTGTAGTCCCAGCTACTCCGAAGGCTGAGGCAGGAGAATGGCGTGAACCTGGGAGGCGGAGCTTGCAGTGAGCCGAGATCACACCACTGCACTCCAGCCTGGGCGACAGAGCAAGACTACATCTCAAAAAAAAAAAAAAAAAAAACCATCAAGAAAAGGCAATGTCATCCATTTATTTGGCTCTTCTTTATAACTTAAATATCTAAATGCATTATGGGAAGTCAGTATTTGAATACGATCAGTATTTCTAAATTCAGATCTATAAAATTCCATAATGATCCCAATTTTTGTGGGTTTTTGTTAGTTTTGTTTCTGGTAATGATTCTTGGGTAGGAGAGGGTAGGAGAGGAGTGGGAAAAAGTAAGCAAAAGTGGAAGAAGGAAGACTTCAAAACAAAAATTGTTCTGGCTTACTGTAAGTTAAAAGCAGACCTGATCATCTGTGTTTTCACAGCTAAATGATCTCAAAGATGCCTTATTATATATCACACATTAACAAATATTGGAAATAAAGGAATTGGTCCAAGTGTTCAACAAGTTCCTGAAAGTGATTACTTTCTGCCCTCTCAACACGAGTTCTGTTGTGCAAGTTTTCTTATCAAAACTTAATGTGCTAGTTTTCAATTTGGCTTTACTCAAGGTAAGCGCAACAGAGACCAAACATAAAATTTCATATGAAACACATGGAAATAATCTTTATTTCAATAGATCTAAAGTCTCATTGATGATAATAAAAAAATTTAAAGCCATTTTTAAAGGAGTTCTTTCTTAGGTTCTTAAAATGAACACATCATTTAAAAAAACTAAATCCCTAAAATATTATTTCCTCAGAATATTATTATGTACAATACATCTGGATAAGCATGCTATGGGATAATTCCCTTGGCAATATTAAGTGAAAAACCTTAACTGGACACATTCTTAGATGTCTAGGGAGAGAAGGCAGGTTATTCATTAAGCTCAATGATTCTATATTTCTTTGTTAATTTGGAAAGTGGTAAATGCAAACAAGGTAAGCCTGTGTTCCCTTTCACTACACTGATGTATAAAGAAAACACATAGATCTCTCTTGTATTTAGGTTGTTACCAAAATTAGTCATAATTGGGAAGGGAAGGATAAAATTTGACTCTGTTATCATATTCTGCTCTTGGATGGTACTTGATAACTGAATTATTAGGGTCAAAATTAATAGAACATTAACAGAGACCAGATCAGAAGGAGGGCAAATGGGTATAGGTTTTTCTTCCCAGAATAATAGTTACGGGCTTGTGAGAATGTCAAAGATTGAAAAGAATGACCCTTGTACTTGATTTTCTCATTTTTTAAAAAAGTAAGAAACTTAATGAGATTAATTCTGATTAAAATGAAAAATTTTATGTAGCATTTTTATATATACTACAGCCTTGAAAACAGTTCCTGCAATACCTGCAGATGTTCATAAATGACCAAACTCCCTCTACCTTTGGAATATAGCGTGTTCGACCCCTACCTATAGCACACTTTAACTCTCCCACACTTACACCACCCTAAGTACTTAAAGTGTGTGAAAACCAGAGGGAACAAGAAATAGACCCAGTTTTGTCAGAAGTCTTCGCCATGGCCCCCGTGGTGTCCCCAGGCAGATATTGGGAGCTCCACACTGACACCATATTCTCTAGCCCTTTATCTTATCTCCTAGGGCCAGCATTCATGCCAAGTGACTAAGGAAGTTTCCAAATGAGTGAATCAGATGTTGAAAATTCATTGTTAATGAGAACACTTGGACACAGAGTGAGGAACATCACACACCGGGGCCTGTCGTGGGGCGGGGGAAGCGGGGAGGGATAGCATTAGGAGATACACCTAATGTAAATGACGAGTTAATGGGTGCAGCACACCAACATAGCACATGTATACATATGTAACAAACCTGCACGTTGTGCACATGTACGCTACAACTTAAAGTATAATAAAAAAAGAGAAAGAAAATTCATTGTTAAATCAGATGTTGAAATTTCACCAAAAATTCCAAAGTAGTTGTTTGAAACAAGGGCAACAGAGGATGGGCATACATGTCCAGAGACTAGCTCATTAAAAAACACCTTAATGTCTCCTTCCTTGTGACCTTCTGTTCCCGCCCTCCCAACAGGAGGACTGGACGGATGTTCTGTCCTGACTCTAGAGGGTGGTCACACATACCTTATGCCTCATTCTCCACCTCCCCTCTTTCTGTATTTTGTCAGTAAAGGGATGTAGCATTTATAGGAATAAGTCATGGGCATCTGAGACATGGGAGGGCAAGTATGTCAGAAACTTGGAAACAAGTGCTGGTTGTCATGCCGGACTTTCCAAACCCATGGAGTCATAATAATATGGGTAGGACAAGATGGGTGTCCAATCTGTGGGGCCTGTTTAAAAAGACTTGCATACCACAAGGCTACCACCGTGGTGCAATTGGGGTTTTTGATCCCATATTTAGCTAGTAATGCCTGACACCACATCACATTTTAGTCACAGGGTGAAGAAATGATGAATGGGGACGTTTGTTGGGGAGGCTTCCTGGGTCTGGCAGAGTCTCAGTGGTCAGTGAGGTAAAGAACTTGTGGTTTGGTGTCTGTGTCATGAAGCACAAAGACCGAAGTCAATGAATCTTCTCTGTAGGTAGATTTATTTGGGCTTTGCCTGCCAGCCTTCAGAATTGCTCCTTCCTCTGTGCCCCAACAGACCCTTTCCATTTCTCATTATGCATCAGGTCAAACATGCTTCTTAACTAAATAAACATGGCTACATCCCCAAATAGATTGGAAATTTCTTTAGAAGATATCATTCGTTTTTATTTTTTTCCATTTCTCCTTTTCCTTGTGGAGTATACCGGATCAAAGGCACTAAAAAATATGCTGAGTAAAATGCTTACTGAAAACAAAATATTAATCTGTACAGAAAGGTAAATAAACATTTTATGGACATATTTTTCACAGTTCTCACTGAGCATATTTTAGACTCAAAAAATATTTACCACCTATTGGCCGCGCACGGTGGCTCACGCCTGTAATCCCAGCACTTTGGGAGGCTGAGGCGGGTGGATCACGAGGTCAGGAGATCGAGATCATCCTGGCTAACATGGTGAAACCCCGTCTCTACTAAAAATACAAAAAATTAGCTGGGCATGGTGGCGGGCACCTGTAGTCCCAGCTACTCGGGAGGCTGAGGCAGGAGAATGGTGTGAAGCTGGGAGGCGGAGCTTGCAGTGAGCCCAGATTGTGCCACTGCACTCCAGCCTGGGTGACAGAGCAAGACTCTGACTCAAAAAAAAAAAAAATTTACCACCTATTACCTTAGAAAACAAACTGTAAACCTAGTAGAATTCTTCACCAGGCACTTGAACACTACCAAGTCTTTATACACATTATTCCTTTTTCTTGGAGAGCCCCACCCCATTTCCTCTGTGTGGAATGTTTTACTCCTTTGCAAGACGTAACTTCAGTGTCAATTTCTCACAGAAGTTTCCTTCATTCACTCAGTTACCTACTCCCTCATCAATACTATCATAGCCTTCTCATGTATTATTTTTTTATTCCGCCTGCCATCTCTCAAAACTATGAACAAATAAGGTATGACTGTGCTTCTTTCTACCTGCCAACACAGGTATTCAGTCTTATTTGGAATATAATGTTTGTTCTATAAATAAAATAAATATCAAAGCTAGTTTTTTATTGTGCAAGTGAAGAGGAATTTCAGCCACAAAAAATCAAAAGCCAAGTAATCCAAAAATTATGTGTTGGCTTTTAGTATTGATTTGGATTTGTGGAGACCATTTTAGCTTCTGGATTGTGTTTACCAAGGTACAGCATTAAGCTCAAATTTGCTAAATGCTTTCTGGTCTGATATAAAGCATTCAGATTGATGGAAGTGGTTCTAAGAGTCATGATTGCCATATGGAAACACGAAGTGGACACATTTGTTACCTTAACAGTAACTTCTTTTAATGACTATACACTCTCAACTTTACACTTCTGCATAATTCATAGTTAATGAAATGATATAATAGGATGCCCCTATTTCCCATTATTACTAAGAAAAGAAAGGAAGTGTTACTACAATATCAATTTAGGACAGGTGATTACATCTTAATGTCTGTAAATGGCTATTTGCTTATATATATTGTACTAGAAAGTTTTCTTTATAAATACCAATCAATATAAGTTTCAAAGGAAAGATGGCACAAGCCAGATCCTTAACAAATAGAGTACCTGATAATTCTGAAAAGAATGATGGCAAATGAGGCTTTTTAAAGAGTACATAGGCTGGCAGAGGAAAACAGTATTCTGACAGTGTGAAAGCAAAGAGATGTTGGAGATGCCATATTTGTTTCTTTTGTTTTGTTTTGACATTCTCTGTGAAGTAGGAAATGTTACATGCAAAGAGGCTGAGATATTAAAGAAAGGGAAGAGAGAGCATAACCTGATGTATTAGAATAGGAACAACGTGGAACTAGGTTTTACTGATGTGCATTAAATAAGTGGGGCCATGTCTTACATGTAAAAATGTTTTCCAGCCATGCGCAGTGGCTCACGCCTATAATCCCAGCACTTTGGGAGGCCGAGGTGGGTGGATCACCTGAGGTCAGGAGTTTGAGATCAGCCTGGTCAACATGGTGAAACCCCGTCTCCACTAAAAATACAAAAATTACCCGGACATGGTGGTGGACACCTGTAGTCCCAGCTACTTGAGAGGCTGAGGTAGGAGAATGGCTTGATCCCAGGAGGCAGAGATTGCAGTGAGCTGAGATTGCACCACTGTACTCCAGCCTGGGCGATGGAACGAGACTCCGTCAAAAAAAAAAAAAAATCCAGTTGGTCTTAGCAACTCTATATTTCTATCAAAGGAGAAATACTTCAGCTGAAATAGTATAAAAGGGCCATGTACTCAGGGCAAGTAGTTTATACTAAAATAACCCCAATGCCATGAGTCACTTCCTCACCAACTTTGTCAATCTTTGGTTTGCTAAAAAGCAAAACCCTCCAAGAAGACAGTTGCTTAGCAAAATAGCTAGTGCTTAAGGCAAGGAACGAAGTCTAGAAAATACTCTCATTAGGAGCTACATCTTGCTTACATGGCTATCTTTAAAAATAAGGAAAAGTGCAAGGGACTTATGGCATTTTTCCAAAGGCAGAGTGCTGTTCTAGTTATCCAGCATTAGAGAGCTTACAGCTGCCTTATTAAGAGGATTATTCTTTCGGGAAGCTGGGATCTGAACTCTTTTCAGTCTTACTGGTATGTGCCCTTTTATTTTGAAAGCTCATTCATTTCAAGCAGTAAATTTTTATATTTTATTTAAGGCAATTAAGCAAAGATAATGAGACTTTTAAAAAGACAAAGAGGAAAAGAAGGGGCAAAGGAAAATAATATCCTTCCTTCCTATTCTACATCCGCTCCTGTAGTTCTTGTTTTTGCTCATAGAACCACAATCCATCAATCACCCAGGCTTTAAATCTCCGAGTCAATTCTGATCCCCTTCCTTTACTTTCTAATCCCCCCCAAAAATGATACAAACACCTATTAATTTCACCTGCTTAGTGTCTCATACATGTGATCTCTCTTCTCCTACTCCAATTCACCACCCAAAATTCCTCCCTTTATTAGAGCTTTCCTTAGTAGTGTGGGAGATAAAATCATGAAAAGAATGAAGGGACACAGTTTGAGAAGTAGAAATAATTCTGACATCAATTCTAAGAAATAATACTAAGCAACGATAATAGAAAATTGATAAACAACTCTAAAACCTTAGTTGTGATCATGCAGTGCGAATACATAGTAGACGGCAGAGACATAGCTCTGTGTCATTTGTCTGCAGTGCTCAGTGAACAGTGGTGGAGTGCTGTAAAGCTTGACAAGACAGACAGTTGAGGAAAAGAATGATCATCAATCCTTATTGCAATGCAAATGGCCCTACCCTTCTATACACGTGACTAGCTAAAGAGGTTGGCCATGAGTTGGGGGTTGGTCTGGAGAGAAAGGGAAAGAGGAACGAAGGCCATAGAGGAAAGTTCTGCTGGATAGCTAGAAAGGGTGAAATCAGATAAAGAAATCTGAGAAAATTAAAGGAAAATTATTAAGGCAGTGTCCTCACGGTTGTTGAACTCACAGGCATTGGTAGCTGGAGAGTGGATAAAAAGGAAGGATCGTGATGAACCACAAGTCATCTTCAGAAACTGAAGTCATCAAAGGTGTCCAGGATGGAGAAGAGAGAGAGTAGATGGCACTGCTGAAAATGTGACTGAGTGGAAGAAAAAAAGTGATTGCTACTATTTACAGTGTTTGTTTGCTTTGTTTTGGGTTTGGTTTAACATTGTTGTCAAAATGATTTGCAGTAGATACACTGAAAATAATTAATATGCTGGTGGCTTTTTTGGTAAGTTTTAGAAAAATTCACCACATTAATCATTAATGAAAATTTCATTAAAATTGAAGATTATACGCTATAAGTTTAAATGGCTCACTGAAAAATTCTCATGAAGTCATTTAGTTTTCATTTTACATGATAAAAATTTCACATCCTTTTCCCATTATCAACTTGGCTCCCAAGAATAAAAAAGTGGTGCTATGTAGCTAGCATGAACTAAAATAATTTTGATTAATTTTAAGAATTCCACAAACATTGATATAGAGCAATAGGTGACAATCTGATACACTGTAAAACCAGAATCGAGAATGTGTTTCTCTGGAAAATTAACATCTGCTCTACTGACTGGAACTATGGAGCTCTGTACATTGCAAAGACACTAATCAGTAATCCAATACTGACACTATTTCTTCCACCCAGGAAAGCAAAATCTTGGACCAAGTCCTCATGACAACATCCAAGTAACAAGCAGGAAATTCCAAGCTTGAAGTTATAGTTTCTATTTAGCTTTCTTTAGTATTTCAACTAGCCTCGGGATTCTTGCAGAAGGCATTCCTTTGAAAAGTTATTTTCCATTTCTCTTACATATCTGATGTCCTTGAATTCTATGACCCTGGTTGCTGATGGCAACCAGAACCATTCTAGACAGACTTGTTCTGATTTATGAAACAGTGAACCAAATTTAGCAGCCAAGTAAAACAGCCCACTGATTCACATTTTCCCTACAGGTTCCACAGAACCCAGGCACAGCTCCATAACCATTGGGACAATGGTGGCCTTGGAAAGGCTGACTCAAGCTCATAGCCTTGATGTCCTGAGTACAATACAGCAACAACAGTGGGGTACTGGGTCTCTCTGACATTCTGCCCAACCCAAAACAGGAAGTGATAAAACTGAGATAATAAAAAGACATATATAGTACTTTGTAATCCGCAAAACACCTAACACAGCCAATACAGAGAAACATCCTTCTGTTCATCCTGTAAAGGAAGAGGACCACTTTTCTTCACTAGAAGACAAAAGAAACAAGACTCAGAGGTGTAAATGACTGGTCCAAAGTCAGGCAGCTAGAAAAGGAATGACTAGAACAATTATTCAGATTTTTTGACTGATCATCCATGATTATGTCATTGTATCGAGACAATTCTGCCACAGTCAGGCCAAATATAATCAATATCACAAGTTTGAAAACTTAGTAAAAGAATAGAGCCAGTATTTCCCAAAGTAAGTTCCATTAGTTTTCACAGAAAAGTGAACATGTGCTTTATTCTTAGGTTTTGACAGGCATATCTAAGAATTTTATATGTATTAGCTTATTTAATTATTATAACACTTTTAGAAGTTGCTCATTGTACAGACATGAAAACTGAGACTTATTATTATGTTCATTTTACAGATGACAAAACCGAGTCTTACAGACATTAAATATCTAACCCAAATTTACACACCTATACACAGGAACTTGAAGCTGACTCATGTCTCAAAGACAAATTGTCTCAAAACATATATATATATATATATATATATATATATATATATATATATATATGGATTATCACCTCAAAATGTTAAGCAATGAACCTATATCTACACCAAGAAGAGTTATACAATGTTCAACATTTTGCTTACAATTCTGCAATGTAAGCAAACCAAAAAAACCTCATCCAAAAGTTTACAAGGAGAATTTAATTTCAAATTTCTCTTGGGTTCCACAGTGAGCAACAATAAGAGAGAGCTAAGTCCATGAAGATATGTAATTTAGAGGGAAATTAAAAAACAAAAACAAGTTGTGATTCCTTTTTTTTTTTTTTTTCCTTTAAAACGGAGTCTCGCTCTGTCACCCAGGCTGGAGTGCAGTGGCGTGATCTCGGCTCACTGCAAGCTCCGCCTCCCGGGTTCACGCCATTCTCCTGCCTCAGCCTCCCGAGTAGCTGGGACTACAGGCGCCCGCCACCACGCCTGGCTAATTATTTTTGTATTTTTGGTAGAGACGGGGTTTCACCATGTTAGCCAGGATGGTCTCGATCTCCTGACCTCGTGATTCGCCCACCTCGGCCTCCCAAAGTGCTGGGATTACAGGCTTGAGCCACCGCGCCCGGCCAAAAACAGGCTGTAATTCTAACTCATTACGACTCAAGTGAAAGGCAAGTAAATACAGCATAAAAGGCAACAACAACAACAAAAACCCATGTGTAATGTAAACCATCTCTTTTGATGCCCTATCTTGGATTCTGAAAATCATGTAGTCCTTTAACTGATTAGGGAATGAAATACAACACTGCACATCAGCGTGTACACAGAGCACAAACAGAATGTTTACAAACAATACAAACAAACGCCAAGAACCTGACAAATAGACCTAGGCCCATACAACTGCCATTTCCTTTAAGTACAATAATGAACAATTGGGAATATTATTCAGTGATACGGTTTGGATTTGTGTCCCTGCCCAAATCTCATGTTGAACTGGAGAAGGGGCTTGGTGGGTGGTGATTTGATCACAGAGGCTGATTCCTCCCTTGCTGTTCTCATGATAGTGAGTGAATTCTCACAAGATCTAGTGGTTTAAAAGTGTGTGGCACTCCCTCCTTCACTTTCTCTCTCCTGCTTTGCCACGGTAACACGTGCTTGCTTCCCATTTGCCTTTCACTATGACTGTAAGCTTCCTGAGGCCTCCTCACGCTTCCTGTGGAATTGTGTCAATTACACCTCTTTTCTTCATAAATGACCCAGTCTCAGGTAGTTCATACATAGCAGTGTGAAAATGAACTAATACATTCAGAACGCTTAAGAAAGAAAGAGAAGCATGTAGCTTTCACTTCAGATGAAAAAAGCTTTTGGGCAATCCCACATTCAGTCATGCAATTGTGTTAGCATCTGGCTGGAAACAGTATTCTCACACCCACCTTCTTCCATGCCTATCATAGGTCAATGAACACAGACACCCAACTTGGCCAAAAGGTCTCCATATATTAAAGAGTGGGGTGAATTGCTAAATTTCAATCTCTTCAGCTTGGAAATACCACCTATCAGAAAAGATAAAGACAGCATCATGAAAAGACATCTTTTTATGAAAAGATAAAAGCAGCGTCATGAGAGATGAGAGCCTTGAAAGAGAAATTTATTAGTTTGTAGCTTTGTGTCTACAAAGAACTTCAAATCTGAACAGACAGCAACTGTGACATTTTGGCAAGAGCACTGGCCTTGGAGTCAGGAAACTTCTCTACTGAGCCATAGTTCTGCCACACTTGAGAATGGACAAGCCATTAAACCTCCGATTTCTCACAGGGCTCTCGTGAGGAAGGCAAGACGTGTGTGATGAAGTTTCAGAGCATGAATTTCAGAGCATAATGCAAACATGAGAGGTGATTATCTTCCTTCTCACTGTAATTCTCACCATTCAAAAGCAAGGAGAATCAATGTGAAACTGAGTGCTGGAACATATCATGCAAGTACTGACTCTCACAGATGTGATGCATTACTAAAAGTAAAACAAACAAACAACCAAAAAAACCGCTATGATTTCCCCAATACTGATTCTTCCCATATATTTGAAAATCAGAAATAATGTTGCTGGTTCCTCATATATAGTTCAATAAAGAAGTCAATAAGAGACTGACTTATACCTACAAACAAACAGACTGTGGACTGAAAAATAAAACAAAACGATTCCACCTGTTATGACATGAAAAACAATGAGGCCCCCACATACTGTGCTCTGGGGCCAATTCAGACCTCCCTCACAGGTACATATTCCCCTTCTTTCTTTCTGCCTCAGGTATCATATCTACAAAGTCTTACTTGAAAACCTAATTTTTATTGTTGTTGGATTACCCACAATAAAATTATTTTATTGTTGTTGGATTGCTACATAATCTTTGGCAGTGGATATTATCATAAGAATTCAAAACAAGAAGCTGCAAATATTCTAACCATTGGCCTTATCAAACAATTCCTACTGGAAGTGTTGTTTTAAGCAGCAGCTTTCATCCCCACGCCCCACCCCCGCAGGATAAAGGCATGCATGAGTCTGGAATGTATTAAAGGAGGTCAGAGGCCTTAAACCTTTCAAGGCCCCCCAAAAAACCCTACATATGCTCTCTGTGTCTGCACTATCCATGTCTAATTTATGTAAGCGCAATAGCATTTGGAAAAATACTTTAGGTCACATTAAGCCTTATGGCTAGTATGGATATTGTCATTGTTAAAGTAAAAATAAGCAATTACTGTGGTGAAAAATAAAAAAACATTTTATGAATATGGTAAAAGTAATTTTTTAAAAATGAAACAATTTTAGGTGATGCAAATTCTCATATGAGAAATTACAGTCGTGTAAAATGTATACATTTGTATACACTACATTTGTATAGAACTTGAACATTTCAAAATACTTTCCTTAGTCCTTATTGCATACGTGTTCCATAATCAATATTAGTAGCCCCCATTTTACAGAAGGAGAAACTAAGTTTCCAAAAAATGTATGACTTTTGCAGGGATCTGTGGAATCGCTCTTATTGTTTTATAATCAGATTGTGTACAGTTTAGGTTCCAAATGACAATAGGTTAATCTCGTGCTACAAAATTAAAAATTAAGAGATGAGGTCTGAAAGTGACAACAGTCATAATTTTCCGTAGTTGCTATAAATGAGACAGGATAATAGATGATAGATAGCCCATTAGAAAAATGATAATGATAGCACCAATAACAATTATTATTTACTAGGGCTTACAATAAGCTGTTACTATTCTAAGTGCCTAACTTGTATTCACTAATGAAATCCTCGCAATGCCACTGTCACTTACCCCTCCTTTCTGGATGAGAAAACAGAGGCAAAAGAGACTTTGAGTAACTTGCCCCAAATCAAAAAATAGTGTCTCGTTTATTTCTCTAGATCAGTGTTTCTCAAAATACATTGATCATTCATAATTTATTACACGGACCACCAACAGTTTCAGACTTAACAATGATTTGATTTAGGTGTATTTCGCAGAATTAAAATGCAAGTTTAATTATGATTTTCTTAGCAATTCCATTATATTCTTAATAATTATGACATTCTTAAGGTCATACAAGCTCTTCATTGGATTCTTCCAGGCATTTTCTGTCACATACCACTTAGTTGTCAAGGTTTATTTGATCTTGCTAACTTAATATTGTTGATACAACGCTGTTTACTTTTATTACATTTGCAGTTTTAATGCCATTGCTGTATTTTGCTATAGCTGTGCTTTTTTTTAAGAAAAAGGGTTCTTTCATGATTTACTGAAGCTTAATAGTAGATATAAGAATAATAACAAATACTAGATCTAAAAGTAATTTAACTAATAAAAACATTTTGTCAAGTTTCACTTCTTGCAGCAAAAATACTTACATTAAATATTATTGCCAAGAAGCTAGTAAAAAATGCCTCAACATGAACAACAAATTATGCGTGGAACGAAGAATAAACTTCTGGCAAAACTTCATTTTCAAATGACGCTGTAGGATATCACATAATGTAATACAATACACACAATGAGGAAAGACAATTACTACCACATGTTTAGATACAACAGATATTGCTTTATAGTCGGACAAACCACGAGAGAAGAATTACACTTGGACAACGGGTATATATGCAGGGGGAAAGTGTGGAATAACTCCTTTTTTCTTTATCACTAAAGCTTTATATCTTTATAAAGGTTTTATCAGCAGAAACTTCTTGTTTCTTTATCACATAGCAAGAAAGATTCTGTTGCTCTGGTTTAATTCACAATATTGTGTAAATCAGAACATGGATGTGTTGAACCAAGGTTGGCTGAAATAAAGAATGATACAGAACTGACCTTTTTTGTGCAGCAAAAAAGCACATTTCTAATAAGAAGTCTTACCTGAAAGACAATCTATAAACTGCTTTATTCATAGAAAAAAGATGGTATTAACAATATATATCTTGATCTTTTTTAGCATTATGGAAAATAAGGAAAATTGTGAAGAAAGTTGAATGTTAACCACTGGTTTACACCATTTCAGAGCGGAGTCTGCAGAACTGTGTGGCAGGTACAATACCTTTATCTAAGAGGAAGAGGTACTGAGGCTAATTGTAGAATTGAGTGATGAAAACTAAAATATTTCTTCAGAACCCTGACACTGCTATAAAATACCACTTCTGGCTGGACATGGTGGCTCATGCCTGTAATCCCAGCACTCTGGGAGGCCGAGGTGGGTGGATAACCTGAGGTCAGGAGTTCGAGACCAGCCGGCCCAACATGGTGAAATTCCATCTCTACTAAAAATATAAAAATTAGCCAGGTGCAGTGGTGGGCACTTGTAATCCCAGCTACTTGGGAGGCTGAGGCAGGAGAATTGCTCGAACTGGGGAGGCAGAGGTTGCAGTGAGCCAAGATCACGCCATTGCACTCCAGCCTGGGCGACAAAGAGCAAAACTCCGTCCCCCGCCCCCCCCGCCGCCCCCCCCCCCAAAAAAAACACTTCTATGATTGCATAAGGCTTGCCAAGGTCATTTTTCTCTGCAATGTATTCAATATTTTATATTACCTAAGCTTATTATCTTAATGTCTAAATGTCACAATTTTTGGTATTGAGGATAAGATACTAGGATTTATTAAAATGAGGAGTGAACAACTGCTGAGAGTTTCATAGTTTAGTAGCATTTAATAAATTTTTTTATCAGTGGAAATATTCTGCCAAATATTAAAATATATTGAAGCTGGCAGAGACTTCCAAGATTACATATTACAATCACCTCATTTTGTAAAAGAAGACTCTGAGGCCAAGAAAAGGTTAACTATTATAAAGCCCTACAGAGTTAGTAACATAATTAAAACTAGAGCCACACTTTCTATATTCCTCACTCTAATACAGTTTCCAAAATGTTCCACCCAATTTCATGCTATTATTCTCAAACTGACATATGAAGTTGGTATCATCATGAAAGGTCTGTCTTTACAAAACTATGATCAAGTGCAGAAAATGGTGTTTTTGAAGTATGTAAATACAGGCATACCGCTTCTGATTGTGCTTCATTTTATTGCACTTTCCAGATATTGTTTTTCACAAATTGAAGGTTTGTGGCGACCTTGCATCAGGCCACTTCTTTCAGTGCCACTTTTCCAACAGCATGTGCTCACCCCATGTCTCAACGTTACATTTTGGTAATTCTCACAATATTTTAAACTTTTTCATAGCTACCATTACTGTTACGATGATCTGTGATAACTGATCTTTGATGTTACTATTGCAGCTGGTTCGGGCCCCACAAACCATGCCCATATAAGATGGCAAACTTAATAGAAAAATGTTGTGTGTGTTCTGATGGCTTCATCAACTCACCATTCACCTGTCTCTCTCCCTGTCCTCAGGCCTCCCTGTCCCCTGAGACACAACAACACTGAAATTAGGCCAATTAATAATCCCACAATGGCTCTAAGTGTTCAAGTTAAGAGTCACATATCTCTCACTTTAAATCAAAAACTAAACATGATTAAGTTTACTGAGGAAGGCAGGTCAAAAGCCAAAATAGAATAAAAGCTAGGTTTCTTGCATCAGTTCACCAAATCATGAACGCAAAAAAAAAAAAAAAAAAAAAAAAAAGCGATTGAAGGAAATTAAAAGTGCTACTACAGTGAACACATGGATAAGAAAGTGAAACAGCCTTACTGCTGATATGGAGAAAGCTTTAGTGGTCTGGATAGAAAATCGAATCAGCCACAACATTCCTTAAGACCAAAGCATAATTCAGGGCAAGAGTCAAACTCTCCTCAATTCTGTGAAGGCTGAGAGAGCTGAGGAAGCTATAGAAAAACAGTCTGAAGCAAGCAGAAGTTGGTTCATGAGGTCTAAAAAAAGAAGCCGTCTTCATAAACATGAAAGTGCAAGATGACGCAGCAAGCGTTAATGTGGAAGCTGCAACAAGTTATCCGGAAGATCTAGCTAAAGTAATTAATAAAGGTGGCTGCACTAAACAACAAATTTTCATTGTAGATAAAGCATCTTCTTGGAAGATGTCACATAGGACTTTCTTAGCTAGAGAAAATGTTAATGCCGGATGTTAAAGCTTCAAAGGACAGACTGGCTCTATTGTTAGAGCTAATCCAGCTGGTGACTTTAACTTGAAGCCAATGTTCATTTACCATCCCCCAAATCCTAGGGCCCTTAAGAATTATGATAAATCTACTATGCCTTTGCTCTATAAATAGAATAACAAAGACTGGATGACATCATATCTGTTTACAGTATGGTTTACTGAGTATTTTAAGCCCACTGTTATCTGCTCAGAATAAAAGATTCATTTCAAAATATTACTGCTAATTGACAATGCTTCTAGTCACCCAAGAGCTCTGATGGAGGCGAACAAAGAGATTAACGTCGTTTTCCTGCTTACTAACATAACATCCATTCAGCAGCCTGTAATAGAGGAGTAACTTTGATTTTCAAGTCTTATTATTTAAGAAATATACCTTGTAAGGTTATGACTGCCATAGATAGTAATTCCTCTGGTGGATCTGGGCAAAGTAAACTGAAAACTTTCTGGAAAGGATTTACCATTCTAGATGTCATTAATAGCATTCGTGATTCATAAGGAGAAGGTCAAAATTTCAACATTAACAGAAGTTTGGAAGAAGTTGATTCCAACTCTCATGGATGATTTCGAGGAATTCAAGATTTCAGTGGAGAAAGTAACTGAAGTGTGGTAGAAATAGCAAGAGAACTAAAATAAAAAGTGGAGCCTGAGATGTTAGTTAATTACTGAAATCTTATAATAAAACTCGAACAGATAAAAAGTTGCTTCTTAAGGATGAGCAAAAAAAGTGGTTTCTTGATGTGGAAACTACTCCTGGTGAAGATGCAGTGAACACTGTTGAAATGACAACAAAAGATTGAGAATATTACATAAGCTTAGTTGATAAAGCAGTGGCAGGGTTTGAGAGAATTGACCACTTTGGAAAGAAGTTTACTGTGAGTAAAATGCTATCAAACAGCACAGTATGCTACAGAGAAAGTGTTCAAAAAAGGAAGAGTTAATTAATGGGGCAAACTTTCTTGTTTTTTTGTTTTCGTTTTTGTTTTAAATGCCAGTCACTCCAATTTACAGTAACCACCAACCTGATCAGTCAGCAGCCACCAACACTGAGGAAAGACTGTCCACCAGCAAAAAGACTGTATCTTGCTGAAGGCTCAGATACTTTTTAGCAATAAAGTATTTTTTAAAATTAAGGTATGTACATTGTTTTTTAGACATAATGTTATTGCATACTTAACAGACTAAATTATAATGTAAACACAAATTTTATATGCACTGGGAAACCAAAAAATAAAAATTGTGAGGCTTGCTTTATTGCAATGGTCTGGAACCAAACCTGCAATATTTCTGAGGTATGCTAGTTTTCTAAATAACTGTGTAAAATCATATGGACAAACCTATGTCCTAGGAGAACTGACAATTCAAATTCAACAAGCATGAGTTTCCATCACGTGCAAGACTCAAATAGTACTATCAGCCATATGTAAATGTTTAGGTCAAAGATTCACACACAATAATCTGGAATTTAGGAGGTATTGATCATAAGACTATCAGACTTAATCTGGGACAATGGGTTACAGGAAAAGAAATCATTACTTAGAAACTTTTTTTCCCTATTCCAAACTCTGTGTAAATTGGTTTTCCATAAATAACACATTAGGTAAACCTTTGTTAACTATCTTATTGGGAAAGTGGACCAGGATGATCAAATCTGTATTTATTTATGAAGAGTTAAATCACAGTGTTCTAGAGGAGCTCATCTACAGACATATAAACAAGTGAAAGGGCAGGCTGGTGGCAAGGCTGAAAGAGCACTGGGACTTTTCCATACTTCTAAAGCAGAGGTAGGAAAGAATACTCAACAACTTGACATGAACTATAGCACAATCCGGTTCACCGACTTATGGTTAATTTAGTAGTGGTGACAAAGTTGACTTAGAGATTTTTATTCAACATTAGAAAAGTTTTTCAGTAGCTTTTTTTTTTCAATGAAGTCTTGCTCTGTCACCTAGGCTGGGGTGCAGTGGTGCGATCTCGGCTCACTGCAACCTCTGCCTCCCAGGTTCAACCGATTCTCGTGCCTCAGCCTCCCAAGTAGCTGGGATTACAGGTGCCCGCCACCACATCTGGCTAATTTTTGTATTTTTAGTAGAGACGGGACTTCACTATGTTGGCCAGGCTGGTCTTGAACTCATGACCTCAAGTGATCTGCCAGCCTCGGCTTCCCAAAGTGCTGGAATTGCAGGAGTGAGCCACTGCACCCTGCCTTCAGTAGCTTTTTGTGGTAAAGTATTGGTAACAAAACTCTGCTAGAGATCTGAAATCATATCCATTCCAAATTATATTCATCATCATCATCATTCAAAGATCATTTAGAAAGCATGCTCTCTCTAGTCAAAGGATTAGGCATAGCAGAACAGAAATATTAGTGATAATATCTATCCTACTCCAGCCAAACAGCATGGGGCAAAAACCACGGCTCAATTCACCTTTATGTCAGCTGGTCCGAGACAGCATGGACTTCCACCCACTCCCCTCCACTCCAGTGATGGTATCAGGGCACTCCTCCCGCTCCCAACTAGAGAGTGAGGGAAGAACTTCAAAGAGGAGGGAGCTGGATAAAGGGATTATTTAAATATTATTATAAAATATTTAATATTTTAATACCCTTTAAATTTCTTTAACAGTATCAAAGTTTGAGAAATGAACTACAGTGTAGAACACCACCAGGTTTAAAGATTGGCCTCTGGACAGTACATACAGGAAGCAAATCAGAATAGGATTGCAAAGCCTCTATAAATGAAATTGCTTTTACTTAGTATATCACGATATATTCGCTCAGAGAAGCATACCTACTTTCAATTCCTAGCACGGATGTCCTGATCAGTTGTAATAAATTTAACTTAAAACCCCCAGTGGTACTATGTAACCACAACTAAATCCATCTCAGATGTCATCTCATGGAGACAAGAGTCGGAAATCAGAGGACTGATGCCAATCATGCATGTGGATATTATTACTGCTAAATATTCCATGCATGTGTGTTCTGGCATGTGTGTCTTAGGGCCTTGGTACTGTTTTTTCCTCTTTTCTTTTTTGCATTATGTAACTATTTATAGGGAGTAGGCTGGCAACCATGGCCTAAAATACATTAACTAGAATTCAAAAGGAAGCTAGAAAACTGTATGCCTTTTTCAATGAAAAAGACTTTAATGATCCTTTCTGTGAGTACAAGAGAAATTTTCATTTCACAAAATCATGGAGTCTTATAGACTTTGGATTGGAAAATATTTTAAATCTCATTCATTTCAACATCACTCTGGTGCTTGCACCTTAAATACAACCTCTACATTAGGTATTTGTTTGACTCACGTTTGAACACCTTCTAGGGCTTCCTATTAGATCTCAGAATAGTGTGAGGAAAGTCTTTCACATTTGAGCCGAGATCTTGTTTTCTGTAATTTCTGTTATTTGGTCCTAGTGCTTCAATTCTTCAGTGCCATAAAGATCAGGAACAATCGCCTCAAATGATAATCTTTTTTGAAACTGCAAAAGGAGATTTTTTGTTGTTGTTGCTTGTCTTTTCTTCATTAGCTTACTCATCCTCTATATCAGCTGTTTCTCATATATGGTTTTGAGCCTTTTATCTATCTTCTTTGTCTCTCTTGAACATTGCCTAGTTTATTCTGTCCTCTTAAATTACCATTAAATTAAATATTTGTGTAACTTCCTTTCAAGTTTTACTTTAAAGGGATTCACTGCCCCAAGATGAGGACCAGCATTAGATACACTGGAAGTAATTCCTTTCCTGTAAACTTTTAAACTAATTTATGTCCATTGCATTTTATATTCCATTATTTTATAATCTCATCAGTTTTCTGTTTCCACAGGTAGACTGTTGGCTTGCTGTACCAATCCACTAAAGTATTTTAGCATCTCAAGCTGGCAGATGCAGAAGAGCTCTTATTAAGTAACTGGCCCAATGCTGCCCTAGTCCAAATGCAAACCCCAAGGACTAGAGAAAGCCATTTATGACAGAGCTGGGTGTAGAGATTAAATTGCTTGATTCCTAGACTTGTAACCCTCTACTACTTTTTGTGAGCTACTCTCCCATTTACCTGACTGCTAAACAAAAAGCAGTTTCATTTTGGTGTCTATGATGAAGAAATGTTTGTTGATTCTCAAACTTAAGTCATCTCCCATGGGTACAAGAAATCAGGGTAGGAAGGAGGCTTAAAGAGGTTTAAAATTCCCAAGATGTGTCTGTGGGAAGAGATTTTATCTATTAATATGAAACAGAGAAGATTTGGAATGTGTTTGAACAGAGTCCATTTAAAAAAAATACAAAGAAGAGGACACAATCTCAAGGAAATTGTGAAATCAGAGAATGGGAGAATTTAATGGGGAAGAAAGAAAAGAACATTTCTTAACATAGCAAATGAACAGCCTCGAATTTCCATTAAGAGGATGATTTTTGTTTTATCTTGATGGTGGAGAGGCAGGTAAGTCTGTGCTACAGTGCGCAGTGTTGAACGTGAAGCCAGTTACTCAGATTGAATGGGTCAAGCACCTGTTTTATATGTCCCCTAGTGTTCTGTACCTGTTATAGATGTAATTATTTTCTCCACTTACCATGATATATTTGCCTAAATATTCTTTTGCCCTTTATATTCCCTTAGAAATTCACCATCTGCCTAGAAACTATGAGGCAAGGAACAATCTTTTTTTTTTTTAACTTCTCACAAGTACCTTGTAAAATAGGTATGATTATTGTCATTTTCCCGATACAAAATTCTGATTCACGTAGACAAGTTTCATACAGTCTCAAACAACCGATATGTCAGAACTTTTTTTGACTATATACCTGTTTGATGTCAAAACTCAAGCTATGAGAAGTGGATGACAACTCAGGATTTGTGATCAGAAAAATCTGGATGCAGATTCTGATTCTGTTACTTACTAGCAGTATAATCTCAGACACATTATTTAATCTTTCAGGCTTCAGTATCCCTATTGAAAAATGAAGAATATACTAGAGTTTGGATCTCATGATTGTTGAAAGAATTTGATGAGAAAATTTACATAAAGCTTTTAGCATAATACCGGGTACACAGTAATAGTCAATAATATCTGTTATCACTAATAACTATAGTCATAGAACATAACTGTCTTCAAAACTAAGATCAAGTGTTTGATTTCAGTGACTTTTTAAGTCTGTTAAAGGAAATGTCATTTTGCTATTTCAGGTTTCTTCAAAATCTGTTTTGAAAACAAAATGTATCAAGAAGATAATATAAGATGGTCTTCAAAGGCTGACAATTTTTTCTATATGAGTATTTAGTCTGATTCTTCCTGCACATACACAAAACATTTTTCGTTATTAGTTTAATGACTTTCTTGATATATATTTGGATGATAGATAGATGATAGATGGATATACATTTATACCTATTGAGGTAAAAAATAATTCAACAAGTTATCTCGATAAAATAGGGAGATTCTTTGACCTGTGTTTCAGCTGTGTGAATAGAAGATTTTCTTCTTGTTGCGCTTTCATAGCATTTTTGTGTGAATAATTTAGTCTACGAATAAGGATTTTAATTTCTCTATTTTCTCACTCCTAATTTTATGTATCCTATCCCTCATAAATGACTTTCACAAATATTTCCTCATTTTGTCCTTTCATCAACCCTATGAGTTGAGCAGTTTTTATTATTATCTTTTCACAGAGATAGAAATTGAGACACAAAGAGGGTGAACAATTTGGAGAACTGTAAAAGGGAAGGTTGAGCTTCACCTAGAATTTCAAAGGAACCTGAAATGGCAAAATAACATTTCCCTTATCAAACTTAAAAAATCTTTAAAGCTACAATTCACTTACATTTAGCTTTGGGTAATGGATTTTATAACTATTAGTAAAATTCCCTAAAAGGCATTGTTTCATATCTTACTATACATACATTTCTTTCAAGCCTCAGAATAGTACAGATTCTTTTACAAACTATGATTAGTCAAATTTATTCTTAAAACTGCCTGTACTATTGATTAAATTAATTCTCCAAATTTTTCACTGTCTCTGTTTCCAATAGTATTTTTTGTTTTTTATTCCTTTTTTCCTAAGTATTAAAAATTACCAGTATTTTATTTTTACTTATTTTTTTTTTTAGACACAGGGTTCCCATTATATTACACAGGCAGTCTTGAACTCCTGGACTCAAGCAATCTTCCAGCCTCTACCTCCCAAAGTGTTGGGATTACAGGCATGAGGCATTGTGCCCAGCCTAAAAATTACCAGTATTTTTTAAATGGCAGGTTTCACACACCATAATTTTTTTTTTCTTTTTTGAGACATGGTCTTGCTCTGTCACCCTGGCTATAGTGCAGTGGTGCAATCATGGCTCACTGTAGCCTCAAACTCCTGGGCTCAAGTGATCCTCCCACCTCAGCTTCCCAAAGCACTGAGATTATTTACAGGCTGTGCATTTCAGGATGGCCAGCAACAGTCCTGGCCTTTACCTGTTATATCAGTAGTAACACATTCCACTCCCCTCCAAGCAGTGATAACAAAAAATGTCTCCATATATTGCAAAATGTCACTTGGAGGTCAAAATCACCCCAGATAGAAAAACACTGATTTAAACATTTAGCCATATTTAAGATGACTGGGCCAGGTGTGGCCAATCTATGCCCAGCCTGTAAATCTTTACTTTTTCTTTCCCATATTTAATTTCACTTTTTTGATACAAAACATCTCTGAATTGACACTACATAATCACATAGGAGTGCCTCTGTTTATTACGTTAATTAATATTATAGCTATATACACATTTGTTTTTTTCAATGGACTGTGACTTACTTGAAGATAGGAAGAGTGTCTTACTCATCTTCATATCTCCAGGGCCTTAAAAAAGAAGGTTACATCTAAAAGGCCTCAGTATTTTTTTAAATTGCTGATAGAGAAAACAGTTTAATTTAATGAAAACTATTAGCTAGCATTTTTTGTTTGAGATCTTTCTCGTTTGTTTTTGTTTTTTTAGAGGGGAATTATGTCATTTGGTAAATATTCAGTGTTGTACACGTGGAATTTCTAGCCAGAGGAATTACTTCCTTCTCTTTCCTGAAGAAGCTGATTAACTCTGCTGTTCTGGGCTTCAGCAAGGCAGAAGTGTCTCAATAGAATATGGCCTTACGGCAATACGGAGTGGAAGAAAGACAAACATCTGCTTCCCAATTACTAATTATACAACATAGATATCAGAGTGGGAAACATCCTAGTTTTCTTTCGTGAGACAGATATCAGAGTGGGAAACATCCTACTTTTCTTTCGTGAGACTCTTTTCATGCCTGAGACCTTTAGACTTCAATCTAATTGCTTTTGGCTTTCCTTTGCTTCATTTTTGTTCATTATCTCGTCATCCTTCTTCCTCTATTTCTGTATCAGTCTTTGGCTCCCTCCTTCCCTCCCTTTCTCTTTCTTTCTGTCTCTAATATTTTTTCTTTCACCTGACCTCCTCTTATTTCCCCCACTTCCCAGCCTTCTGTGAGTTGGCATTTTTGTTTTCAGTCAAGCTGCTTCCTAAGAATAGATGTGACACAGAGCTAACCCAAAGAAAACGTACAGGTTGCAGTGGATTATTTATAAATAATTGGGTTTGAGAACTTTACAAGGTGAATGAGAAATATAGTCATTCTGGAGTTTGAAATTCACAACTAAGATGTGTTAGTTTGTATTGTTAAAGCAAGCTGTCTCATCATGTTAGGACAATCAGTAGAGAAAACTATCTGGTCTTTTCCATAAGCTGAGTTACTGTAGCTATGGAGAACCAGATATGGGATATAAGCCAAGTGCTTTGCATCTTGAAGAGAGAAGCTCTATTTCCAATAGATTTCTCCTCTAAAAGATATCTAGCTGCAGCCAAACTTTTTTAATAAATATTATAATTCATCAGTGGGCAAACTGCCTTCTAGTATAATCTAGTATAAACTGTACTTATCTAACCATCTAACCTTGATGCCCAGTCTTTTTTTTTTTTTTTTTTTTTGACACAGGGTCTCGCTCTATTGCCTAGGCTGGAATGCAGTGGCGTGATCTCAGCTCACTGCAGCCTCTCCCTCCCAGGTTCAAGCAATTCTCCCACCTCAGCCTCCCTAGTAGCTGGGATTACAGGCATGCACCACCACACTTGGCTAATTCTTGTATTTTTAGTAGAGTTGGGGTTTCACCATGTTGGCCAGGCTGGTCTCGGACTCCTGACCTCAGGTGATCCACGCTCCTCAGCCTCCCAAAGTGCTGGGATTATAGACATGAACCACCGCACCTGGCCCAGTCATCTTAAATATGGCTAAATGTTTAAATCAGTGTTTTTCTATCTGGGGTGATTTTGACCTCCAAGTGACATTTTGCAATATATGGAGACATTTTTTGTTATCACTGCTTGGAGGGGAGTGGACTGTGTTACTACTGATATAACAGGTAAAGGCCAGGAATGTTGCTGGCCATCCTAAAATGCACAGGACAGCTTGCCACAACAAAGAATTATTCATCCCAGAATATCAATCAGCCAAGGCTGAGAAACCCGGACTGAAATGCTTATTGACCTGAAAACCTGCAAACCCCACTGTTTAACTGAGCCCTTGGTAATCCTATAGAAACAATGATTGACTGTGAAAGTCTCTGTCCCTGGCGGCATTTATAAATGGCATGTATAAGAATCAAATGCTGACTGTTGATCCTGGATTTCATATGAAAATATTATTTTAAAATAGCACATGCTTCAGTGGAGAAATAATTTGTATGGTCTACTGGATTAGTCTTTGATACTATAATTTGAGCTCATTTTTAAAAAACAGCCAAATCTGGTTTTAAGGTAATTCTCTATGCCCAGAGTCTTAATTATGTGTCAATTTCTCTGTGCAAATCTATTGATTTTGGCAGACTTACAAATTTAGCATTCAAGCAAGAAGAATATGTCAAAATTGGCTCAAATTTCCTGTGCTTCCAGATTTGTTAGAAGTTTCTTTGTTTTGTAATCATTTATTTTATTACATATTTTGCTTTTATCCATTCCTTTCCAGGGTCCCAGTACAATTAAACTGCAATCCCCAGAAGTTTCCTGTTATGTGCTCAAAAACTGAATCTAATATTTGTAGATAATGAATTCCAGCAGGATCATTCTGATAGCCCTGCACTTCTAGAAATTCTGACGTTTTGGATCTCCCTCTTTCTGGCTCCTATTCTTCTACTTCCCTTCCAAAGAAGATCCTTTGCCTCACTCATTTTCATTAAGCTAACTGGGAAACAGCATTGACTCAGGTTCTTATTTCTGAGTTTTCCCCAGAAGTAGGAAGAACAGTAGTGCAAGGAATAACATTGCATAAGAAGATTGCAGCTTTTATTTCAGGGTCTCTTTCATTTGGCATATAATGCAAGTGGCATGCTGTGTGTTTCATTTTAACTTCGTTAAGCTTGTGTTTTCACCGGGGCCTTACAAATAGTGGTCAACGGCCATTTCACAGAATGGAAGTCAGGGTTCTTGGATTCTAACCCTGGTCCTTCTCTTACAGTGCTGTAAAATTTGGGCCACTCAATTCTCTTTTGGCCTTTATTTTCCATCTGTAAAATGGGATGCCTGGAATACTAGTGTTCCATTAATGTGGCAGGGTGCAGCTGCAGAAAGATAGGGTGGTAAAGGGTGGGGAGAAAGAATGCCTTTTTTAAAAAAAATCAGTCAAAGGGGCTCTATTTTAATATACTATATATAGAAATGACACTGTAGCTTTCATCTGTGTATCAAAACCCCAATCTGGAAACTAGCATTGGCCCCTCTAGAATAAAAGATTTTAAACATCACTTCCTCCATGAAACCAGTTTCTGGTCTTCCTATTCCCCACTTGAATGTGACTCTTTCTTTCTTATGAGGTTTCAAAGACACAGAAAATTTTGTACAGAATCCCATGCATCTAATTTACCTGATGCATGGATTCTTGCCATAAACAATATTCTTGACAGCCTCAATGTCACAATCACAGACCTGAAGGAACCTAAATAATTAAGCTGATCCAGCCACTTCTATTCACAGGAATTCATGGAAGATGCTCAGAGAGAGAAAAGTAAAACTTGCTGAAATCGTTAATGTCCCTAGGGTTAAGTCACTTTATCATTAATGGAATAATGGGGAGTGCGATAAAAATAATCCTATAACTGGTATTATGGTTGACAATTTTCCCCATGGGTCTTGTGTTATAATTATGCGCCATTTGAAATCCTCTATATTAGATGTGAGCTCATTGATGGGAGGAACCCTGTTCTAGTGTGGATCTTACAACTAGTGGTCAATGGCAATGTCATAGGACTTGGAGGGAGTCTAGGTTCCTGGATTCTAATCCTGGATCTTCCATTTGATTGCATTTACTTTGATCAACTCGATTCTCTTTTGAGCTTTATTTTCCCATCCATAAAATGCAATGGTTGCAGTACTAATGTTTCATTAATGTGGCAGACGGGCAGTGGCAGAAAGATAGAGAGCTGGTGGGGAACATCTTCCTCTAACCCATACCCAGGTCTTGCACAACACACATGAGGGTAAGTGACATAAAAACAGTATCAAAAAGTAGATATCTATGACGGTTTATCAGATTAAATGAAAGGCTCAATGGCTTTTATTTTAATACAGCTAGAAACCTGACCTTAGGTCTACCAATATTTTCTCTTTCCCCATTTTCCCCTCTGCTCTCTTCTTTTCAGATGTACTTTCATTGTGTAGACTACTAACAGGACAATGCAGGGGTAGGGCCAAGGAAAAACAGAGAAATAACTAGAGGAAACGATATAGTACAGTAGAGCAGAAAGGAGTGTGGTCAAGAGAAATAGCTTCTTTCAACAACAGTCTGCAGTCCTCTTCAGTACTAAAACCAGCAAAACACACATACAACACTAGGAACGCCACTCAGAAGGCTGACACCAAATTTTTTTTTTAGAGATATGTGTAGGCCATTTGGCAAATGATGACAAGGTCTGGTGGAAAATACTCGGCTAGAAAATCAGACAGCAGGAAAGGAGGGATGAATAAAAAGACAGAAAAAGAATTATAGAAGAAAGATGAATGGAAAAAAAAAAGACAGGAGGAATTATTTTTCCTAATGAGAAATGCAACATTTTCCACCAGACAACTGTGACTCTTGGCTGAATAACTTATGTATCATGTGAATGAAAGTGCAGGGTGGAGGGGGCAGTCCAGGAAGATGTGTCTTATGTCCACTTTGTCTCTGAAGGCAATGGGTTTACTGCAGGTCTCAAGTGCACCACTGATTCACTAGACCACCCCTCAAGGAGGTAGCCATGACTGTTACATAGAGGCTGGAAAGAGTAGGAGACTGGAAGTGAGAAAACCTATTCTGGGCCAAGCTCCATTTGCTTTCCCTTCTTGATTTGTTGTAGAATCTGTGAGGCCAGTGTCATCATCTGTTAAGTGACAGGGATAGATTTTTTCATGATCTTTGAGGGCTCTTTCAAGCTATAGCATTTTTATAATTTTAATAACTACCACTTCCACCCTTGTTAGATTACATTTCTTGAACAAAATAATTACCCTTTCCTCCCTTGCTTTTACGTCACTGCCCCAAAGCAGTTAGTTGACTTGAAGGTGTTCTTTTGGAGTCTCTTCCAGCTATAAAATCTGTGACTCTAAGAAATCCACAGTTTACTTAATTCCTTAGCAATACAAAAGAATAGTCATTATATCAAATCCAGCAAGTCTTCATTTAGGTGAACCTATCCACCTTTCAAAATGTATCAAGTCTCGCCTATGAGGAAGTTGACATTTTATCAAGCATTTCCAAGAGAATTTCACAGCTACCCCTTTGGAGTTTATCAATGAGCAGATGATATTAGTAACAGAATCCATTTGATTCTGAGAGACGAGGTCTATGAAGAAAGGGAGGCAGCAGTTTATTAATTTCCATTGTTAAAGGAGGCCGGGCGCAGTGGCTCGCGCCTGTAATCCCAGCACTTTGGGAGGCCGAGGCGGGCGGATCACGAGGTCGGGAGTTCGAGACCATCCTGGCTAACACGGTGAAACCCCGTCTCTACTAAAAATACAAAAAGAAATTAGCCGGGCGTGGAGGCGGGCGCCTGTAGTCCCAGCTACTCGGGAGGCTGAGGCAGGAGAATGGCGTGAACCCGGGAGGCGGAGCTTGCAGTGAGCCGAGATGTCGCCACCACACTCCAGCCTGGGCGACAGAGTGAGACTCCGTCTCAAAAAAAAAAAAAAAAAAATGGCCAGGAAGGAATCCCTGATTAACCAAGCTGACTAACCATGGGAGAATACTTGCAAGCAATTGCTGCCCTCATCTAATTATTATTATTATTTTTTTTTTTTGAGGCGGAGTCTTGCTCTGTCGCCCAGGCTGGAGTGCGGTGGCGCCATCTCGGCTCACTGCAAGCTCCGCCTCCCGGGTTCACGCCATTCTCCTGCCTCAGCCTCCCGAGTAGCTGGGACTACAGGCGCCTGCCACCACGCCCGCCTAATTTCTTTTTGTATTTTTAGTAGAGACGGGGTTTCACCGTGTTAGCCAGGATGGTCTCGATCTCCTGACCTCGTGATACGCCCACCTCGGCCTCCCAAAGTGCTGGGATTACAGGCTTGAACCACCATGCCCAGCCTCATCTAATTAAATTTTAAGCCTCTGTGGCACTTATCACTTATACGGGCAATAGATGACTGGTAAGGAGCTGACCAGGCTTTCAGATATGGGACAATCCCAAGGAGGAACAATTGTGATTCTAATTCCTTAGCACACGGGACCTAAAATCTAGCTAGATGAACAATCTCTCAGGTTTTCTTCCTAAGGAGTGAGACATAAAGATGGTGACCTGTAAGTTTTGATGGTTTAAGCACAAAAAAGTGTTCAGTTGTTAAAGAGAGGGGGGAAAAGCTTCATCTTTTGAGGAAATAACCATTAGAACAATTTCATAACAGCTATTTCAAGAAGATATGAAATCAATCTTCTATTTGAAATAATTTGCAGATAAAATATACATATTCTACAAATAGGTAAAAATAATTTAAATATGAAATTCAGGAAAGCATTTTTATTCTAAACTAATAAGATCTATATGATGCACTTGTCTGGGTTTTCAATTTCATTTTAAGGCATGCATTATAGAAAGAGATAGCAGTTGATAAAACAGAGTAAGAGTGAGGAAATTCCTAGAGTTTACTTTGTTTTCCCCTAGGAACCACTAATCAAATAGATTATGGTCAAGATAAAGGAAGTTCCAAGAGGACTCTAGGACCAAAATAGAATTGTCTAATGTAATTGTGTCTTTATTTTTCCCCTTCCTTTTAATCCTAATCAAATAGATTATGGTCAAGATACAAGAAGTTTCAAGAGAGGACTCTAGGACCAAAACAGAATTGCCTAATGTAATTGTGTATTTATTTTTCGCCTTCCTTTTAATCCTAAGAAGAAAAACAAAGGTCAAATGGAACAAAGCAACAACACAGAAACAAAACAAGCAGGGGCAAGCTTGTTTTGAGTAGAAAAATGAATAAATAAACAGCATTTTTTTTTCCTTTTTTTAAATGGTTGGGAAAAGTGGGAGAAAAAAAAAAAAAACCAGACACTGTCAAACCATTCCTGATTATAAAGGACACAGATAAGAAAGAAAAGTATCCCTCATGTTTGTTTAAATTCCAGAATTGTGCATGAAACAGGTACAATATGTCAAGGGTATTTTGAAGTATAGTTTTAAGTAATAAGAACTAAAGAAGAAAAAGTGGGGTGGGAAAGGGGGTGAAAGTTTGCAACATTAGCCAGAACTTGTAAGTAGAAAATAGTGAGAAGTCAGGCAGTCAACAGTCCTGAAACGTTCTCTTCCAACTGACCAGCCAGGAAGCCAAACAACTAAAGTGAGAAAACCTCCTGCCACCATGCAGAAATCTTCCTCAACAACATTTCATATGCATGGAACCAAGTTATTATTCATTCAACAAACATACACTGAACCACCCCCTGTTTTAGGTATTTGGAGGGAAGATGGTTGTGAATCACCCAACTCAGACCTACTGAGCCTGTATCTGTAATTTTGAATCACATTTTAAAGCCCCTGATGATTAATAATAATTATCCATTTAGTAATCATCCAAATCTGGGAACCTCTGCTTTAGGAGATACAAGAATCACTAAGACAGTTCTTGATTTCAGGAAGCTCACCTAAGTAATAACGAAATTATCACTTTTTCCAAAACAAGGTTAAAAATGAAAAATGACAGAAGAGGAACAAAATTGTTACTGTGGGAATTCAGAAAATGGAGAAATGGTATACTTTTGGGAGTTGTAGATGGAGTGAAGGAAGAACTCACAGAAATAGGTGCATTTATATGTTAGGATAGTTATGATTTGAACATGTAGAAGAGGAAGAGGAAAGGTCTACTATTTTAACTAATAAAAAGAATAAATGTATCTCCAATGGTTACTGAGAATCAGGCCCTATGCTGGGTGCTTTACATCACTCATCTCTTAAACTTAACTTAAAATAGGAACGTAGGCCCCATTATTTCCCCATTTTGCAGATGGGAGAACTAAAGCTGAAAAATCTTATGGAATTTGCTGACAGTCACACAGATAGAGACTGGGAAAACTAAAAATTAATCCCATATCTATCCATTCTAAAGCCTCTACACCTCCCAAGAAAGACTAAACAAGGCCAAGAGATGCAGAAGTGTCAGGCATAAGACAAAGCACTCATTGTTACCTTTGGCTGGAAGGCGGCAGAGTTGGGGAAGATAGGACTGGGAAGGTTGAGAGGGAGCCAGGCTGTGGATGCTATGGTAACCTATTTGAGCTTTATATGGTAGCAAGAGGAAGTCCACTGAAGGTTTCTGAGCAGAGAATGCAATGATAAAAGCTATATATTACGTCTTAGGCTATGAATCATGGGTTATCTCTAACAATCTTAAATGATAAAAATCAAAAGTTTGAAGAGTCTCACACTGCCTTTAAACAAAAAGTATGGCTAGGAGCCACGTGAAACTACTGCCTCATAGCTGTCTAGGCAAATTCCCAACATGCCAGGCCTTGAAAAAATTCAACAGAGCAAGGCTCATGAAAGATGTAGTGAGTATCTGTTACCCTGCAAGACAAGGATATACTCATCCCTGGAGCTGTCCAAATCTGGCATAAGGATAGCCCTGGGGTATGCAGCATTCTCTGGGACCTGATGTGAACCTACAGGCCAGTGGGCACAGGAAAGCTATCGGAATCAGTTATTGGAAGAATCCAGACTCCTGACTCCCAGCCCTGTGCTCATTTCAACAGATCATTTGGTATGCCACTAAATATGTGACACTGAGCAAACCTCTTTACCTTTCTATTAAACATTTAGAAACATCCCTTTCCTCATCTGTGAACCAAGAAATTGAACTCATTGGGTCTCAGATTTCATGATTTTTCATCCTTCTTCCCCTCCAACACACCAGCACAAATAATCTGCTTTCATCGGAGGCCCACTCAGCAGGATTTGGGGGAGCAGTAACATCTCCTGAGAGCTTCTATAGTTGGAAAATCTCTTAGCTGAGAATAATTGTACTTTCTTAGCTTTATGAAGCATTCCAGTCCTCCCTCACTGAATTTGATCTAGTCCAGGATTATCCTTTTAAGTGCAAACTGGATCACTGATGTCAAAAGCAATTAAACAATACAGGGCACCATGACCATATCCAGTCACATGGCAGGGAGTTCCTCATCCTAACATCAGGGAATCAATGCCCTAGAATCCAGACCTGTCAGAGCTCCAGGATGTTCTTTTATTATTTGAGAGGTTTTTTTTTTTTTTTTCAGTCTCAAAAGATGGTGTGTGTGCGTATTCATAAGTGAAATTCCAAGGAAGCCAAGCAAAGGCTAAAACT
Organism: Homo sapiens; assembly: GCF_000001405.40. NCBI lineage: Eukaryota > Metazoa > Chordata > Mammalia > Primates > Hominidae > Homo > Homo sapiens. The sequence continues at coordinate 190,117,733 of NC_000003.12, forward strand.
GGGGCTTTCTTGGGGGCTGGGGGAGGGGGGTGAAGGGGAGAGAAAAACCATGATGCAGTTTTAGAGGTTCACAAACTCCAACTTTCAAAAACGAATTTCCAAAAGGATAAAATATTTTCTTCTTAAGAGATTATCAATTATGTAGATCCAAGAAACTGCCAGAGAAGAGAAGTAGGGAGAAGACGCAAGACTTGTTCTGCTCTCAGAAATATTGCTGGTAGAACTGAAATGAACACACGAAGCCACGGATCTTTGAAAGAACTTCTTAAACTTCATTAATTCATCAGACAACACCCAGTAATTCACTTACAGAGTGTGACTTGTTCCTGTAATCAATTCACCACAAAAATTTGAGGTATGTTAAACCTATGGCTTCACCTTCTTTGACCTCCAACCAGGGAACCGGAGGGGAAATGACTGACAAATGCTGACATTAACAGTGAAGCAAGCAGAATTCCAGAACCAGGGAAACCCACATATTGAGAGTTACCTCATGGTTATTTGTTTTTATAGGACTGACCTTGACTATGTATTCTTTCTCCAGATATGAGAAAGGAAAATATGTCCAAAATTTGTGACAGAATTAACAGCAGGACTGCTAACCTTACATCCGAGACTCCTGGGAGGACCAAGCTACAGGGACCACCCATGTTCTGCTCTGGGAACTAGCTTATGATAACTTCACCGTCAGACACTCAAGGTCCCCTCTCTGCCTGGTGTTGACTGATTTCTGTAAGACCACCAGAAATTGTGTAAATCACTTAGAAGAAATTAGAGTTATACTTCATACATGCCTTAGCAATCAGGAGGCACAAGCAAGCAGAAGACAAGTCCTGGAAAGGATTCAGACTTTCTCCTCATTTCTTGCCCAAGATACTAGTCCAGTGAACTCCAACACCTTAGCCACAACACAAGGAAGTTAAGATTTATACTTAGTTGAAATTTCGTGCACTCCACCAACAGTTGCCAATCTGAGAGAACCCTACCACAGATGAGGGCAGAGATCTTGTGGGATGAGCTGCAAAAGGCATTTGGATATTTGAACATGGTATGTACTTTCATCTCCTTAGAAACACAGCCTGGTCCAGCCGTGCTCACGCCTATAATCCCAGCACTTTTGGAGGCGGAGACGGACGGGTCACCTGAGGTCAGGAGTTCGAGACCAGCCTGGCCAACATGGTGAAACCCCTTCGCTACTAAAAATACACAAACACACACAAAAATTAGCCCGGCATGGTGGTGCACACCTGTAATCCCAGCTACTCAGGAGGCTGAGGCAGGAGAATCGTTTGAGCCCGGGAGGCGGAGGTTGCAGTGAGCCCAGATTGCACCACTGCACTCCAGCCTGGGTGACAAGAGCAAAACTCCGTCAAAAAAAGAAAAGAAAAGGAAGAGAGGAGAGGAGAGGGGAGGGGAGGGGAGGGGAGGGGAGGGGAGGGGAGAGGAGAGGAGAGGAGAGGAGGGGAGAGGAGAGGAGAAAAGAAAGCAAAGCAGAGCACAGCAGAGCAGAGCAGAGCAGAGCAGCCTGGTCCATTGGCTAGCATGAACAACCAACCCCAAAGCTTCCACTTTTCCGGTAGCTGTAGAAGATACATTGATATATTAACACAGAAAACGAGAAAGAAGGGTTAAGAGTGTCAATTTGAAGGAAAATTGGGTGAGTGGCAGTGGAGGTTGAAGAACTCATTCAAATTCCCTCTGCTGAAGCATCCAGAGAGATCTTCAAAGTTATGGATGTGAACAATATGTCAATATGCATACTATACCTCCTGACGCTAACTTTAGGCAAGTTAGGCATACAAAAATAAAACTAGAAAGAGAGGACTGATGCCTAGTAACCCAGTCCAATGCATACCACCAGAAAACGTAAGCCCTCTATCAAAGGAGAAAAAGTCAACACTTAGGGTGGATACTTTGACTGAGACTGCCTCAAACAGCTTCGCCTCCTCCAAGCATACCTTCTCTTTAACCTTTGATCTTTACTTTTTTGTAGGTGAAGGGGAGAAGAGAGAGAAATTTGTTTTGGAACAGGTCTTTCAACTTCACTATTTTGAAGATTCTTTTAAACTTCAGAGAAAAGGTGCAGACTACAGTATAGGAAGGATAAGAGAGAGGAGACAAAAGAAATGGGAAGTGAGAAGGGAGAAGAGAAATGGGAAGTGAGAAGGGAGAAGAGAAATGGGAAGTGAGAAGGGAGAAGATAAATTGTACTAGATTCAGCTTTGTCAATGCCTCATGAATTAGTGCTGAATGGGTACTTTAAACATCACCTTATCAGGACAGTCCTCTTTTTGAGAGAGAAGCTGGCTCTGAGAAAGAGAGAAAAAGACTTGTCCAAGTTAATCAATTGTTGCATACAGAGATAGGGCCACCAGATATCTGGATTCACAAACTGAGACACATATTTAAGGAGACCCAATTCGAAAGACTGAACAGAGATGACGGGGGCAGCAGGGAGGGCTCAAGAGAGCGTGTGAGAGCCGCAGGGGCTTTGCAGTGGAGGAGCGCTCTGTGGGTACCTTGATGTAGGCCCGCTGCAGGTAGTTGTAGGGCACTCTGCGCTGGAAGTCGCTGCGCACATCCTCGCTGACGCGGTGGCGGGATGCGGGGCCCCCGAGGCGCTGGGTCTCACAGCTGCGATAACAGCGCGCCCGCCCCAACAAGGAGCGGAAAAGGGGCAGCTCAGCGCCGGGGCCCTCGCCGGGGGGCGGGGGCGGGAGCGGGTGGCGCGCCGCGCAGTGGCGGGCACAGCGCGTGCGGATTTCCCGCAGGCGCCGGTGGCTGCGCAGCGCCGCTTCCAAGTCGCGCACCGCTCGCTCGTAGTCTCCGCTGTAGTAGGCGGCCGCGCCGCTGGCGTAGAGCAGGTCGAAGGGCTGCAGAGGCCCGGGCTCCAGCTCCAGCTCCCGGCGTGGGCTGTCCGGGGGGCCGCCCCACAGTGGCGGCGGCAGTAGCAGCGGCAGCAGCAGCAGCAGCGGCGGCGCCCAGATGCGCTCCCGCATCCTCCGCCTCAGAGAGGCGCGGGACGGTTACGCTCGAGAGGGCTTCGGGGCACCTCGCGTCCGGGTCCCCTCTCCCACCTTCCCTCGGGGAAGCGCGCCGACTCCGCCGCGATCTGGCCGCTCCGCGAGCCCCAGGTGACCGCCGGCGCTCCGCGTACTGAGAGGCGGAGGCCGTGCCTGGCCAGCCGCTCTTAAAGGGACGCCCACAGCTCACACGCTCCTCCTGCTGCCTGAGACTCCGAGAGCCGCTCTCCCAGGCTCCCCGCTGCAGCGGCGGGGCTGCCAGGGGCGGCACACTCCAGCGCCAGCCAGAGAGCTAGCGCCGCTTGAGGCCGGCCGGGGACGAGGCGCTTTACACGTGAGCTCCCTTCTGGTTGTACAAGTGGATAGTATTAGTCTTCTTTTTGGGAAATAAAGAAAATCCAGCTTAGCAAGGTTAGGGCCTTAATCATATTCTGGAATCTCTGTATGGCCTCGCAGTTTGCAGAGTGCTTCACCTTCTAAATGAAGCCTGGAGCGCCATTTCAGACTGAATCAAACCGTAGATGCCATGTGTACCTACGCAACAAATCTGCGCATTCTGCACGTGTATCCCGGAACGTAAAGTTAAAAAAAAAAAGAATAAATAAATAAATAAATAGAAAAAAAACCCATAGAGGCCCTGTAGGCCCAGATGCGGAGGTTTAAGAAGATAAGTGATTTGCCTAAATGCATAGAGCTGAGAAGTGGCAAAGGACGGACCCAACCCAGGGCCTTTAGAACCAAAGCTTACCGCTTCTTCTCTTGGGGAAGGTTTCTCCCTTACCTTTTCGTCCAACTTGGTGTGGATGTGTGTCCGGGCATTGGATCAGGGCGCTGGGCCAGGGGAAGAACAATATATAGCCTGCCTTTCCTGTGCAGCCCGTGGTTTTACAGGGCCCAGAGAACCTTTGGAGGCAGGAGGAGCTGTACTCGCATTCTGGCTCCGTCCGTTTACCAGCTGTGTGACCTTGGCAACTGAGGGCCTCAGTTTCCTCATCTCCTAAACAGCCAGACGCCTAACACGTAAAATGCTATTCAGAAAAAAATTCTTGCTGTGGGCCAGGTGCAGTGGCTCACCCCTGTAATCCCAGCACTTTGGGAGGCCAAGGCGGGTGGATCACCTGAGGTCAGGAGTTCGAGACCAGCCTGGCCACCATGGCAAAACCCCGTCTCTACTAAAAATACAAAAATTAGCTGGGCGTGGTGGCACGTGCCTGCAGACCCAGCTACTCAGGAGGCTGAGGCAGGATAATTGCTTGAACCTGGGAGGTGAAGGTTGCAGTGAGCTGAGATCATGCAGCCTGGGTGACAGAGTGAGACTCCGTCTCAAAAACAAAAAAAACAAAGAAAAAGAAAAGAGAGGAGAGGAGGGGAGGGGAGGGGACGGGAGAGGAGAGGGAAATTCTTATTCTAAGAGTTGAACAAAGAGGCAATTTAGTATATCCCTTACCTCAAGGAATTAAGCAATCTGCATCAATCTAGGAATGAGAAAGCTGACAGAAATGGTTGCCAGATTCCAAACGACTAGCTGGAGGCTTCCTGTTCCTCCCCTTCTCCTCTGTCACGAATACATTCTTAGCCAAGGTGTTCCCCTCTTTCGTGTTCCTTGGCTTCACACTCTCACAAGAATATTGGTTGGACCCTGGATCCCAGCCTGCCTCCTGGAGGCATTTCTGTGGTCTTCTAGTGCCTGTGAGAATCTCATCAGTCTTTCAGCCCCTGCAATGGTGAGCAGAGGGACAGGCAATGGGAAAAAGACTCACGCATGTATCTAGTTGCTATGATTTTTCCGAAGAAGGCTTTTATGTGGAATCACCACTACGCTGAGGGGCTTGCCAGAGATTCATGCTGATTCCTTCATTCATTTTGTTAGGTTTGACCACTCAGGCCATGAACAGCCCTGGCTGTGTAATTCCAAGAGACACTGATGAATCATGCTCTTTTTTTTTCCCACCAAACGTTACTAATTCGGCTCATATCACTGATGAAAAAGCTCCAGTTTGGAGCTGAATGTATATTGAATGCCTTGGATGGTCAGTGTTCCAGAATTAGCACATCAGTCATCTGCCCAGACTTTTTCTCTAGAGATTGTCTGTTTTCAGATAAAGATTTTGGAGTCTAGTCCAGGGTTATCAGTCCACTTGTGGAAGGTTTTGAAGCACATCAGGATAGGAACTCCTGCTGTGGGACTGAGGGCAAAGTGCCAGGATACCTTGCTACATTCTATTTGTACATTTGGTGACATTTCTACATCATTTAATATATTTCAATTAAATTAACAATTTTTGATGCCTACTCTTAAAGTAAATATTCTAGGTGAAAGAGAAGATAAGTCAGGATTCTTACCTTTGGGAAGCTCACAGTACTGTATAGGAAACAAATTTGATATATATAATGTATACAGCTATAATACAAGGTAGAATGTGGTACGTGTTAGATTAGATTGAAAGTGTTGGCCGGGCGCAGTGGCTCACACTTGTGATCCCAGCACTTTGGGAGGCCGAGGCAGGTGGATCACCTGAGCTCAGGAGTTGGAGACCAGCTTGGCCAACATGGTGAAATTCCGTCTCTACTGAAAATACAAAAATCAACTGGGCGTGGTGGCAGGCACATTTAATCCCAGCTACTCAGGAGGCTGAGGCAGGAGAATCACTTGAACCCGGGATGCAGAGGTTGCAGTCAGCCAAGATCGCGCCATTGTACTCCAGCCTGAGCCACAGAGTGAGACTCAGTCTCAAAAAACAAAAAGAAAAAAAAAAAAGAAGAAGAAAGAAAAAAGAGCTCTGGGAACACAGAGGTTACAAAGATAGCTTCTGGCTAGAAGGATCTAAAAAGACTTAGGGAAATAATTGGCATTAGCACACAGTCAATAGCCTATAGAATGCAACCACATCCTACTGATTGCCAAATTGGCCAGGTTCTTTCAAGCCTCTTGTATGTCCTACTACCTTATTTCTTATATCTTACTACAAGTAGTAAGTAAGTAATATGCCTTGTATTACTACCTTACGTACAATCTCTGCCTGACTTGAGAGAAACTATTCATTGACAACTCAAATTTGCTTGAACATTAGAATCACCTAAGAAGTGTCTGGCTTCTGCTCTGAAAGATTCTGATTTATTGGTCTGGGATATGACCTGAGCGATGGGATTTTTAGAAGTTTCCCAGGTGATTATAATACGAAGCCAAGGTTGAGAACCACAGGTCTACAGCTAATGCCACAGCCCAAAGAATAAGTCTATGAGTTGGGGTTCCAGGTGCTGTGTAGAATTCATGAGTAGGTAGGGTTTGGAGAATAGGTAGGGTTTTGTGTAATCCCCCAGATATTCCCTCCCAGGAAAGCCAATCTGATCTGCTTTTTAAGGCTGGATCAGGACAAAAAGTTCATGACCTTATGGTAATAAGAGCCATGCAGTGCCAAGAAGCTGATTCCAGGTCATGCTGTCCCAGTGGTACTTACTCAATGTTGGAACAGACAGTCATCCACGAGTCTCTTATACTCCTGAACTTCTCACAGAGTGTGCCAAGAATGTACTTTTTCCTTAAATAATTAACTGACTTCCATCTCAGAGTTCCGGATTCACTAAACCTGGGGTGGAGCTTTCAAATTTGCATTTCTAACTTGTTCCTTGATGATGTGCTGCCCATACTTTATTATCTGATTTCTTAGGAACAATGGTTCTAAAACTTCGTTGTGTTGTGAAAAAGCTAGTAAGATCGTGGAGACCCTGGATTTTTGAACTAGAATCTAGTCTGGGCCTTTATATTTTTACCAGTTTCTCAGGTGATGCAGATACTAACCAAAGGTTAAGATTCACAGCTTCAGTTAGAGCAGTGGTTCTCAATTGAGAGTGATTGTACTCCCCAGAGGACATTTCACATTATCTGGAGGTATTTTTGGTTGTCGGATCTGGGGCATGGTAGGTGGGAGCATTCATACTGTTGGTGTCTAGTGGGTAGAACCAGGGATGGTGTTGACCATACTGCAATACACAAGACAGCTACCTACAAGAAATAATTATTCAGTCTAATGTGTCAATGGTGCCAAGCCTGAGGGATATAGCATAGTTTGAGCACTGCGAGGCTCATCTAATTCCCTTAACTTAAAAATGAGGATACTTAGACCCACAGGTAGGCAGTAGCAGGAGTACAATGCTTAATTTGATATAGCAAAATATAAAACATATATGCTAGATGTCATGGGGCAGTGGGTGATAGTAGTTTTGTAAATTCTTTTTTAAAAAGCAAAAGAAAAAAGCACATGACAGTAAGAAAGAAAAATATTTGAGAAAAGACGACATTGGAACATAAAATGTTGACATTTCTACTAAGATAGGTATGAACTGGGAGACTGGAATTTTGCTTTTCTTCCTATTCTTTACAAAATCAAAGAATAGCCAGAGCACAAGAGAATCCATCCAAAAACATTAAAGGAGATTCTGGGCGACAGAGCCCTTTTTATTATATTTGGATTGAGTCTTAACAGAGCTTGAATTTCCTTTTGACTTCTGTTTACAAGTCAACAGCATAATTGCACCGTCTTTCTTTAGGGAACCATCAGCAAGTAGGAATTAGAAGAGATTTTTAAGTGCTTCTTATTTTCTCCAAATCAGCTTAGTTTTTAAAAACCAACTTTTCTCCATTCTAGTAAATATTTTTGGAACAATAAAAGTGTACTCGGACTTCAGCAGTAGACTTAACACTTTCCAAAAGCGAATCTGATACTAGTTTATTATGATCACGTGTAACCAGGGCTCTTGCTTGCCCCAAACATCTTTGATTCCTTTGAAATGAAAGGAATAATTCTCACTGTGCGACAACCCAACTCGTTGTTCAGCTGCTGTTGATGCTGGTGACAAGGGAGTTGTTTTGGAGACAATTTTTTCTTACGCAAATAAAATCATCTGAAGACTTTTTTTCCTCCAAATAAGTTAGTGTGAAAGGCAAGCCACCAACAATCTGTCAACGTAAGAGAGTGAGAGAGAAAGCCCTCCCTGGAGAAAGAGGTTTTTTTTTTAGAAAAATTAATATTTAACTTACATTTAAAATCAAACAGGAGCTGCCACATTCCAGGACTGTCTGTTCCTTTCCAATTTCTTCAATAGCTCCATCCTTGTGCTTACCTTAATTCTCAGTTGAGCTTTAAAATTCCAAATCAAACAAAACATGCAAACACTCTGTCCTCACACTCATGTTGTGGAGACATTCTAACTTCATTCCTTGGAAGCCTCACATTTAGTTGAACAACAACTACAAAGAAGTGAAAAAATAACGCTGGCCGGGCGCAGTGGCTCACACCTGTAATCCCAGCACTTTGGGAGGCCGAGGCGGGTGGATCGCCAGAAGTCAGGAGTTCGAGACCAGCCTGGCCAACATGATGAAACCCCGTCTCTACTAAAAATACAAAATTTAGCCAGGCGCGGTGGCCCCCGCCTGTAATTGCAGTTACTCGGGACGCTGAGGCAGAAGAATCATTTGAACCTGGGAGGCAGAGGTTGCAGTGAGCTGAGATCATGCCACTGCACTCCAGCCTGGGTGAAAAGAGTGAAACTCCATCTCAAAATAAATAAATAAGTAAATAAATAAATAATAACGGTGCTAAGTATTCCCCAAATAATTGAGGCTAAAAACACAATTCAGATTGAAATCCAGATTATTGGGTATATCCTATGTGTTTAGCATTTTACCAATTATTTTTACAAACATTAAGTTATATAACCCTCAAGGGTCCCTTTGAGTAAGACATTTGTACTGTAATGTTACCGTTGAAATAATTGAGGCTTATAAAATAGAAATGACTTGCCTAATGCAATAGTTTGAAACTGACAGAGCCAGGACTAAAGCTTATTTAGTGCTTTTCTCACTGCTTCTCAGTGCTTCCTTCTAGGCCTAAAATACCTTCATAGCTTCTGTCACAATTCTGCCTTGGTTCAAGTTATACAGACCACATTTCTGCTTTAATCACCAAATTTGTTTTATAAGCATCATTCAGCTAGAGTCCCAGACTCATAAAATTATTTTGCAAAATATATATAGACAAAGTGTGTTTGTATGTGTGTGTGTGTGTGTGTGTGTGTGTGTAAAGCCATATGTATTGGACAGAAGCTGAATACAACTTTGAACTCAGCTTGTTAGACGATATAATGTGTATAGGAACACTCAAGACAAGAGAAGTAAATAGGTCTTAATTCATTTCTACACAAGGGATGCCAGAACACTGTTCTTGGGTGCAAAGAAAAGCCTTATGCATCAGAAATTCTGGAAGAGAAGAATATTCTGTATGCATGGGATGATCTGTCATCCTGAGATAACCCTTATGCCCTCCCTGTCCCAAGACCCTCTTCGCATTTCCATCCCTGCACTCTTCCTCACAGGGCTCCCTGATATCACATTTCAGAAGCATCCCTGTTGCAAGCTCCAGGAACTGAGTCTGGCTCTGGTCATTCTGTAGTTCCAGGAGGCTTTGTCCCATGGCAAAGTAGACACCACTGTTCTCCTAGTGGCCTACTCTAACTTGGAACACTGGTTTAGAAACTGAACCCTTGTATTTTCCTGTTTAGGTATATTAGGGTTGATCATTAATGACTTATCTTTTCCCAACTTCAAACTTGGAATCACTTGAGATAATTATCCAAATATTACCTTTATTGATGAATAAGCAGTTTTGAAGAACATGGGTTTTAATCTTTAGTAAATGGTCTTTTTATTTCTTCAGCCAACCACACCCTCAAATCAAACTTACCTGCCTACTCCCAGGCCACGCTAGACAAGTATGAAGTATTACTGTAGAAATTTCCTCATTGAGATATTTAAGAAAAATGAGGGCTTCCTTCAACATTCTACTTAATCTCAATAATTATCACCCTATTTCCTCTGAAATGAGTCCCTTGCCTTACTCCTTCTGGCTCTAACTGAAATTGTTCCTAAACCTCAGTCCCTTTCATAGCTGTTAGATATCAGTAATGCCACTAACCTGCCTGGACCAGCACCTAGCTCTTGCTATCAAACTCCTTGGGTAAGAGCTTCATCTTTCTGGTATGGCATCTTCCTGTCTCCCTTTAAAGCCACCCGAATACTGACTGCTTTGCTATTGGACATCTGCATTTCATCCTGTTGCTTCCTGCCTATATACCCCTAAGTCTGGTCCACTAAAATGTTCTGACCAGTTGTTAAGACCTTCCTTTGGATCTGGCCTGCCCTGCTTCTGACAGGGCCCCTGAGCTGACAGTGCACTGAGGCGTGTTCTGGCTACAACAGAGCTATTGATGTGCTTATCTCTCTGGCCTCAGCTTCATGGGAAAAGGATGGAGACGCACACTTCAATTGTGAATCATGTCTTGTTCCCATTTTCAGAAAAACGTAGGCTGCTGCAGTTTTTACATTTTGTCGGGGATCTAGATGGAAAGCCAAATATAAAAAGCGCAGGAAGGAATACAAAGATATTAGTTGACTGATAGAAAATTTACATTAAGTTCCCTCCTAGCATTAAACTTTCATCTTTGTTCAGGTTCAACTCATACTAATTGAGGATTCTAAACTGGAAACATTTTTGTGATTTTATTTGAGCCCTGGGGTTTAGAGACAGGAAGAAATTAAGGGATACAATATTATACAAACTTTACGAATGAAGACATTTGTTAAGATATTTGTCTTTACTGCCTAATTTATGATTTTTTTGTGGATTTCAAAAAATATTTTAAGTCCACAGAAAAAAAATAAGTTACGCAGTAGAGAGTTGAATCTGAATCCAGAGCTCACTTTACTGGAGATGTCTTCCTTCTCTTGTGAGGACCTCCAGACAGGAATTCCTTTCAGCGCCTGCAAACAGGAGGCTTTGTTCTAGTCAATTTCTTCAGACTTCTGGTAGCCTCCAAACTCATCATCTGGTAGGATCACAGGGAAACTAAAAGAGCCAAATACTAGGACAATAAAGCCTCAGCCACTAAAACCCTCTGAATTCTACTGCTGGGTATTCACCACTCTAATGATTCTAGGCTGCTCTGCCCACCCTTATCACCATTTCCCCACATCTACGTTATGCGTCATGTAACCTGTGGTATCCTGCATGCTGGCACCAAGTTTTCCCACCCAATCTTGCATCCCTGCTTCTATGAATAGCATCTACATGTGCTTCCCCCAGGACTGCTGAGCCCCCTCTTCTGTTCTCTTCTTTAGTGCCTGATGGGTACTAGCAGCCCACCCCAGCCAGATGGAGGACAAGGCCTCTCCAAGTCTCAAGGAAATGCACAATCCTTCCTTACCTCTGGCCTCAGAACTCTCAGCATCTCATTGATTAGCAACCTCATCTGTGGCAAATCTAAGGTAATTGCTTTGAAGGTAATAAGATGATGTAATATGTAATGTTTTTACTTTATATAAAGCATCAGTAGCTCACATTTTATGATTTGTAGTCACTAAGATTAACAACTCATGATTTACTATCAAGTATAGATTAAAAGGTAATTAAAGAGTCAACTTTATAAATATATACATATATGTTTTTTCTCCCATATATACATGGTCAAAAAAAGGTTCAGAGGAAAAAGAACAGATTTGCGACCGGGCACGTTGGCTCATGCCTGTAATCCCAGCACTTTGGGAGGCCGAGGTGGGTGGATCACCTGAGGTCAGGAGTTCGAGACCAGCCTGACCAACATGGAGAAACCCCGTCTCTACTAAAAATACAAAAAAAATTAGCCAGGCGTGGTGGCGCATGCCTGTAATCCCAGCTACTCGGGAGGCTGAGGCAGGAGAATTGCTTGAACCTGGGAGGTGGAGGTTGTGGTACCAGCCTGGGCAACAAGAGCAAAACTTCATCTCAAAAACACAAACAAACAAACAAAAAAGAACAGATTTGCTTTTTTCTTAATAAAGAAAAATGTTTTGAATTCACTCTGTAGAAATTTAAAACTGCTTGATGTTTTAGTGATCAAAATAAAATTATCAAAGCTAAAAATACCAAATAGATATGTCACTAAATTGATTATTTTGTTCCTCATAGTAATTTTAAAAAATACATTCAGGCTGGGTGCAGTGGCTCACACCTGTAATCCCAGCACTTTTGGAGTCCAGGCAGGTGGATCACGAGGTCAGGAGTTTAAGACCAGCCTGGCCAATATGTTGAAACCCCGTCTCTACTAAAAATGCAAAAATTAGCCAGGCATGGTGGCGCGTGCCTGTAGTCCCAGCTATTCAGGAGGCTGAGGCAGGAGAATCACTTGAACCTGGGAGGCGGAAGTTGCAGTGAGCCGAGGTCATGTCACTGCACTCCAGCCTGGGTGACAGAGCAAGACACCGTCTCAAAAAAAAAAAAAAAAAAAAAACAGAATGCATTCAGAGGAAAATATTGGCAGAACTCATAAAACTTGCCAATGTGACTTCTGGAGAAATCTTCACTCATCATACCTGAATATTTTATATTCTGTCTGACTTCACTACTCATCTTGGCTACCCTGAAAATAGATTCCAGCTTCCTGATTACCTCACCAGCCTGTCTGTGGTTTCTTCAACCAGGCTGTCCCTACACCAGTCCAGTCCTGCTGTGTTTATTTCCAAATTACCTCTCGGTAGCAGTACCTGACCATATGCAGATTGCCCATATGGAAATGTATTTGAAGGGATAAACCAGTGATCATCATTCTCTTAACCTCTTGGAAAAAAGATATCTATTTGATGTCAACACTGTGTCTATGTTCTAGCAAATAATATTTTGTTGAGTGAACAAAATAAATTTATATTTCAAAAGAGATGTACACATAAAATTACCCTGGATAGGAAATTAGAACATCTTGGATCCGGTCTGTTTCTTCCGTTATCTAGGTCTGGTATCTTAGGCAAGTCCCTTTCTGGGCTTCTTTTACTCCCATCAGTAATGGAAAATGTGAAACTAGATCTCTGAGATGTCTCCTAGATCTCCATATTCTTTAATTCTTTCATTTAAAATATATACTTTTGTCACATTCCTAGAGATCCCCAAAGCATTGCTCCCCCTCTTCCTACATCTGTCTCTGGGATAAAGTTAAACTTTGGTTCCCAAGCAAATTTCGAAGCTCCCTCTGGGGTCATTAAAAGTCTTAGTTTACTCAGAGCTTGTTGGTTTTGCCTAGAAATCTCGGCTGCTCTCACCAAGTAGAGCAAGAGACTACTGTTATTGTTTTGAGCCAGCCCGTAGCATAGTAACAATTCTGGGCAATACGGAGTTGATCCATATGCCCAGCTCCCTGGGGAACCTCCTTACTTCAGTCTGTCCAGCATGCGTGTTTGCCTTCTGTCTTTGGGCCTTTATCCATAGGAAAGACGAAATATGAATATAATCCAGGACTGAGGGAAAATAATGACTGGAATTGCAGCTACTCTATTCTACCACTTCACATTATAAATAGAGAAGCTAAGACCCAGGTGCAATGATGAAGCTCACCTAAAATAATAACAAATGATTGGTTAAACCAATATCTTAACTCCTCTCTCCTGTTGGATTGAATCCCTTGTCACTCTGTTCCTTGGAGAAATTCGGAATGTAAGTAGTAAACTAACTGAGCCAGTTTACTTCTGAAGGAGGGAGACACTTTATATTTTAAAATAAACTTATTTAACTCTAAACCAGTTTCAAACTTTCAATCACTACTTTTGAGGTACTATAAAAATATACCTATGTACGCTTAAAACCTTTTCAGGTTCAGAGGACTAGGACTAGCTTTAGATGACTCCTTACTTTCAATGATGCAAGTCGTATAAACAAAATATCCATTTTTGTTCACACTTCAGTCCTAATATACCCATGAGAAAACATGAGTCACTAACTTGACGTTCTACTCCTGGAAGACTGCCAGCCCTCAGGTTCTATCACATAAAAGCAAATGATAGGTTGATTTGTTAAAATAAATATCAAATAAATTATAATTAATTTCCTTCAAAGTAGACACCTTGGTGTTACATACGCTGATCTCATTGATGATATCAATGCTTTGGGAAGGACTTGTGGAGAAATTTCTTATTTTATAACCAAAACTGATTGTTTTTCTTTTTTACCAAAGAAGAGTCTTTTTAAATTCATTTTCCATTTTGTTTTTCTTTTTTACCAAAGAAGAGTCTTTCTAAATTCATTTTCCAAAATCAACTCCAGGTGACATTTAGATGTTTCCTGAATTCGAGTAAACTTCAAAAGATAAAGAATTACCCTTATTAAAAATAATAGTAATTGAAGCCAGTCTTCTAAATGTTCAGAGACCTTTCTTTTGATTAATGAATAATCATTTCATATATAATAATCACAGATTTTTAAAATGTAATGTTACTTTAATTTTTGTAGCCCTTGATCATTTTCAAAGCCCTTTCACATGTGTAAAATGATAGTGATACAGCTGATGTCTCACCACCTGGTCTGGTCTTCTGGGCATTTCCTATATAAAGGCTTTGGGTTGTGTTGCAAAGCTGGAGAAATTCAAAATCTTGCTTGCCCCCTGGGACTGCCATTAGTAAACCAATGACAATCTGCTTACCTATACCCTAGGACTCTACACTTCAAACTAATGTACTCCTCACATTTCCATCATTATTGAAAACTTTAGCTAGTAGGAAAACTTTTATTAAAGCAATCCATTTATCTTTCTAGAGACATTCTCTGTACTCCAGAGTTTTCCCACACTTTGAGAAATAAACTTAATAGTATGAATCCCAAATGTTGGGATATATGAAAGAGTTGCTATTAAATATCTTTTTTTCTCTATTTTTTCCTTACTTCATTCCTGATATATTCACTAGAAAACAATTACTGAACTCTGCATCTGAAAGACTGCCAGACCTCAGATTGTTACACAAAATTTGAAATTCTCCAGGGATCTGCTTCTCTATTATTGCAAGATAACAGAAAATAACAGTTAAAAATAGGAGTTTACCCTTGTATTACACTTGCTACCCCATGTTCACTGGCAAAACTTATGACCCTTCTCTTGGAAGATTATGCTGTAATTGACTAAGGCTTTCTGATAAGGACATTAAAATTCAGAGATAAAATTTTTATTTATTCACTTCTTTTTCAGTGACATTCCTTGTAAGAGGACCTCTGATGTGACATTTTAAGAATAGAACGATGTGGCCAGATTATGTATTTATTCAAAATCTGTTTTTTTCTCCATGATTAGAGATTAAAACTCAGATTTTCCTGATAATGAAACAGACTATGACCTCAGGATATGCTTTATCTCAAATCTCACAATGAATCTAGGACTAAATCAGCAAATGAGGCTCAGTGACTAGCTTTCCAGTAGTGGTTAGGCAAATCACATGGTCTCCTACTATCATACTTGTCCAAACTTCCTACTACCTTCCTTTTTCCCTGCAACCACACAGTGACCTACTATTCCAAAAGAAAGTTGAAGAGCTCATGATGAGCAAGGAAATTATACAGAGATAATCTTGGATGCTTAAGCTCATTGGATGCTCCAGGCTGAGAGAATCTTTTAAGTTCCTCTAGTCCAGATTCCTGATTCAGGTGAAGACGCTGAAGCCTAGATTAGAAAGTGATTAACATACAATGTTATAGTGATTGGTGGCCGAACTAGAAACACATCATGTTTTTGTAGATAGAGCTCTTTTTTTTTTTTTTAAGAATGACCATGTCAGGATTGAGATTTAAAACTCTTCCTTGCTGATTTAACGAAAATTGTAGTTAAACTGCATATGGGATCCTTAGATGTTCTTTAGAGTCTCCGAGGCTTTTTGGAAACCCTGCTCCCACTTCGGCCAGAGCTCTTTGATTTTATTTGCATATAATGTATTAGAAAACTAATAAGATACTGCTACTTCACGCTTTGAAAAACCTTAGCTTCGGAAAAGCCACAGGTACAGCCAACACACCCCATAAACTCCAGGCAGGATCTGTGAAGAAGACATTATTGAGGACAAAGAAAATATGCAAGATTTATCAAGGGCTCAAAGTTGAAAACATCAATATTGTTCAACTGCACAAGAGTTTAGAAGTTGGGTAATGCCCAACCTGGTTTTTACTAACCCTGTTTTTAGACTCTCCCTTTCTCCTTTAATCACCTAGCCTTGTTTCCACCTGAGTTGACTCTCCCTTAGCTAAGAGAGCCAGACAGACTCCATCTTGGCTCTTTCACTGGCAGCCCCTTCCTCAGGGACTTAACTTGTGCAAGCTGACTCCCAGCACATCCAAGAATGCAATTAACTGATAAGATACTGTGGCGAGCAATATCCGCAATTCTCAGGATTTTGTCTGATTGATGACGCCCAAAGCCCCGGATCTATCACCTTGTAATAGTCTTTAAGCCCCTGCACCTGGAGCTGTTTACTTTCCTGTAACCATTCATCCTTTTAACTTTTTGCCACTTTATTTCTGTAAAATTGTTTTAACTAGACCCCCCCACTTTCCAAACCAAAGTATAAAAGAAAATCTAGCCCCTTCTTCTAGGGGCCGAGAGAATTTTGAGTGTTAGCCGTCTCTCGGTCGCCAGCTAATAAAGGACTCTTAATTCGTCTCAAAGTGTGGCGTTTTTCTAACTCGCTCGGGTACAACAGTTGCTTTTGGTTTTACTTTCCATTGCATTGTGGTGTGTTTTTCTCCATTTCCATGGAGAAGAATATTCTCATTTACTTCTAGGTATTAGGTCAAGATGACCAAGCAAACAAATCAAGCAACTGTGATCCAGCAGCAGAGTATGAAGATGGATCTAAACACAATGAGGATTCAATGAGGGATCAGGGATAGACTCTGAACAATAGTGTTAAATCCAAGAGGCAAGTTGAAGAAACTTGAAAGACAGAGAAAGAACCACTGGTCAATCAAACAAATTAGTATTGGAACACTAGAGAAATGAGAAGGTGTCTTTATTGTGGGCCCCTCCCCTTAATCTCATCTACTCTTTTTTAGTCTTTCCCATATCATTAAATCTCTCAACATACACCTAGTTGCTCAAACAACAACAAAAAACCTTAAAATTATTGTTGAGATCTATTTTTCCTCATACTCAATAGCTAATCCCTCAGCCTTGTCCACTGAAAATTTTAAAAATATCTCACTAAACTAATTTCTTTATTTCTAATGTAGGCCACTACTCCACAACAACCAACCAATATCTCTCACTTGGTAAACTGCAATAGCTTCTTACCAGTCTCCCAGCTTGTATTCTTGTCCCCTGAAACTTTTTCTCCATACAACAAACAAAAAGCTCTATTAATAAAAATATCCTGGAACTAATAGATAATTATAGTAGTTTGCAGGATCCAAAGTTAGTATTCAAAAGTCAGTTTCTTTTCTATATACTAGCAATGAGCAAGTGGACTTGAAACTAAAAATAAAATGCCATTTACATTAGCAGTCCCTAAAATGAAATACTTAGGTATAAATCTAACAAAATATGTACAAAATCTATATGAGAAAAACTACAAAACTCTGTTGAAAGAAATCAAAGAAGAACTAAATAGGTAGAGTGATGGTCTATGTTCATGGATAAGAAGAATCAATAGTGCCAAATGTCAGTTCTTCCCATTTTGATCCACAAACTTAAAGCAATCCCAATAAAACTTCCAGCAGCTTGTTTTGTGAATATTGACAAACTGATTTAAAAGTTTATATAAATAGACGAAAGACCCAGGATAGCCAACAAAATATCAAAGGAGAAGAACAAAGTTGGAGAACTACCACTAACCAACATCAATACTTACTATACAGGTACAGTAATCAAGACTGTGTGGTTCTGGTAAAAGAATAGACAAATAAATACATGGAACAGAATAGAGAGCCCAGAAATAGACCTATATAAATATAGTCAATTCATCTTTGACAATGGAGCAAAGGCAGTAGAATGGAGAAAAGATTCTTTTCAACAAATGGTGCTAGAACAACTGGACAATCATATGCAAGAGGTAATAACGAATCTAGACACAGACTTTACAGCCTTCACAAAAGTTAACTCAAAACGGATTATAGACCTAAATGTAAAATGCAGAACTATTAAACTTTAAGAAGATAACATAACAGAAAATCCAAATGACCTTGAGTTTAGTGATAACTTTTTCAATACAACACCAACAGTACAATTAATGAGGAAAAAGAATTAATAAACTTAACTTTATTAAGATTTAACTTTTCTGCTCTGTGAAAGGCACTTTCAAGATAATAAAAAAAGAAGCCACATTGGGAGAAAATACTTTCAAAAGACTTATCTTGTGAAGAATTGTTATCCAAAATGTGCTAAAAAAAAAAAAAAAAACCCTTAATGGCCGGGCACATTGGTTCATGCCTATCATCCCAGCACTTTGGGAGACCAAGGTGGGAGGATCACCTGAGGTCAGGAGTTCGAGACCAGCCTGGCCAACGTGGTGAAACCCTGTCTCTACTAAAAATACAAAAATTAACCAGGCGTGGTGGGGCATGCCTGAAATCCCAGCTACTCGGGAGGCTGAGGCAGGAGAATCACTTGAACCCGGGGGCTGGAAGTTGCAGAAAGCTGAGATCATGTCATTGCACTCCAGCCTGGGTGATACAGCAAGATCCATCTAAAAAAAAAAAAAAAAAAAAAAAAAAAAACCTAAACTAAAAAACCTTAAAATTCAGCAACAAGAAAAAAAAAAACAGTGATTAAAAAATGTCCAAAGACCTTGACAGGCGTCTCACCAAAGAAGTGATAAAGACAGAAAATAAGTATATGGAAAGATACTCCATGTCTTATGTCATCAAGGAAATCCAAATTTGAATAATGAGATACCACTACACACCCAATAGAATGGCAAAAACCCAGAACACTGACAATACTAAATAGTGGCAAAGAAGTGGAGCAACAGGAACACTCATTCATTGCTAGGAGGAGTGCAAAATTGTATTGCTGCTTTGGACAAAATTTGGCAATTTATGACAGAACTTAACATACCCTTATCATGGGACTCAACATTTTGTGTTTCTTGATATCAACCCAAAAAAGTTGAAATATTATTGTCCACACAGAAACCTGTACACAAATATTGATAGCAGTTTTATTTATAATTGCCAAAGTAACCAAGATGTTCTTCAGTAGGTGAACAGGTAAATAAACTCTGGTATATCCAAACAATGAAATATTATTTGGTGCAAAAATAAAAAAGTTATAAAGTCACAGAAAATAGAAGCTTAAATGCATGTCATTAATTGAAAGAAACCAATCTGAAAAGGATACTTACAGTATGATTCCAACTATGTGAAACTCTGGAAAAATTAAAACTATGGAAACAGTACAACAACCAGTACTTGCCAAGGGTTAGGGGGAACTCAGGGTTTTTAAGTCAGTGAAATTACTCTATGATACTATAATGGTGAACAGGTGTCATTATACATTTGTCTGAACATAGTCTATACAGCATCAATAGCGAACTTAAATGTAAACTATGGACTTTGGATGATAACAATGTGTCAATGTAGGTCCATCAATTGTAACAAATGTGGCACTTCCGTAGGAGATGTTGATCATGGGGAGGCTATGCATGTGTGAGGGCAGGGAGTATTTGGGAAATCTTCATATCCTCCTCTCAATTTTGTTGTGAATCTAACCTAAAAATAAAATGAAATATAAAAATGTAGTATACTAGAACAGAAAAGATTCAGAAAGCCTACAGTTTTACAGGATTAATATGGCAAAACATTCAAAATCGTTAACTTATTTGAAAAATGTTGTCTTAAATAATAGTTGTTAGATATTGCCAAAATATAATGTGAATAAAACAAAAAGACACTATGTGAAAATAATTAGATAGTATTATGTACATACTTTTATATTAAAGGCAGTTAGAATTAAAAATATCTTCTCTTTGGTAGAATTTGTCATGAACTTATCAAAAACCTCAGCATCAGTTAACTGATCACTTTCTTACTTAAAAATATAGTTTATAGAGAAGAGTCAATTGAAGTCATCAATAATTTCAAATTAATTAATTAAAAAAAGATTGGAAGAACATTACCAGTAATTTTATAAAGTTAAAAATGTAAAGCCCTTGTGATGATATTTGCACAACCCTGTAAATTTATTTTAAAATATTTAATTGTACACTTAAAATGGGTGAACTTTATGGTATGTAAATTACACCTCAATAAATCTATTAAACATTAAAAATAAAAGAAACCACTTTGAAGAACAAAATATATTCTAGGACACAAACTTAGTAATATAATAGTAGAAGTAAAATAAGAAGACATTAAAATTTAGGAAAATGTATCAAAAATAATTCTATTGTTTCTTCATAATATTTAATAAACAATTTAAATAATTATATTTTAATAGATATGAATATATGTTATTTTGCCTTTAAGAGGTTAATTTTTAAAAATAATATTTGAATTAACTACTATTATTGGTTTATGAGGAAACCATTTGCTATGATCAATCGAAATTAAAAAAATTTACATATGAATATGATTATGTCATTGTCCAGCTTAATATTCTTCAATGATTTTTCACTGCACTTGAGCTAAAATATGAAATCTTCAATTTTTCTACAAGATCATGTGTGATCTACCCAATGTTAAACTCATCCTACTTACTACTCTATTTCTATTGGACAACTCTCTTTTTTTTTTTTTTGAGATGGAGTCTCACTCTGTCACCCAGGCTGGAGTGCAGTGACATGATCTCGGGTCACTGCAAACTCCGCCTCCTGGGTTCAAGTGGTTTTCCTCCCTCAGCCTCCCAAGTAGCTGGGACTACAGGCACCCGTCACCACGCCTGGCTAATTTTTTTGTATTTTTAGTAGAGACGGGGTTTCATCGTTTTAGCCAGGATGGTCTCGAACTCCTGACCTCGTGATACGCCTGTCTGGGCCTCCCAAAGTGCTGGAATTACAGGTGTGAGCCACCATGCCCGGCCAGGCAACTCGCCTTTTTTTAAACTTGCCCAAATCTTTCCCATCTCAGATCCTTTCTATATTCTCATTTTTTGGAAATTTCCCCTATCCTTCAGGTATCAAGGTAATTGTTACTTTCTCAAAGAGATTTTTCTGGCTCTCTTTATTCTCAATCCCTCTCATAGTCTATTATGCATTATACTGTCATTTGCCTTCATGGCACTGACCACTACATGTGTGTGTGTGTGTGTGTGTGTGTGTGTGTGTGTGTGTGTGTTTATCTTTCTCCTTGAATACTTTATAAGCTCCATGAATGTAAAAATCACATATTTTGTTCACCGCTGTGTAACTAGCAACTAGAATCGTTCTTAACATAAGTCAATATTGTCAATTGACTAATTAATTAAAAAAAGATGAATAAATAAGTAAAGAATAAAATAAGTAAAGAAAATAAAGAAGTAAAGAGAAAAGTAACAAATACTCAGCTGATATACAGCCTAAAAAATGCAGGAAAAGCTTCCTTTTTAACCTCCATGCCCGATGCAACTTCTGTCAATTTGTTTTCATTATCCCCTGGGAGAACAATAGAAAAAACTCAAGTCCATTTATTTGACATCTCCTCACATATTTGAAAATAACACTTTATTAGTAAGATTCTTAATAATTGAATTAATTTACTATATATCTCTTATGTGTCTGTTATGTGCAAGTGACTTACTTAATTCAGTGGAGAATTCATCAGATAACACACCCTTTCCTCAAAGAAGACAATCTAGGGGACATAGAAACAAATACAATTCAAAGAGAAAGGTGGCTTGTGTTATAAGAGACTTCAAAAGAACATATTATACTAATTCTAGCTTAGTGGTCAGAAAATTCGTGGAAGAGGTAATGTTTGAGCTGAACTATGTAGGACAGGTGAGATTTCAATAGAATGAAGTTAGGAGAGAAACAACAGCATTCCAGAGAAAGAAAAAGTATGACGTGATGCACGTGTAGAAATATAGGACACAGTTGAGAAACAGAAAGGAGCCCAGTTTTCCCACAACGTATGTCATGAGAAGCAGTAAGACATAGCCTGAAAGGAGGGATGAAAGCAATTTTTTGAAGCCAATGATTCCCGAGGTTTAGGCTCTATTTATTTATAGAGAATGGTAATCTGTTAAAGTTCTTTTGCACAAGGTGGTAGCAAATTTACAAGATTAAACTGGGACCTATACATCAATTATATTAAGTAGGTACTCTGGACCCCTTGACCAGGAGCTTTCAGTAAGAAGGTTACTGCAATTGTCTTGGAAAATAGTACTATAAACCCAAATTAGGATGTGGTGTAGGTAATGGAGAGAAGAGCAAAGTTAGACCTTGGTTGTGATAAATGAGATGTGTTCTATATTCTGTGAGATTTCTCCGGTATAACTGAGCCTCAATTGCCTACAGTATTAACATGTTCCATAATACAACGTTCACCAGCTTCCTTCCATTGTCTCTCTCATTTCACCACTTTCCTTACAGTTTTTCCTGGGATCACCTTCCAAATATGCTGCTTGCACTTATATACGTGATTCAGGGATATTAGCGCAAGTAGCACTTGATTCTGAAAACAGCAACAACAGAAACTAACCTCAGTCAAATAACATTAATAGTAACAAATACAAAAATAAGAACAACTTGAGGGTGGAGGTTGGAAGGAGAGGATTAGCAATGATTTTTGACATTTCGAGCAGAATTGGAATTTTTATTATTACCCATACTTAGCTGAATCAAATCAACATAAAACATAAAGTATAATTTGAGTTCATAAGATACACAAATATGTAAATGATGAATTGTAAGGATTTTACATATGTAAATATTGTACATCTCTGTTTTCACATTTTTAATTTAACATTATTTTTCTATCAAACTGATAATAAATCAAAGCAGATGAAGGCTGTGGTTCACACACATACCAATATAGCCCAAAATTGAATTCCAAAGATCCTCTGAAATAGCTCCACTTGTAATAGGGAAAGCTGAAGTATAAATTGCTCCCTTTTATTAAACATATACCAAATAAAATCTCAATAGAATCAAAGTTAAATATAAAATCTGTAGTTATAAAGGGATAGGTAAAAATGAAAGTCACTACTTGATCTGTAAGTGGTGAAATAACTTCCGAACATAAAAGCAAATGAATAAATTACAAAATAAGAGACTTAAATACTTAGCTACATAGATAAATTTCAAATATTAAAATTAAATATAAATAATGAACTTTGAAAGTATTAAAACACATATTATACAGTATTATTATCATTTATATAAAGAATTCTGACAAATTAGTAAGATAAATGCTTCAACTGTGATAGAAAAAAGGCATAATAGGGTTTCTGAATGAAAAAATATAAGTGAATGTTAAACGTTAAAATGTTTAAATATTCCTATTTTAGCTTATTAAATTGGTAAAATCTAAAAATAATACTGGCTGAAAATTCTATGAATCATCATTCTCATCTGGTCTGGGAAGGAGTATAAATTGGTATGGATTCACAATCCCTCATCCACACTTCCAAAGTTCAAAGATTTTTTCATAGCTCATTTGCCACTAAACACTGACTCGAATTCATATGATGCTGCTCACAGTTTGTATTGCTTCTACTTTATGAGACTATCAATACATTTTGCTAAGGAAAGCATTTCCCTAGACTCCAAATAGGATGTTACTTAATAGAGGTTAAAGGCAACACGTTACCTCTCTAAAACCCAAAAGTTGGATATCCTCAGGACCTTAATCTAAGAAAAAATAGTAGCATATAGAAATACTTATAAATAATGATGTTGCTGAGTGTTATACATAATAGTAAAAAACTGAAAATAATCCATTCATCATAAGAGAGTGTAAGACAACAATGGTATCAATGAATGCTACAACATCATAGTAAAAACACACTTTCAAAAAAATTTGATGACATGAGCCAGAATTGAGGTAATAGCAAAACACCTATGCATACATGAAACAATAATCCCAACTACATATTTATAGAAAAAAGTATTTGAAGAAAAAGATTATCTTTGGGAAGTAGAATTATGAGTTGTTTTGATTTTTTAAAAACTTAACTTGTGTTCCATAAATCTTCCACAAATTACATACTACTCCAAAAAGAAAAAAAAATCCTATTTATATTTAAATTTTGAAATGTTTTCACTTATTTGAGCTCAGAGTGAGCTCTAAAAAATAGAGCCCAAGCTCAGAAATTTGGACTAATATTTGCATGGTTCAGACTCTCAGACTTGATGAAATTAAAGGCCATATGTTACCCTTTGTAATTAAAATATTTGTCTTTTCTTTATAATTTCAACTTTTACTTTAGATTCAGGGGGTGCACATGCAGGTTTGTTACCTGAGTATATTGCATGATGCTGAGGTTTGGGGTAGGATTGATCCCATCACCCATAGTACCTAATAGTTCATTTTTCAACGCTTGCTCCCTTACTCCCTTCTCCTTCTAGTTGTCCACTCTTGTTGCCATCTTTATGTCCACAAATACTCAATGTGCAGCTCCCACTTATAAATGATAACATACAGTATTTGGTTTTTCATTCCTTCGTTAATTCACTTAGGATAATGGCCTCCGGCTGCATCCATGTTGATGCAAAGAACATAATTTTGTTCTTTTTTATGGCTGCATAGTATTCCATAGTATATATGTACTACATTTTCTTTATTCAATTCCCTGTTGATGGGCACCTAGGTTGATTCCATGTCTTTGCTATTGTGAATAGTGCTGCAACGAACACACAAGTTCATGTGTCTTTTTGGTAAAATAATTTGTTTTCTTTTGGGTATATACCTAGCAATGGGATTGCTGGATTAAATGTTAATTCTGAGTTCTTTCAGAAATCTTCAAACTGCTTTCCACAGTGGCTGAGCTAATTTATATTCGCATCAAGAGTATATAAGCATTCCCATTTCCCCACAGCCTCGCCAGCATCTGTTTTTTTTTTTTTTTTTTTTTTTTTTTTTGAGACGGAGTCTCGCTCTGTCATCCAGGCTGGAGTGCAGTGGCACAATCTTGGCTCACTGCAAGCTCCGCCTCCCGGGTTCATGCCATTCTCCTGCCTCAGCCTCCTGAATAGCTGGGACTACAGGTGCCCGCCACCAAGCCTGTTTAATTTTTTTTTTGTATTTTTAGTAGAGACAGGGTTTCACCGTGTGAGCCAGGATGGTCTCCATCTCCTGACCTCGTGATCTGCCCGTCTCGGCCTCCCAAAGTGCTGGGATTACAGGTGTGAGCTGCCGCACCCAGCCCAGCATCTGTTGTTATTGACTGTTTAATAGTAGTCATTCTGACTGTGAGACGGTATCTCATTGTGGTTTTGATTTGTGAGAAAATACTTTTCATTTACCAATTGTTGACTCAGGGTGTTTGTTATTCTTTGTTATTTATCATAAGGGAATATATAAAGAGCTTGAACATAGTTTAAACCTCAAGATTAAAAGTTATAATATGTTAGAATATTATTACATAATGTTTATGTAACATTTTTTGCAGTTTGTATACCACTAGAACGTCTATTTTCTAATTCTTTATGTATGTATATGGGTTTCTGGGTATATAAAAATGTAGTTTAAAAAACACAAACACATACAAAGAATAATACATTTCTGAGTTCTCACACCCAGTATTAGTATCTATTAACATTCTGCCATTTTTTTTTTTGTAAAGGAACACCTTCTACTTAAAATTGAAGTCTTCTGGGCTGGGTGTGGTGGCTCATTCCTGTAATCCCAGCACTTTGGGAGGCCAAGGAGTGCGGATCACGAAGTCAGGAGTTCGAGACCAGCCTGGCCAACATAGTGGAACCCTGTCTCTACTAAAAATACAAAAATTAGCCGGGTGTGGTGGCACATGCCTGTAGTCCCAGCTACTCGGGAGGCTGAGGTGGGAGAATCGCTTGAACCTGGGAGGCGGAGGTTGCAGGGAGCTGAGACCACACCATTGCACTCCAGCCTGGGTGACAGAGTGAGACTCTGTCTCAAAAAAAAAAAAAATTGAAGTCTTCTGCGACTTACTTCCACCTTTCACATTCACACATATATCTCACATATATGTATATATGTATACACACGTATATCTCTATGAACAATATATTCTTTTGTATTGTGTGTGTGTGAGGGGTATTTTAAATTCTATGTAACTTTTATTGTATATATTGTTTTTCCCTTTATTTTTGAATATTATACTCTTTTATCCATGTTGGGAAGAAACACACACACACACACACATTAGTCATTTATTGTGTAAACTACAAAATTTTCTTGTCATTTGTTCTTTGAAATAACCCTCCCACACCCACTTTACAGATAGAATATTAAGTGAGTCACCAGGATTTGTAAAAGACACTTAACTAGAATTGTTGTAAACTTAGTTAGGTGTCTGATATTCTTTCTTTCACTCGCGTCCGTGTGAAGAGACCACCAAACAGGGTTTGTGTGAGCAACAAGGCTGTTTATTTCACCTGGGGGCAGGTGGGCTGAGTCCGCAAAGAGAGTCAGTGAAGGGACATAGGAGTGGGGCCGTTTTATAGGATTTGAGTAAGTAGTGGAAAATTACAGTCAAAGGGGGTTGTTCTCTGGCTGACAGGGGTGGGGGTCACAGGGTGCTCAGTGGGGGAGCTTTTGAGCCAGGAGAAGGAATTTCATAAGGTAACGTCATCAGTTAAGGCAGGAACAGGCCATTTTCACTTCTTTTGTCATTCTTCAGTTACTTCAGGCCATGTGGATGTATACGTGCAGGCTTGGGCCCAGAGACCTGACATTTTCTTTTTCTTTTTTTTTTTTTTTTTTTTAAGATAGAAAAGTCAGGTTTACAGAAACATGGAAATACATCATTGATTATCAATTTTTGTTATACTGGAGAACATTTGGAGATTTGTATATTTTTGAGGGATGAGTTAGAAATGATGGCTTTAGTGTTTACTAGCATAATTTGCATGTGAAACTTCTGACATAAATGAAATATAACTGCATATATGTCTCCTGTCAGGCCTCTGAGCCCAAGCTAAGCCATCATATCCCCTGTGACCTGCACGTACACATCCAGATGGCCGGTTCCTGCCTTAACTGATGACATTCCACCACAAAAGAAGTGAAAATGGTCTGTTCCTGCCTTAACTGATGACATTGTCTTGTGAAATTCCTTCTCCTGGCTCATCCTGGCTCAAAAGCTCCCCCACTGAGTACCTTGTGATCCCCACTCCTGCCCACCAGAAAACAACCCCCTTTGAGGGTAATTTTCCTTTATCTACCCAAATCCTATAAAACGGCCCCACCCCATCTCCCTTTGCTGACTCTCTTTTCGGACTCAGCCTGCCTGCACCCCGGTGATTAAAAGCTTTATTGCTTACACAAAGCCTGTTTGGTGGTCTCTTCACACAGACATGCATGAAATTTGGTGCCGTGACTCAGATCGTGACCTCCCTTGGGAGGTCCTCCTGTTCTTTGCTCCTTGAGAAAGATCCACCTATGGTCCTCAGACCGACCAGCCCAAGAAACATCTCACCAATTTCAAATCTGGTAAGCGGCCTCTTCTTACTCTCTTCTCCAACCTCCCTCACTATCCCTCAACCTCTTTCTCCTTTCAATCTTGGTGCCACACTTCAATCTCTCCCTTCTTTTAATTTCAATTCCCTTCATTTTCTGGTAGAGACAAAGGAGACACGTTTTATCCGTGGACCCAAAACTCCGGCGCCGGTCACGGACTGGGAAGGCAGCCTTCCCTTGGTGTTTAATCATTGCAGGGACGCCTCTCTGATTATTCACCCAGGTTTTAGAGGTGTCAGACCACGCAGGGACGCCTGCCTTAGTCCTTCACCCTTAGCGGCAAGTCCTGCTTTTCTAGGGGAGAGGCAAGTACCCCAACCCCTTCTCTCTGTGTCTCTACCCCTTCTCCACCTTTCTGGGGGGCAAGAAACCCGTAACCCCTTCTTCTTCACTCTTAGCAGCAAGTCCCGCTTTTCTAGAGGGGCAAGTACCCCAACTTCATATCTCTGCACCCCAATCCCTTATTTCCATGCCCCAACCTCTTATCTCTGTGCCCCAATCCCTTATTTCCACGCCCCAACCCCTTTCCTGCTTTTCTGGAAGGTAAGAACCCCCGAACCCCTTCCCTCTGTGTCTCTACTCTCTCTTTTCTCTAGGCTTGCTTCCTTCACTATGGGCAACCTTCCACTCTCCATTCCTCCTTCTTCTCCCTTAGCCTGTGTCCTCAAAAACTTAAAACCTCTTCAACTCACACCTGACCTAAAATCTAAGCATCTTATTTTCTTCTGCAATACCGCTTGACCCCAATACAAACTCGACAGTAGTTCCAAACAGCCGGAAAACGGCACTTTCAATTTTTCCATCCTACAAGATCTAAATAAATCTTGTTGTAAAGTGGGCAAATGGTCTGAGGTGCCTGACGTCCAGGCATTCTTTTACACGTCGGTCCCTCTCTAGTCTCTGTTCCCAAAGCAACTGTTCCCAAATCTTCCTTCTTTCCCTCCCACCTGTCCCCTCAGTCCCAACCCCAAGCGTCGCTGAGTCTTTCTAATCTTCCTTTTCTACAGACCCATCTGACCTCTCCCCTCCTCCCCAGGCTGCTCCTCGCCAGGCCGAGCTAGGTCCCAATTCTTCCTCAGCCTCCGCTCCTCCACCCTATAATCCTTTTATCACCTCCCCTCCTCACACCTGGTCCGGCTTACAGTTTCTTTCTGTGACTAGCCCTCCCCCACCTGCCCATCGGTGGCTGGAGCTAAAGGCATAGTCAAGGTTAATGCTTCTTTTTCTTTATCCCAAATCAGATAGCATTTAGGCTCTTTTTCATCAAATATAAAAATCCAGCCCAGTTCATGGCTCCTTTGGCAGCAACCCTGAGACACTTTACAGCCCTAGACCCTAAAAGGTCAAAAGGCCGTCTTATTCTCAAAATACATTTTATTACCCAATCTGCTCCCAACATTAAATAAAACTCCAAAAATTAAATTCCGGCCCTCAAACCCCACAACAGAATTTAATTAACCTCACCTTCAAGGTGTACAATAATAGAAAAAAGTTGCAATTCCTTGCCTTCACTGTGAGACAAACCTCAGCCACGTCTCCAGCACACAAGAACTTCCAAACGCCTGAACCTCAGCGGCCAGGCATTCCTCCAGAACCTCCTCCCCCAGGAGCTTGCTACAAGTGCCAGAAATCTGGCCACCAGGCCAAGGAATGCCTGCAGCCCAGGATTCCTCCTAAGCCACGTCCCATCTGTGCGGGACCCCACTGGAAATTGGACTGTCCAACTCACCTGGCAGCCACTCCCAGAGCCCCTGGAACTCTGGCCCAAGGCTCTCTGACTGCTTCCCAGATCTTCTTGGCTTAGTGGCTGAAGACTAACGCTGCCCGATCGCCTCGGAAGCCCCCTAGACCATCACGGACGCTGAGCTTCGGGTAACTCTCACAGTGGAGGGTAAGTCCGTCCCCTTCTTAATCAATACTGAGGCTACCCACTCCACATTACCTTCTTTTCAAGGGCCTGTTTCCCTTGCCTCCATAACTGTTGTGGGTATTGACAGCCAGGCTTCTAAACCTCTTAAAACTCCCCAACTCTGGTGCCAACTTAGACAATACTCTTTTAGGCACTCCTTTTAGTTATCCCCACCTGCCCAGTTCCCTTATTAGGCCGAGACACTTTAACTAAATTATCTGCTTCCCTGACTATTCCTGGATTACAGCTATATTTCATTGCCTCCCTTCTTCCCAATCCAAAGCCTCCTTTGCATCCTCTTGTATTCCCCGACCTTAACCCACAAGTATAAGATACATCTACTCCCTCCTTGGCGACCGATCATGCACCCCTTACCATCTCATTAAAACCTAATCACCCTTACCCCACTCAATGCCAATATCCCATCCCGCAGCATGCTTTGAAAGGATTAAAGCCTGTTATCGCTCGCCTGCTACAGCATGGCCTTTTAAAGCCTGTAAACTCTCCTTACAATTCCCCCATTTTACCTGTCCAAAAACCGGACAAGTCTTACAGATTAGTTCAGGATCTGTGCCTTATCAACTAAATTGTTTTGCCTATCCATCCTGTGGTGCCCAACCCGTACACTCTTTTGTCCTCAATACCTTCCTCCACAACTCACTATTCCGTTCTCCATCTTAAAGATGCTTTTTTCACTATTCCCCTGCACCCCTCGTCCCAGCCTCTCTTTGCTTTCACTTAGACTGACACTGACACCCATCAGGTTCAGCAAGTCACCTGGGCTGTACTGCCGCAAGGCTTCACAGACAGCCCCCATTACTTCAGTCAAGCCCAAATTTCATCCTCATCTGTTACCTATCTCGGCATAATTCTCATAAAAGCACACGTGCTTTCGCTGCTGATCGTGTCCAATTAATCTCCCAAACCTCAATCCCTTACAAAACAACAACTCCTTTCCTTCCTAGGCATAGTTAGTGCGGTCAGAATTCTTACACAAGAGCCAGGACTGCACCCTGTAGCCTTTCTGTGCAAACAACTTGACCTTACTGTTTTAGCCTAGCCCTCATGTCTGCGTGCAGTGGCTGTCGCTGCTTTAATACTTTTAGAGGCCCTAAAAATCACAAACTATGCTCAACTCACTCCCCACATTTCTCATAACTTCCAAAATCTATTTTCTTCCTCATACCTGAAGCATATACTTTCTGCTCCCCGGCTCCTTCAGCTGTACTCACTCTTTGCTAAGTCCCACAATTACCACTGTTCCTGGCCTAGACTTCAATCCGGCCTCCCACATTATTCCTGATACCACACCTGACCCCCATGACTGTATCTCTCTGATCCACCTGACATTCACCCCATTTCCCCAAATTTCCTTCTTTCCTGTTCCTCACCCTGATCATGCTTGATTTATTGATGGCGGTTCCACCAGGCCTAATCGCCACACACCAGCAAAGGCAGGTTATGCTATAGTACAAGCCACTAGCCCGCCTCCTAGAACCTCTCATTTCCTTTCCATCGTGGAAATCTATCCTCAAGGAAATAACTTCTCAGTGTTCCATCTGCTATTCTACTACTCATCAGGGATTATTCAGGCCCCCTCCCTTCCCTACACATCAAGCTCGAGGATTTGCCCCACCCAGGACTGGCAAATTAGCTTTACTCAACATGCCCCGAGTCAGATAACTAAAATACCTCTTAGTCTAGGTAGACACTTTCACTGGATAGGTAGAGTCCTTTCCTACAGGGTCTGAGAAGGCCACCGCAGTCATTTCTTCCCTTCTGTCAGACATAATTCCCCAGTTTAGCCTTCCCACCTCAATACAGTCTGATAACAGATGAGCCTTTATTAGTCAAATCAGCCAAGCAGTTTTTCAGGCTCTTAGTATTCAGTGAAACCTTTATATCCCTTACGGTCCTCCGTCTTCAAGAAAAGTAGAATGGACTAAAGGTCTTTTAAAAACACACCTCACCATGCTCAGCCACCAACTTGAAAAGGACTGGACAATACTTTTACCACTTTCCCTTCTCAGAAGTCAGACCTGTCGTCAGAATGCTACAAGGTACAGCCCATTTGAGCTCCTGTATAGACGCTCCTTTTTATTACGCCCCAGTCTCATTCCAGACACCAGACCAACTTAGACTGTGCCCCCCAAAAACTTGTCATCCCTACTGTCTTCTGTCTAGTCATACTCCTATTCACCGTTCTCAACTACTCATACATGCCCTGCTCTTGTTTACACTGCCGGTTTACCCTGTTTTTCCAAGCCATCACAGCTGATATCTCCTGGTGCTATCCCCAAACTACCACTCTTAACTCTTGAAGTAAATAAATAATCTTTGCTGGCAGGACTACGCTGAATCTCCTTAGGCACTCTAATTAGATGTCCTAGGTCCTCCCAATTCTTAGACCTTTAATACCTGTTTTTCTCCTTCTGTTATTCCATTTAGTTTTTCAGTTCATACAAAACCGTAT
This sequence comes from Homo sapiens, assembly GCF_000001405.40. Classification (NCBI taxonomy): domain Eukaryota; kingdom Metazoa; phylum Chordata; class Mammalia; order Primates; family Hominidae; genus Homo; species Homo sapiens. The sequence continues at coordinate 190,149,545 of NC_000003.12, forward strand.
CCAGGCCATCACCAATAATTCTAAATGACAAATGTTTCTTCTAACAACCCCACAATATCACCCCTTACCACAAAATCTTCCTTCAGCTTAATCTCTCCCACTCTAGGTTCCCACGCCGCCCCTAATCCCGCTCGAAGCAGCCCTGAGAAACATCACCAATTATCTCTCCATACCACCCCCCAAAATTTTCGCCGCCCCAACACTTTACCACTATTTCATTTTATTTTTCTTTTTAATATAAGACAGGAATATCAGGCCTGTGAGCCCAAGCTAAGCCATCATATCCCCTGTGACCTGCACGTACACATCCAGATGGCCGGTTCCTGCCTTAACTGATGACATTCCACCACAAAAGAAGTGAAAATGGCCTGTTCCTCCCTTAACTGATGACATTGTCTTGTGAAATTCCTTCTCCTGGCCCATCCTGGCTCAAAAGCTCCCCCACTGAATACCTTGTGACCCCCACTCCTGCCCACCAGAGAACAATCCCCTTTGACTGTAATTTTCCTTTATCTACCCAAATCCCATAAAACAGCCCCACCCCTATCTCCCTTTGCTGACTCTCTTTTCGGACTCAGCCCGCCTGCACCCAGGTGATTAAAAGCTTTATTGCTCACACAAAGCCTGTTTGGTGGTCTCTTCACACGGAAGGGCATGAAATCTCCCACTGTCCTCCAAATTTTCATCAGTGGAGCAAGTCCCTAGGGGTGTTGGATGACACCCCCGCAAGCCTGTGGCTTCAATTCTTGGGTTGTGGTCTTCTGGTGACTTTAAGTGTAAACACAGTCTGAATTTGGAAACTATAATGTCCTGTCCAAGATACCAGACAAAATCCTGGGCCTGATGTATCAGCTAATTGTTTCCCTGGTGGAGTCTGGGTCCACTTCAGACTGGAGGCCTTGAATGAGTCAAGGGGTGAACTGAAAGGGGCAAGGTCCTTCCTCTGTTTGCTCCCTCTCTGCTTGCTTTTTCACCCACTCACTAGTTGTTTTCAGGTTTTATTCTCTGTAGGAATCTTATTAGGAAAAGGAGGAAAGACAAAAGGATAGGACATTTCATACTTGGTGGGTGGTTTTCTTATCTATGGAACTGACAGACAAGTAAAGGTGCTACCCCTAAGTGGCCTGGCAGATAAGAGCCAGATCTTTCTCTTAGCGAAGGTTTTGTGACTTCTGTGGAGATTCTTTCGTGGGTCTCTCTCTTAAATCACCTTGAAGCCTGCTTTTTGATGGCTGTTTGTAATTCCTTTATCAGCACCTGGCCATCAGCAGTTACATATCCAGTGGTTTTTCACTGAGGTCTCCTTGCCCCTCCAGGCAACACCATCAGACAGGAGCAAGAAGGCCCTTTGTGAGCTTTCTCTCATGTGACCTTTATCTGACTTTGGAAAGCCTCAGCTACCTTACTTAGTATGAGGTGACAGATTCCAATGCAGAAGCCTTCTCCAGGCTCTATCACCACAGCCAGGCCTGCTTTACCCTTCAGATTTTCTAGTTACAACTTGATAAAGCTTTCTCAAAACCGAGGCAAGCAAAGTGCTTTATATCTCCCGATTACTGGAAGCAAATTTCTGAGGTCTTTCAGTTATTTCCTTGAAACCTCTCTCGCTATATTTAAAGGGAGAGGTTGACAGCCTTCCACCATAAATGGGTAGGGCGGAGATTTACAGCATAACAACCTATTCCCAAAAAGAAGTCTCTGCAGATCCCCTGACCATACCCTCTTATAGACTAGGCGTCATTTTATGTATAAAACTGCATTGATGGGAAGGGGTTTGATTTATGCTTGAGTAACTGATGTTATTTTATCAGCCCCTCAGTCAAAAATGAGATAGGAAACATGTCATTCTAATTTCCTGTGTTACCTGACCAAGTGTCACAGTCACAATGTTTTAATGACTCTACAATTTCCCCACGCTTAAAATGAGGATTAAGTGAGGTTGTAGGATACTAATGGTGCTTAATTCAGATGGTTATTGCGAGTATTAAAGGAATTAAAACAGTAGAGGCTGAACACATATCTGGCTTGTCATAGAACTCAGTAAGTATTAGTTGTATTGAGTTATCTTTCAAAAATCAACTCAACTCACATTTTCCTAATTAGCTTTTCTTAATTTTTCCTTTCAGTGTTAAGCATACTCTCCTCAGTGTTCTCAAAGAATATTAGATGAGTTCTTTTTTGTTTTTAAAATTTATGTATCAAATTCCTACAAATCATTGGAGTGTATTTGTCTGTCTTCCCCCTTTAACCTCTCAAGCCAGGAACTGTGATCTATTTATTTTTGTTTCTCAAGCATTTATCACGTTTGAGGAGTGAGCAAATGGACAGGTCTGATTAGATGGCTAGACACTCGAGAACAGATAAATCAATTTGCTTAAGAGTGTCCATAAGGATGAGCCAGAAGAATCACTTAAACCCGGGAGGCGGAGGTTGCAGTGAGCTGAGATCATGCCACTGCACTCCAGCCTGGGTGACAGAGCAAGACTCTGTCTCCAAAAAAATAAAAAAAATAAGAGTGTCCATAGATGGTCAACTTTGCTGAGGTAGATGAATGAATGAGTAAAGCTTGCAAAGCAAACAAATCTCTGAAAGCTTTCAAAAAGCACAGAAATATGCACAGTTTACACATAGCTGTGCCAATATTTTCCTATTAAAGCCATAAGTATTTGTAACAAAAACAAACTAAGAAAGCATTGGATCCTGCTAGATGTTTAGTGGTACTGGGCTGTGTTAAGAAAAAAAAGCAAATATCTTTATAATTATTCCATTTGAGTAATTTACTGACGGAATGTTGTTCTAAAAAATGATGGCCAATGGCTTCCTATTGCTTGTAGATGATTCTAGCTGTTCATCATTCTTTAGGCCTCAAAGAGAAAAAATAGATATTTATAACTGATTAAATTAGCTAGATGATGAAACTGTCGAGTATTAATACTGAAAAATGTAATAAAATTAGAAATAATTCTTATTTATATAAAGTTAAATATAATATTACATTATTTTTTCTTTTCATTTATATGTTTTAGTAGTAAATACATTCTTTAAAAATAATATGATATTGATTGGGACTAAAAGGCACCCATACAGAAAGAAAATTGATTTCTTTGGCATTTAAAAACTATTAAGTTATTTTTCAAATGGAAACTTTCAATAGTTACAGAAGGTAGCAGATGAAAGTCATTAGTAATCATCAAGAGAAAATAATAGTGAAGTTTTTTCCTTCTTTGTTTTCTCCTTTTAAGTCAAAATCTTCCATTTGTTTAGTTACATAAAATCTGAAGCATTGGGAATTTTTTTTTTCTTTTTTTTTTTTTTTTGAGACAGAGTTTCACTCTTGTTGCCCAGGTTGGAGTGCAATGGCACGATCCTGGCTCATCACAACCTCCACCTCCTGGGTTCAAACAATTTTCCTGCCTCAGCCTCCCAAGTAGCTGGAATTACAGGCATGCACCACCACACCTGGCTAATTTTGTATTTTTAGTAGAGACGGGGTTTGTCCATGTTGGTCAGGCTGGTCACGAACTCCCAACCTCAGTTGATCCTCCTGCCTTGGCCTCCCAAAGTACCAGGATTACAGGCGTGAGCCACTGTGCTCGGCCGGGAATTTTTTTTTTTTTGAGCCATGAAAAATAAAATTAACTTAGCTGTCATAATTCTCCTTGGATTCCTCTGCATAGCATAGTTTTAGCAACAGATGTGGAAATTATGCTGGACCTTTGGATATGTCATCATTTTCCTGCCTACTTCAGTTCTATAAGATAAGCTGTCCTGGAAAAGTTTAGATGGCACTATGGGGAATGAAGACCTGGATCTGACTCATTCTTCTTTCAATGTGCTATTGAACTTTGGGCAAGTTATTCAACCTCGGCTTTAGTTATAAAATGGTACCTCTGTTTAGCTATTGGTAAATTGGAGATGAGTACTTTTACTTTCCAGGGTTATTTTGAAGCTCAACAAAGTCAACTTTTATTAAATGCCTTAGAAGTTTCTACCTGCCCTATTTTTTTCTTGCAAAGACCAGAAACTATTTTAAATAAAGGATAATAGTCTTCATGGTTGGATGGGGGTGGGCCTACTGTCTTCTGTTCTCAATTTGGGACATATTAATATTGTCTAGTCCAGCTTAGAGGGAATTAGCTCTTAATTCACCAGGTAAAGCCATACTTATTTTGGTCTATGAAAACTTGAAGCATAGAGAATGTATTTAATTCATTCACAGTTTGGCTAGATATTTAATTCTGAAGTATATGCAGAACAATGTTCCTCTTCATACAAAAGCAGCTTTTCCTAAGGAATTAGCAGCTGGCCAAGGTACTAAGTCGGTTCTATTGAACACAGCTCTGGGCCCTTGAATGGCCCTTGTCAAGGTCCTCAGACACTGCGGGTTTATATGATGCAGATCATCAATGGTCGCCTTTAAAGAATGGTGTCCATAATGTATCCTCACTCCCTTTCTGCTTTCCTGATGCATCTTCCTTAGGCTTTCTTCTTCAAAACTCTTGTTCAGTTTCTTGTCCTTCATGGGCTTAATGACTAATCATAAAGAATTTAATGGCCCAATCACATGGAACTCCATGACTTAGCAACATAAAATACACTTTACGCCCTCATCCAACGGATGGGGGTCAAATTCGTACAAACACAACTGCTGCACTTTTCTAGCTGGAGAAAAGGTAGAGTGATTTATTTCCTTCTTGATACATGATCAGTTGGCAACTAGGCTTCTTGGTAAAGCAGCTTAAATACATTAAGTATATAAATTCCCCAAACACAACAGAGTTTCTCTGCCTTATGATACCACCAGCACTTGCCTGGATTTCTGAGTTGGGAAATAAGGTACCATACTCAGGCCTCACAGAGAACAGAGCTGGAATGCCAGGTATGGAAGAGTTTAACTCTCCGAGGCCACACCATTTTTTCCATTGCTTCTTCTCCTTGCATGAGTTTGTCCATTCCCCTCTCTTTGCTCTCCAGCTTCCTCTGCATGTTCATCTTGTACTTAATCCAGTATGACTGTGATCCCTTGCTATACATCATGATTTCTTAGATCCAGCACCTACTGGCGACAGTCTCTGGGTCTCTTAGATCAGAAAGACAATCAGCTTGGCCCAGATTAGTGGTTCTATTTCCCACTCCCTGAAAATTCCATTAAGATAACTTGTTGGTCACCAAAACAATCTCTTGATAAAGCAAATCAGAGTTTATTGCTTGCTGTAATACGGGAGTACAATGTCTTGACCATCTCAGTAGCATCTTACAAGGATGTGATGGATTTCAGGCATGAATTTGAGGATTTGGAGGTCTACTTTAAGGTGAGTCTTTCTGCTGGAATCAACTTTGGATTGGACAAGTTAGTGAAAGAAAAGTTTATGGCTGGTCAACACAAGAAAGTGAGGGTTTCTCAGAGTCTTAAAGAGTAAACAGTCTTTTGATGAGCCTAAAGTTGTCACTAAAGTGACACTAAAGTGACCTATTGTCCTATGAACAGGTAAGGAGAGCTAGAGGAGTAGTCTGTTGTTCAGATAAATGGTTTCTGGAGGAAGTTCTTAAAACAGACAATAAAGTCAGTTGGAACTTCTTCCTGGGCTAGAGTTTTCTAAAGTTCTGTTAATTTACTCAGTGAGCTATATGTTTCAGATTGTTTCTTTTCTCAATTCGCAATGCCATCTCTTATTAAAATTGTGTGGCAGAGGGAGGACACATATTGTGATTTACCCCATTTCAGGACATGAATTTTTTATCTTTAGGGGAGGTGCTTGGCCATTGGTAATTTTTTTTTTTTTTTTTTTTTTTTGAGATGGAGTCTTGCTCTGTCGCCAGGCTGGAGTGCAGTTGCCCAATTTCGGCTCACTGCAACCTCCACCTCCTAGGTTCAAGCGATTCTTCTGCCTCAGCCTCCCCAGTAGCTGGGATTACAGGCACCACTATGCCCAGCTAATTTTTGTATTTTTAGTAGAGACGGGGTTTCACCATGTTGGCCAGGCTGATCTCAAACTCCTGACCTCATGATCTGCCTGCCTCGGCCTCCCAAAGTGCTGGGATTACAGGCGTGAGCCACCATGCCCAGCTCAGACAAGGCAGCAACCCAATGGCCTAGATCAACGTTTAAAGCCAGGCCACATAACGCAATGATGTTTTGTGTGTGTTTGATCAGTTATCCATCTGTAATGGTGGTGGCAAGGGCCAGATAAGGCATGTAATATATAAGATGACTCCTTCTAGGGGCTGTGGGAGTAGCGGGAAACTGAAAACGTGTCTATCACAGGTATTCATTGTCTCTAGGGAGTGCCTGGTCTGAGATGAATCACAGTATGTGCTCTCCACCCACATTTTTAATACAGGTGTTAAAAGGCCAACACCCTTGGAAATCACAGGGCTTAAAATTGCCAGTACGTGCGTACTCTGTCTAGAGCTTGTGTAGGCTGAATACACCAGGTGCCATGGCTGCTGTTGATGACTAGAAGTGGGTGGAGGCAGCAAAGGGGATCTTGTTGTTCCTGGGCCATGGTCCAGAGTCTCCAAAGAACAGACAGTGAAAAGATTATGAATCAGCTAATTGGTGTGGCAGTGTCAAATTATGGTCAGGAAAAGGCTGTTGGAAATATCAGGGAAATGCAGAAGTGGGAGAAGGCTGGAGGCCTGTTAGTGCAGAAAAGGGCCTGGCAGGAATTTAAACTAGTATACTACAGTGTTCTTGGTTGGGAAGGGAAAGCCTGGTAGGAACTGAAAATGAGGTCCTAGGGAGAACACAAGGAATAATCTAGTCACATATTAGCAGAGAAGAAAAGGATCCAGTCCAGGTACAGCTGTTGGTCGTGCTTTGGTCTCAGGCTACTTGAAAAAAGCAGAACTGTAAGTATTATATGCAATGACCAACCACAACAAGCAGAGAATTCAGGATTAGTAGCATAAAGGGCCTGCAGACAACCTCCCAGTGTTTTCCCCAATGACAATGAGCCAAAAAAGGAAAATAAAAATTAAGTCAGGAAGGATGCTGTTGCTCACACCTGTAATCCTAGCACTTCGGGGGGCTGAGGTGGGCAGATCACCTGAGGTCAGGAGTGTGAGACCAGCCTGGGCAACATGGTGAAACCCCATCTCTACTAAAAAAATACAAAAATAGCCAGGTGTGGTGCAGGTGCCTGTAATCCCAACTGCTTGGGAGGCTGAGATAGGCGAATCGCTTGAACCCGGGAGGCAGAGGTTGCCGTAAGCAGAGGTGGCGCCACTACGCTCCAGCCTGGGTGACAGAGCAAGACTCCATCTCAAAAAAAAAAAAAAAAAAAAAAAGTTAAGTCAAATGAAAAAGACATACCTAGAGAAACATTGTTCTCAAGGAGGAATCTAATGGGACCAAATCCATGGATTTAGTACTTATGGGCTAGGAGGAAAATTAGAACCAAAGATGAGCAGCCATAGATCGACCCTTCCAAAAACATTATGCAAATACTACTGTGTCAAGATCGTGGAGACACAACTATTTCATATACTGCCAGTTTATAAAATCCCCTCGAAGAGGATTATGGCCTCATTTACTAAATCAGAAAATGACCCAGCAATTTCACTTCTAGGTATAACTTCTAGATAAATGTTTACATGTGTACATAAGAAGGCATTTACAAGTATGCTCATTGAAATGTTGATTGGAAACCAAAAAATTAGAAATAGTTATATTAGTTACAGAATAACTAAATTTACTGAGTTTTATTTAAATAAGAGAATACATATGTCCGTTAAATAAATAACTATAAGAATTGACATGTATAGATAATAAGTGAAAAAGCAAGTAGAAAAAGGATACATTCAGTATGGCAAAATTTATATATACACATACACAAATATATAGATTAGTAGCTGGGTGTCATGGCTGCATGTCAAATCTGTATTTCCAGCTATTTGGGAGAACTACTTGAGACCAGGAGTTCAATGCTGTGGTGTGTTATGATCATGCCAGCGAATAGCCACCGCACTCCAGCTGGGGCAACATAGCATGACCTTTACTCTAAAAAATAATGATAGTAATATAATTCATTTATAGGTACATACGTATTTAGAAAATGAATAAAAATATAGATTGCATATGCACCAAATCAATAAGAACAATTTCCTCAGAAGAGGGAATTGGGGTTTGGGATGATATCACACAACAGTATGTATAATATTTTATTTTTTAAAACATGAAGTACATTTCTTATAATATTATCATTTATAATTTCAGTATGGTGGGCTTGTAGGTGTTTGTATTTTTGCTGGTCTTAAACCAACCAAAAGTAAATATACAAACAGAACAGAAAAAAAATCACATGGTACTCTTTATAATATTTAATAAATGGTACTAATTCAATGTATCTAACCCTGTGTAGGGTATTAACGATGTCAAGGATAACATTTAGTCCAAGCTTCCAAGGAGCAACTGATATCTAAAGACACACACACACACACACAAGCAATTACAAGAGTAAGTATAAACTTTTATGAAAACACGTATAAAGAAGATATTTCTTTTTGTTAGAAAAGGGAAGTCAAGAAAAACTGCAAAGAAGAAAAACATTTTAGATTGGCCATTCAGAAAGAGTAGGATGTTTGGGAATGGGGGAGAGCATGAATAAAGGCATAGAGATATAAAACAAGTAGACATTTTAAATAACAGCACAATGTATTGTGTGATTGGATTATCAATTGGATTATAAATTGGGTATACATTATAAATTGGGTATGGATTATAAAGGTAAATGACAGAAAATAGACCTGGAAATTGGGGATAGTTAATAAAAAGCCCAGAACGTCATATTAAGGAGTTTGGGGTACAGATGTACATCTCAATAAAATAATGCTGTTGCTGATATGGAGGATGATTGAATTGATGTGAATCTGGAGAAAGGAATACAAGAATCTAGGTAAGAGAGACTCATCATTCATTACTAGATGATGGTCAATATCCAGTGAGTCACTTCTACATCACATACTACAAATATAGCCTCAACATTTCAGAAATGAACTGAAGGTCAGAACTAGAATTATTACCCTGATGGTTGCTGGTGGCAACCTCGGAGAGAAGCTAATATTAGCCTCAAAACAATCAGAAAAGTTGGGTACAAAACTGCTCTTTACCCAATAGAGAAAGCTTTCTATTGACCATCTATTACTCATATAAAGAATAAATACATAATCAACACTCCCCAGGCAAAGAAGGTTCATTTGTTTGTGAAGCAAAACCAGCTTTCTTGGATGGTTGTACTGTAAACAAGAGCCCCTTTTAACTACACGCTTAAGAGTCTGTTGAACCTGCCAAAGGGCGGGTCACCTTGGCTGGAGTAATAATGCAGACTGGCTCCTCCACAGGAAAATTAGGGATTTGCAAAAAACCACCAAAGACCCTGAAAGCATTTGTGTGAGTGACCTACATATTTGCTGGAGTGACATTCTGGATGGAGACAGAGTTTATTCTTTGCTCTCATTCTCACCCCACTCTCCCTACCTTGTGGAGACAACATTGGTCTCAATGTCAGAGGCCTTTAAGTTAGTTTTACTAATACCTTTTCATCCCGTTAGAGTTTAGAAACTTGCTTCTCCTCTCAGGAATCCAGGGCCCTCATCTGAGAGTAAATTTTTTTTTTTTTAATTTCTCTCAACTGACTGCATCTTGACCTTGGAGCAGAGAATATGATAACTACATTACTCAGTAGTTTTATTCATCACGCTGATTCAGTGGTCTTTCAAATCCTTTCCACTAATTCGTGCAAAGGAAGCACCATTCTGAAAAATATGTGCCTGAAAAACATGCCTATTTACCTTCCAGCCTTTCAGGGGAATAATGATCTAAAACATGGCCACTGATCTTCAGAGTACCAGGGAAAGAGCAATAGTTCAAGGCCCAATTAGATGAAGACGAGTGCAGCTCAGCTGACCCTAAAGGTCTGAGATCTTGAGTCTCAGTGACTCTCCCTGGCTTTTTCTACACTGCTCAAGGCAGAGGCTTCCTGTAGAATTCCTTCAGGGACAAATTAGGTGCTTGGCTACTACCTTGTACTATTTTTATGTTTCTTGTTCTGTTTCTAACATCTGGTCCAATCAGATAATCTTCTCTAATTTGATGATGTTGGAGGCCTTACCCATCTTACATCTCAGAGGTTTGTGAGTGAATTCAAGGTAAGGTCTGTGCTTCTCTTTAAAGAAATAATTTGGAACGCATAATGTAAAGGTCTTTTCAAGATCCACATTCTCACTCTTGCCAAGGGCTTTCATCTCTATGCTTGGGAGATGGAAAGCAATGTGGAAAATTTTGATAAAGGTCTTTTATTAACTGTGAAACCGGGGGTGAATTATTTACTTTACAGGATCTTCAATTTATTTGTAACTAAAATCAGAGACTAAGTGCTCACTTACAAAATTGTTACCATCGTCACTTGAAGGATAAAGTTTGTGTAAGAGCTCTTGAAGTAAAAGAGATGTTCAGTACACAGTAGTTCATGTTACTATGCTACTCAGAGTAATCAACCAAGAAAAAAGTGCTATTGCGTTTTAGTATTAATAGCAACTTCAAACTTGAAAACTGAATTTTTGCAAGTCATTCTTCTTTCAGTTTTCTTTTGAAGACAAGGAATAACATTGTTGTGAATAGGTTATAGTAGGTGAGAACGGGGTAGAAGTGGGAGGTGGGATGGGGAGCCTACTTTCTTATTTACTGGTCTCCTCATCTGACTACACCATGACTGCTGTCATGCATCACACACTTATGCTTTGTACCTTTCTCTTTCCATTCATCTCGTTTACAAAAAGATAACTTTATTATTATGCTGTGTTCACACCTGAGTAGACAAACATGGCTGAAGAAAAACATGGGCTCACTTTATATTTACAACTCACGTTAGATATACAACACAAACCTCAGATGTAACCTCAGGGCTACTAAGCAATTCACTGAGGTCTCATGATTTAATATATTCTCCTCTCTTTAGACATCTATTTAATATTTTTCCCATATCTGAAAACCTTGCTTACCTTCTCACCGGTAGCGCAGGACTTTGTTTTACAGATTCACCTGAAAAAAATAGAAGTAATTAGAAGAGAGTTTCCTCATCTTCCCTCCAGCAAACTGTAGCTGAGCTACATCAGAATTCATATTCTGTGCTGTACTTTCTGTTAAAATGATGAGCTATATCCCTTTTCCGAATTAAGATCAGAATTTTCACTTGTGTTCTGAAATCTACTTCTTGTCCGGGTGCAGTGGCTCACGCCTGTATTCCTATAACTTTGGGAGGCTGAGGTGGCTGGATCACTTGAGGTCAGGAGTTCGAGACCAGCCTGGCCAACATAGTGAAACCTCATCTCTACTAAAAATACAAAAATTAACCAGGCATGGTGGTATGTGCCAGTAGTCCCAGCCACTCAGGAGGCTGAGGCAGGAGAAGTGCTTGAACCCCAGAGGCAAGGCTGCAGTGACCTGAGATCGCACTACTGCACTCCAGCCCGGGCAACAGAGTGAGACTCTGTCTCAAAAAAAAAGAAAGAAAGAAAAAAGAAAAGAAAGAAATCTACTTGTTATTATCTTCTCAAGGGCTTTATTCTTACATCATAAATGTTATACTTCCTCTAAAATAATTTCTATCAACATAAACGTGCTGTAATATATTTTACCTTTAAAAAACCCTAATGGATTTGATGTTTTCTGCTCTTCAGAAAGTAGTCCATACATTCTACCTTTACCTTTTTCCTCCTGTTAACTCCAAACACACTCTAATCAGGAATCCCTTCCACTCTACACTGAATCCACTTACCAAAGTTACCAACAAGCCTCATGAACCAAATCCAGTCATCAGTTCCCAGTCTTTATGTTATTTAACTTAGAAGCAGCATTACCAGAGTGCATTATTCCTGCTTTGATATGCTTCCTTTTTTTTTTTCGTTTTTCAATGCCTTGTCAGTTAGGCAAAAGATTCTAAGTTCATAGGGGCATCATTTCATAGTTGCTTTACATGTAAATTTCCATAGGGAAAGATCTTTCTCAAAAAAATTATTAACGTGTGTTGTGGGAAGTTAGGGACCCCAAACGGAGGGACCGGCTGAAGCCACGGCAGAAGAACGTGGATTGTGAAGATTTTATGGACATTTATTAGTTCCCCAAATTAATACTTTTATAATTTCTTATGCCTGTCTTTACTGCAGTCTCTAAACATAAATTGTAAAGATTTCATGGACACTTATCACTTCCCCAATCAATACCCTTGTGATTTCCTATGCCTGTCTTTACTTTAATCTCTTAATCCTGTCAGCTGAGGAGGATGTATGTCGCCTCAGGACCCTGTAATAATTGCATTAACTGCACAAATTGTACAGCATGTGTGTTCGAATATGAAATGTGGGCACCTTGAAAAAAGAACAGGATAACAGCAATTGTTCAGGGAATAAGAGAGATAACCTTAAACTCTGACCGCCGGTGAGCCAGGTGGAACAGAGCCATATTTTCTCTTCTTTCAAAAGCAAATGGGAGAAATATCGCTGAATTCTTTTTCTCAGCATGGAACATCCCTGAGAAAGAGAATATGCGCCTGGAGGTATAGGCTTATAAACAGCCCCCCCAGGTGCGCCTGTCTCTTGTGGTCGAAACTGCAGAAATGAAATAGACTCCAGTCTCCCATAGTGCTCCCGGGCTTATTAGGAAGAGGAAATTCCCGCCTAATAAATTTAGTCAGACCGGTTGATCTCAGAACCCTGTTTCCTGATAAGATGTTATCAATGACAATGGTGCCTGAAACTTCATTAGCAATTTTAATTTCGCCTCAGTCCTGTGGTCCTGTGATCTCGCCCTGCCTCCACTTGCCTTGTGATATTCTATTACCCTGTTAAGTACTTGATGTCTGTCACCCACACCTATTCGCACACTCCCTCCCCTTTTGAAAATCCCTAATAAAAACTTGCTGGTTTTTGTGGCTTGTGGGGCATCACGGAACGTACCGACATGTGGTGTCTCCCTTGGACGCCCAGCTTTAAAATTTCTCTCTTTTGTACTCTGTCCCTTTATTTCTCAAGCCGGCCGACGCTTAGGAAAAATAGAAAAGAACTTCTGTGAATATCGGGGCAGATTCCCCGATAGACTTGGCTTTTTTTCTGAGTAAGCAGTGATATCCAATCTGTTTTTGGGGAAATAAACAAACTTTAAGAGAGTTGGGGCTGGGCATGGTGACTCACTTCTGTAATCTCAGCACTTTGGGAAGCCGAGGCGGGAGGATCACTTGAGGTCAGGAGTTCGTGATCAGCCTGGCCAGCACGGTGAAACCCTGCCACTACTAAAAATAAAAATTAGCCAGGCATGGTTGTGCACACCTGTAATCCCAGCTACTCAGGAGGCTGAGGCACAAGAATTGCTTGAACCCGGGAAGCGGAGATGACAGTGAGCTGAGATCATGCCACTGCACTCCAGCCTGAGGGACAGCGAGACTCTGTCTCAAAAAAAAAAAAAAAAAATTAAGAGAGTGGTACTGAGAAAAGTACCACCAGCATGCATTTATTTATTTATTTATTTATTTATTTATTTATTTATTTATTTATTTAGAAGGAGTCTTGCTCTGTTGCCCAGGCTGGAGTGCAGTGGAGCGATCTTGGCTCACTGCAACCTCCACCTCCTGGGTTCAAGTGATTCTTCTGCCTCAGCCTCCTGAGTCACTGGGACTACAGGCATGCACCACCACACCCAGCTAATCTTTGTATTTTTAGTAGAGACAGGGTTTTGCCATGTTGGTCAGGCTTGTCTTGAACTCCTGGCCTCAAGTTATCCATCTGCCTCGACCTCCCAAAGTGTTGGGATTACAGGCAAGAGCCACCCCAGCTGGCCCATTTAAGTCTTTAATCCATGTTAAGATGGTTTTTATATATGGTGTGAGAAAGGGGCTTTTCTAGTTCTTTTACATGCATTACTAAGTTATCGGCTGGAAGTTTTCTAATTTTTGGATGTAGGTGCTTATGGCTATGCATTGACCTCTTAGTATTGCTTTCACTGTATTCCATAGGTTTTCATATGTTGTAGTTCCATTTTCATTTGTTTCAAGAAATTTTTAAATTTTCTTCTTAATTTCTTCATCGACCCACTGGTCATTCAGGAGCATATTGTTTAATTTCTGTGTATTTGTAGAGTTTCCAAAATTCCTCTTGTTTTATTCCATTGTAGTCAGGGAAGATACTTGACATTATTTCAAGTTTTTTTAATTTTTAAAGACCCATTTTGTGGCTTAACGTACGGTCTTTCCTTTAGAGTGATCTACCTGCTGAGAAGAATGTGTATTCTGCAAGTATTGGATGAAATGATCTATAAATATCTATTATATCCCGTATTAGTAAGGGTTCTCTAGAGAAACAGAACTAATAGGATATATATATATGAGTATATATGAGTTTATTAAGTGTTTTTTTTTGTTTGTTTGTTTTTTTTTTGAGTCTTGCTCTATTGCCCAGGCTGCAGTGCAGTGGCACATTCTTGGCTCACTGCAACCACTACCTTCCAAGTTCAAGCCATTCTCCTGCCTCAGCCTCTCGAGTAGCCGAGATTACAGGCATGCACCACCACACCCAGCTAATTTTTGTATTTTTAGTAGAGACAGGGTTTCACCACGTTGGCCAGGCTGCTCTTGAGCTCCCGACCTCAAGTAATCTGCCTGCCTCGGCCTCCCAAAGTGCTGGGATTATAGGCGTGAGCCACTGCGCCCGGCCTATTAAATATTAACTTACACAATCACAAGGTCCCACAATAGGTTGTCTGCAAGCTTGAGGAGCAAGGAGGGCCAGTCCAAGTCCCAAAACTGAAGAACTTGGAGTCCGATATTCAAGGGCAGGAAGCATCCGGCACGGGAGAAAGATGTAGGCTGAGAGGCTAGGCCAGTCTTATCTTTTCACGTTTTTATGCCTGCTTTATATTCAGTGGAAGCTGATTAGATGATGCCCAACAGATTAAGGCAGGTCTGCCTTCCTCAGCTCACTGACTCAAAGGTTAATCTCTTTCGGCAACACCCACACAGACAGGCCCAGAATTAATACTCTGTATCTTTCAATCCAATCAAGTTGACATTCAGTATTAACCATCACAGGTCCATTTGGTTTATAGTGCAGATTAAGTCTGATGTTTCTTCGCTGATTTTCTGGCTAGATTATCTGTTCAATGCTCAAAGTGGAATGTTGAAGTCTCCAGCTATTATTGCATTGGGGTATACCTCTCTTTAGCTCTAATAATATTTGCTTTATATATCTGGATGCTCCCGTGTTGAGTGCATATATTTTTATAATTCTTATATCCTGTGGCTAAGTTGACCCCTTTGTTATTATATAATGACTTTTTTTTTTTAATAGTTTTTTGTTTTCACATGTATTTTGTCTAAGTATAGCTACCCCTGCTCTTTCTTGATTTCTGTTTGCGTGGAATATTTTTTTCCAACTCTTTATTTTCAGTCTATGTATGTCTTTATAGGTAGGGAGTGTTTCTTGTAGGCCACAGATTATTATTCTTTAAATCCATTCAGCCACTCTATGCCTTTTAATTGGAGAGTTTATTCCATTTATATTCAATGTTATTATTGATAATTAAGGACCCCTGCCATTTTTTTTTTTTTTTTTTTTTACTGTTTCATGGCCTTTTCTTCCTTTGTTCTTTTCTTCCTGTCTTCACTTTAGTGAAGATGATTTTCTCAGTAGGTTTGTTTTAATTTCTTGCCTTTTATATTCTGTGTGTTTTGTTTTGTTTTGTTTTTTTGATTTGAGGTTATCATGAGGCTTGCAGATAATATCCTATAACTCATTATATTAAAGTGAAGAAAACCTAGCACTGATTATATAAACAAACAACTAGCAAACACTCAAAGAGAAAACTAATAAAAACTCTACACTTTAAAAATATGGACTACTTCACATAATTGCATGTTATTCTTTGACAGGGGTCATGGTAATCATCTCTGTATGATTCTACTTTTATTATATGTGGTGCCAACATAAACACTCAATTATTTATGTAAGTAAATTAAATTCTCCAATCAAAAGACCTAGGGTGGCTGAATGGATTAAATAGCAATTTACAACAATATAATTCCTGCAAGAGACTCACTTTAGCCTCAAGGAAAAACATAGCCTGAAAGTGAAGGGATGGCATAAGATATTCCATGCAAATGACAACCAAAAGAGAGCAGAAGTGGCTGTACTTAACAGTAGACAAAATAGACTTTCAGTCAAAACAGATGAAGAAAGTCACTATAAAAAGAGGTCAATTAATCAAGAGCATATAACTATTGTAAATATATAAGCATCCAACTTCAGAGCACCTACATACATAAATCAAATATTAACAGAACTTAAGGGAGAAGTAGATAGCAATACAATAGTAGAAGACTTCAGTACCCCGCTGTCAACAATGGATAAGTTATTCACTCAGAAAATCAGCAAGGAAACAGCAGACTTGAATACCACAATAGATCAAATGTCCTAACTGATAAATACAAAACATTACTTCCAATAGCAGCAGAGTAAACATTCTTCTCAAGCTTACATGGAATATTCTCCAGGATAGATAATATGTTAGGCCACAAAACAAGTCTTAACAAATTTAGGAAGATTGAAATCATATCAAGTATCTTTTCCAACCACAATGTTATGAAACTAAAAATCAATAACAGGAGGAACTTTGGAAAATTAAAACATATGTGGAAATTAAACATACTCCTCAATAACCAAATTACTTTTTCTGGTCAGAGAAGAAATCAAAAGACAATGAAAATGGACTCACAACACATCAAAACTTATGGAGTGCAGCAAAAAGCTTCATTCCCTATGGGGGAAATTTACAGTGATAAATGCCTACATCATGAAAAAGAAAGGTAGAAAGAAAGAAAGAAAGGAGCAACCTTACTTTATACCTCAAGAAACTAGAAAAATAGAGAAAATATGAATCTAAAATTGACAAGAAGAAGGAAGTAAAAATTAGAGCAGAAATAAATGAAATAGAGATTAGAAAAACAATTTAGTCTCCAGAAACACTCGGGCTGGTGGCAGTGAGGGTGTTAATTATAATTTGGATATAAAACCATTTTCCTAGCCCACCTTAGAGAAGACTGTTGCCACGCTAGTTGAAATGGTTCCAATAGCCTCCCTTGCAAGTCACTTCAGAGTCAAAGAATTTTCTTTGTAAAAACAGCAAGGGAGGTGTCACAGTATTCCATTTAGAGCGACAACTTTAAGTTCTTGCCATGGAAAATTCAGAGAAGACAGAAGTGGCTCTCTGTGCTTGTGGTTCCTTTAATTCTATCACCAACAAGCACCTCAGGTTGTTTGAGCTGGCCAAGGATTACATGAATGGAACAGGAAGATATAGAGTTGTCAAAGGCATAATCTCTCCTGTTGGCGATGCATACAAGAAGAAAGGACTCATTCCTGCCCATCACCAGGTCATCACGGCAGAACTTGCCACCCAAAATTCCAAATGGGTAGAAGTTGACACATGGGAAAGTCTTCAGAAGGAGTGGATAGAGACTGTTAAGGTGCTAAGGCACCATCAAGAGAAACTGAAGGCCAGTAACTGTGATCACCAGCAGAACTCACCTACATTAGGAAGGCCTGGACGAAAGAGGAAGTGGACTGAACAAAGACAAGATTCTGATCAAGAGGAATCCCCTAGAGCCAAAAATGAAAGGTGCGCCAAAGGTCCATCTGCTGTGTGGGGGTAGATTTACTGGAGTCTTTGGTGTTCTCAGTTTGTGGATGAGTGAAGATATCATCCAAATCGTGGCAGATTATGAGCTCATATGTATTACTTGATATATATTATCATGGAAAATTCAGATTAAATTGGAAATGATGCTCAGAAATTCATCTATGAATCTGATGTGTTGTTGAAACATCAGAGCAACATTCACATGGTGAATGAATGGATGACTATTGAGATCTCATTGACAAAAATCTGGAGAGTCCTCAGAAGGGATCAGAGCATTTGCTAGTTGGCACCAGATCTTGTCCAATAATACCTTGAAAAGCAGAATTTGTACAGCTCCGAGAGTGAAAACAGGAATGTTGGGATCATCCTGCCCCTTTGCAGAGAAACACTGCAGAAGCTAAGGCATAGGAATTCTACAGCATGATGTTTTGGACTTCCCTTTTGGGGATTTGAAACAATCTGGGTGTTAGTAACGGGGGAAAGAAATTGTGATCCTGTTGCATAAAATAAAGCTTAAAAGTTTAGTAAAAATCAGTGGTAAGTTAAAATCAGGATTTATTTTTATTAGAAGTTGCTAAGATGAATGTTTTCCATATGTTTTGGTTTTTTTAGAATGTACAAATCTCTTTATCTTTAAACCAAGAGATTAGCAGCACACTAAAACCAGAAGAATTTTCAGTGAAACTAGCCACAAATAAGTAAAAAAGTACATTCAACTCTACCACATAAAAGAAACAGAGTGTGAAAAGCAAAAGTTCATTTAAAATTCTAACTTTGGTTATGAAGGAAATTGACATTGTGTGGATGCCTGTTGCTGGATAATCAGGAGCCAGGGTAGACAAAGGAAGGAACTCTTACAGTGGTGATCTTGTAAAGTGCACCATTGATAAATCGTCTCCAGTTACGCAAAACAATGATTGTGAATTTGCCTGGCAGAAACATTGCACCAATAGTTGGTTTTCTGTTTCACACATCAGAATGGCCAAATAAACTTTGGCGAGACTTATCTGCCTAGAGCTGCACCTTTGGAGGTAGGGAGTGAGGTCCAAGCCCGTGTATGTTTAGAAAGGTGTGCAGGTATTTCTGATGCCCACCAGAGGTAGAGAGCTGCTGCTTTACAGGTTACACACATTCATTTAGCCTTTTGCAAATCATATTCTAGCCCTGGCCATCTGCCACCTCTTTATCTTCAGGAACAACTTCAGAGATAACATCATGCTGCTTTGAAATGAGAAAACCAAAGATAATGAGGGGTCTCATTCAAGGAATTTATAAGTCTGAATGTTCTCAGCCTTTACTGATAGCTTAATCAAAAGATCTGAGTGGGGCACAGTGGCACATGCTCTGTAATCCCATCTACTTGCGATGCTGTGGCAGGAGGGTCGCTTGAACCCAGGACTTTGAGACCAGCTTGGGACAAACAAGGAGAGCTCATCTTAAAAAAAAAACTCTGGAGTTTCTGAAAAGCCCTGCTCTTTCTCTGTTCCAGCCCACTGTGAATCTGCCATTTGTGAATTTAAGCAGAAAGGGGGTCTGTTTTCTTATACTTTTCCTCTTCTTGTCCTTTTATATGAAGTTTAGCTAAAAGTAGTACTCTCAAATAACTAGTCATAGCTTTATGATAAAAACTGGTTAAAATTTTGTAGAAGTTCTACCAACTGGTAAAATGAAAGACTAGAAATAGCTTTTTGTAAAATAGTTTTAGGGTTTGTGAAAATAGTTCTGTGATAGAAACAGGACTAAAATTAAATTTCTAATGAAAATAGAATAATTTGCTTTTTTAAATTTCTATTTCATACCTATACCACCCCAGATGAAGGATTTGAACTGCAGAATAAAAAACATACATAGAATTGTGTAATTGCGTAGTTGGACCTGAATCTACAGTTTAAAAAAGGAAAATGTTAAATAAGGTTAAGCAAATGTTTATCCTACAGCTCCCAGCTTATTCTTACTAAAGCCATCGGGCCAACTCTCAAAGACAGGGTAGGCGAAAAGCCTCACACCTAGCAGTTGCATTATCCATCTGCCGAGTGAATGAAATATTGGAATCTCAAATCCTAGAGATGCGAGTCATTTTTCTACTCCTTGGCTTTTTGGAGCTTAAGAGTTGAAGCAGCACTGAAAAATAACAATTGAGCAAGATGAAGCTATCATAACTGAGCTTTAGTTTCTTCTGGGCAACTTCTAGTTCATCTGAAACTTCTCTCATACTGTCATGCCTTCCTACTTAGAAGTGCCCGGGCCCTGCTGACCTGTGATACTATTGACCTCAGAACCTCACTGGATGAGGCACGTGCAGGAGGCCTGGTAATGGAGCAACAACTTTATACAAAGAACAAGTTACTTGTTTTTTTCCCCAAGTTCTGAGGGTGCTGCTGATGCTGCCACATAATGGTATAATTTTGGGTGTCCTCCTGAACAGAACTTCCCCTTTGAAAATGGAAATAAGAACAATGAACTTCACAAGAGAATGAATATTAATAACTGTTGTGACTTTCTTTAAGGAAGAAGAAAATACACCATGGCTTATTCCCTACTTCATTATCTATGTAATTTGCTTTTGTAATGTGAATTTAGAGGAAATGTGTGATGCTCCTATTGTGTTTTGTTTGTTTGTTTAATGCTGGGGGCTTTATTTGTTGTATACTTTACTCTGTATATTGTGTAATTCAAATGCAACAAACAAACATGCAGGAAAAGTCCTTTACTGGCATCTTCAAAAGCAATTTAGAAATCAACAAAACTGAGTTGGTTTCTTTTAAAATTAACAACATTATCAAACCTTTAGCTAGACTAACCAAGAAAGAAGAGAGAAGCCTCGAATAAATGAAACCGAAAATGAAAGAGAAGATGATACAACTGATACCTCAGAAACACAAAGGATTGTAAGTGACTATTGTGAACAATTATACTCCTAATTTCTAGAGAGCAAAGTAGCAATTATGTCTTTATTAACTAGGACTAAATGTTCAATTACCCCATATGGTAATATACTTGAAAGAAGGATCATTGTGTGTTAATTGTTCTTGGCCAGAATATCAGGTGATGGAGAATAGTCATATCATCTTAAGAGAGTTGACGGCAGTAAGAAAAACATATTAACCAATTTTATTAATTAATATAACATTATAATTTTTGATTTTACTACCATTTATAGTTTCAATGGCTGTCATTTTAAAATGTTTTTATCTCTACACCTGAGGCAGCGTATGTATTTTGGAAAGCAGAATACCATGCTTAGAAGTTAATAATGCAAAATTAGTCACTTATTAGCTCAGTGACATCTGATGAGTCAATTAACCTCATTGTGCCTCGGTTTTCTCATGCATAAAGGGAAAAATAATAATAGTGGCTTTATCTTATGGAGATAATGTAATGTTTTATGGAGTTAACACCAATAAAAATCTTAGAAGTGTGCCTGGCATATAGTAAATGTTACATATACATTAGTTCTAATTATTTGTAGAGAGAACGTTAGTCTTCTGGTCTTAGCTCTGTTACTCTCTGATTATCTGTAATCTTGGGCAATATATTCTGATCTCTGAGCAGCCTCCATTTTCTTCTGTAATATGTGCATAATATTTCTTTATGATGTTTTAATGAGAAGACAGATACAAAACTATACATAGTCTGGGCACGGTGGCTTACACCTGTAATCCCAGCACTTTGGGAGGCCGAGGAGGGCGGATCACGAGGTCAGGAGATTGAGGCCATCCTGGCTAACACGGTGAAACCCCGTCACTATTAAAAAATACAAAAAAAAAAATTAGCCGGGCGTGGTGGCGGGCACCTGTAGTCCCAGCTACTCAGGAGGCTGAGGCAGGAGAATGGCGTGAACCCGGGAGGCACAGTTTGCAGTGAGCCGAGATCGTGCCACTGCACTCCAGCCTGGGCGACAGAGTGAGACTGCATCTCAAAACAAAAACAACAAAAAACTATACATAAAAAGTTCCACATCACTTAAAAATTTATTTATTGCATAGTATAAAAAGAATATGTGGTCTCTGGTTCCATCCATGTTGTTTCATATGACTGGATCTCATTCTTTTTTATGGCTGAATAGTACTCCATTGTGTATATGTAACACATTTTCTTTATCCAGTCATTTGTTGATGGACACATAGGTTGCTTCCAAATCTTGACTATTGTAAACAGTGCTACAACAAACCTAAGAGTGCAGTTATCTCTGATATACCGATACTGATTTCCTTTCTTTTGAGTATATATATACACCCAGCAGTGGGATTGCTGGATCATATTTATGTTAAGTGAAATAAGTCAGGCACAGAAAGGCAAACACTTCATGTTCTCACTTACATGTAGGAGCTAAAAATCAAAACAATTGAACTCATGGACATAGAAAGTGGAAGGATGATTATCAGAGGCTGGGAAAGGTAGTGAGGGTATGGGGGAGGTGGAAATGGTTAATGAATAAAACAAAAATAGAAAGAATGAATAAGACCTAGTATTTGATAGTACAACAGGGTGACTATAGTCAGTAATAACTTAATTGTATGTTTCTAAGAGTGTAATTGTATTGTTTGTAACTCAAAGGATAAATGCTTGAGGGGATGGCTACCCCATTCTCCATGCCGTGCTGATTTCACATTGCATACCTGTATCAAAACATCTCATGTACCCCATAAATATATACACATCTACTATGTATCTACAAAAATTAAAAAAAAATTAAAAAGGATGTGTGAAAATTATGGAGAAGAAAACAAAAAGAACCATCTAACATATAGAGAACAGACCAAATATGATATAGTCTTGATTGATAATTTGAGATAGTTTTGTTCCATTCTACCAACCATTTTTTGCTTCCTTCCTTGTTTCTTTCCTCTCTTCCTTCTGCCATCCCTCTCTTCTTTCTCTCCTTCCTCTTTTCTTCCTCAGTATATTCAATAATTTATCACACATATGCTGAGAAACTATACTCTAACAGGCCCAATGCTAACTACAAAAGCATTCTCCACCCTTGGGAGAGTTCAGGCAGAGAGTAAAGAACCAGGCACACCGAACATCCATGGATGAATGGGTAACACAGCTAATTTAATCTTCAGATTTGAAGTTCCACAAATTAGTGACCTCAGGATAATTTGTGTGGCTTTTAAAAAAATACAAATTTCTAGACCCCACTTCTTGATTCTACCAATAGGAATTTTGAAAATGAGGGAAGGGAATTGCAGAGAGAAGTGGTCTATATTTTGTAACATTTCACCAAAGAATTCTGATGCAGCAGGTCCACAGACATTGGCCAGTTTGAAAATTTATTGAAATATCTTATAGTTCGTTCCAATATAGGTATATAATTAATCATTTTTAAAAGATAATTTTACATAAACCAAAAAAAATTGTCATTGTTGCTTTCTTAATTTCAGCATGTGGGTTTTGTGATATAGGTCCCTTTCATGATTTTCCAAATACAATGTCATCACTCAAAATGTATCAATACTAATCACAATAGTAGACAAAGAAACACATTCCAACATCTTCTATACATAGATCTAGAATTTTTGTCCAGTGATATCAATCACCTTGTTCCACAAATCTAAATTTGAGATAAATCCTCTTTTTTCGCTTAGGTGGTTTTGTTTCATTGTTATTCCACATCTGAATTAATCCAAGCTGTTGATAACAAAGGAAAGAGGTGAAGAAATATAAGTTGATTAGCCTAAACCCATTCCTACTGTGAAAAAGAGCATGTAGCCAGCCTGTGAGCAATGGTGAGTAACATCATCATTACTAACAAATATGAGCCATTTTTAGGTATTCTAATCTCGGGCTTCAAAGTCTAAAACATTAAAAAATAAAAGAATAAAACCTTTTTGTTTAAAGAAATGCTGGTTTTCTAATGGCACAAAGGTCAATCATTTGCTTATGTCTAGTAAAAATGAGGATTACATATTATCTCTTTTAGAACTAGAAAACAAGATTATATTAGAATGCAGATTGTTGGAAATGAGGCATTTTTGATGTATCTGTTTAATTCTCTCATTCAACATATGTCTAACCTGTGTGATTTTTCTGTTAAATAATATCTAGGCCAACTAGAAATCTACACAATATTTCTAGTCATGATTATTTTCTATGGGTTTCAGAGCAAGTACCAAAAATGTACAAATATCTAAAATTTATTTTTCATTTCTTGAATGCTAAAGCATGTGAGCATCTTGGTCTATTATATTTAGTCAAGAATATCTTTCCACTATTTCTGCATTAAACATTAATGAGTAGATTCCTTTGGAAATTTGGCATTTCGTCCTGAACTAGAATTAGAAAAAGTTTTCTCTTCAAACAACTGGAAACAGCATGTGTTCTGTTTATTGCTTCACATCAAAGCCAGCCTTATAATTCCTTTCTGATTTTGTCTGGATAAGTTCAAATTAGCTACTACATGACTAGCCCAGACAGCCTTTCATAATCAAAATTGGTTGGCAAATGGTAAGACCTTTGGCTAAAACTGTGTTTTCCTGTGCTGTTATTAATTGTCTAGCTTAGAAGAAACTGAGAGTTGTACAGTTGCTTGTTTTCTAATGAAGTTTCTTAAAATCATAAAATGGTGAAGTATAGTAGAACAACAACAAAAAAGGCTCTCGGAGGATAAATTTCATCCTGTGTTTCTGTGGAAATAATTAGATTTTGGTTGCATTTTTCCCCAATCTGTGAGACATGAATGCTTTTGAAAAAAAAATGAGTTATTAGATTAAAATATACTAAAAATTAAGCCCCATGTTTTATTAAATTCAGCAGAAATAAAATTACTCTGTCAGAATGCTGTGAAAGGTTTTTAAAAATTTGCTCTCACTTTCTGTACTCATTTAATCTCATATCAGTAACAAAAATTTTCAAAACTGGCATCATTCTGCGGGTCATATGTTGAATAGTAGTAATACAGTTGGTTTCCCTCATTTAATATATGGTGTCTCTGAGACTCCTGGAGGACTAATGTTTCTCTCAAAATCGCAGAGACAATTGCTGGCAGCAATAGGGCTTGATTTTATGACCTTCAATGCATAGGCCAAAGTACTTTGTAGTAGAGCGGGCTGCCTCAACTACTAACTCTTAATGAAGATGTAAGGAGAGCCTAGAAGACTCAAATTCAGGCACCTGTGCAAGTCACTGCCAGAGTTCAAATTGGTTTTCACTCTTGTATAAATTCCAAAACATGTAGGTGTTGAGTTCCTGGACACTTCCCTCAGAAAATTTGACAGACAAAGAAGTAGTTTGAGCATTTTTAATACAAATTTTATACTTTTATTTAAAAATTAGAAGCATTAACTCTGTAAAATAATTAACATGGATGCCTGTATAATCATTTAAAATTTTGACTTTGCCTTGGAATTCAAAGCATGGTAAGTTCATGTGATTTATGCATTTTTTTCCTCTTTCTTTCTCTTTCTTTTTCCCTTCCTTCCTTCCCTCTCTCCTTTCTTTCATTTTTCTCTCTCTCCTTTCTTTTCTTTCTCTCTTTCTCTTTCTCTTTCTTTCTTACTTCCTTCCTTCCCTCCCTCCCTCCTTCTTCTCTCTTTCTTTCTTCCTTTTTTTTTTGATGGAGTCTCACTCTGTCACCCAGACTGCAGTGCAGTAGCATGATCTTAGCTCACTGCAACCTCTGCCTCGTGGGCTCAAGAGATTCTCCAGCCTCAGCCTCTCGAGTAGTGCACACTACCATGCCCTGCTGATTTTTGTATTTTTGTAGAGACAGGGTTTTGCCATGTTGGCCAGGCTGGTCTCAAACTCCTGACCTCAGGTGATCCACCCGCTTTGGACTCCTAAAGTGCTAGGATGTATACATCCTATTATAGGCATGAGACTGTGCCCAGAACTTCCTTTTAAAGAAAATTTCTGGATACAGACTGATATTCAAACTGACAGCACTAGTTTTCTCTTTTTAATTAAATCTTACCTGGGAAATAGACTGTCTGACTGACACTGTTAATTTTTATAAACGTCATTAAATATCAGAAGATTTTTGAAAAATGAAACAGCTCCACAGATAAGTCTGCATGCAGAAAATATCTAAACTCTTAGATTACCCAGTCAAGCTCTACTTCTCATCTTGATCTGCATGTTACTGATTGTTAAATTAGAAAAATGAAGTTAATTATATTGTATACATTCTAGCATATACTCATAAAAGCATATATACTATAAGTATTTAGTCAGTTTCTAAATTACCAATACATTGATATATTAATGATCTAAATGTCAGTTTCTGAGTAGTATATTTCTAACTTACTTTGTAATTTTCCAAAGGAAAAAAATCCTATAAATGATTTCAAAGTACCCAAGCTATTAAATAGACATATTATATATATATATATGATACCTCAATTATAATACATACAGCATGATAGAAACTTACCATCATGCTTAGCAGTGTGTGAATTTTTACAATGTGCACAGAATTCCAGGAAAGCAAAGATAAGTCTGACTCATTTTTAATTGAACCAGGGATTACTTCACCTCAATGGGCAATGCCTTTCTGTTAGAGTAGAATGAATTCTCTTTCAGTTCTATAACAATAGCAAATCCTATCACTTTGAAGGCTGTAGAGGGCAAATAGATGGATATCTTAAGCACACTAGGCTTCGGACCAATTAGTTGTAGTCATTTAATAATTATTCAAAGGCCTGTTAAACCCAAAGTCTGTGCTCTTGTCACCAGAAACACCAGAAAAACAATTTTTTAATAGTTGAGTTAATAGGGAATAATTTCAAATCATTTATCTTCTTTCAGTAATTTCAAATACACAGTAGTCAATAAGAAGTTAGAATAAATAGTGGCCCATTGGAAAAAGTCAAGATAGTGGACACTAAGAACCTGATCAAGAGCTTAAAGAAACCAACAAGGGTAGAATCACAAAATTCCAAAAGAAAATCCTAGTTGATTAACTTATTTTGTTGATTTGCAAGAACTATTGTTATGGATACTGTGTCTGGAATTGGTGGGTTCTTGGTCTCACTGACTTCAAGAATGAAGTCACGGATCCTCGCGGTGAGTGTTACAGCTCTTAGGGTGGTGCGTCTGGAGTTTGTTCCTTCTGGTGTTCCGATGTGTTCGGAGTTTCTTCCTTCTGGTGGGTTCGTGGTTTTGCTGGCTCAGGAGTGAAGCTGCAGACCTTCGCGGTGAGTGTTACAGCTGATAAAGGCAGTGTGAACCCAAAGGGTGAGCAGCAGCAAGAGTTATTGCAAAGAGCAAAAGAACAAACCTTCCACAGTGTGGAAGGGGACCCCTGCGGGTTGCCACTGCTGGCTCAGGCACCCTGCTTTTATTCTCTTACCTGGCCCCACCCACATCCTGCTGATTGGTAGAGCTGAGTGGTCTGTTTTGACAGAGTGCTGATTGGTGCCTTTACAATCCCTGAGCTAGACACAAAGGTTCTCCTCCCCACCAGATTAGCTAGAAACAGAGTGTGGACACAAAGGTTGTCCAAGGCCCCACCAGAGTAGCTAGATACAGAGTGTCGATTGATGCAGTCACAAACCCTGAGCTAGACACAGGGTGCTGATTGGTGTGTTTACAAACCTTGAGCTAGATACAGAGTGGGGATTGGTGTGTTTACAATCCCTGAGCTAGACATAAAGGTTCGCCTCCTCCCCACCAGATTAGCTAGATACAGAGTGCGGATTGGTGCACTCACAAACCCTGAGCTAGACACAGGGTGCCGATTGGTGTATTTACAATCCCTGAGCTAGACGTAAAGGTTCTCCACGTCCCCACCAGACTCAGGAGCCCAGCTGGCTTCACCCAGTGGATCCTGCACCGGGGCTGCAGATGGAGCTGTCTCCCAGTCCAGCACCGTGGGCCCGCACTCCTCAGCCCTTGGGTGGTCGATGGGACTGGGCGCCGTGGAGCAGGGGGTGGCGCTTGTCGAGGAGGCTCGGGCCGCACAGGAGCCCACAGAGGGGATGGGAGGCTCAGGCATGGCGGGCTGCAGGTCCCGAGCCCTGCCCCACGGGAAGGCAGCTAAGGCCTGGCGAGAAATCGAGGGCAGCGCCGGTGGGCTGGCACTGCTGGGGGACCCAGTACACCCTCCACAGCTGCTGGCCCGGGTGCTAAGCCCCTCATTGCCTGGGGCCGGCAGGGCCGGCCCGCTGCTCCGAGTGCAGAGCCCGCCAAGCCCACGCCCACCCGGAACTCCAGCTGGCCCGCAAGCGCCGCGCGCAGCCCCGGTTCCCGCTCGCGCCTCTCCCTCCACACCTCCCTGCAAGCTGAGGGAGCAGGCTCCGGCCTCGGCCGGCCCAGAAAGAGGCTCCCACAGTGCAGCAGTGGGCTGAAGGGCTCCTCAAGTGCCACCAAAGTGGGAGCCCAGGCAGAGGAGGCGCCCAGAGCGAGCGAGGGCTGTGAGGACTGCCAGCACGCTGTCACCTCTCAATACTTCTCCCTCAGTATGATAAACGGTCTATAGAATGGCATCAACGTTTCAGCAGACCAGTGCAGATTTACCATGGAGCTGATGGAGGTAAATTTCTACAGACTCTTCCCTAAGGCCTGGGAGGATCCCTTTTGCAACCATGTGGTCTTATGTTGTTATAAAGTTTACAAAATATTCTTATCCTTTAAACTTCCTTTTTGTTACTCTTCTATTAATGAAGTGTGCCCATGGAGTGGCCATAGGGAAAATGAGTTGGGAAAACATTTGGTTTGAGTTCACTGCAATATGTTTATGTGGCTTGCATTTACTGAATATAAAAGTATTTGAGTGCTATACACTAGTAGCAATGAGCACGCAGATCTAGCACACAAACCATCTCCGCCTAAAGGAATCAGGGCTTTTGGGACTTATGGATGGTATGGATGGTACCAGGGTTGGGGCAGATATAAAGTAAGCCTGCTGAATAACTTCTTAATCAAGAACATAAAGTGCTCAGAAATATACGAACATGTACAGAGACTCGGGAGCCAGCTTGAAGGGGCTCCCAGTGGCCATGTATGAGGCAATTTGATGACCAAAACATTAAATACAGTAATGAATTATAAATTATTGAATGAATAGAAATTTATGAATCCACATGATAATAAATGAATAAACTAGCAAGTAACCTGAGGAAAAGAAAGCACGCACAATAATAAGGCACATGGATTAAAATATTAGCTATAGGTAAATCTGCGTAAGGGTCTATACAGTTATTCTTTTACTGTGTTTATTTTCAAAAACTCTCTGTAAGGTTGAGGTTATTTTCAAATTAAAAGTTTTTTTTTTAAGTAGGTTATTGCTAATTTCTCCTGTGCAGGAATGATTTTCAGGAATACTCCTATGGCCACTGTGTCCAACTTATCCAGCAATGTGACCTCAAGATGCAGAGCCAGAGGTCATAGTGTGACAAAAATGGGTCCTGTATGACTCCGCACACAAAATATAGGCTAGTAGAAAGAAAAAAAAAAAAAAAAAACACCGTTTAAAATGCATTAATTTAGAAGATAATGTGTAGGAACTTTTTCTATCAGCTGTAACAACTGACATTTAAGTTCTTATTAGCTCCTAATCCATAAGAAGATCTCTTCTTATAGAAATATAATTGGTATTACGGGGTATGCAATTATAAACATAATCTTTATTTCAAAATTTGGTTAGAAACTATGCAAAATAGAATGTATTGTAATATCTGTGTCTGATGGGGCCAAATGTGAAGTAATGCTATAATAGTGAGTACATCTGTGAGTGAAAATTTGTATCTTATACATCCCAACATATGGGATCATGTCTGCACATATCTGCTTTTACCTTGCCCTGACAAGTCTGGAGCTTTCAGATAAAACAGCATGCAAAATTGCTTCTGACACAGCGAAATGGTCTGAAGAAAAAAAGTGTTCCTACATTTTCTATCAATGATTCAATTCATGTAATATAGTAATTACTTGATCATACAATTAGGTAACCCAATACACCATGTCAGACAATTTCAAAAGCGTTTGAATTGCTCCTGTCTATGGCATATCGAATAGTGAGTTATAAAGTTGAAAGAAACTCTTTTAAACTCAAGAATGAAAATATTTTGATCAATCACGCTAAAGCAAATATTGAATTATGCTTCTATTGTATGTAGAATACAATATCACAACATTATTATCTTATGAAGAGAGTCAAACTATATGGAACCAAAAGTATAGAAAAAAAATTATAGAGTATCAGATAGTTAAGTAATGAGAAATCTTATGTAATTTTCTGGATTTTTTTTTTCTTTTTTTTTTTTTTTACATTTATGCTGTTTGTCAGCTTTAAAAAAAATTGGCCAGGCACAGTAATCCCAGCACTTTAGGAGGCTGGGGTTGGAGGATCACCTGAGTCCAGGAGTTTGAGATCAGCCTGGGCAATGTAGTAAAACCTCTCATCTACAAAAAATAAATAAAATTAGCTGGGTATGGTGGTGCACATCTGTAGTCCCAGCTATCTGGGAGGCGGAGGTGGGAGGATTGCTTGAGCTTGGGAGTTTGAGGCTGTCATGAGCCGAGATCTCACCACTGTACCCTAGCCTAGGTGACAGAGAGAGACTCTATCTCAAAATAAATAAGTAAATATTTGGTAACTAGTAATTATTTCCTG
Organism: Homo sapiens; assembly: GCF_000001405.40. Taxonomy (NCBI): domain Eukaryota; kingdom Metazoa; phylum Chordata; class Mammalia; order Primates; family Hominidae; genus Homo; species Homo sapiens. The sequence continues at coordinate 190,179,784 of NC_000003.12, forward strand.
ATTCTAATAAACATTGTTTTCCTCTATCGGCAGACATATAATGTCTCATTGTGACTCTTTTTGTGATATTGACAGTCATTAATGATCATTGCCTGGGTCCTTTAATTTATTAGAGGGTGAAAGATTGGAAGATTTTAATTCACTTACACCTTAATATAATAGTACAAATGCTTCCATAAAGAAAAACTTCCCTCTAGCTATGGTTACACAGTAGTATACTTTTCAAAGGAAAAGTATGAGGGGTAATGAAGCCCATTTCATAATGATAAAGGGTTCAATTAATCAAGAGGACATAACAATGCTACTCATGTATGCACCTAACAACAGAGTTTCAAAATAAAAAAAAAAAACTAAAAAATACTGATACAAATGCAAGTAGAAATAGACAAACTCACAATTAGCTGGAAATTTTAATAACCCTCTCAATAATTGACCAAACAAGTAGACAGAAAATCAGTGACTATACAAAAGACTTGAACAATACTAATAACCAAATGGAACCAACTGACATTTATATAACACTGTACTTAATGAGGAGAGAATGCACATTCTTTCTAAGTGTACACAGAAAATTTACCAAGAGATACCGTATTCTGTGCCATACAGCAAGTCTTAACAAATTTTAAAGGATGTAATTGTACAGTGTATGTTATGTGACCACAGTGGACTTAAATTAGATATTAGTCAGTGACAGGCATCTGAAAAAGTCCCTCATATTTGGAAACTAAATGATACACTTCTGAATAGGCTATGAGTCAAAGGAAATTTCAAAAAGTAAAGTAGGAAGTATTTTGAACTAACTAAAATAAATACATACTCAAAATTAGTAGGATGCCACATAAGCAATCTTTAAAGGGAATTTTATAGCACTAAACCTACATTAGAAAAGTCTTAAATCAATGACTTCCACTTTAACCCTTAGAAACTAAAATTAAGTACAGTGCTTTTAACCCAAACTGAGCAGAAAAGATAAAATAATAAAGAACACAAATTAATGAAATAAAAAGCACTTACAACTGTAATGAAAGCTATTTATTTTAGATGATTAATAAAATTTATAAACATCTAGCCTGACTGATCAGAGAGAAAAAAAAGATGATGAACAAAATACCAGTATTAGCAGTGAGTGAGAGAGATGATATCACTACCGATTTTATAAAGAATAAAAGAATGAAAAGAGAATGTATAACTCTATAATACCTTAGTTAACATAGTGGAAACAGAAAAATTCCTTGAGGATAGAATTATCCTGATACCAGATCTTGACAAAAACAATACAAGGAAAAATATGTCTATTATATACACATTTATATTTATTTATTTTAAGGTAAAACACCTCATGAGTTCATATTCATACTTCCAAAATAAAATTCAGAGCTATAGGTTGGGCGTGGTGGCTCACGCCTGTAATCCCAGCACTTTGGGAGGCCGAGGTGGGCAGGTCACCTGAGGTCAGTAGTTCAAGACCATCCTGGCCAACATGGTGAAACCTCGCCTCTACAAAAATACAAAAATTAGCCAGGCATGGTGGTGGGGGCCTGTAATCCCAGATACTTGGGAGGCTGAGGTGGGAGAATTGCTTGAATCCTGGAGGCAGAGGTTGCAGTGAGCGGAGATGGCGTCACTGCACGCCAGCCTGGGTGACAGAGTGAGACTCCGTCTCAAAAAAATAAAAATAAAAATTAAAAAAAAAGTAAAAATAAAAAAGTACATAAAATAAATAAATAACATTCAGAACTATAGGATTTTTAATTATTCCCTTATAACATCTTTATCTTCTTTCTTTAACATGTAAAGTATCTTGGTTCTCAAGAACAATAAAGATACGTAATTAGAATGTCACATCATTATGCCTTTGTTTTGTCCCATATTATACATTTTATTGTCTCAGAAAGCAATACCAATATCATCCCTGATATTATGATAATTGAAAATATTTAAATATTTTAGTATGTTATTTCTTTATCTCTCCCAGATAATGCAGTAAATTTGTTCTCTCCTTGGAAAAATTAAAACGCCCACATTTTTCTGACCTGAAATAAAATGTAAGGTTTAAGCTGACACGCATGTGATATAAGAAAGATACTAGACTTTATAATTAGACACACTGTGATTGAATTTCTGCACTACCATTTCTAAGTTTTTACATTTGATCAAGGTCATTTATCTCTCTCTCTTTTTTTTTTTTTTTTTTTTAATTTTGAGACGGAGTCTCGCTCTGTCGCCCAGGCGGGAGTGCAGTGGCGCGATCTCGGCTCACTGCAAGCTCGGCCTCCCGGGTTCACGCCATTCTCCTGCCTCAGCCTCCCGAGTAGCTGGGACTACAGGGGCCCGCCACCGCACCTGGCTAATTTTTTTTATTTTTAGTTAGAGACGGGGTTTCACCGTGTTAACCAGGATGGTCTGGATCTCTTGACCTCGTGATCTGCCCGTCTGGGCCTCCCAAAGTGCTGAGATTACAGGCGTGAGCCACTGCGCCCAGCCGGTCGTTTATCTCTTGAAACTGTTTTCTTCATCCGTGGAATGGAGATCATCTCTACATTTCATAACTGTTAAGTATTAACATTCATGTGTTACACTTAAAGTGCCTAGCATATGGTAAGGGCTCAATAAATAAAAGTTATTGTATCTGAAGGAAATATAAAGATAGACAAGATGGCCCAAAAGCATGTTGGATATGTTACTAAGAAGTATCGTTCACATTCCTACTCTACAATGTGGCTATAAGTGTACGCAGGAATGACTCAGGTGAACATTTATTATTCTTAGTATATGTTTACACACATACTATGTCAGAAATCCTGAGTACTTTCACAAACATTTACGCTCTAAATGCTGTCAGTGAATCAGTAAGTTATTAATGTTTTCTTTTACGTTTGAAGAAATCGACTCACAGTTAAAGTGGCTTCGAGGTCACAGTAATATAGAGATTCTTGCCCGGAGACAAGAAAGAGCACTGAGTTATAATGCCAAAGTGACCAGCATCGTGACTTTGGAATTATAACTCGGTGCTCTGTCTTGTCTCCGGCACAAGAAGCTCTATATTACTGTGAAGCATGTCTATAACCAAGGCATTACACGAATGGAGCAGTGCAAATGGTAGGAGGCTGTCTAATTTCCCTTTAGAAGTTCTAGTACTACTGCTGTCTTCCTCTTTATTTTCTCCAGAGCACACATTGTGAGGCCAAGATAATGTGTTTATTGAGGGACTTTACTGGGGACACGTTCAGGAACTTTTCAGTAGAGAGGTTTGGCCAAGAGGTGCTGGTATATTTTCCATGGGATACATTTTTCAGCTGAAGATGTGATTGGAGGATTATCTCCCAGCAGTCACTGCTTGTTAAGCTCTTTTATTTTCTTCATTTGAAAGGTTTGTGGAATTATGCTGTGATCCACTTGTAGTGGAATACAGAGTAGAGACAAACAAACCACTAGAAATGGGATACAGACTAGAGGAAAACACACTTTATTGTCTTACTCAAGGACGCTATTGGCTGGAAGAAGACTTAAACGAGTTGCTGTCTGCCAGACCACAGCATGAGGCAGACAAACAGAAAACAATGAGGTCATGCAGAAGTAGCTCATTACGCTGAACCCAAAAATAGAAGCCTGACAACCCAGCTTGGTGTGATGTTGAAAAGCACTGGACTGGCAGTCAAGACATGTGGGTTCCAGTCCTAGTGTTAGTGGCAACTTGATGTATGGTTTTAGTCAATTCCTCCTGTTTTTGGCCGCAGTGTCTCTGCTTATGAACAAATAATGAAGGAATAAGATTAGATAACACCTATGGCCTTTGCTAGTGTGGCAATCAATAAATATATATTTATTTAGCACCCACTATGTGCCAGGAATTTTACTATGTCCTGGGAAAACATTAGTAAACAAAACAGACTTGATGCCTGCCTTCATTTCAACATGAAGAAAGAGCCAACAAATGGATTTATCTGGCCTTCACAGGCCTCGAATATCCTCTGGGGAGTAAGAACACTCCAGTTCTTTTGCTATGCCCGAAAGGGGATATACATTTGTATTAAAATTGCAACTTTTCTGCCATTCTCTACCTTACACTCTCATTATTTCTTACTGGAGTGGTAACAGTCACCTCTTCACCAGTCTCCTTGTTCCCATTGTCAGTCTTCGTATAACCATGCAAATTGTTATCAGAAATTGTTATCAGTGTTTTCAGAAACTGTCAATATCATTCTTCTTTTCAAAAGTCTTATTTTCCCTGGGACACACAAAAGTAAGTACAAATTTCTTAAGATGAAATTGAAAGACTCCCGTAGTCAGCCTGAAATCCCCTCTCTTATTTTCATCCATTACATGTATACATGTATTAGTCTATGCTTTGCTGTTGTTGTTGTTTTTCTTTTTTTGAGACAGAGTCTTGCTCTGTTGCCCAGGCTGGAGTACAGTGGCATGATCTTGGCTCACTGCAGCCTCCACCTCCTGAATTCAGGCGATTCTTGTGCCTCAGCCTCCTGATACCTAAGACTACAGGTGTGCACCACCACGCCAGGCTAATTTTTGTATCTTTAGTAGAGACAAAGTTTTGCCATGTTGGCCAGGCTGGTCTCGAACTCTTGGCCTGAAGTGATGTCCCCTCCTCAGCCTCCCAAAGTGCTGGGATTACACGCATGAGCCACCGCACTAGGCCTAGTCTGTGTTTTAAAGGAGACAAGCTACTTAACAGCTATAATCCCTATCGCAATCTGAGTTGTCAGTTTCTGTCACTACACCAAGAGCTCTTGGAGAGCAGGGATGGCTCCTTATATATCTCTGAGTCCTGGTGGCAAAACTGCACTTGGTGGCACACTAGGCACTGTAAGTGTTTGTGGAATTGATTGGTTGCTCTTTTAGCAGGATCTCTCCCTACCTGTTTTGTCTCTCACACTACAACCTCTCAATAAATAACTGCTGATTGTTGTCTAAACTAGTGCTGCTGATTGTTGTCTAAACTAGTATGATCTTTGAACTGCTAACATCGGCTTGATCTAGGAACTTGTTAGAAATGCAAATTCTTAAGACTTGATCCAAGTTTTTTTTTTTTCTTTTTTTTTTTTTGGCAGGGTCTTGCTCTGTCACTCAGGCTGGAGTGCTGGAGTACAGTGGTGTCATCATAGCTCACTGTAACCTCAACCTCCTGGGCTCAAGAGATCCTCCTGCCTCAGCCTCCGGAGTAGCAAGGACTACCAGGTGCACACCACCACACTCAGCTAATTATTTTATTATTCTATTTTTGAGACAGAGTTTCGCTTTTGTTGCCCAGGCTGGAATGCAATGGCCCAGTCTCAGCTTACTGCAGCCTCCACCTCCCAGGCTCAAGCGATTCTCCTGTCTCAGCCTCCTGAGTAGCTGGGATTACAGGTGTGCCCCATCACGCCCAGCTGATTTTTGTATTTTTAGTAGAGATGGGGTTTCTCCATGTCGGTCAGGCTGGTCTCGAACTCCTGACCTCAGGTGATCCATCCGCCTCAGCCTCCCAAAGTGCTGGGATTACAGGCGTGGACCACCATGCCTGGCCTAATTATGTTATTTTTTGTAGAGATGGGGGTCTAGCTATGTGGCCCAGGATGCCAAGAGTGTGGGAATTAGGAAATCTCCAGAATCGTTATGCATGCTAAAGTTTGAGAAGCACATTCCTAAACCATTACCAGGAACGAACTTACAGATTCTGGGAAGATGCTGACTCATGTTTCATTTAATAAAAATGTGGTTATTTAACCAGTGCCAAAACGCCAAGGCGGGGGATTCCATTAGTTGGTAGAATCTTAAGACATAGCCAAGATAAAGCCTGAGTATTGGCAAAGGTGGGACAAAAGGCAAGAATTTTTAAAGTCGCTTTGCTTATGATGGCTCCAGCTGTAGTGTTCTGCCCCACTCCCAATGAAAAATAGCAAAAATCAGCACTTGCTAAGTTCACACAGTATAATGAAACTCCCCTGTAGTATAGTGTTGCTGTGTGTTAGTCAAGGGCTAGGAGGGTGTTAATATGTTAAGCCTCACAGAAAATACAATTTTATTGTATAGGAACCTTTATAATACCAATCCTTTATTCACTAATTAGATCATTTATTATTTCCACTAATATTTATTGAGAGCCAATGATGTATAATCTGTATGCTAACTATTGTGGAGTTACACAAATAAGTAAAAGGCACAGGCTTCACAGTTAAATTGCTGACAGTGTAATGGAGGTAACGCACAATGAATATGCAGTTTTAAAACAATGCCATTTGTATTAACTAGGAGTAAATACCAGCTGTCAAACAGCCCAGCACATGAACACTAACCCAGTTTAGAGGGCTCAGAGAGGCTTCCTGGAAAATATAGTATGTTAGTTGAGGCCAGTAGCATCAGTAGGAATTATTTAGGCGATGGGTGCAAGGAGAAGGAATGAAGTGGGGAATAGTGTGAAAGGATGTTGCATGTAAAAGATATTGCATTTATATAAGCCAGAAAACAGGGTGGGAACCGCAGCAAGGTGCCTTCATAGGACTGTAGCTTGTTCATACTGGACAAAACGTAGAGTACAAAATGGAGTGAGGAGAAATGAGGGTGGTGAGATACAGGACCAAATTGTGCAAGTCTCCTAAACCACAATAAAGTCTTCTAAACCATATTTGTCCTGGAGAAGGAGTGAAGGAGATTAGAGTGGGTGGGTGGCAATCAGCCAGAAAGCACTGAAAGGTTTTAAAGCGGTGAAATAGCTACAGTCTATTTCTGCTGTAGAAGTAGTGTGGCTACAATGTGCGTAACATTGGAATGGGACAAGACTGGAGGCAGGGAGGCCACATAGAAGAATGGTGACTTGAACTAAGTTGCAATGGAGAAGGAAGAGAGGTGGACTCAAGAGGGTAAGTACTAAGAAGCAACAGCTTGATGGTATACTGGATGTGGAATCTAAGGTGGTGCCTAAGTTCAGCCTTGGGTAAAACAGTGGGTTCACTGAGATAGGGAATTCGAGAGTTGTAGTGCAGTGGGGATCCAGGGTTGGAGGGGACAGGAGTTTTGAGACAGTGATGACTAAGTGACCTGCTTTAACCCCAAAGTGAGAGCATATTTGAAAGCTGTAAGCCTGTTGCTCTTCAAAAGCACACTGTGGGCCGGTGTGGTGGCTCATGCCTGTAATCCCAGCACTTTGGGAGGCCGAGGCAGGCAGAGCACTTGAAGTCAGGAGTTCGAAACCAGCCTGGCCAACATGGTGAAACCCCGTCTCTACTGAAAATACAAAAAAATTAGCCAGACGTGGTGGCAGGTGCCTGTGATCCCAGCTACTCAGGAGGAGGGAAGAGAATCGCTTGAACCTGGAAGGCGAAGGTTGCAGTGAGCCGAGATTGAGCCAGTACACTCCAGCCTGGGTGACAGAGCAAGACTCTATCTCAAACAACAACAACAACAAACCACACACAAAACCACACACACACACACACACACACACACACACACACACGCACTGTGGAACTACCAGTTCTCTTCTGAATTTCCATGCTATTTCTGAATGAATATGCTTCATTGCGCAGAACAAGGGCGTACTGGGCACTCTGGATCAAAGGTGAGGCTTAGCAGTAAAATCGCTTTTTGTCCCACTATGCAGTTCAGTGAGCCAAGGAAAAGATTGAAGACCAAAGATGCTGCTCTTGTGTTGCTCTATAACCTGCATTTTAATTTTTTAGTTTGTGAAGTGGGAGAAATATTAACTTATTTTTCACAGCTGACCTAAAAACTTTTTAATTAAATATAAAACATCCTAAAAATTGAATTTGATTATACATGCCTAAACAACAAACTTGCACAACTTAATTTTTTAAAAAAATCCTAATCTGCAAAACTTAATCATTCTGGAACTGTTCTGAAGCCACAAGCCCTGAATTTTACTTATTTTTGTTTGTTTGTTTATATTTTTTAATATAGAGTCTTGCCCTGTCACCCAGGCTGGAGTGCAGTGGTGCAATCACAACTCACTACAGCCCTGAGTTCCTAGGCCCAAGCATTCCTCCCACCTCAGCTTCCTGAGTAGCTGGGTCTATAGGTACATGACACGCCATCTAGCTAATTAAAAAAAACAAAAATTATAGAGGTAGAGTCTCTCTGTGTTGCCCAGGTTGGTCTCAAACTCCTGGGCTCAAGCAATCCTCCTATCTCAGCCTCTCAAAGTGCTGGGGTTACAGGCATGAGCCACGGTGCCCAGCCCCTGAATTTTTGTAAATTGTGTGTTTGCCATCCCATCTCAAGCTCAGGGAGAATATAATATTCCTTCTACATGTTTAAAAACAGGTAATATATTAACCTAAGAAAACCTTGCTTTGGGATTAGAAATGCAGAACCCTTTGCATACATTGCTGCTGTATATCTAAGCTTTTGGCCACTGGTTCTATATAATCTTCTGTTTAATGATCTATTGTCCTACTTTGATTTGAAGATGATGTTTTGAAGGAAAAAAAAATCCCATGATTTGTTTCATAGAATTGAGATTTGAGTCCTGGCTTTGTTATTGCCTAGCTGGGTGACCGTTGGGCAGGCTTCTTTGTTGTTTATACCTCAACTATTTCATCTGGGCCTGTAAAAGTATTCCCTTCGGACACTCTTGATTCATAATTACTTTCTCAAGATCATCACTGGCATTCAACTTGGTCCTGTGCTACATCAGTGCAACCTCCTCAGGCCCACATTTTTATCCTGGTAACATCTCTCTGTTTTTCTTAACTGCTTTTTCCTCTACCCCCTCATGCACACACAAGCTGTTTGGTTGGATAATTGAAACTAAAAATTGTACATTCTTGAAAATCCTAAGATATTTCTAAATGGAACCTAAGTTTTTTCCTCTCTCTGTACCCTACAAATATTATTGCATCTGCTAAATAGCTTTCTGGAGCCCAACTTCAAATCAAGCATCTTGGAAATAGCAGAAATATTTAAATTGCCTCTGAATTAGTTGTGAAAATAATAAGACATAAGATATTGGTATTTATAAAGGCTTCATTGATACTGCCAGTTCCTATAGAGTTCCCCGAATATATTGGCTGTTGCTCCAGTATAAAGCAATGAATAGTAATAATTTACAATGAGATGAATTGACTATTAAATTTATTAAATTCAGCAGGAATTTCTCCCTCTGGATTTAAGACCCACTACCATGCAGCTCAAACTCTGTCATTAGTTCCATCTTCCATTGAACCCCAAGGCCCTGTCAGATAATATGGATTATGTGCTTCATTTGAATATGCCTTTGCATTCACATTTCATGTCTGTACTCATGTTGACTCTTTGATTTGGCAGAATAATAGCCTGGTTATTAATAAGAGTCTACATTTGCACAGGCATCTCCATGGTTTTTCCAATAACTGATTCCCATTTTGCAAAAGAAAACAGTGAAAACTGAGGAAAGAAATGCCATATTGCTAGAAAGCTACAGATCTGAGATTAGAAACTAGGTTTCAAAGCTTCACCATGGCCATATTGCCTCTCCTGGTATGATTGAAATGCAAAGAAAGATACTTTTAATAAATGCAGCCATATATTGTGTTGTTTAATGAATTATATATGAACAAATATACACATATTCTGACCCAATATGTCAATAGTGCTGAGGCTGAGAATTATTGGTCTACACTGAGGGTACAGCAAACTTTTGAACTGGCATTCTAAGCACTGGTCTTTGAAACTGCTAGCAGTACTATGTAATATGCTGATGGAAGAAAGGGCTGACTCCTCCACAAAGTGCTTTTGCTCCAAATTTTAGTAGAATTGTGACAAATTTGCTGGTGAGATTTGAGGCTGAATTTTTTAGAATGAATTATATAGATTCTCAACTTTAGCCTAGAACAGCAGTCTCAAAGAGATCCAGGCACCCTTAGAGGATCCTGAAACACTTTTAGGGAGTATTACAAATTAAAACATTTTTGCGATAATATTAGAATGCTGTTTCACTTTTATTTTTTTATGAGATTAGAACAGTTTTCCAGAGTCAACATAATTTGCAATATTGCAGCAAATTAAATTCAGAAGCCAGTATGAGCATCCAGCTGCTTTCTTTTAAGCCAGACATAAAAGAGATTTGCGAAAATGTATAACAACATCACTCTTCTCACAATTTTTTATTTTATAAAAAGATAATTACTTTTCGGCCAGGCACGGTGGCTCATGCCTGTAATCCCAGCATTCTGGGAGGCCAAGGCAGGTGCATCACATGAGGTCAGGAGTTACAAATCAGCTTGACCGACATGGTGAAACCCTGTCTTTACTAAAAATACAAAAAATTAGCCGGTCGCGGTATGCCCCTGTAATTCCAGTCACTCAGGAGGCTGAGGCAGGAGAATCGCTTGAATCCGGGAGGCAGAGTTTGCAGTGAGCTGAAATCGCACCACCACACTCCAGCCTGGGCAACAGAATGAGACTTGATCTCAAAAAAAAAAAAAGTTATTGTTTATAATTATGTGATTTATGTTAACATATAATGGGTTTATTAAATAAAATAAATAAATAATTTGGAAAGTCCCCAGTTTTCATTTCTAATATAGGAAATAGCAATAGATGTAACCTACATAAACAGAAGCACTTTGGAATCCTCAATATTTTCAAGAGTATAAGGAGGTCAAGAGACCAAAAAGTTTGAGAATAGTTATTATAGTGCAGAGCTTCTTAAACTTTAGTATGTGTATTAAATTTCTGCATATGTATAATATGTTAAACCGCATGCTGATTCTCTAGGTGCGATGGTTCATTTTATGTCAACTTGACTAGCACACTGGGGTGCCCAGATATTTGATCAAACATTATTTTGGGTGTGTCCATGAGGGTGCTTTTGGATGAGATTAACATTTGAATAATTGAACTGAATAAAAAATAAAGCGGGTTGCCCTCTAACATGAATGGGGCACATTCAATCAGTTGAAGACCTCAATAGAAGTAAAGGCTGAACCTTTCATGAGTAGCAGTGAATTTCCTCCTGCCTAACTGTCTTGAGCTGGCATATCAATTGATGTATTCCTTCGAACTAAAACTGAAGCATCTTGGGTCTTGAGCCTATAGCCCTTCACACTGAAACTATACCATTGGCTCTCTTGGGTCTCCGGCCTGCTGACAGCATATTTTGGGAATTGTCAGACTCCATAATTTTGTGAGCCAATTCTTTGGAGAACCCCGATCAATCCAGTACTTCTGGGGTGGTACCTGAGATTCTGCATTCTGTCTACCTTCCAGATGATCTTGGTCCATGGACCACACTTCTAGGAGCAGAGGTCAGAGCACCAACGTAACCTGGGAGTTTATTACAAACACAGAACCTCAGACCCTGAGTTCAGACCCAGTGAATCAGAATCTTCATTTTTAACAAGATTCTTAGCTGGCCCATTTGCACACAATAATTTAAGAAGCACTGTTCCAGCGTGGTAGTAATCAGTCCTGAGTATGGAGTAGAATCGCCTGAATAGCATTAAAAAACAAACAAACAAATGATGTCTAGACTCCACTCCAATTAAATCAGAATCTCAGAGAATAGAGCCTGGATGGGTTTTAAAAACTGCACAGATGACATTAATGTGCAGTCATGAATGAAAACTATTGGTCAAAAATAAAGACTGAAGGCCAACAATGACCGTCTTTGAGGCTCTTAATGAAAGAAAATTAATTATCTAGATGCTAGGATGGAAGTCAAAGATCTTAAACAAATATAGTATTTCTGGAAATTGACTCAATAGTTAACCAAGCAGTCAAACCCTTGACTAAAACACCAAAGGAAATATAGCACTACTGTGTATAAGAAAAAAACTGTACAATTTACTTTGTATTTTTAAATTTTTATTTATTTCTTTATTTTTTGAGATGGCATTTTGCTCTTGTTGCCCAGGCTAGAGTGCAATGGTGCGATCTCAGCTCACTGCAACCTCCACCTCTTGGGTCCAAGCAATTCTCCTGCCTCAGCCTCCTGAGTAGCTGGGATTACCTGCATGCACCACCACGCCCAGCTAACTTTTTGGATTTTTAGTAGCGACGGGGTTTCTCCATGTTGGTCAGGCTGGTCTCGAACTCCCGACCTCAGTTGATCCACTTGCCTTGACCTCCCAAAGTGCTGGGATTACAGGCGTGAGCCACCGCGCCCGGCCGTACAGTTTCTTATGTGTTTGATATCTTCTTCCTGGTGTGAGGACTTAGCTTTGAGTGTTAACCGAAAATTCTAAGTCTAGGGTTCCTAAGTTGTTATGTGCTGCACTATACAAGTAAACCTACAGAGATGGAAGTGTTCTTAGAGATTATCTAGTCCAAGCACTTCATTTATAGGTAAAGAAACCGGGGCTCAGAGAGGGCGATTCACTCACAATAGCAGGCAGCATAATTTAGTAGCAGCAACAGACCTGAGTTAACTCATAGCCCTTACATTTCCCCTGGAGTCATCCCTTTGTTCCCACAACAAGTTACACACTTCCATCAGTACTCCCTGCAGCCTGTAAGTACAGTGATCACAATGCCTCCTCGAAATTCTGCTCACTGTTGATTGACTATTGTATATACTAGGCATTTATGTATTCATGATTGTTTACCTAGTCATTCATTCAACAACTGTTCATGGAGCCTCCACCACATGGCACCAGGAAACTAGTACACTTGATTGAAAATAGTTATTTCATCACATTACCATTGTTTGTAGAATTGTTTAATAAATTTCAGGTCTCCTGATTTCCACTTCAGTGTTCATATAACTGCATGTCCTACTGTCCTCCTTGGCACATGAAGATGGCTGAAAAAACTGAACTGTTCACCCAGCTGGGCAAGTAGGACTAGGACCTAGATTTCTGGAACCATTACATTGTCCTCTCTACAAACGAACTATGGCTTTAAGACCAAACATTGATGCTGGAAATAATTAGTAACTGAAAGCTCCTCCCAGGTTTTCCTCTTTTCTCTGAAAATAGAAGTATTTAAAAAGAGAGAGAGGGAGTATGAGAGAAAAAGGAAAGAAAAGAAAAGGCACACTGTTTGATGTACTGTATGTTGGAAAGCTTTGGAAAAATTTATAATGTGCTCTGTACTCAGAGACAAAATTTTCCAAGAGGACATTTATACAATTTCTTCCAAGAGTCTGCATCCTGTTATACTCTGGAAGAAGTGACCTCATGGTGTTTGTATTTGTCTCTCTCACAAAACCTCTTTTATAGTATTAATGCATGTGCAGGTCTTAGGATATGTAATACATGAGGCCCTGACTTGGGCAGGTCATTCTGAGAACACGCTGCTACTTTCATAATGGCATCATCTTGTTTTATAGTGGCAGAGGGGATGGGCGGAGGAGAGCCAGCTAGGAGAAAGTTCTATGCCAAGTCATTTGGAAAATATAAGCTACAAGCAATTGAGGGAACCTAATAAATTTGAAGGATATTAAAAAGCGATACATGTTACTAGTCTCAGAAGAATTAACAGTAATCACTATAACCCCTTACAGCATATTAGAATTACAGTAGTTCCCTCTTACCTGTGTTTTTGCTTTCCATGCTTTCAGTTACCCACAGTCCAGAAATAATAAATACAAAATTCTAGAAATAAACAATGCATACGTTTAAAATTGCAAGCTGTTCTGAGTAGCATGACAAAAACCTCACACCATCCCACCCAGGGCGTGAGTCATCCTTTTGTCGAGGGTATCCACGCTGTGTATGCTGCACACTCACTAGTCACTTCACCCTTTTGGTTATCAGATTGTCACAGTGTCAGGTGCTTGTATTCAAATGACCCCAATTTTACTTAATAATGGTTCCAAAGCACAAGGGTAGTGATGCTGGCCTATTGTTATAATTGTTCCATTTGATTGCTGTTGTGTTTACCTAGTTTATAAATGAAATTTTATCATAGGTTTGTATGTATCGGAAAAAAAACAATATATATAGGGCTTGGTGCTGAGGTTTCAGGCACCGCCGGGGTCCTTGGAACATACCCGCTGTGGATAAGGGGTACTACTACTATCTAAGGTGATTGTGTGCATACTACCTCATTTGTACATCAAGTTTCCGGTTTATAGAGTGATCATCCCTAGAGGATCTTGATTGTTTCTCCCAACATCCATGTGAGCTATGCAGGACCAGTATTATCTCAAATTTATAAGTGAGAAAATGGAGGCTCTGAAAGAAATACAAATAGTAATTAAATTTTACATAGAATAGGGCATTAAAAGCTCTTATATATATGAATTCCTTTGATTTCTACTGAAAATCCCTGTAGTAAATAAATTTATTATAATCCAATTTTACATATAAGCAAGTCAGTAGACAGATTAAATGACAATGCAGATTTCACAGCAAATAAGTGGCAGAGAAAGAAGTTGGATCCAGATTATCTGACTCCTTATAAAGTGCTCTTTTCATTACGTAAAACCGCCTCTTTATAGAGTGCAGGCTTTGGAGTCAGCCAGATTTTGATATAAAACTTGGCCCTTACACAGGTGGGCTGTAGGTGAAGCCTGAGAAACCACTTAGCTTCACTACTACACCTTTCTAATTGGTAAAATAGGAAAAGTAATTCCTACCTCAAGGAGTGAGCTAATGTTTGTATAATGCAATGTTTAGCATAGTGCCTCACACACTCAAAAGGACCCAATGACTGCTATTGTAATACATTTTATCTCTGATTCCTATTAGTACACAAGCCCATAAGAAAATGGCATTTGTTTTTTCTAGTTGAAGCTGTATTCTTCTATTGGAACAGTGCAGAAAGATTTGCATTAATCTCTGGAATAGACGCAAAGATCTGAAGTGCCATCACTTTCATCTTCCTCCTTTCATGTCTCCTAGAACCCATGCAATGCAAGCCCTCTCCTTTCCAGCCTCCATAGCCAGCTGTAGCAGTCAGTGAGCAGAATGAAGTGAAAAGCACACTCAAAGGGAAAACAAACTGGGGCTCTGTCAGAACATATGGTTGAAATTCCAGAGCCCAGGACCCCACACCAAGAGGCTCCTCCCGGCCCTGCATCTGGGGCATCTCAGTTAGCCTCAGCTGTCTCTACTGTACCTCTACTCTAGGAAATCAACCACTCAATTCCTAAAGCAGTTTTAAGACCAAAACCAGCGCTTGTAGATAAGGAATAAATAAAGTTTGTAACTATCAGCCTAGGTCACTTAGTTGTTAAGCACATTGCTAATTCTCCTAGGAGATAGAAATTACTAGATAGATATTACTATTATAGATAATACTTCTCGAGCGTGTCCTCCCTCTTCCATGTTGGGGCAGGGTGGTTTTTGTAACCTGGTTCCTGCCAGACTTTGCAGCCTCAGGCTCTAACATTCCCTCATATACACCTTACAGTCCACTTATCCTAAAATATTTTGAGTCCTTCAAATGCACCTTGCCTGTCATATTTTAGTACTTTTGCACAAGTTGTTCTTTTTTTTTTTTTTTGTGAGACAAAGTCTCTCTCTTGTCACCCAGGCTGGAGGGCAGTGGCGCGATCTTGGCTCACTGCAACCTCCACCTCCAAGGCTCAAGCAGTCCTTCTGCCTCAGCCTCCCGAGTAGCTGGGATTACAGGCACCTGCCACCACACCCAGCTAATCTTTTACATTTTTTTTTTTTTTTTTTTTTGAGACAAAGTCTCACTCTGTCGCCCAGGCTGGAGTGCAGTGGTGCAATCTCGGCTCACTGCAAGCTCCACCTCCCGGGTTCACGCCATTCTCCTGCCTCAGCCTCCCGAGTAGCTGGGACTACAGGCGCCCACAACCACTCCCGGCTAATTTTTTGTATTTTTAGTAGAGACGAGGTTTCACCGTGTTAGCCAGGATAGTCTCGATCTCCTGACCTTGTGATTCACCCGCCTCGGCCTCCCAAAGTGCTGGGATTACAGGCGTGAGCCACCACGCCCGGCTAATCTTTTACATTTTTAGTTGAGACAGGGTTTCGCCATTTTGGCCAGGCTGGTCTCAAACTCCTGACCTCGAGTGATCCGCCCACCTTGGCCTCCCAAAGTGCTGGGATTACAGGTGTGAGCCACTGTGCCCGGCCCACGTTGTTCTTTTTACCAAGAATTCTTCTTTATTACTTGAACTATGTTTGCAAGGTGAGTTCCTGTTCTTCTTAAAGATGTAGGCCAGGCAACTCTTCTTTTAAGAAATGACTCCTGCTTGCTCCTATTCCTGAGGAGCTGTCTGAAGTAACATTGGTAATTTTCTCTTTTGTCTCACCTCCTCTTCTATGGCCTTTAAATGCTATATTTATATTTGATAGTCACACATCTATTTATTCCACAAGTCTCTGATCTCACTAAGGGTAATTTTTTCTTTTAAAGTATAAACCCCCAGTGCCAGACACCTCATAAGGATTTAATGTTTCTTTAAGACAGTAAAGAGTTTAGGAGTTTTTGAATTTTAAATATTTTTATATGCTGGTCACCTTTGGCTGCCTTGGCCCTCCAGTACTACTGTGATTTTTTGCCATCATTCATAGTTAAAGAAAATGCTAAATTTTAGTTAAATGTTAGCATAAAGTAATACTTTTTCCTGATCCAGGTTAGTGGAGTAGAGTTCTTTCCTCAGTCTCTGAAAGTTTGGGATTTTAAAATCAAACAGATTGAGATTCAAATATCAACATCCTTCTACACTGCATTAATATAAGCTTTCCGAAATTCTGCTTCAGATTGTTATAATACCTACCTGTGTGAGTTGGCATGAGAACAGACAATATCTGTAATGACATCTAGCCGAAGGTGACTGCTAAATAAATATAAAATATTGTTAGTTTATTCAGACTTTATGGACAATGCAAGATGCACCCGATGCCCGGAATTTGAATCCAGCATTGCTTCTTATTATCATGAGACCTAAGCCACTTTAAACTCAGTTAACGTGTCTGGAATATGAGGGTGATAATATTAATACCTACTATTCAGCCTTTTTGTAACAAGTACACAGTAAGAAATGGGCTAGCATAGCCTGGAAAATAGGAAATGCTCGATAAACAATTAATTGAATGAATGAGTGACTTACATCTCTAAATAAAATCAATTCTACTTCTTTGACTCTCACAAATTTCAGTTCCAGTTGAAACTAAAAATTATCCAAAACATGACGTGTATTTTATCCACTCATTCAAAATTCATGAAAGATAAATAATATATTGATTATTTTAAAACAAAAAGTTAGCATTTGAAGATGATGTCGATCCTCAAGTTAATAAACTCCTTCTGCAATATTTTTACAAACATCTTTTAACCAGATGCCACACTTTTTCTGAAATAATCTAAAGGAGAAGTTGGTTAAATAAGCAGAGCATATTTCAAATGAAAGTTTAATACAATTACAAGGAAAAAATTTTTTAAATGAACACATGTAATTACTTGTTTCTTAGTAAATTCTATTTTTATGTATCAAAAACGCAAGTTTTAACATATTAGCTGAGGATGCATAGTTTAAAAATAAACTTAAACACAAATACACAGTTTGGGGGAAAAAACACCTAACGAAATGCTAAGTGGTTAACGAATGCAAGGGCTAAATATTTATTAAACAGAGGTCCCAGTGATACACAACACAGTGGGACCAGTTAGATTTCACCATCTGATTGTTCAGGAGAGAGGCCCAATTGCTCATGCATATCCCAAATTTGCCCTTCAGTTACGTGCTGAGTATTGCATTTCTTTCTCGCTTGCCTGTTAGTGCCCCCAGAGTCTGAAAGGCCAGGGTGGATGAAATGTGTTGCAAATGTGTGGCACAAGTCTGGCCACCCCAGAGAGCTCTTCCTAAGTCTCTAGTTGATGTTTAACAGGAGAAGAAAACATTAACAGATGCTGTGTCTTAGCTTTCCTGCTGTCTTACTGTCTTCTTTGGTGGGTCCCTATTGGCCAATGATCATCTAACTTTAACTTTGGAAAGCTTCCTGGTAGAGTCAAGGGAGGGAGAGCAACAGAAACAAAAAGAGAAAGAGAAAGGGAGGGAGAGAGGGGGATTAGAAATAGGAAAGAGAGCAGAGATAAAGAAGGGGAGAAAGAAGGGGAAAGGGAGCGAGTTAGAAAACTATCTTGCATCGTGCTGAGAATTAAGACAATTGGAATGTAGTTCAATTGCAGCCTCTAATTTGCTGTGAAAAATTGAGCAAGTTACTATTCTCTGTGCCTTGGTTTTCTGATCTATAAAATGAAACCAGGGAATTAGGCAGCCTCAAATCCTTTCTAGGGCTAATGTAGTGGTGTGCAATGCTTAAAAGGCAGTCTTTAATTACAATCTATCCTGCACAGTTACGACCTTACCAAAACAATAAAACCTCTCATAATAAGGCTAATCTAGGCATTTAGAAAGATGTTTTATTATACCATCAATAATATGGAGAAGGAAACTAATAACAAGCTTGCTCTCTGCCATAGATTTTCATACAGTTCTGCTTTTACATGATGACAGACCTAGAAAGTAGCCTATCTCCACTAAAGGAAAGGTAAAATTAAGTTCACAGGTAAATAACTTGACTAGGGTCAGAATATTATTTAGCAAAGTCAGGATTTGATTCTTTCAATTCATTTGTTCCTTCCCTCAATAAATGTTGCTGAACACCATGCCAGGTAGTTCTTTAGGAGAACAAACAGAGTAGGGAACAAAGTATTTCAAAGATCATATTTCTTTTTCTACTACACTGAAGATATATTCCTGCCAGAATTTCTTGAGAATGTCAAGAAATCAGATAATTTAAATTTTCTAAAATACATCAAATATTTGGGAAAAGAGACCTCCAATTCTCTATTATGGTAGCTTTGTAACATTTAGGCTATAAGTCTGCCAATTTTATATTTCAAATGTGAATTTCATCATGAGAAAAAGTGGATTTTATTAATCTCTTCTCTATACAAGCAAAGCGTAACTACATTTTTCTCTCCTTTTTTTAAGGGAGCAGCACTAATACCTTACAATTTTTACTACAAAATGATGGAGCATAAATATAATTTTTGGAAAAAAATTAATTCTTTCATATAAAAAGGCAAACAGAAGGCTATTATTATTAAAAGATTAGTAAAATTATTAAAATGAGCAATTAGAGAACATTAAGCTAGACAATTTACCACATGTACATCCTATTATTCTGTGCACTATACATTAAGCCAAGTACAATGGAGGTTAAAAAGCTCAGAAGAATCCAGATCATACCAAAAGACTTGGCAAGTTCCCTTGACTTCTTTCTAGATTGCTACTACTATTGAAAACAATAATTACTGTTTATTGTGTTCTTAGTATTTGCCTGACACTGTGTTAAGTGTTTGAAAGTATTGTAGCATTCATCTTGATAACTCTGTCATGTAGACATTATCATAAATTCATTTTATAAATGAGAAAGTCTGAGAATTAGAGATGCTAAGTTACTTGCATAAAGGCAGAGAAAAAAATGTGGTAAGGCAGATATTCAAAGCCAGATTCTTCTGAGTCCAAAGTGAATGCTCCCAACATCTAAGCTAATACTCATTTTGAGATTTCAATTCTAAGTAATTAACAGAAAGATTATGTTGTTAATACAACATACCTTAACATACCTTACATACCTTATTTTACTTTTTATTGTGCTTTGCTTTATTGTGTTTTGCACATATTGCTTTTTTTTTTTTTAATAAATTGAAGGTTTATGGCGACCTTGCATCAAGCAAGTCTACTGGTACCATTTTTTTGACAGCACTCACTTCATTTCTCTGTGTCACATTTTGGTTATTATTGCAATTTTTCAAACTTTTTAATTGTTATTATATCTGTTACAGTGATCAGTCCTCCATTACAATAAGCAAGATAGTCTGAGAGATTCTAGAATATTTCTTTTTTCTTCTTCAAACTTTTTTGAGTGTGACTTGCAGTATGAAATACATTTTTATCGCAACCCAGTATACATATAGATGCATATATTTAGCTGAAACAGTATCTCACAGAAGTAATATTTGCCCTTACTATATTATTAAACTCTGACATTTTACTACCATATTTTATTTTATTTTTTTATATTGCTGGATGCAATGAACTAAATTGGTTTCACAACTCAGTAATAGGCCATAACTTACTATTTCAAAAGTATTGGCTGAAAAAACATTAAGAGAGGTAAATGCTGATAATCTGTGTGCCCTAGAGGAAGAGAAGGACTCAGGTAATGTACAGGCCATGTTAGATGATTGTTAAAAGTATGAGGTTTGGGCCAGGCGTTGTGGCTCACACCTGTAATTCCAACACTTTCGGAGGCTGAGGTGGGTGGATCACTTGAGGTCAGGGGTTCTTGACCAGCCTGGCCAACATGGTGAAACCCCATCTCTATTAAAAATACAAAAATTGGCCGTGCATGGTGGGCACACCTGTAATCCCAGCTACCTGGGAGGCTGAGGCAGGAGAATCACTTGAACCCGGGAGGCGGAGGTTGCAGTGAGTTGCGATTGTGCCACTGCGCTCCAGCTCCAGCCTGGGCAACAAGGGCAACAGCAGTCTGAATATATATATATATATATCTCCTCAGGGATAGGAGCAAGCAGGAATCATTTCTTTTTTTTTTTTTTGAGACGGAGTCTCACTCTGTCGCCCAGGATGGAGTGCAGTGGCACCATCTCAGCTCACTACAAGCTCCGCCTCCTGGATTAACGCTGTTCTCCTGCCTTGCCTCCCCAGCAGCTGGGACTACAGGCTCCCGCCACCACACCCAGCTAATTTTTTGTATTTGTAGTAGAGATGGGGTTCCACCATGTTAGCCAGGATGGTCTCGATCTCCTGACCTTGTGATCCGCCCGCCTCGGCCTCCCAAAGTGCTGGGATTACAGGCGTGAGCGACCGCACCCGGTCAGTCATTTCTTAATAAAAGAGTTGCCTGGCCTACCTCTTTAAGAAGAACAGCAACTCACCTTGCAAACATAATTCAAGTATATGTGTGTGTGTGTGTGTATATATATATACACACGCATATATATGTGTATATATATATTTATGTCAAACCTCATATATATGTATATGTGTGTGTGTATATATATGTCAATATATTTTTATGTCAAACCTCATATATATAATATATATAATATTAATAAAATATATTATATATTATATATATTATATATAATAAAATATAATATATATTATATATAATATATAATAAAATATATTATATATTATATATATTATATATAATAAAATATAATATATATTATATATAATATATAATAAAATATATTATATATTATATATATTATATATAATAAAATATATTATATATTATATATATATGAGGTTTGACATAAACCTCAGGGGTGGGGGTGGTGGAAGGGAGAGCATCAGGAAAAATAGCTATTGCATGCTGGGCTTAATACCTAGGTGATAGGTTGATAGGTGCAGCAAACCACCATGGCACACGTTTACCAATGTAACAAACCTGCACATCCTGCACATGTACCCTGCACATTTACCTATGTAACAAACCTGTAGATCCTGCACATGTAACTTAAAATAAATAAATAAATAAGGCTTTAGAATGAAATTGAGTTTAGGGCCATGAATACAGTTTGACGGGTGTGGGCACAGAGGTGATGTTTGGCATCAGAGTAGATAAGTTATTTGAAGAGAGAAAAACAAAAAGAATAGAGTAAAGCAGAAGATGAGAAACTAAACTCTACTGAGTACCCACAGTTCTGCAGTGGAGTAAAGAAGAAGAATTAGAGAAAGTACTCTCTCTATATAGTATTCGTATATGTATATGAATGAAGGATTTAGTAAAGTATAATTTATGGTAATAGTTTTTACCGTCAGAAGTATTTTCTTTATTTTATATTGAAGTTTTTGTTTTAAGATTAATACTGTTGGCCGGGCGCGGTGGCTCACGCTTGTAATCCCAGCACTTTGGGAGGCAGAGGCGGGCGGATCACGAGGTCAGGAGATCGAGACCATCCTGGCTAAAACGGTGAAACCCCGTCTCTACTAAAAATACAAAAACTTAGCCGGGAGTGGTTGTGGGCGCCTGTAGTCCCAGTTACTCGGGAGGCTGGAGAATGGCGTGAACCCGGGAGGCGGGGCTTGCAGTGAGCCGAGATCGCGCTACTGCACTCCAGCCTGGGCGACAGAGCGAGGCTCCGTCTCAAAAAAAAAAAAAAAAAAAAAAGAAAAAGATTAATACTATTGTCAGTATGCTGGTTCATTGTGGAGTATAAAATAATTTATTCTTCTCCATGAGCAAGTCGTGATCAGTTTCTTGTCTAAAAACCTTCCTATAAGTCCAGGAAAGATGGCTTATTCTGCCATCTTGTGGCTTGTTTTATTATGTTATCACTGTACATTGAGAAGTAATGGGTTAAAAGAAAACCAAACCGAAATTTACCCGAAGGTGTATTTTAATTATAGTACATACTAAGTGTATATTGGAGGCCAGGCAATAGAGCTAGGAAAATAAAAATATGAGGTATATCCTTCTCTTAAGGTTGATATTGGGCACCCGTTCAGAATATTCCTTCTCATAAAGTTCTAGGAAATAAAATCATAAATTAAGTAGGAATAAGCCTAACATGAAATGAACAAGATATTTATAAGGAAAATTGTAGAACCCTACTAAGGAACATAGAATAATGAAGGGATATATTGTAATTGTTAAAATATTTATTATTATAATATGCATACATCTTCCAGAGTAAGCTACAGGTCTGAAAATATCACAGGCAAAACCCCCAAAGAATGTTGTTTGTATATTTGAATATTATAACTTGGTAGTATAGTTCAAATGTAAGAGAAAATGTGAAACAATAACAAAAGAAAAATGAAAAAGAAAGGAGAAGAAAAAGGGCTTGCTTAAGATATAAAATGCACCATAACATAACAGTCATTAAAAGACACAAAATATGCAAAAGTAAACAAGTAGGCCAGCTGAATCGCATAGAGTCCAGGAAGAAACTCATGAAAAGTATTGACAGCTGATATTTGAAGTGACATTTTAAGTTGGTGGGGGAAAAAGAGAGCAAGTATTTCATGAATGATGTTTTAAAAATTTACCACGCATTGGGAAAAAATAGAGTTGTTTTCAACTTTAAGCTATATACCAATATGAATTTCTTATGTTTAGAGAGCTAGATGTGACAAAAAAGTCTATGTAAGTGTGATATGGTTTGGCTGTGTCCCCACCCAAATCTCATCTTGAATTGTAGCTCCCATAATTCCCATATGTTGTCGGAGGGACCTGGTAGAAGGTAATTGAATCATGGGGGCAGTTCCCCCATACTGTTCTCATGGTAGTGAATGAGTCCCATGACATCTGATGGTTTTATAAGGGGAAACCCCTTTTGCTTGGCTTTCATTCTCTCCTAAACTGCTCCCATGTAAGATGTACCTTTCACCTTCTGCCGTGAGTGTGAGACCTCCCCAGCCAAGTGGAACTGTGAGTCTATTAAACCTCTTTTCTTCTTTGTAAATTGTCCAGTCTTGGGTATGTCTTTGTCAGCAGCATGAGAACAGACTAATACATTAAATTGGTACTGGTAGACTGGGGTACTGCTGTAAAGATACCCAAAAATATGGAAGTGGTGTTGGAACTGGGTAACAAGCAGGTGTTGGAACAGTTTGGAGGGCTCAGAAGAAGACAGGAAAATGTGGGAAAGTTTGGAACTTCCTGGAAACATTTTCAATGGCTTTGACCAAAATGCTGATAATGATATGGACGATGAAATTCAGGCTGAGGTCATCTCAGATGGAGATGAGGAATTTGTTGGGAACTGGAATAAGGTGACTCTTGCTATATTTTAGCAAGGAGACTGGTGGCATTTTGCCACTGCCCTAGAGATTTGCAGAACTTTGAAATTGAGGGAGATGATTTAGGGTATCTGGCAGAAGAAATTTCTAAGCAGCAAAGCCTTCAAGATGTGACTTATGTTCTGTTAAAAGCGTTCAATTTTAAAAGGGAAACAGAGCATGAAAGTTTGGATAATTTGCAGCCTGATGATGTGATAGAAAAGAAAAACCCATTTTCTGAGGAGAAATTCAAGCCAGCTGCAGAAATTTGCATAAGTAATCAGGAGACAAATGTTAATCTCTAAAACAATGGGGAAAATATCTCCAGGGCATGTCAGAGACATGCAGCAGCCCCTTCCATCACAGGTCCAGAGGCCTAAGAGGAAAAAATGATTTCCTGAGCCTGGTCCAGGACCCCTCTGCTCTGTGCAGCCTAGAGACTTGGTGCCCTGCATCCTAGCCACTCTAGCCTTGACTAAAAGGGGACAAGATACAGCTCAGACCATGGCTTCAGAGGGTGCAAGGCCAAAGCATTGGCAGCTTCCAGGAGGTGTTGGGCCCGTGGGTGCTCAGAAATCAAGAATTGAGGTTTGGGAACCTTTGCCTATATTTCGCAGGATGTATGGAAAAGCCTGTATGTCCAGGCAGAAGTTTGCTGCAGGGGCAGGGTGCTCATAGAGAACCTCTTCTAGGGCAGTGTGGAAGGGGTTGAAGCTGCCACACAGAATTCCCACTGGGACACTGCCTAGTGGAGCTGTGAGAAGAGGGCCACTATCTGCCAGACCCCAGAATGATAGATCCACTGACAGCTGGCATCGTGCACCTGGAAAAGCCACAGACACTCAGCACCAACCCATGAAAGCAACCAGGAGGGAGGCTGTACCCTGTAAAGCCACAGAGGCAGAGTTGCCCAAGACCATGAGAGCCCGTCTCTTGCATCAGCGTGACCTGGATGTGAGACCTGGAGTCAAAGGAGGTCATTCTGGAGCTTTAAAATTTGACTGCCCCACTGGATTTTGGACTTGCATGGGGTTTTAGCCCCTTCATTTTGGCCAATTTCTCCTGTTTGGAATGGGTGTATTTATCTAATGCCTATATCCCCATTGTATTTAGGAAGTAACTAACTTGCTTTTGGTTTTACAGGCTCATGGGTGGAAGGGACTTGCCTTGTCTCAGATGAGACTTTGGATGGTGGACATTTGAGTTAATGTTGAAATGAGTTAAGACTTCGAAGGACTGTTGGGAAGGCATGATTGGTTTTGAAATGTGAGATTTGTGAAGGGCCAGGGGTGGAATGATGTGGTTTGGCTGTGTCCCTACCCGAATCTGATCTTGAATTATAACTTCCATAATTCCCATGTGTTATAGGAGGGACCTGGTTGGTGGTAATTGAATCATGGGAGCAGTTTCCCCCATATTGCTCTCATGGTAGTGAATAAGTCTCGTGAGATCTGATGGTTTTATAAGGGGAAACCCCTTTCACTTGGGTCTCATTCTCTTCTTGTCTGCCACCAAGTTAGTTGGGTCTTTTGTCTTCTGCCATGATTGTGTGGCCTCCCCAACCATGTGGCACTGTGAGTCCACTAAACATTTTTTTCTTCATAAATTACCCAGTCTTGAGTATGTCTTTATTAGCAGCATGAGAACAAACTAATACAAAGTGTTAAGGAGAAAATGCAGAATAATTTTTATAACCATATGGTTGGAGAGCCTAAGCAAAACACAGCCCTAAAGCCATAAAGAAAAGGTTTAACACACTTAACTACGTACAAATTTTCAATTCTCTGTGATGAAAGACACCACAAACAAAGTTAACAACAAATGACAGACTGGAAATGACATTCAGAATATAAAAGTGGTTCGACACATCAATAAGAAAACAAATCAATAGAAGACAGGCAAATTATTTTGACTGTGATTCACTGAAGAAGTACAAATGGCCCAAAAACTGATAAAAGATGTTCAACCTTAATACTGATAAGAAATGCAGATTAAAATTAAAATAAGATATTTATTTGTTTTTAAAGTTTGTAATATTAGGAGTGTATGATACTATAGGAAAATAGGCACCCTCAAATACTCTTGTACAGTAATGAATTGGTGAAGCATTTTTGGAAGGCAGTTCAACAGAAACTATAAAATTTTAAAATCCACTTATTTTTGACATAGCAATTCTACTTCTGGAATCAATCTTAAGGAAATATTCACATATGTGCACAAAGATGTATGCTCCTTGCTTGCATTATATTTAATAATAGTGAAAAAATGGAAAATACACTTAAGTAAAATAACTTTCTTTACTTGCTTTCCAAAACAATATTTTCCTGACTTTCTTCAATGGCCACTCATACTGAGTCTCTTTTCTTGGTTCCTGTTCATCTCCCCCACCTCCTGTTACAGTTCCCCAAGGCTCAGTTCTCATATCTTTGTCTATACTTATTCCTTGGTGACATCATTTGGTCTTTTGGTTCTATGATTCAGCGTTCTCTATTCACCACTTGACTCACTCTATGCTGATGACACCCCAGTTGATATTTCTTTCTCAGACTCTTCCTCTAACATACAAACTCATACATCTACCTACCTGCTTGATATCTTCTTTTCTATACCTAATATTTATCTCAAACTTTACTTGAAAAGCAAACTTTTGATCCTCTCTTCCAAATCTGTTCTTACCTTAATCTTCTAGATTTCAGTCAATAGAAACTTCATCATTCCAGTGGACCAGGCCAAAATTCTAGATGTCATATTTGAAATTTCTTTCTCTCATGTCCTCCATCCAATTTGTCGGCAATTTGTACAGCCCAATTATTGGCTGTGCTTTCAAGATATATGAAGAATCCAATCATCTCTCACCTCCATTCTTACTACTGTGGTCTGAACCACCATCATCACTTACCTGAATGACTGAAACAGCCTCCTAACTGGTTTCCTGATTTCCACCCTTATCCCTCTGTGGTTTGATTTTAGTAGAGCAGGCATGGTCACCTGCACTCTTTCAAATCTTCAGAGCCTCGAGGCATAGTCTGGACATAAGGCCCATGTTCTTCCTCTTTCCTCAGCCTGTATTTTGTCACTCATTACCTCACTTATATTAAGCTTTTACTCAAGTATCACCTTCATATTGAGACTTCCTTGACTACTCAGATTCATCACCATCTGATATCGTATATATTTTTTCTTTTTCTTTTCTTTCTTTCTTTCCTTTTTTTTTTTTTTTTTTTTTTTTGACAGAATCTCACTCTGTTGCCAGGCTGGAGTGCAGTGGCATGATCTCGGCTCACTGCAGCCTCCGCCTCCCTAGTTCAAGGGATTATCCTGCCTTGGCCTCCCGAGTAGCTGGGACTTCAGGCACACACCACCATGCCCAGCTAATTTTTATATTTTTAGTAGAGACGGGGTTTCACCATGTTGGCCAGGATGGTCTGGATCTGACCTCGTGATCCACCCACCTCAGCCTCCCAAAGTGCTGGGATTACAGACGTGAGCCACCGCACCCGGCCTGTGCATTTGTTTTCTGTCTCCTCAAACTGAATATTCTTTTGGCCAGGTTTTTTTTGTTTGCTTGATTGGCTGGTTTTTTTTTACTATTGTTTATTAATGTACCTCCCATTCTTAAAACAGTTGTTTGGAACACATTAGGTGCTCAGTAATTATCTGCTGAATGAGATAATAATACAAGTTTGTCACTAGGAGAGTATCATAACACAATGATCTTTAAAATTTTGTTCACATATTCCTTGTAAGACTTTTGTGAAAGTATGACATTTACTTTATTTTAATTTCAATGCTATATTGTAGAATGTATGACTTCCGATGTTTTTAATATTTACACATTCTTTAAATATATTTTCATCAAAACCTAGGTGCTGTACATTTACTTACTCAATTTATGGAAATGCCATATAATCTAAACAGCAAAGACAGTTCTAACTTTGCATCAGACAAATTTGACTTCATTTTCAATTCAAATAAATATGGGTTTCAGTGGCAACCATCTCACATCTAAATTCCAAATCTAAGCTATTTCTATTGCCTGAGTGAAATAAATGTCACCTCCGACTATGTTAAAACTGTATGTGCCTTGCTCTTTTTGGCCCTTTCCCCCAGGAGCTATGCATTCTCCACTGTCCCTTGATTTGCACTTTGAAATCTTTTACACCTCAAGCAATTGCCTCATAGGTCATATTAAGGATTGGTGAGAGGTGTGCTTTTCATCTGCAATGGTGACTGACTGATTGTAAAAGCGGACGGAGAAAAGGGGAGCAGTCAGACCACAAGAGCATTCTCAAACAAATCAATTGTAAGGAGAAGTAAATTTGAAAGTTGAAGATCTGGAAACTAATTCCTTGACAAATTTTCATTCCCATATAATCCTTGAAAGTCTAGGAGCAGCTCTGGATACTCAGGTACTCGCAACCCATTCTAAAAATAAACTGGAATTCTATGCAACAAGAATAAATAAAGGGTATATCTGTATGCAATTACAAGAACATTGGTAAGAAACAATTTTAATTGACAAAAGCAAGTGGCATAATAATGCTTCCCATTTATCTTTGAAATATGTTTTTAATCTACATGCACCCATATGTCAGTTCATAGAAGGGAAGTCAAGCAGACATAAAAAGCATTGATAGTGGGTATCTCCAAGAATGGGTTGGGGGACATGGAAGGAGAGATTCACAATTTTCCCAGTTACCTTTTTATATTTTAAGTTATTTTTTAAAATGACATATATTAGTTAAGAAAAATTAAGATTAAGTAAAAATCAACTAAGAAAAAAATTGAGCAGATTCTGATATTGTAGCGTTGATAACAACTTTTAAAATATTTTCTTAGAGCAGTATATAAACATTACCAACAGCTTTACAAAAGTGAAAATCAGTTGCAAGAAACTCTTACTTCCCTCTTTCCTTTTTACATTGGGTATTTTTCTTTTACTTTTGTTTGATAGTTATTTTATCATGTGCTCTATTACAGTTCTCTGTGCCTGTATTTGTCTCCCTCACTAGATAGCATGCTCCTTAAAGGAATGTATCTTTTCCAACTTTGCAATCCCCATACTTCACACAATGCCTGGGGTACAGTTGGATTACAATGAATTTTTGATGGAATTAATGAGTGGATAAATTAATGGAAGCGAATGGCTTGTCCCTGTTTTCTTCTTTGTCTCCTTGATTTAACAGATGAATTTTGTTTTATCTTGCTGCATAATGTTCTATTCTACAGTTATTGGATAGTACATTCTAGACATTTTAATACATTTACAGACATTATCTCACTTTTCTTCTCTATTTTGTGGTGAAGAGCCATGAGTAAAAAATAGACTCAGCTTACACATGGGGAAGTAGAAGTCCACACAGACAAAAAACCTATTTCTAAATTCACAGTCATAGATACCATAACCATGAGATCATAATTATTTACCTAGCAGCATGAAGATCCATAGATAACTTTAATAGTTAGCCAATGGCTCTTCTAATAGTGCTTCTAATATGCTATTTGAAGTTTAAAAAATGTTTAAGGCCAGGCGTGGTGGCTCACGCCTGTAATCCCAGCACTTTGGGAGGCCAAGGCAGGTGGATCACGAGGTCAGGAGTTCCAGACCAGCCTGGCCAGCATGGTGAAACCCCGTGTCTACTAAAAATACAAAAAATTAGCTGGGCGTGGTGGTGCATGCCTGTAGTCCCAGCTACTTGGGAGGCTGAGGCAGGAGAATTGCTTGAACCCAGCAGGCGGAGGTTGCAGTGAGCTAAGATCACGCCACGGCACTCCAGCCTGGGTGACAGAGTGAGACTCCATCTCAGAAAAAAAAAAAAAAAGGAAAAGGATGTTTAAAAACAAAGACTGAGATTGGGTGTTTCTTCTTTAATAGCTTAAATATTATTTATTAAATTATTCTTTAGAAGGTATTTAAACAAGCCTTTAGCTAGTTCTTAAAATATTTTAATAACATATCAGACAGAGAGAGAGAGTCATCTCAACAGATATATTTGTCAAAGAGAAAAGCAGAATTGTAATTTTTGTGATATGGGAATATGTTTATGTATATATATTTATCAAAGTGAAAGCAAAGTGGAAATTTACAAAAGCAGAAAATTTTTCTTTGAGTTCTGTAGTGATTTTGATGTTGAACATCATTAATAGCAGCAGTTAATACAATATCAATGAAGCAAGAAAACAAAGCCAAGCAGGAAAATGATAGATTTCCCCACCATTCCCCATGCTCCTTCAGAGATATGGAACTTTTGCTGAAGAGAAGCAATACAGTCATTTCTGAACTATAAATATTACAAAGCATTGTGTGGTGGCCAGGGTCAGGACAAACTCTTAGGTCTCTAGTTAGGGCTGTATTTGCCACACTTATTTCAGTCTTATGTACGCAGAAATATCATATTTTCAAAGACAGAATTTACTAGAAAGTAGACTATCATATTCCCAGTAACATATAGAGACCCTAGACCAACAAGCGTGGTTGGTCCATTTCAATAACAGTTTTAAATTTTTCCTTTTTTGAAGACTTCATTACTCAACTGAAATATAATAATTAACTCCAAGTTTTCCAGAAATATTTTTCTGCTACACAAAGACAAATGAGCCAGAAGCCAGAAAATATTAAAAATAAGCTTCAGATTAATTTAAAAGAACATGATTTTTCTAGTAATCAATTGGAGAGAAGAATGAATCTAGGTAAATGCACTCACATAATACACATTTTAATGCTAGACCTAGGAATTCTCATTTCAAAAAAAGAATGAGAAAGCAGAAAATAAAATAAAACAAAGAAAATCAAAATAGGAACAATAAGAAACACTTCATAGGAACTAGAAAAATGTTATTCAACATAAAGTAGGCAAACAGCTACTGAGGTGCTCATATATCTCTTTGGAGATCAGTGATGTAATATGGCTTATCAGTGCAATGGAAGATATGGTAATATAATCCCCTCAAATTTTGCTAAAAGGATATGGTAAATATAATCTTATTTCTGATAAAACCTTTTAGGAAGCTAAAAATATAAGAGTTGTTATTTTGTTTTAAGAATGCAGATAGAGAATATAATAAAATATCTCCCCATCAACACTAAACTCATTAAAATAATATAATTTGAATAAAATGAAAAAATTCTTAACCACACTCAAAAACATATAAGAAAGCTCTTCATAAAGAAGAATTGGAGAGGCATTTCTAAAATAGTAAAGCAAAGGAAACACCACAGCAAAGGCTGCTTCTTTACTATCATGAATCTGAAACTGGAGCTGCATTGTTTAGAAACAAATTCTGAGGCTTCCTTGCCCAGTAGACAAGTCTAAAGCTAAGCTACCTTCAAGGCTAATGTTGGTGCTATTATGACATCTCACTACAGGAAATTCCCATCATAAGGTGTGAAAATAAGACTTCCTCTGCAAAAAACTAAGAAACAGAAATAATTAGGTAATACCAAATCTTTCCAGAGGCACAATAAACTCAAACATTAAGAGAACTTACGGCCAAGAAAGTTGGGATAATAATACAAGGTAAAAATATGAAATATTGAAATATTTCATAATCTTGAAGAGTCAAAGGAAGTGACTTCTTCCAATAAGCAAGAACCATACATTATGAAAAAGATAAAAAGCAGTTATGACAAACTAAGAATTCCAAAAAATGTTTTAATGTACTTTTATTTCAAAAAGTTAAATAGGACTAAAAATGTGCTAGAAAACTGAGCTGAGAAATTTCCCTGAAAGAATCCAAAAAAATATGAAAAATATTAAGAAAAAACTAAAAGACAGTAAGTCTAGACTACTAAGATTCAGCTAAAAGAAGTCCCAGAAAAAAAAAAAATGGAGAGACTAAAGGGGAAAGATATTTAGAGAAATGCATGGTCAAGAATTTTCCAAAAGTAAAGAAATATGATTTTATGCCAACAGTGAATAATCTGAAAAAGAAATTTAAAAAGTAATCCTATTTACAGTAGCCAAACATAAAATTAAATACCTAGGAATTAACCAAATAAGTGAAAGATCTCTATAGTGAAAACTATAAAACTGTGATGGAAAAATGGAAGAGGACACCAAAAAATGGAAATATATTCCATGTTCATGGATTAGAAAAAATAAAATTGTTAAAATGTCCATATTATCTAAAGCAATCTACAGACTCAGTGCAATCTCTATAAAAATACCAATGGCATTCTTCACAGAATAGAAAAAAACTATTGTAAAATTTATATGGAACCACAAAAAAACCAGAATAGCCACAGCTATCCTAAGCAAAATGAACATAACTGGAGGAATTACATTACCTGACTTCAAATTATACTACAGAGGTATGGTAACTGAAACAGCATGGTACTGGCATAAAAACAGGCACATAAACCAATGGAACAGAGAACCCAGAAACAAATTTATACACCTACAGTGAACTTATTTTCAACAAAGCTACCAAAAACAAAACATACATGGGGAAAAGACAGTCAGAGAAAACTAGATATCCATATGCAGGATCATGAAACTAGATCCCTATCTTTTGCCATATACCAAAAAAAAAAATCAAAATGGATTAAAGACTTAAATCTAAGACCTCAAACTATAAAACTACCATAAGAAAACATTGAGGAAAGCATCCAGGACATTGGTCTGGGCAAAAATTTTTTGAGCAATACCCTGCAAGCATGGGCGACCAAAGTAAAAATGGAGAAATGGGATCACATCAAGTTAAAAGGCTTCTGCATAGCAAAATAAACAATCAACAAAGCGAAGAGACAACTCATAGAATGGGAGAAAATATTTGCAAACTACCCATCTGACAACGGATTAATAACCAGAATATATAAGGTGCTCAAATAATTCTAGAAGAAAAAAACTAATAATCTGATCAAAAAATGGGCTAAAGATTTCAATAGACATTTCTCAAAAGAAGATAAACAAATGGCAAATGGGCATATGAAAAGGTGCTCAACATCATTGATCATCAGATAAATGCAAATCAAAACTACAATGAGATATAATCTCACCCCAGTTAAAATGGCTTATATCCAAAAGGCAATAACAAATGCTGGCAAGGACGTGGAGAAAATGCAATGTAAATTAGTACAACCACTCTGAAGAACAGTTTAGAAGTTCCTCAAAAAACTAAAAATAGAACTACCATATGATTCAGCAATCCCATTGCTGGATATATACCCAAACGAAAGGTAATCAGTATATTGAAGAGATATCTGCATTCCCATGTTTGTTGCAGCACTATTCACAGTAGCCAAGACTTGGAAAAACCTAAGTGTCCATCAACAGATGAATGGATATAGAAAATGTAGTACCCATGCACGATGAAGTACTATTCAGCCATGAAAAAAGAATTAGATCCTGTAATTTGCAACAACATGGATGGAACTGGAGATAATTTTGTTAAGGGAAATAAGCCAGGCACAAAGAAAGACACATGTCTCATGTTTTCACTTACTTGTGGGATGTAAAACTAAAACAATTGAATTTATGGACATAGAGAGTAGAAGGATGGTTACCAGAGGTTGAGAAGGGTAGTGGGGGTTGGTGAGAGGTTCAGGGGGAGATGGGGAGGGTTAATGGGTGCAAAAAAATTAGAAAGTATGAAAATGGCCTACTATTTGATAGCACACCAGGGTGACTATAGTCAATAATAACTTAATTATATATTAAAAAATAACTGAGAGAGTATAATTGAATTGTTTGTAATGTAAAGGATAAATGCTTGAGGGGATGGATACCCCATTATCCATGATGTGATTATTATGCATTGTATGCCTGTGTCAGAACATCTCCTGTACCCCATAAATATACTCACCTAGTATGTATGCACAAAAATAAAAAATAAAAAAAATTTTGAAAGCTTCAAAATAAAGTTAACAAAATTATTTATTTATGAGACAGAGCCTTGCCCTGTCACCCAGTCTGGAGTGCAGTGGCGTGATCTCAGCTCACTGCAACTTCTGCCTCCCTGGTTCAAGCGATTCTCCTGCCTCAGCCTCTCAAGTAGCTGGGATTATAGGTGCCCGCCACTAGGTCCAGCTAATTTTTGTATTTTTAGCAGAGACAGGTTTTCACCATGATGGCCAGACTGGTCTCTAACTCCTGACCTTAGGTGATCCGCCCACCTTGGCCTCCCAAAGTGCTCGTATTACAGGCATGAGCCACCCCGCCTGGCCAAGTGAACAAAATTTTAAAAAGATGATGGCTAAAATTAAAGAACTTGTTAATTGCCAAGCAAGATCAATAAAAAGCACAAGAACAAATATTCATAACTAGAAATCACAAAATGAAACCTGAGGAAATAATGAAAATTAATTAACTTCTAAGGAGAAATTTTACACAGAAGAGGAAAATAAATCATAAAGGAATGAGAACTAGAATAACATCAGTAATACTGTATTCAAAAAGACAAAGTAGCAATATCTTCATACAATTGAAATAAAATAACTGAACATAGAATTCTATACCCAGCTGACCTATTTTAGCTGGGTCAGCAATTTTACATATACAATGGTTATAAAGTTGATGATCCTCAGATCCTGTCTGAAAGAGCAAGAAACTAACATAGTCTGCCAAGAAAAAGAAAGTTAATAGTAAATATTAAGATGCATTAAGGCTGAGCAGTCAAGGAAATAAGTAAACAAGATTAGTAAATCTAAATATGATTTGTATAAGAAATGGTTTTAAGTGACAAGGGTGTAACTACACCTTTAGATAATATCATCATGGGGTTTAGATACAGGTAGAGATAAATAAGAATCTGTCATAATAGTTTTAAGTGTGTTTGTCAAATATTTAGATAGTCCCTAGAAGAATGAAAACAGAATATGAATCTTTCAAAAATTAAAATAAAAAAGGAGCACTGTATCACTCTGACAGAAAGCTAAAAAGGAAAATATAAGAAAGGAAAGAAAATATGGCAATTCATAGGTGTTTTTCCCATATCCAATTTTAAATTTTAAGATAATCAAATATATCAATCCTTTATGTGTTTTGGTTTTGTGCCTGTCTGGGAAGATTTTTATTTTTTTCTACTGGGGAACTATGATAAATGTCTCTACAATTTCTTGTCAAAATTTAGTTTTTTTTACTATTACTATGCGGGTATTAGTTCCATCTGGAATTTGTTTTGGAATACTAAATTAAGTAGAAATCTGTTTTTTCACTATAAAATCATTTTTTGAATAGTCCACACTTCTCCCACTGGTTTAAAATGCCAACGCACAAGCCTCTTTTTCTGATTTTGTTGTTGTGTTTTATTGATCTACTTGTTTTTTTCTTGTAAAAGTATTATACTGTTTTAGTTACTATAATTTTAAAGTATATCTTAAATATTGTATTCACTCACTTTAAAAAAATGCTGCTGTTTTTATTTGAATGGAATAAAGGAGAGTCCACTAAACATGAAAGTAATAAATTAAATTAGCAATTAAAATGCCTCTAAATTTGGATAAACAATTAAATGCTAATAACAAAACATAAATAATATTAAAAAGAAAAGAATAGTCTAAAAATGGGTATTTGCAATGCATTAAATCTTTAGTAATGATAGTTACTATCATTGTTATGATAATGACAGATGATAGTTACTATCATTGTTATGATAATGACAGATGATAGGTTAATATAAACAGTCTTCAATAGCTCTTATATATCTCTATAAAAAAGCTCTTATATATCTCTAAGCTCTTATATTGTCTTATATATTTCTAAGCTCTTATATAGCTCTAAGAAATATACTAACTCTCCAACTGAATAATAAGCCAAAATGTGCAAAAAGTATAAAATATTAATTAAACATACGAAGTAATATTTAAATCTCCCTAATAATCAAAGAAGTTTAATAAAAGTAACGAAATACATTTACCTAAGAACTTGTAGACAATTTAAACTACTAAAGCAAATTATCCTATAGGTATGACCCGTATTGTAAACAATGAGGTTTATTTATTCTCAATTATAAGATTTAAGGTGAAAGAGAAACCACAGTATTTCAGTTATAAAACTTTAAATGAGAAAATATCTTGATAGAGTAAAGATAAAATGAAATATTGGTATAATACAGCTTCATGTTCTCAATAAAATTATAAATTTTAACTACACTTAGCTATATAGTAAAATTATCAAGATATCATTAAATTTTTAAAAGCAAGATTTAAATTGAAAGTTAGTTTATCCCAATTTTGTTTTTAAAATACAATAATGACGGTAAGTCTAACAAGTTGAAATAAATGAGGAAAAATTCATTACTTTATGCTCCTCTATATGTGAATCTCTGTCTCTCATACACACACACACACACACACACACACACACACACTATCCCATATCTCATTCTATTTTATATATTTATTTCCTCTAACTGCCATAGAGAAAGCTTCAATAAAAACCAGTCACTCTGAAGTCCTCACTTATCTATTAGTTCCCATCCCCTGCTAGTTGAGAATTGTCTCAGTACTGCACATGCATGTTAGATGAACTTCTGCCAGTATCAAAAAAGCCCTAATACACAAGGCAAAAAAAAAAAAAAAAAATGCTGCCAGTATCAAAGAGGCCCTAATACAGGAAAAAAAAAAAAAAAAAGCTTGTATCAGTTTGAAGTGAGACACTATCAAGGTACAAGAGAGTTGAATCCCATCCAGAATGATGCACTGGACTCATAACTAAAATCAGAGGTCAGGCCAAGAGAATGTGAAGCATATTGCAAGAGTGCCTGAAATAAAGCACTCCTTTCACAACTAGACATGTTGATATTCTACATTAAAACGAATGTGTCGTCAAGTCCTCCAGGTGGTAACCAAGCTTGATTGCTGGTGAAAGATTTAATACACAAGTGTTAGTGGAACCAGCTACAATCACTGCTTCAACAATTGGTCCCAAGTATGGAGTAAGTATTCATCATCTTCCCTCTCCACTGCCTATTCTAGATGACCCTCAAACTAAGCTGCTACTTCAGAAGGCCTAGTTGTAATGTTTGGTAAATAAATTCAGATCTCTTTATACCTGAGGGATTTAAGATCCTAGTTGTCTTGCCCTTGAAAAGCCACGGTTGCTGCATTTGCCCTTTCTTGATTATCCCAGGCTTAGAGTAACTAACAAAACAGTGTGATGAATCCCTTGGGAACGAAATATATATTCCTCACTTTTCACAGCAATCATAGCTCTTCATGAAAATCAGGGTATCTTCCATACCATTTTAACTTTCCTGCTAGCCTACTAGCATGAGAAGCCTAAAGTGACCAGATGTGTTATGGTTTGAATGCTTTTGTTCTCTCCAAAATTCATGTAGAAACCTAATCATCTCCAAAATTTTGACGTTGTCAATACAATAGTATTAAGAGGTGTACACACGTACCCTAGAACCGAAAGTATAATAAAAAAAATATATATATATATAAAAAGAGGTGAGGCCTTTAAGAGGTAATTAAGCCTTGAGAACTTCTTCCTCATTAATTAGATTAAGGGCCTTTTAAAAGAGGCTTCACACAGCATTTCACTATCTGACTTGTTTGCCCCTCTGCCTTCTGCCATGTGAAAACGCAAAAGACCAAGTGCTGGCACCTTGATCTTGGATTTTTCCAGCCTCCAGAACTGTGAGAAAATAAAGTTTTATTCTTTACAAATTATATAGTCTCAGATATTCTGTTCTAGGAACACAGATGGACTAAGACAAGGTGGTAATCATACTTTCAGATTTAATAGAATTCTTATTGGTGAAATATTTTTTTCCACATGGAACCAGGACCTTCTTTAATCTATCAAAGCCAGAAGTTACAGTTATTGGGAAACATAAATTCCGCAGTTGGGTCACTATGAGTCATGAGATGTGAGTTAGGCCAAGCTAATTCTACTTCCTGTTTTATTACCTGGAATTGTGCATTTTAAGTATTGAGGATATAGCACCATATATTAAACTTTGGCTCAGAGCATAGATATAACATCCTGGGGAAAAAATGCCCCAACCTGTCAGGACGTTATTTCAGAGCTAGTACCCTAGCTGAACATTTAATAGGCCATTCCTTCGTCCTGCTAAGCCAGCTGCTTCCCAGTGATGCAATGTGGGGTATAATCAATGGATACCTTGGCTTTGTGTCTACTGTTGCTATTCTGTTACCATAAAATTTGATCTGACATCATGTTTTTTTATTATAAGTATTTTGTGAGGTCTTTTTTTGTATTTTAGATTCAGTGGGAACATATGCAGGTTTGTTACATGGTTGTGAGTTCTTATTGTTTCTGGAAGGTGCTCTATTCATCAGCTTGAGTTACCATAATTAATACCACGGACTGGGCAACTTAAACATTAGAAATTTATTTTCTCATAGTTCTGAAGTTTAGAAATCCAAGATGGAAGTCCAACAGAATCAATTTCGGGTGATGATTCTCTTCCTGGCTTGCAGATTACCACCTTCTCATTGTGTACTCACATGAAGGAAATAGAGAGTTCGTTCTCTTCTTATAAAGGCCACCAAACCCACCATATTAGGGCCCCATCCTTATGACTTCACTTAACCTAAATTACTCCTAAAAGCTTAATCTCCAAATACAGTCACATTGGGAATTAGGGTTTCAACATATGAATTTGACGAGTGGGGCACAATTTATTCCATGGCAATCACTATGGTTGGGGAAAGCAAAACCAGAGCCAGAAGAAATGTCAACTCCAGTAAGGACAAATTGCTGCTCTTTCCAAGAACAAAGGGGACTGATATAATAAAATCTCCACAAAGTAGTTTGCCAAGTTCTTCAAGGAACTTGATTCCTCCTATCCATGAGAATAGGATGTTTTTCTATTTGTATCTTCTCTGATTTCTTTGAACAGTCTTTTGTAATTCTCATTGTAGAGATATTTTACCTTCCTCGTTAGCTCCTAGGTATTTAATTTTTTGTGTGTGGCAATTGTGAATGGGATTTCCTCCTGATTTGGCTCTCAGTTTGGTTGTTGGTGTTGTACAGGAATGCTAGAGAGTTTTGTACATTGATTTTATATCCTACAACTTTGCTGAAGTTATTTACCAGCTGAAGGAACTTTTGGGTGAAGACTATGGGGTTTTCTAGATATAAAATCGTGAAATCATGTCATCTATAAACTGAGATAATATGACTTCCTTTCTTCCTATTTGGATGCTCTTTATTTCTTTCTGTTGCTTGTTTGCTCTGGATAGGACTTCCAATACTATGTTGAATAGAAGTGATGAGAGAGAATCCTTGTCTCACGCCTTTTCAAGGGGAATGCTTACGGCTTTTGCCCATTCAGTATAATGCTGGCTGTGAGTTTGTCAGAGGGCTGTTATTATTTTGAGATGTGTTCCTTCAATACCTAGTTTATTGAGAGTTTTTAACATGAAGGAATGTTGAATTTTATCAAAAGCCTTTTCTGCATCTATTGAGGTAATCATGTGGTTTTTGTCTTTAGTTCTGTTTATGTGATGAATCACATTTATTGATTTTTGTATTTTGAACTAACCTTGCATCCCAGGGATGAAGCCTACTTGATTATAGTGGATTAACTTTTTGCTGTGCTGCTAGATTCGGTCTTCAAGTATTCTGTTAAGAATTTTTGCATCAGTGTTTATCAGGGATATTGGCCTGAAGATTTCTTTTTTTGTTGTTGTGTCTCTGCCAGGTTTTGGTATCAAGATGATGCTGGCCTTTTAGAAGAGTTGGAGATAACTCCCTCCTCCTCAGTTTTTCGGAATGGTATCAGCTGTTCTTTGTACATCCAGTAGAATTCAGCTGTGAATTTATCAGGTTCTGGGTTTTTGTTGTTATTGTTGTTTTGTTTTGTTTTTATTTTTGGTTGGTAGGCTATTTGTTACCAGTTCAATTTCAGAGCTCGTTATTGGTATGTTCAGGGAATCAATTTCTTCCTGGCTCAGGCTTGAGAGGGTGCACGTGTCCAGGAATTTATCCATCTCTTCTGAGTTTTCTAGTTTGTTTGTATAGAGGTGTATGTGGTAGTTTCCTATGGTTGTTTTTATTTCCGTGGGGTCAGTAGTAACATTCCCTTCATCATTTCTGATTGTGCTTATTTGGATCTTCTCTATTTTCTTCCAAATTAGTCTAGCTGGTGGCCTATCTATCTCATTAATTTTTTCTAAAAGACCAACTCCTGGATTTGTTGATCTTTTGAATGGCTTTTTGTGTCTTGATTTCCTTTGGTTCAGCTCTGATTTTTGTTATTTCTTGTCTTCTACTAGCTTTGGGGTTGATTTGTTCTTGCTTCTCTAATACTTTCAGTTGTGTGGTTAGGTTGTTAATTTGAGGTCTTTCTGACTTTTTGATGAAGGCATTTAGTGCTATGAATTTTTGTGTTAACACTGCCTTAGCTGTACAGGTCTCAGACATTCTGGTATGTTATATCTTTGTTCTCATTATTTTCAAAGAACTTCTTGACTTCTGCCTTAATTTCATTATTTACCCAAATGTCATTCAGGAGCATGTCATTTAATTTGCATGTACGGCTTTGAGCAATTTTCACTGTGTTAACTTCTATTTTTATTGTGCTGTGATCTAACAGTGTGTTTGGTATAATTTTGGTTCTTTTAAATTTGTTGAGAATTGTTTTATGTCCAATTATGTGATTTATTTTAGAGTATTTGCCACGTGACAATGAGAAGAATGTATATTCTGTTGTTTTTGGGTGAAGACTTATGTAAAGGTAATTAAATCCATTTGATCCAATGTTGAGTTTATGTTCTAAATATGTTTGTTAATTTTCTGCCTCAATGATCTGTCTAATACCATCAGTGGGGTGTTGAAGTCTCCCATTATTATTGTGTGGGAGCCTATGTCTCTTTGTAGGTCTCTAAGAACTTGCTTTATGAATCTGAGTGCTCCTGTGTTGGGTGCATATGTACGTAGGATACTTAAGTCTTCTTGTTGAATTGAACCCTTTACCATTACGTAATACCCTTCCTTGTCTTTTTTGATTTTTGTTGATTTGAAATCTGTTTTTTTTTTTTTGAAATTAGAATTTCAACCCCTGCTTCTTTCTGTTTTCCATTTGCTTGGTAGATTTTCCTCCATCCCTTTATTTTGAGCCTATGAGTATCATTATGCATGATATGGGTCTCTTGAACAACAGCATATCGTTGGGTCTTGCATTTTTATACAGCTTGCCACTCTGTGTCTTTTAACTGGGGCATTTAGCCTGTTTACATTCAAGGTTACTGTGGATATGTGTGGATTTGATCCTGTCATTGTGCTGTTAGCTGGTTATTGTGTTGGCATGTTTGTGTGGTTGCTTTACAGTGACACTGGTCTGTGTGTTGAAGTGTTTTTTTGTTTTTTTTTTTTTATTAGCTGGTAGCAGTCTTTCCTTTCTGTAGTTAGTGCTCCTTTCAAGATCTCTTTAAGGCAGGTCTGGTGGTAATAAAATCCCTCAACATTTTCTTATCTGAAAATAATCTTATTTCTCTTTCACGTAGCTTAATTTGGCTTGATACGAAATTCTTGGCTGAAGATTTTTTTCTTTAAAAATGTTGAATATAGGCCCTCAATCTCTTCTAGCTTATAGGGTTTCAGCTGAGAAGTCCACTGTTAGCCTGATGGGGATCCCATTTTGGTGACTTGCCCTTTCTGTCTAGCTGCCTTTAACATTCTTTCTTTCATTTCAACCTTGGAAAGTCTGATGATTATGTGTCTTGGAGATGCTCTTGTATAGATTCTTGCAGGAGTTGTCCGTATTTTCTGAATTTGACTGTTGGCCTCCCTAGCAAGGTTGGGGAAGTTTTCATGGATGATATCCTAAAATATATTTTCCAAGTGGTTTGCTTTCTTCTCTTCCCTATCAGGGGTGCCAATGATTCATAGATGTGGCCTCTTTACATAATCTTATACTTGGAGGTTTTGTTCATTTTTTAAGTTCTTTTTTCTTTATTTTTGTCTGATTGTCTTATTTCAGATCCAGTCTTCAAGTTCTGAGATTATTTATTCAGCTTAATTTATTCTGCTGTTAATTGTTGTAATTGCATTGTAAAATTCTTGTATTGTGTTTTTCAGCTCTGCTAGACTCATTAGGTTATTTTTTTATACCAGCTATTTTGTCCTTCAGACACTGTATCATTTTATTGTGATTCTTATTTTCATTGGATTGTGTTTTGTCAGCCTCCTGAATCTCAATGATCTTTGTTCCTATCTGTATTCTGAATTACATTTCTGTCATTCCAGCCAGTTTGGCCTGGTTAAGAACTCCTGTCAGAGAACTGGTGCTGTTGTTTGGAGGACATATGACACTGGCCATTTGAGTTACCAGAGTTCTTACGTTGGTTCTTTCTCATCTCTGTGTGTGAGTGTTCATTTTACTGCAGTGTAGATTGAATCCACTCAATAGACTTCCTTTCTGGATGTTTTCACTGGGCCAATGCTTTGTGTAGGGTCTTTATTTGAAGCTGACTTTTTGTCTCTGGTTTCAGTGGGGGCTATCTTAGTCAGGTATTTTGGCATTGGAGCTTTAGGGTATGATCCAGCAGTTGACACTTAGTTGGTAGATGCTTGCTTGGTTGTGTGTCTCTTCTGTGTTTCCTCACAGTTGTAGTCATGTTCCCTCTCAGTGCTCTGAAACTGGGGGTTCCTCTGCCCCTTGAGTGCTGGCAGTAGTTCATTACTTGGGACTCTTGGGCTGCCCACTGTATTTATGTTCCTTCCCTAGCTTAGAGGCAGCAGAGTAAAAAATCTTAGTGGTGGCTGTGGCCAAGGATCATTTGCTTGATTTCTAGGGGCTCCACCCCAGAGAGATGCAGGCCAGCAATCACTCAGTGCATTCAGCCCAGGATGGAGGGTTTGTGCTGTGGGCCCAAGCCAGGGCTTCCTTGTCTGGTGACAAGCTGTGTGTGTGTGTGTGTGTGTGTGTGTGCATGTGCGTGTGTGTCGGGGGGGGTGGGGTGAGACCTATGGGAGACAGACTAGCCTCCTTTCCTTGGGTCAACTTGCAGCTTGGAGTTATGGAGAAGACACTTAGGATCTTTGCTTTTTCCTTAATCTGAGAGTGGCAAAGGCAGTTCCATTGCAGAGGCCGTGGTAGAGAGGCTTTCAGTTGTCCCTAGAGGCTCTGTTCAGGGAACTGCTGAGTTGTTAGTGGCTCAATAGTTCTGACATGGGGTGGCTGGAGGCCCAGAACTGTAGGACTTGCCTGCGGATGAGATATGGCAAAGGGCACCCATGTAATAGTCTGGCCACTTTTCTGCAGGGCTGCTGCAATATGCTTGCGACCTGCTCAAGTCCCTAGTCACCCTGGATTTTCCAGGACCTGGAGGTGTCACTAGTGAAGGCTGTGAAACAGCAAAGATGGCAGCCTGTTCCTCCTTCTGCAAGCTTTGTCCCAGGGAAACACGGACCTGTTGCTGACCCAGAGGTACCTGTAGGAAGTAGCTGGAGGCCCTGGTTGAGAGGTCCCTCCCAGTGAGAGGGAATAAGGTTGGGACCACTTAAAAAAGCAGTCTGCCCACATTTTGGTAGAGCATCTTTGCTGTGCTGGGGATTCACTTCAGCTTCTGGTTGCCTCAGACACTCCGAAGCCCAAAGGCTAGAATGGGCAAATCACCAAAATAGCAAAGATCGTGGCCCACCCCTACCTCTGGGAGCATTGTCCTAGGCGGAATTCAGGTTGCTGTAAGCTGGAGAGCTTGGGTAGGGGTGGCTGGAGGCCCCAGTTGGGAGGCCCTGTCCAGCAACGAGGAATAGGACCAGACACCTGCTTAAAGCAGCAGTCTGGCCACATTTTGGTAGCACAGCAGTGCTGTGCTGTGCTGAGGGATCCCTTTCTCCCTGGGTTGGCTCAGACTCTCCAAAGCCAGAAGGCTGGAATGGCTAAGGCACCCAAACATCAAAGGTGGCAGCTGTCCCTCCTGCTGGGAGATCCTTCTTAGGGAGGTGCAACACTGCTACCAGTAGTTGGCTAGAATTCCAAGCCAGTGGGTCTTATCTTCTGAGGTGCCCTAAAGTGTGTCCTGTGAGCTGCTGCTGCTCAGCTCCTTCCTAGGGGTATGTACAGGAGTCTAATATCCTACTTTGCCAGAGCTGCAGCTATTTTTGCAGGAAAGCCCAAGTATCTAAAGCTCCCGGGTCTCCACACATGCCTGGGTGGCTGCTCTGCTGAGACTCCCAGTAGCTCTGTCCGTCAGA
The DNA here is from genome assembly GCF_000001405.40 of Homo sapiens. Classification (NCBI taxonomy): domain Eukaryota; kingdom Metazoa; phylum Chordata; class Mammalia; order Primates; family Hominidae; genus Homo; species Homo sapiens. The sequence continues at coordinate 190,223,578 of NC_000003.12, forward strand.
CTGAAGACTGAAGGCCCTGGTGGAATGAGTGTCCAAGGGGATCTCCTGACCAGAGGGTTGCAAAAATCTGTGAGAGAAGCATGGTTTCCTGGTTGCTGCTTCCCTGGGCAGGGGAAGAGCCCTTGGCTCTGTGTTGCTCCAAGGTGGGCCATTGTCCTGTCTTGCTTTTCTTCATTCTCTGTGGGTCAAGTTGTTTTTGTGATTAATCCCAGTGCAAGTACCTGGATGTTTCAGTTGAAGGTGTTGTGTTTATTCGCCCTTTCTGTTCCTCTCCGTGAGAGCCACACACACTAGCTGCTTCCAGTAGGCCACCTTGGCCACTCCCCCTAAATTACTAACATGCATTAATTTATTTAATTTTATATAAACTCTATTTGCAATCATATTTTACAGATTAAGAAACAGAATTTGTCAATTTAAGTAGCTTACCTGAATTTGTGCAGTTCAGAAATGAAAGAGCCAGTGTTCAAGCCTTAATGTTTCTTGCTACAGAATCTATGCTCTCAACTTTCTACAGGTATGACCATGAAAATATTAACTGTGATTATTTCCAATTGCTCATTGTCCCAGCAAGCTTTGTCCCAGGGAGGTACAGACCTGTTGTTTGAACTTTGCTGAGTTTATTTCTTCATGAATTTATTTATTCACTCATCAGCAGTTACTCAATTCAATTCATAAATCTAAAAACAATTATTTGGGTTTTTACCATGTTCAGTGTTGATACCAGGTAGTGTGTATTTTTGTACACATAGCTAGTTTATTATACCCCTCCTCATTCCAGTGAAAATTAGGGACAGCCAAAAATAAATAAATAAATAAATAAAAATAAGAAAGAAAAGAAATATGTGGCACTTGTCCTCAAGTAGATCACAGTATGGATATAAACTCAATAATTATCATATATAAATTTTAAAAGGACCTTAAAGATGTACAAGTGAAATGTGTTTGGCATACAGAATAGAAAAAGAGCACTTCTTGGCTCTGAAAAGCAGAGAAACATTGATGGAAGGGATGTAACTTACCCAAGCCTTGACGTGTCATCATAATTTTTAGAGGCCGAAATGCCAGGAAAACATTTCAGGCATTCTTATGCAGTACTAAGGGGATTGATTCTTGAACCGCAAATCTTCCAGCTCTATGTCAATGTGATCCCTGAACCTCAGCCACTGATTTGCATTCAAGTGAGTCTGAGGTCCTTTTTTCTGTCTTGGTTTTGACATCGATCCAATTGAGAGGAGAGCAATGCTTTAATTCTACTCTATTAGAAGGATTAACTAATAAAAATGGCTTCATAAGATGTATATTCTATAAAAGACATTATTTTGTTGTAAATATTTATGGTTATTATCTATTTTCAACCCAGCTAATCTACTTAAGGACAAAAGTCACATATTTCAGCATAGCTGAAAATAGACTCCAAAGTAGTCATAGCAAAATTGGATTTTAATATGACCCGTGGAGTGTGTGGTCTTGTTAAATTTTTATTACCATGTCTCAACTATAGAGGGTCCTTAATGTAGCTCTTAAAAATAAAATCTGTAGTAATTTTACAGAACTCCAATATTTACAAGCTAAGTAGTTCGTCTCATTATTCAGAGCAGAGTGGAACACATTTTCATGGAAGAATATAGTTCTCTCAGCTTTGTTCCACGGCCTGACCTGTCACTTAGGAACCAACTGCCACTTGAAAGACCTCAGTGAAAACGAGGTGGAAGATAATCTTTCCACCAATAGATGGAGCCACATGAACCCAATTTTAAAATAATTTACTAAATTATCTAATCTCAAATCATCACTCAAGCAGATACATCTTTTTCTTGTTTTGTTTCCCCTTTTTCCCTCCCTCCTTCCTTCCTTCCTCCCTCCCTCCCTTCATCCCTCCCTCCCTCTCTCTCTTTCTTTCTTCTTTCTTCTTTCCTTCTTTCTTTTCTTCCTTTCTTTCCCAAGAAGACAATTTCTCTCTATCATTTTTTGTCATTTATTTTTCTTTCATTGTTTTCTTTCTCATCTGTTCATATTTTTCTTTTCTCCTTTCTTAATTAAAAAATCACATAAATATGTGTTCTTTTACTACCAAATTGTCAGAATCAGAATTTTATATTTTGAGGTGTTTTTGGTGATGTTCTAGTCTAGTCCCTTCTGCATGTGTTACTAGGACCAAAGTCTTAGAGATTTCAGGGTCCTACAAAAATCTTGCTTTCGAATATGACTAGGTATATAGCTGGAACCTTGAAAAAATTATTTTTCTTTCTCTCCTTTTTACAGAATAAGTTGTCTGCTTTCTGCCCCATCAAGAGAGTGTTTTCCTCTCCATAATGAGAATACTAAACATCATAGCACTATTCCTCAATGCTAATTATCTCACAAGCTGTTCACCTTCTTCCCTCAAAGAAAAAATAATAATTTGAGGGTAGGGTTGTAATGATTGTAATTCAATTATTTGCTCCACAGATACTTTTTAAGCACATTCGAGGTACAAGCAATTCATGTTGGGCATTTGTCTTTAACAGTTTTTTCTTCTAGTAGCTATTAAAGTAGCAGCAGCATAAGTAGTGAGCTGATACCACTGAGAAATGTGATAGGAACAAACGGTAGCTAAAGGAATTAGAGAAAATAAAAAGAAATCTACATACTTAGACTAAAAAGAGGGAGGGCATTAGAAAATGGCCTTTGTCATTTAAGCTGTCTAGACTTTAGGATCCCAATATCACTTAAGTCTTGGCCTTACTTACCTGAAATGTGTCACTTTAGTTTCCTAGAGAAGTCAGAATACAAAAAAGAAAAATACCTGAATTGACATCCTGAGGGTTCATATTGCAAAAGATATTGCATATGTATTTATGCAAATTATTGTGGAAGTAGAACACATTGTCTTTGTTCTTGAGGAACATTAAAGTGAAGGTGGAACCAACCCTATTGGAAAGACATAAGGACCCAAAGATTCTCCTGGAAACACAGCACACAGCCTTATACAATTGTGGTTGCCCTGAGATAGACTCAATTTATACACTCAAGTTAAATACCTTTATGGAAGGCTAGTTATGGGAGGTGACTCACGGCGTTCAGGAAAAAAAGGGTTCAACTCATTGACAGCAAAGACTAATAATGAATTTGAATGGAAAGTCCAGAGTTTGCATGGGCAGCGCCCTGTGCTAAAGTGAAGGACCATAGCTCAGCTCTAGAGACGAATCAGCTACTCATTTACGAAGGAAGGTAAATCATGTTTCTAGCCAGAGTATAGGGTAAGAGTTGGGACAACACGAGGCAAAATGTTTTGAACAAAGTAATGAAGGTAAGAGGAATTAATGTTTTATAATGACTTAAGTAGCAATTTGAAATCCTACAAAAAAAACTTTCCTGTTACATTTTATTACAGAAATTTTAAAACCTACACCAAAGTAAAGCAATATAATGAGCCTCTCTGTGCCTCTTACCTTCTGATAAATTTCAATATTTTACCCAATATTTGAATGGGTATCATTGCCACTAAACATAGGAATTATTTAGGCTTCTGCTGACGATGTGTAATTGAACAGATTATCTACAGGAATCATTTGAAAGGTATATTTTTAAGCCAGGATGGGTTTAAACATTCCAGGCAAGTCAGATCAGTTCTGCTTTCAAATTGGCTCCCCACAGACCAGAAGCAGGAACATAGTGAGAGTCAGGTTTTTGATATGAATGTCTTGCCAAAGGAGCTGACAGGAAGTAGAAAAGCACCCATTGGGTAGTTCCTCTCACTGGCACAGATAGAAATATCATTTAAGTATAACTAAAGAAACCATACACTTCCAACAATAGTGGCTGGCTTGTAAGCATGTTTCATATACTGAAAATGGAAATAGAACTCTACCGGATGCTGCACTGGATATTTCACCCATGCTATTTTATTTAAATCTCACAAAATCCACTGGAGGAAACTATTGTTTTCCCATAGTACACATAAGTTAACTGAGGCATAGATCTGTTAATTCACTTATTCATGCCACACAACCGGCAGTCATGGATCTAGGGCTGCAATCAGTTCGGTCTGATTTCCAAGTGTGTTTGTTTCTCCACATAATCAGGAAATTAGACAGAAAAACCAGGTCTTACTTTACATCACGCTGCCCAGGGACCCAATGTCAGAATGACTTCTAGGAGTGATTAAATGGACAATGCCAAGCAGTTTAGGGTGTTCTGATATTCAGAAGATGAATATGCAGTCCAGATAGGCAATTATCTTCTTCCTCAAGAAGGTGGACTGGGGCACAATTAGAAGTTTGTGCCATTTTTACCTCACCACTTAATGTGCTTCTTTATCTTTTGTGTTTGGTTTATATTTTCCATCAATTTTCTAATAAGGTGTCAACTTGGTGGTGAAAATGAATTTGTCCATGCATCGGTCAACATAGAACAAGCCCCAGAAAGGTGGTCCCAGATAGTGACAGAAGCAGTTCCTGGACCGGAAGACCTAGTGAACTGGACAGGTTCAACCAGGAGCAACCTAAAGGCTGGGGAATGAGGACAGCTAAGGCTGTGGCTCCATTCTCAGCTGGACTTTTCCTTGGTTGGTCTTCATTCACGTTGCCTATTATGAGGATGGCTTCCTCGTGAACTCCAAGCAGCTCCAAACAGGAAACCTGGTTTCCTCAAAATGTGGTTTGTTTACAAGTGGTGATATACGCGATTTTACATGTACATGGATAAGTTAAAAATAGTGTGGATATTGCATTGGAAAACACATAAAACATGCCTGAGCAAGATACTAATTGCCAAATAAGGATAAATTGGAAGACAAGGAGAGGAATGATGGGGACGTGCGTGTGGAAAGATGGAGAATGAAACTAGAAAAGCTAATATCACAAGGTGGCAGCCCATATGCAAGTGGCGTTTCATGGAACTTCTTCAATATGTAAGTGAAATATCTGAGGTCTGGAGAAGACAATTACCCAGGATCACACAAGAAGTTAGTTATAGGGCAATGACTAGAACTTGAGGCTTTGCTTCATAATTGAGTGACTTTTTAAAAATTCAGCTTCTCCCTTCTCCTTAAAAAAGAAATATTTTGTTACATACAGGTAATGCTGTACACTTTCAACATTATTCAAACCTTTATTTATATATTATTTGTTGTTTTCAATTTGATTCAGAAAAAATTTGTCTGGAAGATGTTTCATTTCATTTGAAAGAGTGCATAAATAGATCCAAATGATTAAAACCAGTTTAAAAAAATTAGTTCATGTAAGTAAAATATTTTTGAAAGAAAAAAGGTGAGGCTTTGACAGAGAGACAATGCTGTTTAATGATAAGAGGAGAGCAAAGTATCACAGGGACTCAGATAAATCCTGGTCCTCTCCAATCCACAGAAAGACTTTAAACAATGTACTTAGATTCTTGGGGTCTTGGTTTCTATAACACTGGGACAAGAATAAACTTCTTGTCAGATGTAGATCAATATTACCAATATGTATATCAATATTACCAATATGTATATCAATATTACCAATACAATCAAAATTACCAATACAGCTGCTGACACTCCATAGTTATTCAACATGTGACAGCTATTGTTATGTGTGTGATGGTGGCTCATTTATAGTAAGAGAGAGGAGAGAAAAGCTATGGAATGGTCTCAAGACCAAGAATGGGAAGCATCTGATGTGGTACCCACAGAAAGTGGGTAAGTAGGAAGGGATGGGTGAGTTTGGGTTTTTAGAATCACTTCCAGAGGAGGTGGTAGGCATGTATGTTCTCCTTATATTGGGATTCTCAGTCTGAGAAATGAATCATTTTTATTCTTTCGGGGTATTAACTTAAGATTTCTGAGGAATATTGAGAATTTAAAAGGAAAATTCTTAGGCCAAAACCTAAATCCTAGTATCTGACTTTCATGCACCTAGTGTTGACAGCTTGTAGTGAACATTTTCAGCATCTGGATTATATCTTATTGCAGCATATTCTAGAACTTTTATCTTTTCCACATTGAGAAAATCAGTTTTTAATAGTATTGTTTCATGTGTCTATATTTCTTTGTATAGCAGAACATAGAAATGCAAATTGCTTTTGAGGGGAGAAAATACATTTATGACTGATGCTACAAGCAGACTCCTCTCATTTAATGTACATTATTTTTAAAATAAATACAAATACCTTCTTTACACAGATACAGCTCTTATGAGTTTGCAAAATAATTTCACGCATATTTCATTCACTTTTCATAACAGTACTGTGATGTAGGTACTACTATTCTCATTTTCTAGATGAGGCAACAAAAGCTCAGAGTTTAAGTGGTTTGGGTAACATGGCTAACAAGTAGTTGATCCAGATCATCTGACTCCAAATGAAATGTACTTTTTACTCTGCATCTTTTTTTTTCTCATTTCAATCATTCAATGTAAAATGAAACTGAAACATGTTTGCTCCTGTCCACAAGGAATTCCCAATTTCATAGGTCATGAAACACACACACACACACAGTCGAGTGAAACATGAACAGGGAACTAGATTGAGATCACTATGAGTGGAAGTGGTCAGGGACATATTGTAGAGTACGGAAGAAGAAAGGTAAGAATATTTTTAGAGAGTAGAAAATCAGCCACCCATTTTGGATGATTGTAATAATCAAGTTGCGCTCCACCTCCAGGCTCTAACTCTCATCTGTAAACATGCCAAAGGGAATAGGACATTGAATTCTTGGCTGGAAATGAAACAAACAAATGAATCATCTAAAAATTCAAGGTTAGAGTAGGTTTTCATCTGATGAGAATGAGAGATATCTACATTAATGGGCTCCCTGCTGATGCAGTATCCCACAGTAACTGAATCTGGGATATCTGCCACCTTTTACCTTCTTCTACTGGCAGCCTCACTCATAACCAGAGTTTGAGAAACCAAACCATAACTTTTTCTGAGCCACTATGGAAATCATGGTGAAGGAGGAGACAAAGAAAAGGGCAGTGGATTAGAATTCAGAACTGGATTTTGTCTTTGTGTTGTGGCAACTGGATGAGTATAACTTTGAGCAACTCACTTCATCTCCCCACATTCCAGTTTCATCACCTGTGAAATGGGGCTAATGACACCTGCCTAGCCTACCTTTTTCTTAAAGAATGAATGAAGAGCCATATGTGAAAATGCCCTGAAAATCATAAAATATATAAAACATTACACAGATGTACAAATATACCTGATACATTTTTCATGATATATGATTTCCAAGGGATTCTTCTTATAAAACCCCTTCCATTCTCGCTTGCAATTCAGCAAGCACTCCTTTAAAAATATCTTTGCCTCAGCATAATTCCCAAATTTCTGATATACACAGAGATAATTGTGAAAGTATTGTATGCAAAAACTGTTGAAAAAGAGTCACTTTCTTCAAAGCCTACTCTTCTACGAAATTGTTGGTTGTTGTTTTTAGTAGGGCTCACTATGCTAGGTGAGCATGAGCATTCTTACCAGATATATGGTTTAATGTGGAGGGTTAGGGTAGAAGTCAGTGAAGGAGGGGGAAAATTAAAACATAAAGGCTAAAGAATATTGTTTCCTGAAAACCTGTTAAAATAAGCAAATAATAACCAATTCTGTGTGACATTTTACTCTCTACCACCATGCTATTCAAAACGTGCTTTGTGCATGGGCCACCATTGGGAGCTTGTTAGAAGTTCACATTACCGGGCCCTACTCCAGACCAACCAAATTACAATCTGTATTTTAACATGATCTTCATGTAATTTGTATGCCTAGCCTGTTCAAGTTTGAGATTCGCTGGCCTATGAGGTACATCCAGCTACATAACGCCACCTACTTCTTAAGACTATTTTATTAAAAACAATATTGTTAATACCTTGCCCTCCACATGGCCATGTGTGGTAGCTGAGGGATTTAAAAGTAGACTTTCTGCCGGGTGTGGTGGCTTACATCTATAATCCCAGCACCTTGGGAGGGCAAAGTGGGCAGATACATGAGGTCAGGAGTTCGAGACCAGCTCGGCCAATATGGTGAAACCCCATCTCTACTAAAAATACAAAAATTATTTGGGTGTGGTGGCACGTGTCTGTAATCTCAGCTACTCAGGAGGCTAAGGCACGAGAATCACTTGAACCTAGGAGGCAGAGGTTGCAGTGAGCTGAGTGAGATTGCACCACTGCACTCCAGCCTGGGTGACAGAGCAAGTCACTGTCTCAAAAAAAAAAAAAAAAAAAAAAAAGACACTTTCTGACTCTAAAGCCTATGTTTTTCCCACTACAGATGTCTTCTGTTCCATTCATCTCTCTTGGATATTACATTATGAGGACCTACCTTGAAACCAGATGTGACCTCCAGTAATCCCTTCTGACTTTAAGATCCACTAATTTATTTAAAATACCCTACTTATATAACCCTATCTCATGACTCAGTAAAAAATTACAGAAGCAGAGGAAGAAGTGCTTCCTTTTGTGGGACATTCAGACGCTTTGGGTTTGTGCCAAGATGTCAGGGGAAGTTCCCATTTCACATTCTTCTTCTTTTGCTTGGATAATTGAGGATCTCAAATGATGTCAGACTTTCTGAGGTCTTTCTGTGAATTCATTCTTGGCTGATCTCATCATCAGAATGCCACTATTATAAGGTACCGCCCCTGGAATTGCTCAAACTCAGCAGCTGACTAGACTTCTTCAGGATGCCTCAAGGCATCCACTTGAAGGGCCACTTGGAGCAAAGAGTCTATTTCTGTTCTTAGGTGAAGGCCTGATTCAGTTGCTTACTACAAGTGCTTGAAATTTGCTACTGGATGTCCTTCATCTTTCTCTTTCTTAACAGATTCCCAACTTATCACAGAAAATATGTTTGTGATAGCAGTAAACAGACAGTGGTTGACAAAACTGTATCATCAGTGATTTCTTACAGCAGAGAACTATGGGATTAACCACACCTCACTTAGTGTAAAATACACACTGTATATGGGCAGAAAAAAGAATCATACGAACCAAAAAATGAAACATCCAGGGGATAATAAAAATACTATGATTATATCCTGAAGCTTCCTGGCTTACCAGATGTGCCAACCTTAGTTTTATTTAGTGATGAGGTACATATCATGTCCCTTAAAATCCTCATGAGTTAGCTCAATTGGCTTTCCAGATGGAGACCAATGGTCCCAAAATATCTCACCTCCTTCCTCTCCATCCCTAGGATGTAGCACAGAAGACACCCACAAATTCAAGAGAGCTTTAAGGTAAAATACCTGTGGAAACCCTCAATGAGTAGATAGACTCAGAGTCACTCACAAAATGAGAACAAGTCCCCAGATGATTGTCTCTGTTTAGTGCATTACAGTGAGAAACGTGATTTTATTCCCCACTAAGTCTTTCTAGCCATCCCTGGAGCCCCAGCCACCTTATAAAATGCATTTAACTGTTGCACTGTCATTCTTCCTATCTACAGATGCCCACAGATCTTTGCTTATGGGATTCTTTCAGCCTGAATGTTCTTCACAAACTCTGCCTTTCTAAATCCCAGGAACATTTCAATGCAATTCTTCTCTGAAGCCTTCCTTGGTTACTAATATTAAATCTAACACCAAATTCACAGCTTATGTGTTTCCTAGAGCACTTGGATGTTCTGCCTGTTTTAGAGTTTTTTTGTCATTGTTAGTCTGTCTTGCTCGCCACATATCAATCTGTTTTACTAGATTGTTTTACTTGTTTGTATGATTTTACAAGCTCCTATAATACCAATCTATCACACATTCTAAAACAGATGGGTGCAATAATAAATCGCCATTTGACTGGGGAACGTTTCTCTTAAAGTTAAGAAAAAAATATCAGGCCTTGCTCCTCCAAAAATGTCAGGTGGATCACCTGAGGTCAGGAGTTCGAGACCACTCCTCCACTGTGGAGTAGACAACCCATGGTTATAACCCTCAAACCCTGTGGTCCTTTGAGGTTGCCACTGTATCCAGGGGGTGTAACCAAAGCAGTAGGATTTGCTCTCTGGCCTCCATGAAAAAGAGTTCTTTACTTCAAAAGTAGTTCCACCCTTCCTCATTTCACAAAACCTAATGCTTTGCTATAATACAACATGATATAGTAGTAGACTCCAAGAAGTTTTCTTTATCTTTTAGAAATTAATATGTGTGACACAAGTTATAAAAAATTAAAAGAATGGGTAGTTTTATAAATCTCATTTTATCTACAAGTCTATATTTTAAGTTTTTCTCTATGTTGCTATGCAGAAAAAAAGAATTCAAACAATTCTGACAAAAACTAGTAATTATTTCATAACTGAGGCTGTTACAAGAAAGATGGCTTGAAAGGGCAGGTGCTAAAAAACATAAAAAGATTCTGTAAAGGGTTCTGATGGGACAGAAATGGCAAATTTAAAAGAGAGGTAAAGAAAATTGGAGAGAGGAGCTTCTAATGACAAAATATTGTAGTGAGACTAAAGACAAGACTACTTTGAAGACTACAGAATCAAATATAATACTTCACAAAATAAAAGGGCTTTTGCAATAGTCATATTCAAAGGCTCTCTAAAGACCTAATTAAATTTGGGAGACGAAGGCAGGCCGATCACTTGAGGTCAGGAGTTTGAGACCAGCCTGTCCAACATGATGAAACCCTGTATATATTAAAAATAAAAATAAAAAAATTAGTTGGGCGTGGTGGCGCATGCTTTTAATCCCAGCTACCAGATGGCTGAGACACGAGATTTGCTTGAACCCAGGAGGCAGAGGTTGAAGTGAGCCGAGATGGCACCATTGCTCTCCAGCCCCAACTAATTCTAATGTGATGATGATCCCTGCTTGAGGTGCATATTGTAAAGTTAAGAGGAAATGGATATGTTCTCTTTGGTTTCCTCTTTATTCCGTCAATAAATATATTAAGACAAGCCAGACTTGTGAAAATCTAGACTTCATATATTTGTCTCCAGAGGGAAAGATAGGAGGAAGAAATTTTTAGTAATTAAACACATGAGTAGAAACTAGAAGAATGCAAATTATGAGTTGATATAAAGAACACTTTCTAGCTTTCTTTAATTTAGAACATTTTACAGCCTTTTTTGGCAATTGACATTTTTGAGGTAATTGTCTGCTGCATCTTTTTTGTTTGTTTTAATAGAATGTTACTCATTTTGTGTTTGTCATCTTTCCTCATGATTAGATTCAGGCTATAGATTCTCAGCGAGAATGCAGCATATGTGATACCGTGTTTTTCTTCACACATACGGAGGCACATTATGTCCAACTTTCTGTCATAGGTGATATTAAAGTTGGTCTTATGGTAATGATGCTGTTGATTTCTCCACTGTATAATTACTGTTTATGTTTTCTCCCTTGTAACTAATCAGCAATCTGTAGGGAGACACTTTAAGACTATGCAAATACCCTGTTTCTTGTCAAAATTTTCCCCTAGATTTAGCATTCATTCAGGATTCTTGCCTGAGCTAATCTTTACCATGATGGCTGTAAAATCTTCTTTCATATAATGCTCATTATGCAGAATGTGGAATATATAGAAACATAAAATGCATAAAGGAAAAATCTAAAAGAAAGCTCTCCACCTATTAAATAAATAAATGTATGTGAAGCAATTTTCATGTATTGTTTTTCTGTCTTCTCAGGAATGTGTACGTAAACAGAATCATGTATTTTGTGATGTGAATGTGTGACTCCAGCACTTGCCGTACATTTACCAGTTCGCCTTTGTTATTCCATTGTAAGCAAGGAATCCACCCCTTGTTAATCAATTAATTAATCTATTTTTAACACGGAATCTTAAATATTAATTTTAAAGATTTATAATTTATTATTGTTCTTATTTATTTTGGTGCTCAAAATTGTTGTATGTCTGGCCATTGGGAGCTCCTTCAGTTTGGTTCCTGTGTACCTATAACATGCAAGATCTTTCTTCCTTTCTTTTTGCCTCTCTCCCCTCTCTTTTTCTTTGTTTCTTTTTCTTTATTTTTTTCTCTTTTCTCTCTCTTCTTTCTTCCTTTCTAGAACTTTCATAATTATGATACAATAAGATGTTCCAGACTCATCTCTCACACTGATACTGTCCTAGCCCTGAAATCAGCCATGTCTCTTAGTAGCTCTGGTTTAATTTAGTGGGAAATTGTATTAATAATCAAGTTCTGAGCACTAAGTATGTTCAATGCTGTGGAGTAGGATCCACTATGGCCAGTGCTGTCTTATGCAGGGCTTAATGTGGAGTGAAAACCAAAAGAAGGTTCCCCAAGGTCAGAGGGAGGATAACATCACTTGATATAAGCTACTTGTTAGGAGACAGAATTTTCAGAGTGAAAATGAGGCTATTCTGGCAGATATAACTTATACAAATTGATGTGATCAGCCCTGTGTATAACTGAGTGTCTCAAAGTTTTAGCAATGTTTCAAACTCCAATCTAGGTGATCTATGTGCTATTGTAGAGAGGCAGTGTGAAAACATGATTGTAATTTTAGTAAGCAGAAACCTAAGTGATTGCTTGTCATGTTTACAGAAACTGTGAATTGAAGAGTATGGCAGTATTACCTAGATCAGCAGTCTCCAACTTCTTTTATTGTACATCCTAGAAGTAAAAATATTTAAATATGCTTCTGTGGTACAATACTAAGATTCATCAAAAGAGGCCACAATCACTATTATTAAATAGAACGAAACTTTGTAAAGTACCAGGTCAAGAATTAATTGCCTTTAACATACATGTATTTCCCAATCACTGAAAGAAAAAGTATATGGAATATTTTCATTTTATATATGCTTAGTATTTAATTTCTTCTATTAAATAAAATTTATAGGGGGCCATTGATTTGAACTGAGCTGCTGCACCAGGCCAACAGACCAAAATGGAGTCACTCATGCTGAAGTTCCACATCACCAAACTGAAACTAAGTTGTCTATCAGACCTTCTAAGAAGTCAGGAGACAGAGGGAGATAATAGCCAAGTCATCAAACAGGCCAGTTTTAGCCAGCATGATTTTTAAAACATCTCCTTTGTTTATCTTTTACAAAAAAAGTAACTTTGAAATGACCAACCGACTTTTTGTATTCTGTTTCTGCTTTTCTCAGCCCTTTTCTGGCTTTAAAAGAAAACTCCTCTGCTCAGCTCATCAGAACACTCATTCTGTTTTATGGAATGAAATGTTGCTTGATCTGACGTTTGCAAATAAAGCCAATTAAGATCTTTAAGCTAAATTTGTTGTAACTTTGTCTTTTCACACTTTTGACACTTTCTAAACATGGTGGTTCCATACTATCACCAGTTAATATCTCAAGACACATTGTACACTTTGGGCAATGTCTACTACTAAAAATAGTGAAAGTTAAGTTTCTCTATCAAGTTCTCTACTGTGATACCCTGTTTTTGGCTTGTCAGTTATAATAAGATGATGTAAGAGAAAAGAAATAGTTTTCTCTCTGCGCTTTACAGTTGTTAGTTGGAATGAACCCTTGTAACAAAAGAGAGATTAACAAGAGAAAAACGTACGGAAGTTTAATAACATGTATATCTCATGTACACATAGGAGCTCCCAGAGAAATGAGTAAATCTCAAAGAAATGGCTTTGAGTTCAGGCTTAGATTTTATCTCCAGGTGAAACAAAGAAAGAATGGTGTGGGAGAAGGCCAGTTATGAAGAAGCATCTAGGAAAAGTAAGGTAAACAGAATAAGATTTTTTAAGTTAGTAGGTAGAATTAAGGCAGATTTAAATCTAAAGTTACATTTAAGTTGGTGCCACCTCTATTAATATAAGCATATCGGTGAGTTAGATCATCTTTTTCTCTCTTGTAGAGAGGGAGACACCTTTACAAATGGAGATTTCTTCATAGATATAAATTTCTGTTACATCTACTCGTGTTTTCAGAGCTTCTTCTGTGTCCTCAGTCTCTCAAAATAATCATCTCAAAATAATGCTTCTGCCAAACAGGCATACTTTGAAGTGGGGTATTATAGTTTCTTATTATCATATTTTAAGGGAGCATATGTTTGGTCTCCAGCAATCATAAATGTTTCCTTATCATAAGGTGCTTGATGAAGATCTCCTACTTTGGTTAGAAGTGCTGATGCTACTGTTGTCACCTGTGTTTTTTTTTTTTTTTGAGACGGAGTCTCGCTCTGTCGCCCAGGCTGGAGTGCAGTGGCGGGATCTCGGCTCACTGCAAGCTCCGCCTCCCGGGTTCACGCCATTCTCCTGCCTCAGCCTCCCAAGTAGCTGGGACTACAGGCGCCCGCCACCACGCCCGGCTAATTTTTTGTATTTTTAGTAGAGACGGGGTTTCACCGTTTTAGCCGGGATGGTCTCGATCTCCTGACCTCGTGATCCGCCCGCCTCGGCCTCCCAAAGTGCTGGGATTACAGGCGTGAGCCACCGCGCCCGGCCCTGTGTTTTTTATTTTGCTTTTTAATCAAATTTAAGATGACATTGATCCAAAACCACATCATTCTTTTATGTACACTAAAAAATAAAAAAGTTGCTAATTAAATATAAAATGACACTATAAGATGAATTCTAATTTTAGAGATATTAAAATGTGAAAAAATGTGTCTTAGAGTTGATAAATTATAGTATTATTGTTAATTTTTTGCAAGAACCTTATAAAGCCCCGAAGTGAGTAATGTAATTCATATATCTCCTTAACCGGGTTTATTTAGACACATATTAAAAATGAATGAGTTAGGGCATTATGGGTCCTCTACAGGTTGCAGAACTTTCATTCTTCCCTCAAGACATCTTTAATAACTCACGGAAAACAAAGTGTGGGTCATACCGTGGTCTAACGTACAGGCCTACTGAAGATATCTGCGTTAGTTTGTTCTTGTGTCACTACAAAGAAGTACCACAGACTTTCCAGAAAAGCAGCAGGAGGAGACAGGACTAACGTGCAGCTTCCACTTGGATGGAAAGGACAGCATATGGAGGTTCACATCGTGAACTTTTGCTCCAACAACTGCCACAGGAACATACCAGGAAAACCTAAAGAATTCACAGAGCCTTTGAAAGAAGAGGCCTGCTGGTGCAAACCCTGAGGCAGCTGAAAAACTGACTTCCCAAAGTGTGAGATGGAGAAATGTCCATCTCTGAAAACACATCCCCACTGGGGAACCTGAAAATCCAGATCACCGGAGAGGACTTAACCTTGCCCAGAGCTGAAACAAATTTAGGGAGCCAACTGAAATATAAAAGTAGGAGAAGCAGCAGGAAGATCCCTGCAGGCACTCCCATTCCTCAGCTTGAGCCTAGGAAAGCCATTCCTGGCCTTATCTTGCAGGCATCCTTGGAGAAGGGAAGGCAGCCCGTGAAACTAGGGAGGGGACACAGGGTGAAGGAAGTGCCTAGCTAAACTTTGTAATAATTTTGACTGAGCACAAACTTTCCTGAGCAGAATCCAGGGGGTCAACAGAAGGGCAGATATGAGCACAGAAGCTACAGTTGATGGTGTGGGCAGGTGTGCGGGGGAGGGGTGCGAGACGTGAGAACCCTGCTTGCTTTCTCAGCAGGGAGATTTGTAGCCCGGGACCAGATCTCAGCCCCGCTCACCAGCTAGCTGAATATAAACTCAGTGTTGGGAGGGGAGGGCACAGCAGGAGTGATACTAGCCTTGCTGGCTGCATGGGAGCTAGGTGAGACCTGTCACTGCTGGCTTTCCCCCACTTTCCTGGTGACCTGTATGGCACTGCAGAAGCAGCCATAATCCCCCTGGGAACATAACTCCATTGGCCTGAGAAGCACTCCCCATGCCCCACAGTGGCTGAAGCAAGCCCTGCCTAAGGAGAGTCTGAGCTCAGACCCACCTAATCCTGCCTCCACCTGATGGTTTTTCTCTACCTGCCATGGTAATTGAAGACAGAAGACATAAACTGTTGGGACCTCTATGGCCCTGCCCATTGTCTGAGAAATCTGAGTACTTATCCTGGCCAGTGTAGGGCAAGATTATATCCCCTTTCTACCACTGCAGCTGGTGCTCTCTTGTAAGTGCCACCTCCTGACTGGAGGCCAACAAACTGAAACCATGACAGCAACTCACAACAGAACAACCTCGCTCCAAACAAGGAGAAAACAAAAGCTAATTCCACTGCCTGCAACACTCTGGCTAACCAGAAGACCTGAGTCTATCCTGAAAACTTCACTGCTAGCATAATTTGCATTCGAGAAAACCAGTGCAGTAAACTACTATCAAGGACTCCCACAGGGTCCCCTTCACTCCTCTGCCATGTTGCTGGTATCCATGGCTGTAAGACCAGAAAATGAAACATATCACAGGACTCTTTGCAGACATTCCCCAGCACCAGCCCAGAACTCAGTAGCCCTGCTGGGTGGCTAGACCCAGAAGGGCAATAACAATCACTGCAGTCTGGCTTTAAGGAAGCCCCATCCCTAGAGGAAGGAGGAGAGCACCACATCAAAGGATGACCCTGTGAGACAAAAGAATTGGAATGGCAGCACTTGAGCTCCATATCTTTCCAATGAAACAGTGGAGAAGGAGAAGAAGCCAGAAAAGTAATTCTGGTAACATGACAAAACAAGGTTCTATAACAACTCCAAAAGATCACACTAGCTCTCAGGCAATGGATCCAAGCCAAGAATAAACCTCTGAATTACTGGATAAAGAATTCGGAAGGTTGATTATTAAGCTACTTTCAAGGAGGTACCAGAGAAAGGTGAAAACCAACAAAAAACAAAAACAAAAACATAATATGGATGAAAAAGTCTCTAGAGAAATGGATGTCATGAAGAAAAGACAATCACAAGTTCTGGAAATGAAAGACACACTTAGAGAAATGCAAAATACACTGAAAAGTTTCAACAATAGAATTGAACAAGTAGAAGAAAGAACTTCAGAGTTCAAAAACAAGGCTTTTGAGTTAATCCAATCCAATAAAGACAAAAAATAGAATTAAAAAAATGGATAAAGCCTCCAAGAAGTTTGAGATTATGGTAAATGACCAAACATAAGAAAAATTGGTGTTCCTAAGGAAGAAGAGAAATCTAAAAGTTGGAAAACTTCTTTGAGGAAATAATTGAGGAAAACTTCCCTGGTCTTGCTGGAAATCTAGACATCCAAATACAAAAAGCTCAAAGAACACTCAGGAAATTCATCACAAAAAGATCATCACCTGGGCACATAGTCATCACGTTACCTGAAGTCAAGATGAAGAAAAGAATCTTAAGAGCTGTGAGGCAAAAGCATCAGGTAACCTATAAAGGAAAACCTATCAGATTAACAGCAGATTTCTCAGTGGAAACCCTGCAAGCCAAAAGGGATTGGGATTCTATATTTAGCCTCCTTAAACAAAATAATTATTAGCCAAGAATTTTGTATCCAGAAAACTAAGCTTCAAAATGAAGGACTGATAATGTCTTTTTCAGACAAGCAAATATTGAGAGAATTCACCACTACCAAGCCAGCACTACAAGAAATGCTAAAAGGAGTTCTAAATCTTAAAACAAAACCTCAAAATACACCAAAATAGAACGTCCTTAAAATGTAAGTCTCACAGGGCCTATACAACAATAATACAATGAAAAAAACACACAAGTTATTCAGGCAACAACAAGCATGATGAATAGAATAGTACCTCACATCTTGATACTAATGCTGAATGTAAATGGCTTCATTGTTCTGTTTAAAAGGCACAGAATGGCAGAATGGATAAAAATCCACCAACCAAGTATCTGCTGTCTTCAAGAGACTCACCTAAAACACAAGGACTAGCATAAGCATAAGGTAAAGAAGTGGAAAAAGATATTCCATGCAAATGGACACCGAAAGCGAGCAAGAGTGGCTATCCTTACATCAGACAAAACAGACTTTAAAGCAACAACAGTTAACAAAGGCAAAAAGCCACATTCTATAATGATAAAAAATCTGGTGCAACAGGAAAATATTACAATCCTAAACATATATGCACCTAACACTAGAGCTCCCAAATTTATAAAGCAATTAATGCAGAAATTGAGACACGAGCTAGAAAGCAACACAATAATAGTGGGGGAGTTCAGTATTCCACCGACAGCACTAAGCAGGTCATCAAGACAGAAAGTCAACAACCTTTACAACAGCTGCAAATACAATACAATGCAATACAATACAATACAATACAATACAATACAATACAATACAATACAATACTTAGGAATATACCTAACCAAAGAGGTGAAAAGAAAAACTATAAAACATTACTGAAAGATATCATAGATGACACAAACAAATGGAAACACACCTCATGCTCATGGATGAGTAGAATCAATATTATGAAAATGACCATACTGCCAAAAGCAATCTATAAATTCAAAGAAATTCCATCAAAATGCCATTGTCATTCTTCTCAGGACTAGAAAAAGCAATCCTAAAAATTCATATAAATCCAAGAAAAAGAGCCTGCATAGCCAAAGCAAGACTAAGCAAAAAGAACAAATCTGGGGGCATCACATTACCCGACTTCAAACTACTCGAGTGTATAGTTACCAAAGCAGCATGGTACTGGTATAAAAACAGGCACAGACCAGTGGAACAGAATAGAGAACCAAGAAATAAAGCCAAATCTTACAGCCAACTAATTTTCAACAAAGCAAACAAAAACATAAAGTGGGGAAAGAACACCTTTTTGGTGCTGGGATAATTGGCAAGCCACATGTAGAAGAATGGAACTGGATCCTCGTCTCTCACTTTACACAAAAATCAACTCAAGATTGATCCAAGACTTAAATTTACGACCTCAAACCATAAAAATTCTAGAAGATAACATCAGAAAAACTCTTCTAAACATTGGCTTAGGCAAAGAGTTTATGACCAAGAACCCAAAAGCAAATGCAACAGAAATGAAGATAAATAGATGAGACTTAATTAAACTAAAATGCTTCTACATAGCAAAAGAAGTAATCAACAGATTAAACAGACAACCCAGAGAGTGGAAGAAAATATATGCAAACTATGCATGTAACAAAGGACTAGTATTCAGAATCCATGAGGAACTCAAACAAACCAGCAAGAAAAAAATGAACCCATCAAAAAGTGGACTAAGGACATGAATAGACAATTCTCAAAAGAAGATACACAAATGGCCAACAAGCATATGAAAAAATTCTCAACATCACTAATGATCAGGGAAATGGAAATCAAAACCACAATGCCATACCACCTTGCTCCTGCAAACATGGCCGTAATTAAAAAATTAAAAATAATAGATGTTGGTGTGGATGTGATGAAAAGGGAACACATTTAAGCTGCTGTTGGGAAGGTAAACTAGTACAATCACTATGGAAAACAGTATGGAGGCACCTTAAAGAACTAAAAGTACATCTACCATTAGATCCAGCAATCCCACTACTGTATATCTACCCAGAAGAAAAGAATTCATTATATGAAAAAGATACTTGCACACACATGTTTATAGCAGCACAATTCACAATTGCAAAAATAAAGAACCAGCCTAAATGTTCATCAACCAATGAGTGGGTTTTAAAAAAATGTGATATATGCATATTCCACAAAATATTACTTAACCATAAAAAGGAATAAAATAATGGCATTTGCCACAACCTGGATGTAGTTGGAGATGATTATTTTAAGTGAAGCAACTCAGGAATGAAAAACCAAACATTGTGTATTCTCACTTGTAAGTGGTAGCTAAGCTTTGAGGATGCAAAAGCATAAGAATGATGTAATGCAGTCTAGGGAATTGCGGGGAAGGGCAGGAGGGAGGTGAGGGATAAAAGACTACAGATTGGATACAGTGTACTCTGTTTGGCTGATGGGTGTACCAAAATCTCAGAAATCACCACTAAAAAAATTATTTATGTAAATAAACACTACTTGTTTTCCCAAAACTATTGAAACAATAATAAAAAAAAACCAGACACTATACATATAAAAATTACATACTGGAAGCTGGATAATTTATTTTAAAATATGGTTTAATTGGTTTACAGTTCTGCAGGCTGTACAAAGATGGCCCTGGCATCTGCTCTGCTTCTGGTGAGGCCTCAGGAATCTTTTACTCATGGTGGAAGGTGAAGGGGGAATAGGCACATAGCATGACAAGAGAGGGGGCAAGAGAGAAAGAATGAGGAGGTCCCAGGCTGTTTTAAATAACTAGATATGTGAACTCACTAAAAGAGAACTCAGTTTTCACGAAGTGGGTGGTGCTAAACCATTCATGAGGGATCCATCCCCATGATCCAATCACCTCCCACTAGGCCGCACCTCCAACATTGGGAATCACATTTCTACATGAGATTTGGAAGGGACAAATATGCAAACCATATCAGCACCAGTGTCAATATGTCTTTTAAATGTGAGTCCACATTAATTTTCTCATTTAAAAAAATTCTTATCTGGCTGAGCATGGTGGCTCACGCCTGTAATCCCCAGCACTTTGGGAGGCCAAGGTGGGTGGATCACGAGATCAGGAGATCGAGACCATCCTGGCTAACACGGTGAAACCCCACCTCTACTAAAAATATAAAAAATTAGCTGGGTGTGGTGGCAGGCACCTGTAGTCCCAGCTACTCGGGAGGCTGAGGTAGGACAATGGTGTGAACCTGGCAGGCGGAGCTGGCAGTGAGCCGAGATCACGCCACTGCACTCCAGCCTGGGTGATAGAGAGAGACTCCATCTCAAAAAAAAAAAAATTCTTATCTAATTTTGACTGCTGATAAAACTATGCATGAACCTGTTGCAAGAGTCCTATAGTGAGACAAGGCCTCTTATGAAAAATGTGGCCTCTCAATTCCTTCCTATTTTATACTCCTGAAAGGGGACTATCAGGACCTTTTTTTAGCTGATTCTATCATTTTTCCTCTGAGTCTCCCTACAAGTTTCTTATATTGCCTCTGTGATCTGACAGATGGAAATAGATGCCCCTAAATAAACTAAAATGAACACTAAAGTTAAGGAAACAAAAGTTACCTATGGGTTGAGGGTTCAAGGCTTGGCTGGCCTGGAAGCTTTCTAAATTTGTATGCCCGCAAGAAAAAAATACACTTTTGCTAAACTCTAACAATAGCAGCTTTCAGGCAAATTTCTAACTTTGGTTTATTTAATACTATCCAGAATACTACAACTCTGACTGTGTAGAGGACTGACTTTACCATCACTCTTTTCTGAGAAGCAACTGCAAACCTTAAGCCAGTTTTAGCCAGCTTAGAGAGAGTGTACAGAAACTGTCCTTGTGTTTTATAGTTCACCTTTTTACGTAAAAAGCCAATTTTGCTTCATTTTAATGCTAAATCTCCACCCCAAACTGAACATGGAATGTATGTTTGTCTATTGCACATGTGCTTGTCTTCCTCTTAAATATGTATGGTTTTTCCCCAAGCCTGCTGCATAAAAATGACTCTTAACTGTGTGATGCAGACACTGTGAGGCATAAAACCCAATCTGCCCTTTCTCTCTTCAAAGAGAGCACCTTTAGCCTATACCAGAGACTCTCTCTTTAAGGTTTGCAAACTGATATTGCCAATAAAATTCTCCTTTTACTACTTAGCCATCCTGGTCTTTTGGAAAGCACTACTGTATTAGTCTGTTTTCACACTACTGATAAAGACATACCCGAGACTGGACAATTTACAAAAGAACAAAGTTCATTGGACTTACAGTTCCACATGGCTGGGGAGGCCTCACAATCATGGCAGAAGGCAAGGAGGAGCAAGTCACATCTTACATGGATGGCAGCAGGTGAAGAGAGCTTGTGCAGGGAAACTCCCATTTTTAAAACCATCAGATCTCATGAGACCCATTTACCATCATGAGAACAGCACAGCAAAGACCCACCCCCATAATTTGATAATCTCCTACCAGGTCCCTCCCACAACACTTTGGAGTTATGGGAGCTACAAGATGAGATTTGGGCGGGGACACAGAGCCAAACTATATCATTCCACCCCTGACCATCCCCAAATCTCATCCTTTACACTTCAAAAGCAATCATGCCCTCCCAAAAGTCTCCCAAAGTCTGAACTCATTTCAGCATTAACTCAAAAGTCTCCACAGTCCAAAGTCTTCTCTGAGACAAGGCAAATCCCTTCTGCCTATGAGCCTGTAAAATCAAGAGTTAGTTACTTCTTAGATACAACAAGGGTACAGGCATTGGGTAAATACAGCCATTCCAAATGGGAGACATTGGCCAAAACAAAGGGGCTACAGACCTCATGCAAGTCTGAAATCCAGCAGAGCAGTCAAATCTTCAAGCTCCAAAATGACCTCCTTTGACTTCAGGTCTCACATCCAGATCACACTGATGCAAGAGATGGGTTCCCATAGTCTTGCACAGCTCCACCTCCATGACTTTGCAGAGTACAGCCTCCCTCCCAGCTGTTTTCACAGGCTGGCATTGAGTGTCTGTGGCTTTTCGAGGCACATGATGCAAACTCTTGGTGGATCTATCATTCTGGGGTCTGGTAGATAGTGGCCCTCTTCTCACAGCTCCACTAGGCAGTGCCCCAGTAGGGACTCTGTGTGGGGGCTCCAACCCCATATTTTCCTTCCACATTGCCCTAGCAGAGGTACTCCATGACAGCCCCATCTCTGCAGCAAACTTCTGCCTGGACATCCAGGTTTTTCTATACATCCTCTGAAATCTAGGCAGAGGTTCTTGAACCTCAATTCTTGACTTCTATGCACTCACAGGCTCAACACCACATGGAAGCTGCCAAAATTTGAGGCTTGCACTCTCTGAAGCCATGGCCTCAGCTCTACATTGGCCCATTTCAGCCATGGCGGGAGCGGCTGGGATGCAGTGCACCAAGTCCCTAGGCTGCACACAGCACAGGGACCCTGGCCTAGCCCACAAAACCACTTTTTCCTCCTAAGCCTACAGGCCTGTGATGGGTGGGGCTGCCACAAAGGTCTCTGATATATCCTGGAGACATTTTCCCCATTGTCTTGGTGATTAACATTTGGCTCCTCATTACTTATGCAAATTTCTGCAGCCAGCTTTAATTTCTTCTCAGAAAATTGGATATTTTTTTTTTCTATTGCATTGTCAGGCTGTGAATTTTTCAAACTTTTATGCTTTGTTTCCCTTTTGAAACTGAATGCCTTTAACTGCACCCATGTCACCTCTTGAATGCTTTGCTGCTTAGAAATTTCTTCCACCAGATACCCTAAATTATCTCTCTCAAGTTCAAAGTCCCAGAAATCTCTAGGGCAGGGGCAACATGCCAAAGTCTCTTTGCTAAAACGTAACAGAGTCACCTTTACTCCAGTTCCCAACAAATTACTCATTTCCATCTGAGACCACCTCACTATCAGCATTTTGGTCAAAGCCATTCAACATGTCTCTAGGGAGTTCCAAACTTCCCCACATTTTTCTGCCTTCTGAACCTTCCAAACTGCTCCACCTTCTGCCTGTTACCCAGTTCCAAAGTCACTTCCACATTTTCCAGTATCTTTTCCTCAGTACCCCACTCTACTGGTACCAATTTACTGTATTAGTCTGTTTTCACACTACTGATAAAGACATACCCGAGACTGGGCAATTTACAAAAGAAAGAGGTTTATTGAACTTACAGTTCCACATGGCTGGGGAGGCCTCACAATCATGATGAAAGGCAAGGAGGAGCAAGTCACATCTTATGTAATTGGCAGCAGGCAAGGAGGGGTTGTGCAGGGAAACTCCCATTTTTAAAACCATCATATCTCATGAGACCCATTCACTATCATGAGAACAGCATGAGAAAGATGTGCCCTCATAATTCAGTCATCTCTCACCAGGTCCCTCACACAACATGTGACAATTATGGGAGCAACAAGATCAGATATGGGTGGGGACACAGAGCCAAACCGTATCAACTACTTAAAGATTTATTTTTCCTTTCATTTGGGATATTATTTACTGCTTCCTGATTAGGGAAGATGAGGACTTGGCTGACCTTTACTCCTACTCCACATCACCCCTTTACAGCATATGATCGCTCCATCTGCCCAGTACAGGTATATCACAAGGGTGTTGAGATCTATGTTCAGTTCTTACACTGTTATAACTGTGTACCTTTGATACGAATTATGATTACTTTTTCCTTTTCTATACAACTTGTTACTTTTTCCTAGAATTAATAATTGCCTTTTTTGCTTGGGAGAAATAATACTTATTGTTCTCTCTTTGGGGAATTCATAATTATTTTTTTCTAATTATTTATTATTCATTTTGCACTGCATTTTAAGTATTATATATTTTCCTTCAATGTGTCCAAACACATCACATAGTCTACCAATTTCATCTTCTTGAGAATGTTTCTAGGAGTTTTCTATCTTTTTGTGAATTAATGCAATTATTTTCCATAAGTTATTGAGGTACAGGTGGTATTTGGTTATATGAGTAAGTTCTGTAGTGGTTATTTGTGAGATTTTGGTGCACCCATCACCCAAGTAGTATACACTGCACCATATTTGTAGTCTTTTATTCCTAGCCACCCCTCCCACTCTCTTCCCCCAAATTCCCACAGTCCATTGTATTATTCTGATGACTTTGTATCCTCATAGCTTAGCTCCCACATATCAGTGAGAACATACAATGTTTGGTTTTCCATTCCAGAGTTACTTCACTTAGAATAATAGTTTCCAATCTCATCCAGTTTGCTGGAAATGCTGTTAATTCATTCCTTTTTATGGCTGAATAGTATTCCATTGTGTATGTATATATATATGTGTGTGTGTGTGTGTGTGTGTATATGTGTGTGTGTATATATATATATACGTGTATATATATACACATGTATATATATATGACAGTTTCTTTATCCACTTATTGATTGATGGGCATTTGGGTTGGTTCCATGATTTGCAATTGTGAATTGTGCTGCTAAAAACATGCATGTGCAAGTATCTTTTTTGTATAATGACTTCTTTTCCTCTGTGTAGATACCCAGTAGTGGGATTGCTGGGTCAAATGGTAGTTCTACTTTCAGTTCTTTAAGGAATCTCCACATTGTTATTCATAGTGGCTGTACTAGTTTACATTCGCACCAGCAGTGTAGAAGTGTTCCCTGATCACCACACCCATGCCAACATCTACAGTTTTTTGTTTTTTTGATTATGCCCATTCTTGCAGGAGTAAGATGGTATGGCATTGTAGTTTTGATTTAGATTTCCCTGGTCATTAGTGATGTTGAGCATTTTTTCAGATGGTAGTTGGCTATTTTTGTATCTTCTTTTGAGAACTCTCTATTCATGTCCTTAGCCCTCTTTTTGATGGGATTGTTTGCTTTTTTCTTACTTGTTTGAGTTCATTGTAGATTCTGAATATTAGTCCTTTGTCAGATGTATAGATTTTGAGGATTTTCCCCATTCTGTGGGTTGTCTGTTTACTTTGCTGACTGTTCCCTTTTGCCATGAAAAAGCTTTTTGGTTTAATTAGGTCCCAGCTATTTATCTTTGTTTTTATTGCATTTGTTTTTCGGTTCTTGATCATGAAATCCTTACCTAAGCCAACATCTAGAAGGGTTTTTCCAATGTTATCTTCTAGAATTTTTATAGTTTCAGGTTTTAGATTTAAGTCCTTAATCCATCTTGAGTTAATTTTATTATTAGATGAGAGATGAGCATCCAGTTTCATTCTCCTACATGTGACTAGCCAATTATCCCAGCATCATTTGTTGAAACAGGTGTCCTTTTCCCACTCTATGTTTTTGTTTGCTTTGTTGAAGATCAGTTGGCTGTAAGTGTTTGGGTTTATTTCTGGCTTCTCTATGCTGTTCCATTGGTCTATGTGTCTATTTTTATACCAGTACCATGCTGTTTTGGTGACTGTGGCCTTATAGTATAGTTTGAAATCAGGTAGTGTGATGCCTCCAGATTTGTTCTTTTTGCTTGGTCTTGCTTTGGCTACACAGGCTCTTTCTATGCAGAGTCCCTACTTAGTGGGCCCAAATCAATAAATTCAGCCTGATCCAATTCTGTGTTCCTTCCACCATTTTCCCATACCCTTAATATCCATTCCCATGCCTGTTCCCCAGATTTCTGTTTACATTAATTAGAGAACTCAAACATTTCTTTTCAAGTGTAGTCCACCTCCTTATGGGTCACACTCTGAACCTCACCACTAGGGGCCCGCTGGGACTTTAGTTTAGTTATAGGTCTAGAGACAAACAGATATGTTGGGGGTGGCTCCTGAGGAAAATCAATATTATCTTGCCTGGCAACTGCCTCAGGTGAGGCCATCACTGTTGTGTCAGGCAGTGCAGGGTTTATCTCCTCAGATAAAGATGGAAAGGCTGATGGCAGCATGGGTCGGGGAGGGGATGTTGCCACTACTGGAGATGGGGAAGCTGTTCCTTCTGGCTAAAAATGTTCATCAGGGTTTACAAATCTTATTGTCCCCAGCTCCATCAGGGTCCTCCCACACATCCCCATCCCAAGTTTCATGGTTCCATTATTTTCCAGTCAATGCCCTCACTTTAACAGTAAACACCTGGCGAGGCTGTGCATGCATCTTTCATTGCAAATCAGCCCCTCACATGATAAGAGCCTGTGTCTGCTTTTCCACAGTTTCAGCTCTTTCTCTACAGTAGATAAGACTCTCACTCAGGGCAATCTTAGCAGAGGTGAGGCTCAGTATATGCTTCTGAAGCTGGGAGACAGAATCCTAAGTTCATCATTTTCTTTCATCACTTCGTCCATTGAACTTAAGAGCAACCAACCAGCTTCATTATGTTCCTTGGTTCTCCACATATGGTCAAAGGTATTATGTTCAGAGTCACTAAACTCCTTACCTCTCACAAGTGGTGAATCAGGAGTGTCAAATGCATTTATTTTGCATAACTCTCTAAACAATTCATGCCAAGAACTATCAGTATTCTCTATACTATTAGAAGTAGAGTCCTTAGCATTTTGGGTTCTAATCTTATCAAGCAGCCTACTCCAGAAACCCCAAAACCAATGACAGAACTTCATCCTTAATATTCTGTTCCTCTAGAACCACTCCTGGTACCAAAATCTTTATTAGTCAGGGTTCTTCAGATGGGTAGAACCAATAGGAGATATATATATATATATATATATATATATATATATATATATATATATATATATATATATATGGATATATATATATGGATATATATATATAAGGATATATATATATAAAAGGATATATATAAGGATATATATAAAAAATAGGATGTATATATATATATAAACTAGGATATATATATATATATATATATATATATATACATATATATATGTAAAGGGAAGTTTATTAAGTGTTAACTTACATGATCACAAGGTCCTATAATAGGCTGTCTGCAAGCTGAGAAGAAAGGAGAGCCAGTCTGAGTCCCAAAACTGAAGAATTTGTAGTCCAATGTTTGAGAGCAGGAAGCATCCAGCATGGGGGAAAGATGTAAGCTGGGAGGCTAGGTCAGTCTCTCTTTTTCATGCTTTTCTGTCTGCTTTACATTCGTTGGCAGCTGACTGCATTGTGCCCACCAGATTAAGGGTGGATCTGCCCTCCCCAACCCACTGACACAAATGTTCATCTCTTTTGGCAACACCCTGACAGACACACCCAGGATCAATATTTTTATCCTTCAATCCAATCAAATTGACACTCAGTATTAACCATCACACCTGCTAAATTTGAATTTCAGATAAAAATGGATACTTTTGCTTAGCATAAATGTATTTCATGCAGATATGATTCGGTTGTGGGTCTCCCCCAAATCTCATGTTAAAATGCAATCCCTGTCTGGGCACTGTGGCTCATGCCTGTAATCCCAGCACTTTGGGAGGCTGAGGTGGGGAGACCATTTGAGGTCAGGAGTTGAAGACTACCCTGACCAAGATGGTGAAACCCGGTCTCTACAAAAAGAAAAAAAAAATCAAAACAATTAGCTGGGCATGGTGGTGCATATCTGTAACCGAGGCTACTCGGGAGGCCAAAGCTGGAGAATAACTTGAACCCGGGAGGTGGAGGTTGCAGTGAGCTGAGATTGTGCCACTGCACTCCCGCCTGGGTGACAGAGTGAGACTCTGCCTCAAAAAAAAAAAAAAAAAAATCTAAAATAAAATAAAATGTAATCCCCAGTGTTGGAGATGAGGCGTACTGCTAGGTGTTTGGGTCATGAGGAAAGAAACTCCTTCATGAATGGCTTGGTGCCCTCCTCTAAGTAAGCAGTGAGTTCTTGCTCTGAGTTCACGTGAAATCTGGCTGTTTAGAAGACTGTGGCACCTCCCCCCTCTGTCTTTCTCCCACTCTCACCATGTGATGGTCCTGTTCCCCCTTTGCCTTCCATTGTGATTGAAAGCTTCCTGAGACCCTCGACAGAAGCAGATACCAGCGCCATGCTTCCTGCACAGCCTGCAGAAACATGAACCAAAATGAACCACTTTTCTTTTAAAATTATCCAGTCTCAGGCTTTCTTGTATAGCAATGCAAAAATGGCCTAACACATGTGCAATATTTGGGACATATTTATATGAAAAAAATTAGTTATCGCTTATCTGAAATTTAAACTTATCTGTGTGTCCGGTGTTTTCATTTGCTGAATGTGGTAATATTGGTCCAAACTGTTTTAGGATATTTAGCGGCATTCCTGGACCTTTATCCATTAGATGCCAGTCCCACATCCTAGTTGTGACAACTAAAAATGTCCCCAGATACTGCCAAAGGTTCCCTGGGAGGCAAAATCTCCCTTGGCTGGAACTACTGCCTTAGAAAGTGTTAGAAGTGCAAAGCATGAGGCTCCACCCCAAACCTACTGAATCAGAAACTCAGTAGGGAGGGATTTAGCAATCTGTGCTTTCACAAGTCTTACAGCTGTTCTGATGCAACTGAAGTTTGAGAACAAAATTGGTCTTATCTATTTCTCAGGCAAGTGTATCTCAGAGGACATAAATTAGTATTGCTTAGTGTAGAGACCCATGGATAATCTATACCAGAACCGCTATTGTTGTATATTAAAGAAACATCTAATGGTGCACCCTGGAACTTCTTAATCAAAATTTCTAAGGGGATGAAGAAGTTGAGAGTGTAGTAGAAAACAGGGGTCCAGAGTTCTACTTTTATTTTTTAAGTAAACGTACCCTGTGACTCTTGTATACACAGATATTTGAATACCACGGACTGGTATGGATGCCTCAGACTTTCTTTGTTTATATCACTAACATTCCCAATTCTAGTTTCATGTTTCCAAAACAAATTTCTGGAGATAAATTGGCTTCTGGTTTATACTTACCTACAGCAGTGTTTCTCGGCTCTGGTAACATATTTGAACCACCTAGCGAGCTTTACAAAAATACCAATGCCCAGTCCCCATCCACAACAATGAAGCAGAATCTCTGGGGGTGGTGTTTTCTGATTCCAGATGATTCTAATATGTAACTAGGTTTGGAAACCACTGGCCTATGGGAGAAAATGCGCTAGTCTTATCGATTCTAACATTCCAGTCGGTTTAATGTCTATGTTCCTCATTATACATTATAAAAATTAATATTCCGGTTCAAATTTCATACTCTTTTTGTGTCTCTTAAATCCATCCAAGTTCTGGGGGTCCTGAGCAAACTAGTTCTGAGAACCACAGATATATATCAGATCCTGGAGTACAACTGTATAATTGGGATATTCTCCTCCTCTACACCCCACATGCTGGTCTTTCCTTTATTCTATCTACTATCTCTTATAGAGCGTACTCAAAATCCAACTAATTTTCAGGGCTTTCTTCAATTAATTATTAATATGATATAGAAATGGCTTCAAATGTCTATCATCAAAAATAGAGGAACTTTGATGTTAACATAATCAGGCCTTTAGGTCTAACTTCCAATTCACAGGAAATATGGAAGACAGAGAAAAAATTAAGCACCCATAAGCAGGGACTCAGACTAATCTATAAGGTGGACATTTTATAGAATAATTTGCCTATCTCTTCAAGAAGTCATTATTACATAAACAAAATAATACATGAAATGAAATAATACGTTATGGCATTAAAAGGGAGAATGTTTTAAATTAAAAGAGATTTAAGACACATAACAATCAGAGGCAATATATACGCCTTAATTAGATCCCAGTTGAACAAACCAGCCTAAAATGAAGTAATTACAGTGATAGAATTTGAACATAGTTTAGGTATTAGGTGATGTTAAGGATCCATTTACATTTTTTGAGGTATGGTAACAGTATTGTGATTAGATAAGGGAAATATATTTATTTTTAAAAAACTGCATAACAAGGATGAAACACAATGTGATCTGTAATTGACTTCAAGTTACTTTAGTCAAAAAATAGATGATGCAAATATACCAAAGTGTTAACAATTGTTCAATCTAAATGATGGCCATAAGTGCTTGTCATATTGTTCTCTTTTTTCTTTTGCTTGAAATTTTCTATAGTAAAAAATAGGATAGTAAGAAGAAAAATGAAGTGAATATATGAAGGCAGAATATATAGTGGAGAAAAGTCCGCAATGGAAATAAAACCACATGAGCCTGGTTTTGACCCTGAATCATCCCCTGTCAAGGCCTCAGCTGCCTCCTATACCTAATGAGGGCTTAGAACAAGGTTGTCCTTGCTGTAAGCCTGTGGTGACTGTCTTTATCCACAATTTTATTAGCTCATATTACAGATGAGAAAACTGACGCACGGAGATGATAGACCACTCAGCTGGTGTGACAGAGCTGGAACTTGAACTGGGAACCCTAGCTCCAGAGCCTGCCCTTTAATGTCATATCGTCACTTAACAATTACAGCACCTGCCAATTCTAACAGCAAAATATTGCCCCCCAGTGTGATTTAGGACATCTCTGGGTGATGGTAAAAGTGCTTGTGAAGTTTTTTGGCAAATGTTTTTTATTGCTCATATTTCAATAATGAATATGTTATGTTACCATTTTTCTTTGAAGTTTGTGGAGGACTAGAATCCTGTAGCCAAAAGTAGCAAGCCTGAGAACAAATTTCTTTTTTTAAAAAAATATTTATTTCAATAGTTTTTGGAGTACAGGTGGTTATTGGTTATATAAATAAGTTATTTAGTGGTGATTTCTGAGATTTTAGGGCACCTATCACCTGAGCATTGTACACTACCAGATATGTAATCTTTTGTCCCTCATCCCCCTCCCATTGTTTCCTCCACCCCAGTCCCCAAAGTCCGTTATATTGTTTTTATGCCTTTGCATCATTTCTTATGTAAAATTCTTCAGAGTAGGAAGACACTCAGGGTGCAATCATATCTGAAATATGAAAGAACTTAACACTTCGTTTTATTGCAGACAGTGATGTAAAGGATACAGTTCTAATAGGCCCATTGTGCTTCATCAGGGAATCAAGAACAGGTTGCTATAAAGTTCTCAAGGTGGCCGGGTGTGGTGGCTCACGCCTGTAATCCCAGCACTTTGGGAGGCCGAGGCGGGGGGATCACGAGTTCAGGAGTTTGAGACCAGCCTGACCAACATGGTGAAACCCCATCTCTACTAAAAATACAAAAATTAGCTGAGCGTGGTGGTGCATGCCTGTAATCCCAGCTACTCAGGAGGCTGAGGCACGAGAATCACTTGAACCCAGGAGGCGGAGGTTGCAGTGAGCCAGATCATGCCACTACACTCCAGCCTAGACAACAGACTGAGACTCCGTCTCAGAAAAACAAACAAAAACAAACAAACACAGTTCTCAAGGTATATAGAAGCTTCCTCAAGAGGTGGAAAAGCACTCTGTAAAAGACTCGATGTCATTTATTTGAGCAAATCCTCACTAAGCACCTCCTGTGTGTCAGCTCTGTGTGGGGGATCTGCAAAACACATACTTATTGGCTATCCACTGTGTGTCAGGCACTCTTGTCAGCACGGGAACATTTTATAGTCAGTGTTTCAGTGGGGATCAAAATAGAATCCCTCTCCTCTCAGAGTTTACTTTATAATGGGAGGAGATGGTCTGTAAATGTGCAGATATGCAAGTAAATCAGAAACACGTTAGCTACTGAGAAGGGCTATTTTTACAAAACTGGAGAAATATGAAAGAGCCTGGGGGAGGCTATTTTAGGGAGTGGTCAGTTAAGGTTAATTTAAGAAGATGGTATTTTAATTGAGACCCGAAGAAGAGGGAATCAGTAATACATGGAAACATCAAAAGATCCTGACTACTTACTATGTGCCAGACTTGTGGGCTCCCTACTTCTATCAGCTAATTTAAGCTTTCCTGCAACTCTGTGATGGAGGTACTATTATTTATTGTTTCCATCTTACAGATGAGAAAACTGAAGCACAGAAACAGTAGACCATTCCCCAGGTATGATGGAGCTTGGATTTGAACTGAGAAGCCTAGCTCCAGAACCTGCCCTGTTGTGCCGTATCATCACTCAACAATCTAGGGTAGCAGTGTATTCCAGAAGAAGAAATAGAAATTACAAAGCCTTTAGTGCAGAAAGGAACCTGGTGCATTTGAAAGACCAAAAGAAGGATAATGTGGCCTTTCATGGAGGGAGTGGAAGCAGGAAAGGTAGGCGGGATCCTGATTATGCAGGGCTGTGTAAGATTTTATTTGAGGTTTTTAAGAAAAAGAGTTATATTATCTGGTTTTGTTTTAAATGATCACTGTGCTGTACAAAAGATGGATTATGAGGGGGCAAAAGTGAGGCAAAGAGATCCATTATGATGTTACCGTTATAAAATAGGCAAGAATCCATGGTGTCTTGGATTAAGGTTGCAGTGGTGATGTGGTAAGACAGTTGGATTAAGATTTAGTTTTACAGGGGACATTCTGATGTGTTGGATGTCGGATGTGAGGGTAGGAGAGGAATCAAGAATAACTCCTAGGATCTTGGCCTGAGCAACAGAGTGGGAGGTGGTGGCCTTTACTGAGATAAAGAAGCCTTAGGAAGAAGTAGCTTTGAAGGAGAAGGAAGAAAGGGAGGAATCAATAATTCTATCTTAGCTATGTCAAGTTTGAGTTGCTTGTTAGACGTCAGAGTCTAGGTTTTAAGTTTAGAAAAAGTTGCCTTGATTTAGCAAAGGAAAAGATGAAAATAAACATTTTGCTTAGCATAATTTCTTCTGAAATAAACGCAGGTTGGACAGTCAAAAGAGATATATGTGGCCTCTTGGCCGTATACGGAGTAAATTCATTAGTCTAGATCAAAAGCTGTAAACAGGTGGTTCAAGAGTATTGTTTAGACTTTAAAATGTGTTAAAAATTAGGATATTTCATATAAAAATACTTTTGGCTTCTCTTAAATAATAGGAAGGCTAGGTAATATTAGGCCAGCATTTTTACTTTTGGAGCTCTCTACTCTTCCATAGGTTTTGCCACTGCCTGTTGTTTGCTCCTCTCTGGTCTTTATAGGTATTCGAGTTCATAGCACATAAACTAGACTCCAATCTTCACTTTGCCACTTATGACTGTTTGGTATTTTTCTATCATTTAATTTTTGTGAGCCTCAGGTACTCAGTCTTAAAATGTGGGATGTGACTAGCTCACCGGTCTCACATAAATAATGGACATAAAAGCATCTCTTATATTGGTAATGTGTTCTAAAAGTGTAAAACATTGTTTCTTTTAACAGTGAAAGTTCAGATTATTGATTGGTAACTGCAAAATCAGTCCGGGAAATACCTAAATTTAATTATTTGAACAATTATCAAATTACTCCTAAGATATAGTCTAACTTAAAATAAAAAGGATAAAAGGGAAATGGAAAGGAATTGGTGCATCAAATTGAGGAAAAGAAATTCTTGGAGGAAAGATACACCCAATACTGAGAATTTTTTTTTTTTTTTTTTGAGACAGAGTTTTGCTCCTCTTGCCCAGGCTGGAGTGCAGTGGCACAATCTCAGCTCACTGCAACCTCTGCCTCCTGGGTTCAAATGATTCTCCTGCCTCAGCCTCTCGAGTAGCTGGGATTACAGGCATGCGCCACCACATCTGGCTAATTTTGTATTTTTAGTAGAGGTCGGCGGGGGTTTCTCCATGTTGGTCAGGCTGGTCTTGAACTCCTGACCTCAGGTGATCCACCCGCCTTGGCCTCCCAAAGTGCTGGGATTACAGGTCTGAGCCACTGTGCCCAGCCGGTACTGAGAATTTAAAACACTGGAGTGGGGCAAAGACCAAAGGACAGAATGGAAGAAAAACAGGGCAAAGAAACTGGCGTTAGAAACCCCAGCTTTGCAGCTTCTTATCTGTGTGAATTTATGAATGATGATAATATAAGTGAATATTTCTGGGCTTTACATATATCATTTCACTTAGCACAACAATCCCATAAGGTAGATAGTGCTACCACCCCCATTTTACGGAGGAAGAAATTGAGGCACAGACTACTTAAGTAATCTGCATGCAGTTATGCAGCTAGTGAGTAGGATAAGTCATCTCAGTTCTCAGTTTCTTGAAATAAAAGGAGAAAAAATATAAATTTATTTTGTAAAGATGTTTTTAAAGGACTGTAGAGATAGATGGAACCTATTATAAATGCCAAGAAGGAAACATATGCTTATCTACTTTATGTAGAATGCCTATAATAACCTAGGGGCCATACCCATGTATTTTACCAAAATTTGATTTCCAGTGAAAGTATACACACAGATACCAAGCTGTTTATGGTTTAATTTAACTTTGTTAACATACACAACCACCTGACATGTATGTGTATTCCAATATTACTTCACAGGTATCTTTAGCTAACGTAACCTTCGTCTATGCGTAGCGCAGAACCACACAATGAGGCACTTTATGTGTCTTTGTTGTTATTGATGCTTCAAAATATGTTAGTAACAAATAGATCCCATCTCTTCAACCTCCCCAGCATTCCTTTAATGCTAATATATCCATTTTCTGACAATCAGTAAGTAAAACACAAAGTTGTAAGATAATTGATCTGTGTTCTAACACCCGCTCTGCCACTAACACTTTGAGTAAACTTTGAAAAGTCAGTATCCCTCTCTGAGTTTTACTTCTTCCATTTATAAAATTAGAGGGTCAGGCCTAGTGACCTCCAGGTTCCCCTTCTGCTCTTATACGCTGGCATTTTATGAAATCTAGCTATAAAATGAATAGTGTCTTTTCATTGTTATTAGCAAAGTATTAGTTGAACTCCCCATTAAAAATAAAGGAGTATTTACAAGTTTCCAACAGGATTAACAGGATAAAAATGAACCACAGGTTACTCAGTCTTATTCCTGAAGTTGACATGGTTTATGCCTGAATGCAGGCCTTATGTGCCTTACTGGCTCCCAAGTGCTCCACTCCAATTGCTGAACTGAATGCTAATCAGCGACTCCAGCTGTGCAGGGTGAGCCTTGTCTGATTACATCAGCAGGGTGGGCTGGGATGCTCGATTCAGTTCAGAGTAGTTATTCAGCAGTTCAGTGACACAGAGAAGGTCATGGACTTCAAAGAGAATGCTGAATGCAGAGATGAAGGCCTGCGCAGAATGGCCCAGTTAATGATCACACTTCATAATTTCACGGTGTGCTGATTCTCCCAGACACTGTGCTCAGCCTGACTTTTGCTGGTTTGGCTGAGGAATCAGGAGCCTTCACTCCAACGTCCCCACCTTGATTTCTCAGCAGGTTTAACTGAATATCTTCCTGTAATTTTTTTCTTATGCACGAGAACTTAGAGAATAATCTTTATCATTTTGCAGGACTTTGTTTCATTATTTTTCAAGGGCTTTTCACATCGCTTATTCCATTTAGCAGCTAACTGAGCCTGTGAGGTACACAGGACATATATGATGACTTAGGCCTTAGAGATGAAAAAATGTCAGAGAGGGGAGGGCTTGGCCTGAAACGCATGGCTAGGAAGTGACACCTTTACCCCCAACCAGTGTACTTTCTCCCCTGCCATAACCCATCAACTTGACAGTGGGGAAAATATTTTTAAGGCTTTGCATCTTTTATGTACTCTGGAGGAAGGGGTATAATTTCTGCCTTTATAAAATGGATTTCATAATGTTAAATAATGACCGTTTCTGGCTCCCTTGTGTTATGCATAAGGTAGGTACTATGCTAGTGACTATCTAGTTTCCTTTTATATGCAGTGGGTTTCACTGTTCTGTGGAAGACTGGAAGTTTCTCACAGGCCTCCTGAGACCATCAATGTGGTTAGGGAAGAGGGATGAATAAGTCAAACTATAGACTTCATCCCTGCTCCAGCTGGAACATCTCTACCTTCATCTGCTTTACATATGGAACTTTTTCATTGTATTGTTTTGTTGTTGTTGTTTGTTTGTTTGTTTTTTAGAAATAGAGTGTCACTCTGTCACCAGGCTGAAGTGCAATGGTATGATCATCACTCACTGCAGCCTCCAGCTCCTGGGCTCAAGTGATCCTGCCACATGACTCTCCCAACTAGCTAGGACTACAGATGAGCATCACCACATATGGCTAATTTTTACTTTAAATTATTTCGTAGAGATGAGGGGGGGTCTCACAATATTGTCCAGGTTAGTCTCGAACTCCTGGCCTCAAGCAATCCTGCCTCAACCTCCTCAGTCACAGGAACTGCAGGCACGAGCCACCACACTCAGCCTCACTACATTGTGAACAAAGGAATCTCTAGCCAAAATGTTTGAAAATGACAGAATTATCATGTTCTTTTCAAAAGGGAAGATATTGAATTATAGCCATAAGCTTTAAAGAGATGGCAGGAAAGGGCACTAAACTTTGCAATCAGGCAGGTCTGTGA
This sequence comes from Homo sapiens, assembly GCF_000001405.40. NCBI lineage: Eukaryota > Metazoa > Chordata > Mammalia > Primates > Hominidae > Homo > Homo sapiens. The sequence goes on from NC_000003.12 coordinate 190,260,154, forward strand.
GAAGGCCACAGCTCCCTGGCTATGAATGAACCTGTGTACCCTCTCTGAGCCCTGGTTTCCTCTGCTATGAAGTGACAATAATAATACTTTCTGTTTAAGTTTGCTAGGGCTTCCATAACAAAGTACTGCAAACCAAGTGACTTAAACAACAGGAATTTATTGTCCCACGGTTTTGGAGGCTGAAAGTCCACAATCAAGGTGTTGGCAGGGTTGGTTCTTCCTTAGGGCTGTGAGGGAAGAACCTGTTGCAGGTCATTCTCCTTGGCTTGAAGATGGCTATCTTCTCTCTGTGTCAATTTACAGTATCCTCCCTCTATGTATGTCTTTCTCACTATCCACATTTCCCTTTTATATGAGAACACTGGTCATCTTGGATTGAATCCACCCTACTCTGGTCTGACCTCATCTTAACTAACTACATCAACAACTCCATGTCCAAACAAGCTCACATTCTGGGCTACTGCGGGTTAGGACTTCAATATATGAATTTTGGAGGAGCACACTTTCACTCATAACATCTTCTGTATAGGGTAAGGATTAGATGAGATTGTATACTTAAAGCATTTTATGGATTATCTAAGATACAACAGGTATTTAACAGACATGAGTTTCCTTGACTTTGTACGATGCAATCACTATTGCTAACTTTCTTTTTCAAACATTCATTTCTTTCTGTCTTTGCTATGATCTTTTCTAACTTTATCTTTCCCCATAGCCTCCTATTATGATTTTTGGAGTTCTCACCTCTTCTGCCTATTTCCAGGGGAATTTCCACAACTTAGGATGAGGTTATATCACCCTGAGCTGCACCTTTCATGGGAGACCATCCTTGAAATGAGCACTAGTCTGATATTTTGAGATCATTTTTGTCCCCTCTCTCTAAGCTAAGGTTGACTGATTTGGCCTCTAGCACTGTTTTGTCTGAGGGAGGCCCTGCTGGCTAGAATAATAGTTGTGAATTCATAAAGTTTGGCCACAGGGAAAAGCTTCTGAAAAAAATTTCCCAGAGTGGTAATATCAGAATTTTCTCAGAAAAGTTTATAAACATGTCTGAGCGTGAGGGGGTGGTTTGAGCAGCAGATGCCAGATTCCAAAGAAAGAACAGTTCTGGTGGAACAAAAGTTCACTGGGGCAAATAAAGGAAATACAACTGCATTTCTTTTCCATTCAATGTTGTATAAAACCAACATGTCAGAAGTACCTCCAACCAGTCTTTGGTTATTCGTTCCTCACTTGAAATGTGGCTAACTCCCGCAATCAATCTGGCGTATTATTTACCAAGAGAATTGCCTTAAAGTGGCAAACTTCAAAACTTCTATAGGTAGTTACAGGTATCACTGTTTTCTAAAGAGCAGCACAGACTATCGGCTTAAATACAAAAGTTAGAGGGCAAAGACTGGGCAGATCCCAGGCCTGCATCTGATTTACGGAATACACCTGACACATGTCAAATGGCCAGAAAGAAGCATAACATTACCAGTGGTGGAATTGCTTTCTTCTTTTAATGCATGCAGGGAGCCTCAGGACAGAGAGAAAGAAATTGATGCTGAGGTAGATGCATTTTCAAGATGAGACACACACTGAGATAAGAATTTCCTGACTGAATGCTCAGGTTGCTGTTTGAGAAAGCTGAATCACTGGATTGGGAAGGGTTTCCCTAGGATCTTGAGATCTGCATGCCTAGATCTCTGGATGTCTGTGGGTGGGAGTGGATGCTTTGGAAAGGCAAGAGGAACACTTAGATGAAGGGATTGAGTGGGTGGAGTTGAGGCTGGAGGCTAATCTCTTTATGCAGGTGTGTGAGTGTGTATGTGTGCATGAGTGTGCTGACCTGGGCTTGGCTAGCTCAGCTGTTGTTTTGGAAGGCAAAACCACAGCTCTAAATTCCCCAGGGTATCATCAGCCAGTGTTCCAGATCTACAATGGTGGTGGTCTTGGGAATCACAGCAGACCACCCACAAAGAAAATAAATGAAAACAACATCTAGCCCTTCAAGCAGGTTTTGCACTTATAATCTCAAAATGTTCAAAAGCAGGAAATATTTTAGTTTATTGTCATGAAAGCCCTTGGAACAGGCATCAGCATTCTGAAAGAAGTAAAGCTAAACCTACATGAGGCATAATAATATCAATAGTGTATGGTAATAACAATAGTAATTTATACTTTTTATCACTCTTTGAAGAAGTTTTTCCCACAGAGGTTTCTTGAAGAGGAAAATGCCCTTGGTTTGGAGTGACTTAAATTACTGTTTTGACTCTGGCATAAGCTCTATCATTTTGTACAATTACCTTTACTTCTGGAGTCATATTTTCTCATCAGTAAAAATGAGGGTGGGGTGAATAGTGTCTGCACAGGGCAGCCCTCATGATTGATTAATCATATATTTATATCACACTTTGATAAACTGAAAAATGGGAAAAACTAAATTGTCCTATCATGTTTATTTTACAAAAGTCATGAAGAATCTCACAGAAACAGAAGAGTAATAACTTATTTTTCTTCTACTTTAGAAAACCAGGACTCTCTACAGAACACCTTACCCAAATTGCAATTGGATTTTCACACTCAACATCAACAAAGCAACCAAATAAGTATTTTTCACTACACTAGAGCTTGGAGTAGTTGCAAAGAAGTATGGCAGACTAGCTGGAGAGGCAGGACATCCACACAAGAATCAGGCAGGATGGAGCAATATTTATGTACAAACTCATATTGATATTTAAGTGTGAAGATTCCTCATGTCTGATATTGGGCTCATTTTGAAACCCTGAAGACAATATGTCCTTCCATGATTCTCCCCATAAACACCTCCTTTTACATATTTCAGAGGAGTTTTTGAGCATTCATGGTTCCTATGTTGCACACTCTTCCACACAGATCAAAGTGGCAAGTTTCATCCTGGCATGTCTCTCTCCAATAAACAGTCCTCAATGGCTCATGAGATTTATTATTTTCCCCATCCCACTTTTGAAGAAAGTATTATGGCAAGAATACCCCAAAAGAATGGTAATAGCTTACCTGCAGAGACCTTGAAACAGGGAGAAGAGGTGCTATTTAGAAATATATACAGCATTTCTACACAAAGTTCTGAGATTTTTTCTTCACTTATCATCACTATCTCTAAACAAAAAAGTGGAAGATAGTAAAAACTCTCCATTTTTCAATTCTGCATAAAACATGGCCCAAGCATATCAAAATAGCCAGGTGCATCCCCCGTGAGGGCTATAAGCCCCAGTAAACACTGGTTTTAATCATCCTCATGTGGTGGTACCATTGGTAGGCAATGAAGCCTAAAGCTTTTCCACACCCTTCCCTCGCTCTTGTAAAACTGGTTGAGAGGGAGGGTGGTGGCAGAGTGTAGTGGTTCTCACACCTTAGTGATCCAAATGAAAACTTGCTCCAAATAAAGATGCCTGCACCCTATCTCCAGAAGTTTTTTTTTGTAGCTTGGGGAAAGTTTTAGGAAACTGATTTATTAATACATATCCCAGGTAAATCTAATGCAGATAGTCTGGACATCATGCTTTAAGGAATACCACTCAGTTATAAAAAGGAACAAAATAATGTCATTGCAGCCACTTGGATGGAGCTGAAAACCATTATTCTAAGTGAAGTAGCTCAGGCATAGAAAACCAAATACCATATGTTCTCACTTAAAAGTGGGAGCTAAACTATGAGGACGTAAAGGCATAAGAGTGATATAATGGATCCTGGGGACTTGGGAGGTGGGGAGATTGGGGGGCAGGTGAGGGATAAAAGATGACATATTGGATACAGTGTACACTGCTCAGGTGACAGGTGCACTAAAATCTCAGAAATCATCACTAAAAAGCTTGTCCGTGTAACCAAAAACTACCTGTACTCCAAAAACTATTGAAATAAAAAAATGGAAAAACACTCGAAAGAAAGAAAGAGAAAGAAAGGAAGGAAGGAAGGAAGGAAGGAAGGAAGGAAGGAAAAAAGAAAGGAAAAGAAAAGAGAAAAAATACTAGCATGACATCTAGGAGCTCAAGATTTCAAGTCAGAAAAATCTAAATTTAATCTAAAATTTTAAATCCAAAAGCCTGGGATTTTCTGATCTTAACCGTTGGGCGAGTTGTTCTACCTGCTTAAGCCTTAGTTTTGTTACCTGCTTAAGCCTTAGTTTTGTTACCTGCTTAAGCCTTAGTTTTGTTAAAAGGAAAAAAAAAACCTAGACAAGTTTAAATTTAACTGAGTTTATTTGAGGGGAAAAGGAAAGCATTCAACAAACAAACAAAAATGATTCACAAATCAGGCAGCCCTCAGAACCAAAAGGTTCTAAGAACTCCTGATCTACAGTGTGTTTAGGCAGTTTTTATGGATAGAAAATAGAAGTGAGGCAAAAAGGACAACTTAATTGTTACAGTTTATTTCAATTAGCTGGCCCCCTACAACTGAGGAAAGCTCAGCTACTGTAACTAACCAGAATCCAGCTACCCATATACGAGTATCCTCCCAAGTTAATTGGTTTTACTAGCGTGAAGGACTCCATATTGGTTAGATCTGTTGGGCCTAGAACAGGAACTTAGTCTAAATCAATGGCCTCCTACAAATTTTATTCAACATTTTTTTTCAACTATAAAATGGGAATAGTGACACCTCAGAGTGGTGGTGTAAGTTTTAAGGGGCACTAGGTATATAGAGAGCTTAGCTCTGTGACTGCCACATAAGAGGCACAAAACCCAAAATCCATGATGAATATTATTTGATATAACTTCAAGCGTAAACTAGGGCAACTCTTACACGGTTTGACATCTTGAAGTCTCTAAATTTATTTCTAAATTTAAAAAATAATAATGGCATTATTTTCCTTACAATAATGGCAAAGCACAATGATATAATGAGTTTTTTTTTTTCCCCGTCAACTACAACCACTACATTGAAGAATAGAAATTTAATTTGAACACTAGGACATGGGATATTTGTCCTTCAGGAATCTGTAGTTTCATAAGTTCAGTGCCAATAAAGGTTTTTGAGGCAGTCATGTAGACGTGTTGAAAAAGATTCTGACAGTCACCATAATATGAGCTGGTGACTATAACCCAGCCATCTGAGTGTCTGTTCTGGTGTCCAGGGCCAATACCAGCTCTGCAGTTCTGTCTTTTTTTTTCCCACAGGAATGTAAGACTCAAATGAGGAAATGCAATGAAAGCAATTTGAAAAGTGTACAACACTGTGCAGATAATAGAATTGTTATGAGGCCTCTGTTCTGAAAGCCAGAGAAGATAACACCCTAAAGAAATAATAGACCATCTCATAAAGAAGTTTCATTGTTTTGGACTGATGGTAAGTATAGTTACATGCCACCATCTGTTGGGTAACTGAATAGCTGATGTGCACATGGCTAGAGGAATTACCTGATTCAAGAATCAGATAGAAGTCCCAGATCAGATAGTTTTTAAGGTTTCCTTCTATTCAGATGTGGGATGATTCTAAAAAAAAAAATTGAATGAAACATTCAAAAAAATAGAGATGAAAAAATTATTCTAAATTTTGCTATTGAACTGACACACTTTCTAGAAATAAATTCAAAGTAAAATATGTAGTTTTACAAACCTGTATTTTTCAGGCAACAGCGCGATCAAGTAAGGAAACAAAGCCAAAATTATATGGACCAAGTTGTTTACTAAATGAAAATTCTAGCCTTCATTATGGCTGTGGGATTTGGCTCTCCCAGAGCTATCACACCTGGCTTGTTGAGCAATAAATACCTGTGGCACCATGAGTCAGATGGGGCATTAACTGGCAAGTCAAGAGAACCAGGCACACTACTGGAGTGACGTCTTTCCGCCTGCAAAGATACAAGACTTGCTGTCCACAAACTAATTAAGCATGATGTGGATAGAAAAGGGGAAGGAGGAGGGAGTAAGAGACCCGGGACTGGGAGCTTCTTGGCAGAAAACATTTCTGTCAACAAACTTTCAGTCTGTTAGGCTCCACCTCATGTGATCTTTCAATACTTTGCATGCCTCTGTACAACTCATCAGATCTGTGTTGCATATCTTTCTCCAAGAGGCAGGAAATATGTCTCATTTTTCTGTATCTTTAATGACAAACAATGTCATTGCATAGAACTCAGCATAAGGCTATTAACTGAGTACAATAGCACAGATTAAAAAGTATCTCAGGTTCAAAAAATATTGCCAGTTAGTGGTAGAAAATCCATGTCCTACTCTGAACTTCTGGGAAAATGAATATACATTAACTTTAAGGACAATAATCAGAGATACTGTAATATAGGACTACTGTGAAACCTGGTGGGCAGAGCTCAGAGTAGCATGAAGCTCTTTCAGTGCTGAAGCTCTCTCCTTGAGCCAAAGAGGAGGCATCACTGCTGGCAGCAAGACAAGGACACCACTCCAGTCTTTCTAGTTACCCTGCCCAAAGAGATAAATGATAACACTTCCTAATCTGAAAAGCAAGACTCAATCCCCAACTGAAGTACATGGAATTCTGGCTTCTTCCAAAACCATATCTTCCAAATTGTATTAGGGAGCATATTTGTCTAATTCTCAGTCAACAATTTCCCTGATCTATCTAGATCATTAGTATTTGCTGACTGTTGCTTTTTTTCTGAAATCTCAAATCCCTTATGTTCTATGAGAACATTATCTCCTGGTACTCTACTTTATAGGTGGACATTTTCTCTGACTACTTTGAGGTTTCTTTCTCCTCTCACCAAGACATGATTATTTACCACATGGCTCAGTGTTTGGCTCTTATTTCTTCTCTCTAAACAATTTCCCCTTTAGTAATTCAATTTATTCTCAAGACTTTAACTACATCAGTGTTGAAGAAGTGAGCATGTCTATCCATGTCTATCCCTGCCTCTACTTTAGTTTCAGTTTTCCAAATGTTTGCAAGGCATCTTTTTGTAGATGCTCTGTCATCAGCTCATTGCCTCATCTTGCTCTTGCATACCACGTGCACAAATTTGGAAAGTCTCTACTTTGGTCTGTGTCTCAATTTTTCATGAATTGACTTGGATGGTAGAAGAAGTTATTTAGAAATTCAATGAAGCTTTTAAGTTCAGAGTAAAAGATTCTCTCAAATGAAATTCACAATTTTTCTAATGTTCTTGGCAACTATACATTTCTATCATTTTTGTTACCATATTTCTAATAGTTCAAGCTAAAAACTAATATTCAAACTTAATATTCAACCACCAGTATTTAAATGATCAGGCCCGATGTGGTGGCTCATGCCTGTAAACCCAGCAGTTTGGGAAGCCAAAGTGGTGGATCACTTGAGGTCAGGAGTTTGAGACCAACCTGACCAACATGGTGAAACCCCGTCTCTACTAAAAATACAAAAATTGGCTGGGCATGGTGGCACATGCCTGTAATCCCAGCTACTCTAGAGTCTTAGACAGGAGAATCACTTGAACCCAAGAGGCGGAGGTTGCAGTGAGCAGAGATCACGCCATTGCACCCCGGCCTGGGCAACAAGAGCGAACCTCCGTCTCAAAAGTAAATAAATAAATAAATAAATAAATAAATAAATAAAATAAATAAATTATAGGTGGACGTTTTCTCTGACTACTTTGAGGTTTCTTTCTCCTCTTTTTATCTTTATCTATTCTAGTATTTGAATGACCATTGTTAGAATGGGCTAAAAGAAGACAAGACTTGAAGTCTCAGAAGGGAACATCTGGAGCCCATTACTAATAAAAATTGTTTCATGCTCTGCCTTACATTTGATTTATTCATGTGGGTCTGTCTTTCCAACTAGATTTGAGGTTCTAGAAGGAAAGATTGATATTTGATTCATTTTAGTGTCATATAAAACAGTGTCTAATATTTTATATGTGCTCAATAAGTATTTATTAAATTATTGCAATTTCAAGTACTAGGCTTCTTACGATGAGAAACCGAGGTGTAGAAATAGATGTCATGTGCCCATGACCAATATGAACTCCTCTCTAACTTCCCTGTTTCCCCCACCTGGCGCTAGTCCTCTTCGCTGCACGTCTGAGATCCCGCAAAGGCTTTTTGTCTCTACCTCCAGCCTCTCCCCTCTCACCCATCCTTCGCATTGGTGCTTGATGTCATGCAAGCATCTCCACTGGCTTGTTCTTGTCCATGCCATCATAATGAAATATGTCACTCATGTGGCTTTTCACAACTGCTTCTCTCACCTTTTTCAAACTTATCTCTCACTTTGTTGCAGAATGCTTGTGTATTTCAAATGATCACTCTTCTCCTCCCTCTGCCACAGCCATGAGAGGTTCTTCAATTTATGAACCTGGTGGGGTTCCTGAAGGTAAAAATCCACAGAAGTGTGGGGCTACTCTTGACTAAAGTCCCCAAATTTTTTTCAGAGTACTTTTGGTTTCAACTATGACAATATGAAAAGCTACTCAGCTTCCAGAAATTCATCAAAATTCCCATTTAATTGTTCCTATCCATTTATAGCTTTAGTAGCTTCTGCCCCAGGTAAGTTGATCTTGGCTGTGTCTCCCTGAATTCATTTGTCTCTTCAGGGTAATGTAATGTTTTGTCTACCGTCTCACTTCTCTAATAGATCTAAAAAAAGTCATTGATTTTCAACTTGTTCAACTTTTTCTTGTCGTAGGGGCAGGAGCGATGACTTCCAAGCTCTTCACATTTTCAGAGTTGAAGCCAAAAGTACTCTGAATCCCTCTTGATTAGTCTAACATTGTTGGATGTGGAATGGCATAAGAATGAGAAGTATATGGGTTGTATCTTATTTAACCTTATATTCAGCTGTGGGATGGGCAGAATAGGGTTAAGGCTCAATATACTGCAAAGCTTTAGTGTTGAGTCAACAGAAAAAGACAAACTGTCTCACACATCAGAAAACTGGTACACTTCAGTTAATCAGCACAATCAGTAAAGATTTCTAAGTGTACTAATTGCATAAATTATAGAAGAGACTTGTAAAATTTAGAAAGCATAATAATATTTTCCAGTATTAGATGTGTGTGCCTGCATTCTTGAATAAAATTACAACCTTAGACACAGCAGATAATTATTCACACTGCTTATAAATCTGAAACTTAAAAGGGAAACCTATAAATTTTCAACAAACAATGGCACCCACACATCTATTTCATACGTCTGCTCTTTCCCAAGCACCAGATTTTATACAGCTGCCTGAAATTTTGGCAGAGGGCATCCTAGATGCTGCCAAGATCATGAGAAAGGAAACAGATCTTAACCCAGTTCATTCCAACTTTAAGCATTCAAGATCATACATTTCGGAGTGTTCAGGGAACATAGAATTTGATGGTGAGAATAATGTCTGAGAAAGAGAATTTTATACTAAGATTAAATTTATAATATACTTTCAGAGTTATTTTTCTGATTTTTAACAGATGGGTTAAGAAACAGTGTAGATACAGCAAAAGAAACTACCATCAGAGTGAACAGGCAACCTACAGAATGGGAGAAAATTTTTGCAACCTACTCATCTGACAAAGGGCTAATATCCAGAATCTACAATGAACTCAAACAAATTTACAAGAAAAAAACAAACAACCCCATCAAAAGGTGGGCAAAGGGTATGAACAGACACTTCTCAAAAGAAGACATTTATGCAGCCAAAAAACACATGAAAAAATGCTCATCATCACTGGCCATCAGAGAAATGCAAACCAAAACCATGGTGAGATACCATCTCACACCAGTTAGAATGGTGATCATTAAAAAGTCAGGAAACAACAGGTGCTGGAGAGGATGTGGAGAAATAGGAACACTTTTACACTGTAGGTGGGACTGTAAACTAGTTCAACCATTATGGAAGTCAGTGTGGCGATTCCTCAGGGATCTAGAACTAAAAATACCATTTGACCCAGCCATCTCATTACTGGGTATATACCCAAAGGATTATAAATCATACTGCTATAAAGACACATGCACACGTATGTTTATTGCGGCACTATTCACAATAGCAAAGACTTGGAACCAACCCAAATGTCCAACAATGATAGACTGGATTAAGAAAATGTGGCACATATACCCCATGGAATACTATGCAGCCATAAAAAAGGATGAGTTCATGTCCTTTGTAGGGACATGGATGAAGCTGGAAACCATCATTCTCAGCAAACTATCGCAAGGACAAAAAACCAAACACCGCATGTTCTCCCTCATAGGTGGGAATTGAACAAAGAGAACACATGGACACAGGAAAGGGAACATCACACATTGGGGACAGTTGTGGAGTGGGGGAAGGGGGGAGGGATAGCATTAGGAGATATACCTAATGCTAAATGACGAGTTATTGGGTGCAGCACACTAACGTGGCACATTTATACATATGTAACAAACCTGCACATGTACCCTAAAACTTAAAGTATAAAAGTATAATAAAAATAAAATAAAATAAAAAAGAAAAGGGCAACCCCCCCCCAAAAAAAAAGAAACAGTGTAGATAGTGTAGGGGAGAAAAGATTTCTTCCTTTTATTATTACTATACTTTAAGTTCTGGGATACATGTGCAGAATGTGTAGGTTTGTTACATAGGTATACATGTGCCATGGTGGTTTGCTGCACCCATCAACCTGTCATCTAGGTTTTAAGCCCCACACGCATTATGTATTTGTCCTAATGCTTTCCTTCCCCTTTCCCCACTTCACCGACAGGCCCTGAAGTGTCATGTTCCCCTCCCTGTGTCCATGTGTTCTCCTTGTTCAACTCCCACTTATGAGTGAGAACATGCGGTGTTTGGTTTTCTGTTGCTGTGTTCGTTTGCTGAGAATGATGGTTTCCAGCTTCATCCATGTCTCTGCAAAGGATGTGAACTCATTCTTTTTTATGGCTGCATAGTGTTCCGTGGTGTATATGTGCCACATTTTCTTTATCCAGTCTATCATTAAGGGGAATTTGGGTTGGTTCCAAATCTTTGCTATTGTAAATAGTGCTGCAGTAAACATATGTGTGCATGTGTCTTTATGGTAGAATGATGAAAAGATTTCTTTCTTTACCCATTGCTAGGCTCATGGCAGAGGCACTTATAACAAAAGACAGATTAACAAGATAGAAACACACAACTGTATTTAAGTTTTATGTGACACATGGACGTTCAGAAATTAATACCCAAAGAAATAGGGAGACCTGTGTAATTTTATGCTTAGGCTTGATGAAAAGTGGGCAGTCACGCAAAAGTATGATTGGACAAAGAGGGAATGATCTAATGGTGATAAATTTGGGGAGGAACTTAGTAAGGCCTGTTTGTCAAGATTCTTCTGTGTCCCTGTGTCTTCAGAGATAAGAACATTCCTTCCCTTTGGGTATTAGGAGAGCACCTGTTAAATGAGTGTCTTATATGTTACTTTAGAGAAAGGCCAGATTATTCTTTTATGGCCTGCTCCTGGGAGGAAGGGCATGAGAAAGTCAGAGAGACCTTCCTGCATTTGCTGTTTTCTGAAATGCCAAGATACCATTTTTGGGGGTAGCAGGTCCTAAATCCCATCAATAGAAAGAAGACACTCGGACGGAATCTAAGATATGACCCCTTTCTCCATCCCTGAAGCATTCAGGGGCTAGAATTCCATTAGGAATCCAGTAAAGTCCCAGGAAACGTATGCTAAGCAGTCATTCATTCCCAGCAGCTGTGGAAGGAAAAAGTCTGGTTGTAACTGTAGGAAATGCAGAAAACTGGCTTGAGGAAGCAATTTAGGAGCAAATTTTAAAGGAAGTTTATTCTTCCAGGAGAGAGATTTTTCTCACTATAAAGCAAGACCAATCCCACAGAAGTTGGAAATGTCCAATGCCTTTTGCACTCACACTTCAAGTTGAAAAAATATTGGTGACCTTTATTTCAGGAAAGGAACATATTATATCAAAAGAGCCTAGACTGGGAATCAGCAAAGACTAATGTAATCTCCAATCAGATCAATAAATACCACATGATGGCATGATACAAGTTCTCTGTATGCTCCTTTCTAATAATCACAAATACCCTCTCCCTGAAAAGTAATTTCCATGTAACTTATGGGGTAATTATTTCCCTGCTTTCTTCACAGTTTTGCCATGTAAATATATGCCCCTAAGATATAATTAAATTTTGTTGTTACTAAACTTTATTAAAATTGATTAAAACTGTATATATTTTTGGATTGCTATTTTTACACAATATTATGTTAGTCACATTTATTTATATTGCTGTCTATAATGTGGTTTGTTTGGTTTTTGTTGAAAGACTTTCCACTGTGTGACAATACCACAATTTAAATATCTGTCTTTTATTGATGAACAATTATTTATCATAAACTATGTCCCAGTGAATAGTCTTGTACATATAGCCTATTGCAAACTTGCAATAATTTTAAGTCTTATTCTTTATTAGCTTTTCAAAGACCAACCCAATGAGAAAAGCAAAAGCTTTTTATTCAGAGATTACTATACCAAGGAAGTCAGCCATCAACAGAGTGGCAGAGACTCAAAGGCAGGTAGAGGAACAGGAAAGCATTATAGTGGAAAAGGGGAAGACTTCAAATGTGCTCTGATGGAAGGCCATTGTCACAGAGCAGCTGTAGATGGGCTAACTAGAAGTGGGACATCCTATGTAATTTATTAGGGGTATATATTGAGCTTTGTCTGCTTGGTCCTAAGTTGAAAGTGGTGAAAAAAATTAGGGAAACTGTCAGTTATTAATCAAGTCCTGCCCATTTGAGGCTGGTTGTTACAAAAGTTAGTTTTGAGATTTTTGGATTGATACTAAAGATAGCAATCTGGCTTCCTTATAGCAGGCTGGCTTCCTGGTCTGTTTACTGTACATAAGGGGGTGGATTTTCTGGGCAGGTTGCTGCAAATCGTGGGTCAAAGTTCTATTTTTATATTTCCTCCAGCCATTGTTCATTTGTACATTCAGCGTCTCACTTTTGTGATTTTTGTCATCTGGCTTTCCTGAACTTCAGGATATAATAACAAAATACATTTCATATCATTTTTTGTGATAGTTGGATAACATTATGATATATTAGATATCTGTCTCACTGTTTGACACATAATTGTTCTTTCCTCTTTACACCTCTTCCAATTTAATAGATGCTTCACAAGTGTCTACCAGTGAACTACAAGCAACATTGCTTGAAATGTGGATCTTATAAAAAAAATTCAAACACCAAAGTACTGGAGTCGCCATATTGATGATGCTTTCTATCCTGAGAATCCATGTCTATGTTGCTAGTTGTAACATCTCTGTGTTCCTCGCAAAGACAACAGTCCTTGGATAAATTCATACATTTTCCTAGCGTCATATAATTAGTAAGTGGAAGACCTAAGATTTAAATCTAGGGCTGTCTGATTCCAACGTACATGCTTTTATTTGCCTCTTTTCCTCCTATATGTAAATGCCCCCCAGTATTTCAGGGCATTTTCCTAACTTATCAGACCACAGGGATACTTTATTTTTTGGGACGGAGTTTCGCTGTTTTGCCCAGGCTGGAGTGCAATGGCACGATCTCGGCTCACTTCAATCTGCGTCTCCCGGCTTCAAGCGATTCTTCTGCCTCAGCCTCCTGAGTAGCTGGGACTACAGGCATGCACCACCACGCCTGGCTAATTTTTGTATTTTTAGTAGAGACAGGGTTTCGCAGTGTTTTTCAGGCTAGTCTCAAACTCCTGACCTCAGGTGATCCACCCTCTTTGGCCTCCCAAAGTGCTGGGATTACAGACGTGAGTCACCGCGCCCGGCCAGGGATACTTTGAAGGTTATACTATATTAATAGAAACTCAACAGAAAATGTTCAGAGATTCAAAGAAGAAACAAAAGTTTATTACATAATAAGATTTTGTAATTTATTTTGATCGCCACTTAATATGTAAAACCTATTTTATACATATCCATTGTAATAAAGAGAAGCAAATGAACTACGTAGTAACTAAGCAGATGGTCTTGAATTAAGCTATTCCAAATATCATTAATGCTTACATCTTGGAAAGATCCTCACCATCTCTACCGCCAGTTTTTAAAACAATGGCTGTTGCTATTTAATTTTACTTTGAGGTTGTGGTTGTTTTAATTTCACTGGATTTTTGCTTATTTCGTTTGGTCACAATATGAGAACCTCAGTTTTTTCCCCTCTTAACCATAGAATTCGTTTTGTATAGTTTGGTTGTTCAAAGTATGCAATAGAGTACCTTACATTTTCTAAACAATGAAAGACACAAAATATATTTGATATATTATTAATATAGCATCAAATTAAATTATAAATGAAAAATGTTGCTTTCATCTGTTTTTAAATAACATTTAGTATTTCCTGGAGGGTGTTTTAGGAAATGCTATTATAGTAGAGCTAGGCACTACACACTCAGCATTAGTGACAATTAGAATGCATTGAAAATTTTCAATTTTATCATTCTTTTCAGAGCTAAAATTTCTCTATTTATCTGACCAGTTGTCATAGGTAAGTTGGTTTTTAAAAACAATGATAAACTAAAAAGAAAGAGGCTTTCCATGTCTTTAAATATTCCCAAGAGAATATCTACCTGTTTACACCTTTAACATGTAGTAGTACTAAAGTTAGCTAATATTCATATCACCAAGGGTTTTCCTTACCTCATCACTTTTAGAAAACTATTGCATGCATACCTGATCTATAGAAATTATAGTGCATGAAATTATGGAAGTCTTTGTTTAGCATATTACAGCTTGCCACGTTGTTAATGTCCTTTCAGAAAAATTCAGGCCAGCTACTGTCCAACCCCATGGGCACAGGCCTGCTTATTCCAGTCACTTCTTTACAAAGTCTGGCAGAGACTGCAGCTCAGAAAGGTCCTTTTCTTTAAAATGGTATTCAGCTCCTGTAAGCCCTACTCAGGTGTGACAGATAATCCATTGCTATTGTTCATATATATTGGAGTACAGTGGAATTATTTAACTGAAAAGGATAAAAATTAAGGAAGGATACAGCTTAATTTTATCTTGCTTTATAGAGGTTTAAGAAACAATATGAGGTTTATCGAGGCTTTGTTTTGGTATATAGTGTTGTCGAAACAGGCAGTTATGAAATTTAAAAATGAGACTATATCGATGTATTATTATGCAATGGCATCTGAGAAACAACATATTAATATAACCAGTAAAAACAGAACTGAAGTTTAGTGTTCAAGGTAAAAGTAATGTACCCGAAATTTGTGGAATTAGGTTTTTATCTTAGTTTTTCCTATTAAAAGAGGTATGATCCTACACAAATCAGATCACTTCTGTGAACAGCAATTTCTTCTTTTATATAATTGTATTATAAGGTCTCTTTTGTCTATATCACAAAATTTTAGGAGAACTTACAACACAATTCAAGGGAATGTTATAAAATGTTAGTGAATACAGAGTATATAGCAAGCATTTTGCTGGGTGCTTTCTCTATAATGTATACACAAATACATTGTATATTGTGAATTACCATATAAATGTATGGAAACATTGTGATATATAGAATAGTACTTACAACTGAGAACATGTGACACTTGATTTTCTTTCTGAATTATTTCACTTAGAATAGTGGCTTCCAGCTTTACACATGTTGCTGTGAGCTGGGCTGTTTTCTTGAAAATACGTCTATCCTTGTACATAATGTCATGAGTATAATTAACCTGACTATAATTAAATGGAAAAAAATTGTTTGGAACTAAAGAGATAGGAAAGGAGAAATGAGAAGATGTGAGCTGATGAAGAAAGAAAGGAAGATTGGGGAAAAAATGTGACTGATTGAGAGAAGGGTGAAGGATTTGCCTGGAGTGAAAGGGAAAGAGTAAAAAAGAAGAGGTTAAGTTGTTTGAGGCTGTTCTTATGTACATCAAGTAATGTACGAGATTTGAAAGAAACTGAATTTTGGCGGCCAAAGACGTATAGAACTAACCAGATGATACCAGCAGAGGAGTCCTCCTAGATGCTAAGTTTGCGCTGGATGTCTAAGCTAACAGCTAACATCAAGGTTGCCAAGCGTATTAGTCTGTTTGGGTTGCTATAATAAAATATCATAAATTGGGTGGCTTATAAACAACAGATATTTATTTCTTACAGGTCTGGTGTCTGGAAAGTCTAAGATAAGGCACCAGTAGATTTGGTGAGTGCTAGCTTTCTGGTTCGTAGATGGCTGTCTTCATGTTATACCCTCATATGGTAGAAGGGATGAGGGGTTTTCTGGTGTCTCTTACTTAAGAGCACTAATTCCATTGGAGGAAGCTTTGCACTCATGACCTCATCAATTTTCAAAGGCCTTACTTTCAAATATTTCCACATTGGAGAATAGATGTGAAGCTATGAATTTTGGGAGAAACGTACATATTTAATCTATAATATCTATTCATTAGGCACTAATTCATTGACATTAACTATTAAGTGAGGCCAAGGACTTAAGAGTGTGTGTTGGTACTCCTCAGCCTTCACCCATAGAGGAAGAAACTACTTAGCCTCTTGCCCTTCCATTTCCTGCCTGTCTACTTGTCTCTTATCCTTAGAATCTGACATAGTCAAGCCACTCTTGTCTAGGTGAATTTTTCTCTTATGTGTTTGCCAAAATAATAATTGTTTCTTTTATTTAATCCAAATATAATTTATAGTTAGCTAAAATGATACTTCTTATACTTGGAAGACCACTTAGCATTAGACAGAGCTGGTTTTGAGCTCATGGATAACAGAAATGTCAGCATCTCACAGAACATCCCCCATTCTTACCACAACTATGTGGGTATGAGGATGCCCAGACTAAGTTCTACAGAACTCAGCCAAGAAAGATTCTCAGGGCTGCCAGTCTGACAACAAGATATCACAATTATATCTGGGTTAAAATAATAAATATAAAAATTATAACCTCTGTGACAGGCTTTTCTCCTTCCCTTCAATTTCCAGTTGGTTACTTCATTCTTTTTCTCCTTCCTCTTTGCTTCCTTCTTCCTTTTTTCCTTTCTTCTAATTTGCCCTCTTTTTTTTCACTAATTTAGTCAGATATTCATTCAGCGAAATAGTTGGCACTATGCCACTGTTTCAGGTACTGCTAAGCATTATATTCAATTTTAGAAAAAAGTTTTCCTGCTCTCATAGAGGTCTAGTGGCAGAGATGGAAGTTCATGCAAAATCATATAAATAAAGATCAAGTTAAACTTTGATAAGTGCTCTAGAAAGAGGTGGAAGATAGTTTCAGAGCATATAATAGGGAGAAGAGAAGGTTTCCTTAAGAAGTAATGAGGGAGTAGAAATCTGAGGAAATATAAAAGTTAATTAAGTTTAAAGAAAAAGGTTCTTTTTTTTAAAACTTTAAGTTCAGGGGTACATGTGCATGTTTGTTATAATATACAGGTAAACTTGTGTCACAGGGATTTGTTGTACAGATTATTTAGTCAGCCAGGAATTTAGCCTAGTATCCATTGGTTTTGTTTTGTGATTCACTCCCTCCTCCCACTGTCCACTTTCCAGTAGGCGCCAGTGCGCATTGTTCCCTTCTATGTGTCCATATATCCACATTATTTAGTTCCCACTTATAAGTGAGAACATGTGGTATTTGGTTTTCTGTTGCTGCATTGGTTTGCTGAGGATAATGATCTTCAGCTCTATCTATGTCCCTGCAAAGGGCATGATCTCATTCCTCTGTATGGATGCATAGTATTCCATGGTGTATATGTACCACATTTTCCTTATCCAATCTGTCATTGATGGGCATTTAGGTTGATTCCATGTATTTGCTATTGTGAAGAGTGCTGCAGTGAACATACACATGGATGCGTCTTTATGACAGAATGATTTATATTCCTTTGGGTATATAACCAGCAATGAGATTGTAGGATTGAGTGGTATTTCTCTTTTTACATCTTTGAGGAATTGCCACACTGTCTTCCACAATGGCTGAACTGATTTGCACTCCCACCAACAGTATATAATTGTTCCTTTTTCTGCACAACCTCTCCAGCATCTGTTATTTTTTGGCTTTTTAGTAATGGCCATTCTGACTATTGTGAGATGGTATCTCATTGTGATTTTTATCTGCATTTCTCTAATGATCAGTGATGTTGAGCTTTCTTTTCATATGATTGTTGGCTACATGTATTTCTTCTTTAGAAAAGTGTCTGTTCATGTACTTGCCCATTTTAATTTTTTTCTTATAAATTTATTTAAGTTCCTTCTACATGCTGGATACTAGACCTTTGTCAGATGCATAATTTGCAAAAATATTCTCCCATTCTGTAGGTTGTCTATTTACTCTGTTGATAGTTTATTTTTCTGCGCATAAGCGCTTAATTTTAATTAGATCCCATTTGTCAATTTTTGCTCTTGTTGCAATTGCCTTTGACATCTTCATCATGAAATCCTTGCCTGTTTCTATGTCCAGCATGCTACTGCCTAGGTTGCCTTCCAGGGTTTTTATAGCTTTGGGTTTGACATTTAAGTTTTAATTCACCTTGAGTTGATTTTTGTGTATGATGTGAGGAAAGGTTCAAATTTCAATCTTCCGCATATAGCTGGCCATTTAACACAGCAGCATTTATTGAATAGGGAGTCCTTTCCCCATTGGGGAAAAAAACTTCAGCTTTGTCAAAGATCAGATGATTGTAGGTGTGTGACCTTTTTTCTGGGCCTTTGTTCTAGTCCATTGGTCTATGTGTCTGTTTTTGTGGCAAGAGCTTTCAAACAAAGAAGAACATGCGCATACACCTGTTGGTAGGAATATGTATGACACATTCAAGAAACAAAAAGAAGACCAGTGCAGCTAGAGTACCAGGAAAAAATAAGCATGGAAGCATATGATGTTGGAAAAATAGGTAAAGACCAAACAATGCAGGTTAACACTAAGAATATTTGTCGCTATCCTAGAAGAATAGAAGGACATTAAATATTTTAAAGATGAGGATACTTGCTTCGACTTCTATTTTGAAAAGATGCCTTTGGTTGCAGGAAAATAGAGAATGAATTGTCAGTTTGTAACCAAGATTACAGAAATGACTCAAAGTATTAAATTCAGGGAATTAGCTATCTAGTTTATGAAGTGGATTAAAAAGTCAAAGTGAGGTAAACCAGAGTTAGCAGCAGCTTGAAGTCCCTAACATGCCCAGACTGGAAGGGCAAAGGAAAGAGGTGGCAGACTGGTGTGCAGGGCCCACGGTTTTCTAATGGAAGCTGGAATCATAAAAGGTAAGAGCTATATCACAGAAAAGATAGAAACAGTGCCAGAAATGTTGCCTAGGGTAGAGAGGGGCATGAAAAAAGCTGGCTTGTCCCTACCATCCTCCAATCTCCTGCCACTATCTCTCATTGACAGAATCATCAGGAAGCCAGCTGACACATACCTGGGTTATCAAAGTGTGCAATGGTTAATCTCCCTACAGTGTCAAGCAGCACGCAGGAAGAATGAGGGTCTGATCTAAGAGCTAATAGGTTCAGAACTAGCAGAAAGAGCAGGAGTGAATGGTGATGTTGGTGGTGCATATTTGGAGTTATTGAAATAATTCAGCAGCTTAGACTAAACTAGCGGCAGAGAAAATGGGGAGAAGTACATTTAAGATATATTGAAAAGAAAAAAATCAGTAAGACTTGGTGATGGATTAAATTTGAGAATTAAGGAAATAGGAAGTATAAAAAATTTCAATTATTTTCTTTGATTGGGTCAGTTTTGTGGTTTCTGCAGAACTATAAAGCTGCCACTCAAAAATAATCCCTGAGTGTTTAACCAAATTGCTACTCCAAGTTATAATAAGAAAGGGTAGCCAGTGATTGGCTAGATGTCATGCAGCAGGAAAGAGGGAGATTGGCTGCTGCCATGGAAACATTTGTTATTGTCACCAGGAGGCACAGGAGAGAACAGCAAGTTCTATTAACTGAGGAACAGAGGATTTAGGGAATAATATTAATAGATCTCCCAGATATCTCTTTTACTGATGATAAAAACCAACTCACTTCAGAAATTTAAAAGATACCATACCAGATATGATAATAAATGCTAGGGCAGTGTGTGTGTTTGTGTGTGTGTGTGTGTGTGTGTGTGTGTGTGTGTGTGTGGTGACGTAGTTGAAAAATACCTTGAGAATTTCTACAAAGAGCCATGTAGATAGTCCAAAAAATAAGTCTCTCAAGGCATCAGAACAAAGGTGAGGATGAAGCTGTGGCATAGAAGAATTCATGGGCCAAAACATGAATGGCTGCCAACTTATCCTGTGTATTTGCAACTGCATTTAAGAGGGTGAGGTGGAGTGGACAAGAGAGCTCAGTAGTCATTAGACCTGTTCTCAACAGCTTTTGCTTGGTAAGTCCTCAGGGGAGAGTCAGGACCTTGACACAATATGCTTCCACTTATGATAATTTACACATTTTTAACTTTAGTAATAATGTAAGCAAAAGATAGCTAAAGCAATTTTGTCAATAATAACCCAGCTATATGATGATGCACTACTTCCATGGCTCAATGAGACATTAATTAACTGCCTAACATATGCATGGCTTTGTGCTAGTTTCTTAAAGGGCTACAAAGAAATACAGAGCACATTTCAGCACAGATGCAGCAAGAGTCTTTCATTTTTAATTTTAGTAACACAGTTTATTAGCTCTAGCAACACCGAATTCCAAGCAAATCCACCTACTAGTATCCGCCTACTAGATACCTACTACTATCTCACATATAATAAAACCTCAATCTAAATTCATGTGAAAGAAAATCTGTTTTATGGATCAGAAAAGTTAATGTGTATGTGTAAAAGTCATAGGATTTGGAAAGATCCTGTGGACATTATCTAATAAGAATGAAATGAAGTGTTTGAGGTAGACGAAAGCATTATTAAACAGGTTTAAACAGGTAGTTTGTTTTGGAAATGCCTCAAAATGCCACTTTGACAAGCACACTATCTCTGAGGATCAACAAAATAATTCTAGAAGATATATTTTTGTGCCAGGAATTAGATTATAATCAGGTATTTTTCATAGAAAAATAATTTTAAAAATCATCAAGGAAGGAAACAATCAGGTGACTTTCCAGAGATAGAAAACTGAAGAGCAAGATGTAAATGTCTTGAGAGAAACTGTATAAAGGGCAAGTTGACCAAACTGTTGAAATTGTGATCTTTGATTTTGTGGAGGTAATTAACATCCAACTTTAATTCTACATTACAGAAACAATAGAATCACATTGGCAGACAATGGAAAGCCTTAGAGATAAAACCAGGCCCTTGCCTAAGATACTTGATACCTACTTTTAGGGTCTAATCAGAAATTTTGGCATCCTAAACAAGAAAGAAGCAGGGACTCAAATTGAAAGAATTTATTTTGCAGTGAGACAGGATCTGAGGGAAAAAGGAAATGGTAGGGTTACTGAGCACACTGAGAGTATTGTGCAATTCTCCCTCACTGAACAGTTCCCTGACCTTGACCTTGAGTTTTCAGCTTCATTCAACTCCATAGACTGCCAAGGGAAGGCATCTGTTCTGGAGCTTTGCTCATCTGGTTGATAGAGGGCATAAGAATGGCACAAAGGAAGTTGTGGAGTATTTACTGGTTTGGGAGAGGACTCTTTAAAAATCATTGTTTGGGAAGTTGGAGCTCTGTAATTTCCGGTGTTAGATCAAAGCCTGGTACGTCTGATAGGAATTAATCTTCTACTTACTTTGTGTTGAAGAGTGGCTTCCTGTGCCCAGAAATAAGTTGGAGTCATGGACGACTGAGTGGTATTTCAAACTGTAGTAAAGCATGACAACAAAATCAACTTAGTTGCACTGAGTACTGGCCATGTGGTCATTATGGGTGCTGAGCATGTCTTCCCCTTCTCATTAGACTTCAGCCTCTCTGTCTCTTACGAAGTAGACTCTCACCTTATATTGTGGACACCAGCTACTCAGTGACTATTAATATGTGAAAATTCAGAATTCTGAAGGGAAAAATTTGGAATCCTCCTTTTGACTAAGGGTAGTATATTGGCTCACAAGTTTATAATTTGCCAAAAGTCAAACCCCTAAGGAATGCATGCACAGATAATCCCCAACTTCTGAGTTTTTGACTTACAATTATTCAACTTTACAATGGTAAAAAAGTAATACCCATTCAGTAGAAATTGTATTTCTCTTGCAATGCTGGGCAGTGGCAGTGAGTCACAGTTCCCCGTCAGCCATATATTTTAAATTTATGATATTTTCAACTTATGATGAGTTTATCAAGATGCAATTCCATTTTTAAGTCAAGGAGCATCTGTATTCCATAGAGAAACACAATTAGGTTTTTAGGAAAATAAAATATTAATGATGAAAAAATATGGAATTTTAAATAGAAAAATTTATACGGACTATATTAACAAAACAGTTAAATATAAGACTCATTTGATTATGATAAACTCAAACATTACGGATGGCAGTGCAGTGGGACATCATCCTTTGGATAGCAATTTCACAATACATATGAAATGCCATAAAAAATTTAGTAATCCCATTTATTGAAAAGTGCCAAAGACAATGTAAAAGAAAGAAAGGGGCTGTATGCAGGAAGATTATTATCAAATTAAATTAATTAAAATGTTCAATTATAAGGCAATATTTCAGTAAAATAGATCTTATCTATTTAATGGACTATTGCCTATGTAATAAAATAATAATTACAACTACTAAGCAGCACCATAAATATGTTAATATAAAAATGTTGAATGAGAACAACTAAATTCACTAAATTAAGGGTATATATATATATATATGTATTCTGGTTAGAGTAATAAAAAATCATCTGTGCATGGATAGACACTGAAAGGTATGATGGAGAGTCACTTTTTTCTATTGTCTTGCTTTTATGTATCAAAGGAACGTTTTTATTTTTAATTTTGTGGGAACAAAGTCTGCCTTTTCTCGATTTTTCTCACTCTCTTCTATACATAGGTGGAGAGAAGACTAATCCGATTGGTGAGTTTGGGGGAAGGGGTCACTGCACATCTACATCCTTGCCTTTTCTCTTTTCTGGGCCTTGAAGACACAGGCTGCAGGCATTTTTGCCTTTGCTCCAGCATCCTTCTATGGGTAAGGCTTCTGGGACAGGCCTGTCCCTTGCAGAGCGCTCCTGACATTTTCCAACTTCACTGACTATGACTAGGTGCATATGCCAATTCTATGGGGATAGGAATAAGATTGATTTTTGCTGGTTGTGTCTTTATCTGGTTTTGGTATTATGGTAATGCTGGCCTTATAAATAAGTTCAGAAGTATTCCCTCCTCTTCATTTATTTCCTTTTTTGAAATATGTTGTGTATAATTGGCATTAGTTCTTTAAATGTTTAGAAGAATTCTGCAGTGAATCTGTCAGTTCCTAGGCTTTTCTTTGATGGGATTCTTTTTATTACTGCTTTGATTTTATGACTTATTTGTCTGTTCAGGTTTTCTAATTCTTCATGGTTCAATCTTGGTAGGTTTTATGCTTCCAGACGTTCATCCATTTTTTCTAGGCTTTCAATTTTGTTGGCATATATTTGTTCATAATTGTCTCTATTGATTCTCTGTATTACTATGGTGTCAGTAGTAATGTTTCCTTTTCCCTTTTTATTTATTTGGTTCTTCTCCCTTTTTTTCTTAGTCTAGAGAGATAAAAGTTCGTCGGTGTTGGTTATCTTTTTGATAAAATAAGTTTTTGTTTTGTTGATCTTTTTCTCATTCTCAATTTTATTTGTTTCTACTCTGAACTTTATTATTTCTTTTCTTCTACTATTTTGGGTTGCTTTGTTTTTGCATTTCAAGTTCTTCGAGATTATCATTAGGTTGTTTATTTGGAGTCTTTCCATTTGTTTTTCATATAGGCATTTATTGCTATAAACTTTCCTCTTAGTAGTGCTTTTGCTGTATCCCATAGGTTCTGATATGTTGTGTTTCTATTTTTATTTGTTTCCAAAAGTTTTTAAATTTTCTTCTTAATTTCTTCATTGACCCATTGGTTGTTCATAAACTTGTTGCTTTATTTCTCAGTATTTGTTCAGTTTCCAAAGTACCTTTTGTTATTTATTTCTGTTTTTACTTTATTATGGTGAGAAAATATACTTGATATGATTTAGAATTTTTACAATTTTTTGTCTTGTATTGTGGCCTAACATATGGTCTACGCAGTGGAAATGCTGAGAAGAAAAATGTATATTCTGCAGCAGTCAGATGAAATGTTCTGTAAATGTCTGTTAGGGCCATGTGGCCTAGAGTATAGTTTAACTCCCATGTTTCTTCATTGATTTCCTGCCTAGATGATCTGTTCGTTATCCAAAGTGGAGTATTGAAGTCTCCTACTGTTTTTGTATTGTAATCTATCTCTCCCTTTAGATCTATTGGTATTTGCTTTATATATCTGGGTGCTCTTGTATTGAGTAGAAAATATATTTATTATTGTTAGATCCTCTTAATGAATCATTATATAATGCTTATATAATGACCTTTATCATTATATAATGACCTTCTTTGTCGTTTGTTTGTTTTTGACTTAAAGTCTATTTTTTCCAATGTAAGTGCAGCTACTTCTGATCTTTTTTGGTTTCCATCTCCATGTAGTATCTTTTTCCATCCCTTTACCTTCAGTCTGTGTATGTTTTTATATGTGAAGTGATTTTCTTGTAGGCAGCCTAGTTTTTATTTTTAATTTATTCAGCCACTCTATGTCTTTTAATTGTAGAATTTAGTTTATTTACATCCAATATTATCTTTAATAGGTAAGACCTTATTCCTACTATTTTGTTATTTGTTTCCTAGTTTTTGTGTAATTCCTGTCTTCCTTTACTACTGTCTTTATACATGGTTAAGTGATTTTCTTTGGTACTACATTTTAAATTGTTGTTTTTCAACTTTTGAGTGTCTTATACATTTTTGCTTTTTTGTTACCATGAAACTTACTAAAATCATCCTGTAGTGGCTGAGCACAGTGACTCACGCATGTAATCCCAGCACTTTGGAAGGCTGAGGTGCGTGGATCACCTGAGGTCAGAAGTTCAAGACCAGCCTGGCCAAATTGGTGAAACCCCATCTCTACTAAAAATACAAAAAATTAACCGGGTATGGTGGTAGGCACCTGTAATCTTAGCTACTTGGGAGGCTGAGGCAGAAGAATCACTTGAATCCAGGAGGCGGATGTTGCAGTGAGCCGAGATCATGCCTTTGTGCTCCAGCCTGGGCAAGAAGAGTGAAACTCTGTCTCAAAAGGAAAAAAAGAATCATTCTATACTTATAACAAATATTTAAAACTAATACTGACTTAACTATGAATGCAACCACAACAAAAAAGAAATCAAACAACTTGCAGGACAAAAACCTGGTATACATTGTGAATTAATTCCCTTCTTCCTCTACATTTTGAATTTTTTGTGTCACAATTCACATTTTTATATTTCTTATTGCTTTACAAATTTTTGTAGTCATTCTCACTTTTAATAGTTTTGTGGTTTGATATTCTCACTAAAGACACAAGTGCTGTAAACACCACAATTACAATATTAATATTGCAATTACATTAGCATCCTTTTCTTTCAGTTTGAAGAACTGCCTTTAGCATTTCTTGTAGAATAGGTCTGGTAGTGATAAATTCTCTCAGCTTTTGTTGTCTGGGAAAGTCTTTATCTCTTCTTCATTTCTGAAGGATAAGTTCACTGGGCACAGTGTTCTTGTTTAACAATTTTTTCCCCTCAGAACTCTGAATATATTGTCCCATTCTCTCCTGGCCTGTAAGGTTTCAGCTGAAAGCCTGTTGCCAGGCATATTAAATCTTCCTTTACATGTTTTTTCCTTCTTTTCTCTCACTGCGTTCAGGATCCTCTCTTTGCCTACCACCTTTTAGAATTTGACTGTAATATTTCTTGGGGTATTCTTATTTGGGTTGAATCCGACTGGTGACCTTAGACCTTCCTTTAGCTGACTATTTATATCTTTCTGCAGGTATGAAAAGTTTTCTATTGTTTCTATGGTTCCATCCAACCATTTTGTCTTTCTCAATTCCCTCTTTAACTCCAGTAACCTAAATATTGCTCTTTTTGTGTCATCCAATAGATCACATAAGCTTTGTTTTTTTCTTTATATTCTTTTTTCATTTTCTTCTTCTGACTATATATTTTCAAATAGTCTGTCTTCAAGCTCACTGATTCTTCTCTTTTTTTTTCATTGATGCAGATCTTGATACTCTGTTGCATTTTTTATTTCATTCATTGTATTTTTCAGTTCCAGGATTTCTGGGGGTTTGCTTATTTTTTGTTTGTTTTGCTTTCGTTATTTCATCTCTCTGTTAAGTTTCTCTGATAAATTCCAAATTGATTCTCTTTGTTTTCTTGATGTTTGTTTTCTTTTTTTTTCTTTTTTTTATTATTATTATACTTTAAGTTTTAGGGTACATGTGCACAATGTGCAGGTTAGTTACATATGTATACATGTGCCATGCTGGTGTGCTGCACCCATTAACTCGTCCTTTAGCATTAGGTATATCTCCTAATGCTATCCCTCCCCCCCTTCCCCCACCCCACAACAGTCCCCAGAGTGTGATGTTCCCCTTCCTGTGTCCATGTGTTCTCATTGTTCAATTCCCACCTATGAGTGAGAACATGCGGTGTTTGGTTTTTTGTCCTTGTGATAGTTTACTGAGAATGATGATTTCCAATTTCATCCATGTCCCTACAAAGGACATGAACTCATCCTTTTTTATGGCTGCATAGTATTCCATGGGGTATATGTGCCACATTTTCTTAATCCAGTCTATCATTGTTGGGCATTTGGGTTGGTTCCAAGTCTTTGCTATTGTGAATAGTGCCGCAATAAACATACGTGTGCATGTGTCTTTATAGCAGCATGATTTATAGTCGTTTGGGTATATACCCAGTAATGGGATGGCTGGGTCAAATGGTATTTCTAGTTCTAGATCCCTGAGGAATCGCCACACTGACTTCCACAATGGTTGAACTAGTTTACAGTCCCACCTACAGTGTAAAAGTGTTCCTATTTCTCCACATCCTCTCCAGCACCTGTTGTTTCCTGACTTTTTAATGATTGCCATTCTAACTGGTGTGAGATGGTATCTCACTGTGGTTTTGGTTTGCATTTCTCTGATGGCCAGTGATGATGAGCATTTTTTCATGTGTTTTTTGGCTGCATAAATGTCTTCTTTTGAGAAGTGTCTGTTCATGTCCTTCACCCACTTTTTGATGGGGTTGTTTGTTTTTTTCTTGTAAATGTGTTTGAGTTCATTGTAGATTCTGGATATTAGCCCTTTGTCAGATGAGTAGGTTGCGAAAATTTTCTCCCATTCTGTAGGTTGCCTGTTCACTCTGATGGTAGTTTCTTTTGCTGTGCAGAAGCTCTTTAGTTTAATTAGATCCCATTTGTCAATTTTGGCTTTTGTTGCCATTGCTTTTGGTGTTTTAGACATGAAGTCCTTGCCCATGCCTATGTCCTGAATGGTAATGCCTAGGTTTTCTTCTAGGGTTTTTATGGTTTTAGGTCTAATGTTTAAGTCTTTAATCCATCTTGAATTAATTTTTGTATAAGGTGTAAGGAAGGGATCCAGTTTCAGCTTTCTACATATGGCTAGCCAGTTTTCCCAGCACCATTTATTAAATAGGGAATCCTTTCCCCATTGCTTGTTTTTCTCAGGTTTGTCGAAGATCAGATAGTTGTAGATAAGCAGCATTATTTCTGAGGGCTCTGTTCTGTTCCATTGATCTATATGTCTGTTTTGGTGCCAGTACCATGCTGTTTTAGTTACTGTAGCCTTGTAGTATAGTTTGAAGTCAGGGAGCATGATGCCTCCAGCTTTGTTCTTTTGGCTTAGGATTGACTTGGCGATGCGGGCTCTTTTTTGGTTCCAGATGAACTTTAAAGTAGTTTTTTCCAATTCTGTGAAGAAAGTCATTGGTAGCTTGATGGGGATGGCATTGAATCTATAAATTACCTTGGGCAGTATGGCCATTTTCACGATATTGATTCTTCCCACCCATGAGCATGGAATGTTCTTCCATTTGTTTGTATCCTCTTTTATTTCATTGAGCAGTGGTTTGTAGTTCTCCTTGAAGAGGTCCTTCACATCCCTTGTAAGTTGGATTCCTAGGTATTTTATTCCCTTTGAAGCAATTGTGAATGGGAGTTCACTCATCATTTGGCTCTCTGTTTGTCTGTTATTGGTGTATAAGAATGCTTGTGATTTTTGTACATTGATTTCTTAAAATAGCTTTGTTGAATTATTTTCCTGAGGGATTACACATCTCCATTACTTTAGGGCTAGTTTCTGGTGCCTTATTTTGCCTGCTTGATGAGGTCATATTTTCCTGATTGTTCTTGATGCTTGTAGAGTGTGATATTGTCTATACATTGAGTGCTTAGGTAAGTATTTTAGTCTTCACAGGCTGGCTTTTTATGTGCCTGTCCTTCAGAGGGCCATCTGGAGATTCTAAACTGACTGATTGTTCTGTTTCCTGAGCCTGTGACCACGGTAGTCATCTTAGCCTTAGTGGATTCTCTAAGTCCAGGTTTGTCAAAAGTCTCACAAAGGCTCAGAGGTTGACATGGCTTTCCAGCCTATTTAGACCTGAGGAAGATCTAAGTAAGGTACGAAGGCTGTGTGAGAATGCTGCCCAGGTACCTGAGTCTAGAAGGATATCCCAGTGGCATAGATAGGTGTGCCCCCCAGTAGGTATTTGCACAGGCAGGAATGGTTTCCAACTACAACAAGAAGAACTAAAGATGGGACTAGACCCCCTTGGGATCTGCTATGGGACAGGCTGAAGAGACCATCTCTTTGATCCAGACAGGTACATAGTTCTCCGCAAGTCCTTGTACAGGTGGGATAGATTCCTGTTTGTAGTGAGAGGGACCAGATCTAACACTGAGCCTCTTTGGGATCTGCTGTGGAAAAGAAGTTGGCTGGTGTGCCTGTCTAGGAGGGTTAGATTCCCAGGCTGGGAAATATGGGCAAGTCTCCTCTGAGTCATTGTGTGAGCAGCTCTGAGCTGGGAGGTCAACTGAAGAAGGCTGGAGTAGCACCACAGGGCAACTTTCGGGTTCTACTGCCAAGATCAATGTTAGTGAGCAGACCAGCCTTTCTGCCAAGGGACTGGGGTGCTCAATTTCTTCAGGACCACATGGCAGCTGATTTTGGGCTCAGGTTCAAAGCCAAACAGGGCTGTAGCCAAGCCCCTTGGGGGACTGAACTATTACTGGACTTGAACCCAGAAGCAAGCTCAGCAGATCAGCCACCTGGATGTTGATCTGCACTTTTGAAACAACATTCCAAGGACTTGAGCTCTACCAGGGTTTCACAAACTCCTACCTGAATCCTGAGGCTCTCACAGACAGACTTTTGACTCTAGGTTTTTAGGGGGCATTAGCAGACTACCTTCTATTTTACCATTTTGGTGACATCAGTCCTTCTATGATTCTCTTTATCATATTTATAAGATTATCTCATTTGTCCAACAAATTTAATCTCACCGTATCTGAGAGACCCACTGTTGGTTGCCATGGAGGTTCTATGTTGAAAATAATACCAAAAAAAGATGAATATAAATTTGAACTATCAAATTCTATGGACAACTCAATAAAAATGTTTTATTCATTTCTTAGTTATTGAGCAGGAAGTCTTAAAGTATCGAATTATCTATTATTAAGACAGTATATATTTAAAATATTTTATTAAAATTTGATTTGAATGATCAATAATTCAAAATTAATCATTAAAATAACTATGTACTCATTGTTATTACTCTCAACTAAAACTGAATAAATTGAAAATTACAGAGGATTAATGACCTCATCAAGGTCATAGAGGTAGTAAATGGAAGGGTACTTAATCATGAGGCTATTTAAGTGTCATGGTGAATTCACAAACTGGTTACAGAAAGAGTTGAGATGGTTCATGTCAAAGTAGGTGGCTCCCTATTCTTACAACTATAGCTGGCATTACTGTTTATCAACACTGACAAGCTTGTCACATAATCTAACACTGGTGTAAGTTCATGACAAAAGTCTCTTTTGAAAGGTCTTTAGACACAGATGTCTCTTTGCTGGGATCTGTGAACTGAATCATGGTTACAGAAAGGCTGACAATCTTTCAGCAGGGCCTGATGGTGAACTTCAGCAATTATGACAGTTTTCACAGTTGCTTAGCATCGAGACAGAGAATCTGAAAGGTGGTTTTTTGGGGACTTCACAGAAAAAATGTCCTCTAGTGATAAATGGAATAAAGTCTAATAATGTGCTGAAAGATTCTCTAAAGGGCGGAGCTTATTTGGGGGAAGTTTCTGAATTATAACATCTGCCACCTTGCATTTTAGAGAGCTTTTGTCTGTGAAGGCTAAAAGAATGGCCACTTGTAGAGTATACTTGAAAAAGAATTAGGTTTAGTCTAAATTGTATCATTTGACCTTCAGGATCTCTTTCAGTCCTAGGTGGAAGACAATTTTAAGGAAAAAAAACCTACTCTTTCATACCTCACCATTTTCGTTTCCATAAATTGTCCTCCTTTCATCAGCTCATCTCTGAAATTCTACAAGGAGGTAAGTGATAAAAGCAATTTATCTTCTTTTGCCAACTATCTCACCTGCTTAGCAATGAGTATCTTAAAATAGAGGGGTAATACAACCTTTATCTTACAGAAAGGATGTAGGAAAATCACAGATAAATAATTATTACAATTCTAATTTATTAGGGATATGTGAAAGAAAATTATATCAAAGTAGTGAAAGAAATGAAGAGGAATTAATTGCTTTTTAGTTATTTATCAAATACTAGCTTTGGGCTAGGCACAGTTCTAGAAATGAGATATAGCAGTAAATGAAAACAAAAAAATTCTACATATCTGTGGGAATATAAAAAATGTGCATGTAAGCCAATAACTGTCAGTTGGTGATAAGAATTATGAAGAAAAAAACAAGTAGGATGTTAGAGAGTAATGAGGGGCTGGGTTATGTACTATTTTCTATATGATGGTCTTGGGAAGCTTCTTGGATGAGGTGACATTTGAGCATAATGAATGCTATGCGGAACCATAGCATGTGGATATCTAGAGAAAAACAATCTAGGCAGAGGGTACAGCAAATGTAAATGGCCTGCAGTGGGACTATCCCTTTGATATCTGAGGAAGAGCAAGGGGATCAATGTGGCTGTTGAAGAATGTGTCAAGGAGAGGTGATGGTATCAGAGAAACAAAAGGCCATGTATTAGTCTGTTCTCATACTACTATAAAGAACTCCCCAAGACTGGGTAAATTATTAAAAAAGAGGTTTAATTGACTCACAGCTCCACACAGCTGGGGAGACCTCAGGAAACTTACAATCATGGTGGAAGGGGAGGCAGTCACATCTTATATGGCCACAGGCAAGAGAGGGTGTAACAGAAGTGAAGAGAGAAGAGCCCCCTATGAAACCATCAGATCTCATGAGAACTCACTCACTATCATGAGGACAGCATGGGGGAAACCACCTCCATGATCCAGTCACCTCCCATCAGGTCCCTCCCTCAACACACAGGGATTAAAATTTGAGATGTATTTGGGTAGAAACACAAAGCAAAACCATATTATTTTGCCCCTGGTCCCTCTTAAATATTACATCTTTCACATTTCAAAACTAATTATCTGAGACAAGTCAAGTCCCTTCCACCTAGGAGCCTGTAAAATAATAATAATAATAAT
Source organism: Homo sapiens (assembly GCF_000001405.40). Classification (NCBI taxonomy): domain Eukaryota; kingdom Metazoa; phylum Chordata; class Mammalia; order Primates; family Hominidae; genus Homo; species Homo sapiens. The sequence goes on from NC_000003.12 coordinate 190,291,728, forward strand.
AATAAAGTTAGTTCCTTCCAAGATACAATGGGGATACAGGCACTGGGTAAATACACTCATTTGAAATGGAAGAAATTGGCCAAAACAAAGGTGCTACAGGCCCCATGCAAGTCCAAAATCCAATAGGGCAGTTATTAAATCTTAAAGCTTCAAAATAATCCCCTTGACTCCATGTCTCACGTCCAGGGCACACTGATTAAGGGGGCGGGCCCCCACAGCCTTGGGAAACTCCTTCATGGGCTGGTATTGAGTGGCCTGTGGCTTTTCCAGGTGCACATTGCAAGCTGTTGGTGGATCCAACATTCTGGGGTCTGAAGGTTTGTGGACCTCTTCTCATAGCTCCATTAGGCAGTGACCCAGTGAAGACTCTGTGTGGGGCCTCCAACCCCACATTTATTTCCCTTCTGCACCACCGTAGCAGAGGTTCTCCATGAGGGCTCTGCTCCTGCAGCAGACTTATGCCTGGACATCCAGGCATTTTCATACATCCTCTGAAATTCAGGTGGAGGTTCCCAAACCTCAATTCTTGACTTCTGTGGACTCACAGGCACAACAGCACGTGAAAGTCACCAAGGCTTGGGACTTACACCTTCTGAAACGATGGCCCAAGCTGTACCTTGGCCCCTTTTAGCCACAGCTGGAATGCATGGCATCAAGTTTCAAGGCTGTATACAGCAGTATGGCCCTGAGCCCAGCCCATGAAACCAGTTTTTCCTCCTAGGTCTCTGGGCCTATGATGGAAAGGGCTGCCTCAAAGATCTCTGACATGCCCTGGAGATATTTTCCCCATTGTCTTGGCTATTAATGTTTGGCTCCTTATTACTTATGCAAATTTCTGCAGCTGGCTTGAATTTCTCCCCAGAAATGGGTTTTTCTTTTTCTATTGCATCATCAGGCTGCAAATTTTCCAAACTTTTATGCTCTGCTTCCCTTTTAAACATAACTTCCAATTTCAGATCATCTCTCTCAAGTTTAAAGTTCCACATATCTCTAGGGAAGAGGCAAAATGCCACCAGTCTCTTTGCTAAAGCATAGCAAAAGTGATCTTCATTCCAGTTCCCAGTAAGTTCCTCATCTCCATCTGAGACCACCTCAGCTTGGACTTCATTGTCCACATCACTATCAGCATTTTGGTCAAAACCATTCAACAAGTCTCTAGGAAGTTCCAAACTTTCCCACATCTTCCTGTTTTCTTCTGAGGCCTCCAAACTGTTCCAACCTCTGCCTGTTACCCAGTTCCAAAGTTGCTTCCACATTTTCTGCATCTTTATAGCAGTACCTCATTGCCTCAGTACCAATTTACTGTATTAGTCTATTTTAACACTGCTATAAAGAACTACGAATTTTAAAGAAAAGATGTTTATTGGACTCACAGTTCCACATGGCTGGGGAGGCCTCAGAAAACGTATAATCATGGTGGAAGGGGAAACAGGCATGTCTTACATGGCAGCAGGCAAGAGAATGTGTGAAGGAAGTGAAGGGGTAAGAGCACCTTATAAAACTATTGGATCTCATGAGAACACTCACTATCACAAGAACAGTATGGGGGAACCACCCCCATGATCCTATCATCTCCCACCACGTCCCTCCCTCAACACCTGGTGATTACTATTTGAAATGATATTTGGGTGGGAACACAAAGCCAATCCATATCAGGCCATGTAATATATAGGACCTTGTAGATCATATTCCAAGGTGTAGAATTTGAGTTTTATTCTAAGTGTAAAAGCCTTAGATGGTTTTGAGCAGAAGGGAAACACAATTATGAATTGAGTTGTAAGATAATCATGCTGCTCTCTGGAAATTAGACCATGAGTGGACAAGGATTAAAGTCCAGTGACCAATGAAAAGGTCCAATAAAATATCAATAGTTCAAATGAGGGACTGTGGGGTTTGGACTAATATCCAATTGAGAAGTGAGCAGGGATCAGATTTGGGGTAAACTGTAAACTATAGCTAACAGGATTTAATAATGGATTGGACATAGCGTATGAGACAAAGAATGTATTCAACAGTATTGTCAAGACCTTGGCTCACTGGCTAAAGAAACAGAGAAACAGTTAAACCGAGAAGATTAGAATCTCAGGTTTTTGTTTTGTTTGCTGTTGGTAGGGGACAAAGGGTCTAAAAGAGGGAGGACAGAGGGAGAGAAATGGGATCAATAATTTGGTTTCGTTCATGTTTTGTTTGAGATTCCTATTAGACATTTTAGTGGAAATACTGAGCAAGTACTGTATAACAAGTGTGGAGTTCAATAAACAAATGATTCTGGAGTTTTAAGTTTGTGACAGTTTTAGATGAGTTTTGGTTGAAAAGTCTTGACAGAATGTCAGGAAGGAGAAACCAGAGGCTGTCTATTGTCCTGAGAATTGCTTTCTGTTGGGATTTACCCTAATCTGGGGGATTTTTCAGCTAGGGCAGAGTTTTGTGCTTGTATTTAACTTAAAATGCTTCCTTCTAAACTACTTCAAATCTCAACCATGTCTCATAATGTTTACACATCTAAGTTCTGACCTCATGACTTTATCAAAGTAGACACTTAGTTCAACTAAAAAAATGGAACAATTTAAGCTGCTAGTATTAAATAAGTGTTCAGAGCACACCACATGTAGTTGATAGCTGTGGGCACTTAATTCATACTTTTGGTTGAATGAGAGGCTGATTGGCATTGAAAGACAATGTATTAATAGTCAAAGTAAATAAGCATTGTCTAAAATTTTAATATTGAATGTAAATTAATTTAATTTTTAAATTTTCTGGATTGTGCACGCTTTTACTTACTTTTTTTAAATAAGGAGAGTTTTAAAAGCCAGTAATAATAAAAACAAGTTTCAAAACATGTCCTGTTTAAACAATTAACAAAATAAACTTTCTTTAAAAGTTTGAAATTATCATTTTACACAAATTATTAATATATTCAATAAACAAAGCTTTTATATTTTAATTTAAAAACAATTTCTTCTGAAGAACATTTTTTACCCTAATCTTTTCTGTAGAACCATATTATTGATTCTGACAATTTACAATGTTCTTACTATATTAAATAGTGTAATTTAAACTATAAACCACATGACTTATAAAAACTGGATTAAAAAGTGCTTTTGAAAATGTCTTGCAAACTCAGTAAGAAAGTAATAAATATGAGGATTAAATCATGAAGTTATCACCACATTTTATTGTTGTCTTCTCCAGTAAACTCAAAATATAATGTGGAGACTGTTAGTCTTTTCTAGCTTTATTTTAATCATGTTCTAACAGATAATAAACTGAAAACATGGGAATTCAATAGAGGCATTATCTCAGGGCTCGAAATTATAAAAATTAAGACAATTTCCCTATAAATTTTTACAGTATTATAGGCAAGACACGCTCATATTCATATTTAATGAATATAAGTTATCAGATGCCTACTAAGTGCCAGGTACCAAGCAAGATACTTTCTCATTTCTCTGACAGTCTTAAGATGAGATTGTGTGGTTGTCAGGTACACAATGATACACAGAAACAATAACTGATTACATTCATCATGATGCAGTGATTTAAAATATCTATGACCTGCAATAAACTCAGAGAAAAAAAGCATGAATGGTACCCGTCTTAGAGGAAAAGAGAATCTTTATAAAAGCAAATTTTCTTTCCTTAACAAACCTATGGCTTAGGTTGGACAGAAAGGATTAATCCTAACCTTTTCTTTGTGGGATTTCTTTTCTTTTTTCGGAGTTGGACTCCCTCACAGTGAGGTGGCAGTTTAGACTTAAAACGATTAAACAGCATAGGAAACTTAATACCAACCTACTTAATTTCCTAGGATTCCTGGCTGGAATACTAGGCTGTTTTGTAAATGTACAACCTGAGATCACAGAGCATTGGAAGCTGCTTGTACAGAAGAAAAAGATCAGTACTTGAACTCAGAAGATCCATGTTTACATCTTAGCTCCGTTGTTTTTATGAGTTTGGGCAAAACTCTTCTTTTTTACAGGCCTCAATCTAACAATTTGTATAAAAGGAGATCAGTGAATATGTTAGTCAGGACTCTGTCTGAACTAAATGTAGAAATACACATCAAAATACATTAAGAAAATATTAAATGTATATGTTCATAAAACTGAAAATTCTAGGCTTATAACTCACTCTACGTGGGGCTGGATCAAGAGGCTTGATTTATGTAATCAGGCATTTTTCTTCTCCAGCCTCAGTTCTGCTCTTTTCATAGTTATGTTCATTTGATTTTTTATTGGCTCTAGGGTTTTTTATTTCATCTTCTAAATGAAGAGTTTTCTTCCCTGATAATTATAATAAAAGCTCTGAAATGGAGCCTCATTGATCTGACTTGAGTCATATACTCTACCTTAATCATTATACATTAGTTTATTAATTTATTTGCTAGTTACTATTTGAGCTTTACTATGTGATAGGCACTGTTCTAAACATTTGTGATACAATGACGAGCATAATATACATAAACATATAAAATAGCTGCTTTTATAAAGCATTCATTCTCATGAAACAGTCAGGCAATACAGTAATGCATGAATAAAAATATAATATTCTGTCATTCTTGTCATGTTACAAAGAAAAATAAAGCAGGGAAAGAGAATAGAGTGTCATAGGTGGCTACTTTATAAAGGGTGGTCAGAGAGGTCTTTTCTGGTAAGAAAATTCTTCTGGGAGAAAACTGATGCTGCGAAAAAAGCAGTAAGTTTAAGATGTGCACTTGTTACATCTCAGAAATAGCAAGGAGACTAGTATGGCCAGGTCAAGATGGTCTAGGAGGAGAGTAATAACGTATGAGGATGGGAAAGTAGCTAATGTCAGATTTAATTTTTTTTTTTTTTTTTTTGAGACGGAGCCTCGCTCTGTCGCCCAGGCTGGAGTGCAGTGGTGCCATCTCGGCTCACTGCAGGCTCTGCCTCCCGGGTTCACGCCATTCTCCTGCCTCAGCCTCCCGAGTAGCTGGAACTACAGGCGACTGCCACCACGCCCGGCTAATTTTTTGTATTTTTAGTAGAGGTGGGGGTTTCACCGTGTTAGCCAGGATGGTCTCGATCTCCTGACCTCGTGATCCGCCCGTCTTGGCCTCCCAAAGTGCTGGGATTACAGGCGTGAGCCACCGCGCCCGGCCCAGATTTAATTTTAAGTGATGTGGAAATCTTGGAGGATTGTGAACAGTAGAGTGATAAGATAATTACCTAACATGTCTTCCAAAGATCTTGCTGCTAGATAGAGAATAAACAGTAGGACCACAGTCAGAATGGTGTCACTGGGTTTTTACAACAAAGTAGCCCTGAGCCACAGACTGTCTTACTCATCTCTTTATACCATTTCTGTTTGGATAAAGATTTGACACATATTAAACACAAAATAACTAAACACAAAAGTAAACACAAATGTTTCATTGTAGAGTGAGTAGTTTCACTGATAACATTTCAGTAAAATTGCTTTGCTTCCAGTCTTATGAAGAACTAAAATAGCAAAGTGGCTGCATTTAGACTCATTTTTCAGTTTATTCTTTTTAGATAAAAAGTCACATCAACAGAAAATGTCCTTAATTCTGTAATATGGAATTCTCAATGCTGAGTCCATATATTATTCTGACAGACAGACACGAGGCAGGATGATATTTGAAAACGGGGAAAGGACTCTACCCAAATGTGTGCTTGAAATTGAAGATATAGGCTTTCATTTTACATATATATATATAATTTACATACATATGTAAATATATGTATCATATTAATTGTTATATTATCTATATATTATATATCTATATTTATATCTATATATAGATATGTATATATATATTATAGATATATAGATAATAATATAGATATATAATATATAGTATATAATATATAATATATATCTATATAATATATATCTATAATATCTATAATATAATATATAATATATAATATATATCTATATTATATATCTATACATAGATATTATGTAGATATTAATATATAAATATATAAAATATATATTACATATATTTATTTTTCAGATATATATATATACACACATATACACTCACACATATATACATACCTGAAAAAAAAAAAACCTTTACATTTATCCAGTATTTCTCATTTACAAAGGACATTCACATATGTCATTTGACTTCCACTGAAACTCTGTGAGTTAAGTTGGACACGTATCATGACTGAGACTGAAAGATAAGTTTGTCAAGGCTACATAGCTAATGAAGTAGGCAAAAGCTGGTTTTGATGGACAGCAACGTGGCCATCCATGAAACTAAACGCCCTAATTCAGTTGCTGCTGAATATGACCATGGACAACCATTCTATCCAATGAGACATAAAAATAGAGGAATTTATTTGTTTTAAAACATATTTCTTTATTGTCTTTTCCATATACTATCTGATATAAACAAAAAAGAATAGTTATGTAATATATGTAAGTCTTAAAGCATAATAGTTATATAATGAATACCTATGAACCCACTACCTAACCCAAGGACTAGAACGTTACCAACAATAACCATATACTTGTAACTTCTTTACCATCCTACTGCTTCTTTCAAAGGAAACATTATACTAAATTTTGTTATTCATGTCCATGCCTTTTCTTTACAATAGTTTGATCTCACATGTATATTATACACACACACACACACACACACACACACCTTAACAATGTATTATTTAGTTTTGCTAGCTACGAGTTAAAAATGATATTACGTGCAATGTGTCCTTCTGGGAGTTGCTTTTTTTTTTTTGTATTTGAGACGGAGTTTTGCTCTTGTTGCCCAGGCTGGAGTGCAATGGCGTGATCTCTGCTCACGGCAACCTCCGCCTCCTGGGTTCAAGTGATTCTCATTCCTCAGCCTCCCAAGTAGCTGGAATTACAGGCATGTGCCACCACGCCCAGCTAATTTTGTATTTTTAGTAGAAACAGGGTTTCTCCATGTTTCTCCCGACCTCAGGTGATCCGCGCGCCTTGGCCTCCCAAAGTGCTGGGATTACAGGTGTGAGCCTGGGAGTTGCTTTTTTCACTCAAAATTGTTTCTAAGAAAATATTCATTTTACATATAACTGCATCTATTTATTTTTTTCATTTTTACTGCTATAAAATGTTTCAATGTGTAAACACACCACAAATTATTTATCATTAAACCAGTGAAAATTTTAAAGGTTTCCAGTTTTCTTACTGTAGCTATAATTGTCATTCTTATACATGTACCCTGATATACATATAAGAGTTTCTCAAAAATATATGCTTATTAATGCATTTTAATATGAAGTTGGATGTTTAAATTTACAGTATAATGTTAGTATTCCTTTCAAAATTTATTAGATCAATTGGTGACCATCATTAATCCACATATGCTACAACACTTGGATGCATATCAGACATCTTATATTTTGTCAATCTTGTGGACATGAGTCTGGTTTAAAATTACATTTTTCATTAATTTTATTAAGGTTTTATTATTAAAGTTATTAATAAGATTGAGCATATTTTCACATTTTAATAAGCTTATATCATTTATCTTTTGCAAAATGCCTTTGCATGAATTTAGCTTTTTTTTCCATTTGATTGTATTTGTTATAATTGATCTATTGGTTTTTAAAAGTGTTCTCAATATTAAGTCTTTGTTTATTATATACTATGTGGTGGTTATTCTTCCTAATTTTGGATTGCCCCTTCTGATGTTTCTATTATGTATTTGATGAACAGAGTCCTTTACTTTAACATAGTTGTATGTAACTATTTTTTAAGGTTTTGTTTTTGTGTCTTATTTAATTAGAAAAATTCTTTAATTTATGGTAAGAAATTTATTCTTCTGTATTTTTTCTGAATTTTTTTTATATTTAAGTCTTTAACCTATGTAAAAGTAATTTTTGTGTATGGTATGGGTTAGAGACCATGTTTGTTTGTTTGTTTCCCCTGTAAATATCCACTTGCCCCACAGCATGTATTGAAGCATCCCTCATTTCTCTGTTGATCTGTAATACTATCATGTCTTATATCACAATTCCATACATGCTTAGGTCTATTTGTACTCTCTATTCTATCCCACTATTCAGTTTTCCACCCACTGAGGATTTATGAAAAAGTTTTGATTTTCTGATATATAGGTACCACTCATTTCTCCTTTTTGCCTTATCCTTCTTTTGCGTCTTCATCTTCTTGACTTGCATAAGGTGGTAAGAGTGAGGGTAGAGTAACCTTCCTGGAACCAAAATAACCATGAGAACGGAAGCCATACACTAAGAATGACAAGGAGAGAAGATGACTGAGCAATGATTTTACAAATTCATCAAGGCATCTGTCTACTACCTACCTTGGGACAACTTGGAATGTGAGAAAACCAAAGCTCTATTGGCTAATTCTCTGTACTTTCATGTGACATTCAGGAGGTATGCTGCTCTTCAAGTAAGAATCTTCCACGGAGTGGGAGTTGAGGGGTCGTGGGGGCGGGCAGTTTGCTGACAGCTTTTCGCTGCAGTGCTGTTGGCAGCTGCTGCAACTTTCTAGTTAAAGCCACACTTTTAACAGCTCACAGATAATGAGTAAATACAGAGGGGGCATTAGGAAGTGATCATTGCTGCCCAATGCAGGACTACTTTATGGACATCCTTTAAACAAGAACTCCCCATGGGCTGGCCACAAGGCTTTATAAGAACACTCAACAGCCTGAAGTTTTTCTGACACAATTCTCCTGCTTTCCTATTATCCATTCACAGGTGTCAGACCAGGCTGTATTTGTTAACTATAGCCCGTAGGCTAAAGCTGGTCCACAGCCTGTTTTTTGTATGGCCGACAAACTAAGAATGATTTACATATTTCGAAGAACGATACAAGCGACTGAATATTAGGAATATATGATAGACAATTTATGTGACCCACAAAGTCTGAAATATTTGCTCTCTGGTCATTTACAGAAAAAAGTTTGCTGATCCCTCCGATCCCTGGCAAAGACTTTTGCTATCTACTCCTGCTGCCTTTTCCTATTTTTTTTCTCCACAGGCATTAGCCATCATGCTTTTGCAAGTCTAACTCTGTCTTGGCATCCTCCTTCCCAGAACACTTAAACTGACACGTTTGGTTTCTATCACATTAAATTATAAAGATGCAATTATTAAAAGGGCAGATTCAGGGTCAGAATCCAGGGCTGGTCTGTGACCCTAACACACCAGATTTCTTTGATGATACTCTCACAGTGAAAAAAAGAATGAAAAATTTGAGAGAGAATAAAAGATGGATCCGGTAATGAGAAAAATAAATTTGGTTTCTGCCATTATTAACCAGCTAGCCTAGTGATATGTAACAATCAATCCAAATATCCAAAGACTGGGGCATATTTTCAACTTGACTCAATCCTGTGAAACTGAAGTTTCATTACTCTCTTTTCTTGAAATCCTTTTCTCCATTCTAGTTCTTCATATGCCCGTTTTTCTACTGCTTACTGGACATCTCTACTTGGATGCGCAATAGGCATGTTAAGACGACTATGTCCAGGTTGGGTGCGGTGACTCATGCCTGTAATCCCAGCACTTTGGGAGACTGAGGTGGATGAATTACCTGAGGTCAGGAGTTCGAGACCAGCCTGGCCAACATGGTGAATCCCAGTCTCTGCCAAAAATACAAAAATTAGCCGGGTGTGGTGGCTTGTGCCTGTAGTCCCAGCTACTCCAGAGGCTGAGGTGGGAGAATCTCTTGAACCCGGGAGGTGGAGGTTGCAGTGAGCCAAGATCGCACACTGCATTCCAGCCTGGGCGACAGAATGAGACTCTGTCTCAAAAAAAAAGAAGAAGAAGAAGAAGGGGAAGGAGAAATTATCATCATGTCCAAAATGAAATTTCTGACTTTTTTTCAAACCTGCTCTCTCTCAGTCTTTCCACTTTTGGTTTATGTCTGCTCCATCCTATGAATTTCTTAGGCAAAAAGCTTTGGAATCATTTTTGACAAGTCTTTTGCTTTCATACCTCACATCTAGTCAATCAGCAAAAGCAGTTGACTCTACTTTAAAGTAAATAATATCCAGATTCTAACCACTTCCTCCTATGACAGACTGCAATCATCAAGCCGTCTCTTGCCTGGATTATTGTAATAACCTTCTATATGAACTCATTGCTTCCCTCCTTATCTACTTACGGTCTATTTTTCAACACAACAGGAAGAATACTCTTACTACGTCTCAATTTAGATCTATGTTTCCTTTGATCAAGACTTATTATCTTTTGCTTTCATTCAAAGTAAAAGAGGAAGTCTTTAGAATGGTCTGTCATATCCTATATATTTTAAATCTCTTTCCCTTTATGCCTTCATTTTAAAATACTATCTTCCTAGCTTACTTCATTGCAGCTGCGTTGGCCCCTTTGCTCTTTTCTGAACATGTTGTACGTGATTCTACCTTGGGGAACTTGCATATGTTATTTCCGGAATACTTTCCTACCAGGTACCACTTGATTTGTTTCATCTCTTTTAAATTATTTCTTAAACTTCACCTTCTCATTGAAGACTTCCATTGCCACATTATTATAAACTGTTACCTTCCTCCAACCTTCTCAATAGTTCTTGGCTATTTAGTTTAGGATTATCACTGTTTAATAAGCTATATAATTAGTATATCCATTTTATTATCTGCATTCCTTACCTAGAATGTAACTTCCTGGAAGAAAGGAATTTTTGTCTATTTTATTCATGGCTGCTGGGTTGCACAACTCCAGGGGCACCATTTCCATTATTGCAGAAAATATACTGCGAATGTTAGATTCTTAAAAATATTATGTGAGGCCAGTGTGGTGGCTCACGCCCATAATCCTGCAGTTTGGGAGGCTGAGGTGGGTGGAACACTTGAGCTCAAGAGTTTGAGACCAGCCTAGGCAATATGGAGAAACCTCATCTCTAGAAAAAAATACAAAAATTAGCTGGGCGTGGTGGCATGTGTGGGTAATCACAGCTACTTGAGAGGCTTAGGCAGGAGAATTGCTTGAGTCTGGGAGGTGGAGGTTGCAGTGAAATGAGATCATGTCACTGGAATCCAGCCTGAGCAACAGGAGTGAAACCCTGTCTCAAAAAAAAATATATATATATATATATATGAATCAAACAATCAATCTATGTTTAGAAAGTATGTCTGGTAAGAGTATATTACCATATACTGAAATGGAAAATAAAGCACAAGTCAAAATTATTTTTACATGATGCTCTGTAAAAAAATAAAAAATAAGAATAAACCCCAAAGCCTATCTCTGGGAAAGGAAAAAGGGCTAGAGAAATCACATCAAATTATTTGAAAGTTCTACCTTTGGGTAATATGACTATTATAATATTTAAAATATTTATTTCCACTTTTCTGTATTTTTCTACTTTCTTCATTAATAAGTTTTAATTTTATTATCAAATAAATACATATTGTGGTAAAAAATTATCACAAAAAATAATTTTAAAACCACTGCCCTTGCTGCATTGAAGCTTATATATCTTTGCTGTATTTCACTCTCATCTTCCAGCAAGTATTCTCTGCTATTCCTCACCCTTGATCTAGATGTCTGCTTGACCCAGATCACCTATAGGCTGTTGGATTTTTTAAATAGAGTCAAGCAGCAGCAATAGACACTTAGAAAAAGCACAGCATTAATAGAAACAGGAAACTTAATTGACAAAAATGATTTCCAAAAAGAAGTAAAAGCCTCTTCAGCATAGCAATGTGTTCTATCCCAGGTCAGCTCAGTTAAGAGATCTGAGCACAGTTTTCAAACTTTATCTTTCCTAAATTGGTGTGTGGGGGGGTTTGGGTGTGTGTTCACTTTTTTTTCTATTTTGGAAAAGGGGAACAAAGCAATAAATTACAAAAATAATGAAATAAGTGAACTAAAATCACAGAAATGCTATTCAATTAAAAATAAATGAAGCAAGCTTAAGGTTTAGCTAAGGACTCTCCTGAAAATTGCACATTAAAGAGAATAACTCAGACTCCACTTTATAAATAACAACTTACCCTCCTGAACTCACATGGTTTGATAAAAAGAAACCTGTTCTTTTAAACAGTATTTACTTTGTATTATTGACTATTCTTTGGAGGTAAATTAAAAATAATAGAGAAAGGCAAGAAAGAAGATCATTTGCCAAAGAAACATGACAAAAGCATCTGAAGGACCACCTGCTTTTAACTCCTCCTTTTCCCCACAAAACACAAAAAAAAGCCCCAATCCTGAACCAGAAAATAAAGCAACAACATTAGGGAAAGGGTGAACTGACAGCAAATCTATTAAGTGCCTGGATGGGTGTTACTCAGAAAATGTTTGGGACAAGGTTGGTCCTGAGAGATGACATAGGCCTGTGGTTTGCAATCCACACAGTATGTTGAAATCCTCTGGGAAGCTCCTGCTAGGACTCTCCTCTCAGAGGTTCTGATTCCTTTGATTTGGGTGAGGCCTTAGAATTGGGAAGTTTCAAAAGCTCCCAGGTGATTCTAACATGCTGTTATGGCTAAGAGCCACTGCATGGGTCTAAGGCCTTCATTTTATGAATGAAGAAACTGGGTGGAGATCTCCGTGGCTCACCTGGCTCATCAGTGGCAGAACGAGTGCTATGTTTCAAGTTTACTTCTCTTTCCACCTAACATCCTTTGTACTGCTTCAGCCCAGGACAAGGTCTTACTCATCTCATAGCTACTTTACCCTGCCTGCATTTAATGAGGCTGGCCCTGTGATAGGTGTCCCGTAAATATTAATTAAATAAATTCATATCTAGTTTTCAATTGCTGATAATGACCATATTGGAAAACTTATCAATAGAAGTGGAGTGTGCCAACTGCCAAGGGATTTCCAGAGTTTCCAGAGGTTCAGCATTGAGAAACTCTCTGATTGCCTATTTTTAGGACTCAACAAGCCATCCCCACATAACCCTAGAAGCTGCAATGACTTCTATCAAAGTTGCATGATACCAGCTAAATGAAGAGATTTTAGGGCAGGCTGGGGGTAAATGGGGTTTTTGGGAAATGAGGAAAGAAGGAAATTCAGAGACATTACACGTGAGCCACATGTAAAATGAAGGAAATATACACAACCAGATCATACTAGGAATAATGACAGGCTGAAAAAGGTGGGAATATGGGGACAAAGTGAAGTTTTCTCTTGATCTGGGCAAATATAGAAAGTGTTAAACAAGAGGAGGAAAGGTTTGAAGAACAATGGCATTCAGATAAGGATGAGCTCACACAGAGGTGATATCTACTTGGTATGATTCACAATCCAAGTTTTCCTTTAGTTATTTTCAGGAGCACCAAGATACTTTATTGCCTTTCAAACTTCTGCTGGCCTTGGCCTTACCTTCAGATATTTAAATTCTGTAGAAACAGAGTGAGAATTCTGATGCATCTGCTTAATTTAAGGAGAATTCAAGTCAAATTGACTGGCAATGATCTTTGCACCTCACCCATCATGCTAATGTCTGAGACTCCACATTAGAGCTGCAAGCCTTTACTTATAAGCCTGGTCTCAATATGAACATTGTCCAGGAACAGGCCACACTTAAGGTTGTGTCAGTTATTGATACTTTAAGATAATGAGTGAATGAGTTCCATCACATCCTTATGGAGTAGTTTTGATCATCATCATTACAGAAACAATAATGGGTTTCCAGCAGCTGTCTTTCACTCTTCCACCTTTGTGAGGAACAAAGCCACTTAAGTTTGCACAGTGCTTTATAGTTCACAAAATATCTTCATATCTTATCATTTATTATTGTATGTCCCCTTTTTATAGATGAGAAAAAGTATTAAGTAACATCTCCTGGCATCCTCTTCTATTACCACCCTTGATGAGGAACTCAATTTGAGAGAAATAGGGCATTCTAGTGGGTGGAGCCACTCAAATTTGATAGATGGGCCAGAGGCATCATAGTTCTTTCCCAGGATCATGGTGAGTCAGATCCTGTCCCAAGCCACCTCCTCTACCAAGAATGGCAATCTTGCAATAAATGATTAGAAAACAAGCCAATAATCCTTTTTTTAAATTAAAAAACAATTTATTGAAAAAGAGTAATGCTTTATACAAATTCCTATTATAAAACCCCAAAATGTCTATTGGTCTGTTTCCAGGTGTGGTAGAAGAATATAAAAAGATCAAAATTGGATAAATTCTATTGTAACAATTTCGTTGGTCATTTTGGGCCATAAAATTTTTTTGTAATGTTTGGTAACTGATATCCACATGGAATTACACTCACACATCATGAAGATCTATGTATGTGGCAAAAGCCATTTAAATTTTAACTTCCAAAAGCATATATTCTCAGGTTTGGAAGGCACACTAAAATTTATTAGGTCCAATTCCTCATAAGACACAGTGGCTGACTTTCCTTGTGTAGTTTATTATGAAGTACCATTTCCAAACTAACTATCCTAGCAGCGTCAGCTGCCAGCTAACAGCAAGAGCTCTGAGGGCATCACTGAACAGATAGCACCTTATGAGTTATTATGATTCAAAAATCTCCCTTGCTGTTGGATTTACCAACACGTAGGCTTTTATTTCTTCCCATTACATCTGTTTAGCCACAGAAAGCATCGGGCCATACTCACTGCAGAAGATAAGACTTCCTCAGAATCTTATTTGTTTAGTGCACTCAATTTTACTTCACTGTCTCATCACTTGAGAGACTGGTTAAGGCAAGAAACCCATTTCTTAACATTTTTTTTGTTTTCAAACATTTGAAAAGCAACACCAAAACGTATGCAGTTAATTCCTCAATTCTTTCCCTTAGTATAGCACTTTTTAAATTACAAAACCACACTTACATGTATTCTATCTCACTGGATCCCCACAACATCACTGTGAGGTGGGAAGATCAGGAATTACAAACCACCGCTTACAGATGAAGCAATAAGCTTACAGCAGCCAAATGCCTTGCTCAAACACAGACGGTGATTGATAGCACCAAGACTCAAATCCAGGTCTCCAGACACCAATGCCAACACCCTTTCCATTACATCATCTTGCTCAAGTGAAATAGCATTCTGTACAGACTGGAAAAGTAAGAGCAGTTGTTAAAATGGAACAGAGCACAAACATGTCAGACACAGCTGAAAGAATGGAAATAGACTGGTAGAGAGAGGAAGGCACTGAGCCACATGAAGGTATGTGCGTAGGTTTTGTTCAGTGGAAATAGACTGGTAGAGAGAGGAAGGCACTGAACCACATGAAGGTATGTGTGTAGGTTTTGTTCAGTGGAAATAGACTGGTAGAGAGAGGAAGGCAGTGAATCACATGAAGGTACGTGTGTAGGTTTTGTTCAGTGACTTCTTCAGTGTCTCAGCCAGCTGAGCAAATAAAGACACTACATAGGCATAGTTCATGTTCAAAGAATGAGAGTAATATAAACTAATTAATATTCACACTACCTCTTCTAACTGGTTAAGTATCATTATCTCAATTTGGCAGATAGAAAAAAGAGGTAGAAAGATTAAGTGACTTGCTTACAGCTACAGAGAGAATATTTGTCACCAGATTATCACTCCAGAAAGTCTAGCACTTTGTTCAGACAAACAGACCACACCTTATTAGGAAGATATAAAACGCATGATAATTACACTTGGGAAAACAATACAATTAAGGAATGGGGAACAAAAAGGTAGTTTAGGGGGATATAAAACTATGAATAAGTAGCTTAAAAATTCAATCAATAAAGTTGTGTTACAACACCTGGGGGAACAGCATGCAGCTACTCAATTGGACAAATATTTTCAAAGCAAACAAGAGTGCTATGGGTCAGAGTACAGGGATTGTGTGGGAAGGTCAACAGGAATTTATCACTTTGGTCATGCAGAAAGATTTGCCTCCAAAGTTCTGATTTGTAATAAATTCTTCTTGGCTTTAGAAACTAAAATGTAGGCTATGAAATGTGTTAGATTCAGGAGATAGAGACCAATGAAACACAAAACAAATAAGGGCTTAATAACGATGCAAGTGCTATAAGATTATGGTAAAAAATAAAATAAGTATATGAAAAGGGCACGCATGAAGAATTGAAAGAATTCATCCTTGGTAAATTAGGCTAGGTCTTGTGGCAAAGGCACCCAAAGCTAATGAAGAAGAGTAAATGATATTTGACTGTTACATATGTATATATAGACGAAAAAGAAAATATACCAATAAACATCTTCATCAATATGGAATTAAATACATTTACCTATTTTAGAGATATTTTAAGTATGCTAGTATCAACATAATGAGAATAGTATTTTACTGTCTATTTTTAATAGAAAAACATGTATATATACATATCTATATATATTTAAGGAGCACCCCTTCCCCCAGTTGAGTATGATTACTCAATGGGAAGCAGTAATACAAATGGAAAAATCTTCCCTCCTATATTGAGGAAAGAAGATAAAATAAGATTAAGCCATGTTTAGCACTGAGTATTTTAACACATGGGTTTTTTGTTTGTTTGTTTGTTTTGTAATACCATACTTCAGATTACAATACCCAAAATTCTAAGGTCCTAATGTTAATGATAGTATCTCAATGTCCATTTTCGGTTTGTTTCAACATGATTTTCTCCTTTTGCCTCTGTGTCACACGTAGTCTTTCCCGCTGGAAGGTGCAGGTTTTGGATAGGGCCTTGGTGTTGGGTAAGAGGTTGTTTTTCGGGGACAGGAACAGCAAAGTAGGGCACCTCCCAGAAGGCAGAGAGAAGCAGCAGCCCAGCCAGTGAAGAGAGCCTGACCAAATTCGTACCTAAAAGGAAAAACCCATGTGCTTGTTAATCAGTGAATTATTGGCAACTTTTCTAATATAATAAAAGGAAAAAAAATCAATACTCATTGTATTTTTTTCATTGAAAATAACCCCTGAATATCCCTTGGGAAGTACTTTAAGATTTCTGAACATACACGCCAAAGAATGTTTATATTGCAATTGGTGACAATTTGCAATAGTAGATCAGGAAATAACACATGTAATACCAGGTTAATTACACAAATAATTCCAAGGACTTTTCCATATATAGGATACTTGTAAAGCATGTTTATATGTTTTAGAAGTAGGGTTTGGATCATGGTTCCTAGGCTGAAACTTAGCAAAGGAAGCTTTATCACTAAGTAGTAATCATATTCTATAAAGAAACTGATAGAGCATAATGGAGATAATCAGAGCTTTGAACAGATGATCCATTGGTCCCAGGCACCTATACAATCTGAAATCCAAATCTTATGGTTTTGTAAAGAAAAGTTCTAAGCAGCCCATGAACCATTCTGGATTAAGCTGATCCAGGCAGATGTATTAAAGCAGACACTTAGGGTGGGGTATCTGTGAGTGATTATGGACAATACGGAAGAGTAGAGAAGGGTTGGTTCTATAAGTTATAAGGCCAAGTCTAAATCCTGATGCAGACTCTCAACTGCTGCAATTCTGGGATAGCAACTTCACCTCTCAGCCTCAGTTTCTCCTACTCTCAAAGCAGGATAATCCCACCTGCCTCAATAGACTGCTTTTAGGATCACATGCAATAATGTAAATAACAATTGCAAAATGGCTGGCAATTTATAAAGTGCTTTCCTGTGCATTACTGGTGTTATTACCTTGGCGAAATTTTAGCCTACTGACCTCTAGCAGTTTCTATTCTTACACTGTAAATCTTATGGGATGGGCTCCAACACAACCATTGCAGTATGTGTTCTCCCATATGTGGGTGATTATATAAAAAGAAACACATCTTATCTCTCCAAACACTGAGGTTTTTCATCCATTCATCTAAGCACTCAACAAACAATAATTATATTTTAACATCCTGACTGAATGTAGTTATTAGGCATTAAAGATGTGAAGACAGTGAGATGAAGAGCCTCGTCTCTGATTAAAGAATGTTGTTACACGAGAGCTAAGAATCAGCTCAACTTGCACAACCTGCAGTATTAAGAAAGATGACCTTTGTAAAGCCAATTTTACAGTTGTGAAAGAACAAAAAATTTCAAGGTGGTATCTGAACATACTAAAAACATACATAATAGCTTTACGTGTAAAAATGAACTGTTGGGAATGAAGTATTATTCATTAACCCCTATAGTAGTATAATTTTTCTCAATCAATCATAAACTGTGCATTAGTTACAAATAATCTTAGGTAGGTGTTGTAAACATCAGAATACACTTCAAAAAGGAAATTTCAAATATATTAACATCTTTATTAATATTTGAAAAAACAAACAAAAGAAAGCCCAGTTATACAGTTGAAAAGCACAGAGCTTGAAACTTTTCTACTTTGGAAGGTATTTTGTCATCAATACAGGGTGTTAAAGCAATTATCAAACTCATTTTGACATAAGTCAGAGATCATTTAAATTGTTTGTAGGTTTGACATAAAATTCTTGAAAGCAAATCTGGGAAATGATGGCACTAGCAGGACTTTGTAGAATATAAAAAGGGCATTTTCTCAGAAAACAAACTATTTTACGCCTGAATAGCGTTACCTGGCATTGACTGGGGTCATAGGGTCATAGAATTCTTGAACGATTCTATTGCCATACCATGCTGTGGCAACTAAAATAGCCAGACCTATAGAAATTCAAAACAAAAGACTGTTAATCACCATGGAACACTGAGCCTAAATACACAACCTGTTAAACCAAAACATATTTTGCAAGAATTAAATCTCATCAATAGTGTTGACATTTTTATTTTGGTATTAGGGAGATTAGAAGTCCAGATATGATTTATTCCAAGTATCTATTAAAATATAAAAAAATACTAGGTTGGCATTAGACAAAATTTATACTTTTTTATGATATCTTGGCACAAATAATTCTTTTTTGGAAACAATTAGGCAGGTGTATGTTGTACAAAATCTCTTTTAAATATGCTGTTATACATTAGGATACTAAACTACATTTGATAAAACTATTGTCATTATTAGTACAGGTAGAATTACTTGCAAAAGGGGAAGATGAAAACTCTTCTATGTTCTTGATCAAACTCAAAATTTACATTTCTGCAGAGTCAAAAGGAATGCAAGCAGCTAGATAGAGTGAGATCAGGACATGTCTCAGAATGGACCAGAATACCTGCATTACTACTGCCCCATTGGCCAAGGGAATACCTGATATAGGTATAGGTTGGCCTGAGATTTGTTGAGGGTGCCACATCAGATCAATTTATGCAACCCAATCTCAATTTCCCATGGCATTTTATATTCAATGATAGCAGAGAAATCATTTAGTCAAAATCATTCACTTAATCATTTATAAGATGTATAAAATACTTCATTTTTTTATCAAAAAAGTTAAATAACTTTTTTGTAGTAATTCTAAGTATTCATCAATATAGATAGATTAGATGTTTCTATGCTACTGTCTCTCCCCAGCCAAAAACATGGTCCAATGTAATTGCCTCTAGACATGACAGAAAACACTATTGCTTTTGGCTTCTCAAATAGACCATGCGAATGGTCTTGAACTTGTGATGCTTACTCCTAAGAGAAGTCCCTGAAACTGGAATAGGAGTGATGCAGTCACATGTGGGAGTTACAAGAAGGCAAGCGAAGGAAGAATGCAATGCATTTCATCCTCATCGTCTTCCAAGCACTTCATACACTTCATGCCACGATGGCCACAAAGATTACTATTCGCAGCCTTTGATATAAGAGTAAATTATTGGGAATAAGACACTATCCATGCCTTTTCAGAGAGGAGTCAATTTGTATTTGGGTAAACTGAGAGACTGGTCATTTTAAACTAACCACATCTTTAGCAAAGCCACAGATACTCTTCCTCAATTACTGGTTAAACTGACATATTATACTGAAGCAAAAGCCCCTACAAGTCTTCTGTCAAAAAGAAAATAAGAAAATAAAGTCTATTCTAGTTTTTTTCTATTAGTAGATTTGTATCATTAATTATATCTGTTATTTTTTTAAAATAATATACTATAATATACTACATATATAATATATGCATCTAATACCTAATATAGAGAACATATAGTAGTCTATTATTATAGCTGTATAATTTATATGGAGATTATCAACATATATAACACAGTGTATAGATATAAAGATATATATATACACACAGAGAGATTGCATATGTATGTACATATACACACGTAAGTATACATACACTATAATTTTTTAAATAGGCATTATTATAAAGCTTTGAAATAATGCTGTCCATGTTTTCTGACTTTGATTTTCTCAAATGACACATAATGTAACTTATCAATCAACACTTGAATTAAAAAACAGATATTTCTTTTCTTTTCTTTTTTCTTTTTTTTTTAGACAGTCTTCTGTTGCTTAGGCTGGAGTGCAGTGGTGCGATCTCGGCTCCCGAGTTGAGGTGATTCTCATGCCTCAGCCTCTGGAGTATATGGGATTACAGGCGTGCACCACCACACCCAGCTAATTTTTGTGTTTTCAGTAGAGATGGGGTTTCACCATGTTGGCCAGGCTGGTCTTGAACTCACGACCTCAGGTGATCCGCCCTCCTCAGCCTCCAAAAGTGCTGGGATTACAGGCGTGAACCACCACACCTGGCCTAAAAAACACGTATTTATTTTAAATGGAAAATATAATATTATTTTATCAAAAAAATTTAAAGGTATTTCTGTATTTTTTTTTTCCTAACTGCTTTAAACTGACCATTCCAACAGGCCACCTCTACTCCAGTTGGCCTTTCTTTTCATTGATCTACAGGCACATCCTGTTTATTCTCGAATTAGATCTGCCCAGCTGGAATGCTATCCTTATTTTTCTCCAATAATCCCAATCCTTCCATCCCTCACAGACCTGAAGGGTTCACATATTCTTGTGTTTTCTCTCACTACTCCCCATCTTTTCCACATAGTATCTGTGGAGACACCATAGGAATTATCTGAATTACATGAACTTCCTCCTTAGCGTTTGCTAAATAGTGAACAACTTTCTTCACTGGAAGAGACTGGTTCTAACAAACCAGTTGCCACTTGAAACTTCAACCAATAGACCTGTCAGATGTGAGCAGAGCTCTCACATTTTCATTTAGTTTGTGTTTGAGAACATGAAAGTCAACTGGACTTCAGGTCTATGTTTGCAGTTTGCCTTAGAGACTGAAATCAAGTATAATGAATCCAACGTAATAGATTTCAAATCATACCAGGAACAGGTTAGTAAGGTGAAAGGGGGGCACAGCCTCTATTACCTGCAAGAAGAAATATCGCACCCCCAATGACAGCCATCCTCATCTTCTGCACCTCATCGTCTTCCAAGCACTTCATACACTTCATGCCAACGGTGGCCACAAAGATTGCTATCACTCCCAGGAGGATGCCAACCACCATCAAGGCACGGGTTGCTTGCAATGTGCCTGGCAGAAAACATTTTAAAACATGTAAAAATATGCTTGGACCAACAAGAGAAAAATGGAAGAAGACCAAGTATATGTCACTGTTGTATGGAAGAGAGAAAACTGGACTAGGAATCTAGAGACCCCAGTCATACTGATGTTTCCGCTGGTAACCCAATATACAGTATCTTCTCCAGAAAAACAAATGCCAGGCTGGATGATGAAAAAGAGATCCCTCCACTCCAATATTTTATGTTTCCAACATTAAATTCAAAATCAACTGGAAAATTAATTAATGATCTAATTGAATAGGGTTAGCTGAACTAATACATATTTATTTTTTACTAAGGGATTTTCATCCTTGCTAAGATAATTTTAATTTTAAGTAACAATCATATATACTATCCTGGATGTTAACTATTTGTAATCAAAATGGTTTACAGTATATCTTTGATATTAGTCACCAGCTTTACACCCCAATCAATAAGCTTCAGAAAAACTGGATGAATTGGAAGATAAAAAATAAATGTTTTATAGATTATCATGGCTGGATAAGCAGTATTTGTATCTCCAGTGATGTGAATAGGAGGAGTGGGGAAGAATATAGAAGTCATTTTCTTAAAACTAAACAAAATAACCTTTGAGATGTTACCTTGGGACATAGTAGTAGATTCATATTCAAAGACATCACTAGTTTTTTAAAACTATTTAAGCTGCCATGTTGTAAAATAGCACACACAATAATTCAATGTAGTGTTTCTCAGGATTCCATTTTTTCTAATTTCCCATCATTATTTTTGGTGTACTAACTCATGATCAAATAAACAGGGTCAAGTTTGAGACATTATCACTATGTTTCTTAAAGAGTAAAAACTTGATGCCATCATTGTGGCATAAAGGCACAGATTTTTAAATATGAACTGAAACTATGCTGGTTAGAAGATTTTGTTTAAATTCTAGATTTATGTCCTCCTTTAATTAAAGATCACTATATCATTGACAGTGATAATATGTGACAAGTGTTTTTTGCATATATAAGTATTTTTTAGCTTTAACAAACTGTGCTATCTTGAGCAAGAAACTTAGTATTGTTTGGAATAATATTTCAATTATATAAGTAAAATGTAAATTATATCTTTATCCAGTGGATTGGAACAATTGACTCCTTGATGGTCTTTAAAAGTGGCTGAGATGTTGGAAAGGTTTTGTATCTCAATATCTAATCAGGCCTAGGCTTAGTGTTAATATTGTCAAGATTGAGAACTTAGGTCACCAATCATAATTGAAGCTAAATATTTCTAAAACTTCATTAAATCTTGATTTACTGATTTTCTGTCTTTGCTATAACCAGGCAATCTATGATAAAATTATAGTAATCTCTTTATTTTTCTTTTTTTGAGATAGAGTCTTGCTCTGTTGCCCAGGCTGGAGTGCAGTGGTGCGATATGGGCTCACTGCAACCTCTGCCTCTGGGGCTCAAGCGATTCTCATCCCACAGCCTCCTGAGTAGCTGGGACTGCAGGCACGAACCACCATGCCTGGCTAAATTTTTTTTTTTTTTTGGTATTTAGTAGAGATGGGTTTCACCATGTTGCCCAGGATGGTCTCAAATTCCTGAGTTCAGGTGGTCTGCCCACCTCGGCCTCCCAAAGTTCTGGGATTACAGACGTGAGCCACTACGCCTGGCCATAATCTCTTTCTAAAAAGTATCAAAGGTATTGTTTACAGTATTTGAGAGATATTTTTGAAGCCAAGGTTAAGTTTTACTTGATTTCATTTAAAAATAAAAAAGAGACTTCCTGATTCCCCTCACACACTGACCTCCTCATAAGCATGTATGGGCACACATGCACACTGACCCACACACTTATCTCAAGATTCCAGGTGGCAGAGGAACTGCTGGATCAAAACACATGTTCCACGGACCACAGGTTTACCAGGAAGGAACTGAAGCTGCTTGTAAGGTTATTACACAACTTTTTCCTTGGAATCACAAGCCATACTGTGGTATGAAGAGGAAAGTACCAAGGGCTCCATGGTTAAGGTATGTCCTCTTTCTGATGGATGGTTTTTGCAAAGGCTATCATTATTGGGAAATAACAAATAAAATAACTAAACCCATACATAACACAGATTTCAGATGTGGTCCTAAGATTACACTTGGCAGGAAAATATTTCAGGCAGAGATATGCCTGAAGAGGAGATGCTGAAAGTAACAAAGATGATCCATGTCTGGAGGATAGGGAAACCACATATCTCAGTTTGCCTGGAACAGTCCTAGCTTTAAAGTTTAAAGTCCTACATCCTTAGAAGGCTCTCAATCCTGAACAAATTGGGAGAGCTGGTCATCCTAACGCAGGATGATAGGATGTGCAAAGTAAAACGAAGTTTAGCAAGGTGGGCAGAAGGCATATGTCATGCAGAACTTCGCAAATTAGGGTAAGAAGATGGATTCTATTCTAAGTATAATCAGAAGTCATATGATTATCTTGAGAAAGGGGCGACATGATTTTTACTGTCAGCATAGAGATCACACAATCAATAAATATTTCTATGACAGCACTTCAAGCATCTATAGCATCTTACATTTCACAGCCTCCTCCATTTTATTTTTTCATAAATACTCTTTTTCAACCTTTTATTAATCATTTTAGATGTTTTCTCTGATCTTGCTCCAAGTTTTTCTCTTTGTTCAAGTTGTGGGGCCCCAAACTGGACCAGTTTATAGAATAATCACACTGATCTTTTCTTCAAGTAAAAACAGAAGGTCACTTGCCCAGCAGGTCTGAGCACTTAGATCGCAGAGTAGTCTTCAAGAGAAGTCTAACTGGGCATCAATCTCATGAGTCGGACTGTGTAAAACCCCTGATCTCCCAGGCAAGGAACACATGTGCATAAACTACTCCAGGGCCCTTACTGCACCCACCTGGAATGACCTAATATTCACATTTTTAATCTCTAAGTTTTTGCCCATTAAGTTCTCAAAGAAAACACATTTGATTCGTGTCAAATCTATCTTGCCACTTCATCTACAAAGTGTTCTTTCCAAGGGGCTGGGGACTGATATTCTGTTCTATGATTGCTAAGAAACCTATCAGGTTTCATTTCTCTATAGAATAATATATTATTTGCATAATACACAAAAAGTAATGGAGAAAATGGAAAACACAATATTTAAAAATTGCATAAACCATAGAAATGAGATCCTGCTTTGTTTTTTAAAATGTCGTTTTGCAAAGTAATATTTTCACTTACATCCTGGCAACTATTGACTTATACAATTTATTTGTATGTTCCAATATTAGATTTGCATCAAACCCAAAATCTTGCTTTGCTTCATTGGAGATATTTGGATAAATTCTTAAGTATAGTTATATGTGAGGAAAATGCAAAAATAATATACACATGTAGTCACGCACAAAAAGCTGAGAATTAAAACAGCACGAAAACTCACAAGCAAGGCGTAGGTAATGATAGGTTACCAGTCAAAGTAAGCAACTATTGTGTTACAAGTTACAAGTGTTTTATGTGCAGATCAAATCTAAATTGCACAGTTTTAAGCCGGAAACAGATGAATACCTTCACATCATAGAAGTGTTTTAAATCAGATTTGTAAAGTATGTAATCATGAACTCCTGGATGATTTGAGTCAGATATTTATTCCTATTTCCATCTAAAGCACCAAGCACAGTACTTGAAAAGTCACATGGATTTATCAAATTTCAATAAATTTAAATTAGAACATGTCTTTATCCTTTAAAAATCTGTACCAATATGATAGGTAAAAATACTTATTCTCTTGTGTTTAGCTTAATTTTTGAAATAATACTGAGAAATACCTCCCTTGAGAGCCTGGTATGCTAAAATCTTGCTACTAAAAGCCAGACTTAGCTTAGGTCACTGATAACTAGAAACTCATGCAGATAATACAAATTGTACTTTTTGCTTATTTTGATCTATTTTTTAAAGTATGTATCTAATGAGCTTCAAAGCTTAAGTTTTGTTTCTTTTTGCCCTAATGGAATGATGAGTGGCAGAGCAGAGAAGTTAAAAAGGATGTTTGAAAGCTATAAAACAACAATTTGGATGAGATAGATGTTGTATAGCCTTGCAATATTAACTTTGAATTGGTCTGATTAGAACAAACCTAGGAACAAACATATTCCTTTTCTCACCTCTTAAATTTGCAGCTAAATCTACAATATTATGACCACTGACTAAAGTTGTCTATGGAGAACCTGGTTAGCAAACATTAAAAAAATTACACTATTTTTTCTCATCATTATTCAGCAGTAAACACAGAAGGCAGTCTTTTAATTATATTTAGCTAGACTGACAATCTTGAGATTAAAGACCCCCTAAGGAGTTCTCATCATTTTCCACCTGAAAGTAGAATTAAAAGTAAATACTTACAAAGATCTCTACTTATAAGACAAGAAGTGAGTTGGAAGTTACTGATCTACTACACTTAGGTTAATCAACAAATGTGTAGAAAGACAGACATATATGTAATTTTTCTAAAGCTTGAAAGTCTTGCTACACAAGTAGTAGAATCTACTATCAATACCAGACATTGTTTATGCTATTTTCTAGCCATATTACCTTAGGTTCTATATATCATAAACAAAATATAGTCATCTCTTGGTATATAAGGGTGATTGGTTCCAGGACCACCCACAGGTAACTAAATCTGCACATGCTCAAGTCCTACAGTTGATCCTGTGGAAGCCTTGTATACAGAAAGTCAACCCTCCCTACATGCAGGCTTTGGACTCTCAGATACTGTATTCTTGATCGGTATTGGTTGAAAGAAATCCACCTATAAGTGGACACTTGCTGTTCAAACCTGTGTTGTTCAAATGTTGACTGCAGATTCCAATTCTCCCTTTGCATCTGTAGTTGCTTAATAAGTATTAAGTGAATAAATGAACTGATGATTGGGTGACTAGAACAAAAATATTGTGCTTCCTTCTCCCCTGCAATTAAATGAGCTCAACACAGACAGTCACAGAAGTGTACTCCCCTGGCTTTTCTCCATATTAAATCTTTTACTTTTACGGAAGTTCAAAGTTTCATAAAAGTCCTAATCATTAGCATTTCCCTCTTATTGGTGCATGAGGTGATGGTCACCAGATGTGAACTCAGAACATAAGCAAAATCAGGAGTGAAAATGATCCTGGATGAGGCAGGATGTACCACTTTTCAGGATGTCCTCAGAAGTTTTGCTACCTTTCTTGTTTGTGTGTTTCTTCAAGAAATTTTCTCAGAATTAAGTTGATGCTTCTATATTACCTCCATTATATTTCCTTAATCACTCCAATTAAGGAAACCTAAGCTATGTGACTTGCCTCTTCCCCTTCAATCACTGAAGTAATAACAAAGAATTCTGGCACTGGAAGGAATCTTAGAACTCATCTTAGCTGCACCATCCTTAGCAGCAAGAATAGGGCCTAGCTTGCATCTGTTGAATGGATAAACGAATCATAGATTCATCTCCCCATTCCTCCCACTCTGCCCTATTTTATAAGTGGGGTAACTACTTGAAACCAGGGAGATCAAGTGGCTCACCATTATACACTTGGCTACTTAGTGCCAAACCACAGTAAGAACAGAGAATTTCTGATCTCAAGCCTGGATTTTTGCTTCAACTTCCATTATTCTAAGAGTCAGAACTAATTTATGAAGTATATCTGAACACCAATGGCCCTTCGAGTACCCTCGGTTCAGCAGGCACAACGCATCTGGAGAAGCATAAATAGGTGCCCTCCTCTCCACTTAGGCTTCAAAGACTGTCCACGTCAGTGATTTTGTCTCTCTGATTGAGCCTGACATCATGGTGAGAGTGCTGGGGAAGCTCACAGCCACCAATACTCATTAAGCACACCTACACACATGTGGATTCATGCAAAGCAAGTTAAACAGGCTAGAGGAGCTTATAAACAAATTACAGAATCTCAGGGTTCGGTGAGATTGAGAGAGAGTCTAGCCTAACCTCCCATTTGTCTGGTGCTTGGATCTTCCCTACAACATTCCTTCAAAATGCTTATTTATTCTCTGCTTGCACACCTCCCACCATGCAGCCTCCTACAGCAACTCAATCTTTGGACAGCTCTAGCTATTAAAGTCAAGTAAGAAGAAGCATTTAAGCAAGCACATAAAATTGGCGCGAGCTTCCTAAAAGTTTGAGAATTAGATGAAAACAAGGCGAGAGGTACAGGTGAATCAAGAAAAGTCTACTACAACTGTATCTGGCACTTTTTGTATATTCCAACTTTCAGCTACAAGAATCCCCAGGGTCAATAAAATCACATACTTTGGATGAAATGGAAATTGTATCAGCCATTATAAAACTACAATACACAATGTGACATTTGTTTCCCCAGGAAGTGCCTCAGTTACATTTTCATAAACCGCTTGGCAAGAACTACCTAAAAGAAGAAGCCTTGCTCTATCTCATTTTGTATTTACTGTATACACTATTAGCACACTGTATTCCTTCAGATACTTTATGAAGGTCATATGCTTTTTATGACCTACCCTACATAAAGCAGGGAAACAACAGATTTTAATACTTCCCGTGCTAAAGCCCTGCATCTGGCCGGGAAGACAAGTGTGCTCTACTGGGAAAGACGGCAAGGTACAATTTCGGGAAACCCACAGCTAAGCTTTTCACCTAAACACACTTAATGAAATGCAGCTTTTTTCTGAGTGATACTGCTTAAATATACACACATAACCCTTTTCATCTCTACATGTAACAAAACTGTACCAAAACCAGCCAATGAATCACCATCCCAGATCTCTACAGCTGGTGGGCGTAAACACCACTGCTCAGGCAGAGAAATGAAGTAAGGTTTCCTGGGTTCTATCCAAAAGCATCCCGTGAGTCACGGCAGGTGAGAGGAGAACACCTGTGAGTCAAGGGTCCCTCTTCTGAGAATGGGTTTTGAGAGAAAGGCCTAAGCCACACCTTGGATAAACTATGGCTTTAAGTAAAATAAAAGTGGATTCTGATCTGGAGTTTTAAAAAAATAGGAAGACATCTCTAAAGTGTGTGTGGGGGGGTAGGTATTTAGTCCTTTCACCCTAGTTTTAAAAACTGTAATAACTACATTAACCAAAAAATGAAAGTAAAACATTTTAACACATTATCATGTGTAAGGATGATCCATTTGAGTATTTACAACATAGATCAATCTGATTTCATTTGGTCATTTCAGGAAGTTAAAAGAAAACCTATTTAAAGATGTTGAAAAGGAACTATTTTGATCAGAGGAATAAAACTGACAGTGAGACCTCTCTGGAATTGTCCTTAGAAACCTCCACCTGCCAATTCCTTAACGTGGTACCTAAAATGCCTGACACCGTTTCCTTAAATATATTTATCTTTCCATGGAGAAATTCAATAATTATTACCAAATTTTTCATTTTATAAGTACAAATATAACCCCTGAGGGCAATGAGCAACACATAATTACTAAACTTATGGATTGGTTTTGGTGTAAAGAAGTCCTGATATGAGAACCTTCAAAAGCTGAAATAATAACACTCAAAACAACCATGCACATTGACTGAGCAAATGCCACAGGTATTCAAGGTGTTCAAACAGATTTGGAACAGGTTTAATAACTCTAAACTATATGGCTTTTGATATACACTATTAAAAGTTGTCCCTTGATAGGAGGTAGACAAAACAAGTTAAGTAAACTTGAACAATGCCAACACTTTTCACCCTTAGCATGCAATGGGGGCCAGTGGGCAGTCACGTTCATCTAGGCAAAGACTAAGGGATCTTTTCTTCAAGTGAGTTAAAGGGCATAACAGACACATGATATAAGACAATTAATGTGATTTCTCAAGGAAGATACTCCAGCCGTGAATCATTATTATCTAAGTAAATGGGAATTTAATGACTTTTCGGACAAGGAACTCGAAACCTTTAATTTAAAAAACAAAGTAAAACAATTATCCTATTATCCTTCTTCCCACCATCCTTAGAAATATGTCTCTCTATACAATCCTTTCCAGTTTTACAGGGGGTCACTGAACATCCATTACACAGAAATTTCTTTGTGGAAGATGGAAACCTAAGGAAGACCCACCTCTTCTTTCTCTCTCACTGCCTTCCACTCCCAGCTGACCTCTGATTTCATCAGCTATGACTATTTTGCTGCATTTCCCTTCAGTGCCTTTACTTTTTTCTTTGTATTATGTTGCGCAGGTTATTTAGAACCTTTCTTGTCAGCCTTTCCCCACCTGCCACCAACCTTCTCTTTCCAAGATAGCACTACACCGTCAGCCTCTACAGAAGACCTTGGGTCTGAAAATTAAAACTTCGGGGGAATCTCAAGCAGCTTCTCCAAAGAGTCTTGCAAGGGGCCTCCCTGCACTAACTGGATCTTATAAATTAAAAGAATCAACCTCAAGCATAAGCAGAAGACACTTAGATAGGACATTTCCAGTAGGAATGTAACTTTTACTATGAAAAAATCATATTAAAGGTTAAAAAGTTATATCTAATACTTGAGGATTATTTATTTAAGCGTGCACACTTGAGAAGTTACCAGGCTTCAAACTTTTTCAGTCATCCCATTTTCTTGTCTGAACTCTACCAATCCTCAATTTACCCCAAATCTCGGAATGCCTAGGAGAGGTCTAAGAGCTCAAGTTCAAGTTTGGCCTTCACTCCCTCAACTCGAACCACCAGCATAGGAATTTAGGATGAAGCCACACCTAGAGTGGCAGAAGTGTCACCCAGGGAGTTAGAGGCAAAACTAGAGCTTATGCCTGGGCGTCGCTTTCCTCAAACCAGGATTCTCTTCATTTCCTTATGACAGAGCACATGATCAGAAGACTTGATCAACTGAAGACTGATAACCATGGAATCACACAACAGAATGAGCCCATAAGGGAGCTGC
The DNA here is from genome assembly GCF_000001405.40 of Homo sapiens. NCBI lineage: Eukaryota > Metazoa > Chordata > Mammalia > Primates > Hominidae > Homo > Homo sapiens. The sequence continues at coordinate 190,321,934 of NC_000003.12, forward strand.
AGGGGGACTGGGGCCTCTGGACGGCCGCTGTGAGGTGGGGGTGCACTCACTGCTCAGATTCAGCAAGGAGTCAAAGACTTTGCACTGGATCTGCCCGGTGCTCTGCGACACGCAGGACATCCACAGCCCCTCGTACATGGCCTGGGCGGTCACGATGTTGTCGCCGGCATAGGAGTAAATCCTCCACTGGGGCAGGGCAGTGCTGACGATGGCGCCGATCCATCCCAGGAAGGCGAGAATGAAGCCCAACAGCTGCAGCCCCGCGTTGGCCATGACTCGCTCGGGCGCCCGCGCTGGCTCAGGGGTGGCAGGTGCAGAAGGCGGAGAGTTTGCAGGTGGGCAACCCGGACTCCCGAAGGTGGCTGGGCCCCGCGGAGGAAGTTAAGGCGGGGAGCCCTGCTCGCTGCGCCGCCGCTGGAGAAGCTCTGGGTCGGGGTTGGGGTCCGCGCCCGGGGCGGCGCTGGAGTCTGGATACTAGAAGCTGCGGTTGCTCCCAGGCTCGGGAACTGAGACGCAGAACCGCTGGGCGCCGCGATTTAAAGCAGCTCCGCCCGCCTCAGCCCCGGCAGCCGGGGAGCGCCCCCTGGCGGTTTCAGGGCGGCTCACCGAGAGGGCGCCGGGAGCGCCCGGTTGGGGAACGCGCGGCTGGCGGCGTGGGGACCACCCGGCAGGACCAGGCACCAGAGCTGCGTCCCTGCTCGCTTTCTCTCGTGGATCTTCTCGCTCCTGTAAGGCGTTTCACGCTTTTCATTCATTCACTCCAATTATCCAAAAATTACTATGCACTGTACTTGTAAATCCTAACACAAAGATGAAAAAATGATCCTTCAAGAGCTGCAGTTTTAGGTTTAATACTTTTTTCCCAATATCTTATTAAAAGGCATTTCTACCCAACTCCGCGTCTCCTCCCCCATCACACCATTTCTCTCTCCTTTGCTTGGCTTCCTCCCCCTTCTTTCCTCTCTCTGCTCTCTTCTGTCAAGGTCGTTCCATCACTTGTCTCTGCAAGGAGCCTCAGAGACTTTTACACTCTACAGATTGGGAAACAGACCCAGAGAGCAACATGATTTACACACACACACACACACACACACAGACACACTCACGCACGGAGCATATCCAGTACTTGGCTCCCCTCCCAATCTGCTTTCCACTACATATCAAGTTGACCCAAAATATCCCCTTTGATCTATGATTGTCCTTTTTGATGTATTATTGTCCTTATGAAACTGCAGGCTAGCAGCCCTTCCCCGCCAAACACCAACCTCCTCCCCACAGCAGTTATGTCTTAGAGCAGCAATTCATTATCAGAGGGACCTGGCCAGTGCCCCGCTCTCCCTGAAAGGTGTTAATTTTGTGAGTTATCAAATGTTGTTCGTCGCAGGTGAGGACATGTAAACAGCGTTTCCCCAGTGGCAAAAGGACTGGGCTGGAGTTGAGGAAGTCTGGGCTCTGGTTCCAGCTTTTACTGTGACTGGCTATCTCACCCCTCCGGTTTCGGTCTCGCTGGGACTGTAGTTTCCCTCTATGTTTCTCCAAAGCTTCCTTCTTTGTAGTTAGTCAGAAGTGCTGTTGTGGTTAGGAATCATTGAAATGTTTTTCCAACTGCTTTTTGTGTGTGGTGCGAGTGTGGTGGGAGGGGAAGCTTCTATGGTTTTAGTAAAAACAGAAGCATCTTGGAAGCAGAAATAAACATATTAAGGATAAAATAAGATATACCCTTATATACCATGGCAACTGCTAGTTGGTGACAGAGAAGGAAAGGTGCAAATTCTCAAGGTGGGAATGGGAAGAAAGGCCAAGCCCCACCACCTTCATTTCCACCTGGCTCTCCCTGGATGCCTTTCATGTAGGCTTAAAACTAAAGGACTTGGCCGTGCTAGGATTTAGGGACAAGCAATGAAGAATGTAAGACAGGAGCTAGATGAAGACAATTAATTTGGACTGAGATTAACACAGTGAATACTGTCTTTCTCCTATCAGCTGTTTAGGACAAGACCATGTTCGTGTTGTATCCCAGGGTTAGGGCCTGCAGTCAGTACTACTGTCTAGGTCTCAGTGGATGTTCTGTGGGTGCCTGTCAGTGTGGATGAAGATGTATCAATCACATTTGATTTTGTAAAAATTCCCTGATCAGAGAAGGCACTGGAATTTGCTGCAGGACTAGAGCAGTACCATGTGAATCATATAATCTCATTTTCTTCTTTTTTTTGTTCCAAACATTTAAGAATTAAAAGTATTATTAAACACCCGGGCACGGTGGCTCAGGCCAGGCGCAGTGGCTCACGCCTGTAATCCCAACACTTTGGGAGGCTGAGGCAGGCGGATCACTTGAGATCAGGAGTTCGAGATCAGCCTGGCCAACATGGTGAAACCCCGTCTCTACTAACAATATGAAAATTAGCCGGGCATGGTGGTGGGCGCCTGTAATTCCAGCTACTTGGGAGGCTGAGGTAGGAGAATTGCTTGAACCCGGGAGGCGGAGGTGGCAGTGAGCCCAGATCGTGCCACTGCACTCCAGCCTGGGCAACAGACCAAGACCCCATCTCAACAAATAAATAAATAAATAAATAAACAAATAAATGACATTTTCTGCGTTCAGTAAATATATTTGTGCACAGGCCCTTTTACTCTGCATTACAACTGGTTTCTATCAACCTACAATTAGCGGGGAATCGGAGGGATGAGTTCTGTGGTCAGCAGGGTCCCGTGTTTTTGTTTTGTATTTCAGGTCTGTGCGAGGCTGATTACTTCACTACCCACAACCATGTTTGTGAGGCTGAGGTGAATGCTGTTTGCTTCACTGTGATTCAGGCCCATCTCTAGGCATCCTTAATCCTGTCTAGTTTTCTGCTCCTAGCTTAAGTGCAGAGGACAGGTGAGATAATGGCTCAGCATAAATCTATCAACTTAAGAGGAAAAACAGCTTCCAAATACTGGCCTTTCATATCTGAAACATAAACAGTAAAGGCAGCACTGAGACCAAGAAGGCTCTAGAAAGGCTGGCAATGGTATGGTAAGTGTCCTAGCCTGTTGAGTAGTAAAATCTGCTATGTACCCTCAGACAAATTACTTCTTTTCTTCCTCAGTTTCCCTACCAATAAAAGGGATGGGGTTAATTTCTGAAAGTCACCCAAGTCTAAAGCTTTATGACTCTAAGTAATGACAGCTGGCACTTGTTGCTGTATATTTTCATCAAGTGTTGAGGTCAGAGTTTTATATGCTATCTCTACGTGCAGGTAACAGACACAGAGAGGTCAGGCTGCTTATCCAAGTTCATATTGAATATGGCAGCGCTGGAATTCCAAACTATATAATTTGACGCTCGTGTCCATGCCTTTGACTGCTCTCCTGCAGTATTTCTCTGTGTGACCCAAATCAATCGAGGACAATTTTTTTTTTCTTCTTTGGAAGAGCTTAGACATACTTATCATGTGTTTCTTGCTCCAGGCAGTGGCAAGATATTTTACTCTGTGACTGTCTCTTCTTAATATCTGTTGCAGCCCACTGAGGTTTTATACCCTGGGGATTTAGAATCATGTGGCAAAAAGTTGTTGCTGTTGAGGAGGAAGAGATGTGTAAAAACAGCAAATAGCGTACTGGTTTATTCCATGTGCTTGTGCGACTGATGCTTGGGCTTAGCCATGATCTTGAGAACCAATAATAAGTAGAAGAGATATACACATAAAAGACAGAAGCAAAGGTAAGACTGTGAGTGTCAGAAGAGAGTGTAGACAAAGAACCAAGCCTCTAAGAGGCAGCATGGCAGATTCTCAGAAATGGTTAATGATGACAGTATGAAAGCCATTGGGATGTTAATTTTTTTGCTTAGTGTTAATATATGTTAATGTTGACTTTTCAGAGCTTCTTAAGTGGTAAAAGCAGAACGAATGAACACATTACTAAGTAAGCAATCTGCTGTGTAATTATTTAGGGCTTGAGAAAAGGATCAGAGTACAAATATTGTATAAATTTAACATGAATTTTAGTATTAAAACATTCAGGTTACTAAAACTGCATTGCTGTGTGACTGACACAACCTTTTAAAATGGCCCTTTGAAGCTCCTTGGAGTCTTTGAGAGGGTAGTGAGGGGTAGTGGTTAAAAGCACAAACCTTTTGAATCCCATTACTGCCACTTAAAGTAACCTTGAGAAATTTGCATAACATCCTTGTGACTCACATTTTTTCTTCTTTTGAATGGCTCAAACCCTAGTGCTGTTATGAACATTAAACAAGTTCAGACATGCACATTATTTAAAATAGTAGCTGGTATAGAGCAAGCATACATGAAACAGTACTTATTATTTCAAGCAGATCAGATACGTTCCATTTCTGATCCTGCCATTTGCAAATGATCCTCATGTTTGTTCAGGAGGACTCTTTCATGCTTCGATTCTGTTACAGTCCCACTGAATGTCATAGTTAAATCGTAGTGAAAAGATACGCAGTTTCTCTAGAAAGAAGACACAATGTTGTGTTCAGAAAAAGAGAAGGCAGCAATGGCAGGGGTATGAGCTTTCAGTGAGATTTCTAGGTCCCCTCTCCAAGCCTTGCGATGTTTTCCCTCCTAGCTCTGGATAGTTTCCCTGGTTAGGACTAATGCCTGAGGGCTTCTTCTGAGGAGGGGTTGGCCAAGAGGGAGAATGGCGATGTGATATCAGATGACTCCCACAGATCTGCAAGAATCTGTAGAGGGTAATGAGAGAAAAACAAACAAAACCTCAGTTTGATATTTTTATTATCAAGTGCCTCCCTTGTTTTCAGGGACATAAAACTTCCCCCATAGATTGCCCCCTTAACTCCTAGCCTAGCAGGTCCATCTCTTCAGAGAATTTGGGAGGGGATGAAATTTTAGCCATAAAACCTTCTGTTTCAGTCATAAAAGGTTACCTTGAAACAAGGTGCTGAATGACTGTTCCTTTTATCCTTTCACTTGTGTCATTTGGGGAAGATCCTTTTTATCTTAGAGATACTAGAAACATTCAACTGATTTGAACAAGAATCAAGGTCAAATTGCTAATATTTTACTTGTAATCTCTTTAATATGACACTAGCTTTATTAGTGGGAGTTCTCCAAAGAATAGACTACATGTGTGTATTTGTGTGTCTGTGGAGAGAGAGGAGAGAGAGAGAGAGGAAGGGAGAGACAGAGATTTATTATAAGAAATTGGCTCATTCAGTTGTGGGAGCTGCCAAATTCAACATTCGTAAAGTGTTCCAGCAGGCGGAAGACTTGAATAAGAGTTGACTTCACAGTCTAGAGTCTGAAATTTTTTAGGTTTCAGAATTCCTGCTCTTCTGGGAAACCTCCGTATTTCCTTGATTGAATTAAGCCCATCAAATTACGGAGGGTAATGCACTTTATTCACAGTCTACTGATTTAAATGTTAATCACAACTAAAGAATACAGCCACATCTGGGCTGGTATTAACCTAACATGTGGACACCATAGCCTAGCCAAGTGGACACATAAAATCAACCATCACACTCACTAACACTTACTGATCATTTAGATTCTAAGGGCTTTGTTGTATAAACTTACTTAGTGCTCAAAAAAGCCACTGAATTAGATAACTATCAACACAGATGAGAAAAGTGAGGTGTGAAAAAGTAAAGTAGTTTATCCCAAGTTACACAGCTAGCAAAAAGCAGAGTTGGCCTCCAAACTCAGTTGTTCTGGCTCTTGATCCAGAAAGCTTATGTGGTACGCTATCCTACACCTGAAGCAAATATTTATCAGTTACCTCCTTTGTATCTCTCCAAAGTTACAACTACCTAGTACAGTGATACCCAAAGACTGCATCCTCATCAGGCCACCAAATCAGAGTCATATCAGAGTGAATAGGAAGTACTCAGTAAGTGAGGGGTAACTAACGGAATTAGTGAACAGATGGATGGACTGATAGAGGAAGACTCTCTAATCTTTATTATAATCCAAGGCACTAGGAACACTTTAGTGAATAAAACAATTTTGACTCACAAGTAGATCTTGTTTTTTTTGTGTGTGTTTAGAGAACATATCAAAGCAGAAATAAGTAGCAATGCGATGAAGATCATAATTTTTTGGACAGGTGTGGTGGCTCATCCCTATAATCCTAACAGCTTGGGAGGCCAAGGTGAGAGAATTACTTGATTGCAGGAGCTCGAGACTAGCCTGAACAAAATAGTAAGATTCCATCTCTACAAAAAAAAAAAAATAGCTAGACATGGGTGGCATGCACCTATAGTCCCAGCAACTCGGGAGGCTGAGGTAGGAGAATCACTTGGGCTCGAGAGATGGAGGCTATAGTGAGCTGTGATCATGACACTGCACTCCTGCCTGGGTGACAGAGTGAGACCTGTCACACACACACAAAATATCTTAATTTTTAATACCTTGATTTTTGGGATAAGACAGAATCTAGGATATGATACTACTTTCTCTCTCCATTAGACATGATGTTAGGCAAGTTAATTAATCTTTCTATGCCTCATTTTCTCCATCTGTAAAAGAAAAGAAATATGTGTATCTCACAGTGTTGTGAGGAGTAAATAAAATTGATTGAAGTCACTTATGGATAATGCTAAATCCTGTATCTGGAACTTGGAAAGTGTTTGATAAATGATAGCAGTACTGTGAGAACCTGGGTAAGTATTCCATTAGCAAGGAATAGAGTGTGGTAGGCTGGCTGTGACTTGATCCTGCTGAACAAAATATTTGAACTAAACTCCCAGCTACATAAGGGAGAGAACATTCTACGTAAAAAAAAAAAACAAGATTTTATATATAAATATAGAGCAGTGTTACAAACTGGTGAGTTGCATCTCAAGTTTGACCTGAATATGCATTTTGTTTGAACTGCTCAGCAATTTTCCAAAAACTAAATTAGCTTTTAACTTTGAAAAATTGAAAGATTTCCCTAAAAATCTAGATTCTCTTTTGTTTAGAGTAATCAAACGAGATGGCAATACTATGCAGCTCTATGGTTTCTGATTTCTCCAAAGTATCTGCTATTTCTACTTTGTTCATTTATGTTACTTCTCTGGGCCCTGTAGGCATTTGGTGCAACATATGCATAGGTAGTGCACAACGTAAATAGTTTAACTTACAGGATTTGCATGCCAAGCTAAGTGTGGACTTTATCACATAGTAGTCAATAAGGAGCAATCACAGAATTTCCAGAAGACACTTGAGCAAATTTGTTATTTTTTGGGGGGGAGGCAGAAGGAAGAGATATAAGTTAATTTAATGAACAAGCTGAATAGTTTAGGGATGGGTTGGTGAGAGGGTTTGAACTATGTCAAAGGCGGGACATTGCAGATAGAGAGATGAGTGCACCCACCAGAGATGGGTGAAAGTGAATATTTATACCTTTATGTGATTTCATATCTATTCTGAGCTAAGAGCCATGACAATTTCAAAAACTTCTGGGGATTTTACCCAGTCATCACAGGACGGAGACATTACTTGTGTTCCTAAAGGAGATCAAACATTGGATAGGAAGAATGACTCTTATTCCCTATCTCAGTTTTAGCCATTTCAGAGAGGAAGGAGAAGCTCAACCTTTTGAATTTATACAGTATGTCAATCTTTATTATGGCTCTTTCCTGAGGGATTTTCAAGAACAATAATATTATGCATGATTTTAGCCTGTAAGATGCAATTTGGCTGTATTGTCTTAGGAGGAATAATAAGACTTGGAACCAGGAAGATTGATGAGGAAAAGTGGGTATTAGACATTAGTTTTGATTAATATGCTCATGCAAATCATTAACTTAACCTGTGGTTATTTAACTTTTTTTCTCAGGGGAATAAAAAGACATTCAATGGTTTAAAGGAGGAATAATACCTGATAAGACTTGCATTTGAACATTACTCTGAACAGTGAAGAATGCTTTGGGGAGAGGAATCTTAGAGAGGTATAGCAGTGTATTCCAGTTAGAAGGATGTTAGTATTATCTAGGTGAGGAATGGACTTCAGGACTGAAGTCTGAATTGAAAGAAAAACAGGAAAAGAAACAGTTGAAAAAGTATGATGGGGTTGGATTCTTAGTGTACTAGAGACCAGTTAGCTGACTAATTTGGGGACTATTGAAATATTGTAGAAGAAATATCTCAACCGTCCCCCCTCCACCAGCATCACTTAATCATATACATGACTGAATACAAGATTATATGCAATTTCAGGTTCGCTAGCTAGAAATGTTTCCAAAATTGAGAATATAGTACCTAATATTCTGAGTTCCAACTGTATGCTCACTATTCTAAGCATTCTGCCTGAGATTCTAGAGGCAGAAACTTGAACGACCTTTTGTTTACTGAAAAACTATTGTTTCATTGTGAAATATTGGTTCTAAGGAATAAACTATTAAAATACTCAATTATGCTGTTTTATAATAATAGTAACTAGTTGTGATCCATGTTCTAACTGAGGCTCACTCTCTGTGTGTCATAATGAAGTTGTTTAAGTCAATATGGTAAAAATGGCAAGAAGCATGAGCTGTAGCTTCAGATTGATGCATTCCAATCTTGGCTTTGCTGGTTGCTCGCTGTGTGATATTAGATAAGTTACTTATCATCCTCTGGATGCTTCATTTTTTTATTTGCAAAATAAGAATACTAGTACTACTTTCATCATCCGGTGGTGGTGAAGGGTGGGTTATTACATATAACTTATTTAGAAAAGAGCCCGGCACATGTTAGCTGCTCAAGAAATGTTATCTCTTGTAATAACTGGTATAGGAGGAAGATGTGAGAATCGGAACAAGTACATGACCCTAAGGATGGAGAATGGGGTGAAGTGAGAGATTTTACAATGGAACAAGTTGCCTTATTGTGTCATAAGATGAATTATAAATAATTAACATGCCATAACCACTAGGAAAATAATCAAAAGTAAAATTAATTTTCCAAAGACATGCATGTGTCTATGTAACTTTTAACCTTCAAATTTAAAACTAAAGTCTTAAAATAAATCTGCTACTCTTTCAGCCTTATCCTGTTCTCTCTCCTACCTAAGAAAGCCTCAGAAACAACTGCTTATTCTATGACATTTGCACAAGGTAGAGGTTAAACCAGGGAGAACCAGAATCAATGAGTAAACATGAGAAATAGAAAGAGGACAGAGTGCAACATTGCAAAAGTCCCACAGTTAGGAATGAATTTGAAACTGATTTTCTGTTACTCTGACCTTTGCTACCATACCTATGTGAGGTTAGGGTCAATAGATGAGCATGATCTGCTGTCTGATTATGCCTGCCCTTAGTGCTGCAGAGACCATCCTGGCTGGAATTTGAATGCAAACAGTGATGTCTTCTCCCAAGCAACTTTCTTCCTCTACCGTTGACATTAATGGTGGCTGCCACCATATTCCCACAAGCTTTATCAAATATTTACTGAGTACACAGTTTACTAAACACAGCTCCAGGATTTAGAACAGCCAAAGGCTTGTTTATTATTTGCTACAGTATTATTTGGTAAAAATTGTCTTTGGAATCCTAGGCAGGATATAGAAAGTAGCATTTAGTTATAATCTAGGCCCTAACTGCATTGTCCAACTTGATAGCCACTAGTCACACATGGCTATTTAAATTTTAATTAATGAAAATTAAAAATTCAGTTCCTCTGTTGTACTTGACAATTTCAAGTAACTACATACTGGCAATGCAGATATAGAGCATTCTGCCACCTCACGTACTTATGTTGTTCATCACTACTAGAGTGTTCTTGTCACAGTTCTAAAATGTATTTGACTACACGGATAGTCTCTGTTGAAATTTTTAAAATATCTCTCTAAAAATTAGTCTATTAGTTTTCTGTGGTTACTGTAATGAATTACCACAAATTTAGTGGCTTAAAACAGCAAATTTGTTATTTGCAGTTCTGTAGTTGAGAAAACTGAAAGGGATCTCACTGGGCTATAATTAAAATGTCCACAAGCCTATGTACTTCTCTGGAGGCTCCATTCCTTGTCCTGGTACATTCTAGAGGGATCTATATCCCTTGGCTCATGGCCATCTTCCTCCGTCTTCAAAGCCAGCAAGTATGGGCCAAATGCTTTTCACAAAGCCATTTCTCTGGTTCACTCTCTTTACCTCCTTCTGACATTTATAAGGACACTTGTGATAACATTGGGCTCATTCAGATAATCCAAGATAATCACATCTCAAGATCAATTGATGAACAATCTTAATTCCCATCGTGCCATGTAATATAACATATCTCTGAGTTTGAAGAATAAAGACATGTATATATTTGGCAGAGGGAGGTTATTATTCTACCTACCATCATGAGTAAATATTTTATGAAGTACATTGATTTTCCTTGTAGAAAGAGGCTATGTAAATATATTGCAGATAATTATTCACATATTTCTGAATTTAACAAAAGTTCTGATTATATGTAATGAAATTAATTAATAAAAATAAGATATTAATAGTTTGCTTAATATGCACCAGACAGTAAGGGCTAAGATTTTAAGAGCTTATATGCATGAACTCATGATTGAGTAAAGAGAGACATTAATAACACCTTAAGTAGGAGTGTGGGATAAATGAAGACATGGAATCTTAATTGGGAAAATGGGGTTCTCTTCCTGGCATAGCCACTTACTCACCTGTGCAATTTCTAAGGATTTAAATTTTTCAGGTAGATAAAAGGAGAACAGATTAAAATTATCTCTAAGGTCTCCTCCGACACTTAAATTTTTCCACTATTAATTAAGTTAGCAGAAAGATAAGATTATGCAAAAGCACAATATCGAGTAATACAGAATTGCTGTGTATTACTGGAAAATTAAACAAGATAATATGACTTGGAAGACTAAAGAAAGATTATTTAATCAGGTATAGCAGAGCATGATTTTTTTTTTTTTGTTACAAGACATACTATGGCTTAAGAGACTGGATAGTAAAGAAACTGAATAAAAATAGTCAAACCGAGCCCAGAAACTGATGGCATACACTTTGCTTTATTAAGGATTGAGATTGAAGGAGGAATACGAAGGGAACATTGTATTTCCAGTTGGGTTAAACTGACATTAATTATTAGTCGTACACATGATTAAGCAAATTTTTATCCCCCTGCTTTATTGTAGTCAGGTGTTTAGGGAAAAAGGAGAATATTACTGCCATTAGAAGAGCTACATCTCTGTCAAAAGCTATCAGACCATACCCAAATAAACCTTTACACCCAACAAGGTTGATAAACAACTGAGACTCTTTTTGTGGTAGACATTAGCATGTGCGTTATGCGGTAACTCAAAGAGTGAGACAAAGGAATTTTCTCAATAAAATTAGGTAATTTCATTCTATTTTAAATGAAATAGACCTCAGGTTTAGGAACTCTAAGGATCCACAACTTTCAGATCAAGGTGTGTTAAAATAATTTATTTTCCCTAAAAGGGTATTAATTCTAAGACTTATTCAGATTCTTAGAAATATTTGGGCCAATGGCACTGTAAGTATGTTAACAAATTACCCATTTTGAGTGCCTTAAAGTACTTTAAGTGTATGCACTATTACTCAAAAACTATGGATAAAATTTTATATAATACCAGTAGGATATTTTCCCTTATAGGGATTGAATACTATGTAGCTAAAACAATTATCAGTCTATCATCTATCTATCTATCTATCTATCTATCTATCTATCTATCTATCTATCTATCAATCATCTTTCTATAAATCTACTGATCTTTCATCTTTCTATGATATTCTGCCTAATGTTCAGCAGCCCATTGTGCATGCCACACTTACTAAAATCTTATCATAACGTGGAGTTCTTTCTCTGATAATGAAAAAGAAAAGTATGCTGTCCCTCCTTGAAATTCTATGATTTTTCACTCTCTATTACACACATTTACTCATTCAATCATTTATTAATCTTTCATATTCTTCAAAGGTGTATTATTTGCAAGGCACTGGAAATACTGTGATAAAAGGCACATACTTCAATGGGGTGAGGGGTAACATGCAGCTGACAGAAACATTGTCACAGAACCATGTAAATTTTATGAAAATTTTAGGTAAAGAGTATTATGGAATCAGGGTAGAGTGGCATCTAAAATTTGAGACAAGGAGGAGGGGCTAGAGTTGCCATTAAAAAGATATTGCTTAAAGTGGAATCTTGAAGAACATGAATGAATCATTCATGATTTCTTCCATTCATTCATTTATTGCTACTCTGCCAAAATGATGCAAAAACAAAGCCATTCCTGTGCTCAAGTAATTAAAAATCTATTTGAGAAATAACTTGTAGCAAACTGGAGTACAGAGTGATTGTTGTTAGGATAAAACTATACGTGTGTGTTTAGCACAATGAGGGAAGTTGTAGTGGGCTAGCAGAAGGATGTACTCAGATTAGGGAGAGCAATATCAGATAAGAGGAAAAGTATTTGAGAAGTGGAAGGATAAGAAATTTGACTGGAGTATATGCTATATCAGGTAGGGAGCCATGGAATATGAAGCTGCAAAATGGAATAAAGAGACTGAGAAGGGCCCACTATGCTAAAGACTTTGAGCTTCATCTCTTAGGTTGTGTGCAAGCACTGAATGATTTGTGGACAAGCACTGGACAATTTTTTGTGTGTGCTCCTCTACATCCATTCTGCAACATTTTCCACTCAGTCTGTTCCCCAGCAACTGAATCTTTCCACTTGCATTCATAGTCTCTCTTGCTCTCTGGCTTTGGCCAAAGAGAAGCACCTTTAGAAAGTCAGAGCACAGGAGAAAAGTGAAACTGGAATGGTAGATGTTGTTGGTAACCACCACGTCATCTTCTTTGTTAGGAGGGTAACCCATCTCCCAGGTGCTACAGGTATTGGTTACTAGCAAATTGCATTGTTAGCAGCAATGAGGAAAGCCCTTGGCTAGTGAGAGCCATGTGACTTAGAGATGCCTGGGAAGGTATGCAGCTTTCCTCTTCACCAGTGGCTGGTAAGCGGTGGTTGACCTATGCAATGGTGGAACAGCCTTGCCCCCTTGCATCTAGGCAGTAGAATCTCTGGAAACAATTTGTACTCCAGAGCTCGTTGTGGGTTCAGTCTAAAGATGAATTCTTTTATTTTTCTTTTCTTTTCTTTTTATTCTTTTCTTTCCTTTTCTTTTTTCTTTTTTTTTTTTTTTGTTTGTTGTGTTTGTTTGCTTTTGAGATGGAGTTTTGCTCTGTTGCCCTGGCTAGAGTGCAGTGGCACGATCTTAACTCACTGCAACCTATGGCTCCCAGGTTCAAGCGATTCTCCTGCCACAGCCTCCCTAGTAGCTGAGATTACAGGCACCCGCCACCATGCCCAGCTAATTTTTGTATTTTTAGTAGGGACGGAGTTTCACCACGTTGGCCAGGCTGGTCTCGAACTCTTGACCTCAGGTGATCCTCTCGCCTCTGCCTCCCAAAGTGCTAGGATTACAGATGTGAGCCACTGCACCTGGCCCTGAGGATGAATTCTTCTGAAATCACATCTTCATCTAGCTTCTTCCTTTGTACTCTTCTGCTACTCTTGCCTCTTTAAAGGTTTATCCTGGCTGGGTGCAGTGGCTCACGCCTGTAATCCCAGCACTTTGAGAGGCCGAAACGGGTGGATCATGAGGTCAGGAGATCAAGACCATCCTGGCCAACATGGTGAAACCCTGTCTCTACTAAAATACAAAAAACATTTGGGCGTGGTGGTGCATGCCTGTAGCCCCAGCTACTGGGGAGGCTGAGGCAGGGGAATCACTTGAACCCAGGAGGCGGAGCTTGCAGTGAGCCGAGATCGTGCCACTGCACTCCAGCCTGGTGACAGAGCAAGACTCCATCAAAAAAAAAAAAAAAAAAAAAAAGGTTTATCCTAAGGGCATGCCCTGAATAAATGACTTGCATAAAATTATCTGTCTCAGACACTGATTCTAGAGAACACAGCTTCTAGGGAGCTCAATATAAATGACAGTTATTGCTAGAAATTGTCCCATAAAGCAGACTCTAAAGATTTAATTCTGGAGTTGAATCAGACCCCAGCTTGGTAGTAAGGATGACCCCAAACCTAGTGGTAAGTAGAGTATTTATAGTTTCTTGAATGTTCTAACAGTACAATTGCTAAAGTGTTGGAGATGCCGTAGCTTTTACAGTGTCTTTGGCATTTGAGAGAAGTAGGGGAAATAATAAGATTATGGAACGTGGAATTTGGTGTTAGTTGTTGTGTGCCTTTTGGTTACTCAGGAGAAAAAAAAATGACTAATCATTAATTTAAAACTAAGTGCAAAAGTCAGAGGTTATTTCTGGAAGTCTTTAAAGAGACTTTTCTCACTTGCAGCTTGGGAGCATGTTGAGCCGGTGAACCATAGGCCTTAGTTGTGACAAGAGCAAAACTTCAGAAAAGCCTAAATTCATGCCTAGGTAAGACTCTGGATGCCATAATAAGGCAGATGTGCTTCAGAGAGTGGGAGTTAAGCCATGCAGATTCAGTGGCTTGCCACATATACGATGCTTTTAGGGATCCAGTGGTCTGGTGCATACTCGAACATCCCTTCCAAGGTAAAGGGCAAAGTTATGGCATCTTTTGTATACTACCATTAAAAAAGAAGTAAAACACAGCACATACAACACTTGGGAATACTACAATGAATGATTTAGCAAGTGCTGTGGAAAGTTCCCCGTTTTCAGTGAGGCCCTGAGCAAGAAAGGGCATGTTCAGGCCATATAGCACAAGCTGTCCTACCACATGGCTTATGTGGCCCAACAGATCCTATAGTTGCATAAAAGTTATCTCTAGGAGATAAAGGTTTTGTGTGGAGTCTCTGACAAGCCCCAACAGAAGGGTTTCATAACAGGCTGCTGAGATTGTGGAGCAAGGCCATGCCATCTGCAGCAGAGCATGTGATTTAAAATGCAGTTGCATCAAGACATGAGACAAAAGCTGTTCGCCAAGAACTGGACGCTGGCAGTCCAAGTAATAAACTACAGCAGCCCCAACAGCAATTATTTATAAAATAGAAGTGTTACAGAATGGATCACCCTTAAAATATCCAAAGGGCATATGTAAGCTGGATGAACAAATATTCCAGACTTCTTTGTCACCAGCACAGTCTCACCTGACACCACTCAATCAGCTCACACTTGTAACCTCATGGGAGAATCCTTATGAGCAGCTAATAGAGGAAGAAAACAACACAGGCTTGGTCCATGGATTGTTCATCTCAGTATGTTGGTGTGGACAATGGACTGCTGTTGTAATATAGCCCCACTTGGTAAGTCCTGGAAGACAGTATTCATGGGAAAATACAAACAGGAGGCAGGATTTGGGTTAGTGTTACTTGTAATCCAATTTTGTTGAGTGACAAATGGCTTAAAAGAACGCTATACACATGGTCATTGGTGGATAGCTTGGCCTGAACAAAGCAATGTTTTCATATTAGTGACAAGAAGATCCAAGAAAGAAGCATGTGGATGAACATATGGAAATGGGCAGAAACTAAGAAGAACTCACCATTACGTGTTAACCCTCATCAAGTTAGAGACACAAAGCAACCAAGTGTGGAGAATGGCCCAATAGATAAGAAGAAACTTAGCTAGCTGAAAGGTCTCACGAATGTAGTAGTCATGGCAGCATAGATGGAGACAATATGTGGACGATAAGAATGCGTTCTCCTCTCACCAAAGCTCATATACCCGATGCCATATCCAACCTATCAACCAACACATTTCTGTGCTGAGCTCCTTATATGATAATATTCTTTGACAAAACCAGCCAGACATTTTGGTGGCAAGCTGATAAAACTGGACTGCTCTCATCCTGACAAAAGCAACAATTAATCCTGAGTAGTAGTGACACACATTCCTAGGATGTGTTTGCCTTTTCTACCAGTAGTATTTCTGTCAGCATTATACAGAAAGGCTCACAGAGAGAGATATTGGATAGCATCTCATACAATATCACTTCAGATCAAGAGAACCCCTTTATGGCAAAGGAAGCCTGGTAGTGGGAACATGGCAAAGATATCCCCTGATCCTATGATACATTGAATCAATTAGTGGCAGCTGACCCTATAGAGCATAGGAAAGCCCCTTTTAATGTATAGCTGTAGTACCATCTTGAAGATGATGCCTGTAGATGGAGACACTATACTTCAGAAAGATGTACATTCATCCTAAACCAACAGCCATTACATGGTGCCAGGGTGCCCAGTAGGTAGAGTACATGAGTTCAGTAACCAAAAGACGGAGGAAATAGTAGCCCTACTTCACCGCCACTCCAAGAATTGACTAGGAGATGTTGTATTGCCTGTCTACTCAATTTTAGAGCCTGTGGATCCAGAGGTCCCAGAGAAGATATGCTTTCACTCAGGGACACAAGAGTCTCATAGAACTTAAAGATACAGCTGATACATGATCACTTCTAGTTCTTCAAGTGGACCAACAAGCAAGAAAAGGAATTATTATACTGCCAAGATTGTGTACACTAGGATATTTGAATGTGTAGTGGCGTATTTTAGCCTGATTACCTAAGGAAAAGGGCTGCTGTTACTTAATAGGGGCATGGAGAAATACTTTTCATACCTACGTGAACTGCAGGTTATCTCTTGGTACCCTCATGCCCAAGTTTAATTATAAATTGACAAGTACAGCAATTATTGCCTGGCAAGTGCGTGGTAACTAGGGAATCAAGGCTCTCAGGGATGAGTGTCTGAGACATCCCACCAGACAAGCCACCTAGATGAACTGAAGTCCTAGCTGAGTGTAAAAGGAATCTATAATTGTAGCTGACAGGGATAATGTGTATTATTGACAGCCTTGAGATCAATTGCAGCAAAGAAGGCTGTAATTCATCCTACAAATGCTCCTCTTACAAGTTTTCCTAGAAATTGAGACCAACTCAAATTCTGAAGAAGCTAAGACCAGATAGGAAGAACTTATTGTGAGAAGTGAATGGATTTGAGAAGTGTGAGTGGCAGACTTGGAAGTGGCTCTTGGCACTTCTCCAGATCTCCTTGACTGGGCTGGTACACTCATACCCCTGCAGGTCTTGGCTGATAACTGCTCAAGTTAGCACATTTCACTGTAGGGTTGTCCTCAGCTGATTGAAGCTACCTCACCCAGAAATGCCTGAGAAGTTACACTGTTCTCTCTCCAAAGACTGACAAGTGCAGGGATAAGACAGTGCAGCTCTCTTTTCTCTGGCCAAGAAAATTATCTGATTATAATCTATGTTCTAGAGAGCTAACTAGGGGATTAGATTGAGACTAAACTTCTGAAATCATATTATTGCCTAACTCTACCCATCCTTCATCTTTTCCTGCTCTTCTTGCTTCCTTAAAGACTTCTAAGTGTATTCCTTCTAGAAATCACCTGCACAAGACTCTCTGTCTAATACTCTGCTTCTAGGCTTCTGGGCCTAACTCAATTACATGTGGCAATGGCTGGGTTTCTCTATGGAGAACCACAGTCTCACCTAGTGGTCATTTCCTGTGTATACATTATTCTTCATTTGTGTGTGACATTGGTTTCCTGTCACAATCCTGACTAATGAAGCAGAAGCAAGCAGGGAGTGATGTGATTAGATTCACATTTAGAAAGCTCAATCTGGCAGCAGTGTTGAGGAGACAATGTATGAGAGGCAAGTCTAGTTGCAAAAATATAATTTCATAGATTATGGTAATAGTCTAGAAAATAATTGAAAAGGGCTAGAAGTTTAATGATCATTGGAAATAGCATACATTAGGTAAACTTGTAAGATAGGTCAGCAGTAAAATTGATTTAAGGATTAATATGTCCTAACCTCCTGCAAGAATTGAAACCACATATACTGCCTTAAAAACTCATTAAACAATTATTGTTTTACCACATATGTAAAAAAAATTACTACTACTCCTGCGGAGCTTGTAGTCTTAATAGTGAATAATGACTATCTTGGTAGTTGTTATAAAAGTCAAAAAATAAATATTATACTAGAATTATAAGCAAAAGGGTGTGAAATCAAGAAAAACTATAGGACAATATTTCCAATGAACACTGACACAAAAGTCAGCAGTTAAATATTAGCAAATCAAATTCAACAGCATATCAGAAAGATTATACATCATAATCAAGTGAGATTTATCCCTGGAATAAAAGGTTGGTTTAATATAAACAAATCAGTTGGTGATATATCATATTAACAGACATAAAGTCAAAAAGCCACATGATCATATCTATTGACAAAGAAAAAGTATTTGACAAAGTTTAACATCCTTTCTTGATAAAAACTTCTAACACTTTAGGTATAGAAGGAAAGTTCCTCAATGTAATAAGGGCTATTTATGGAAAACCCACAGCTAACATAAACAATGGGAAGAAACTGACAGCATTTCCTCTGAGATCTGGTATAAGACAAGGATGCCTACTGTATTAGTCCATTTTCATCCTGCTGATGAAAACATACCTGAGACTGGGCAATTTACAAAAGAAAGAGGTTTATTAGACTTACAGTTCCATGCAGCGGGGAGGCCTCACAATCACAGTCATGGCAGAGATGAAAGGAATGTCTCACGTGGTGGCAGACAAGAGCTTGTGCAGGGGAACTCCCATTTTTAAAACCATCAAATCTCATGAGTCTTACTCACTAACATGAGAGGGTAGCACAGGAAAGACCTCCCACCCATGATTCAATTACCTGCTACCAGGTCCATCCCACAACACGTGGGAATCGTGGGAGTTACAAATCAAGATGAGATTTGGGTGGGGACACAACCAAACCATATCATTCTGCCCCTAGCGACTCCTAATCTTGTTCTAACATTTCAAAACCAATCATGCCTTCCCAACAGTCCCCCAACATCTTAACTCATTTCAGCATTAACTCAAAAGTCCAAAATCTCATCTGAGACAAGGCAAGCCCCTTCTGTCTATGAGCCTGTGTAAAATCAAAATCAAGTTAGTTACTTCCTAGATACAATGGGGGTACAGGAATTGGGTAAATATAGCCATTCCAAATGGGAGAAATTGGCCAAAACAAAGGGGTTACAGGCCCCATGCAAGTCGGAAATCCAGCAGGGCAGTCAAATCTTAAAGCTCCAAAATGATTTCCTTTGACTCCAGGTCTCACGACCAGGTCATGCTGATGCAAGAGGTGGGTTCCCATGGTCTTGGGCAGCTCTGCCCTTGTGGCTTTGCAGGGTAGAGCTTTTCCTCCAGCTGCTTTCATGGGCTGGCATGACATTGAGTGTCTGCAGCTTTTCCAGGTACACAGTGCAAGCCGTCAGTGGATCTACCATTATGGGGTCTAGAGGATGATGGCCCTCTTTTCACAGTTCGACTAGGTGGTGCCCCAGTAGGGACTCTATGTGGGGGCTCCAACCCCACATTTCTCTTCCACACTGCCCTAGCAGAGGTTCTCTATAAGGACCCCACCCCTGTAGCAAACTTCTGCCTGGATATCAAGGTGTTTCCATACATCCTCTGAAATCTAGGCAGAGGCTCCCAAATCCCAAGTCTTGACTTCTGTGCACTTGCAGGCTCAACACCAGGTGGAAGCTGCCAAGGTTTGGGAATTGCACCCTCTGAAGTCATGGCCTGAGCTCTATGTTGGCCCCTTTCAGCCATGGCTGGAGCAGCTGGGATGCAGGGTACCAAGTCCCTAGGCTGCACACAGCAGAGGAACCCTGGGCCTGGCCCACTAAACAATTTTTTTCCTCCTAGGCCTCCAGGTCTGTGATGGGAGGGGCTGCCACAAAGGTCTCTCACATGCCCTGGAGATATTTTTTTCCATTGACTTGGTGATTAATATTCGGCTTCTCATTAGTTATGCAAATTTCTATAGCCGGCTTGGATTTCTCCCCGCAGAATGAGATTTTCTTTTCTATTGCATTGTCAGGCTGCAGATTTTCTGAACTTTGATGCTCTGTTTCCCTTTTAAAACTGAATGCATTTAACAGCACTCAAGTCACCTCTTGAATGCTTTGCTGCTTAAAAATTTCTTTCACCGGATACCCCAAATCATCTCTCTCAAGTTCAAAGATCCACAAATCTCTAGGGCAGGGACAAAATGCTGCCAGTCTCTTTGCTAAAACATAACAAGAGTCACCTTTGCTCCAGTTCCCCAAAAGGTCCTTATTTCCATCTGAAACCACCTGAGCCTGGACTTTATTTTCCATATCACTATCAGCATTTTTGGCAAAGCCATTCAAGAAATCTCCAGGAAGTTCCAAACTTTCTCACATCTTCCTGTCTTCTTCTGAGCCCTCCAAACTGTTCCAAACTCTGCCTGTTACACAGTTCCAAAGTCGCTTCCACATTTTCAGGTATCTTTTCAGGAGCACCCCACTCTGCTGGTACCAATTTACTGTATTAGTTCATTTTCATGCTGCTGATAAGGACATACCTGAGACTGGGCAATTTACAAAAGAAAGAGGTTTATTGGACTTACAGTTCCACATGGCTGGGGATGCATCACAATTATGGCAGAAGGTGAAAGGCACATCTCACATGGTGGTAGAATTTGGTAAAGTTGCAAGATATAAAATCAACATACAAAAATCTGTGGGATTTATATATGCAAATAATGACCTAGGTGAAACAGAAAGCAAAAAGACAATCTGATTTACAATAGCATAAAAATTGAAATTCTTAGGAATAAATTTAACCAAAGAGGTGAAAGACCTGTCCCCTGAAAACTATAAGACATTAATGAAAGAAATTGAAAAGGATACAAAGCTATAGTAAACAAAACAGCATGGTACTGGCATAAAAGAGGCATGTCAGCCAGTGGAACAGAAGGGAGAGTCCCAAAATAAATCCAAACATTTACAGTTAACTAATTTTCACCATAGATACCAACATGATGCAATGGGAAAAAGATAGTGTTTTCAATAAATGGTGCTCAGAAAACTGGATTTTCACATGCAAAAGAAATACATTGGACCCTTCCAGCACACACAAAAATTAATTTAGAATGGATTAAAGACTTAAACATAAGAAATGAAGCCATAAAACTCCTGGAAAAAAACATAGGGGAAAAACTCCTTGACATTGGCCTTGGCAATGATTTCTTGAATATCACACCAGAAGTTTAAGCTACAAAAGCAAAAGTAAATAAGTATGACTATATCAAATCAAAAAGCTTTTGCATAGCAAAGAAAACAATCAACAAAATGAAAAGACAACCTACGGATTGGAAAAAATATTTGCAAATCATGTATCAGAGAAAGGGTTAATATAAAAGATTTATAAAGATCTCATCCAACTCAATAGTGAGAAAACTTATAACCCACTTATAACTGGGTAAGGACTGAAATACGTATTTCTCCAAAGATGACATAAAAGTTGCCAACAAGTGTATGAAAAAGAGCTCAACATTACTAATAATCAGGAAAATAGATCATAAGCAACTATAAGATACCACCTCACGCCTGTTAGGATAGCTGGTATCAAAAAGACAAGAGATAAAAAATGTTGATCAGGGTGTGGAAGAAAGGGAAGCCTTGTACACTTTTGGGAATGTAGATTGGTACAGCCATAAAAAAAGTATAGAAGTTCCTAAAGAAATTAAAAATATAGCTACTATATGATCCAGCAATATCTCTTTTGGGTATATACTCAAAGGAGATAAAATCACCACCTCGTAAAGATATCTGCACTCTCATATTCATTGCAGCATTGTTCATACAATACCTAAGATACAGAAACAACCTAGGTGTACATCAGTGGATGAATGGATAAAAAATCTATAGTGTATATATACAAAGAAATATTATTCAGCCTTAAGTACAAAGAGATTCTGCCATTTGCCACGACATATATGAATCTGAAGGGCATTATGCTACGTGAAGTAAGTCAGACACAGAAAGAAAAATATCACATGACTTCACTTATATATGGAATCTTAAAAAAATGGCAGGGGAGTCAAATCAATAAAAAGAGATAGAAAATAAAACAGTGGTTATCAGAGTTCAGGTCTGGGGGAGAAAATGGGAAGATACAGGCCAGAGGATACAAAGTAGCAACGTAGGATGAACAAGTTGAAAGATCTAATGTACAAATAGAGACTACAGTAAATAATAATGTACTGTAGTCAAGATTTTTGCTACATGGGTAGATTGTATCTTCACATGTGATAGGGCGAATAATGAATAAATATGTAAGATGATGGATTTGCTATTTTGTTTCACTGCAGCAATCATTTTACTATATACATGTATCATAACATCATGTTGTATAACTTAAATGTGCACAATACATTTTTTAATGAAATGAAATATAAAAAATATAAAAAATAATTTTGAAAAACGCTTTGAAAGCACGTATGAAGAATAGCCATCATTATAAAACACAGAGCTTCCAAATTTCTGTAACTAAATAACACCTTCAGAGAAATTGCTTATATTACCTAAACATCTCTGAATAACTTCTTAAAATTCCCAGAAAAGCCATATGTGGATTTTTATGCATGCACCTCCAAGAAGCTTTAATTATCTTAATCATATTCACTACTGGTATTAAAAGTACTACAGATAAATTGCTATTAAATATTATTTAAACAGTCATTAATATTTGATAGATTTAATGTGTATATAAACTGTTCTTAATTTTCATATAAGTATTATAGAGTAGTGAATAATGTATATTATATATAATTCATAATTATACATAGTACATACTGTATTACATACTATGTATTCTGTAAATGCATTTGTATAAATGTGAAAATATATTAAATGTTAAAATTATATATGTATGTATACTTTTAGTCGACACTTTTATTTTGGCAAAACATTAAGAATTAAATCACTAAATTTTCCTTGTCTTCCATAAAAAAGTAGCATAAGGAAAGCTGTGGAAATAAAAAAAAAAACTAAGGATTCCAGATAATCATGTGATTAGGTTATAGAATAAAGGAGGATAAATGTCTGGAGAAAGAGTTGCAAAAATTAGGCCAAGCTGTAAAAGGGGGTCTTCTTGCTCATGCTAGGAATTTGGTTGGGATTTAGGGACACATTGAATATTGGCAGAGAAGGGTCAGGTAGCTGTATTTTCACACAGATCGATTCAGAGGAAATAATTCTATTTACCCAGAAGTGTAAATAAATGAATAAGATCAGACTTTTACTTAGAAGAGTATGGGGAAAATAGACAAAATTCAGAGACAGAGGAAGAGTTAAGCTAATACCAATGTTAACACTGAAATTTGTAGATTTAAAGGGTAAAGTAATTTGACTAAAGACACCCCTCTCCACCTAACACACACACAGTGCTGCTAGTGAACTCTGTATTAAGCTACAGTTTAAGTTCCTGGTTCTTGTTGTCTTACCAGCTTTGATAGTAACCAGGGAGATAGCTGGCAAGAGCTTCTAGGGGCAGGCAGGCAGGATTTTGGCTCGGATGGATACTACCAGATAAAAGGTCTTTCACAACCTCTTTGTTCATTTTGTGATATTTCTCAGTTTAGGGACTTTCTCTTCTCCTCTTCATATCACACACCCACTGCACCTCAGGAATTTGACTTCTCCTCCCTTAGTTACACATTCTCTCACTGCACTTATGGAATTTGAGTTACTTCCTATCAGGTTTGAATCACCCTATTTGGCAATCCTGGAATTATTTGAAAATGCTCTCATCTCATCACTATTATTTTTCCTCTGTAAACAAGCCTCGTGTTTTTCCAGAGCCTCTTCTTTCAGTTGTGTTAATCTCATATTTATTTTTTACAGGCCTAGCTCCGTCTCTCTTTATCATAAGCAGCATAATGCTCTCTAGAAAGACTCTTTGATGAGGAAAAGGAATTCTGGTTCTAGTTTTGCCACTGATAGGTGTTCAGCTTTGTTTAAATGCTTTACCTCACTGGGCTTCCAGTTATTCATTCGTGAAATACAGGAAGAGGCTAAAATAAACACACTTTGGCAGCTTTCCTTCCTTCTCATAAAATTCTGACTTTCAGTTTGTCCCAGGTAATCTGCCAGTCTATCCATCTGTCCCCTCCTTTAAACTAACAACTGTATGTTTATTACTGTATTGATTACATTGTATTGAAATAATCTTATTCATTTATTTATGTAATATATATAATATTTATTGAGGTAGTGCTGAGCATATGCCAGGGACTGGACTAAACCCAAATAACAAGACTCTTGTAACCAGTCCTTTTAGGTCTTACAGTGTAAGTGACAATACACATGAACATTCAGAAGTGTGATGGAAGTAGCCAAGGATAGAACTGAAGCGTCCTATGGCACGTAAGACAGAGGGATCTTCCTTAACCAGGAAGGAACTCCCTTAAAGAAGGAATTTACACCGAGACCGAAGGAAAGAAACAGAAAAGAAAGTGTTTTAGCAGAGGGAACCACATGTTAGAATGCCTGGAGGTGAGAGAGAATAAAAATTCAAAAGAAGTTCTGTTTGCTTAGGGAAGGAAAAAAAAACTGAAGGAAAAAGAAGTACCATGTAGAGATGTGGGTGTGTGACCAGATTTTGCTACAGGGAATTTTGAACTGTTTTAAAGTTTTGGTCTCTATTCTATGAACAATAAAAATCCTCCGGCAATTTTAAGCAGGATAGTGACCCAGTCATATTTGCGTTTTAACAGTTTTGATCTAGATTCATAATGATGCTGAAATTAAAATAATAACTAAATTTTATTTTATGCTTACTATAGCCAAAACTGTACATTCTTTATGTAAGTTGTCCTAGTATTCTTTACAACAACTATACTAGTTTCTTAGGGATGTGGCAACAAATTACCACAAACTAGGTGGCTTAAAAGAAATTCATTCTCTCATTTTTCTGGAGCCCAGACGTCTGAGATCAGGATACCAGTAAGGTCATAGGCTTTGTCTGAAGGGGATCTTGGGAAGTATCCTTCCCTGCCTTCTCCTAGCTTGTAGTGGTTACTCACAATCCCTGGTGTTGCTTGGCTTGCAGATCCATCACCCCAGCCTCTGCCTTTCCACATGACATTCTCCCCTGTGTCTCCCATTGCCTTCCCTCTGCCCATGTTTCTGTGTCCAAATTGTTCTCTCCTTATAAGGACATCAGTTATTGTATGGCTCACCCTAATCCAGTATTACCTTATTACTTCCGAAAAGCTCCTATTTCCAAATAAGTTCACACGCCGAGGTTTGGGCGGGGGGACACTTTGGAGAACACTATTATTATTTTGGAGGATACTCTTTATCCTCATGCTGTAACTGTAAGATGTTTGCCTAACTGGAGAGGTGAGTGAGGAAACTGAGGCACTATGAAGTTTAAAAATATGTCCAAGGTCACAAAGCTAATATGTGGCAGAGACGATTGACAGAGAGACCAGCTAGGAAACGATTGCAGAGCCATGATGATGGTGGCAATGGGGATGGCAACGTATAGATGATTCTGATAAATATTTTTAGAGTAGACTCAATAACATTTGTTAATAATTTTGATGTGATGAGAAAGTAGGGAGGAGTCAAGAAAAACTACCAGTTTTTCTGGGTAGACCTCCTATTTATAGTGCTAGAAAACACTGGACAAAAGGATAGTTTTAGAGAGAAAGGAGAAAAATTCAGAGATGCCAGTGCTGAGTTTGAAGTGCCCAAGGAACATATAGTTATAAATGGATATAACGATCTGGCACTCAAAAGAAAGGTCTGTGTTAGACCATCAGAAAATTGTAGCATTCATTCATCATTACTAAATACTTATGAGTGTCTGCCACATGTCAATTATTATCTTAGGTATCAAGGACACAGTTGTGAATAAGATAGGCAAGTTCCTGCCCTCATGGAAATGTCATTCTTGATGGGGGAGACAGATAATAAACAACAAAGATAAATAAGACAATTTCAACTAGGCATGTCTGCTGTGTAGACAATAAAAAGAGGTGATATGAAAGTCAATGATTGGTACAGATTACCTTCTTCAGTTTGGAGGATGAAAGTAGGTTTCTCTGAAGTGGCGACAAGTGAGCTGAGACCTGCATGATATGAGGTGATTTCAGGGATCTAAGTGCACAAAAGCCCAGAAGCAGTGATGATCTTGTAGTTTGTAAGGAACAGAAAAAAAGGTCTGTGGCTGGAGCATAGGGAACCTAGTGGTGGTACAGGGCGAGGAATCGGTAGAAGATGAGACCATGGGCTGGGCGCGGTGGCTCACATCTGTAATCCCAGCATTTTGAGAGGCCAAGGCAGGTGGATCACGAGGTCAGGAGATTGTGACCATCCTGGTTAACAAGGTGAAACCCCGTCTCTACTGAAAATACAAAAAAAAAAAAAAAAAAATTAGCTGGCACGGTGGCACTTGCCTGTAATCCCAGCTACTCGGGCGGCTGAGGCAGGAGAATTGCTTGAATCTGGGAGGCGGAGCTTGCAGTGAGCTGAGATGGTGCCACTACACTCCAGCCTGGCGACAGAGCAAGACTCCGTCTCAAAAAAAAAAAAAAAAAAGAATAAATCAAAAAAAAAAAAAAAAGATGAGACCACAATGTCAAGGAAGACAGCAAGACTGCAATGTGTGTGTGTGTGTGTGTGTGTGTGTGTGGTGTGTGTCTTTGGAAGATTATGTTTCTTACAAAGATATACACACCCACACTGATTTTTGTTTCATTTAAAGCCATGGGAATAGAAGATATTGCTTAGAGAGACTGTGCAGAGTGAAGGAAAGCAAAAGCCTACAACACAGGCCTGCAGTCACTTAAGTCTCATGGATAAATGTGGTCAGACCAGAAGAAAGAAAACAATATGCTTTCATGTCTGTTTATCCCATTAAAATAAAAACTATGCCCCCATTGCCAAGCAAACCTTCTTTTATGAAATTGTGTCAATAAATATTTAAAGAATTCATTTTTTAAGTTTTAAGGTCAGGGGTACATGTGCAGGTCTGTTACACAGGTAAACTTGTGTCATGGGGGTTTGTTGTACAGATTATTTCATCACCCAGGTACTAAGCCTAGTACCCATTAGTTATTTTTCCTGATCCTCTTTCTCTTACCTCCCTCCACCCTCCAAAAGACCCCAGTGTGTGTTGTTTCCCACTATGTGGCCATGTGTTCTCATCATTTAGCTCCCACTTATAAGTGAGAACATGTGATGTCTGGTTTTCTGTTTCTGTGTTAGTTTGCTAAAGATAATGGTCTTTAGCTCCATCCATGTCTCTGCAAAGGACATAATCTCATTCTTTTTCATGGCTGCGTAATATACCAGCGTGTATATGTACCACATTTTCTTTATCCAGTCTGTCATTGATGGGCATTAAGGTTGATGAATCGATATCAGATAGATGAAAGGAAATAGTATGGTAAGACCCTGGTATGGTTTTTGTGTCCCCACCCAAATCCAGTTGTTCAATTGTAATCCCCAGTGTTGGGGGAGGGACCTGGTGGGAGGCGATTGGATCATGGGGATGAATTTCCCCTTGTTGTTCTCATGATAGTGAGTGAGTTCTCATAAGAGCTGGTTGTTTAAACGTGTGTAGAGCTTCCCCCTTCACTCCTTCTCTCCTGCCACCACATGAAGACATGCTTGCTTCCCCTTGGCCCTTCTGCCATGATTGTAAGTTTCCTGAGGCCCCCCAGCCATGCTTCCTGTGCAGCCTGAGGAACTGTCAGTCAAACTTCTTTTCTTTATAAATTACCCAGGCTCAGGTAGGTATTTATAGCAGTGCAAGAACAGACTAATACAGATCCCCATTCATGGTATGTTTCATCAATGGTCATGTCTTTACTTTTCCTGAGTCCACATCATTTTCTGTGTGACTTCACTGTTTTTGTCTATAAAAGGACTATAGTATTGTTTCCCAACCGTTGACTTGCATAGTTTGACCCTGTGACTTGTGTTATCCATTGACATGAGGTGAAAATGATAGTGTGCCAGTTCTACATGCAGGTCACAAGAGGCTTTGCATGTTCCTTTTATACACTTGCACTCCTGCCATTACCATGAGAAGAACATGCCTGAGCTAGACCCAAGGTAAAGAAGGAAAATGAAAGATTTCTCAGCTGTGCTGCCCCAGGCAAGCCTATCCTAGGGTAGAGCCCCAGTCAAACTGCAGGTATATAAGTGAGTTCAGACTGGGTCAGCCTTGATTAACCCATTCAACTCACAAGCATGGTAGCTACAATAATGAAGGATTGGTCTTAAAACCATTGAATTTCGGGTGGTTTGGTACAGAGAAATGACTGATGTACTAATCTTTTGAGGGGATGACCTGACCAAACAAGCTATGGGAAAATGAGGAATAGATGAGCGGACCAGGCACAGGGCAGGGCATGGAGACAAGCATTTAACCATCTCCCTCCCACATCTAAGTACATCTTAATGTCTTATGAAGATTCTAAGAATCCAGTAGAATCCAGTAGAAATATTTTCAAATTTGTATGAAAAAGGAACAGGTTTTTGAGACATGATTCATTTTATTCCCTGCGTAAAGCTCTTCAAATTAGCCCAAAGTCTGGTGTGAAATGATAAAGCTTTTCTACATAAAAGCAGTACTTGAAGTTTAAGAATCATAGTTCATAATGTTATATATATATATATATATATACTTTATTATAGATGTTGGATTGTATTGTTACTTATCATATTAAAGATATTAAAAATGACAATGTTAAAAAGAGTCAATGTGTATTTTGAAAAGCAACTAAGAATTGCTAATTTTGATTTTATAATGTTGAAAAAAGTATTCGATACCAAAATCAAGAGAACATGCAAAGGTCATGAAAAATATCACAGGTAAAGGGAAAGGCCTCTGGAGTCAGGAATGTACAAGGATGAATTTCAGCTCCACCATTTAACTAGCTGTGGCAGCCATGAGAATGCACCTTCCAGACCTACAGGCAGCTTAATTGACTGGGCTCAGGCTACTGGCATTGAAACCTATTACTGTGTTTGGGTTCAGGCCATAACTTCCTTAGGCTTATCTGACCAATGACTGAGTATAGAGGAAATACTAGGCTGACCTGTTCCTGGGAGTTAGGCAAATCTTTTATCATTGAGTTTGGCTCAAGGGTTCACTATGATTTTGCTCAAACTTCTTTAGTCTATAGACAATCTTTCCTCGCAGTCTTCTTCATTCTGGGCCAGACTTGCATTGTGGTCTGTGATATGGTTTGGAGGTGTGTCTCCGCCAAATTTCATGTTGAAATATGACCCCTATGTTTGAGTTGAGGCATAGTGGGAGGTGTTGGGTCTTGTGGGTAAATCACTCATGAATGGCTTGGTGCTCTCCTTGATTAATGAGTGGTAATTGAGTTCGTGGGAAATCCGGTTGTGTAAAAGACTGTGCACTCCCCCCCACCCCCTTGGTCCCTCTCTTGCCATATAGATAAGTCTGTTCATTTTCACCATCCACCTTGATTGGAAGCTTCCTGAGTCCCTCACCAGAAGCACAGGCTGTCACCATGCTTTCTGGACAGGCTGCAGAACCATGAGCCAAAAAACCTCTTTTCTTTATGAATTACTTAGTCTCCGGTGTTCCTTTACAGCAATGCAAAAGGAACTGAAACAGACTGTTTTTTTTTCCCAGCCTTCTCCAGCTCTATTTCTATTTTCTTCAGCATAAGTGCTTCCTTTACTTAAATTTACACATTTAATCCCATCTTGAGAGCTGCTTCTTGAGAACCCAGATTAACACAATAGCCTCTCTGAGTCTCAGTTTTCTCATGTGTAAAATGTAACCTAGTCCATAGGATTGTAGTAATATTTAAACAAACCAGTGAATTTAAAACAAAATTGTACAGTGACTGCCATTTAGTAAACATTGAATTAATAGAACATTTTATTATTGTTGTTGTTATTATTACTTTTTAAGGTTTTTATTTTTTTAAGTCAAAATCATGAAACATATTAGCAGATATTGGGCTGAAGATTATCTGTTGCTGGGGAGAAATAGAGGTAAACAGATGGAAAACAAAATAACCAAGAAACAAACTAGGTAAATAATTAATGCAAATATTGCAGTCAAAAAATCACAAAAACTTAACGTTATTTTATCTATTAGCATTCTAAAAGGAAAGGTAATATTGACTATAGGGCCACTGGGAATTATATTCTCTTTTAATTGTGGAAACATTCAAGAGTATTCAAGTTAAACTGGACCATTTTCTCCCAGATATAAATCAGAATATCAGGGAGAGCTCTAGCAAGTACAGCAAAATGTTTTTCCTGGCTTGAATTATCCCAGTAATTGCATATATTCTGCATTTTGCTTAGGTTGAGAACACACAGGTAATTAATGGTCTTAATTTGACAGTGATTATAATTTTGGAATCATGCTTTTCTAAATATTATTTGTCTGAAACTAGAAGGCAATTGAAAAAGTTTTTTTTTTTTTAAAAAAAGACAAATAAATTAGTAAAACAATAAAAAAGGAAGGGGGATCAGGATAGCTTCTTTACAACTTCAAACATAATTAACAATTTTAAAGAGTAAGAAAAGTTTGCCAAGTGAATTTAGTTTTTCTTTTTCTAGATATTGTGCCTGGTACATATAAATTCTCAGTAAATATTTGTTGTATTTAATTATATTGGAATAGCTCAGAAACAGAATATGTGATTGGAATTGTCTTTATTTAGATCTGTCCTAAAGCAGAAGGATAAACAAGATTAACATTCCAGGTCATTTCTAGCTTTAGGAATATTTATGACACTATTTTGAAATGTTTATTCTAACAGTAAATTCCACTTTCTGTAGCAAAGTGCTATTTGAATTTTGTATCTCAGGCAGAGCTAATCAGGTTAGCTACTAATCATGTAATTAGAAATCAAAGTAGCTATGGTTGCGAAAAGTCGCACAGAAAACTGCTGTATTTGAATGTGACAATTTTCTTTTTCTCCGTGTCTCATTAGTATAAGCAAAAGCTACTATTCTAGAACATCAAAAGGTCCTTGAAACATTGCAGTTGCTTTCAGAATAGTTTGGGGCCTCCAAAGAGAATCTCGTAGAATTTATCGGGGCTCTGTTGTTTTCTCAGAAAAAAAAAAAGGATAAAAAAAACCTCTTTTCTTACATCAACTGTATAAGCAGTGAGTAGATCACTGGTTTTAAACAATTAGGATAGTGCTAAATTATTTCATATTTCCCTTTCCTCATTTTTCCACCCTTCAGAAATAGGTGTCAAACAGACTTGAATGTTATCCCAGCTCAGTATCTAGAAGCTTTATGGCCCTTAAGTACAATTTAATTTCCTCCTCAGCTCTTAATAAAATACGCAACCAATAGTAAGTGTTCATTAATATTTGCTGAGTAAGTGATTTTGTAAAATGGGATAAACATAGTACCTACTCCAAAGAGTTATCATGAGCATTAATACAAAGTCACAGAGACTGCCACCCAGTCAGCAATCCTGTAAGTTGCTAATTATTATATTATTAACTGTAAGACTATGCCACCTTCATCCAAAATTCAGAGTGACCTGCTGTGAGCAATTTACTTTCACAACCCCTTAACTGATCTCTTTGCTTTCAGTTTCTTCTCTTCAACCTACTTTCCACACCATACCAAAGTTATTATGTCTAAAATATAAATTTTATCATGATGAGTGCACCCAGCTTCCAATAGCTTCCCATTGTTTATGGCAATGGCTTTCAAAGTCATTTGGTCACCCAATCCTAATAAAAACATAAATAAATGAATAAAGCATGTACCCCAGGAATATGTATATTTAATTATTTAGTTATGTCTATGGACCACAAGTTTGTGTTATTAAATCTTAAATGAAGTTGTGATCAAGATGAAATAAACACTAGTTTAAAGGTTTTCTTACATGGCTTTATTTTAACATTCAAGGCACAATATACACTTAAGAGTCGTTCAAACAATTGAGATATTAAATCATCCTCTTGATATTTAATTCATTTAGTTATCTATAGTTGGCTTTACCAGACCTTTCTGTATCATCATTTTTATTGATAAGTTGCTGACAAAGAGCTGGTTCTAGTAGTAAAAGTGACAGCCCTCCTTGTCTCATGGAGTTTGCCTGTTCTTAACATTATTCATCTTACCTTCAACTCATGGTTTCTGTACTAGTTTCCTGTGGCTGTTGTAACAAATTACCACTAACTTGGTGGTTTAAAGGAATGGAAATTTGTTCGCTCCCAATTCTGAGGGCCATAAGTCAAATCAGTTTCACTGGGCTGAAATCAAGGTGTTTGAGGACTGCACTTTCTCTAGAGGGTCTAAGGAATCCTTTCTTTGCCTCTTCTAGCTTCTGCTGGCTGCCAGCATTCCTTGGCTTTTGACTACATCACTCCAATCTCTGTCGGTTAT
This sequence comes from Homo sapiens, assembly GCF_000001405.40. Classification (NCBI taxonomy): domain Eukaryota; kingdom Metazoa; phylum Chordata; class Mammalia; order Primates; family Hominidae; genus Homo; species Homo sapiens. The sequence continues at coordinate 190,354,089 of NC_000003.12, forward strand.
AGTTATGTTGCCTTCTTCTATGTCTGTATTGAATCTCTCTCTCTCTCTCTTTTATAAAGATACTGGTGACTGCATTTAGGTCTCATCTTGATAATCATAGTTGCAGAGGCATTTTTTGGAGTATAATATTAACACTCAGAGGTTTCAGGAATAAGGATGCAAATATCTTTTAGGGAACTATTATTTTGTCAACCACAGTTTCTTTGCAGGAATGTTTAATAAAGGTGTGATAGGTAGAATTCTGAAATGATTCCCAAGATTTCATTTCCTGGTGTGCCTACCTTGTATATTAATTTCCCCTTTTACGGAGGTGGAACTGTCACATGATGGATTTCATTTTTAATTACTTTATATAAAAAGGGATTTTGAAGACACACTCTTTTCTTTATGACACTCTTGTGCTGTCTTCGTGTTCTCTTGATGGCAAGACTGGTGAACCAATCATTGTATCCTGATGCCTGGACCACAGTCTGAGATGGCACGTGATCCAGTCTGGCCAATAAGAGACATTTCTACTTTTTAAAAGTGGTGCAAATTGGGCAAAATTTTGTTTTCATTGGTTGTGAGATTATGGGGAATGTTTCACAAGAAGAGATTCAGAGCCAAGCCTAGGACTACTTGAAACCTTATAGTTTCAGGCTTTGTGGCGTTTCTGCCGTTAAAGAATGAAGCAAACAGCTAGCGAGAAGCAGGGAGAAGAGATGGGAAACCCTAAAGGGTTGAATACCCTGAACTTGGATGTCCCTGATATTAGATCCATTCCTGCCCTTTCTGAAACCTCTGCTTTTTTATGTGATGTCATAAAATCTTTCCTTTTGCTCAGAGTAACTGTGTTTTTATACACCTTACCATGTCAAGTGCCTAACAAGTGGTTTGGCTCACAGAAAAGGTCAAAGTATTAGTTCAATAAATCAACATTATTCTAATGGTTTTTTCTTGGCACTGTTATATTCATCTGAAGAAAAGTAACTAAAAAATGTCTAACACACAAAAAGCATTTCAAAGTTATTTTTAGAGCTCCTTTTTCTTCAAATTACACTTACACACAACAAAACCTCCTGGTAATCTGGTCTCTCTTTCTCACACCATTATTATATACTTTTAGAGATAATTAAATGTCTGTGATAAACAGGGTTTGTCGTGGCTAGACTAAGAATCATTTGTTTTTTAGTTGTTGATGTCTTTAACTTTGTTTTTTTAATATATTCTAATTCACACCAAAATATTGATTTCTGTGACTTTTCTTTACCTCCACCTTAGCCAAATACTTAAAAATTATTGGCCTGTTAAAAATCCCCAAGTCCTCTTCTTTTCTCTTCAAACTTTTGATTTTGGACTACAAAAGCAATGTTCTATCGACTCTATTTTTCTTTTTGGAAAACTTTCTAATTAAAACTACTTGAGAAATAATTTTGTAGAATGACCCACCTTTTCTCTAGGATAATTTAAACTTCTTAAGAATTTAAAACAAAACATCAGATCTCAGATTATTAGAAAAATGTGTGATTTATGGACTTTACATGTCATTCTCTAGTAATCCTAGTAATAAATATTCTTGTTGTTACAATGTTTTATATGAAAAATTTCCTTGAGATCTTGTGAGAACCAATATAGAGCATTTTAATGGAATATTCACATGCATTGAGATTCTAGTGGTATGCACATAGCCAATGCCAGATTACCCATATAAAAGAAAAATAGCAATATAATTAATTATTGATATAGCTTAGATCAGGAAAAAAGTGAAGCATTTTTTTAGGTCCATACTTTGATTTCTCATTTCTGTGGGGTTTTTTGTTTGTTGGTTGGTTCTTTTATTTTTTTTAACTTCCTATGAAATATACCTGAATTGGTCAATTTTTACTTTTTAGAGTCTTTAACATGAAGAAAGTCAGGGTCACTAAAAACTGAACTGAGCCTAAAATTATTTTAGGTCCAGTTCAGATTTAGTGACTCTTAATTTCCTCTTGAAATTCAGGGTGAAGAGGAAGTTGAGGAAAATCAATATGATTTTTGCTGAAAAGAATAAAAGTCATCATTTTGGTAGGCTAAGCATATACAATTTTTTTTCAGGTTCCTATACCAAGAAAGTTTAAGTAATATATTAGTAATGACATCTTTAGATTATTTTTATCCTGCATTTTATGGAGTTAATAAAAAACAAGCTTGAATATGTCTCTACATTTTTTTTCAGACCATCCCAATTAATTGCTGAAAAAATACTGCTATAATAAGTGTGATAAGATCTGAAAGTCATAAGTTTCAAATTTAGATGATTCTTGCTTGTAACAAAATGTTATATACACAAAGCATACATACTCATGTCTGGACAAATCTGTAGATTTTCAGACTAATGTGCATGTTGATGGAAAATTTTTGAACTGCCAGGCCCAAATACCACTGTGGTAAATTACCTGTCTGTGGTAAACCAAAGGCATGTTTATCTAAAATAATTAGATGGCCCTTCCTCAATCTGATTTAAAACCCAATGTTATTCATACTAAAACATATAAAATAATTTACTTTGTAATAAAGCTGGCATTTAAAAGCAGTAGGGATATAATATTCAATGAGTGATATTGAGATAGCTCTCTATTTTGAAGAAATAAAGTTTTATCTTTCCCTTATACCATAATGTCCTACTGAAATAAATATTCCATGCTATAAAAGAAAGAATTATTATTACAACTATGGATAAGTTATATAATTTTGAAACATAATGATTGCAGATATCATAATATTTAGGTTGAAAATATTTTATTATTCAATTATTAAAAGTTATGTAATATTGCCTTCAAATTGCAAAATTATCCCATGTGAACTAATATACAAAGATTCTAATGGAGTTGGCATATAATTCGCTATGTAGATTATACACAGCCTTGCATTTTACATTCTCAAAAGATGAAAATCAGTGTTCACTGTTAAAAATCCTGTGGATTATTACCTGATATATTCAAAGTATATGTCATTATATCCACTTTAAAGCTTTAAAGGTACTCAAATTAATCACAGTCCTTATTTTTGGAACTCAAAAAGAAGTCGTTTTCATTTTTACAGGGAATGTTCCTACAGGATTAACATCCTCCTATGAGTATGTCCTAATGCAGAATTTTGGCAGAGTTCTGTAGATGAGCTTCTAAAATAGAAAACTTTCTAAAACTTGCAGATCTGGGATCAGAAAAACACAACCTTGAATCTACCTGATCATTAAGCCAGGCCCTTCTCTAACTGAGAACTCGTAATTTTGGTTTGAAAATTTTCTCATATTCACTGTGTCCTCTCTCCTTACAGCCAATACTTTGGTTCAAACACTCTTTATTTTTGCCTGGATTAACATAACAACTCTTTAACTCTTCTTTCACCTTTGTTCATTTTCCTTTCCTCATTCTAGTTCCTCTTCTGTGCTTCACCTCTGCTCTTGAGGGATCTTTCTAAACTTCAAATGTGACCCCTAAGGAATTCCAATTTTCCAAAGACTAAAGTCCAGTTCCTCAGTATGATACTGAAAGTTCTTCCCAAAATAATTTAAGCTTACCTTTCTCACTCCTACACCACACCCTGCACACTTGGTATGTTGACTGTGTTTTTCCTCTTTCACAGGTTGGTGCTTTACTCGTGGTTTCCCATCAGCCCAGATTGCAAATGTACCTCTTTCTTGCTGTTGCTAAATCTTTCTATGCTTGTAAAATCAAACCACAGCCTGCCTAAAGCCATCTTTGGGTCTGTATCGGTTACATTTTCTTCTCCATAATCCCCAAGCACTTCAGACTAGTCTCATGGTCCTTGTTACACGTTAATTTATATTGCATATGTGTCTTTCTGCCACAATTTGTAAATTCCTTCACAGGAGAGATTGTTTGTTTTACTTTCATATTTTTTATATTCCCCTGGGTCATGGGAACTAGCACAGAGGTCTGGTAGTAGGACTTCAGTATGTATATATAGAATAGGATTCTAAAAATGAGACTGACTGGCACGTATTGGTGGATAAGCAGTATTACGAAAAAAAAGAAAAGAATCTGGATCTTAAACTCTGGTCTCTTTCCTTTTTATGTTTCTTCCACAAATAAGAATAAATATAATTTGCTTTGTGATTTAGGAGAAATGCTTTTTTTTCTTTTTCCCTCAAATTTCTGTAAGCCCAGAGTGTGACTCTGTGAATTTTATGTCATAATAAGAGCCGCTGAGAGTTACCACAAGGATACCAGAAATAAAGCATGCATTATAAAGCATGTCTTCTCTAATAATTTAAAAAGAATATCTAATCATGAGTGCATTCATTTCTCCAATTCAGCAGCTTTCAAGTACGAATGACACATAGGACTGAATACTTCAAGTGGAATAAAAATCAGACTCGTCCCTCCTGAGTACAAACACACGGATCAGTCAGACAGAAAGATTCACTCTGTGAATTCTCTACCACACACAGAGGGTAGACTGGAAAGCAAAAGCATCACTAGGGATAACAGCAATTGTAGGATGATTGCAAATTGTGTAGGATTTTGCAGTAAGAGCTGGCTGTTTATTCCCAAGATTTCATAATTAATCTCCACAGTAAACTTTTCCTGCAAAATTAAAAAAAACAACAAGTTTATTGCTCAGAGCTTCAACAGGCTAATATTGTATTAGACAACTAATGATGACCTAACCCATCATACCAGTCTGCCTAAATTGAAATTCAATGGACATAGTTTTTTCATTAAATCCAATTCTGCTGCAGACCATGTTTCTTCCCATTGTTACCCTTGGAAGGACATCAGTAGTTACTGAAAGATATAATCCAATTTAATGGGTAAATTTTCCTAAATAAGAGGCCTTATGGCCTTTCCTTTGAAAAATATTCATAGTTCAGGACATTACTGAAACCTAATTTATTATTTTTTTAAAGAATAAAATTATTCAAATTGCAGAAGGCTTCATTCTGGGCTTTCTGATATTCTATTGTTTTGATACATGTATTTACTCAAGTTAATAAACTTTTCTTATAACACAGTATGATTTGTAATCAGGGCATTTGTTTTCTGTATATAAATTAATGATTGGAAAATGCTACAATTTGGTCATTCAAGTGTTTTAAGCATCTCCTGCAACTGCAATCTTGTTTGCATTACAATTTGTCTTATTTCTGGCAAAAGTTTTGATGAACAAAAATTATCATCTATTTTGCTCCTGAACAAATGACCTTAACATTTAAATTCAGACATTACACACCTTGCATGAAGGACTTCCAAATTTGACTCTCTTAATGCCTATGCAGTATTGTCACTCAGTTTCTTCCACATATGTTGGAGTTCTAGCTCTATGTAAGTGTTCAGTAAACTCTAATTGAATTAAATGAGTGGAATCCAGTGCAGCTTTATTGCAATCCTACAGTTGTTTCTAAAGGTAAATGAATATAATGCTTCATTTTTTGATGTTTCTTATCCTGCTTTGTAAAAAACTGTATCTTTAGTCAACTATCACCTAGTGAAAAGATTTTAAATGTTAACATTAGTACTAAGTACAAAGAGGATATACAATGCTCAATAAAACCCTGTTCCTTACAGTCCAATGGTTGAGTCAGACAGGTAATATTTACAACTAATGTGATCTGTGCTTGTTCAAAGTAGCATGGGAGCACTGAAGAAGAGTGCTTCAGCGAGCCAGGTCTTAGAGGATAAATTCCCAAAGCAGAGAAAATGGTTAGAATATTTCTTAAATAAGAAAGGTAGGTCTAAAGATGCAAACAAATTAAAGAGAAAGAAATGTTCAGAAACTTCTGAAATTTGATGTGACTAGAACTTGTGGCCTAAAAGGAGCTATGAGGCTCGATGTGAAGAAACATGGATCTCGAGTTTTGGCACTGAAAGGTATTTGAATGCTTCTCTTGGCCAAGATGACACTCTGGCTAGGGCTGGAATTCTTAACTGGGCTGGTTGAAGCTATGTTGGGTTGGGCTGAGCTGAGACTGAGGCTTGGCTGACCCTTGGTCTTTAAACTGTAGAATGAAAAAGAAACTGACTTTGTTATTTAGAGCAAAGTAGGCAAGAAACAAAGAAACTTTGCAAACCAAGTATAGATGCCCAAAGAAATACAACAAACAGTAGAGGTCTAGTCCAAGGCAGAAGATATACAAAATTCTCTAAAATAGTATAAACTGTTTCCAGGGAGGAAAATAGGAACATTTTCTAAGCTTCCGATATTCAGCCCCAGTCCTTCTTTTATTGAGAGGAGGCCTGAAACCTCACATTTAGGTGGGAGAGAAACTAGTAAAGCAATAAGGATTGCACAAGCTGAGTTTCATGTCAAGGTTTGGGTTTTAGAAAGATTTATCCGGTGTGACATGTGAGGGAGTGGAGGCAGGAAGACCATTTTAGGAAGTCTTCTCAATCATCAAAATAAGAGATAATAAGAAACTCAACTGGTGTAATAGCAGAGTTGAAATAGGGAGGATGAATGTGATAAGAACAAAATGTAGCTAGAGTTTTCAGTCCATTTGTATTATATTCCATTACATTATTAATTATAATGTAATTATTTGTTTGGTTGAACATCAGCCAGTATCTTGGTATTCTTTTATTTTTTTCCCATTCTATTCTTTGTTCTCTTTTTCCTCCTTTCCTGCTTTTCTCGGATTAACTTTTTTTTCTCCATAGAGTTCCATTTAGTTTCCTCTATTGCCATTTTGTCTATTTCTTCTTGTTTTGACTTTTATTTTGTTTTTATGTGGTTGCTCTACTGCATATTTAAGAATATACATTCTTAGATTAGTATTGTCACCTTTGGAATAATACTATAGTACCTCACTTACAGAGAACTTTACAAAAACATACACATATTTACCCCCACTGTTCTTTGTGCTATTATTAAATGTGATAAACTCCATAATACGTTGTTATTGTACTTGCTTTAAACCATAAAATTATTTTTTAAGAATTTAAGAAATTATGTTTAGTGTAGGTTTACTGGGAACTAATTCCTTCAATTTTATTTATGTTAAAATGTCTTTATTTTAGCTTTTGAAAATAAAGAGCAAAGAAACTTGAACACTTCAATGTAATAATATGATTTCATTCTTTCATTGAGTCAGTAATTACCCAGCACCCACTATGTGCTAGTCACTCAATAGGCACTGAGAGCTCACAGTCTTTATACTGTTTGTAAATGCCCATTAGCAATTGGCTTTAACTATTGCATTATCTCAGTTAGTCCTTAGTGAAAGTGCCTTTGCAAAAACTGTAACTGAGGAAATTATGACAGTGAAAGGGATCAGACCTAACCGACGCCATCTTGCCTTTAACCTGTAAGCTGTTCTTGTTCATTCCTGAGCGTAGGCTGAACTAACCAAAGAAAGGAATTTAGTTTATGGTTTGACTCTGAAACAAAATTGATAATAGCCCTTCCCTGAAAAGACTCCCTTCTTGACTTGGCACCAGTCGGCCTTCGTAGGACTAACAAATTAGCTACAAGATTAGAAATTATGGTTTAGGGGTCATGCTGCCTCTGGCTGCAAAAGTCTGAATGCCCCCAAATTGCTCCTGGAGATAACATTGATACAAGAGGTAGATAGAAATTATTTAGGCAGAAAGTGAGGGCAAAAGAGTCCTTGGCAGAGCTTCCCTTCTAACAAAAAGCAGCCCAAGAAATCATTTTTTTTTTCTAACAAAGAGCAGCCTGAAAAATTGAGCTGCAAACATAGATAAACAAGCTGGAACCTTGCACAGGGGAATTCCAGCAGCTGTGCCAACAGAAAAGGGCTAGCTGGGGGCCAGACATGTTCAACTGGGGGCTCCATCTTTCCTTTTTTTGTTACCACTTGTACTGTAATAAAGAAATGGGCAATATGGCACAGCTCAGAGAATCCACCTGCGTAATAAAAGATAAGGGTGGGGGCTACCAGGGATTAGTGCCCTATACAAATGGCACACCTGGTCTAACCAGTCTAACCTGGTCTAACCTGGTCTAACCTGGTCTAACCTGTGTAAATCAGACAGCACCTCCTCACCAGCTCATCTATAAAACCCCTTGCATTTGAAGACCCATTTTTCTGGGACTCCTCTTTTTCACCTATTAAACCTCTGCTCTCAACCTCACTCTTTGTGTGTCCATGTCCTTGTTCTCCATGGCTGTGAAAGAACGAACCCTGGGTGTTACTCCAGACAGTGAGGCCATTTCAGCATCACTATTGTAAAACCTAAGATCAGTGCTTGAGATATTTTGCAGACCCTCATTCCATCGAACAGCTGACACCACCCAAGCCAGTAATCTGACTCAATCAGTTCTGCGATCCCACCCAGGAACAGAAGACAGCAAGAAAACCTCACTTCGACCCCCTCTGTGATTCCACCTTCAACCTGACCAGTCAGCACTCCCCACTTCCTGAGCCCCTACCTGCCAAATTATCTTTAAAAACTCCGATCCTCAAATGCTCAGGGAGACTGATTTGAGTAATAATAAAACTCCAGTATCCCGCAGAGCTGGCTCTGTTTGAATTACTCTTTCTCCATTGCAATTCCCGTGTCTTGATAAATTGGCTCTGTCTAGGCAGCCGGCAACGTGAACCAGTTGGGCAGTTACATTAGTTCGCCTTCATTTTTTGAAGAATATTTTCAGTAAATAAAAAATTGCAAGTTGACTTTTTGTTTTAATTAGCTTTATTTCAAAATGAATCTATTTTCAGACCACAGTTGACTGCAGATAACTGAAACCTTGAAAAGCAAAACTGTTAATAAGGGTAGGCTACTGTATTTATATCTCTGTCTCCCTATACATTATATGTTTTCCTGTTTTGTTGACTTTATTTTTCCTTTGTCTGTGGGCTCTTTTAAGATGCTCACCTTAGTTTTGGTTTTGGGAAAGTAATTGAATATGTGTACTTTGTATTTTTTCTGCTTCGGTTTATTGAACTTGCATATGTGCATTTTTTAAAAAATCAAATTCAAAAATTTTTTCAAGCGACTATTTTTAAAATGTATTTTTATCTTCCAATTTCTCCTTTCCTTCAGAGACATCAATTACAACCATTCGATATTAATTCCAAGGGCACTAATTTTTCTCCAGAATTTTTCTTTAGTTTCCATTGTAGTTCAGGTGATTTTTATTGCCCTGTTTTCTAGGTCATTATTTTTTTCTTTTTGACTGTTCAATTTGCTATTGACACCATTCAATGAATTTTCTAATTTCAAGTATTGCATATCTTAGTTACAGGCATTCTAGCTGGTTGTTTTTCTACAACTCCCATTTATCTCTTTAAACTGGTCCATTTTTTTCATTCATTCAATCTGTCTTTACCTGTAAATGCTTTACCACATTTTTAATTGTTATTTTAAAGTCTTCATCTTCTAATTCCAATAAATAGGTCTGGTTTATATGTAGGTTCACTTCTACAAACTGTTTTCTTTTGATTGTTGGTCACATATTTCTGCTTCATTGACTGTATAATAATTTTTTATTAAATTCCAGTTGCTGTGCGTGTGTGTGTGTGTGTATATATATATATATATATATATATATATATATATATATATTTTCTTTCTCCTGTCTGGCAATTAGGGTGAGATATAGATCAATTAGTTACTTGCAAGAGTTGAGTTGAGCTGCAGCTGTAGCTGTAGATAAATTGTACTTACTATTGATGTTAACGGCCTATTTGGTTGTTTAGTGTCTTTTACACAGTGGGTTTTCTCTGATGGATCCCACTGGATTAACATGTGATCCGAAGATCATATTTTGCACCTACCCGGATAGATTCATCCTCATGTCTCTTTCCTATTCTCTTTTTTCTCAAATCTAATCTTCCTCCAGACTTCTGATCATTTTCCACTATCCTTGAATGTGTGTATATTCTTACCAGGAATTATTTCTCTTAAAAACAAAAGGTGAAGTATCAATTGTATTGCCTGAAGAATTCTGCCTGCCTAATTGGAGATTGTCTTCTCACTACTATCTTTTAGTGTAATCCTGAGTGAGGCTGTAGTGCAGAATGGTCCTTTTTATTTTTTTTGGATTGCACTATAAATTAAGCCAAACCAATACATTTGTGAACAAAGCTTATCCTTTTTCCTCGTCCTTCAGCCAGATAATAGGACACCCACATGTGAGTACAGTTTGGTTGAGGGAGATGTAGCAGTATTGCAGTGGTATATGGCTTGGGAGTCTGGGCCAGATAATAGGACACCCACATGTGAATATAGTTTGGTTGAGGGAGATGTAGCAGTATTGCAGTGGTGTATGGCTTGGGAGTCTGGATCACCCGTTCATGTAGCTCTTGTCCTGTACATGCCATCCTGGATGTACCTCTTCTAACAATAAACTGCTATAGATCTGGCTGATCTTATGACTTTGTGGTTCTGACAGAACATAGCTCATGATGAGCTGCTGATGGGTAGCTCTGGCCAAATGGTTCCTGTTGTCCCACGGGTAGATCCTCCATCTCTACCAGATCCCAGCTGCATAACAAGGACTACTTTTCAAATGGTGTTTACTTCTCTGCTGCCGATGGTATGACTGGCCTTGCTTTAGGGCCCTGGGGATTTCTACTGTGGTTCTCTAATTGCAACTTACACTTCTAGTAGCATTAGGGTCTGACTGGCTCAAGTGGTAAGGCTGCCTGCACTGCAGTCTAGAACTTTCGAAGAGCCCTTTATCGTGCTGGGTCCACTCAAAGCTGCCAGTCTTGAATGTCACTTTGTAAATAAGTCAAAGACATATTCCCAAATGTGGAATATGCTGTCTCAAAGAGGGGAGCTGAGCGTTGTCTTTTTTTTTTTCGAGGTGATTATATCGGCACGCCCCACGTCACAGAGCCCCTCAAAACTTCGCTGACATGGCAGACCCCTGAGTATTTTAGGGCTTCTCTTCACCGGGATCTGTCTCTTCTTTTTTTTCTTTAGTCAATGGATACTTGTTTTGAGAACTGGCTCAGATATGAAAACTAGAAATTTTACTGGGAATTTGCTCTCAGCCCCCTGTTTATCCATCCTTAATTTGTTTTGCTTATGTGCACTAAGTAACACTCTTTTTGGCTGTTTATCTCTTCCTAAGAACACTACGGTCTATTAACTATCTTCACAGGTCTCATGTTTCCTGGCTGCCACTCTGAACTTTACAATCATTATATGTCCTTGCATCAGGTGATTGATCAGCACCACTGGCCTATGTTCTTTTGGGATTCTCTGTTGTTACCAGAGAGCTCATTCTGTAACAGCCTTCCCTGCCGTCAGTCCTGGCCTTCTCAGGATAGCCACCACTTATCTTTTCAGCTATTCTGATGCTGCACCCACCAGTGCACTCTTTATTGTATTGGCCAGTGAAGTGTCTTTTGGATTCTTCCATAGAATATAGTTGGATGGTGGGCTTCCAGCCTTAGGTGGTATGACCATTTTGCTATGCACACTTCTTTACGCCTTTTGATACTTTTTGGTCACCATCTTCCGTGAAAGTTCTAGTATTTCTACTTCATCTAGTATGAGCCATCTTTTTTCCCAAACTTCCAAGAACCAGCCTCACAACTCTAATACTATTTTCCAGGATCCTTGACCAAGTATTAAATCTTGTATCACAGAAGAACGATCTGAAATCAAGCAACTCTCCCTTAGATATCTTTGTGTTTTACTAATCTCCTTTTATTTAGCACCATTAGAACTCTTAGGGTCCAGTATATACACAGTCTCCCAGATTCGCCAGTCTATTTTGTCTAGGTCTGGCAATTTATTCACCATTGTGTTCCATTCCTCCCCTAGCCGACCCAGTTCTTTTCAGCCAGGTATGGTGTGACTTAACCCTGCTTGTTAGCCTAGAGGAGAAGTGTTAGTATATTCAAAGTTCGAGTGGGTATATGTTGCCTTGCAAGGCACAGGCCTCTACATAATTCTTAAGCAAGGGGGAGCACTAGTCTTTAACTTGAAGAAATGGGCCACTCTTACAACCAGAGAGGATTCATGTTCGGAAAGCAAGTTTGTAAGTACATCAGCCCAGATATTGCCTTCTCAAGTTTAAAGATCCTACTTCTCAATCAATGCTTTCTGGAGCTCTTAAGTCCTGGGCCTGCTTTTATTGTCCCTGCAGCTGTGGGAAATGAGAGTATTTTTGTATGCCGCCTCTGACATTTACCTTAAATTGGTAATTTAAATTAGGATTTATAGCTTTTAGGCTTTCATTTTCTTTCTTTCTTTCTCAAAATGTATGACATGTTGCACCATCCATGTATTACTTTCCAACATTATGCCAGCCAAGTTCATCACCAGTGAAACTTTTAACAATGCCACTGACACAGCATGCCAACGCTATGAGTAATCCATCTACTCCACTGACAGGGTCTTCATTTCCAGCTGGTTAGTAGGTGATCTAACTTTTTAAAAAATCCCATTTTAAAGATTGTATCTTAGGCCCACTCCTGATACCAGTGGTCTTAAGTCACATTCCCTGGGGAAACAGACTCTCAACTGGAGACTTAGAAGCAGGAGATTTACTAACCAGTGCTCATCCAAACACACCTGTAAAAGGGTGAGAGTAAGACTGGACAGAGAGAAAAGTTAAACTTTGATACACTTACAAAAACACCTTGGCCAATCCCCCATGGAGCTCTGTGTTTGGGATGACCCTTCAGAGTTGACCCAAACTGGGGGAAAGGACCGTGACTCTCTTTTCTACGTCCTGAGATGTGGGCTGCTTTCCAGGAGGGAGGGTATCCTTAGGAAAGAAGCTCCCTATAACAGAGCAGTCGCTAGAGAGGATCTCAGTTTTGAGCAATCAGCATCTAAGTCTCCCAGCAGCTTTGGGGAGTATCTTATTCCTGCAGAGGGATTTCAGAAACATACCATAGCTTCTGCTTTATTTGATATAATATGAGCTGAGACCTCCAAAATTAAGAATGTCTGATGTACACAAAGGCCTTAAAATTGCCCCAAAGCAGCATGTGGGAGTGTTCAAAGAACAAGATACATAAAAACATTCAAGATTTTAATTTTAGCACAACATTTTAAACCACGGGTTACTTTGAAATCCTTTTTATCTTTAGTCGACACTGTTTTTCATATCTTGCTCCCCTTTGATTAGAGACACTCATTTGTCATTCTGAAAGAAATGAATATTCTTTTCTTCTTTGTTTTATGATAGGATAATACTGTCTACTCTGATAACTCCGAAGGTTTGTATTTGACCATAGATATTAAAGTGCATAGTGAAACTTTAAATGTGATAGAAAGCAAGATAATCATTACTTCATGAAACAATCTTTCTATTTTGTGACCTTTTAGATAGTTGATACTTAATATTCAAAATTATAGGCATAAATTATCTTCCCCCTGGAATTTACTAGCACACAATATGAAAGCCATCAAACAGAAATTTGGCCTGTGAACTAGTGACTCAATACTACTTCTCCAGGGTGAATTTCTTCAGCGGGAAAATTCAATACCTGCCTGTTGAATAAGGAAGGAATATATAATATATTAGGATTAGAGGAGAATCAATGTGATCATGTTGCCCAAATGTCCGATTTATTATTTGTCAAAGAGTATTACACAGAACATACGGTCTGCAAAATTCATTGTTTTTAAATGGCTTTATTATGGAAAATGAAACCTTTTCTGTTTTGTTGCCTTAACTCTCTGGCCAAAGCCTACTTTATTGTGGAACTCCATGTAATTTATTAGAATTAGTAGAATATGTTTTATGCACTTTTGGCTCCATTTCTTTCTTGAAAATTTTTAGTATCAGCAAGGTGGAGTCAGAAACAATTGTATTAATTAATATGAAATATAAAGCTGTGGGCTGCAGTAGATACATTTTTCTTACATTCCCATAATCTTTCCTCCCCCTTTCCTTCCCAAAAGTCTCTGCAATCTGCATTTTGATTACATTCCCATAATCTTTCCTCCCTTTATCCTTTCCAGAAATCTCTGTAATCTGATTTACGTTGGGTCCTGATGTGTTGGGGAAGCTGATACTGCTCCTGGCTGCAGAGTGGCATACCTGGCTGTGGCAGGCAGCCTTTAAGATAGCCCTCAATGATGTCTGTCCTCTTTTGGTATTCATACACTGTACAGTTTGATCCCACATCCTGGGATAGCCCTGTGTGATCAATAGAATTCAGCAGAATTGATGATCTGTTACTTCTGAGATTAGGTTATCAGAAGACTGTGGCTTTCATCTTGAAAGCACACTCTGTCCCTCTGAACACTCTGTGGGAAGCCTATGAAGGGGCTCAAATGACAGGGATCTGATGATCAGACAATAACTGGTGAGGCACAGAGGTCCGCCAACAATGATGGAGTAGAATCAATTCTTTCCCCCATTGTGCCTTCAGATGAGACTATAGCCTTAGCCAACAGCTTGAGATCCTGAGTCAGAACCACACAACTAACATGATCCATAGAAAGAAATGATCCATAGAAATGTTTGTTGTTTTAAACTGCTAAGTTTTGGGGGTAATTTGTTACACAGTAGTAGATGTCTAATACAGTGATTTTGACTAAACCAATCAGTGTGTTTCATTCTTCTTGAAACAGTGATAGGAATAAAAGTGGACAAGTGACTTAAGTTCGTCAATTCAGAATGACTTTCAGGGTTTTGAAGGAAATTCTTGTACATGGATATTCTCCTATTTCCTGGATGGTTAAATGTGTGTATGAGGAGGCCAGAGTCATTCTGTCAGGACAAGGAAAACCAGCATGAAGACAAAGCTGTCATTCTGAAGAGGGTAGAGCATAAATAATTGGTTACAAATGCTTACAATTCCACCTTTCCTCTGTATTTTTTCCCTTTTCTAAGCTAGCCAAACCCTTTTATTGTTTAGACTTGCTTGATTTTGATTTTCTGTTGCTTGCTACTAAAGGCCATCCCAGTGTATACATAGGTAGAGGCCCTGCCTTTAAATGTTAACAAGCATCTTAGTTTATAATGTGTTATTAGACCAAAAATGATAGTCTTGTAAAACATCTTTCAGCCTCTGATCTCAAACAGGTAGTCATAGATCTTAACCTGATTAGCCCTCCTTTCCATTGTTCTGGGTTATGCAGTCTTGTGTCATGCTCCTTGAAAGACAGATTTTTTTTTCAACATATCACTGTTATTCAACTTATTTAGGTCACTACTAACTATTAAATCCTGCTGCCATATGCAAGTCTAATTTAGACCCCTTACTCAGAAAGTCACTGCCTCCAAGGAGACAGAATAAAGCAAGGTAACTTTCACTGGCCCATTGTACCCAGCCATGTCTTTTCTTTCCTCTGTAATGATTACCATTAAGGTTCCAGTTCTAGCATATCTTTTAACTGATTCATAAAGCTATTGTAGAGCTCAGATGAAATTGTTTATTGATCTGGTTTAGAGAAGCTGCTCATAAGAGAACATGCAGTGAGAAATTGCTATAATTTGATTACCATGTCATTTTTATTACACAACAAATATTCATTATAGAATAGAAAATCTAGATAAGCAAACCACTCCACCAATGAAAATAATCTGAAATGTCTCCATAAATTTGATGTACATTATCCTAGTCTTTTTCTAATAGAAATTGTATGTATATCTTAGAAAAATGAAACTTTACTAGTATTAGTTTTATATCATTTAAAAGTGTGTTATGAACATCGTTCTATGTCAACAAACATAAATATGTTTATTTGTTTATTGAGTCTTTTGTCCTTATAATCACTTTCTCATATACTTCTTTGTACTTATCTTTAGGGAAAACAGTGACTCAAGTTAATGATCATAAACAAAATCTTACGAAAGAATGGCTGAAAAACTGACTAAACCAGCCCTGGCTCTGTTTAGACTTGTTTGTTGCAGGGAGGAACTAAATATTATTTTCCCTTGCTTGAGTAAAAGGTCTGAGTAGATGAAACCTGTGATGTTTTCACAAACTGAGAATTGGCAAAAAGCCTTAATGCGAATTTTGTATTCCGAGAAAGGCTGAGACATACAGAGGACATTTGTTTTTACCCTAAATAGCTGACATTCTTTTATATGATAGGTATGACAACGTAGTAGAAAGGCAAGAGCACTAAATGGGCCATTAGGAAACCTGGGCTCTGAAACTGGAATTGTCACTAGCATTTCTGGAACGTTGAAAGGGTCTCTTTCCTTTTAAGAAATATCTTAGAAGCATTCTAGCTCTGCTATTTTAAGTCTCTAAGATTGGATTGAAAGATGTGGTGAATCATTAGGTGTAGGTTTTGCTTCTTCAGCTATTTCCATATAATCCTGAAAGTTATGCCATTCTCTAAAAGAAAGACAGTAAAGTAAATATTTCCTCAATTTATGTTGTATCTTTAGCTACCTACTTTATGAGCATACTCATTAACTTAAACTTAGTATTTTCCAAACAAATTTTAGTGAATGATTTGAGTGTCATACATCTTGGTTATCATCACTACCAAGTTAGTATCACTCATTACGGCTTGGTTGTAAAAATTTAGAGTTTCTAAATGTGGCCATGCTTGTTGTGCATAACTTACCTGCAGGGGTGTAATTCACATGGCTATGATCTGAATGATGAGCTAAACCTACGTCATGTGCAACCTGCAAAAAAAGTGTTTTGATTTTAAGTGCACTCATGACAGTTGTGATGGTTAATACTGAGTGTCAACTTGACTGGATTGAAGGATGCAAAGTATTGATTCCTGGTGTGTCTGTGAGGGTGCTGTTAAAGGAGATTAACATTTGAGTCAGTGGGCTGGGGAAGGTAGACCCACCCTTAATTTGGGTGGGCACCATCTAATCAGCTGCCAGTGTGGCCAGAATATAAAGCAGGCAGAAAAATATGAAAAGGCTAGACTGACTTATTCTCCCAGCCTACATCTTTCTCCTGTGCTAGATGATTCCTGCCCTCAAACATCGGACTCCAAGTTCTTGAGTTTTGGGACTCAGACTGGCTTTCTTGCTCCTCAGCTTGCAGATGAACTACTGTGGGATCTTGTGATCATGTGAGTTAATACCTTTATATATATATATATATATATATAAAATATATATGCATATATAAATTTATATAAACAAATATAAATGTATAAATATATAGGGTATAATATATATATATTTATCCTATTAGTTCTGTACCTCTATGGACTATCCTATTAGTTCTGTTCCTTGCAGATGGCCTATTGTTGGATCTTGTAATCATGTGAGTTAATACATATATATAGTATAATATATACATATTTAATCTATTAGTTCTGTCCCTTTAGAGAAACCTGACTAATACAACAGTTAAACATCTCATATAGGCAAGTAGATAGATATACATGAGTCATACATATGTGAGGGTTATGCTTGCTCATGATAATTTCTTTTTAGTTTCTCTGACTTTCCTGCTGTCTCACGCTTCCAAACCCTACACTTCGTAGGTTCACTGCCATGCCAGGATATAGGAACAAGTGCATCTCTATTAAGAAGGAACTTAATAAGTCATAGACCAATAGTCCAGGCAGAAGGAATCAGGTCAGACTCTGATGTTCTCAATTTTCCCACTAATGCCTGCTCTTGAAATTACATTCCCAGCCTGTTCCTTGGTACCCAAATTATTTGCTGGTTTCCTTCAAAAAAAAGTCAGATCTATGAAGTAGTGATTTTTGTCTATTTATTCACTGATATAATCCCAGGCTGGAGGAAAGCCTTGAATTAGGAGGTGATCCATAAATATTTGTTGAAGCAGTTCATTAATAAATATTCTGTCCAATTCAACTGGCAGCTGGTAATTTGCTCATTCCTGAACCCTAGTTCCAAGTCAGATGCTCAGTCTGCCAAAATTTCTGCCATTTTCCTTGGTTATGTAAATTGAGAGACACCAGATTCCCTGACACTGAAGCCCACATATCTGCTGTCCCAGGTCACCGAACATCTACCTGGCTGGGCTGTTGACTGCCCTTGGCCACCATAAGTTTTTGCGTCTGTGCTCTCTTTCTTGAGCTGTTTGCCCTCACATATAAGGGTGTCTTAGTCTGGCTCTGAGCACCTGCTCCAGTGTAAGATGTGTTTTATCTCAGGTCCCATGCCCTGTCTCACAGTCTTTCTCACTCCCCACTTAGGTCACATCCCAGCAGGATTAGCTATACTTGAGGCCGGCTAAGGATGAGTCTTGTATTTGGACAGCATTTGGAAATTATTTTTTTCAACCCAAGACTTGGAAAGCTTTGCAAACAGAGGGAGACACCACTGTCAGCCTCATTACCAACACTTTCAGGATAGACACCCAGCTCCTTCACATCCCTGAGAGTGGGGAAATTTACTGATGTTCTCTGAACTCCAGTTTCCTCACAAACAAACCAAAATTAGAGCTAGTATTGAGCCTGGCACAGTGGAGCCTACCTGTTTACCCAGATACTCAAGAGGCTGATGCTGTAGTATCACTTGAGGCCAGGAGTTTGAGACAAGGCTGGGAAACATGTTGAGACCCCCTTCCCCCCCAAAATAAAAATAATTTAGTTGGGCTTGTCGCACACACCTGTAGTTCCAGCTACTTTGGAGGCTGAGGTGGGAGGATCAATTGAGCCTAAGAGTTTGAGGCTGCAGTGAGCTGTGAATGTCCTACTACCCTCCAGCCTTGGTGAAAGAGCAAGACTAGGCCTCTAACTAAAAATAAATACATAAATGAGTTAAACAAAAATGAGCTAGTATTTGTGAACCTGTGTAATGTGGCCCTTTGTCCCTAGCAATTTCATTCAAATTAGCTTTCCTTCAATCCTCTCCTTAAAGGAAAACATAAAAGCAGTCATTTGTCAAAGGCCTTCTTTAAGTATCAAGGTCTTCCCAATACGAGGGGCTTGTACCTGTATCTGATCTGCTTTTGTGAGCCTGAATCTTTAGCTCCATGGAGCCCAGTTCCTGTTTCCTGACTATTGACCCCAGCCATTTAACCCCTCATCTTTTTCTTCCTTCTAGCATTTCTGCCTGTGTCGGAATCCTTACTGTACATGCTGATAATCTGCCTGACTCTTCAAAGGGCAGCCCCTTTGTTTGTTCTGCCTTCCAGTCCCTGACATAGCCTACCTGCTCTGTCTCTCAGGTGTTCTTTATCTGACATTTGTAGCATTTAGGAAATCCAATTTAGTATAAGAATTTTAACAGCTGAGAAGTCCCTTCCCTTTCTCCTTATACTTTGAAAATGAGGCTCAAGGCAGTGATATGATTTTTCTAACATAATAAATATCTGTTTCAGCAGGGGTTGCAGGGTTTCTAGAGCCTTAGTCCATTGACTCACCCAATCTGCTCCTTGTCCCTCATTCATCCTCAGGGAGTCACTGGGCCTATTAGCCAGCAAATTCTTACTTTACACCTACGACCACAGCAGCATTTTATGAACAGTTTCATTAATCATACAAGCTAAGAACATATAATTTTATGAGTAACTCATTTAGAACAAATACATTTGTTCTCTGATTCTCAATCTTCTTGAAAAGCTGCAAAGAAATTTTGACTTAATGCTTTTTTAACATAAAGGCTGTAAGAAAGACTATTCTTTACTAAACTTGTTAAGTATAGTTTGAGTGGTTAGGCCTCAAATATAGTTATAATGCATTGCATTTAACTAATTTATATTGCCTTAAATAATGCTGTTGTGCATTATTTAAGATAAGATTATTTAATCTATCAAGACAGGTTGTGAGCTCTTAGAGAACAGGTGTCAGTCATCACTGATTATCCAATAGCTAGTCCAGCGCTCAGGACGCATTTTTATTGCATGAAGAAATTCTTCAGAGCTAGTCAATGATGTAGGAAATATAGATGATAGTGGTATATATTTTAAATTGCCTATAATGTGCCCATATTAAAAAAAAAAAAAGAAAACAGATCAGTATTGTTTTGGTGGTCTGGCAAGAGACCTGAGAGATCCTTATACATTTCCCTTGCAAGTAAAAGACTCATCTTACTTGTTAGGAAACTTCTGAATTCCCCTTTTTCTCCATTTGGATGGAAGAAACTTCTCAGTGGCTGAAGTTTAGCCCCAAATGCTTATATTTTCTTCTGAATGATAAAAAAAAATGAGGAGGAATTTTAAGCAGCAAAATTTTAGCTCGTTGGGTTTTATGTCATATAAACATAGAACTCAGTCATAGAAAGGTTTTGGAGAGATCAAAATGCAAGTAAAAATCTCCAGATTCCAAGAATCCAGAATAGTCTACCATATGAGTAATGGAATCATCAATCTGTGGAGTCATTGGTTTTCTCTATTTTCCTTCCAGCCCTGAAAAACATTGTGTGTGTGTGTGTGTGTGTGTGTGTGTGTGTGTGTGTGTGTGGTTTTCCCTGAAGCAGAGTCAGAGACCCTTAATTTGCACAGGGCCAAATGTGTAAGTTATCAACAAGTTCCATGAATTGCTTTTGACCAGAAAAAGTTTACAAAGGATGCCAAAGTTCATAAAAGATGCCATTTAAGGGAGTGGCAAGCTAAGTGTTTGCTTCCCTTTCCTGCCCTAACACCCTTATAACAATCCATTCTTTATCACTCTGCAGGACTGAACTCGTTGTTGGCCACCTGTTTGGAAAACCATTCTCTTGTGGTTGGATCTAACACATACAGCATGTGAAGGTCAGCATGTTAAGTTTTCAGTTTTTTCCCACATCTAGACATTAGCTTTCTAGATAGATCCAGGCATATCATTTATCAATCTTACTTCTTCAGTTTTCCATCATTTATTTTCAAAAAGAACAACAACACTTGTTAGTTAAAATAAACAAAAAAGAAAGTTTGTTTTTAAAAAGACCAAGGCTACTAAACCTAAAACAATATTTCAAAAATTCTACATGTATTGTGTGCCGATTTTTATTACTATTTTTGGTCTAGTTTTAAGTATTACTAATGAGAATATAAGCAGAGAGTAAATAGGACTTGATATCTTAAAAATAAAGGTAGAGAATAGGGAACAGTTAAATAAGTTTACATGGCATTAGATTTACAAGTATCTTGGATTTATATCTATACTATATTTCCTTATAAAAAGAGGCATATACTTATAAAACTTTTAAAGGTACCTTGTGTGTTATTGCAAGGAATTATCTTTTTATTTGTCTATCTCCTGCACTTCATCCCTCATTTTTATTTATTCAGAAGGGATGTTTAAACTCCTGTTGGTGAGATGCACTTTAGGAGAAGTGATAAGATAACCCTACTTTTTTCTTTCATATATAATTCCTTAAGGTCAAAGAAATAATCTTTGTTTAATAACTTACTGACAGCATTTTTGCAAATGTTAACTGACCAAGGGGATTTAGGCTGTTTCATTTTGTTTTCCAACTTGGTATTTAATTTTGCTTCAGCCTCTAGGCTCTTTGGAATGCCAAGGCTGCAAGTGTAGAATGGCTACAGATCTAGAGAAAGCTATTGGCCATTGCAGGAACTCAGATGAAAAAAGATCACATGCTGGAATTAAGAGGAAGTACCTCATACATGACTATGGGTCATGCAGGAAGAAACCAATTTGTTTTATGGTTGATCCTAGTTCCAGTTGAGAGATTTAGACATTGCTACACAAAGCAGATAGCAGGGGGTTAAAAAACAGGTTGTTATGGTACTACTTGAAATTTTAGATGTAAGTAAAACCAGATATTCATTAATGCATTTGCTTGTTCTTCACTTATCTCTTTATTAAACATTTACTGTTGATCCCAGTTTGTTTCCTTTGAGTCTCCCCTCTATCCAGCGAGGTTTTTGTGGGTTAATGCAAAATGAGTGCCTCACAGGTTTTCCATTTTTAGAAGATTCGGCTTCTGCAACTAAATTGTTACTTTCCTCTGGTCATCTTCTTTCACTGATTCTTGTTCATCTCTTCACCCTTGCCTCTCAGTTAAACATTCACACCCCTCCCCCCACAAAAAAACACCCTGAGTTGTCACCTGGCTTCAAACGTATGTCTCTGCTGTGCCAGTATCTTGATCTCAGATCACTTCTGGCAGAATAATTCCAGTAACCCCCTCCATTTTTGCCAAGCAGCACAATTATTCTCTTGTACTTTTTGTTTGTTTTAGTGGCAGGTACTACTAGGTATAGCTTGGAACTGAAAGAACAATAGGGTTGGATGTTTGAGGCACAATTCTCAAAGGAATCCACATCATTGACTTCAGAATATGTTGTGCTGAAACTATCAATTACAGATTTATTATTAAGAATCCTGTACCAATTTGAGCACATAAGACTTTCCCTAGCATTTGTGCAGGAGAACCGCATTTCTGAGGAGTATTAAATGGTCATAAGGATTGTATTCTGAGAATATTAATGATATGAAAGATTAGAAAATTAAAGAAATATAAAATTTTGATAATTCAACAACAGAAATGAAAGGTATGTTGATGATTACTGAAGAAGTCACAAAATTGAAAAAAAAATCTTAGTCTCCGACCTTCAGGAGCTGAGAACTTGGTGGGAGAGATGCACAAACACATAAATATAAGTAAAACTATAAAGTGTTATGAGAGAAAAATCAACAAAAGCATCTTCCATAGGAATATACAGCAAGGAGAGAGTAATTTTAACCAAAAGAGTCTGAAAAAGTTACGGGAATATAAAGGGGTGTACATGGTCATGTTGTAGGCAGAGGAAACAATTTGAGTAAATAAGCTAATGATTTGCAAACCGAATGTATTCGTTTAGGTATCCAAACTTAATCACTGATCTAATGCTGCCATGAGAGAAATGTAAGGCATTTCTCTGCCCATAAAGAATTCCCATCCTGGTAAGGAGAAGAGACACAGAGAATTACAGTTTGATAAGTGATGTAACAGGAAGAGGTAGACTCAGAGAAGCTATCTCAGGCAGTTCTTTCTCAGAATCTCCTGGTAATTCAATTTTAAGAAATGGCAATGCCTGTAAATCACTATTTATCTGGGCATCTGATGTTTAATAGCAATTCCCAGGTGACTCTGGTGATCAAACAGGCTTTAGAATCAACTAACTATCGGATGATGAAACCTGAGTCTAGACAGAGGCAGAGAAGCTAGTTAAGTGCTGAAGGAGTGAGGAAAGGAGAAGGACAGAAATCTTCCAGGCAACGGGAAGAGCCTTTTTTGGATGCCAGAGAAAATGTTACTGGGTTCAAAGGAACTGTATGCATTTCAGAACCGCAAGAAAACAGGGTACATATTAGGGATGCATAAGAAGTGAATCTAGAGAGGAAAAGAAGAACCAGCTTGGGAAAGATCTGCATATTGTGCTGCATACTTTGCAGTTTTTTCTGCTATTGATGAGAATCTTTAAAAAGATAGGAATGTGGTAAAGGAAGCACCAAGCAAATGCTGCTGCTAATGCATTTGATATCCAAATAACTTTTTTTTTCACTTCTGTTTAAGTTCTTGGGTTGAAACATTTTACTAAAAATGGAGGTCACATGGTCATCATCCTTCTATCATAAGAGTTTGTACTCTTGGGTTCCATTTGGGTCTCCGTTAGTTTCATCTCTGCAAATAAGTTTAGTTGAGCTTTGTCCCTGGTAAAACAAAACAAAACAAAGCAAAACAACTCTGTATTTTGAGATTCTCTGTTTAAAGTCTCCTTAGATGTGAAAATAAGTAACAGTTACTGGTTTGTATTCAATGTATGTTATTAATCACTATGAAAAGCTCTAAAATCTCTGTTTTCTGATTAGTGATCTTTGGTTGCCAAAAAATTCCAGTGAAATATAGTTCTTTAAGCCCTTGCTAAGAGCAAGATGTGTGTGTAAATTCTGCGAGTGATAAGAGGGTGAGCGGGCACCCTCTCTGCCCTTATGAATCTTACAGGTAGAGCTAAAAGTGTAAAGAAGGTTTGAGTCTTAGGTTTCTCGTTAACAGCTGTCATCCTGGGAAAATACTTGCCTGCAACCTTATTTATTCATCTGTAAAAGGAATTCCTGAACAAGAGTATCTCCAAACTCCTTTCTAGTTTTAACTAGGAGTTTCCAGAAATCTAGCAGAGAAAGATATGGGGATAACAAAGTAGAAGTCTATATTGCATAGTGTTATTTAGGACCATGTTCTCTGGAGTCAGTCAAACCTGGGTTTAAATCCTGGCTCCATTATTTACTTACTGGAAAAACTGGGATAAGTTACCACCCCAATCATCTGTTTCCTTGTCCATTAAACACATGCTTATAATAGTGACTACCTCTTATATAATTATTATTACAACAAGCAAAGAGCTAATAATAATTCAAAGAAAAGGTCACGTATGAATGAGGGCTCACAATGCACTTACAAGAAGACAGCAATTGAGAAGATCCTTGAAGATGAAGGAGGGTCTCAGTAGGTAGAATCAGCAGACGAGAGATAAGAGACAAAAATGAGAGAAGTTCTTTCTAAAGGAGGGTAAAACTCACAAGGTTTTCACACATGTAGAGAACAGGATATACAGTACAATAGAACCTTCTACCTTTCATGAGTGATGCTTCCCTGAGGGCTGATCACTCATGATCACTCATGATTGAAACTACTTCACTGATAAATTCAAGGGAATGAAGTGACTTGCTTCATCGTTTCAGCAGAGAGCTTTCATGAAACCAGGATGGCAGTCCAAATATCATGGGTGCCAGGCCCTGATTCCATCCTATTCAATGGTAGATGAGTTCTTACGTATGAGTCCTGCTGTCGGATCTTGATGAGTAAGGGTTTGGACAAGTAACAGGTGAAATGGAAACTTGTTCCTGAATAAGTGCCAGTTTTGAGTAGGCCTCACTCTCCTTGGGAGGACTTCCATCTCCCTGACTCATCTACATTGGCTTTTGTAATTTCCACTGGACGTTTGCCTGTGTTCTACTTTGCTTGTCTTGGATCCAAACTCCAATTCTGCCACTTTCTAGCTGTGTCAGGTTGAATAAGTCACTTAATATATAGTCCTCATTTTCGTCATCTATAAAATGGTGATATGATGCCTTTCTAATTATGTCTTGTAGTACAAAATAAAAATAAATACAAATGTTTATATACTCCAATTGAATATGATTAAAATGAGGAATAATGATAGTTATTTCCATTAATTCTTCAAAAACTGGGCTATAGACCTTTGAAAATTTGAGGCGTAAGCAAAGAAACGTACTTGATTTGTTGTTGTTGAGCCTCAGTTACATAGATTGGCTTTCTATAATGGTCAGATCAACTGAACAATTGTCAAAGTTTCACCTCCTTCATTTCAATACAATATAAGCTAAAAAATTCTGAAGTGTACCTTGGACTGAAACCAAGTTTCTATAATTCCAGTCCATTTTTCTATTAAAATGATTAGCCTCTTGAATGTAAAATGTATTCCAAAATAAACTACACTATTACAGGGTCACCTTAGAAGGATCTCTTTAGAATGCTCACAGTAAAATATCTCATCTGATAGAAAGATAGCAAAAATCTATCGAGAGCCTAAATACTATTGGATACCCTCCCCCAACTAGAATATCTTGTTCACTGATGAATTTCTGGTGCCTAGCACAATGTATGGCACATAGAATTCATTTGTTCATTTATTAATTCACTCAACATATATGTATTAAAACCCAGAATTTAATAAAGCTAGTCACACAATCTTTATTCTCATTGGGCTTCAACAAACAAACAAACAAACAACATCATCATGTGGTCATCTACAATGATACATTCACTGTACTTGGTATTGCTGTGCATGTACAAGCACAGGCAAAAGAAAGCATCCCTGCTCCTAAGTTGTTTATAAGATGCTTCTCACGAACACATTTCTTAATACAGTGATGCACATTCACAAGTCTTTGTCTTTGTTCAAGATGTTTCCCTTTAGGAACACTCCCTTCTTTTCTAAGAAATTCTTATTATTTAAGAACTACATCAACCATTATCTTTTCCATGAAGCTTTTTGTAATGAGTTTCCAGAGGCATTAATCATTTCCTCATTTATGGTCCTATAACATTTTGTGGAAACATGTATTTCAACATTGTAGACCTAGATTGATCTATCTATGTCTATCAACTCTGTCTATCTATCTATCTATCTATCTATCTATCTATCTATCTAAACTTCTATTTGCCTGCAAGCTTCTTGAGTGGCATTCTATTAATCTATAGTTACTAAGTGGCTGACCTAAGCCTGACATATTCTCTACTTGGTGAATCCCATTCCTTCCTTTCTTCCTTCCTTCCTTTTCTTCCTTCCCTCCCTTCCTTCCTTCCTCCCTTCCTTCCTTTTCTTCCTTCCCTCCCTTCCTTCCTTCCTCCCTTCCTTCCTTTTCTTCCTTCCCTCCCTTCCTTCCTTCCTTTCTTCCTTCCTTCCTTCTGTTTTTTGGTTATAGACTAATAAACATCATCTAGAGGTATCAAATATATAGAAAGCTTAATTGTGACATACTAAACTATCCAGTTACTGATTCTAAGTCCAACAAAAAGAGAGGAGAGTAACTGAAGATATCAATTTGGGCTTCACAAAGTTAATATTTATTCCTGAGGGATGGTTAGGATTATGATAAATGGTAGGGAAAATAAAAAAGCATTTTAGGCAGAAGAAATTGCATAAATATGTTGAGAGACTGAAGTATTCATGGGTTAAGAAGAAAGCATACAATTGACCAATGAGATCTAATTAAACTAAAGGGCTTTTGCACAACAAAAGAAACTATCAACAGAGTAAACAGACAACCTACAGAATGGGAGAAAATTTTTACAATTTATTATGCATCTAACAAAGGTTGAGAATTGCTTGAACCCAGGAGGCAGAGGTTGCAGTGGTCTGAGATCGCGCCATTGCACTCCAGCCTGGGCGACAAGAGTAAAACTCCATCTAAAAAAATAAATAAATAAAAATAAATAAATTAGTAAAATTTTTAGTTGTGTATCAAGAAATCTGGACAATCAAAGCCTGAAGTTGCTTCCCCTTATTGAGAAGAAGGAAATGGAAATGGTTCTATAAAATTAACTGATGCAAGGCAGGGTTCCCGGTACCAGAGCTAAATAGGACAGCATGGAAGTTATTCAGATGAACAATGAGTGTGAGTACAAGTTGCACCCTAAGGAATACTAAGTATAAAAGATGGGGAACCCAAAGTTAATTCTCAAGTCCAAAGGTCAGGACTGGAATACAAATGACAAATAAACTACAAAGGCTGCAAATTCAGGAAGCCATTAGAAGATAGGGAGGTGACGCCGGTGCAGTGCAAACAGCGAGAAAAAGAGTAAAGGGAGAGAACTCTTGGTAATTTCCTAAAATACAATTGATTAGAACTTGTTTTTATTAGTTTCCCCATACCTGGTTGGTGGGAGTTCACTCTGGTTTAAAAGTGTAAGTAGATGGAAGTTTAAGTTTACAGGTAGCAGTAAAAAAAGATGCTACCTAATCTGTTGCTTGATCACTGTTACTCTCTTGTCTAAAACCTTCAGTTACTCTCAAAGATAAGTTCAAATTTATCCATGCTCCTTCATCTGGAACTGAAGATCTTCCACAAGGTTACCATCACCTGCCACTCCAGCTTCATTTTCTTATGCTGACCTAAACATATGCTAAACTCTGGACATACCAAAGTACTCACTCACTGCTTCTTAATTTAATACTTACTCCTACTGCCTCTAGGCCCTTGATAATATTATTTCTATCCCTGATGTGATTTAGCACCAGTGTATTGGAATAAAATAGAAAGTTAGTCATCTAACTTTCTATTTTATTGTGTTAGGTAGGGACTGCTTTTGTATATTTGTCACTCCAGAATGTTTAAGTGAGAACAGATGTGCTGAGTTAAGAACACACCAGTTAAGCTAACTGGACTGGGAAGGTTGGCATGAGTGCAGTGATAAGGACTCAACCTAACAGTTTATAGAGAGTATCCTACATTTCCTGGCAATTTCAGTGTTTCCTTGCCCAACATGGATTAAGTACACACTGAAATCTTACCATTTGCATAGTCTTTTTGATTTACAAAGAAGAGCTGACATTGACTTCATGAGAGAATACTTAAATATTTGGAGAGAAAACAAGAAGGAAATACAAAATAATGAAAGGATATTAATAATGACCAATTGAATGTGTTTGAGTCAAAAGAAAAAAAAAAGCCTCAACTTGTGAGATTAAGCCCAATTCAGACAGATTCATTTTATGTCCTATTTCATAATGAACATAGGATATATGTGGAAGGGTGTAGGGCATTCAAGAGAAAGGTTTTATGCCAGAATGACTTCATGAGTTGCCTACTAACTCAAAGGGAGTAGAATGTTAACCTTTCACATTAGGTTTATTCCAACCTGGTTCACTCAAAACACCCCCCATTGCTTAATCATGCTGTACCATGATGAACATCTTGTTTTTCCAGGTGAAGTAAGTTACAGAATGAGTAACAACATATGCCTTGCTACTGAATTTGAGGCTGATTTTTGATGAATGATTCACTGAGTAATTGCTGAGGTTTGGCTTAAGTAAAACTTGAATTCTATGAAAGAAAACAGATGCATAAACAGCATACTATTTTCAGGGCCTCATGCTTGCCCAAGCATTCTCCACATTGGAGATGTCAATTATTCCCATCATGAACTGATTCATGAATTTTGTAGGTAACATTTGTACCAATGGTGATCCTACCACTATTTGAACCCCCACCAAACCAGACCATTTCCCTTTCAGTCAGTTCTAACTGTTGGAAAGTCCCTTCTTAATTGAGCATAATTCTGCTTCTCTGTGCTTTTACAATATTTTCTAGTTATATTCTCTGAAGCCTGCCAGAAAGATCATAATTCCTTTGGGCCATCCACCCATTATTTAAAACCCACTGTCACGTTTGCTCTGTTCCCTTTTTGAAAACAATTAAAATACTCTTTTTGTCCCAATTTCCTTCAGTCATGCTTCATGTGAGATAGTTGCCAGATAGTTGCCGATCTCCTCATTAATCTCACTAACTGGAACCTTCTCTAGTTGGGCTTTATCTTAAATAGTGGTACCCAAGAGTAAACACAACAAATCCAGGTGTGGGCTGCCCGTAATGAACACTAGACTTCCAGTGCAACATCACATAAGCTAGTGTAATAGGATTTTAAATTAGAATCATTTCTGACTCAGTTTTTACTGAATCCACTAGACAATAAAGACCAAGTTCCAAAATGAAACAAGAGACCTATGCCGGAGTTGCAAAAATGGTGTCTGAGAACCAGTTTTGCAGCCCCTAGTGGACCAGCTATCTCTCTCCCTTTCAAAACAAACAAACAAACAAATAAACTTAACCCCAAGAAAGGAGTTAGAGTTTAGGAGATAATTTTTGGAGGGAGCTATTGATATGTACTGAGTACCACTTTTATGTCACCACGGAGGGGGCAGACACTGGGAGTTCTTGAATCTCACTTTAAGCCTAAAGAACAAGGCTTCAGTTCATCTGCTCTGAACACTTGGTGTTTGCTCCCTGGATCTAGAGAAACACGGTAAACCTGTGCACTTCTCCAGCTAAGAAATCTAAGGAACAAAAGTTCTAGCAGACACATTGCCTACATGATGGAAGATGACTGCATGATGGAGGAGTGGCTATAAAGAGATTTGGCCTATGTACAGGGGTACAGATACTCATATCACTGGAAGGAAGCGGTATCTTTGTGCTTTGAAATGACTAAAATACATTATATTACCTGAAACATTACCTGAAAATGACATAAATGTCATAGAACTTGCCCTATATTTTATTCAAGGGTCAGGGGAAGAATAGGCCCAAACCAAATGGATTTGAAAGCACCATAGGAGACAAAAATGAAATTGTTTTATGACTACACTTTTTCTTTCCTTTGTTTTCAACTTAGTAAGTTGTTTTATATATAGATATAGATATACATACACACACATACATGTGTGTACACACAAACATACATACATATGTATATGCATGGCACATATATAAAACAGCAAACTTATAAAAATCATACTAACTACAATTTATTGCTTATTTATTGAGTTCTATGCACTTCATTAAGACCTTTACAAACGTTATTCATTTTTCACAGCCATTTTATGGGACAAAATTCATAATTCTCATTTTATTGACAAGAAGGCAGCCTCAGAAATGTTAACTAGCTTGCTCAAGATCTGTCATATATAAATGGGCTTAGCCTAAACTCGAGTCAGCCTGACTATGAGGTCCAAGCTTTTAACCACCGCTTTTTTTATATTAGTTATAGCTAGCATGGCCTTTCAGAACAGCAACTGATTTTATTGTTTAGATTTTTCCAATATGCACTGGAAATTTCAAAGGGAGTTAGAAGACTATTTATAGGATATGGTATAAGTCAGTTTACTCCTTCTAATAACTCTTATTATCCTAATAAATATAGAGGGAACATTTTGTGACATTAATGGAAACAACAGAACTAACACAAAAATATGCTGTTCTTGACACAAGAGCTTGCTGTTCTGTTTAACTGAAAATGCAAGGCTGCTTCCACCTGCAGACCAAAAGGACAACTGCAATACTTCCAGTTCTACAATTACTTCCTTTAATAGACCAACAGCCACGGTGCTAGATTAAGGGTGTCACTCAACTGATCGCCAGGTGGCTCTAAAGCCTCATCCAGGAGTAGTGCAAGCACTGGGTGAGTAGGAACATGGTGCATAATGAATTGACCAAACTGTTGGTCTTAGAGATCTTGCAAAATCAATAGCCCTGGAGCTGCAAAGATGATTAGGACACTTTTGCCAGCCTAGTATCCATCCTGGAGGACCCTGAATGTTTCAGAAGGGGAAAGTCCAATATTACTCCCTCTTCTGTAAAATGTGGGGGCTCTGAGAATTAAATTATTACACATTTGCTGAGAGCCTACCATATGCCAGGTAGAATTTTAAGCATGTGGGATGCACTGGTGAACGAAAGATGTCTGTCTTCACAGAGCTTAGATGAGATAATATATCTGAAAATATTTTGTAAACCTTATTGAGCAACACACAGTAATAACTTTTCTTCATGTTTATAATAAATTGGAAAACACATCATATTTCTAACTAATATGCCTATATACTCTTATTGGGAGTGGTATTATAGCTTAAGACTGTTGTCAGAATTACCTGAATGGAGTTCTTTACTTCCTGCTTCTGGTCCACTCACTGAAGAGTAAACCTCTCAAGGACTAGGATGAGTTCTTCCAACCGTTTATTTTCTCTGTGTCCCAAGAGAAAGTACTAGAGTCAGAGTACACTGTTCATAAATGTGTGCTGGATGGAATGGAATTAAACTATAAAAGAGTTGATAAACCAAAATGTTGAAGCCTAGGGAGGGTCAGAATGCAAAAGAGATGTGTCTATATAGATTGGTGAGCAGTTTATTCTGCATCTGTGCCCTCCATCCTCACAACACCCTACACATTTCTTAGAAGTGCACTCACATCCCATCCATGAAGTGTTTACTGCTCTATCAGTTTGCATGACTCTCCTTTTTGTATCTCCTATTACATTATGGCCTCACTCACAGAAATTCACATGCAAGCCTGAATGTTTTATGTTATTCTCTAAGAGTAGTAAACTTAAATTCAGGAACAATTCTATAGCCACCTGAATAATTCCCCACTCCCTATCACATACAATGTTCAGTGACCATTAGGAGCGAATGAATGCTATAGTCTAGATTTTTTTTTTTGTGAAAGAATCTATGATTTCCAGAGATATGTATGCACATGTGTGTGTTTGCATATGAGAATGCATATGCTTAGCATTTTTTGGTCTTTATTTCTTTCCATTAAGTTCTGATATTTGGATTTGGGACCTATTGGTGCTAGTTAGGGAAGAGTTTGTAGCAAAGATGGAATTCTGATACCCTCTTTTCTAAAACTTTGTCTGTGATTTGTAGTATATAACTCTTAAAAAATTGTTTTTCTTTTGTTGTTCTAAACTCATCTCTCAAAGTATGGCCATCTGTTTCAAAATCAGAATTTTATACAAAACACATGTAAAATATGAATTCCTGGCTTCCACTCCCAATTTCCTGAATCCAAATGTCTGGGAGTGGAATTCCTGGGTTTGCATTTATAACAAGTGGCCTTACAGAGTCCAGTGTACACTCAGGTTGAAGAACTACTGCCTTGGAGTGCACTGTTAGCAGGTAAAGTACACTGTGAAAAGTCCCTGTGTGAAATGTCAGCAACAAGTCCAGGACTTTTCCTGCAAAGGGCATGTGCTTTTGGAATTGGTTTGCTCTCCCAGATCAGCAGAGTAAATCTTAATAGCATTTCAGATTTTAGGGCACAGGGAAAGATTCTCTGTGACTCACCAAAGCAGCATGTTTGTATTCCGTGGGCAATGACATTCTTTGAATGAGCACTTAAAAAACAGGTATTTTTTTTCCAACTGTTAAACAAAATAAGTAAAATAAAAGCATCTGTAATGTACCTCGCAGATAGTTATAACGATCGCTAATGTGTACAGTAATCACCCCTTCTCCTTGAGGAATATGTTCAAAGACCCTCAGTGGATGTCAGAAACGAAGGACAGTACTGGATCCTACACACACTATACGCAACAGTAGGTCAGATCACCGAGGCAGCTATTAAGTGACTAAGGGGTGGGTAGTGCATACAATGTGGAAATGCTGGCCAAAGGGATGATTCATATCCCATGTGAAGTGGGATGGCTTGAGATTTCATCACGCTATTCAGAACAGTGTTCAATTTACCACTGATGAATTGTTTATCTATGAAATTTCCCATGTAATTTTTGCAGACCATGATTAACCACTGGTAACTGAAGCCTCAAAAGGGAAATTCTGGATAGCAGGGGTGGTACTGTAGACCCTATGTATAGAAATAATTAAGCTTATATTCCACCTATGGTTTTCCATGCAGCTTTTACATTTAAATTTACGTTTTATATACTTGAATAAAATGAATTAAAATTAGAAAAAACAAAGTTTAGCCACAAAAAGTTTATTATTGTAATATATTTTGAAAAATGGTTTATCAATACTGATTTTAGCCTTTTATACTGTATATTATGATCAAATAATTTTCAAATGGAAAAAAGTAATCCTTTTATAAGCTGTTGGTAAAATAAGAATCTTAGTAGCTGATTCATGCCAGAGTAATTACCTCTTTCTGGCCTTTTCTCTGCTCCTTTCTTTCTCTCCCTCCCAATTTCTTTCTCTCACTCTGTCTCCCCTTTGACATTCTCTCCTACATTAAGAATCACCACTTTGTTTTTACTGTTCTCATTCAAAATTTTTATTTTAGTATATAGAAGTCTACCTGATGAAGAGAAAATGTTGATATATGTGCTTTTTAAAGCATATTAAAGAGTATTGGTTATGGAATTTGTAGACCCATTAAGGATACCTATTCAGATACAGATAAAATTCCAGTTGCCCCAGTTACATATTAAAAACTTTTTTTTACAAAAAAGAAACACACTTTCTTCCTAATATAACAGTTTTTTTTTCTTCATTAGACGCGTTTTCAAACATTGGTCCATGAGGGAAAAGTAATAATATAGGAAATTCTTAGTCATGTTAATATTTTCCATTTAGCTATTACTGACAGATGCTATTCTAAGCGACTTACAGGCACAATATCTTTTATTCCTCATATGAAGAACAAGCATTATATAAAGAAAATATTAATACATGCATTTTCAGAAACTACAGCCCAAGGGCTCTCAGACCATAAATTCAGAGCAAGAATTTCCACCCAGAGCTGTCTGCATTAAAATGCACACTTGTTCCCACTCTACGATGCTGAAAGGTTAGGAGCCTTGGCTGTCCCTACTGCCCAGGTGCTACAAGTCCTTCATGGGGCTGTTCTACGCAACACTTTGGAATGCAGACTCCCTTGAGCGAGCACTTGTTTAGCATAGTTTCACCAGTGGCCTGTCTGTCTAAAGTAGTCGGCGAATATTAAAATAGTCCTAACAATAAAATAACACTCAGTCAACCGTGTAGCCTTCTTCCGAGTGGGGAGGAGAATAGCTCACTCTCCCTAGAGGGCCTAAGAAAGATCAGTTTACAGGTTCCAGCATGGGGTGGGACCCTTCCTCCTTCCCCCGTCTTGGCACTGGCACTTGGTCTGGTGACCACCACTAGCCCACAGTTGGGTCAGAAAACGTTACAGAACTCCTCTCTCCCCCACCCGAAACACACTCAGCCCTTGCACTGACCTGCCTTCTGATTGGAGGCTGGTTGCTTCGGATAATGACCTCCAGGACCCCACTGTTGGTTACAGCCTGTTTGTATTATTCTTACTGCAACTCAAGACACCTGCAGCAGGGCGTGAGAAAAAGTAAAAGACCAGTATTTTCACATTGCCAGGTACCAGAAACACAGAAGACTGACACCCGCCACTTAAGTGGGGCCAGGGCTGGTGTCTGCCCATGTTGCCATCCTGATGGGCTGCTTGCCACAATGAGGGATCTTCTTCAATACATCGCTTGCTTCTTTGCCTTTTTCTCTGCTGGGTTTTTGATTGTGGCCACCTGGACTGACTGTTGGATGGTGAATGCTGATGACTCTCTGGAGGTAAGAAGATAGCAGCTTCTTTTCATGATCCAGGCCAGCCCAAATTTTCGCTAAGTCCCAACTGCCATGTACAACATTCAGTATCTTTACTAAGGCTAATGATACCAAAAATAGGCAACATGGACTATTTATTGAGTCTTTACATTATTAGCTCATTTAATCCTCATAGTTAATTTATGAGGTAGGTCTTGTTATCCCATTAAACAGATGAAGTTACTAAATAGTTCCTCCTTTTTTCACAAGGATAAATTTCCACAAGGGTAATTAAGTGATCTCTGCTACTGAGACCTCCAGAAATTCACGTCTTCCATTGCTGCATATATCATATTGAGTAACATTTCAGTACCACCCTTTTTTCTAAGATAAATTTTTTACTCTTGATGACAGCATTAAGAATAGTGTGATAGACTTTTTTTAAGGAGTGTTAATAATCTAAAACGTTGAGAAAGAAAATGCAAGGCATGCAAAACCTACCCAATTAACATGCAAGAGGAAAAAACATTATCTTAATGATTTCCAAGTAAAAGAAAAAATGTTGAGGGAGAAAATGTCTTTCCAGTGCATCCCAATGTACGGGGGACAGGCATGGATTTAAATCCTCCCTTAAAATGAGTTGCTCTAGGGAACTGACTACTATTCAAAAGATGAGTGAGTGGGTTCACATTTGAGGATTTTATTTTTCTCGCTGGAGAAGCTCAGAAAGAAGTAATTTTGAAGTTCAAAACCATTACCTGTGGCCATAGGAATCTGAGAGAGGCAGAACTGAGTAAAAAATCAAATCTTCAGAATTAGCTGCTGTTCATTAATGAGGCTTAGGAAAACACAGGTAAGAAAAAGAAACAATATTTCAAGAGCTCAAAAAAAGGAGTATATAGCAAAACAATTTGCTTTTTAATGTGCATCCTGAAGGGAACAATTTACCCTAGCAAATGCTATAATGTCACCTCTATAAAGTTTAAGAAAGATACTCGACTGAGTTTATATATTTTTCTTCTAATTTTCTTTATTAAACTCTCAAATTGGAGTTCCAAATGGAAAGTAATAATGATTCTATTTTGCTGTGCATTATTTTTGCTGCTCGCTTTTTCTTGCTTTTAATTTGCCTCTGACTTGAACATGGCATTTCAAAACCAATGGAGTTAGGAATACCTCTTTAATGCTAGAAAATTACATTTCCAAAAATTGTGATAGAATTGAACTACTGTAAAGGATGTCTGCTATAAGTGAGCCCAGTGATGCATTTTATCTGGCCATGAATATATGCAAAGAATGAAATAAATGCCCTTTGAACAGTGCTCAGGGAAAAGTGCAGATAAAACGTTCTGCTGTCATTAGTTTGCCATTATCTAGATGGCCAGTGGTAGGTGATGAATACAGAAATATGTTTAACTTGAGCATAATTATAATTATGTTTTTTAAAATACAAAAAAATGTAAAATCCCATCTAGGGGCATTGTTAAAATATTTTCTAAAACAATTTAAAAGTCTTTCTGCTTAAGCTGACATAATTGCTAACTTCATTTGATAAGAAATAGTTTTAGAAAGGGTCAAACCTTGCTGAGAGAGAGATTGAGAGTCCTGGAATTTAAAGTGTCTTCTTTCATTTTAGTATAACCAACCAATTTGCCATCTGTCCCATGAAAGAATACTTCTAGTTAAAACGAATGGAATGAGCAGTCCAGGTTACACACCTCAAGTAAACCCTTGCTAACCTTGAAAAATAGTTAATATTTCTTAGCTTCCTTCTTATTTCCCATACTTAAAATGTATTGCTATAATATTCCCAAGAAGCCTTCACATTTAAAGGAAGAGGCTGGGCATGGTGGCTTATGCCTGTAATCCCAATACTTTGGAAGGCCGAGGCGGGCAGATCACAGGTCAAGAGATTGAGACCATCCTGGCCGACATAGTGAAACCCCATCTCTAACAAAAATACAAAAATTAGCTGGGTGTGGTGGCAGGGGCCTGTAGTCCCAGCTACTAAGGAGGCTGAGGCAGGAGAATCGCTTGAACTAGGGAGGAGGAGGTTGCACTGAGCCGAGATTGTGCCACTGCACTCCAGCCTGGCGACAGAGCGAGACTCCATCTTAAAAAAGAAGAAGAAGAAGAAGAACCCTGTAACAAATCCGGCTCCCTTCTCTTTCAACAATCTCTTTAGTTGTCAATATTTTTAAAGAGACAATAATCTCTTATAATAATTGCTACTTCAACAGGCCAGGATAGAAACTTATATTTTCCACAAATTTGAAGGTTCTGATGCTAGCTCAATTGCTCTTCTCTTTTCTTGCCGCCATCCTCATTTATATATCACCTTTGGTCCATATAACAACTCACTTTATGTTTTTATTTTTATTTTTTTATAGATTTGGTCTCACGCTGTCACCCAGGATAGAGTGTACTGGTGTGATCATATCTCACTGCAGATTCAAACTTCTAGGCTCAAGTCATCCTCCCACCTCAGCCTCCCTAGTAGCTAGGCCTACAGGTGCATGTCCCCACAACTGGCTAATTTTAAAAATTTTTTGTAAGAACAAGGACTTTCTCTGTTCTCTAGGCTGGTCTCCAACTCCAGGCCTCAAGTGATCCTCTTGCCTCGGCCTCCTAAAGTACTGGGATTATAGGAGTGAACCACCACAGCAGCTCACTTTAATCCATTGTTGGACAAAAGTCAACGAAACAAGTGTTTTGTTTTGTTTTGATTTTTTAAGAAAAAAAAGGAATACCAATAGACAATTTAAATAAGAAGGAGTATTATACTTTTCCAGTTTTTTTTTTTTTTTTTAGTATATTTGGATGATGTTGGCACGGGATTTAGAAGAAGAGTTTTGTGGTTCAATTCAGTATAAAAATATATACAATTATATCATATAAAAGGAATGATGCTACTCCTACTAGAAGAGACAAAGATAAAGCAAAAATTGCTCCTGCCTCTCAGGAGTGCACATTTAATGAGGGGAAAACAAAGATACACATGAAACTATAATAAAAAGCATAAATAAATTCATATTTTGAGCAAGAAATAAACGAAGTATCATTGGGGAAGAAAATATGCGATGATTACTTCCTATCAGGGCCATCGAAGCAGGTCTCATGAAAGAAAAGGCATTTGAGCAAAGCCTTGAAACGATGTAAAGCATTTCAAATTGTAGAAATGGCAGCAGGGGCCTTTCAGATAAGGGGACAGAGTGGCAAAAGTGCAAAGAGAGGAGAAGCTCAGGGCTTGTTAGAGGACTAAAGTGGGCAACACAAAGAAGGAGGCAGAAAAAGCTCAGATATTCTTTTTGCCTACCACACTCTACCTATCTCAAATGAAGTTCTTCGTATTAGGTAAAAATGCTAGGAAAGAAAATAGCACACAGAATTACGATGTGCACAACCCTACATCAGTGACTAGAGGCCCTCAGCTACCATCCTGCTCTTGTCATTATTGATTCATTTGTGTCTCTGAGAAGACTGATAGGGAGAAGAGAATTTGGGTTTTGAGATTTTTCAAGCGTATGTTTGCATCTTAACCCTTATTAACTGCCTTCTATTAAGCAAGTCACATTTCTTGTCTTTGGCTCAGTTTTTTCAATTGTATAGTTGAACTCAGTTGTTTCTAAGGTCCTTTTCAGTCTTTTTTTTTTTTTTTTTAACATCATGTCTCCATGACTGTCTGAAACTTCAGAGAGTTGGACACTCACTAATGGACTGGTGGTGTCTGGCACTTCTCCAGACATTTCCATTGGGAATCTAGTGGAAGGATCCTCCATTTTTCTGTAGCTTCATACACTCTCCCTTCCTTCATTCCAACTTCTCTTTTTCCTTCATTTCCTTGTTCCTTCCTTCCTCTTCTTTATTCCCCCTCTCTCTTTTCCTCCCTTTTCTTAACTCTCTCTCTTTCCCTCCTATATCCTTCTTTTTCTTTCTTTCTCTTTCTTCTTCATCTCTTTACCCCTTCATTTCTCTCTCTTTTCTTTCTACCTTTTGTCATTTCACAAATAATCTCTGACAACTTCTGTATACTTGGCACCATGGTGGGTACATGGTTATGAAGTAGGATGAGACCTGGAGCCTCCCTAGGCTACTGCCAGTGTAGTGAGTGGGACAAATAGGTGAACCGACAGTTATAGCACCATGTAGCACACACTATGATAATGAAAACCCTAAGCGAGTGGCTCACTTGGTCTTGGATAACCAGTGAAAGCTACCCAAAAGAAGAGATATCTAAACTAGGACTTGAAGAACAGGTGAGTGAAGCAGGAGAAGTAGAGAGTATTCCAAGCTCAGGAAATGGCAGGAACTGAGGTCAAGGTACAAGAGCGTTGTATGTTTGCGGTATTTTGTATATTTCATCATAGTAAGAATTTCCAGTTTAGAGAAAAGAATACAGGGGTTGGGTCATTAAGAGTTTTGCATAACATGTAAAATATAGATCTTATACCATAGGCAAGGGTTTGTCGCTGTAAGCAATATGTACATGTATTTTAGAAAGATTAATCATTCTGGCTATCTGTGGGGAGAGATTGGAAGGGTAAAATGAGGTATGGGGAGAACAACTAGGAGACTTTTGTTATAGACCAGAAGGGAGACAATAGTGGTCTGTACTTCAGTGACAGCAAGCATGAAGAAATATGAAATAAGGGAGGCTCTAAAAATGTCAAATTGATGAGAGTTATAATTGACTGCATGTGGGGAAGTAGGTGATGAAGAGACACAGTCAAAGATGAAATCTGCCTTTCTGATCTGGGGCAATTGGAGGGGTGGTGATGTTACTCACCAAGAGTTTAAATGAATGAAAATTAGTATCTATACAGAAACCTTCATGGAGCAATGTCCCTGAACCATCCTACTATTTTTTTCTGCTTAGCTTATTATACAATACTTAGAGGTAGGAACACAATTCTTTACAATGGAGATGTTTATAGATTTAACTTTATATCAGAGGGACCTGAGGTTAAATCCCACCTTACCAGGCAGTGGCTGTATGAATTTAGACAGACTCTTAAATAGCTATAAACCACATTTCCTATTCAGTAATGAGAGAATAACAATACACACATCATAAGTTTCTTGTGAGAATTAAATGAGCTTGTGTATCTAAAGCATTTGCCACAGCAGCAGGCAGATATGAATCAGCCAATAAATATTAGATACATTATTGTCTATTTGCAGTTTATTGGTTTGTTTTTGTTCTGGAGAAGGAGATGACATTTTGCATAATGTTCGCTGAACAGAGAAATATAAGGTTTAAATTCTATTCCTATTTTTGGTATTGCTTCTCTTGGAGAAATTTTGTTTCCTCCTCTAAAGCTGTCATTTGCCTTTTTTTTTTTTTTTTTTTTTAAATCAGAATCTCTCTCTGTCGCCCAAGCTGGAGTGCAGTGGCATGATCTTGGCTCACTGCAGCCTCCACCTCCTGAGTTCAAGCGATTCTCCTGCCTCAGCCTCCTGAGTAGCCGGGACTACAGGCAAGCACCACCACACCCGGCTAATTTTTTTGTATTTTTTGTAGAGACGGGGTTTCACCATATTGGCCAGGCTCGTCTTGAACTCCTGACCTCAGGTGATCCGCCCACCTCATCCTCCCAAAGTGCTGGGATTACAGGTGTGAACCAGCATGGCTGGCCACCCATTTTTATATTTACATCTATTTCCTTTTTGTCTGACCAGGGAAATAAGACAGATAATAAGTCAAATAGTGAAGGTTATTTATCAAATGCTCACATTTACAAAGAAAATAAATTGAGATAATAGCATTGTTAATATGTTAACTACAAGATATGCAATTCTTAATTATTTACACTGAAATAGTTTCTTCACACAGTAGTTACTGATCTCTCAATTATAAAAAGGAAAAAGTGTTTTCACAAGAAGATTTCATTTTCAGTTCATCTTTGTTAATTATTTATTGAGAACCTGCTATGTACTGAGCACTAGTATGATTAAAATTTTATTACCTCAAAACAAAGTTGCTCACATTAGTATTTATTTTATCTGTATAATCAGGTTCTCTTCTGGGATTTCTATTTGCATTAATATTACAATTCTTTTAAATATAAAGTAAATATTAAAATTATTATATCCAGCATGCCCGTTGATTATATCCATTTTTAAACTTTCCAATTGATTTCAAACTCTTTCAGCAGATGTTTGAGGCTACAAATGTTCTCTTATTTATCTCATGATTTCCTAAGTACCTAGCACTGATGTACATTAATGTGAACTCATGATGCATTTGCTCACATGAGTTGATAGAGCGCCTAGTAACACACTTAGCATACCTGTTGAAAGAATGAATATATTAATGATATGAGGTGATTATTGAAAATCTCACATTGAACCTTAAATAAGAAGTATGTCTGTAATGAAATGATCATTTTTTTAAAGCAAGATTTCGTATCTTGCTACAATTTAAATATTTTCAGGATATGTATTTGGTTCATTTTTAAAAATAAAATTGGAATACAAATCTGATTCTTGGGATATCTAATAAGGTTGATGAAGAGTATATTCTGGACTAGAGAATGTGGCTTTTTGCTTAGTGCTTTAAAGAGAGAAATAAAGAAAACAGAGAGAAAAAAGAAATTGATAATTTGTAATAATTTACTCAACATAAATTGTGATCTTTATCACTGGGCAATAATCATTACAAAGTTGTAATGCCATACTTTTAAAAGGAAGACATTTTAACGTATGTAACCATTTAAAAATGTTAAAATGAAAATATTTAGAAAGTTCAGATATATAACGTAGGTCATATACCTGTGAAGAGCACAAAATTTTATTTTTCTACTAAGTTGGCATTACCCATTTCTTATGATTTATACCTTTAGCCAGTGCTCCACAAATAACCAGAACTAAAACAAATAAATTTTAGCAAATAAAGTCATGTTTTTCTTTCGTATCTTATAAATGTAAGATATAAAGTAAAAAGAAAAGGCAACATTGATTATGATTATTTTAGTCTTGCTCCCTCATCTTTATTAAGGCCTGTATTGACTCCATTTAGGCCCTGGGATAGTAAAAAATATAATATAAAATGTAAAGGTAAAATGTTCAGAGTCTTGGTTGGAAAATTTAAATGCATTTTATGTTAAAATTGAAAATGTTTCCAATTTTAGTAGTCAAACGTTATTTACTACAATATTATTAAAACTTTTGCGTCTTAATAAATATAAGTAAGTACTAAGTAGGTATCTAAGTAGGAAAGTCACATCTTCAAGGTTAAAATATATTAGCACATGGATAGTAAAGTGGTGTGAAAATTATAAATTCTTACAATTTGTATATGCAAGGTGGTTTTTTAAAATAATATATCTTAATAGCTTATTTTCTTTTAGTTGTCTGTACATTTATAATCTTAATGCATATTGACAAAAAATAATCTTGATAGCGGTTAACCAACAATAAACATTTACAAAATCTGCTGTGTATATTTACTCTCTCTCTCTCTCTGTAGATAGATACATAGATAGATAGATAGATAGACACACACACAGACATAATTTCCTATGTTACTAGAGAAGAGATAAATGCCGAACATTGTTGAATGTCTCTAATTCTCAAGTATTTTTTAGTGTTTCTAATTCTCAAAAGATACATAAAAAGACAAGGCAGGCAAAATTGTTGCTGCTTATATTTCAAGATTGATAACAAAAGAGAAACTGGGAAAAACTAGGTTAGAGAAGTCTTAATGGGAGACTGCTATAGAGTCCAGAATAAGAAATCCCAGGATTAAGGAACTAATTTATGTCACTGTAACTCAAGTTGGAAGAGTCATCATCTCTATGGTTTCCTAACACTTTTAAGTGACATCCTACTCATTTTTAGTACTGTGGTAAACACTTTCCAGAGCCAGTTGAGTAAACAAGGTCCAGAATGACACCAAATCAATGTAAGCTCTTCAGTCTAAATCATAATTTTTTGGCTTCTGGATTTAGCTGTTTTTGTTTATTTAGTCAAGTAGAAATTGCACTTATTAAGTAGCAACTGTGCATATAATAACCATTTTCTGCTCCAAACTTCCAATGAGAGTATATGAATTGATTGACAAATTGAGATTTTCTTATCCTCACTAAACATTTATTAAGCACCTATTATGTATCAAGAGTAAGAGACTGTATGCTCCTTGAAGCCAGCTGCCATGTTTGTCTTTATTATCGCTGTATCTCCAGCATTAATATAGTCGGCATGTTGACTAGTAAATGACAGGCATTTAATAAATATAGTTTGAAGAATAACAGATGACCTATAATTGCACATACAAAAGATAATGCAATATTTTAAATGCTATAATAATATGGACAAATTCCTGTGGGATTTCAGGATAGAAAGTGATAAATGCCAGCTAGAGAGACTTGGGTGGTGGGAGGCTAATGAAAAAACAGAAGTCTTTAAAATGGGGCTTGAATAATAAGTAGAAGTTTGACAGGTTGAGAGCAAGGAGTTATTCTCATTAGTATAATTAGTATATACCAGGAAGAGAAAACTCAAATGCCTTAAGGAACCAAGTAGCCAGCGTTCACGAGAGAGGCAGGTTGGGTAGGATCTGTGGGGAACCTGGTGAGCCTGAGCTCCACCTAAATGGGAGCAGCCACTCCTTTCTTGCCAGTTGTTGCTTTGTGAGACTGGTGAGTTCAGGTACCCAGAATGACCAAGTTTCTAAGGGAACCCTGAAATCTGAACTGTTCTGT
Organism: Homo sapiens; assembly: GCF_000001405.40. NCBI lineage: Eukaryota > Metazoa > Chordata > Mammalia > Primates > Hominidae > Homo > Homo sapiens. The sequence continues at coordinate 190,397,119 of NC_000003.12, forward strand.
AAAATCTCTACACATTTTTGGCAACTAATTAAGAGATTTTTTGCTTTCCTCATGCTTGTGACTTCTACTTTATTATTGTACCTTAAATAAACCTACCTCTCTCCATTTAGCAGGTAATCCACTCTTCACTTTTGGGAACAATAGATATTCATTGAAACAATACAAATTAGCATTGTTTTAACGTTATTTATCAATATATAAGTTGCATGTTAGAAGGAGAAATTTTAAATTTATAATCCTCTATTTCAGACAACTCTGTCAGATTAAAAGTTATTACTTAACATTTGCATTTTTTACCCTTTAAGAAAGGTTAACTATGATATTTGAAACATCAGTCTGCTTTTTTAAGAACCCTGTCTTAAAATTTTCAAGAATTTAGATTTGCTTGCTTTTTAGTTTCTAATAAGCCATTTTACAACAGAGGAATAAGTAAATGAAGATGATAAATCATACCAGAGAGCATTCCTAAATATAATAAAAAACATGAAAAATTGTAACCTTGTCTTTTGTGCACAAAGGCACCTTTAAGGGTGTCTCCAGTGAGTGCTACATTAACACAGAAGTTTAGTTAATTACAGCCACTATTCTCACGTACCTTAACTGAGTGTGAATACCAAGCCATCTAATAGTGTGCCCCTGAGCATTAATACCTAATGAAATTGGATTCCTTGTTTTCTCTAATGAGCTCATTGCTTTTCTAAATATGGTCATTGCAGGTAAATGATCAATAGCCTTGAAACTGATACCACTACTGAATTATTTTGGCAAGATGGAAATACTCTTATTTGTGTAAAATAAGAATTTTTGAATATGCATTTCAGATCACTTTCTAAATAATGTCATGTATGACAGGAATGACCATAGTAGGCTAGTTTGTTTCAGTGGCTGGCTTATACAGTAAGAAATTGTGGAGAGTCGCTGTCTGATTTACAGCACAGTGCCTTCAAACTTGTATCACCTAGCTTGAGCTAAAGTGAACTGGATGCAGCGTGTTCCTGTTCATTAAGACACTACAGGGCAGTCAGCTTTGAGAAGATCTGTTTTCTGTTATGATATAGCAGTTCTGTACAAACTGTCTCTAATATACTAATTTCCTATAGTTGCCGTAACAAATGACCATAAACTCGGTGGCTTAACAAAAGATAACTTTATTCTCTCACAGTTCTGGAGGCTGGAAGCTTATAATCAAGAAGTTGGCAAGGCTGCGCTGCCCCTGAAAGTTCTGGAAGAATCCGTTCTTAGCCTCTTCCAGCTTCTGGTGGCTGTAGGCATTCCTTGACTTGTAGCTTTATCCCTCCAATGTCTCTGCCTCAGAGGTCACATTGCATCTTTCTTTTGTCTGTTTCTCTCCTGCATGTGTCTCTTATAATGAAATTTGTCAGCCCACCTGTATAACCCAATATGATCTCAAGGTCCTCAGTTACATTTTCAAAGATCCTTTTTCCAAATAAGGTCATATACTGGTGGTAAGAATGTGGACATATCTTTCTGAGGGCCTCCATCTTTCTCCACCTTCACTGTGGTTAGTTAGTAAAGCCTAACACAGCCACTACTCAAGTCATTATGATGTTTAAGCACTTTACTACCACTATTTTTATTTATTGAGCATATCATTTATATTGCGTGTGTATTTGTAATTTTTAATTCTTATAACCATCCTATGATTATCTCCCGTATACAGATAAGGAGATTGAGGATCAAAAAAGGTAAGATCTTCCCCAAGGTTACAACATAGATAGTAAGAGTTTCAATCTATATTTAATATTTAATGCATATATAAATTTAATTTACGTGTAATGCACATATAAATTTAGACGTCCACATTATTTAGAAATTTATATGTTGAATTTCACAAGATAGCTGTTTATCATTAGATTTTTTGATCTCTGTGTTACACAGGATGAGATAATCCTCCAGAAAGTCCAAGAATTGTTTCCAACTTAAACCTAAGGAGGAGCATGCCAAGGTGAAGTTCGCAGAATAATAGCCTTGGGATGAGATCCAAGTTAGGGCTTACTTCACCCAAAGCTATCATCCAATACCCAATTCTGGATTACTTTATTTTAAAATGGATTTGGAATTCTTTTTAAAAAAATGTTTTTAGGCTGGGCACGGTGCCTCACGCCTGTAATCCCAGCACTTTGGGAGGCCGAGGTGGGCGGATCACCTGAGGTCAGGAGTTCGAGATCAGCCTGACCAACATGGGGAAACCCCGTCTCTACTAAAAATACTTAAAAAAAAAAAGTAGCCTGGCGTGGTGGCGCATGCCTGTAATCCCATCTACTCGGGAGGCTGAGGCAGGAGAATCGCTTGAACCCAGAAGGTGGAGGTTGCCGTGAGCCGATCGCGCCATTGCACTCCAGCCTGGGGAAAACAGCGAGACTCTGCCTCAAAAAAAATTGTTTTTAAACATTTGTAACTGTTTAAACAATTTTTTAGCACATATGCATCTTCTTAAATGGGGTACCTAGTGATGTTTTGATACATATAATGTATAGTGATCCCATTAGGGTAATTAGCATACCCATCATCTCAAACATTTATTTTTTGTTGGAAACATTAAATATCCTTTTTTCTAGCTATTTGAAATTATATCATTATTAACAATAGCCATCCTAGAGTGCTATAGAACAGGGGTCCACAACCCCCAGGCCACAGACCAGTACTAGTCCGTGGCCTGTTAGTAACTGGGCTGTGCAGTGGGAGGTGAGCAGTGAGCAAGTGAGCATTACCGCCTAATGGTGGACAGAAGCTCCACCTTCTGTCGGATCAGCGGCAGTATTCGATTCTCATAGGAGTGCAAACCCTGTTGTGAACTGCACATGCGAGGGTTCTGAGTTGCATGCTCCTTACAAGCACCTAATGCCTGATGATCTGAGCTGGAACAGTTTCATCCAAAAGCATCCCCAACCCCCTACCCACTGGTTCCATGGAAAAATTGTCTTGCACGAAACCGGTCCCTGGTGCCAAAAAGGTTGAAGACCACTGGTATAGAACACTGGAACTTATTCCTCTTATCTAGCTGCAATTTTGTATCTCTTAACAAATCTCTCCTTGTTCCTTGGCCCCTACCCTTCCCAGCCTTCAGTATCCTCTGTCTTATTTTTTACCTCGAGGTTTTTTTTTCTGTTTGTTTGTTTAGACGGAATCTCGCTCTGTCGCCAGGCTGCAGTGCAGTGGCGCGATCTCGGCTCACTGCAACATCCGACTCAGTGGTTCAAGCGATGCTCCTGCCTCCCGAGTGGCTGGGATTACAGGCACGCACCACCACGCCTAGCTAATTTTTGTATTTTTAGTAGAGACGGGGTTTCACCATGTTAGCCAGGATGATCCCGATCTCCTGACCTCTTGATCCGTCCGCCTCAGCCTCCCAAAGTGCTGGGATTACAGGCGTGAGCCACCGTGCCCGACCGAGATCAACTTCTTATAGCTTCCACATATGAGTAAAAATATGCAATGTTTAACTTTCTATTCCTGGCTTATTTCATTTAACATTATTCAGTTCCATCCATGCTGACTTAAATAAAAGAATTTCATTTTTTAAATTGTTAAATAGTATTCCATTGTGTAGATATACCATATTGTATTTACCCATTGCTCTGTGGTTGGATATCTAGGTTGATTCCATGTCTTGGCTATTGTGAATAGTGTCACAAAGAGCATGGAGGTGCGCACATACTGATTTCCTTTCCTTTGAATAAATGCCCAGTAGTGAGATTTGTTGGATCATAAAGAATGGGTTTTAAACACACTGCAATGCTCAGGAGCACACCCACACACTGCTGTGTTTGAGTCCTATCTCCTCCATTAACTATGCTTTCTTGGGGTTACTTAACTTTCCTGTGCCCCAATTTCCTCATTTGTAAAATGGATGATAAATAATATCTCTTAACGTCCCTTAAGAAATAAGAAAAATAATAATATGCTAAATAGTAACTGCTTTATGGTATAGACTCTGTATTGAATAATTATTACCAACTATAAGTATTTTACATATAAAGTAGTAATAGAGGTAAAACATTCAGAATCGCGATGAAGTTGCAAGCAGTAGAATTTTATTTGGCACATAACACGGCCTCAAAAAATAGCATGGGGCAGAGAGTTTCATAGTGCATGTATTCCTGAATATTATTTTATTTTCCAAAGCAAAGTGTTCTTATGTTTTTTTTTCTCCCCACAGCAATTTAACCCCCTCCTTTGCATTCCTCATCCCACCCTGCTCTGTTATTTATTCTTTCTTGGGGAAAAAATTAAGTTTTTATTTTCCAAGATAATTCATAGTTAAACTTTACTAAACTATTCCCAGATACAGAAGGTAATTTGAATCCATAACTGGGTCAGAGGAAACAATTGTATTAGCTCTGTTCCATATGCGTGAGCTCTATCAAGAACACCTGAAACTATTTTCTGTTGGCATGTTTACGATTCTAAGAAATCTATTGTGACTTACGGTTTGTAGATAAAGTATGAGAAGGTTCAGGGAACTGGTACCTTCTAGCTCTAAGTGGATTCTTAGAGTCATCTGCACATCATTTCCAAGTAAAAATGGATTACAGTCGTCAAGTTGTATGAAATTAATGCTCAATCTGCTTACATCCTTTACATAGCTTAAGCATTTATAATATATCATTGGAGCAATAAATAAGACTTGGGGCCTTTATATATTTTATTTATTGGCATCTTTTCATTTATTGGTTTTCTTTGCTAATTATTTTATATTTATAAACTTCATATATAAAGATAATATTTTTCTTCATGGAACTCAGTATTCGTGATAAAGAAACAATATATATTTTTAATAGACTCAAGGTGTCAACAGTTATCATCTATTGTTATATATATATATATTTTTTGGTGAGTAAATGTCAGCACAGTGACATGAAATGATGTTTTTCCATAACCATAACTCAATGGTGGAAGCAGCCACAGATATTTAAATATATTTAGCTCTGGTTTTATCTCTTCCAGACGTGACTTATTTCTCTACCCCCACCCTTCATGAGGAAGTGGATTCATTTCCTGGCCCAGAAAGGCTTCAATTGTCAGTGCTTAAGGGAAAATATTCTAATACGCATTGTTTGTTGTAAATGAAGTTCTGATCACATGTGTAACCACTTACTTTGCTATCAAACACAACCACCAACTTCTCTTTTTGATCAAGGGGAACTGAACTGTGCCTGCATGAATTGTTTCACACGGTGTCTTCTCTAACATCTAGGTGAGCACAAAATGCCGAGGCCTCTGGTGGGAATGCGTCACAAATGCTTTTGATGGGATTCGCACCTGTGATGAGTACGATTCCATACTTGCGGAGCATCCCTGTACGTATGCCTTAGAGCTCACTGCTTGCCAGGAAGGGAAAGGGACAGAAAACTGAGTTCAGGTTTCCATTTTGTGCTTTGTTTTCTATTGTACTATATTAAGGTTCGGTCCAGTTTGTAATGGTTAGAAATTGAGCTCATCTCGGAAATGTGAATTGAAATATATACTTCAGCACATTTTCTCTTTTCTCATATATTTGTAAATTCATTGAGGGAAAAATATTATCTTATTAATCTCTGCTGTCCCTCAGAGGGCCAGGCATAGTGCTTCATACTCAGCAGGCTTACAGTAAATGGTTTTTTAATCGAAATAAACTCTTTAGGGTGCTGTAATTTCATTATTAAACTGGACGGGTTAGGGGGAAAGCATTTCAGAGATGTTTTAAGCTATGACTTAGTTCAAATAGAAAGTTTACAGTTATTTCAGTTGAAGGTTAGCTAAGAAAGAGAGAGTGGCAGAGGCAGAAAGAGGCAGACAGCCAGAGAGAGAGACATAGACTATGGGGATCAGTGGAAGAAAAAACCAACACATGTGACGCACTGTTACAGGCAATATTGAAGCTGGCTCCCTTATCTTCCTTACTTTTAGCTTTAAATTATAGTTAAAGCCAGGTGCAGTGGCTCACACTTGTAATCCTAGCACTTTGGGAGGCCAAGGCGGGTGGATCACTGGAGGTCAGGAGTTCGAAACCAGCCTGGCCAACATGGTGAAACCCCATCCCTAATAAAATTACCAAAAAAAGTTAGCTCATCATGGTGGTGGGAGCCTGTAGTTCCAGCTAGTCAGGAGACTGAGGCAGGAGAATCACTTGAACCCAGAAGGCAGAGGTTACAGTGAGCCGAGATCACACCACTGCACTCCAGCCTGGGAGACAGAGCAAGACTTCATCTCAAAAATAAAATAATAAATAAATAAATTATAGTTACATGTCAGCAGAGCCCATGTTGCTATGAATAAAGAAATGTCTTAAATTTAAAAATCTTACTGTTGATTCTCTCAATCCTTCTCCATAGTGTTTATTTGTTTATTTATAAGAACATCGAACCCTGCTAAGAAACATCTGTTCTGTTATGAAAGCAAAGTGGTTTTAGTCTCTTTCAAAGCAAATGATGGGTGATGGCACCATAAGGCAACTTCTTTTCTCAAGATAAATAAAAAATTAAGCCCTTGGAATGTGACTTTTCCCCTGAACCTCTATTTCAGTCCAGAGGAAAGCACTTAAAAACAGCAGCACTCTAAAATTCTTCATCTGCTATTTAAAAGTTGGGTGCGTGGAACATTTTTAAAAACATAGTTCATAAGGTCTTTGTTTTATTTTTGTTAAAAAGGATTTTCTTAATTCTTTTTCTTTTCCCCTCTCTGTGCTAACCTAGTTCTACCTACAAAGAAACACTATTTGCTGAATAGGAATGGACATTTTGTCTATTCTAAAAATTCATTAAAATGGATTTTAATTCATAAGCTGATAAGAAAATGAAAAATTAAAAAAAATTTAAAACTTTTAAATACTGTTATATACATTTATGCAAGAAGAAAATATAATCACTCATAAGCTCACTACGTAGAGAAAACCACTGTTTATATTTAATATGTTCCTTTTTCATCTTTGACCTATGTAACCTATTAACATATGGGGGTAGAGAAATAAGTCACGTCTGGAAGAGATAAAACCCATATGGCCTAATATGTAATATTGGCCAAGAAGAGTCATGATTTAAATAGCTGAAAGAGAAAATGATCTAATTTCCAGAAATTACCTTCTACTTAATAGCACAAACTAACTCTCCTTCTTCTAAAGATCTCCTTATGGCTTCTTCTATCCTGAACTGGCAAAAAGAAGTCTTGAAATATTTTATTCTGCTTCCCTGTGTCAAATTTTAGCCAATTATTATTTTTAAATAAAAAAAAATTAAAGTGATTATTTATTCAATATTTATTAAGAAATTTTTGTAGGACAGATATGCTACCTTCGATTCAGCAATCGGCTACAATATTTGTGAATGAGACATTTTCCAGAGTAGGAGGCAAAAAGGAAAACATTTATTTAGTTTCCACTATCTACCAGGATGCTCTCTGCTAGCATACCAACAACAAAACTAAGTAGTGAACTGTGGTTAAACAAGCAATAATGTCAATAATCTCATATTTTTTAGTTTTATGAAAACATTAGGGGTACTTATGTTCAAGTTCATACAAAGTCTGACTTTTACCGGAGGGGTGTGTTAATGTTACCTACTTGTCTGTTTTTTTTGCTATGTCTCTGTGAGTTAATATGGTTCCTTCTTCTGACTCTGCTTTAACCATATGCCCTGGTCTTCCAGTGAAGCTGGTGGTAACTCGAGCGTTGATGATTACTGCAGATATTCTAGCTGGGTTTGGATTTCTCACCCTGCTCCTTGGTCTTGACTGCGTGAAATTCCTCCCTGATGAGCCGTACATTAAAGTCCGCATCTGCTTTGTTGCTGGAGCCACGTTACTAATAGCAGGTACCGGTCTGGCTGGACTAGCAACAGGGGTAGGGAGACTCTGCTAAGGGCTTGAGGTGAAGGAGAGAGTTGTGCTGAAGCTGCTCATTTTCGGATTATATGTGGCTTCCCTTTCTAGATTGAAAAACTAAAGGTCACTTCTACCAGCCCTGCATACTTTAGCTTTGAAGTCAGCTAATTAGTCTTTTGTTAATATCTCAGAACAAAATATGAAGCTCTCAGGCCGGGTGTGGTGGCTTATGCCTATATTCCCAGCACTTTGGGAGGCCAAGGCAGGCAGATCACTTGAGGCCAGGAGTTTGAAACCAGCTGGCCATCATGGTGAAACCCTATCCCCACTAAAAATACAAATCCAGGCATGGTGGTGCACACCTGTAGTCCCAGCTACTCGGCGGGGCTGAGGCAGGAGAATCGCTCGAACCCAGGAGGCGGAGGTTGCAGTGAGCAGAGATCGCGCCACTGCACTCCAGCCTGGGCAACAGAGCAAGACTCCGTCTCACGGAAAAAAAAAAAAAAAAAAAGGAAATAAAGAAAAAAAAAAGCTCTAAAACTATGTTTTGGCCATTTAAAAAGTTACATAACTTCAATTTTTAAAATAATTTATCTTGTGATTATTACTGAAGTTAAAATCCTAAAGTAAGCCCCAAACTTCTACCTCCTTACCTATACCCACCACCACCAACTCCACCAATTCTTTTTAACAATAAACTAACAATTGTGCCAAGTCCTATGTTAAACTTGTCCCACGTACTAACCCATTTGTTCATAAATGTAACAATAAACAGATCATATTGTTATCCTCACTTAAGATGCAGATAAATAATTGAAGTTCTGAGGACTGGTCAAGCATATTTATTAGTCAAGCATGACTAATAAACAACATATCAAAAAGCACTTTAAGTAGTATTTATTAGTGAAACAGCAAAAATGATACTTTATTCAGGTCTGTCTTCAACTTCAAAGCTTAGTCCTCTTCTTTTGCAACATAATGTCTTCTTCTTGTCTGTTAGCAGGAAAAATCTTGTCTGCTAACAAAGCGAATATAAGTGGCAGCCTGACCAGGCAGTGTGGGGTAGTACATCGATATGGAGTTTGGAACTAGAAACACTTGTAGATATGTATGTGTGATATATTCACCCGTGTCTCTGTTTCCTGATCTGCAAAGAGGCATGAGGCTAAGGTAGTAACATGTAGCCTGAATTGCTATGGTGAAGATGCAATGTGGGCACAGCAAACTGTTAGCTGACTGCCTAACCCTTTGTATGCTCAGAACTTGGGCCTCCCTGACTTTTGACACAGAAATGTTAAGTCAACGTCCTAATAATCCTCAGATTGTATTATAAAGTTACAAAAATTTAGAATTCTTCCCTTCTGTAAGTCATTTATTTAATTATCCCACCTACTGACAGCATAGAACTTTTTAATATACAATGTAATTCATTTAACAGATTTAAACATTATTTAATCTAATTATTTACGGCTATATAATTTTGTTCGAGAATATTTTTGAGCTATCATCAGTAAATAACCCATCTTATGTAAAACAACAAAACAAATAGCATTTAAAAAATAAGTCACTGAAGAAAATCCTGATAGGAATGACTGAAGAAATAACTAAATTGAAAGACAAAGCATGTCCTAAGCTTTGGAAACTTTAGAATTAGTGTGCTATAAAATTTATTTTTAAAGTCTATAATCTGTTTTGAAGGTTTAGAAAGGGAATTTCTAACTGAAAACTGCAGATAATGGCATTATAGCAATGCTATTGCAATATATACTGCGTTTTCTAAAGGTTATGTGTTTATTATCTGGCTTTTTTTTTTTTTTTTTTTTGAGATGGAGTCTCGCTCTGTCGCCCAGGCTGGAGTGCAGTGGCGTGATCTCGGCTCACTGCAAGCTCCACCTCCTGGGTTCACGCCATTCTCCTGCCTCAGCCTCCCAAGTAGCTGGGACTACAGGCGCCCACCACCACGCCTGGCTACTTTTTGTATTTTTAGTAGAGAAGGGGTTTCACCATGTTGGCCAGGATGGTCTCAATCTCTTGACCTCGTGATCCGCCCGCCTCGGCCCCCCAAAGCGCTGGGATTACAGGTGTGAGCCAATGTGCCCGGCCTATCTGCTCCTTCTTAAAGTTCTTACATTAAACAATTAGGAGAAGAATACAGTTAAATAGTGATTTAAATAGATATCACAGACTATCTAGGGAAAAAAATGTAAAATTTTTTGGAGACTACATATTTTATTTTATTTTTTTAGATTTGGGAAAGACAAATATTTCTCTCATTAGACAGTAAAACAACTCTGGAAAGTAATCTGAAGAGATTGTTTGTGAACACATGCATCTAACTTAGCACAGAGTAGCAGAACTTTGAAATGAAGGAAAAGTAGGATCCAGTTATTTGGGTGTTGGTGGGCAAGATCTTAACACTAACGTTGATACAGCTTCAGGATATCAGTAAGCATACATTTACAAGTAAATAACTGAAAATCCAACTCAAGCAGACTTAGACAACATATAGATTACTGATTTCTTGTAATTGCCTTCTGCTAGGCATTGAGCATGTGGAGAGTACATATTTTAAAAACACTCTTTTAATTCAGTGTTTTGTCCTCCAACTCACCACATTTCTTATTGCATCTAGGCTTCAACATGCAATTTATACCTTTAAAATAACAGGACACTAGTGGCGTCATTTCAAACCAGTTAATTGTCAGAGAGGCTAAGCTGTGGAGATGTATTTAAAGGGAATAACATTTCTTGGTCCATTCTTATATGGTGTGAGGGTAGTAGATAAAGATTTATTTGAAAATAAAAACATTTTTTACTTCAATTATTTGTGTTTGACCTCAAGACACTGAAATCAGTGACTTTAAAAACAGTTTTCACATGGGTGCTGATTACGTAGCTGGCATAGCTTCAAAAGGGGGTACAGGGAGCATTAAATACAATGATATTTACTCACAATTTAAAAATCATTACAGAATGAACATATGCTCTATGTTGTTTGTGTTAGACTACATTCTTTTTCTGTTTTGTTTGGTTTTGTTTTAGTATTTTCCTTTATACAATACTAACATGGCATTGGAAAGACAGGAGAATCAAAGAAAACCATAACGATGAATTTCGATTTACACAGATAAGCACTGTGTTATTTCATTTTTGCATTTTCTTTATGTATAAACTGAGATAAAATTTAAAAAAGATACAAGATGGAAGGCAAAAGGAAGAGACAGAAGAAGTGTCCGAAGTTCGGGTTGCCCATGAATCCATGTTACTGTTTTTACCTCTCTGAATCACGCCAGCCATTTTGTGTAGTAAGCAGGTATTTTTGGATTTAAATTCAGAAAATGTCCCCTATTATTTGTAGCATCCTCCCTTTCTTTCAGGTACCCCAGGAATCATTGGCTCTGTGTGGTATGCTGTTGATGTGTATGTGGAACGTTCTACTTTGGTTTTGCACAATATATTTCTTGGTATCCAATATAAATTTGGTTGGTCCTGTTGGCTCGGAATGGCTGGGTCTCTGGGTTGCTTTTTGGCTGGAGCTGTTCTCACCTGCTGCTTATATCTTTTTAAAGGTAAGAATAAAATAAAATAGCAAATTTCCTTGCCTCCACTATCGTTTTTCCCAATCCAGTGGAAACAAATTTCAAAAGGAAAAAAATGTTATTTATTTGAATTCCTACCTATTGCCATTAAAAATTCCAATTGTTCAAGGGCAATTGAATTGTAATACTCAAACATTATTACCCAGTTAGTTCTATATTAATTGAAAAATAAAATCCACAACTACAAGCATGTCCAATATTCAAATGTATAATAGTTATCTTGATGTATTACAATTATACATATATACATATATACACACATATACATACCGTATATATACTATATATGTATATATACTATATACATATATATACACATATAGTATATATACTATATATACATACTGTATATATACCCTTGTATATATACGTATACATAGTACATATGTATACACATATACACATATGTATATGCATATATGTATATGTATACATATATGTATAATTGTAATACATCAAAATAACTATTGTACATTTGAATATTGGACATAGTTGTAGTTGTGGATTTTTTCAATTAATGTAACACTAACTTGGTAATAATGTTTGAGTATTGTAATTCAGTTGCCCTTGAACAATTGGAATTTTTAATGGTAATTGGAATTTTTAATGGTAACAGGTAGGAATACACCCATGTATATGCATGTATATATACACACACGTATATGCATGTATATATGCACACACGTATATGCATGTATATATGCACACACGTATATGCATGTATATATGCACACATGTATATGTATGTATATATGCACACATGTATATGTATGTATATATGCACACATGTATATGTATATTAGAATTATACATATATGTGTGTCTATATATACAATTATACCTTTATAATTGTATGCATATATGTAGATATACATATAATTGTAATACATTAAAATAACTATTATACATTTGAATATTGGACATGGTTGTAGTTGTGAATTTTCTATATATATATATTTTGATGTATTACAATTATACATGCATATATATCTTCACCCACTCAACTAAATGTATATTTAGTGTTAAACTGAGAAGTGGACTAAGATCCAGCCAAATACTTCTTTTTAAAGAATTTAACATGTTATGTTGGGTTTCTAAAAATATCACCTAAAAAACTAAGGGAATACCTCTCCTGATGAAGAAAAAAAAAATAACAGGAAATCTACTTGGCTGAATTTTAAACCTAAAAGAAACTTTCAGAATGAAAATCTTAAATTGTCTTCTAGGATTCTTCTTAGAGTTCCAAAATGATACCTTCTTTGAGTATCTATATTCTTGTTCCTTTTGAGGAAGAACATATAAAATGGTATTTTATAATTTTCCCAAGTTCACTGAGTTCTACTTATTTTTATATTTCTTTCAAACAGATGTTGGACCTGAGAGAAACTATCCTTATTCCTTGAGGAAAGCCTATTCAGCCGCGGGTGTTTCCATGGCCAAGTCATACTCAGCCCCTCGCACAGAGACGGCCAAAATGTATGCTGTAGACACAAGGGTGTAAAATGCACGTTTCAGGGTGTGTTTGCATATGATTTAATCAATCAGTATGGTTACATTGATAAAATAGTAAGTCAATCCAGGAACAGTTATTTAGAATTCATATTGAATTAAATTAATTGCTAGCTTAATCAAAATGTTTGATTCTCCTATACTTTTTCTTTCTATTACTCTTATATTTTCCCGTCATTCTCTCTGCTAACCTTCCACCTTATGCACACACTTTCCCTATATTTTAAGATAAGTCTGCTAGGATGTAGAAATATTTGTTTGTGATTTCTATATAGCTATTAGAGATTATGACATAGTAATATTAAAATGAAATGATACTTAAACAGAAAGCAATTTCCAAAGAGGCCAGGGACCCTAATCTTTGAAGAGATGAAGAAACTTACTTTTCTCCCTGGCTTTTGGTTCACTTTTTGTACTTTTAACAAGTGGGTGAATTATTTGATAATTTTGAGGAAGATTATTCTTTTAAATTCAAACTAGTATGTCAATGCCTACCATTACTCTGATTATATTAAAACAGAAAAAGGAAATAACAACTTCGTATACCAGCCACTGGTGAGAGTTAAAGACAAGAGCTGCCCCCCCACCCCCAAATGTCAAAGGCAAATGCTAAATTGATACTGGAGCTCGTGGTGACTTTCTACCTCACTAACAACATAAGGGATCTCCATATTATTTCACCACTATTCTAGCTTTGCTGATATATTGCCAAATGATTAGACTACAGAATAGTTCAACCAGAGAATTTACTCATTTATTGATTAAACATCCAAATACTATTGTAATATACTATGTTAAAATTCATCAATTCAAGTGCCCACACACCACTGAATCATCAGCACCAAGCAATATATTAGACATATGGCAAAATTCAACAAATATATTTTGATATAAATAAATAAACGTTCACGACTTTACTTAAAAAATCAATGTTGCGGCTGGGCACGGTAGCTCGCGTCTGTAATCCCCGCACTTTGGGAGGCCAAGGCGGGTGGATCACGAGGTCAAGAGACGGAGACCATCCTGGCTAACATGGTGAAACCCTGTCTCTACTAAAAATACAAAAATTAGCCGGGCGTGGTGGCGGTGCCTGTAGTCCCAGCTACTCGGGAGGCTGAGGCAGGAGAATCGTTTGAACCCAGGAGGTGGAGGTTGCAGTGAGCGGAGATCGCACCATTGCACTCCAGTCTGGCAACAGAGCGAGACTCCATCTCAAAAAACAAAAATAAATAAATAAATAAATATTCTTCATAAAATGTGGGTTTTGGGGAAAATATAGAATTACATATACATTTAACGAAGTCGCTAATGACATTTCATTCATATTCATAATGTAACCATCTTGAATTTTTTTAATTGTAGCGATTTTAAAAATGTTTGTAAAATTTAATTTCCAGTTTTCTAATTACTTGTCAGTCACATTAATAACATTAGTACCTTTATGGTACCCTTGCAGTACCTGAAAAGAATATCAACCTGAAAAGAATATCAACTCACCCAGAAATTAGTTCTTTGAAAAAAAAGAAATTAAGTTGTGAATTTCTAAAGACCTTGAAATAAGTGTTTCAAATTTAAAGAACAAAGAATGATGTGAAAATGAGATTATGATTCCTACTACATGAATTAACGTTTCGAGATTGCTGTTTATTACTTCCCAGAGTATCTTTAACAGTATTCTCTGAAGCAGTTCCAATCTAGTTGGAGAATTAACAGCAATTGATTTAACTATCTCATTTTTATTAACTGTAATTTACTTTAAAAATATTTGCAAATCATACTCATTAGTTATTTGATCATTGTTCTATGCATTTTAAAATTAATTTTGTGTTGTTCCTCTCAATATTTGTTTTTAACATTTATTCCCATTTTTATTTTATACTATTGTCTGTCATGCTTTATGTATTCCAATAAGTGTCTTGAAATCCTTGTGGGGAAAGGCAGGACAAAAATAATTAGTTAATTAGATTTGAAAAATGTAATTTTTCCATTTTAAATATTTCATTTGTATAAGAAAATATTTCAGAGAACCATGATGATAATGGATATGTGTGACTGTTTTGAATTTTTTTCTCAATTAAAACATTTTGTATGTAATGGGAGGAATGTCAAGATTTGTTTTTTTAATTTATTTGAAACATTCATTTCTAATTCATTGTAATTTAATGACGCTTCCCAAAATAAAGCATAAAGAAGACTATGTTTTGTATGGCAACTAGTGAACAACAAAACAAATATTAAATGATGAAGCTGTAATTATTGACAGGTTGTGATGTAACAGGGCAAGAAAGAAAAAAGTGATATAATCCAAAGGCATATACAGGTAAGATTATTAGATTGAAACATTAAAATAGCTCACTAAATACTGGGTACTACTATTTAGGCATGGCTACTAATTGCAATATAAGAAAAGAAAAAATTTTAAAAATTGGACAATGCTATTTATCCACCCCTTCATTAACTACTTTCTAAGATCAAATTTTTAAATTAAAATTACCTTTCATTATTATAAAATCTGTATATGTGCATTGTAAAATCTTTGTGTAAAAAACACAAAGATTCAAAAATATATCTTATTTAAATACCAAGGCAACATTATCACCAAATTCTCTCTACCTGGGACATCACTACTCCTAAAACTTTATTGAATCTCTACACAGCCTCCCACATATTCTCTATTTATGCACATACCCATAAAGACACATTCATATAAATATGTATCTCTTTTTGAAGAGATCATTTCATATGTTGCTTTATATTTACGTTTTTTCTTATTTAACTACCTCTGATTTATGGTAAGCAATACATTTCACATCTAATACCTAGTCTATGTTTAAATTTCTTCAAACATTTAAAAACATTCTGCACAGCTACTTTGTCAAAACAAGGATCTGCCTTTCATTTTGTTAAGTCCCTTAAGTCTCTCTTAATCAAGTTACACTTTTTTCCCACTGATCTTGACTTGTTAAAACAGCAGGACCAGTTTTTGTACGCTTTGTTCCACCTTCTGGATTTGTCTGGGGATGTCATGTAGCTTAATTTCTCAATGCCTTGTATTTTCAGTAATGGAAGTTTAAATCTAAAGACTAGATGGAATCAAGCTAAATAGTTTGTAGAATACAACATAGATGATGTGACAGCATACCTGGAGACCTAATACGTGGTTAATTTACTCTTAGTTTAAATGCTAAAATTGTTCACTGGATTAGAAAGTTGGTGAGCTTACCCCTCAATATTTCTGTGGGTGTGTGTATGTATATATACACACACAGAGAATATATATACATATATATATGGAATATATATAAATCGATATATATATAATATATGGATATATAATATATAGATTTAATATGGATTAATAGGTGGAGTTTATATATCCAGGGTTGCATTGAGTGTCTGCAGCTTTTCCAGGCACATGGGTGCAAGCTGTCAGTGGATCTACCATTTCAAATGGCAGTATTTTATATATTCATATATTAATCCATAGTAAAGAAATACATATATATATTTCATTAATAAAAACAAGTAATCAATGTAGTGTTATTGTGAAACTATGGGAATACCATATTCCTCATCAACCGTATACATGATAGTTTTAACAATTGATAATTCTTATCTGAGCTAATGCTTTCATAAAGATTTGTAGAAAGAGAACTTTCTAATTCTATTGCATCTGCATCTTTCGTAGAAATTCTTCTGTAAAAAAGCCTTTGCCCCTTCATTGGAGTCTGTTCAAGTTAGCCTGAAAGGATAGGATGAATATTCAGTTCTTTCCCTCTATTCGCCAATTTACTAATACAAACTAAGGAGCTTGTTTTTTAGTGATATGATATATAATTTATTTTCCAAATCGGTACACTTTTGAGAACAAAAGTGAGCGCCATTAATCATGAAGTCAGGATGTTCCTCAGAGAGCAAGGCCATATGGTCTCTCTCTTAAAGAGTTATGTGTACAATTTTTTAGTAGTTTTCCATTTCTGACTCTTATTATAGAATTATAGATTTTCTTTAATTCAATGTTTAATCCACTCTAATCATTATTGTTTTGATACTCAAATTATTAAATGTTTGATCAATAGAGACTGCTTAAGCTAGCTCCTATGTGTTCTTGACACAGGCCTATTAATATATTTTTCAGTAATCTTAATGTTGAAGTGTATGTAGAAAATTACAAGTTTATAGCTAGATAGATTCTTACAATGTGAATATACCTATACAATCAATATTATGTTAAGAAATAGTGTTGCAGCTTTTGTAGTTTGGTGTGCAGGAGGGAATGGCACCCGGTAGCTTTTATTCTACCCCATTGCTTGGCAAGCAGGAAGGAGGGTTACTGTGTTAGAGGATTCCTCCAGTGCTGCTTCTCCAGCTTGAAATCTCTGGCTGCCATGACCTCTGCCTGGGGCTGTGCTCCAGCCTGCCAAGCTCACTCTGTCCACTCGGCTCAGCAGACTGAACTCAGCTCATGCCCTGGCCCGGATCCCACACCCACCATAGGATCTGCACTCAGCCTGTGGCTGGACCAGGCATGCCAAAAGCAGCTTCCACACTGGGCATTGGTGTCTACACAGGGGGAATGTGGTGGCACCTGAAAACCTGGAGATGCCAACAACTGTGGAGCCCCAAGGAGTGTTAAAGCTCTTGCACAGGGCGTCCTGAGATGTGAGTATCAAGAAATGTTACACCTCTCTCTTGTTCCCGCCACACACAGCTTGGCGAGTTCCAGGTTCTTGTCCCGTGACCAAAAAGAATAAGGCACGCAGACACTGGATAGTGAGTAGGGCAAAGAAGAATTTTAGTGAGTGACAGAGAAAAGCTCTCAGAGGAGAAGGGACCCAAGAACAGGTAGCTCTTTTTTGAGAGGGGGCCTGAAGGTTGGTAGGCCTCTGTGAGACTGAGTCCGGGGTTTTTATGGGCTTTGAATGGGGGAGTGCATGCTGATTGGTCCATGGGTGAATTGGGAAAAGCACCAATTGATTGATTAAAAGACATCAAGGAAGTTCTCACTCCCATCATGGACTCTACCCATAACTCACAGCTCAGTTTTCAGGCTTTAAACTGCCTTTGGCTTGAAGGTCAGTTTTCACCAGGGACCTGTCCCTGTCTGCCTAGGAATTTGTATGTCTCCTGTCACTATCGATAGCCAATCACTACCAACTCTCCCCCACAACACCACTGTGCAAGAAGTTCTGGACCCAGCCATTATTCTCACAATCCGGTGGGTAATCCCTATCCTGATTTCAAACACTATAGATTAGTTTTTCTCTGTTTCTGAACTATTATGTATTTAACTCTTTTTGTCTGGCTTCTTTCACTTACTATTATGTTGTGAGGGTCAACATTCCTTTATATTGTTGTATATGATTTAGTTTGTTTATCTTCATTGCTGTAGAATATTATCTTGCATAAATATAACACAAATGTTTAATCCATTTTATGGGACATGAATATTTAATTTGTTCCCAATTTTGGCAATTGCAAATAGTACTGCTATGAGCACTGTTGGACACAATTTTGAGAGACATATGCACTCCTTTGTCTTAGAAATATACCCAGGATGAGGATTGCTCCATCAGAGGTTGTATTAGTCTGTTCTCAACTGCTATAAAGAACTGCCCAAGACTGGGTAATTTATAAAGGAAAGAGATTTAATTGACTCACAGTTCTGCATGGCTTGGGAAACCTCAATAACTTACAATCATGGTGGAAGGGAAAGCAGGCACATCTTACATGGCAGCCAGTGAGAGAGAGCAATCATTTGAAGGAGGAACTGTCAAAGGTTTATAAAACCATCAGATCTCATGAGAACTCACTATCACAAGAACAGCATGAGGAAATCTGCCTCCATGATCCAATCACTTCCCATTCTCAACACATGGGGAATACAGATCACTTCCTCGACACATGGAGATTATAATTTGAGATGATATTTGGGTGGGGAGGCAAAATAAAACCATATCATTGCACTCCTGGTCCCTCCCAAATCTCATGTCTTTCACATTCAAAACCAATCATGCCTCCCCAACAGTCCCCCAAAGACTTAACTCATTTCAGCACTAATCTGAAAGTATAAGTCCAAAGTTTCATCTGAGACAAGGCAAGTCCCTTCCCTCAGAAGCCTGTAAAATCAAAAGCAAGTTAGTTACTTCCAAGATAAAATGGGGTTAGAGACATTGGATAAATGCTCTTATTCCAAATGGAAGAAATTGACCAGAACAAAGGGGCCACAGGCCCCATGCAAGTCCAAAACCCAGTGGGGGCAATTATTAAATTTTAAAGCCCAAAAAATGATCTCTTTTTACTCCATGTCTCACATCCAGGTAATGCTGATGCAAAAACTGGGCTCCCATGGCCTTGGGCAGCTCTGCTTCTCTGGCTTTGCAGAGTACAGCCTGCCTCCTGGCTGCTTTCATGGGCTAGCATTGAGTGTCTGCAGCTTTTCCAGGTACATGGTGCAAGCTGTCAGTGGATCTACCATTCTGGGGTCTGGAGGACATTGGCTGTCTTCTCACAGCTCCACTAGGCAGTGCCACAGTGGGCATCTGTGTGTGGGCTCCAACCCCCCATTTCCCTTCCATGCTGCCCTAGCAGAGATTCTCCAGGAAGTCTCTACCCCTGCAGCAGACTTCTGCCTGGACATCCAGGCATTTCCATACATCCTCTGAACTCTAGGTGGAGGTTCTCAAACCTTAATTCTTGAATTCTGTGCACCCACAGGCCCAACACCATGTGGAAGCTGCCAAGGATTGGCAGCTTCTAAAACTATGGCCTGAGCTGTTCCTTGGCCCCTTGTAGTGCCAACTGGAGCTGGAGCT
Source organism: Homo sapiens (assembly GCF_000001405.40). Lineage (NCBI taxonomy): Eukaryota > Metazoa > Chordata > Mammalia > Primates > Hominidae > Homo > Homo sapiens. The sequence goes on from NC_000003.12 coordinate 190,416,860, forward strand.
GCTGGGACACAGGACACCAAATCCCAAGGCTGCACAAAGCAGCAGAGCCAGGGGCCTGGCCCACGAAACCATCTTTTCCTCCTAGGCTTCCAGGCCTGTGATGGGAGGGGCTGCCTCAAAAGTCTCTGACATGCCCTGGAGATATTTTCCCAATTGTCTTGGCTATTAATGTTTGGCTTCTTATTACTCAGGCTAATTTCTACAGCCAGCTTGAATTTCTCCCCAGAAAATGGGTTTTTCTTTTCTATCACATTGTCAGGCCACAAATTTTCCAAACTTTTATGCTCTATTTCCTTTTTAAACATAAGATCCAATTTCAGATAATCTCTTTGAAGTTCAAAGTTCCACAGATATATAGGGCAGAGGCAAAATGCCACCAGTCTCTTTGCTAAAGCACAGCAAGAGTAATCTTCATTCCAGCTCCTACTAAGTTCCTTATCTCCATTTGAGACCACCTCGGCTTGAACTTCACTGTCCACATCACTATCAGCATTTTGGTGCAAACCATTCAACAAATCTCTAGGAGGTTCCAAACTTTCCCACATCTTCCTGTCTTCTTCTGAGCCCTTCAAACTGTTCCAACCTCTGCTTGTTACCCAGTTCCAAAGTCACTTCCACATTTTCTGTATCTTTAAAGCAGTATCCCACTACCTTGATACAAATTAACTACATTAGTTCATTCTCACACTGCTATAAAGAATTGTCCAAGAATGAATAATTTCTAAAGAAAAGAGGTTTAATTGACTCACAGTTCTGAATTGCTGGAGACGCCTCAGGAAACTTACAATCATGGCAGAATGGGAAGCAGGCACATTTTACATGGTGGCCAGCAAGACAGCGTGAGTGTTTGAAGGAGGAACTGTCAAACACTTATAAAACCATCAGATCTCATGAGAACTTGCTCTCTATCATGACAGCAGCATGAGGGAAACTGTCCTCATGATCCAATCACCTCCCTCCCTTAACACTTGGGGATTACAGGTCCCTCCCTCAACACATGGGGATTACAATTTGAGATGAGATTTGGGTGGGGACACAGAGCCAAACCATATAATGGTATAGAAATGTTCATATATAGTGGATATTACCAAACAATTTTACAAAGCATTTGTACCAATTTACCCTTGCACAGCAGTATATGAGAGTTCAATTCTACACATATTTGCCCAACACCTGGTATAATCTATTTTTTTTTTCATTTTAGCCATTCTAGCGTGTATACGTACTGGTATCCACAAATAAAAATTTGTAGCTTTAGCTTTCATCCTTCTGATAAGTAATGAAGCCCTGTACATATTAATATGTTTATTGCCTATTTGGATATCATATTTATTTAATTTCATGTTCAATTTATTTTCCAATTTTTCTATTGTATGTATTTTTCTTATTTATTTGTAGATAATCTTTATATACCTTTGATATGAGTTGTTTATCAGAGATAGATATTGCAAATATCTTCTAGCTTATGCATCACATTCTTATTTTATTAATTGATATTTTCTGATGAAGAGAAGTTATTTTTAATGTAGTCCAGTTTATTATTTTCTTCTTTTATGGCTCTCAGATTTTGTGCCCTGATAAAAAGTCTTCACCTACCAAAAAATCATGATAATATTCTTTTGTTTTCTTCTAAATTATGTGTTTTAATATTTACTTGTATTTTATTTTGTGCAAACCTTATTCAAGTATAACATACCCACAGAAAAGTACATGAATCATAAGTGTATAATTTGATGAATTTTTCACATGAAAACACTGTTAGCATCAAGATCAAGAAATAATATTATACCAGAACTCCAGAAGTTATTTATTATACACTCCCTACATGAGCCCTCTGCAGCTTGCATAGTCTCAGTTGACTGACTCAAGTTTAAAAATTACTTTAAGAAAAAGATCTGAGTAAAAGTTATTTCCTTATAAGGAAACTGAATAGTACTATTCGGCTTTCTAATTATGTTTTTCATCATATAATTTTATTTTATTATTATTATTATTACTTTTGATACAGAGTCTCACTCTGTCACCAGGCTGGATTGCAGTGGCATGATCTCGGCTCACTGCAACTTCCGCTCTCAGGTTTAAGCTATTATCCTGCCTCAGCCTCCTGAGTAGCTGGGATTACAGGCACGCGCCACCACACTCAGCTAATTTTTGTATTTTTAGTAGAGATGGGGTTTCACCATGTTGGCCAGGATGGCTTCGATCTCTTGACCTCATGATCCACCCTCCTCGGCCTCCCAAAGTGCTGGGATTACAGGTGTGAGCCACGGCACCCAGCCAATTTTCTTGTTTATAGTACCACAAACTTTAAACTTATTAAATATATTGAATTAAAACATAATGATCAATATTAGCTTACATATAGACATATTACTAAAAATAAATGATTGACTATACATACACATCCAAAGGTACACACACACACACACACACACACATACAATCCTTATTGGGATTAAAATCAAGTAGTGTATTTAGACTATAAAGTAAAGGAGTATTTCTTTGATTTCCTCTAAACATAGGTTTTATTTTATGAATGCTTGAGATGTCATAAGGGCTCAAAATTTAATTTGTTTGAAAGCATGAACAACTGTTTCTTTTTAAGTACAGTAGAAATCTCTACCACTTACTCACTTTAGAAATTGACTTGCTGCTCAATTTAAATATGAATCTAAATATTTTTGAAGAAATGTATTTTAAGAAATAAAATGAATGATTGCCATAGCCATCATTTTATTTGCCAATAAAAGGGTCATTAAAAAATAACTTACACATTCCTCCTATAAGAAGATGTATTGGCTTTAACATACTTCTTATACAAGTAGTTTATTTAGCATTTTTTTTCACAGAAAACTCAACTGGGGTCCTGAAAAAGTAGTTTTCATTTGACAATTACTCCAACCGGTAAAGGTTAAGATAACTAACTTCTTTTCAGTGCCTCTTATTGAAAATCAGATACTATATAAAAATACAAAATATGGAAATAAATAAAGAAGATGATGATAAAGAAATTCTAGAAAATTTTCTAAAATTGCAAATCATGCTTAAAACAGTATAGAAAGAAGAGAATTTTATCTAGATTATTGCTCTATTTACAAAGCAGTCTTCTATAGTGACATTTACTGGTTTAATTATCTGAATAAATTTACTTTCATTTAAATCTAACTTTAGAAAGAGATAAATACAGAAATGGAACTCTAATTGCCACAGAGTGTCTTAGATAATTCTTCACAGAACTAGAAATTTATACACACATGCTGTGACATTAATGAATATAGCTATTTTCTTTCAAAACTTTTTAAATGTAAAAGAAAAAATTTAAAGCTAGGAGAGAATCACTATATTAGTGATTTAGATGTATGTAATAATACCGATTTAGCCTTAGGACAAGTTTTTGAGGTCATGTTTAACTACTTCTTTCTACAAAGGTGCTTACTTTCAATCATTTTTATAATAACAAAATAAAAATATAGAGGCTTTAAAAATAATGGTATCATATGCAATAATGCTATGTCTAAGTCTATAAGAATCTATACACAATAAATACTATTCAGTCATAAAAAAGGAAATTCTGTCATTTATGACAATATGGATGAACCTAGAGGACATTACATTAAGTGAAATAAGCCAGGCACAGAAAGACACATACCACATGGTCTCACTTACGTGGAGTCTAAAATCGTGCACTTTGGGAGGCCGAGGCGGGCAGATCACCTGAGGTCAGGAGTTCGAGACCATCCTGACCAACACGGAGAAACCCCATCTCTACTAAAAATACAAAAATGACCCATGCATGATGATGCATACCTGTAATTCCAGCTACTTGGGAGACTGAGGCAGGAGAATCACTTGAATCTGGGAGGCGGAGGTTGCAGTGAGCCAAGATCGCCCCGCTGCACTCCAGTCTGGGCAATAAGAGCGAAACTCCATCTAAAAAAATAAAAATAAAAATCACACAAAAAAATAGAGAGTAGAGTGGTTGTCACCAGAGCCTGGATCCTTTGTTAGTTGGAAGAGGGGTAGGGAGATATTGGTCAAAGGATGCATAATTACATTTAGATAGAAAGAATAAATTTAAGAGATCTACTATATAGCAAGATGACTAGAGTTAATTATTCATTGATATTTGTTCTATATGACCTTCTTCTTTTTGATAGCTACATAGTTCATTGTACCAATGTACATTGTACCAATTTGTCTAAAATGTCCCTTTAAGCATCATCGCTATTGATAGATTTTGCTACTATAAACAATGTTTCAGAGAATATACTTTTAGAAACATCTTTGCCTTCTTACAGCACTCTAGCTGTAGAATTAATATCTGTGTCTGAAAGTAGAAATGTTGACAGCATGTTAATATCCATCAAAATTTTAGATACACGTAGCCAAATTGGCCTTCAAAAAAGGCTGCACTATGTTATACATCCACTAACACTGTATAAAAGAGCTTGCTTCCCCATACTCTTGCCAAAACAAGATATTAACCATCTTTAATACTGCCAATCTTATGGATAAACAATAGTATTACGTTGTTGTTTTGATATGCGTTTATCTAATTAAATTGAGCACAATGGAGCCAATTGAGCAACTTTTTCTATTTTCACTAATTGTTTGGATGTGTATTTCTGAAAATGGGGAATTATAAAGATATTATTCTTGTTCTTAGTTCATCCTATGTTGTGTCTCCAATTTGGTAGCATATATTAATGAATTTCTCAAAGGGTGACATACTTACTACAAATGGCACTTGAAACATATTTAGGTAGTACATGGAATATTTTTATTTTGTAGCCATTATTAATATTTATGTGGACTTGGAAAAAAGCCACTTTTCCATTTGTAATATAATTTAAAGATTCAATTTAAAAAACATTTCAGTTTGAAACTAATTTGGCTTTAAAATACATTAAATAAAATAAGTAGAAATGCTTTTCCGTTTGTATGTGAGTATCTGAATTTCGGTACATGCTGGGTTAATCAATGTATTATTCTCACCATTAAATATACTCTAAGCAGGAGGAAAGATAGTTTATTAAGTTTCATTGCTTATGCAAAGCATAGCCATAATAGTATCAGAGTTAGCAAGTATAAATAGAATAGTATAGTATCAGAGTTAGCAAGTATAAATTGATATATGTTAACATTCAATGTATAGGCTTTATCCACAACCAAAAAATAAGTAAAAATATTTGTTTATTTAAAACATCTTAGAAGTCATATCATTCCACTCATAAGAACTTCATTATAGTTATATAATAAAGACTTTATCAACATAGCCACAATACAGTATCACATTCAACAAGATTAACAATTAACAATTCCTTAATATGAATTTTCTCAATGTTTATTTTGTTGCAGTAGTCTGTAAGATCTCCATTTCAATTGGATCCAAAATTCAACAATGAAAATGGTTCACACTTTGGGGTTGATGTCATGCCTAAGTACTGTAATTTTAATTTCTGTAGCTTTTATTTGCATCAGGGCTTGGGAGATTTTTGAAAGATGTGAAATACTATAAGATTTCTTTTGCAGAAATTAGACTGCCTTCACAAAACCAGCAGGTTAAATATTTGTTGACGATAATTGGGGGAAAAAAACAAAATTGGAGTTGAAAAGAAAAATAGAAGCAAAAATCAAGTAAAGGGGATGCTTTGTAAGGAAGACTTTATATTTAATAAAGTACAGATGAAGTGAGACTAAGCAAAGTAACCTTGATCCCTTTCATTGTCATCCTAAGTCAGCTAGAAAAAATAGATAGAAAATAGTTATTAAAATCATCAAATTTTTCTGCTGTTTTCTAAATTAGGTTATTGTGTGCAAAGTTAAGCCCATGTAACTAAGCGAATTGGGAAAAGGGATTGAGGAATCCTTTAGTTTCAAATGGTAGTTTTCCTTTTTCTAAATTAAAATAAATATTTTACTGTGTGTTTTTTAAAAAGCTATTGAATGGGAAGTATTGATTAGAGGAGGGTGTTAGAGAGGATCTCTGTAGGAGAAAGGGAAATCTTCAAATTCTGTAAATAGGAACCATGTAAGTTAATTTAGTTAATATAGCAGAAACTGAAGCAGTCAATAAACCTTGCTAAAAGGAGAAAAAATAAAGATGGAAGAAATTTTGCATTATGGGAGATACTTAACATTCCAGCAATGCTTTGCCACTCTTAAGAGATTGGCATTACATCTCTTACTTCAACTGTCTTCACATAGCATTAATGTAGTTTTTGACCATGTCACAGGTGGCAAAGTACTCCACAGAATATTAGATAAGCATGCAATTGTCCACTGATTATTTCTAATAAATATCTAGGCTTTTTAAAAATTATTTTGCACCTTTCAAAACAAGATAATAGCTCTAGTCCTTCTAAATGTAGAAGACAATTAGTAGTACCCAAGACTCTTCTAACATTATAAGTTTACCTGGATTTAGGTATATAAAAGAGAGAATAATCTAAGTTGATATGACTTCATTTTGTATGGCCAGTTTTCCTACCTTATGGACAAAAGTTGGCTTTTTTTTAAATATAAAGAGAGACATTATTACATTAATTATTAGAAAAAGTGAACTCATATTACTTTTTCTCATTATGTCCCAAAACAGATTTTCCAAAAAGGAAACCCTCCCAAACAAACATAATAGTAAAATTAAGCAACCTGCATTCATCAACAGTGTCAGTAATTCTGAGCAATGCCATTTTTATCTTAATAATATAAAAATCTAGCATTTTGATTGATACAGATTATTTTTTCATGAGTTAGATCGCAAGCATAAATTGGCATAATTTCAGAGAATAAATATTTTCCAAATGCACAAATACAAATTTCATTTTGTTTATTATTAACCTATTCCATTTTGTAAAGCAGGCATTACTTTTATTTCATTTTCAGAGAACTATAGCTAGTTCTGTGAAAAACAAAAATGGTACTTTTTATCGCATCTAATATTAAACATTCAAAAATGCCTGCATAGGATTATTTTGTACAAAATCACAAAGCAAAATGAATTTGAAAGTAAAAGATTCCCTTGGAATGTATAGTCTATTTCTTTTCTTCTTTTTTTTTTTTTTTAGATCACTCTCAACAGAGTGGTTTTATAGCCAACACATTTTCATTATTTCATTTTCTCTTACACAATTTTGAAGAATTTCACATTTTGCCTTAAATATAATATTCTGGGAGAGTTTCATTTTATTGTCCACATGAATGCTATTTTAACTCTATCCCAGCTCTATTTCATTTTTGTGAAAGATATTGAATTTTAAAGTTGTCTCTTATAAAGTTGTGGTGCTAATGTAAATGAAACAAATTTGGAACTACAAAACTGAAAATTAAAAAGGAACTTGCAGTCAGGTAAAAATGATATAGGTTAGATCTATAAGGCCAGTGTTGTAGATATTGCGTACCACGTGGGCATTATATGCACAAATTAGCCTACCTTTGTAGACACCTCAAACTCATAGGCCTCATCCTCAGAAAGATGGTTTCTATTTCAAATTTTCTACATTCTGATGCCAGGCATCTCACCTGATGCTCAGCTTTCTTGTGAAAGAAACTAGATACCTTTTTGCAAATGTGAACCTCATTATTATTTCATTCTGCTAGGGTCTGTCAAAAATTTGATATCAGTAGTAACTCAGCTTCATAGTTTCTTCTAGCCATTAAATCCAAGCTAGCTAATGGGCTGGAATCATAGATTGGCTTTCATGCCCTCTGGTGGATGCTCAAAGAAATTGCTACAATCATTAGTAAAAAGAAAAAAAAACAACCCTCATTTTAAAAAACAAACATTCTCAGCCTGGCGCGGTGGCTCTGCCTGTAATACCAGGGAGGCCGATGTGGGCGGATGACCTGAGGTCAGGAGTTCGAGACCAACCTGGCCAACATGGCGAAACCCCATCTCTACTAAAAATACCAAAAAAAAAAAGTTAGCCAGACGTTGTGGCGGGTGCAGAGTCTGAGGGAGGCGAATTGCTTCAACCTACCTGGAAGGTGGAGGTTGCAGTGCACTGCAGCCTGGGCGACAGAGTGAGACTCTGTCTCCGAAAATAAATAAATAAATAACATTCTTTAACATGGGAAGAAAAAAAATTCAATCCTATTACAAACACAGAAATAAACCAATCAACCAACCAACACCAAACAGGTATTTTGTTTGAAGTGTACTGACTCATAAACGCAATTAACTTTAAAATAAATTCCAATTACTTCAACTCCGACTTTCACTACTGTCTTAGGCAAATTAGCTGATAAATCATTAGCTCTGTTTCTAGATGTGCTTACGCTTTTCTATGGGTTAATTATAACCACTGCCTGCTCTGTAAATGGAATGGGGTGTAACATACGTAGCTCATAGGATACAAACAAAAACTTTTTCTTAGAGTCACTCATTTGAGATCAATATAGTTATATTGATCATTCTCTGATGTTTACTTATTATAGTCACTTTTAAAGTTAGAAGATCATAGTGGAAAAATGCCTGAAATAGGAACTGAAAGATGTCAATACCTAGTCTCTAGTTTTGTTTCTTACACTAATTAGCTATACAACTTGGGCAAGTCAAATCGTCTTCCAGGGTCCACACTTTCTCATCTATTAAATGAAAGCAGACACACATGCATAGATAGGTAGATAGATAGATAGATGATAGATAGATAGATAGATAGATACCTTTTTGTCTACTTTTTAAAACAGAATTTGTGAGCTTTTCAACTATAAAAGTATATATATACTTTTGAAGTCTAATTGAACATTAGAAAATCAAGAAACATAAAAAATAAAATCATCTGTAGCCCCATTACGTGAAGATATGTTTTACATTTTTTACTTCTTTATAGTATGACTTCCTTTGTTGGCTTGGAATTACAAGCTATAACACTGCCAAATCATGTACTTGTTTAATTTTATATTTCTTTCTATTTAAGTAATAAATGAACTTAATTTTAAAAGTCAAGTAGTACTATAAAATCGAAATAGAAATCAGTACTTTTCTGTCATACCTAAGCCACACATTATCTCCGAGTCCAATTTCTTGAGACAACAATTTTCAACTCTTTAAGTATTTTGTTACAAATATTTATTATCCAATTCTAAAATGATGTGTTTTGGCACCATTTGGTTTTAATTTATTAATACTTTATTTATTTAATAAATTAATAAATAATAAATTATTAATAAATAATAATAATTAAATTTTCACAATCTGAGATTAGCATTTAGGTTTCTTACTGTATCCTGCCACCTTCCTTCACAAACCTTTTCCCTTTGCCTATATTGTTAATATAAATAATATATATTTAAAATATTAATTTAAACATTTTAATCAATTTAAGTATTAATTATTTACATTATTCATAGCTTAACCATTTATAACAGTACTAATTATTTTTAATTTTCATAGCTTAACCATTTTATAGTTAATCCAATTTTTGTTTTTCATGGATTTAATAAATGCCTTGTTTTTTTCACTTCCCCTGTTTTCCACTTACTACTAATTTAACATTAAAGCTACATATATATTTTTCTTTAATCATTCCTCCTATTTCCTGTAGCTCATTGCTGTTATGTTCTGATTGGAACTGGCTCTTCTTCGGGCTGCTGCAATGCTGTCTTCCTATAGATTAGCTTCACTATCATTTTCAGAATTCTCTTCACTTCTTTTGCCTCTAATTCTAGGACATTTCTGGATTGCCGTAGCAAATATTAGCTTAATCATTCTATTTCTTCCCTGACGCTTAGCAAAGCAGAGAAACTCAAAATCTCAGTGAATCATGACAACCATCTGTGTCCATCTCATTCATCTTTCCAAGTACTAAAATCTTCTGATTAACTTTCTTCTTACTGTCATCTTACTTCTGTCTCTGTGAATTAAAAACAGTTTAATTTCTTTCCTATAATCTTAGTAGGTTTCTGAAGAGAGTAGATGTCTTCATTCTACCATGTTCAACTTGAAGTTAGGAATAGCCGGTTCACAAAATTGTCATTAGAATAAAATCTGATAGCGTATATGAAAGCAGTTTGTTCACTATAAAGCCCTACACACACACCAGGGATTATTGCAGTACATAAACACATGCTTCTTCAGATCTTTTTCATCAGCGGATACAAGTGAGATTATGTTAACAGCACTAAGTCAGCTGTCTCTGGCTTTTACTCACCCTCACTTTCGTAAGGTCTTACCCCCATTAAACCCTCATCCAGTTTTTTGGGAATTTCCAGAACTAGGAAACATTACTTTATAACTTAGTTTTAGTATCAGGCAATGATTTCCTTCACTTGTGGATTTATATTCTAGCCCTGGAAGAAACATACCAGACTACCAGTAGAATTCAGCTGTATAGCATAGTAGAAGATGATAAGTGCTACGGAAAAGTGAAAAGTGTTTCTAGTATAAGGAGGTTGAGAGTGTCAGGGTTGGGAGAGGCTGCGATTTAAAGTAGAATAGAAAGGTTGGGCCTAATTGAGAAGGTGACTTTCCAACAAAGAATTCAAGTAGGTGAGTTGGTGAAGCAATGCTGATATCTGGGGGAAGAATGTTGTGGACAAAAATAACTGCAAAATGGGTGTAGGCTAGTACCTGACAGGTTTGAGGACAATGTTTCTGGAACAAATGAATAAAAGGGAAAGTCACAAGAATGGAGATGGGGAAGGAGTACAGATCATATAGAGCCATGTGTCAAGGAATTTGACATTTTCCTTGACTGAGGTGGAGTGCCTCAGTTAGAGTTTAGTTAAAGTAAATGATGCTCCTTACATTGTAAAAAGATTACTCCACATATCAAAAGTTTCTTTACATCACATGTCATTAGGGAATTGCAAATTAAAACAACAATGGAATACCACAGCACACTTATTAGAATGGCCAAAATTCAGAATACTGACAACACCAAATGCTGGTGAGGATGTGGAGCAATGGGAACTCTCGTTCATTGCTGCTAGAACTCCAAAATGGTACAGACACTTTGAAAGATGGGTTAGTGGTTTTGTTGCAAAACTAAACATACAACCCAACAAACATAAGTTACAAACTTATGTCTCCACAAAATCTTGCATATGGATATTGACAGTAGCTTTATGCGTAATTGCCAAAACTTGGAAGCATCCAAGATATCCTTCAGCAGGTGAAGGCATACATAAACTCTGGTAAACCAGACAATGGATTTTATTTAGCCCTGAAAAGAAATGAACTATCAAGCCATGAAAAGACATAGAGGAAACTTACGTGCTAACCTGAAAAGGCTACATACTGTATGATTCCAACTATAGGGCATTCTAAAAATGCAAAGCTGTGGAGAAAATAAAAAGATCAATGGTTGTTTGGATTTAGAAGGGAGGGAAGAATGGATAGATAGGCAGAGCACAGAGGACTTTCAGGGGCGTTGAAATTACTTTGTGTGACACTATAATGGTAGGTACATGTCATTCTAAATTTGTCAGACCTACAGAATGTACAACACCAAGAGTAAATCATAATATAAACTATGGACTTTGGATGATCATGATGTCAGTATAGGCACATCAATTGTAAGAAGTGTATCACTCTGGTGAGAAATGTTGGTAATGGGGGAGGTTATGTAAGTGTCAAAGCAGGGTGTATACAATAAATCTCTCTACCTTCTGCTCAATATTCCTGTGGACCTAAAACTGCTCTAAAACTAGTTTATTAAAAAGGATTACCCTAGCTTCTATGGCTCCAAGTATTTTTTGGCCTGAGCAACAGTTGCAGTTAACTGAGATGGGGAAGGTTTGGATAAAACAGATTTGGAAAAAGAAGATTAGGAAATAAGTTTGGTCAAACTAAATTTTAGATATCTATTGATGTTTATTGTTTTGTTCAACAAATTTGTCAGCTGAAGATCATATGTCATCTGTGATGGATGTTTTTGTCTGTCCCCCTGCTGATGGCCACTGCCAAAATGCCACTTGAAGATGTCTCATTGCTACTTCTGCAGTCCTCATGGGAACAGATACCTATGCCGAAGGTTCTTAGCATGATGCTGCAATAAATGCCAAGCCCTGAGGCTCCAGAGAAACACTATGGACTATGGAGGCCACATTCATTACTGTAAAAGGGGAACTTTTCTTTTCTCCCCGTGTTGGCATTATATGTGCTCTATATCTTCAGCAATCTCCTTCACCTTCTATCTACAATTTCTTCCTCTTCAGGTTGGGGCATAAAACCTCTTGTTTTTGCTGAGACTTGTAATCTTTTCCTTTTCCTCTTCATTTATCCTTTACCCTTCAACTCCAAACTTTTCTTTTTCCTACTCTCTCCCCTCACCTTCATTCAAATACTATCTTTCTGGTTCTGGTTCTGGACATGTTGGATTCTCGGCTTGGGCTATTGTTAAATTATAATAATTTTTATGGACCCCATGCTAGGAAAGAGTTTAAAGCAGAAAATGGTGTGCTGTATACTGCAGTGGAGTCCTAAATGTGATGGAAACTACTTCCAGCACCTAATTGTTGCCTGTTTGGATACTAGTGGAGAAGCATTAATTTGGTTGTGTAGCATAAAAGTATGATACAGCAGTGACACATCAAAAGCCTGCTACTTTACTATTTAAACATCTCCATGACCAAAATTTTTTCCAACATCCATTCTTTTGTCGAATTGTCCTTCCTCAGACTATATGAATAGATCTCTGGACATTTCCAACAACTGAAATAACTATTCCTAAATTTGATGTTTTGGAATTACAGATGTCGTTAATACTTTAAATTGATAATCCACACCTAAAATCAGGTTGTTTTTACAATTTCTTCATATGGAGGTGGGGAGCCTAAAGGGCCAAAACATGGAGCAGGAACAGGATATAGGTCAGGGGTTTGAGTTTGAAGGTGAATTCCAACAGTTGGACTCACAGCTGCTTCTGTCCCTGGAAAGAGAAAGATGAAGACTTGTAATCTTTCTAGTGAGCATAAAACATAAGTACATGAACTGCCCGATAAAATCTGGCATTGCTTGGATCGCTGAAGCAACAGAAAATTATTTGTATCTATGAGAAAAAAATTACAACTATCTTGCTCTTTGCAGTGAAGGTTTAGTCACCACAGGGGGGAAAAAAAAAATTGCTTGCCTGAACTGATGAAATCATCATTGTCTAACCCATCAAGAAGCATTTACAATTTAGGAGCTGAAACTAGAAGGAATATCTTCTTTTGTAGATCACAGAACAGGATTCCTCAACACTAATGGCATTTCAGCTAATGCTGCCAACATGGGAAATGTAAATTGCATTAGAAAAATTAAAATATCACTTTCTAAATTGTATTATTTTACATGTATGGTTGCAAACTTCAACTAATATAAATAATTATTTCTCTTTAGTAAACAGTAAAAATGTTAAGCTCGGTGATGAAAGCACGCATTTAAAGTATACACACACAATAAAGAGAATATATTCTAAAATTTAAAAAAAAACTTGGAAATCAAAGTTCTTGACTTCTAGATTAGGCATAATATAGGCCATTAACTATTACAAACTGGCCTTTTCTTCCACTAACTGGTAACCTTGAAAGACTATGCACTTACTCTAATGGCTCTTTTGGAAATTGTCTGTTAGTATTTCCTTGAAAGACTGTGTTTGGGTAACACAAAAAAATAATAGTGCTATTTTATAACCATCTTTATATTAATATATGACTATATATATAAAGATGGTTTTATATATATATATATGTATAAATGCTTATATGTAAAGAATATGTATTCACCTGGATCTTTACTTACCTTTGAATGATTTTGACTGCTTTCTGCCAAAACAATAGCAACCATCAAAAATTCATCTTTAAAAAGAAACTAGTCCCGTGAACTAAATCGGGCCTCTGATTTTGTGTATTGAATTTATGAAACACAATCTTATTTATACACTTACATATTGTCTATGGCTGCTGTTGCACTACCATGGCAGAGGTGAGTAGTCCCCACCTAGACCATATATTTTGCAAAGCCAAAAATATTTTATACCTGTCTTTAATGGAAAAAGTTTGCTGACCTTCCTTAAAGGAGTAAGATTTGATGCCATTAGGAATATTCCAAAGAATATGCCACAATGATCAAAAGAATTCAAAGACTAGTTGCATATTAGGCATTAGTTGCTTCACTAGGATCCATACGGAGATTACTCAAAATGATTACTTTGAAGCAGATAATGTTAATTTAGAATAATGGATTTTCATACAGTTGTGTTTGTCTTATTTCTTATCTCACTGGTACCAGAGCAAAGACTAATAAGTCAAGTATGTAAAGGGTGGAGCTGTGTTTAGTATATATGTCTCACCTTCTGGTTTAGCACTTTTCTTAGAGTTATCTATTTAATTAAATAGTCTACTTTTGGGCTATTACATAATATTTCTTTACCTCAGTTTTCTCTTAGGCAATAAGGGTATAATACTCGTGTCTACCTCTATAAAAGCAAGGCTAAATGAGCATAAAGTACTTAAAACAAGGCCTGGCACAGGAATTATGCATCAAGGTTTACTATTATTATTACAATATGTCAAGAGCTGTACTAATGATAGGAACATGCATGCATCTACTTTTATTTACAATATTATTTTTCAATCCATCCTCTTTTCATAGTTAAATAATGATTTAAACATTATTATTATTAATTATAATATAGAAGTTATTAAATGAAAAGTATCATGGAGTTAGAGCCCTTTGCAGTTTATAAGTTTGGGTTGATGTCAGATAAGTCTGCGGGACTTGATCAATCAGAGTTAAAATTGGTAAAATACAGTTACCCTAGGAATTTCCTCCATTGTGAATACTTGTAATGAATGATGGCTATTTTCTTGGTGAACTGCCCCTAGTGTATTCAGTACAAAGTCAAAGGTAACTATCTTTCTGCCTAGAAATGGTCAACCAAACTGACTTGACACATCTATTATTTGTACTAGCTCCAATTTATTTGTACGATTGCCACTGTCTATATTGTGCTCCCAGTAATAGAGTCTTCACAGTTGCTTTCGTAGAAAACTCATTATCTTCTTCCTACAAATTTTGCTGTTGATCTTAAACTTGTTATTAAAACCACAAGGCATTTGGTAAACATAATTAAGCCAATGTGTTCAGGAAGTTTTGAAAACCAAATATGTGTTATATCAGTTTTCAATTTTTTTCAAAGCATGTTTACATATAATATCAAGTGATTGGATGCTGGGGAGGACAGGCATTTTTATCTTTTGACAAATTAAGAAGCTGAGAGAACTGAATTAAAAATGCCAGCAAAAATCCTATAGTTTTTACAGAACTGCTCTCTAAGATATCAGAGTTTACTGTTTAATTTTGTAAAACCAATACACTTACTGCTTAGTTTTTATAGCCAGAGTTGAGATTTCCTATGTTTTTAAGAATCACTCAAATAGACTTCACCTCTTTCTACATGTTCTTTCTACCTGTTTCTTCTCTTTCCTTTACCTCATTCCTTTCTCTTCTATGGGAGTGGCCAGAAGGACTGAATTTGAGTCACAGTTCTGCCATCTACTTACTATGTTGCTTAATCTCTAAGTGCCTTTGTTCCCTCATTGGTAGAGTGGTCAGAATGATAGTGAACCTTCATAGAGTGGTAAGGAAGAATAAATGAGATTAAGGATGTCAAGTGTTAGCACAGAGCATGGCTCCTGGGAAATGCTCAATGAATGAGTCATTACTATTATCATGTCTTTCCATGAAAATCTGTGAATGAAATACTTCCTTTTTTATTACTGAAAATAAGTCACAGAATATTTACACTTAGAACATGAAACATAGGGAAATGGCATTTCTGAAAAATCATAAAATAAAAGAATCCTGGGAGACTGGAGGGAGAAGAGAGCAGAGCCTGTAAGACCCTGCTTCTTGTTCACCTCTCTGCAGCCCTCCTATTTCTCCCCAGCTCAGAGCACTCATACATAATCACTGCTGGAATGCCAGTATTTCTATTTTCCCAGAAATAAGAAAGAGGGAAGATTATCCCTGAAACTGCAGAAGAAATGGGATCAGAGAGATTGTATAGTTGAAGGGCAGCATTATCAAGCGATCAGCCCCAGGGAGAAGCTAAGCCAAGATGAGTGTCCCTAGGAGGGGTGTCACCTCGGGCTTCACCTTGCAATCAGCTCAGGAAAGGCAGGGAACCTCATTAGGAAGCCTTGTCAAGCCTGAGGGAACCCAGCTCCAATCCACACACTTCATGGCATAAAGGCAAAGGGACCCTTATTTAAATGTTATGTAATTGATTATGTTTTATTAAAAACATGGACAAACAATTGTGGGGGTCCCTCTCCTATGCTCTCAAATTCTCTCTTTTCTAATGCCTAGTCAATTGTTTTTCTGCCTCAAGCTCTATTTGTCCTTTTCTCACCTCCAAAACTCCATTTTCCATTAATTATCTTTAAATATCTTGCTTCCTCATTAAGATGGGCTTTTATTCAGCATCACAACTTTATTTTTAATAAAACCTTATTGTCATCCTTATTTTTAGTAAATTAAAATAAAAACAACCTTTCATTTTTAATAAACTCCAAAATTCCTTTGACATTGCCTACTTTTAATATACAAATTTAAAAAATAAAACAAAACAATTAACCTAATCAACAAAACCAAAATCCTTATCTTTTTTTAAAAAAACTATTTTTAATATTTATTTTACCCTATCATAATTATAGTCCTTGGATTTATGAACTGCTGAGCGATGACCACAAACAGTAGAGATTTGGGATACAGATGGTCATGTGAAGATTTTGAGGATTTTTCTCTTCTTTTTTCTCAACCTTTACTAAAAATTTGCATACATTCCTTTGAAAAAATCACTGTCTGTGGCTCAATGTGTGTTTTCACTTCCCATTTCCACATTTGAGAGGGGGGAGAAAACTGGTTTTGCAGATTGATATGATTTGGATCTGTGTCCCCACCCAAAACCAGTGTTGAATTGTAATCCCCAGTGTTGAAGACGGGGCCCGGTGGGAGTTGACTGGATCATGGGAATGGCTTCTCATGAATGACTTAGCACCATAACCTTGGTGCTGTTCTCATGATAGTGAGTTCTCACGAGATCTGATTGTTTAAAAGTGTGTAACACCACCCGCCTCCCACTCTCTTCCTCCTGGCCCAGCCATGTGAAGTGCTTGCTCCCTCTTTGCCTTCTGCCATGATTTAAGTTCCCTGAGGCCTCCCCAGAAGCCAAGCAGATGTCAGCATCATGCTTCCTGTACAGCCTGCAGAACCATGAGCCAATTTAAACTTTTTTTTCATAAATTACCCAGTCTGGTATTTATTTATAGTAATGTGAGAATGGACTAACACAGGAAGTCTTCTGTGTTTTCAGTTGTATTATCACTTAGGAGATATTCTGAAGGCATTATTAAATTAGGTAAGATACTGAGTGATATGCTTTGACTGTGTCCCCACCCAAATCTCATCTTGACCTGTACTCCCATAATTCCCGTGTGTTGTGGGAGGGATCTGATGGAAGACAATTGAGTGGTGGGGTGGTTTCCTCCATATTGTTCTTGTGGTAGTGAATAGGTCTCATAAGATCTAATGGTTTTATCAGGGGTTTCCACTTTTGCATCTTCCTTACTCTCTCTTTGCCTGCTGCCATCCATCTAAGATGTGACTTGCTCCTCCTTGCTTTCTACCGTGATAGTGAGGCTTCCCCAGCCACATGGAACTGTAAGTCCAATTAAACCTATTTATTTTGTAAATCGCTCAGTTTCAGTTATGTCTTTATCAGCAGCTTGAAAATGGACTAATACACTAAGAAAAGAAAACATCAAAAAGAATGAAAAAAAATTACCTCAACACAGATACTGAACAAAACATACCCACATAATACTAGAATTATTCATCTTTGACGATTTAGAGAAGGAACTAAGAAGGTCTCAGAAGCTACGGCATGGATGATGCCATTTGAGAAGACATGAGGTCATTGAGCGGACGCTCTCTGGGTTGTAGCAGAGATGGTGAAGGAGAACCGGATCCAGAAGATGAGTGAAGTTCAGGGGAACATAGTAAAGGGAGAAGAAAGAGGAGGAGATTCTGGAGCTGGGACCAGGAAGAGGAAGTGGGGCTGAAGAAAAAAAGAAGAATTTAGAATCTGTATAAAATAAGTAGGTTTAAATTTTAGTCCTTAAAATATCTCTGATTTTAAACTGTTTCTTCTCTTCTTCCTCTTGCTCTGCATCTTCTCCTTCTCTGCCTTCTTGACTTTCTTCTGATCTTCTCCTCTTCTTCGTTCTCTGACAGCCCCTCTTCTTCCTCCTCACTCCCCAAGAGAGCAGCTGTATTAGTTTACTAGGGCTGTCATAACAAAGTACCACAGACTGGATCACTTAAATAACATAAATTCATTTTCTCACGATTGTGGAGTCTAGACATCCACGACCAAGGTTTCGGCAGGGTAGGTTTCTTCTGAGGCCTCTCTCCTTGGATTGCAGATGGCCACCCTTCTCCTTGTGTCTCTACATCATGGTCTTTACTTTGTGCCTGTCTGTGTGCTAATATCTTCTTATAAGAATGCTGGTCATATTGAATTAAGGTTCATCCCAATTACCTCATTTTAATTTCATTGCCTTTGTCTTTTTAAAGGCCCTATCTTCAAATATAGTCATATTCTGAGATACTGGGGTTAGAATTTGAACACATGAAATTGGGTGGGACACAGTTCAACCCACAACAGGGGGCATCAGAGGGAATATTTTTCCCTTTCTGAAGGGTAAAGATCTTCCTAACATATTGTGGACATGGAGAGTGATCTTTGAGCGCACAGTAAGTGCCAGGGTCTCTTCTACAGAATCCAAAGACTTTCGAGAAGCCCCTCAGTTTAGGATCCACACTTCAGGGGTATAGATCCTATGAAGAGGAAGGAAGACCAGTTATCTAAAGACTGAATCAGCAGAGTACTGTGAAAAGACAGGAACATTAGCCCGGGAAACACTACTGTGGTCTGTGGTGTTTGGGTGAGAACCCACGGACCTCTCCCAGACAGGAAATTCCACCAGACATTGGGATGGGCTGTGCTGGCAACACCCTCCTTACATACCTTTATAAGGATCCAAGCCAAGTGTTTTCTTTTTTCTGTTTAGTATTTCTAATCAGAATAACTGGCAACCTGCACCATGTAATAGTATCAGTAGTTCTGATTGAAAGAAATTCTCTATTTTATGTATTTTAACATTAGCACAATTTGTCCACCTCAGTTTCTCAGTCAAAAGTTTCCTCTGAGTTCTGCTCAGTTGAGGGCAGCTTCCAGGAGATCCTGAGAGTCCAACCTTTGCCCTACATGTCAGAAGAGCCGAGCTATTTCAATTAATATATTCAATAAATGGTGATAATTAAGTAAAATAAGTTTTGGTAAAAATTTAAAAAATTAAGTTTTGGGAGGAACCCAAGGTTAATATATCAAATCTAGTCTCTCCATTAAAATGTTTCAAATAAATTACCCATTTCCCACATTCTGTATTCAGTGGGGAACATCCCATCTTCTCCTTTGTGCTCAAGAAATGGCAGGGAGTCCAGAAACCTTATTTTGTATTCTAACATGTCACCAGTGTCATTCCAGAGATTTCTCATTTTTCTCTTTCTCTTCTGAACAGGGACTGTGAGGGAAATTCAGAAGCACAGTCCCATAACCTTGGTGTGGGCGTATGAATCCTGTGGCAGCTGGACTCAGTTCTCCGCTGTGAGCACATACTCTGTGGGAGCTGTGGAGGTAGATGCTGTGGTTTTGACCCTCACCTCCTTCTGTAGCCACAAAAGCAAGTGGTTCTTTAACTTCCCTTTTGGAGAGCAGCTTCTTTTTATAGAAATATTAGGTAGGAAGAATGATTTGTATGGAGAAGTGAAGGTATCATGAAGATCCAGTGAGGAATGTAAATCTAGCATGGGTCCAGGTTTCAAATTGTCTTAAAATATTGACTGCCTGAAATTTGCTTCCAGAAGTTACTAGGTAAGAAGTCACTAGAGATGGGAGATCACCACTTCCTAAATTACTCTTTTGTATTTTGTTTTGGAGAAGAGAAACAGAAATGCCAAAAAGCACAGCTCTGGGCATCTTATCCACATCAAAGACTGTATGAATGGCTGTTCCCTGCCTATCCTGCCATCCTGAGCATTCCTGGGACAAGATGGAACATCGGCAGTGGGTGGAACAACCTAACAATGAATTCAGCATAGGCACACACACAAAAAAAGATAAATAGGACAGAGTAACTAATGGGAATCAATAGTAGAGAGATTTGCAGTGCAACTCAGGATGGAAGAGTTTAAATGTTTCTTGAGCAAAATAAGATCCAGAAGTTAAACCAGTGGAATTGGGGTGAAAGAATAGAGTGAGGATGGGCATGAAGATCCTGGAGCACAAGCCCTGCTACTGAAAAGCTGCTCTATAGAAAAGTCTAGGTGTTCAAATAGTGAGGCTCTACTTAGTGTCCAGGGATGGGCTGGGCTGTGAGTGACCAGCCCATATTTTCACTGGTTCCCTAGCCCCAATTCTGGACACTTTAAACTCGATTAGTTGACGTGCAGTAAACATCTATGCATGTATGTGTCCCTTTGAGAGTGAGAGAAGTACATAACATCCTCTAAGATAAATAACAGTCACTTTTCCAAGTTGATATTTAGGAATTAGAGATAATATCTGAAAATCCGCAAATTACTGCTTAGCATTTGACAGACGTAAAACAAATTGTGACCATATAAACCACAATGAGATACCATCTCACACCAGTTAGAATGGCAATCATTAAAAAGTCAGGAAACAACAGGTGCTGGAGAGGATGTGGAGAAATAGGAACACTTTTACACTGTTGGTGGGACTGTAAACTAGTTCAACCATTGTGTAAGTCAGTGTGGCGATTCCTCAGGGATCTAGAACTAGAAATACCATTTGACCCAGCCATCTCATTACTGGGTGTATACCCAAAGGACTATAAATCATGCTGCTATAAAGACACATGCACACGTATGTTTATTGCGGCACTATTCACAATAGCAAAGACTTGGAACCAACCCAAATGTCCAACAATGATAGACTGGATTAAGAAAATGTGGCACATATACACCATGGAATACTATGCAGCCATAAAAAATGATGAGTTCATGTCCCTTGTAGGGACATGGATGAAATTGGAAATCATCATTCTCAGTAAACTATCGCAAGGACAAAAAACCAAACACCGTGTGTTCTCACTCATAGGTGGGAATTGAACAATGAGAACACATGGACACAGGAAGGGGAACATCACACTTGGGACTGTTGTGGGGTGGGGGGAGGGGGGAGGGATAGCATTAGGAGATATACCTAATGCAAAATGGCGAGTTAATGGGTGTAGCACACCAGCATGGCACATGTATACATATGTAACTACCCTGCACATTGTGCACATGTACCCTAAAACTTAAAGTATAATAATAATAATTAAAAAAAAGCAATTTATCCCCAAGGTTGTTTGGTTTTTTTTTCTTTTTTTTTTTGCCTGTTCTGAATGATTTCAGAGTAACATAGAGAATGTGAGTCTATTGCCCGTCACTCAGTGCTAGCACATGCAGATTGCTAAAGCAGTATATCAGCCTTGACCCTTCCTTCACACTCATGACATTCAGGCAAGTTCAAGAGCACATATGGAATCTGCCATGCAAGAAATATAAAAACATTAGATAAAGAAGGGTATAACCATGGCACATAAGCTGCTTTAAAAATGTTTAACAGTATAACTGTCTAGCTTAATAATATACTTAAAATTAAAACGAAAATTCTTTTAAGATTCAAGATAGTCGAGGAAAAGGTCTTTCTTGAAGTGAGAGAAGAGCTGAAAATACTAGGCTGCATTTTTCTTTTTAGAAACTTAAGTTCAGATAAAAGAAGCATAATTGCATTTACTTATTAAATACCTGGAGGTAAATAAAGAAAAATAGTCCAATGTTAGCATGTTGACTCCTTTGACTAACATATTTTGTTAAAATATCAATAACCCTGTTTCCCTCTATGCCCTGTGGAAGGTGCTTTTGATTTTAGGAGGAAGAACTATTGTTTTGGAGACTTTAATTATCCTTCCTAAAAGAACCATTTCCCGCCGGGCGCGGTGGCTCACGCCTGTAATCCCAGCACTTTGGGAGGCCGAGGCGGGCGGATCACGAGGTCAGGAGATCGAGACCACGGTGAAACCCCGTCTCTACTAAAAATACAAAAAATTAGCCGGGCGTGGTGGCGGGCGCCTGTAGTCCCAGCTACTCGGGAGGCTGAGGCAGGAGAATGGCGTGAACCCGGGAGGGGGAGCTTGCAGTGAGCGGAGATCGCGCCACGGCACTCCCGCCTGGGCGACAGAGCGAGACTCCGTCTCAAAAAAAAAAAAAAAAAAAAAAAAGAACCATTTCCCAAACTGATAATGCATTGCCTCTGTTAAGTAATAACCTTTGAAGGAAAAAAAAAAAGCTGGAGGTCAATATAATCATTATCTTGGAAAACTAAGTTTGATGTTAACAAATTTTTGTTTATTTTTACCCCACTTTTCATCTTGCTGTTAGTTTTCCCCAGGGCACACCCTGCTCCATCTATTGTAAATTTCATGGTGGCCCAGTTTCTGAAAGACGGCTTTAGCTATTATCTCTGTTAAGCGCTCCCGAGGTAACTGTAGTGTGTAATGCAGTAACTTAGAATAAAGTCTCACAACAGTCCCTGCTTGAGCCAATACTTAAGATGAAGAAATAGCTATCAATTATGGCTTCCCAGAAATCAGTAAGTTGTTTTTTTCTACTCACAGCTAAGGCTGGCAGCTGCAAATAACTCTAAGCCCTGAATTTCCTCTGTTCTTTACTTCCTTATGCAAACTGGAAAATGAAGGGAAGGGCATGGTTTTGGGAGGGGAAGTTGGGAGCTGACAGGATCAGGACGCTGAGATGAAAGGGCATGAAAATTGACATTCCCCTGACTATTCCATGGAATTTCAGATTCTGCATTGACCGCAGACATCTGGAAAGTGTCGTTCAATGTTACTTCAGATGAGTTCAGTAAAGCATAGAAAGCTCAGTAAATGAATTTATAAATACAAGTTAAGACAGGTTGATAATAAAAGCTCAGAGATGCTTTGCAGTACCCTAAACCCTACCATTCACCTGGACTGCCCAGCCCTGCATACTTCTTCTCTTCTGCTTATTGAACAACAAAATATTTAGTTGCTTTCCTTATACTTAACTGTGGGTCAGTTCCCAAGACACATTTTCTTTCTTCTGGGATTGTCTTTCTTATGAAATTTTCTCCCTTAAACTCTCCTCAGTGCAGGCCTTGGTGTCTCCAATAAGCCACATCTTTTTCTAAGTTCCCAGATCTGCTTTTGGGAGAACAGTTTTTCAATTAACCGCAAAACCACAAAGTATCAAAAAAGAGTCCAGAAGCGTGCAGACAACTCACCATAAATAGAGTCCAAGTCTCCAACAGCAAAAACTGCCATGGTGCGCCTGTGAGAATCAATTCGGGGTCTCCTCAGCCAGCACTGGAGGCAGAGGACCACAGCTCCACAGAGAAGAGCTGCCACCAAAACCAGCAGCAGGAGGATCCTGACTCCAAAAGTAACCGAGAAAAGAATGAGGTAGAGTATGCAGGGAAGTTAAGAGCTTCCATCACTACCTAGAAGTGGGGTGAAGACTCAGCTAGACTGGCCGCAAGCAATGTGGGACACTGAATTCCTTAAGCAATTTCCTACCACCACCCATACATTTCCACTGAACTGAAAATATTCTTTGGCCTCAGAAAGGGTTGATCTTTCCAGGTGGTAATAATCATTTTCTCCTTAGAAATTGGAGGGTTATTCTAAAAGACAGAGTCTTAATTCATTCATCCATTCTTCCTTTCAGACATCCATCCAGCCATTCATCCATCCATCCATTCAGTTAGTATTTAAGCAACTACACACACTTTAGATATTGGGGATAGGAATTCAAAAGTAGGCAGAGGGGCCGGGCGCGGTGGCTCAAGCCTGTAATCCCAGCACTTTGGGAGGCCGAGGCGGGCGGATCACGAGGTCAGGAGATCGAGAACATCCTGGCTAACACGGTGAAACCCCGTCTCTACTAAAAAATACAAAAAATTAGCTGGGCGTGATGGCGGGCGCCTGTAATCCCAGCTACTCCGGAGGCTGAGGCTGGAGAATGGCGGGAACCCGGGAGGCGGAGCTTGCATTGAGCCGAGATGGCGCCACTGCACTGCAGCCTGGGCGACAGAGCAAAACTGTGTCTCAGAGAAAAAAAAAAATCTGAAGGATTATCTCATAGAAGAGACAGTGGTCATTTGGAATGCCTTTTAAGGCCAGAACTAATATCAGTGGAGGGTCATTTAGGGAGATTTCAAGACAAATAACAATTATTTTGCTGTTAAAGATTTTCAACTCTAGAATAAGCTTATTTTTTAAAATAGTGAGTCCTTTTGTCACAAGAAGTGTTTAAGTAAACATTGGCCAACGATCTGAAAGTGATGTTTCTATATTCATTTGCATGACCCCTAATCTTTCCTTAAGCTGTATGATTTCATGTACCATCTCAAATTATTTAGGACAAAGACTGTATATACCACCAACTGTCATATAAAACAAATGGAAGATATCCTTACCAGATATACCAGCCATTAGGGTGTTGGTCATTATAATTTACACACCTGGTGATAAAGGGAGAGCGTTAGTCCTGGAACTCAGGATAGCCAAAGCCTATTTCTTTCACCCAATAAAATTGGTACTGATCACACTTGTTTCTCCAGAACAGTCACCTACATATTCCCATACCAGCCCATATCGTCCCGCACCCAGCACAATTATGCAAATGTTTATGCCCACTCAATTCAAGGCACTGAGAATACAAGTAAATGTGAAATTATCAGACTGATACATAAACAGATAAATGCATTATAATGGGTTTGATTCTAGAGTTACAAATACTGTTAAGCATTGAGAAGGCAGTGACTTAACTCTTCAGGGACAACAAATCGTAGGTGTTTGGTATTAGGTAGATAACCATTATAGCTATATTCTGTTCATCTAGAGACCTACAGTCATGTAAAACTCAAATTCTCCAGGGAAGAATATCTTGGTAGAGAATAGGAGGCATTGGACAACTGTTTGCCCTCTTGTTATACAATTGGTGAGGAAAGAAATTAGGCTAGGAGGAAAATGAATGAACGTGGCCATACCTACCATTTACCAAGGAGTTAGAAGTTGACTCCTTCAGTCAGGAAGTTGACCCTCCTGTGTGTGTCTAGCCACAATTCAATCTTTCTTGAGAGAAGTTTTAAAATATCGCAGACAGACAAAGTTCACAGAGTGATTTTTGGGAGGTATAACTCCGTAGGTGTAGAGTCCCTCACTATGCCTAACATGGCACACTAAATGTATGTGGGCTGATGGACTTTTTTCATACCTCAATATACAAGCTACTTTTAAGGTATTCTGAACTGAGCTTGAACAGTGGAAATCTGTTATTCACAGTCAGATACACTTCTGAGAAGACACTATACTTAATCATATCTTCTTCAGCCATTGTTAAAATAACTCAGTTCATTGCAGTTTGAAGACATTCATAAATGTCAGTTAATTTATTGCATCTAGCTTCCCTGAGGAGGCAGTGTGTCATCCCATCATCATACCAGTCAGAAATGACTTTTAACATATGTGAAGTGTCAATTTAAAAATTCTATCACAAACATTTAAGACAAAAACCAATCACCCAGCCTACAGATGATTTCATTCCCCTCCACATATAAATCTCTGCGTCTTTTTCTTTTGTCTGTTTTCTGTTTATTTGCTCTTTGTTCTTTTGAGCGCCCAGAGTGTTTAGCAAAATTCACAGGTATGGCTGGAAAAAAAAAAATGGCAACTGAAGTGTGACTTTGAAAAGCATCCTAAGACAAATGGCCATGAATAAAAGATGTGAAAAATAATTAATGGGACATACTTACAAGGGAATATTATTCAATCATCAAAAATAATGTAAACATGTTTATAAATAAGTCTTGCTACATAAAATAGTATAGAGACTTCAATCTTACTTTGTATATATTATTTTCTACAAGTACAATGATTTCGCCAAAATTACTACCAGACATAAATTTACACCAGACTACTGAAGTGCCCACTTCTCTTGAAGATGGCATTATGAAAAACTCTATCCCTTTCATATTGTTTGAATTATTGTAATGTACACGAATCACTTTGTAGTAAAAAGAACTTTAAAATATTGTATTAAAAAATTAAAACCTTAAAAATATACATTTTTTAAGAGACAGATGTGGGGAAATTCTCTTGGTGTCCTGACACAATTAAAAAAGCTTTTTTTTTTTTTTGTTTTGTTTTGTTTTGTTTTTCTTTTTTGAATTGTGACATCTAAGCTCATGGTCAGGAGTATGGATTATTTCATCTTCCTCCTCTTCCTTTACTTTTTTTCTGTTTGAAAATAGCCCCTTTACTTATCGTTAAACTCAATTCTAAATATTAACCACCTCATTGTGTTTCTTAAATCTAATTTTTAAGGCCCTCTATTTTTTTTTCTTCCTGGGCTAACAATTTTCCAAACCAACTTTATTTCACTTTTTTTTCTGAGCTGGTGCACCCTCTGGTGGAGTTTCTGATAAGAAATAACATGGCTAGGAAGCAGTTAGCTGGAGAAGTGCAGTAATCATGTAAGCTCCAAATCGCAGGCATCTTTGAGATCATTTATTGACCTTTAGGATTTTGCACAGTGTACCACTGAGACTTAAGGTGGAGAGAGGAAGAGGGGAATTCACTACGTAGTCAGAGAACTACACTGGAACATGTGTCTTTTGGCTCCATATGCTCCCCTCCTCGAATCATTATTTCCATTTCTCTCTTAAATTCAAGTTGTAAACAGAAACTTTTTGAGTTCCTAAAAAAGTAAGAGTATTCTAATTACTCAAATATTACTTCCAAGATATTCAGTATAGGAAAGGTTATATTTTTGAAAATGAAATTATTCCTCAGGGATTGGTCAAATTGGTATGATTATGGTAAAAAGAAAATCATCGGGGGGAAGTGAGAGCTGACTATAATGCGTAAGAAAGACATTTGGAATAAGAATTATCTAGAATTAATTGTTGAGGGAGATAATTTCTGTCCTTATCAGAACGATTTCCTTTTGTTACTTTGATGTCATGGAGATGATTTCTGTGCAATACGAATGGTTAGATGAGTTGATCTTTATTCTTCTTCTCTGTGCTGAGAATCTGTGGACCTTAGATTACACATTTATGAATTTGATAAATTCAGGAAGAAATATGCAGAGTTGCTTCATTGGTTTCTCTGTTACATCACTCAGCATTTTCTAGGGCAGACACTCTTCTAAAACCAGATGCGTAACTTCATGTGAAATAACGGACTCTCAAACTTACACCACTATACAGTAGGGTCATACTATTATAATTCTCCTTTTACAACTGAGAGAACTCAGTCACAGAGCCATTAAGTAACTTGCGCAAGTTAGCATAGCTGGAAGTGGTAGAAGTAGGTTTTCAACCCAAATGCTCTGTCTGCAGAGTTCATGTCTCTTATCACCATGTCGTGGTGCGACTGGGACAGTAATAGCCAGCTCTAACCTCATAGTACCATGTGGAGTATTGCCTGAATGAATCCAGTATCCCGTGTTCCAAATGCTTTAAGGAAATACTGAAAATTAAAAAAAAAAAAAATAGAAATGAGAGCCTGGTGAGGATCAGACAGAGAATAGGCCAATAGTGAGATCAGTTTGTAAACCGAATATAGTAAATACCGTATATAAAATTTGAATTGAACTGTAGATCTGACTTAAGCTTCCTAGCAGCTAGCATAATGAGAGAGAATATTGGTTATATAGTGTCCTCTAAAATTAACAAAATGAACAGCATTACTCACCAGATGTACAACTATTCCTGGCATCGAAACCAGAGAAAAATTCAAGCTATGAGGCCTCATAAAGAGAACACTGTTAACATAAGAACAATGTTTTCCATAGTATTCTCAGAATAAATTCAGTAACAAATTGCATGAATTTTTTTTTATTTTTAAAAAGTCATTCCTCAACATAGGCCAAAGTGCAATTCAGCTACAGTAATTTGAGGGATGGATGAGTCACAAATCATATTACCCAGAAACTGGTAGTAAATTGTATAGTATCTCAAAGAATGAATGGACTATGCATATCTCAGGTATTTCACCAGATGTATAATTGATTAAATGTTGGATATACAATATAACTTTGTGGTTGAAATTCTGGGCTCAGGAGTCTGTCCCAGGTCCAAGTCCAAGCTCTGCCTTTTAACTTGCTTTCCTACTCTTGAGTAAGATATTTCACTTTATCAAGCCAAGCAAGATGTGGTATATCATTAGAAAATCTATCAATGCAATTAATTTACAGAATCTTTTATATGTATAGTCATATTTATATTTCATAAATCAATCTATTTTTGTTCATTCATGCACATCAGTGTCCTTGGCTATTTATCAGAAGAGGACTAAGTCAGAAGTATGA
The DNA here is from genome assembly GCF_000001405.40 of Homo sapiens. Classification (NCBI taxonomy): domain Eukaryota; kingdom Metazoa; phylum Chordata; class Mammalia; order Primates; family Hominidae; genus Homo; species Homo sapiens. The sequence goes on from NC_000003.12 coordinate 190,445,337, forward strand.
TAAGAGGGGCTCTGTCATGCTTTATTTCATAAAATAAATTACTTATAGCATTTAAATTTTATACAAAGACAGCACAGCAAAGCTTTGTTCATGTTAAAAATACAGTTAGAAAAGTAAAATAATTGGATTGGATCAGAAAAACGTACCCTGGTGTTGAAAACAAATTTAAATAGGGAATAATAAAATAGACCAGTGTTGTTGTTATTTGAGACGGAGTCTCGCTCTGTTACCCAGGCTGGAGTGCAGTGGTGCGATCTCGGCTCACTGCAACCGCCACCTCCCAGGTTCAAGCGATACTCCTGCCTCAGCCTCTTGAGTAGCTGGGATTACAGGTGCGTGCCACCATGCCCGGCTAATTTTTGTATTTTCAGTAGAGATGGGGTTTCACCATGTTGGCCAGGCTGGTCTCGAACTCCCCACCTCAGGTGATCCACCCACTTTGGCATCCCAAAGTGCTAGGATTACAGGGTTAGCCACTGCGCCCGGTCGACCAGTTTTGTTTGTTTGTTTGTTTTAATGGAAAATATATGCAAATTGTTTCGCACAATTCTTGGAACATAGAAGTTGATTAATACATATGTTTTTATTTCTAGCTAATCAGCACCTCCTCCACCATGGCCTCTACCTAGGCGATCCATGTTTCATGTTTTTACTTTGATGCTCCCTTGCATTCCAATCCAAGTCTCCCTTTTCTGTGTCCATTTTGCATGTGAACTTTGGACAAGCTACTGTCCTTTTGTGTTTCTCATTTTTTAAAAGACATTTGGAGTAGGCCATCTTTACGGTCCTTTTCACTGTAATCTGCCATGTTTGTGTGTTACTCTCTTATAGCAGTGCTGGTAAATGGATGAATATGGTCTCTTGGCTGGGTAGTGTATTTTATCAGGAGATAATGTCTCAGATCAAAGAAGTGATTTGAAACTGAAATCTCTTGTATAAATATAGTTAGAGAAAGAGGATTTTTCTTGGAGGGGACTTTTTACTCCCTCAGAAAACAGCATGACTTTCCTTACAGATTCATTCCGCTGACACTGTCTTGCGATAACAAAAGATTTGAGATATTGTGCACGTCTTCAATACATTTACTTACCTTATATGACCACCCTACATTCCCAGCCACTCTCTTTTTTGTGTTTATTTTCTGCCAATTTACATTTCATTTGAGGGTTAATTTTTTTTTGTTTTTACTCAAAAGCAATTGTATTGAATAATGATAACCATTACAGACACTTAGTTGCAAAATGATGTAGCCAGAGAATGTGATGCCTAAGTACCAGTTGAAGCCCTACTACTCATTTACTATTTCTCTTAGGTTTCAATCCCTTCACCTAAAAGGGAGAGCGGTAGCCTCAGCTACCGCTAAAGTCAGCATAAAAACTTTCTTAATACCGTATGTTTCTGTCACGTTGATTAGAGTTAGATTCAACATTTAAGATCCTTTCCAATTCTGAACTTCTTTATTTTGTTAGTCTGGGTCAAAGGCAGAAGATGAGGAGATAAGATAAGGGCAGCCAGGAAATCCTGAGTCAGATAAGCATGCAAACAATCAAATACTCTGTTACATCACAAACAGCATAAGACAGAGTGAAAAAGCAGTTCCAAAATTAACGTAAAGAAATAGCAATCGAGAGCCATGCAAAAGCTGAAAGAGCAGCACAAATTTAATAAGCAGATTGTTAACAATAAGAAGATCCACCAGAAGCAGGTGAATGGTCCCAATTTCTGCTGTGAAATACAGTCATAGCCTCCTGCTATACAGAGAGCATGGCTTTGAGTGTAACAGGCAATGAAGACTGAAAACAGCTGCTAACAGTAAGGGCTGCAAGCAGGAGAAGATAGTGCTGGGTGGAAGTGCTTTTCTGATACTAAATCACAATGAATTACAGATATTAATTATCAGTATCATTATTAATGGCACCTTCTCTTCATCTCCTGAATAGAATTCTGAGAACCATTAAGTCTATCGCACAAAAAGTGAAAAAATTGAGTCAATTGTTCACATAATTCATATCACAAGCACTTTGAAATAGACACACAGTACAGGTTAGAATTTTGGTCAGTTTGCTTGTATTTTAAACTGAGTTATACAGAAAACTGCCTCCCTTGGTCACTGTGATTTTTGAGTGTGGATGAAGCCATAGATGACATCATGATTCTTTTATGAACTTAAAGTACCCTTGAAACCTTAAGGAAGATAAATTCAGTGTGCAAAAATATCTAGAAATCAACTAGGCCTCTTATTTATTTAACAAAGCTGATCGTAATGAAAATTATCTTTCCTGTTTTCAGAAAAAAAAATGGAGCCATCTGCATTTACAAACCATTTACTTTTCTTCTGATTATAATGATCATTTGAAACTCAACTGGGCTTTTTCTAATGGCTTGAGCCTTTTTTATACTTTGAATTTTTTAAATGCGAAATAAAAACATGGAGTTTTTCGCTGTTTACTTACATTTCATCTTCTTCGCATGGTAGGTCCGAGAGCACCAACTGAAACACATGTTTAGAACAATAAAATCCAAACATCTCATCAGTCTAATCCTTTAATACAAGCAGCGCCTAGAGACAATGTGGGTTTATATCATTTCGTTTGCTTTTTTAATTAAAAGCTCTATAGCAGAGTTTATTGTTGGTACACAGAATTTTAATTGAAAAAATCTCTGGGTGGATTCTTAAGCTCAGCAGTGGCAGAAGATATATATTGTGAACCAGATTCCATTTCTACATACCAATATAAATGGATTTTACGACAATTTTTGTTTTTTCTATATGCAGATTTTGCTTGCTCTAAAGAGCTTTTGTGCACTTTGCATTTTTTGTTTTCATGTTGTAGCTAGAGGTCAGAGGTTCATTATTAGTGAGTATTATTTTCACGCAAAAAAAAACAAGTTCCAAGTACATACATGGAAACAGAAGTCAAGCCTATTAGCATTAATGGGCATTAAATATATATTCATGAAAGGGCGACTTTAACCTGCTCTAAGGGTAAGGTCCATTTAAGATCACATGACATTCCAGTTGAGATTTACAGTCTTCTCTTTATCAGAGAAGAGAAAAAAAGTAATCATCTTTGTTGCTTTGTTTGAAAAGTCCAATACTATAAGCATTCTAAAATAATGCTCTTAGTTATCTGCACTGAGTGTCATAGGTTACAACATCTCATATACTAAATCACAAGGAAAAAGGCACTTCTTTCTAAAGATCTTATTATCTATTTGCTTGCTTGACCCTTTGAACCAGGACTCCTTCCTTGTACAAGGAGAAAGTCTTTAAACGGCATTTATGTGTAGCTCTGAACACTTAGTTGATGAAGTCAGTTGAAGTATTTATTTTCCTGGACTATAACACGCAAATAAAAGTACAAGTAAGAAGTTACAAAATTTAAAGTGATAGACTTGGGAGTTCTGTGTGAGATGTGTCTTTTCCCCCCTTAATCCCAAAAGCATCTTCTTCAGCACCTTGTATTTACTCCACCAAGTTTATCTGGGCAAAGAGATTTGTGGAGTTGCAGATGGAGCCATGAATTGGCCATCAGAGAGCATGGTAATGAACAATTTATAAGCACAGAAAATGAGTTGCATTCTTTTTTGCTAGAATGCTGCAAATAGATTTGCATACTAAGTGAAAGGAAAATGAACATTCACATTTTGTCCATAAAGAAAGTTTATTTATGAGTAGATGAAATCGTTTGGGATCCAGCTTAACAGATAAACAAATAAAACCAGTATTTCACTTTCAAGTCACTTCCGTGTTTTTTCTGTGTGTTGTACCCTAGCAATAGTACACAGTATTAAATTATTAGCACCTCACTGCCAACACATTAGCTGTCAAACTTCCAGTTATTATGAAGAGGTAAGGAAAGCTATAATTTACTTTAGATCTAAATCTTTCAGATACCTTGCATTGAAGTCACACAGATCTAGAGATGCACGTGTTAGTCAGAAGGGGATGCTGGAGCAGAGGAACTGAAATAAATCCTAAAATGGTTCTGTCTACATCAGTCAGCATTGAAAAACTGTCAAGCATCAAGTATGGTTGTAGGCAATAGTAAACATGTCTTAAATTAATCTAGCCATAGCATTTTGTTCTGTGTCAATAGCATTTTGAATTTAAAAAATTACAGCATAGCAAAGTTAAACAAAGGTTAAATTTGCAATCACGTTATTTCAGTAGCAATAGAACTAATTGAAGGAGAAATAAGACTAATGCCTTGGACATTTTGTTTTGTCCCTCTGACCAGTGAATACAAGAAATCATAAGATGCTAGTAAAGCTTGAAGGAAATCTTTTAAATGTAGAAGCAGTTAAGTTGCTCACATATAAATCTATAGCAAATCAAGTCCTCAGAGTACCTCAGAGTACCTCTGAAAACCTTAACCCAGAAAGAGAGATAGTTACCTGGAATAGCGGCAAACACAAGATCCCTATCGTTGAGATCGCTGAGGTGACACTGAAAAGTCTGGATCTTGACATATTTAAAGGACAGTCAACTTAGGATAGTGGTTTGGTGCCTGTGTTTATTTCCTTCTTTCTCAGAACTTACTAGCTTCTCTATAAGTTATGCTTCCTACCAGGACATGCATTAATAATGGCTCCTTGTGACTCGTAAAGTGCATGCTAGGGGAAGGAATGTTGGGTACATGTTTACAGGTACTAAGAGCCCAAGGAATTTAAGTTTAAGGTGAGAACTTTAGCACTGTTTGTCAAGGCCTTTAAAAGTAGGGGTTATAAATGCTGACCTACAGAGCTAGCTGGCTACTTAATAACTTTCCACATTCAAGTGCATGTTTTATTCCAGGGAACTTCTGGGTTTCTAATAGTATTTCATATTTGGAACATTTATTCAATTTTCTTCCCTTTGTTGGTACTCTTTGTTCTCCTACACACCATTTTCAGTTCCAGGTCTAACCCAAACTTAGGCATAAAGCTTTCCTTGTTTTATTGTGATAATACCCCTCTTTTAAACAAGGTATATTTCAATGTTTATTTTATGAAACAACTCCATCACTACCACTGAAAAATAAAGCAAGAATATCTAGGGAAATTCTGAGAAAAAGAAAAGGCACTAACCTATTGTACATTAAGATGTCTTAATCTATGCATTTTACAAAAATTAGTACTGATATGTGTAAATAATAAGGTAAATGTAAAAGAGTAGAGAGTTTAGAAATGGAGAGTTTAGACTCAAATAAACAAATTTATTTAAGCTTCCATTTGAAACTAGTGGAGAGAAGATGGATATCTTTCAGGGTATAATGAAGAGCTAAATGGTTATGTGGAAAGAATGTAACAAATGATTGTTAAGATGCTTAACCTCAGTCATAATTAGATAAACATACCTTAGAATTATAATCAGATTGGCAAGTTCAAAAAATTGATAATATAGGGAAGAGGGATAAATACTGGGAAACAAATACTCTCATATACGGTTGGGAAAACTGTACAGCTTATTTGGAAAACAAGTAGGCAATATACATCAACATAAAAAATAAATATGCCCTTAGAGCAAGAATTCTCCTTGCAAGATACATGAATGTACCCCTTACACATGGCACAAATTACTATATGCAATGATGTTCATCGAAGCATTGTTGGTGTTAACAAAATATTGGAAACAGCAAATATTCATGAAAATGTGACAGACTAAGTACAAAATGGTTATATAAATTCAACAGAATACTAGGAATCTGTTTTAAAAGGTGGAGACAGATCACAGATGCTGATATAGAGAGGTCTGTAATAGTTATTGAATAAAAGGAACAAAAATCACAGAACTTTGTGTACATCATGTCACATTTGTATGCAAAAATAGGAAGGTAGAGCTATAGTATTCTCTCCGTACACAAAACTTATGCATATATACTTATATATGCATAGGATGTCTCTGCATGAAACTGCTAACAGTGGTTGCTCTGTGAAAGGGAAATTGCAAACTAAGAAGACCAGAGTGGGAAGGAAATTTACTTTTCACTGTTACTTCCTTGTATTTTTGATATTTTTTACAATGTCTATATGTCATCTAATTATTTTTTACATATATTCACTTCTAAGAGCCAATTTTGAAGGCAATGATCCACAATGCAGAATGAGAATATCGTAATTCAAGCTCCAGTGTAGTTCACCACATCCAATTCAAATTGTAATGTATGAACCCATTTACAATCACACACATAGATTGCTCTAGAAACAAACCAGCAGTATTAGGTATCTAAACTACTGCACAGAGTTGGCCATCGCGGTATATGGACTAGTTGAGCTGCATCTGGATGGGTGAAGCCGTCTGTGTGGTGACTACGCTCTGTTTAGTATGCAGCCACGGTCGCAGCCATGAATTTCAAAGCAGAGGAAGGCTTGGTGCCAATGCCAATAGGAGAAAAGTAAACCAAACCTACAGTATTATTTATCCCCCAGATACGCTCCATTTTGAGTGTCTCTGAAGCCTGTAATTAAACAGAATGAAAAATAGGCTTTTCACTGGTGAACTTATTTATTAGGCAGTCAGAAGCCTGACTTCCGTCGGTGGAGTCAATGATCTTAAGAATTTCTGGGAAAGGAAGAGGCCAGATGACTAGAGAAGAGACAGAATGGAAATAAGGGCAGCATATTTGGTTTTGCCTCAGAAACTGCAATAATGACCAACTACATACATGGATTAAGTAATTATTGTCAAAAAAAATGCATGATTCTGCAGCAGCTGCCTGATTAGGAGTATGGCAGCTGAATGGAGATGGAGTCTATAGTCACAATAGTAATGCAAACACAGCAATTATATTTGGTGCTAAAATCAAAATTTATATTCATTTCCACCTTGCCATTTATCCATTTACTTCTGTGACTTTCCCATGCCACTTCCAACGTCCAGCATAACAGTTTCTAAGACAGTAGTTTTTCTAGTACATTTCCTTCCTAGCATCATGAGAGTTTGGTGGTTGTGGAATACAAAATCTGACCATGAGTGCAATTTTACCTGCAAAATTTTTTTAATAGATACTTAAAATTAAAATAGCTTATTTTGTGATAAATTTAAATTCACAGGCAGTCTTAAGAACTACTACAGAGATCCCATATACTCTTCATTTAGCTTACCCCAGTGGTAGCATCTTACATAACTGTTATACATTATCACAACCAGAAAATTGACATGGAGGCAATCCACCATCGGCATGATTTTAAAAAAATTTATATGTACATAACAGTCGTTCATATTTATAGGGTACATGTGATATTTTATCACTTAAAATGTGTGATCAATTTTGTAAGTCCAACTACATCCTTATGTGCATGAACTTGTGGTAGTGAATTGTCATCACTGGAAAGTCAAGCTGAAGATGGTTGACTGCTATACATAGCAATATGGTCTCTTAGATCACTAAGATTCTAGGGACTTTTTATGTTTGATTATAAAAATAGAAGTAGGCAAAACTTGAAAAGAATCTGTAGAAGAAGAAAGAGGACATGCACTGTGATAGTGTATAAAATTCACCCAGTACTTGGATGGTGGACCTTTTATCTACATCTTTGTTACAAAAGAATGGACACACATATATTCAACTTCACAATTCTGGTTATTCACCTATCTCTTTTCTTTGTGAGAAGAGATTAATCCTTCCGAAATGGCTGGAGTTCAGGAAATATGAAAACTATCCTCTGGATTTGGAGCCTGACATAAGTCAAAATTCCCTGAAGCTCTGAAGTCATATCAATATTTGTCTTTAAAGGTCATGGCATGCAGCTCTTCGAAAGGATTGAGGACCAAAATTCAAGGAATTAAGCGAGAATAAATAAAAGGTATGAATAAAAGTGGGCATGCATAAAGGAAGGTCCAAAGAGCAAGCAAGGGATCACCAGCTACTCTCTTTATCAAAATTAAAGGCACAAGTTAAGGTTCTAGGAGTTAGGAAGCCTTGGTCACTAATAATCAGCAGTATGACAATAAACAGTTATTTATAAAAACTGCATTTTCTAAAATAATGATAATAATATTGAATTATCTTTCTCTAATAATTTCATTAAAGATCACATTGAAAATATCAACATGAAATCAGATATAGCACAGATGTAAGATGTTGATTACTGGAGCATAAAACACAACAAAATACAATAAAATAAACGAGAATTTCAAAATTAATTCAGAGATCCATGGAAACAATAGGAGTTGAAGTAATATAAGGAGGACATAAAATGAGGCAGCAAGCTGTCGGAGTCTCTAGTTTCTCCATTTGCTTCTTCTCCCTAGTGAAAGGAAATATTGATTACATTGCCAAATCCATGGTGAACTTTTAGTCATCTTACTTTAAGTAATGGACAACATTTGACACAGTTAATCACTTCTTGCTCCTTTACCTTCCTCACTTGGCTTCCAGAATGATATCGTTTTTGATTTGCCTCCCAGTTTGCTGACCATTTCTATTCAATTCTCTAGACCTGCCATGTTAGGAATTCCCTAAGACTCAGTTCTCAGACCTCTTTCTCTTCTGTATATATCCACTTTCTCAAGAATCTCAGTCAGTTTTACAGATTATCATCCATAAAGTGACAACTCTGAGATTTGTATCTTCAATCCAGATATTTCCCCTGAACTCATGAGATTAACTGTCAACTCCATGTCAGTTGGCTGGGGAGGAGATTGTTACGATATTTAATATAGCAGCTGAGGAAAACATTACTGAGAATGTGGCATTTCAGCAATGACCTTAAGGAAGTGAGGAAGTAAGCCACGTGGAAAATGTGGGAGGTGCATTTCAGACAAAGGAAAGATCAAATGCAAAGCTCCCTGAGACAGAAGAATGCCTGGGAAGTGTGTGGAAAAGCAAGAAGGCAGAGTGTGCCTAGAACAGACGGAGTTGAGCGGAGACTCTCAGTTGGCTGGGGAGGAGATTGTTGTGATGGCAGCTGAGGAAAACATCACATGTCACATAATGTCCATATCATCATTGGATATATTAGACTTCTGCAAAGTAAACTTAACCCAAACCTAGCTTCTCATTTTGCTTATCTCTTCTCTATCCTTTGTGTTTTCTCCAAATATTTCCTAGATCAGTAAGTTAAAGCCTTTTCTTTTTGTTTTTTCAGACCAAAAATCTTATAAATATTTTTTAGTTCTCTCTTTCATATGCCATACCTAATGTATCAGTAAATCCTGTAGTCTCAAATTTCAAAATATATACAGACCCCCAGCACTTTCTACTACCTTGACTAACAACTTTTTACCTAACTTACTCACCAACCACCTTCATATGTTACCAAAATTACTGCCAGTAGGTTCTTAGCAGGTACTTCTGTTTTTCCACTTGCCCATCTGCAATATACCCTCAATATAGCAACTGGAATGATTTTTTTTTTTTTGAGACAGAGTCTCCCTCTGTCACCCAGGCTGGAGAATGCAGTGGTATAATCTTGGCTCACTGCAACCTCCACCTTCCAGGTTCAAGTGATTCTCCTGCCTCAGCCTCCCAAGTAGCTGGGATTATAGGTGCCCACCACCATGTCTGGCTAATTTTTGTATTATTAGTAGAGACTGGGTTTCACCAAGATGGCCAGGCTGGTCTCGAACTCCTGACCTCAGGTGATCCACATGCTTCAGCCTCCAAAGCACTGGGATTACAGTCGTGCCCAGCCATGATGTTCTTAACTATGTCAGATCTTGTCACTTCTCCATACAAAACTCTCAAGTAACTTCTTAATTACCACAAAGTGAAACGAAGATGTTTTTATAATGGCTTAGAAGGCCTCACGAGGTCTGATCTCCCTTCTGTTTCTGGCCTGCTAATCTCCTCTCAACTCAGTCTGTTCTGGGCACTCTGGCCTTCTTGCTTTTCTACAAACTTCCTAGGCATTCTCCTGCCTCGGGGGCTTCCTATGATCTTCCCTTTGTCTGAAATGCACCTGTCACATTTTCCATATGGCTTACCTCCTCAGTTCCTTAAGGTGTTTGCTGAAATGCCACATTCTCATTGATGTTTTCCTCAGCTGCTATAATAGATATCACAACAATCTCCTCCCCAGCCAACACTCTCTATCCTACGTTTGTAATTTATGCTTTCAAAAAAATTTTGGAAAATGCTCGTTTGTAATACTACATATACAATATTTATTTATTGATTTCCCCATCATTTGGAATGTAAACTTCATGAAGAAAGGGAATTTTGCCTCTTTTATTCACTGTGTATCTCCAATACCTAAAATAGAACCTTTCACATACTACGTCCTCAATAAATATTTGATGAATGGATGAACTAGTTGATTAACTAAGTAACGTTTAAATGACCTGGCCTAGAGGCTGGTTAAAAATCATCATAACAGTTGGCTAACTAGAAAGTAAGCTGCTTAGGTCACTTTTGCTAGAATTTTACTGATTAAGCTAATGTCATGTGAATATAAGAAACTGTCAACCAGAAAAATATGAAGGGGAGAGAAGAGAATCAATGTTGCTACATAGGCTCAGTCGGTAGATGAATCTAAGGCCAGGTTGGGGAAATAGTATCTCTACAGCATTTTGAACAGAAAACTTGACATTGGTTTGTTCTACATTCATTACTAGATTGTACCAGCAACTAAGAGGCCATGTCTGAAATGGACCATTAAATGTAGTCCTTTGCAAATTTAACACAAATTATATCACTCTGAAAAGTGCTTTGACATAACTTGGAGTTAAACATTTGCTATAAGTGGCACTGTTTATGGTAATAATTGACAAACCATGCTTAGGTTAGATGTGTGTAAGGGTAGGAGTTGTTTTATTAACTGACAACATTATCGAATTCCTGATAAATTGCAAATTCTGGTTTGCTTTTAAAATCATTGAATAAACATTGCAGTTGTTTAATAGGTGAATTTACCGGTCTACTAAATACAGTGTGGCAGATATTAAACTCTATTCCATAGTTCCTTTCACACATTTTACCGGATTTTTCTTCATTGTAAAATATTAAAAGTTTAGAATTCTAACTTTCAAAATTGGTTATGCAAAGTATTACCCAAACCTTTGTGAATGCATGAAGAATAAATACTCTTAGTTCTTCTTTTATATCTCACTTTACATACCTCCCTTCCTACTTTCATTTTGGGCTGCCAAGTTTTCTCAGTTTGTACATAAATATTAGAGTCAGTATTATATTAAAAATAATAATCAAGAATGCTTTTTGAGCTGTTCGCTTTGTTGTTTTAAATCCAGAAGAAGTGATGAGAGAATTCAGAATTTATCAATTTTGCTGTTTCCATGACAGTTAGTAAAGGACAAATGTGACTTGTTAGGCCTATCCATCACTATGAAAATTGGCTCTGTTTGGTTTGTGGAGAGAATACAAGCTCCTGGAAGCTTCTTTTATTTCCACATATCACACTGACCAAAATAGCCAGAATTTTCTGATCTAAGCAGATTGTACTAACTGTAGATACTATTTACCAAGTCTCTGACACTGGGCTAAGCAATCTACAATTAGTGATTGCTTAAGCCTTACCATAACTTATTTTCATGTAAAGTCATTCCATTTTACAGATGGAGATGGTAAAACAATAGAACTTGTGTACCTTGCCAACATTCATATAGCTAGGAAGTGAGAGAAGAGGAATTGGAAAAAGAAACTACCATGCCTGCCAGCAGCATGTGTACACAAATGCTCCTCTTCTCCCTTTAACTTCAATGTATTGCTGTCTAGACATGAAGTACATACAGAGTCATCATTCTGTTATTCAGGAATACACCTGATGGCATTTGCTTCCACAGACCTTTGTTGGTATTCACTGTGTGCCCGATACTGAGGATACAGAGATGAAGTCTCAAGTCTGTTTCTCATGTCAGACACACAGGAGACTGGAATATGATTTCTTTAATAACAGTGTAAAGAAAATGCAATTTGGATTTAAGGAGATAGCAATTAGTTTTGCATTGGAAAGCGCTAAAACCAATAATGACTGCCTAATCAAAATCGATTCCTCTTTTCTTATAGCAGTGGTTTTATTGAACTATTTACTCCTCTTCCATGTAGCGTAGGTTTTATCCCCATGGAAGGCTCAACCATTTGTGTTATACATTCATTCACTTTGTTAACAATTAGTTTCGGCATGGTATTAGTTTAGGTGTGTCCAGTGTTAGATAATGAGACACGAGAAGAAATTTATACCATGGGGAATTTGGATTATAGAAACATTTCTCCACACTTATAAAATATTAACTGGAGGATGAGGAAACTTTCTGACTCTGAATTCTTTGTGTTATAACCTTGTGTCTATTTCATAGCAAGTTTCATGGAGGAGACATTATTAGAGATAAATCATTAAGTATGCATAAAAGAAAAGTGAATGTTATGAGCATCTTAGACGGCAGATAACAGATGAGCAAAGGTACAGAGTCAAGAATGTGTAAGGTATCCTTGGGGTATGGCAACAGGGGAGTTCAATGAAGCTAGAAACAGGAATGCAGGGACATACCGTGGAGGTTTGATTATCGGAATAAGGAGACTGCACAACTCTTTCCCTTCAGGAAACGAAATTGCTTCGAGGATTTTTAAGCAAGGTGACACCATGATTAGTATCTCATTGAGAGATCGTTCTGGCTGGAGAAAATGTCAAGTGACGTGCTTGCTACTATTAACATCTAAACCAAAAAATGGTTGCATGTACTTCAGCATATTATTAATAATTAATCATGTCTTTACTTAGTTTTTATTTAGGTGTTAAACATGTTAATAATTGATCAGATTTTTAACAGTATGATGAAAGTAATTTAGGCTGTAAATGTACCAAAATGTCAAGGAAACCAAATATTCATTTTCCCATCACATAATTTTGCCAGCAATTCCCTTGAATGAGGAATGTAAAGGAAAAGGAAAGATTGACCAGTGAATGCCCTAGGGAGAATTTCTGCTCCGTGGAGTCTGCATTCCACTATGGCTGAGGACAGGAGCACTTTGTCTCTGTAATTTAGGCTGTAATTTCGGTTGTGATAGGGTGACACTAAGTGGCTGAAAAGGGAAAACTTAGTTAATGGAAATCAAAATAAGAACAAAAAATTGCACTTGTGGTGACATTCATGCCTCCCTGACAACAACATAAGAAAATTATATTCAGAGTAACTTGGAATCTTGAAAAAATTTTTAAACTAGCCACTCCTTTCTTTCTGTGAAGCTTAAGATTCTTTTGCAAAGATGACAAAAAACAACAAATATTGAATCATATAAGTTATATAAGCTGAATTAAAGGATAAGGCCTTTTCCTTTTAAATGAAAAAATATCTTGCTATTACATTTTCTGTCACTTTTTTAGGTAGCTTTTTTCATTTTTGGCATTATTCATAATAATAATAAATAGTAAAATAACAATTTTGCTTATCAGTATATAAAAGGCACAATGGATTTTCAATATAATGTTTCTGAGTAAATCTACTCGAGTAAATAAATGTACACGCAATACTTAACTAACTGCTTTAGACCTCTTCAAAAATGTTTAGCACACAGTGAAAGAAAAGGTTATTTTTTTCTGGCAAGCGCTGTAGTAAATTTGTGTTTTTATTTTTTTTTGTCCTGCTAAAACTGTTTTTTAAAGGAGTTATATTTTTATCTACTGAAAATTAAAAGGACTTCCTAATTTAATATTCATTTATTCCTTTGTTCATTCAGTAATTATTAGATTGAACCATATAAAATTATATTTTGTTGGTTAAAATGATTTAATACTCTCAATTATATATGATTCAACCTGCTATTTATTAAGGACTTCTAGATGATGATGATAGATATATCATATCTTTGAACATGGACACTTTTATCACTCTAGTACGAAAAACCCACTGGAGCAGTTGATTTTATCTTTGGGTAATTCTCACAAAATACATAACTTTTCTTCCTTAATGGAACTGAATTTTTTCCCACACATTGGTTTTAATTCTGGATTTTTAAAGTATTTTTAATAAATGTTGTCTTATTTAATTTGGAATTATCAAGTGAAATTGTGGTTGGGGACATGGATGAAGAAAGGGGAGATGTTGGCGAAGGGTACAAAGGAGAAATGGGCTCTGGTAATTTGTTACACCATATGAGGTGTACAGCTAATAAAGTATTGTATATTTCAAAATAGCTAAAATAATGGATTTTAAGTGTTTTCACCACAAAGAAACAAGGAGCGACTGAGGAAATGGATATGTTGTTTCTGGCATTTAGAGCCACAAAAAGACAAATCTATTCCAGTTTATATATGATTAGTCTTCAGATATCAGGTAACAAACTCTGCACTTATTTCTGCTTCTATCCTATCATCTTCACTTCTCTGGATTAAACACTTTAGTTGCTACACCTAAAATGTGGTCATCCCAAATTGACATTTGAAAATGTTGGCTATTTCATCTTTTCAATTTTCTCCTCTTCGAGTTTCTGAGACATTTCTGTCTTCTGGTTTTCTTCCTGCATCTCAGATTTTCTTTCATTTTCTTTTGATTCTTTTTCTTTTACTAACCAACCCCTTTACCATCGATGTTCCCAGTAGCTTATCCTTTTGCCATGTTCTCTAAAGATACACTAGATGACTTCATTCTGCCCTTTATCTTCAGCTACTGTTAGTATGCTAAATGTTTCTAGATTTATATCTCTAGATAAAAAAAAGTTTTGAACTGAAGACCTGTGTATTTAACTGTCTCACAGACATAGCTACTTGGAAGTTTCACATATCCTTCCAGCTAAATCTATCCTCAACTTGAATACATCATCTCTATCCACCCATCACTCAAAGAAGAAACATGGTTACCCCTTTAGACCATCATTCTCATTGCCTGCTCTCATCCCCACAACACACAAATTCTACCTCCTTGCTTTCTTAAGATAGGAATTGGTCTTAACATACGATCTTATTTTTAGTAACAACTTTACGGAGATGTATATAATTCAGGTATCATACTAGTTACCATTTAAAGTGTACAATTCAATGATTTTAATATATTCTCAGAGCTGTGCTACATCATCATTTTGGAATATTTTTATCATCCCCAAAAGAAACCCTGTACCCTTTAGCTATCATCCGCCCTCCCAACTGTCTATCCTCCCCATCCCTAAATGCTACTAAACTACTTTCTATCACCATAGATTTTCCTGTTTTGCATATATAACGCAAATGAATTCATACAATATGTGATCTCTGGGATCGCATATTGTATGATTTCATTTGTGTTATATATGCAAAATAGGAAAATCTTTGCAAAACCATTTAGCAATGAATACTAAAATATATTCTACTTAAAGCCTTCTTTTGCTTCACATGATGTGTTCAAGGTTCATCCATACTGTGTCATGTATTATCACTTCACTCCTTTTTGTTGTTAAATAATATTCCATTGTATGGATTTGCCACATTATGTTTCTGTGCTCATCAGCTGATGGACATTTGGGTTGTTTTCACCTTTTAACTTTTATGAATAATATTATGACCATTGATGTACAAGTTCTTGTGTGGACAAATGTTTATTTCTGTCTATATATAGATCATATAGATATATATCATATGTAGAGTCAAAGACATAAATATATTTGTTTATGAAACAATTACATATCTCATATATGTATATAAATAATTCAAATTGCTGAGTCAAATGGTAACTTTATATTTAGTTTTTTTGAGGAAATTCCAGACTCTTGTCCAAAGCAACTGTACCAATTTACACTTCCAGCAGGATTGTGTCATGGTTCTGACTTCTCCACATCATTGTTAATACTTATTATTGATGTTCTAAAATTATAGCCAGTCTAGGTGTAGGTATAAAGTTGAATCTTATTGTGGTTTTGATTAACATGTTCCTGATAACTAATGATCTTAGCAACTTTTCTTGTTCTTATTGGCCATTCATGTATCTTCTTTGGATATTTACTTTTTTCTTTGCAAAATTATGTGTAAAACTCATGATAAATCTGACTTGAAGATTTGACAGAATTTACCAATAAATCCTCAAATTTTATGAGCCTCATGGGCCTGGGATTCTTTTAAGAAAATGTTTTAACTATCAGTTTAATTTATATAAGTGATATAAAGATTTTTTTTTGTTCTTTTGAGTCAGGTTTTGTTATTGTATTTTTTCCTGCAAATTTTGTCTAATTGTCCAATTTGTTGGCATCAAGATGTTCTTATATTTTCTCATTATCTTTTTAATGTCTGTATGACACTTGGTGGTATACTAGTTACGGTTCTCCAGAGAAGCAGAATGAATAGGATATACAGATGTTCCCTGACTTACAATGGGGTTACTTCTTGATACACCAATTGTAAGTTGAAAATATGAATAGTTGAAAATGCACTTCATACATGTAACCTATACAACATCATAGCTTAGCCTAGCCTATCTTAAACAAGCTTTAAAAACTAACATTAGCCTATAGTTGGCCAAAATCATCTAACACAACACAAAACAAAACCTATTTTATAACAAAATGTTTATAAAAATATATACCTCATATAATTTGTTGAATGCTACACAGAAAGTGAAAAACCAGATAATCACAAAGATACTCAAAGTACAGTTTCTATTGAATGCATATTACTTTCACACTATCATAAAATTGAAAAATTGTAAATTGAACCATTGTAAGTCGGGGACCATCTGTATACAGATATATAAGAGAGGATTTCTTATGGGAAATAGTTCTTGCAATTATGGAGACTAAGAAGTCCCACAATATGCCATCTGCAAACTGGAGAACCAGGAAAGCCAGTAGTGTAATTCAGTTGGTGCCAGAAGGACTGAGACCTAAGGGAGCAAATAATGTAATTCTTAATCTGAGCCCAAAGGCCTGAGAGCCTGGGAAGGAGGTAGGAAGATGCTGGTATAAGCCCCAGAGTCCAAAGCCATGAGAACCAGGAAAGCTCCAATGTAAAAGGAGAGGAGATGAAAGTCCCAGCTCCAAAAGAAAGACATAATTCACCCTTTCTCCAACTTTTTGTTCTATACTTTGGGTTCTGGCTATAATTCTGGGTCAGTCTGGTATAGGTAGTTAGACTTAGACTTCTGTGGGTTCATTCCCATAATTAACGGTTATTTTTCTTGCTCGCTTCCCTCCAGCCACAATCCTACTCCATCTCAGTTCCTTTCCTTGTTTCCTGTGGCCACAAAAAAACCCTGGGTTGTTGGAGCCTTGGCTGATAACATGGTGCTACTCTGTAGCTGTGGTTCATTTTCAAGTATCACCAAAGGAAAAACAAAACCTGATGACCCATCCCCATTCTTGTTTCTTCTCCACATTTTGACTCCATTCCATAGTCTATTTATTTTGGTTTACTATCCTGACTGAGCAAAATGTAGTTGTCTTATTTTGTGTAGCATTTATAGTTGTTATCAGTAGGAGAGTGGGACTATTAGGAGCTCACACAATACTAGAGCTGGAACTTGCACTGTTTTCTTTTTTGGTCATATGTTCCATAAGATATTACATTTTGGATTATAGGAAAGGAGAAAGCATTGTGACAAAAGAAGTTGTATTCAATTATTTATCCTACACTTCTAGTACATGACGAGGTTCAAAGTACAGGGGAAGGAAAGTCTGAGTTTCAGTCGAAGTTGAAGTTATTTAGTTGTTTGTACTTGGAAAAGGGATTTTGCTTCTGACCACCTCAATTTACTTGGGGTTATATTATCAGACCTACTGTGGAAAATCTTTATGAACTCCAGACTTTTATAGAAAATACAGGATTATTACACTCACAATCCTGAACAGTTATCTCAACAGATTTTACTTACTATTTCTGATTATTATGAAGCACTGTAGCATGAATGCATCCATTTTGAAAAGCTAAAAGAGGAAACTAAGAAGCATATAGGAATTAGTTTTTTATCTACATTGTTGCCACCCCCACAGTTAAAGCTAAAGTAATCATCATCTGCTGATCTATCATGCTCTAAGCATATTTTTCTTTGCCAAGATTTCAGGCAGTCTTGGAATTAAGGATCTAAATTAGAAATTATCTTATCTGATTATTAACTTATAGGTCTGTTTCATTTTTAATGAAGGCAATTAAAAATATGATGAACCCAGAAAAATACACTGTTTGAAAGCTCTTTATGGTCCTCATCACTTAGAAGAATAGCTACGCAATAAAATACAACTGAAACTTAAAGATTTAAGATGAAAACCACCGTGACTATAATTTTTATCTTAATAAGCTTTTTAGTCTTCAGTAAAGAGATAAGGAATAATTTTTAAATTACATTTGATCCTTCATCCAGTTACTTTTATTTCTGCCTTCCATAGCATGCCCATTTGTTTATTAGAATTTGTATCCAGATGTTACTTGTAACTGGCATACAGATAAAAAACCTCTGACAAAAATAAGTTATTTGAGATTTCAAGTCTTAAATTTCATTTAATCTTGTTAAGGAAAGGACAGAAGGAAAGCAAATAACTTTTGAAAATATAAAAGCTGTAACTTTTATTCCCTTTTGATAGATTGATATAGTTTTAGACTGGACTTTGAAATTATATGATAATAACCAGCACTTTTCATGAAGCATTATCAAGTCAATTTCCTTGGCAAAACCATTTAGCAATGAATACTGAAATATATTCTGCTTAAAGGTATTTTATCAGCTAGTTCATGAATACTGTATTTGAAATTTTACATTTGGGTAGTATATTTGAATGCAGCCTGATAAATAACAAAAATGATTGTTGAGAACCTCAGAATTTTAATGACTGTGAATAATTTATTTTCTTTTTCATTTTAGATTTTCAAAGAACTTGTCCATAATTCTCACTTTAACATAATTTCAGTCTCTATTTTTTCCTATAATTCTTTCATAAGTAAAATCTCTGGAACTACGATAATGGTTTGTTGTGTTGTGATGTCCTGAATATTTCTTTCTGCTCTTTCAAATTGTGTGATGTATAGGTAGACCCTAGAAGTAAAGCTAGAAGTTGTTTCTGGGTGTCTTCTCTGAGTTTTGTTGAATGATTTTTTTGATAAACCAAGTAACCCCTTGCTTACCAACCACTTCTAAAGAGAGAAATCTTGTTCCATTACCACAACAGAAGTTTGAAATAAAACTCTTTGAAAAGTGTCATTTCATTCTCCCATGATTTCTTGTGCATGCTGATATCTTGATATATAAGTTATTGATGTTGATAAAAAGTTACAGCTTATCTTATTTGGGTTAAATGGTGAGCTAAGCAGTATAAAATTCCTCCCCATATGGACAACTAAAGATGCTTGATTTAATAGAATACAGAAAGGGTATAGCTGAACTAACAGGTTGGAAAAGAATCTCTAAGTGCCAGAAATGAAGAGTAATATATTCATGGGCTGAATCTCTGGAAACCATGGAATAGAGTAAATAGAACAGTTGAGTAGCAGACTCAGTCTATCTAGCACTTGGATTTTAATGATGTAAATTTAGCTTGCTCAAGAAAAAAGTTGTAAAAGTGATTGACGCCTAGGGCTTGGGCCCTAAGAGGGTTGAAACCTCAGTGAAAGGGTAAACAAATAAAATCTACACATTGACATTGGAAGCAGACAGAAAAGAATGATGTTTCTATCCATCTAGATTCTGTATCGAAACAAAAAAATAGAAGAATCTGTAAATCTGAACTCAAGTCCGAATATTAGAGTCTAAATTGCCCAAAACTGCAAGATACAGAAATCCTTGTCTCAATCATTAAGATAAATATTGATCACAAACCAGTGTGTGCCTAACAAAAACAAATACAAAATAACCCTCAAGAGACATTCTACAATTCAGGTCACAAGGAAATATTACAGAAGAAGGCCTTTTGAAAAATATCACAATAAAAGTAGATTACCAGAAATTAGTAAGAACTAAAAGATGAATTAGAGAATTAAAAAATAAATTAAATGACATTATCTATAATTCAGCAGAGACAATGAGATAAAAAGTGGAAGACAGGTTCTGAGACAGGGAGGATAGAACAGGAATGCCCAACATATATTTGACAAGAGTTCCAGAACACAAAATGGAAAATGAGGGAGTCTACAGTTTAAGAGACCATGGTTGAACTTTTTCAGAACTAAAATTCTACGTATTCAAAAGCTACATATTCCAATTAAAATTCTACATACTTTTTATATAACATTTAAAAGTTATATAAAGAATAAATAAGTCTACACTTAGACACATTTTAGTGAAACTTCAGAATGTCAAATCAAAGAGATATGCAAAATACAACTAAATAGAAAATATAGATTATGCATTTAAAGTACTGCAGTTAGACTATAGATAATGCAATGAAAACAATGAAGGTCGAGATTTTGAAACACCTTCAGTTTGAAGACAAAATAACTGCTAACCTATAATTCTCTATCCAGCTAATCTATAAAGAGTAAGGGTCATAAAGAAAATTTCAGATAAAGACTGAGAGGCTTTTCCCTAGCAGGGCTTGTATTCAGGAAGAAGGGTTTTACCTCCTGAAATAAATGGAATATAAGAAGCAATGGTGAGCAAAATATTAAGAAATGTGTGAGAAAATATAAACATTGAAGCATTCTTATTATTTTCATGTTCTTTGTTTGAAAGGTAAAGTTACTGTTTGAAGTTTACATCAATCTGAAGTTAAATTTAAGCACAAAAATATATGTAAATGAAAATGTAAAAGTTTAAAATTAGTAGTGGCAAAAAAAGGAGATAGATTCCTCTTAGATACCAATCCAAGTGGAAGGATATTAAAAGTGTCTGTCCCTGTAGTGAAGACTTGTCAATTTTGAAAACTTACCTAGATAGTGTCAAAAAAAAGTAAAGTATCCTTTTCCAAAAAAAGGTGATATATTATATTACACTAAAGTTAATCTAATGAAAATATAGAAAAATAGCAAAGGAGAAAGAATGGTATGAGAAAATTAAATAAATATATATGGAGCAAAATGGCCAATTAGACACAGACTGGTGAAACAGCTACCACCAAGGGACCAGATGACTGGTACACTCCTAACAGATCTTCAGAGGGAAGGATAGAGAGTGGATAGAGGGAAGACATGGGAGCTGGACTCACAGGGGAGGAATCTGGAAACCCTGCACAGGGCTACTGTTCACTGGGACTTTTTTCTGGCCCCCAGTGACTTTGGAAGAATAGGTGAGTTGAACTAGCAAGGAGCACCCTGCTGTGGCCATAGGCCTCTGGAATCACAGCAGGAGGAGACCCCTCAACCACCACGGACATTGGAATTGGCAGGAAGAGCTACTTAGAGAAGTGGTAAGGGCAGCAAGCCAGCTGATATGGAGCCCAGAGGGTTTGGTGCAGGTGTGTCTGTAGCAGAGCATGACCAGGGACAGCCATCCCACTAAACTCAACTTCCTCCCATTGCAGGCTTTAGCCCTAGGGGAACTGTTGGATCTGAACTCTATAGAACCGTTTTGCCCACCAGAAGGAGCCAATCTGATCTGACCACCCCTTAGTCTGCTGGCCTCTCCAAGGGCCTTAGCCTGGTCATGTCTGCTTACAGGGCAGCCTCAGGTGCCCTGGGGACATGCATCGTAGTTTCTATGCTATAAAGTTATTGAGTGCATACAGTAAAATTAGGCAGTATTATAATTGTGTTAGATGTGCTCTCATTGAATTTTTATAATGATGTCAAATAAGAAATATAATTATTTAATTTTTAAGATGAGGAAATTGACATGCAAATGATTAAATAGTTTGCCCAAATTCACACATCTGGTAAGTGGTAAACTCAGTGAGTCTGGTTTTAGAGTCCTATCTTTTACCACTATAAATTTTCTATATACAAAATTAACATGATGAAGTAAGTCTAACTATATCAGTGATAATAATAAATGTAAAACAGCTAAATTTGCCTATTAAATATAAAAGTATAAAGTTATCTTTTAAAAGACTTTCTGAATGGACTTTTAAAAAGTAGCAACAAAATATGCTATTTACAAAAAAAGAAATAATAATAAAAATATTTATAAAAGTATAGAAAGGGGAAAAAATACAAAACAACCTCTAACCAAAGGATGCTTAGTTTATCTACATTAATAATAGGCAAAAGACATTAAGGCAAAATGTATTATTAAGAATTAAGAGGGTTATTAAATGTTGAAAATTGGAACAATTTATCAAGAATGTAGTTAAGGCTAGCAAATTGTGTTTTCAAAATGATAGCAAAAATTTATAAATCAAAAGATTTATTTGGAAAATATAAAAAGAACTTACTAAATAATAATATTCTCTTGTTCGTATTTATATACTAGAAAATATTAACAGCATAGTTTTTCTCTAGCTTTATAAATTTCTTTTGCTGATGCTCATGCTGAAAACTAACAAATTAAGCTTGCTTGGAGCTCCAGAGATAAACATTTTAGCCAGAATTTCAAATGTGCTTTAGACATAGTGCTAAGGATGGCCCCTCTCAAACATCTTTTCCATAAAAACTTTCCTGATCTTTTCACTTAGGTGTGTCTCTCCCTATTTTGAACCCCTAAATCACTTTCTTTTTGCTAGTTTAGCAATCTCCTTACTTAAACTCAGAGGTCTCAACCAGGGATGATTATGCCCACCAGGAGACATCTGTTAGCGTCTAGAGATATTTTTGGTTGTCACAAATTGGGGGATTTTACGATAAGTGGAGGCCAGAGATGATGCTAAATATCCTACAATGCACAGGAGAGTCTCCACAACAAAGAACTATCTGGCCCAAAATGTCAACAGTGATATGGTTAAGAATGAGAAATTCTGCTTTTGTGTATAATATGTTTTTTTGGAATTTTTAGCTTCTTTCCTTTTAGTTATATTATAAGCATCTTGGATTGTGTCTTACTCATCTTGGATTCCATATGTAGAATATGCAGCACTGTGTTTGCTACACAGTAAATCAGCATTTGTTTAACTGAATTTTCATTCAACAGCAATCCTTAGTGACCACTATGTCTTGTGTGCTATGTACTTTCCTTAGAATTTGTGTTAAAAAGCATAAACAGGTAGTCTTTATCCTCTTCAAATTTCTAGTGTAAGAGTGAGAGAAATGTATAAATGGATAATTTATAGTACACTACAGTACATACTTAAACAAAAATGTGAGAATAAAATTATGCAAAAAGAAGCCAAAATAAATGGAGACTAATTTGGCTTAGAGGAGAAAGCTTTACCTAAGAAATGGCAGTGAATTAGAATTTGAAGAAAGAAAAATAATTCAAAAACTCATAGAAATGTAAAGCAGAAAATTACCTTGGGGTTCATCTACTTAAACTCCAAATTTTATAGACAATGGAAATTGAGTTCTAGATAGGTAAAGTTATTGACAGTGTCTCAGAGAGTTCCTCGCAGAGCCTAAATTGGAACTCAGGCTTCTGTCTATTTATTTCCATTATAACCCATTGCCCTTCTTCAACCTTCATTGTTCAAGGGTCTTATCAAATTATGTTACGTTTTACCAAATTCTGTTCTCCAGAGAAACAGAACCAATATTTTGTGTATTTGTGTGTGTGTGTGTGTGTGTGTGTGTGTGTGTGTGCGTGTTTACGCAGAGCATTATTATAAAGAGTTGGCTTATGTAATTGTGTAGGCCAACAATCCCAAAATCTGTCGTCAGTAAGACAGAGACGCAAGAGAGCCAATGGTGTAGATCTGTTCTAAATAGCTGCAGACTGAAGGCCCAGTAAGAGCTAATGTTTGAGTTTACATCCAGGGGCAGGTAAAGACTAACGTTCCAACTCAAGACAGTCAACAGGAGGAGTTCCCTTTTGCTCAGACTTTTGGGCTACTCATGTCTTCAATTGATTGAATGAGGTCCATCCACATCAGTGAGGGCAATCTGCTTTCCTTATTCTAGGGATTCAAATGTTAATCTCATCCAGAAACGCTGTCATGGTCATGCTCAGAATATTGTTTGACCGAATGTCTGATCATCCTGTGATTCGATCAAGTTGACACATAAAGTTAACTATCAGAATCAGTGAAAAACAAACAATGAACACCCTCTTTCTACACATCACAAACTACTTTGAAAGTGTGTTTTATTTGGTCTGGAGGAACTAAGGAGATTTCATAAAGTAAATCAAAACACACTAAAACTGTAGTGTCTACATTAATGCTAACAAAATTATTTCCTTCCAAAATGAAGAATTATATTAGATTTGCATAAAAATAGGAGATTTTAAAATTTATCTTTCGAAACTTGCCTTGAATTGTATATTTCAGCAATTATTTTTAAACCCCAAGAGCTCTGTCTTGTACTCATTTTACCTTTTCCATAGCATTTTGTTTTTATTTTCTTTATGAAATATTTTCTCTAATCTCTCTGAGGGCTTTGATTATTGTTTTTCTGTGAAGTTTTCTTTAGCTTTATTTTTAATTATCAGTGTTAGCTCCTCGTGTTTGACTGCCTTGATTTGGAACATTAGTCTTTACCTGCCTCTGGACGTAACTTTTGTGATATGGTTTGGCTGTTTACCCATTCAAATATCATCTTGAATTGTAATCTTCATAATCCCCATGTGTCAGGGAGGGACCTGGTAGGTGGAGACTGAATCATTGGAGTGGTTTCCCCCATGCTGTTCTCATGATAGTGAGTGAGTTCTCATGAGATCTGATGGTTTTATAAGGGGCTCTTCTCCCTTCGCGTTCTCTTATCTCTCCTGCCACCTTGTGAAGAAGGTGCTTCTTTCCCCTTCACCTTCCACCACGATTGTAAGTTTCCTGAGGCCTCTCCAGCCATGCAGAACTGTGAGTCAATTAAGCCTCTTTCCTTTATAAATTACCCAGTCTCAGGTAGTATATTTATAGCAGTGTGAAAACAGAGTAATATACTTTGCTTATTTATTTTGTTCTACTCCTTTATTTTAAAAGATATGAATATAATTTTGCCTTAATAACTAGATTAACTGATTCTAATATTCATATAGAAAATTATATGAGAAAGAATATTCAGGAAACTTTGAAAAGGTAGAGAAATAAGAGATGACTAGTACTACTAAATATAAAGCTTATTATGACAATATAATAATCTAAAATATATATTAGAAAATAAAATTAAAGTGACTACCTACCCGACTTTCTATATTAAAAAAACAAATAATTTAGAGGTTAGAATATAAAAATTAAGCCACAAAAGAACCAAAAAGATTATCATTAGAGTTATACACATGCACATGCAGAAACACAGGCATCCATAAATGAAGTGAGGCTGTTTTTTCTGGGTATAAAACAAAACTCAGAAACAGGGGTGAATTTATGGCTCCAAAATGGTGGTATAGAAACAAGTTGGCTTCACTCTCTATTTTCCCCCCCCAAAAAAAAACAACAAAAAAACAAAATTACAGTACCAAGATAATCATTAGAAATATCTCAGAACTCAAATATGAAGATGAGACAGTGGTTCCTGGGACTATGGAGAAGTGAAAAAAACTTCAAGCAGATGGCAAGAGAATTGGACTTCCATATCTGCAGCACCCCATCCCCAATTCTGCCTGAAACCAAACACGTGGAAAGTTTTCCCCCTAAATCACTGTTTCTACACAAGTAAAAGTAAGATGGAGGTGCACAACCAGCTTCCTCACCCTCTTGGGTTTCTCGGCAAAAGAGCCATTTCTGCCTTAACCCACGGGAAGCATTGCTAATAAACAAAGAAAGAAATATCTTTGAGAACAGGCAGAGACAAAGCAGGGAGGTGGGACCACCATCCCCAGCCCAGAGAACTCTGCTGTGTAATTGGCCAAAGGAGATATCAAATCAGAATAGCTGTTCAGCAGCACCATACTGTCAGAGGTATATCCCACAGGCCTCCTGAGCATAAACCTTTGTCTAGCCTTCCCACACTGCTGGGATATCTTCTTTGGAGCCTCTTTCATTTTTTCATTCAAGAAGGACAGCAGTTTTCATCATTTACAAGAGCTAAGACAAACCTGGCTTAAGGTATTACCTACAGCTGAAAAGGAGGCAGTGACCTAGTGGTAAAAAACTTAATATATGGGTTATTCTAAACAAATGTATTCAATAAAAACCAAAACAAACCAGGCAGAGGAGACTGGAATAAATAAATAATCCTTCAATGCAAAGACATAGGCATCCATCCACAATGAACAACAAAAAACAGAGAACCATGATCTCCCTAAATGAACAAAGCAAGAAACCAGTCACTGACCCTAAAGAGATGGCAATATGTGAGTTCTCTAAGAATTCAAAATGGTAATTTTAATGAAACTCAATGATCTACAAGATAACAAATAAAAGGATATTAGAAATTTATCAGAGAAATTTAACAAAGAGATTTAAATAATAAAAAACTGAAAATTTGAAACTAAGAAATACATTTTCTGAACTGAAAAATTAATTAGAGGCTCTCAACTGCCGAAAGAATCAAGCACAGTAAGAACCAGTGAACTCAAAAACAAGCTACTTAAAAAATGCATAGAGAAGAAAAAAGAATGAAACGCAATGCAGATTTTTCTGGAAGATATAGAAGATCACCTCCAAAGGCCAACCCTATGAATTACTGATGTTCCAGTGGGAATTGGGCAAGAGCAAGTGGTAGAAAGATTATTTCAAAGAAATAATAACAGAAAACTTTCCAAAACTTGAGAAAGATATAAAAATCCAGGAACAGACAGCTCAAAGAACACCAAACAGATCTGACCAATGAAGATTACCCCAAGACATATAATAATCAAACTCTCAAAGGTCAAGGACAAGGAGAGAATCCTAAAACAGGAAGAGAAAAGAATCAGATAACATATAAAGGAGCTCCAATTTTTCTGGCAACAGACTTCTCAACAGAAACCATACAGGCCAGGATAGAGTTCAATAACTTTATATTTTCAAAGTGCTGAAAGAAAAAAAACTGCCATCCAAGAAAATTGTATCCAATAAGCTTATCTTTCACAGATGAATGACAGATAAACCTTTTCTTATGCAAAAGCTGAGAGAATTCACCACAAGCAGACACATATTACAAGAAATGCTAAAGGAAATTCTTCAATCTGAAATAAACAACAACAAAAATGTGAAGGTATAAAGAAAGTGTAAAACCCACTGGTAAAATTAAGTACACAGACAATCGACAATACTCTAACAATTGAAGTTGTGGTGCAAAATCTATTCATAGATCTAATGTAAAGCGCTAAAGGCAAATCTGTCAACAATAGTAATAGACACAGCAATGTGATACAAGATGGGTAATATAAAAATCATGAATCGAGATAACTAAAAGTCAAAAGTTGTGGAGGTTACAGTTACAGTGTAGAGGGTTTTCTTTTTCTTTTTGATCGTTTATAAGCTTTGTGATCTAAGATTAGTTGTTATCTCCTTAAAATAAGTTGTAATATCCATGAAGTGTTTTTATAAGCCTCATAGTAACCATAACACAAAAATCTATAACGAATTTACTAACAATAAAAAGCAACAAAGTAGTCCTCCTCTCCCTCTCCCTCCTCTCCCTCTCCCTCTCCCTCTCCCCACAGTCTCCCTCTCCCTCTCTTTCCATGGTCTCCCCCTGATGCCGAGCCAAAGCTGGACTGTACTGCTGCCATCTCGGCTCACTGCAACCTCCCTGCCTGATTCTCCTGCCTCAGCCTGCCGAGTGCCTGCGATTGCAGGCGCGCGCCGCCACGCCTGACTGGTTTTCGTATTTTTTTGGTGGAGACGGGGTTTTGCTGTGTTGGCCAGGCTAGTCTCCAGCTCCTAACCACGAGTGATCCGCCAGCCTCGGCCTCCCGAGGTGCCGGGATTGCAGACGGAGTCTGGTTCACTCAGTGCTCAATGGTGGCCAGGCTGGAGTGCAGTGGCGTGATCTCGGCTCGCTACAACCTCCACCTCCCAGCTGCCTGCCTTGGCCCCCCAAAGTGCCAAGATTGCAGCCTCTGCCTGGCCGCCACCCCGTCTGGGAAGTGAGGAGCGTCTCTGCCTGGCCGCCCATCATCTGGGATGTGAGGAGCCTCTCTGCCTGGCTGCCCAGTCTGGAAAGTGAGGAGCGTCTCTGCCCGGCCGCCCATCGTCTGAGATGTGGGGAGCGCCTCTGCCCTGCCACCCCGTCTGGGATGTGAGGAGCGTCTCTGCCCGGCCGCCCCATCTGAGAAGTGAGGAGACCGTCTGCCTGGCAACCGTCCCGTCTGAGAAGTGAGGAGCCCCTCCACCCGGCAGCCACTCCGTCTGGGAAGTGAGGAGCGTCTCCGCCCGGCAGCCACCCTGTCTGGGAGGGAGGTGGGGGTCAGCCCCCTGCCCAGCCAGCCACCCCGTCCGGGAGGTGAGGGGCGCCTCTGCCCAGCCGCCCCTACTGGGAAGAGAGGAGCCCCTCTGCCCGGCCAGCCGCCCCGTCCGGGAGGGAGGTGGGGGGGTCAGCCCCCCGCCCGGCCAGCTGCCCCATCCGGGAGGTGAGGGGTGCCTCTGCCCGGACGCCCCTACTGGGAAGAGAGGAGCCCCTCTGCCCGGCCACCACCCCGTCTGGGAGGTGTACTCAACAGCTCATTGAGAACGGGCCATGATGACAATGGCGGTTTTGTGGAATAGAAAGCAGGGAAAGGTGGGGAAAAGATTGAGAAATTGGATGGTTGCCATGTCTGTGTAGAAAGAGGTAGACATGGGAGACTTTTCATTTTGTTCTGTACTAAGAAAAATTCTTCTGCCTTGGGATCCTGTTGATCTGTGACCTTACCCCCAACCCTGTGCTCTCTGAAACATGTGCTGTGTCCACTCAGGGTTGAATGGATTAAGGGTGGTGCAAGATGTGCTTTGTTAAACAGATGCTTGAAGGCAGCATGCTCGTTAAGAGTCATCACCACTCCCTAATCTCAAGTACCCAGGGACACAAACACTGCGGAAGGCCGCAGGGTCCTTTGCCTAGGAAAACCAGAGACCTTTGTTCACTTATCTGCTGACCTTCCCTCCACTATTGTCCTGTGACCCTGCCAAATCCCCCTCTGCGAGAAACACCCAAGAATGATCAATAAAAAAAAAAAAAAGAAAGAAAAGAAAATTGGAAAGGCTTCAGGATTGTCAGTTAAATATAATTGTTTTTGCCTCGGTCTACTGACAGACAGGTTTACATTGCCTCTATTACTTTTTTTTTTTTTTTAATTTGTTTTTTGTTTTTGAGCTGGAGTTTTGCTCTCATTGCCCAGGCTGGAGTGCAGTGGTGAGATCTCAGCTCACCACAACTTCCGTCTCCCAGGTTCAAGTGATTCTCCTGCCTCAGCCTTCCGAATAGCTAAACTACAGGTGTATGCCACCATACTTGGCTAATTTTTGTATTTGTAGTAGAAACAGGATTTCACCATGTTGGCCAGGCTGGTCTCAAACTCCTGACCTCAAGTGATCTGCCCACCTTGGCCTCCCAAAGTGCTGGGATTACAGGCATGGGCCACCGTGCCCAGCCTATTACATGTTTTAAGGTCATAAAACTGCTACTTCTGGAATATTTCTTAAACTTGCTTGATTTGTCTAAATTGAGCTAAAGCTGTAAGGTCTGGCTGCTGGGCTCCCTGAAACCTTGCACATATCTTACTGTATGACTGTATTTCGTTTTGAGTCTCTGGATTCTGGGGTTTGGACAGATGACCATAGTGAGTCCTGCAGAAATATGCATGTCCTCAGTGTTTGGACTGCCAGCTGCAAGGCAGAGCCAAACCCAATATGGCCCCATCATCCCTGGCTCAGCTGTGCTACCTGGCCATGCTGGAAGGGGTTTGATCTTCCAGGAATTTGCTTCACAGCTCTTTCCTGTCCCAAGCTCTATGCCTGATGTGTAAATTCAGGACCCAAAAGGGCACAAAAAAGCAATAACTACTAAATATAAGGAAAACAACTCTGTATACAGCATGTATAAAGAAAAGCAAGATATATTTGGGGAGATAAAAGTTGTAAAGGCATTAAGATGTGTGTTGAGAAAAAATAAATTTGTGCATTTAAGAAGTTAAAAAAAAAAAAAAAAAGCAACAAAGTAAAACACACTACCAGGGAAAATTACTTAGCCACAAGGGAAGACAGGAAGAAAGGCAGAGTTATAAAACAAATTTTTTAAAACTAACAAAATGGCAATATAAGTCTGTACGTGTCAATAGTAATAATGGCTATACATTAACTCAATTATTCAATTAAAAGGCATAGAGTGGCTGAATGGTTAAAGAAACAAGACCCAACTACACACTGCCTACAAGAAATGACCTTCACCTATAAAGGTACATAGAGAGTGTTAGTGAAAGGATGTCAGATGATATTCCATGTAACTGGAAACCAAAATAAAGTAGGTACAACTATATTTATACCAGATAAAATAGTCTATAAATCAAAGACTGTAAAAAGAGACAAATAAGGTTACTATATAATTATAAAGGTGTTAAATCAGCAAAAGAACATAACAATTTTACATGTCTATGTGCCCAACATCATAGCTTCCAAGTACATAAAGCAAACTTTAATAAATTTAAAGGGTAAGATATACGACAATACAATAATCATAGAGAACTTTAACACTCTACTCTCAATAATGGGCAGATCATCCAGACAGAAAAAAAGACTGAGAAACATTGGTGTTAAACTACACATTAGGCCTAAGAGGCCTAACTAATATTTACAGAATATTTAATCCATATGCACATTCTTTTCATTGGCATGTGGAATGCTTTCCAGAACAGAACACAAATTAGTCCACAAAAAGTCTAAACAAATTTAAAAATTAGAAATTTTATCAAGTACATTTTTTTACCACAACGGAAGAAAAGTAGAAATCAATAACAAGAGAAACTTTACAAATTTCACAAGCACATGGAGAGAAAAAAATAAGATTCTGAATAACTAATGGGTCAATGATGAAACTACGAACACAATTTTAAATTTTTTTGATAAAAATGAAAAGGGAAGTACAACATACCAAAATCTATGGATGCACCAAAAGCAGTGCTGAAAGAGAAGTTTATACTGAGAAATACCTAAATTGTAAAATAGAAAGCCTTCGAATAAGCAACTTAATAATGTGCTCCAAGGAACTAGAAAAGCAAGAACAAACCAAACACAAAATTAGTAGAAGAAAATAAATAATAAATATCAGAGCAGAGATAAATTGTGACTAAAAAGAGCACAGAAGACCAACAAAACAAAAAGTTGGGTTTTTGAAAAGATAAAGAAAATTGACAAACCTTTGGCTAAACTAAGAAAAAAAAGAGACCTAAATAAATAATATCAGAAATAAAAAAGAAGACATAATTCAGACCACAGGAATACAAAGAATTATTAGAGACTATTATAAACAACTATGGACCAGCAAATTGGAAAATCTTGAAAAAATGGATAAATTCCTGGAAACATACAACTTACCAAGATCAAACAATGAAAAACCAGCAAACCTTAGTAACCCAATGATGAGTCACAAGATTGAAGCCATAATACAAATTTGCCCATTACAGAAAATCCAGGACCTTATGGATTCAATGCTAAATTATGCCAAACATTTAAAAGAAGTAATACCAATTCTAGCCAAATTTTTCCAAAAAAAAAAAAAAAAAAAACAGAGAGAAGGTGATATGGTTTGGATGTTTATTGTTAAAATGTAATTCCCATTACTGGAGGCAGGGCCTGGTAGCAAGTGCTTGAATCATGTGGATGGATCCCCCACGAATAGCTTGGCATCATCCCCATGGTGTTAAGTGAGTTGTCACCCAGTTAGTTCATGTGAGATTTGGTTGTTTAAAAGTATGTGGCACCTCCCCATCTTCTTCTTCTGCTCTTGCTATGGGATGTGCCTGCTCCCTCTTTACCTTCCACCATGACTGTCAACTTTCTAAGGCCCTCAGCAGAAACTAAGCAAATGTTGATGCAATGCATGTACCCCCTGCAGAATCATGAGCCAATTAAACACCTTTTCTTTATAAATTACCCAGTCTCAGATTTTCTTTCATAGTAATGCAAAAACTGAATAACACAGGAGGGAATACTTGCAAACTCATACTACAAGACAAGCATTATCTTGATACTAAAACCAGATAAGTACAAAACAAAAAAAAGAAAACTACAGGCCAATATCATAGAGGAGCATAAATGCAAAAATTCTCAACAAAATACTAAGAAACTGAATTCAAGAACATGTAAAAAGATATTCACCACGATCAAGTGGGATTCATCCCAGGGATACAAGGATGATTTAATATATACAAATCAATCAATGTGATACATTATATCAACAGAATGAAGGACAAAATCCATGTGATCCTTTCAATTGATGCTGAAAAAACATTTGGTGAAATTCAACATTCCTTCATGATAAAAACCCTCAAAAACTGAGATAGAGGGAACATACCTAAACATAATAAAAGCCCTATATGGCAGACCCATAGCCATTATCATACTGAATAGGGAAAACTGAAAGTCTTTCCTCTAAGATCTGGAACATGACAAAGATGTCCACTTTCACCACTGTTATCAACATATTAGGCTGCTGCAACGTAACTGTGGTTTTTGCCATTAAAAAATGGCAAAAACCATAGTCACTTTTGCAGCAACCTAATAGTGTTTGAAGGCCTAGCTGAAACAATCAAACAAGAGAAAAAAATAAAGGACATCCAAACTGAAAGAAAGAAGTCAAATTATCCTTGTTTGTAGATGATATGATCTTACATTTGGAAAAGCCTAAAGACTTCCCCCACCCTCCCCCCCAGAAAAAACCTGTTACACCTGATAAATAGATTCAGTAAAGTTGCAGGATACAAAATAAACATATGAAAATTAGTAGCATTTATATACATGAACAGCAAACAATCTGCAAAAGAAATCACAAAGTAATCCCATCTACAAGAGGTATAAGGAATATAAAATACCTAGGAATCAATTTACCCAAAGAAATGAAAGATCTATA
The DNA here is from genome assembly GCF_000001405.40 of Homo sapiens. Taxonomy (NCBI): domain Eukaryota; kingdom Metazoa; phylum Chordata; class Mammalia; order Primates; family Hominidae; genus Homo; species Homo sapiens. Next base: position 190,478,091 of record NC_000003.12, read on the forward strand.
CAAGGAAAACTGTAAAATACTGATAAAAGAAACTGAAGAGAACACATTAAAAAAAGATATTCCATGCTCATGGATTGGAAAAGTTAATATCATTGAAATGACAATACTACCCAAAGCAATTTACAGACTCAACTCAATCCACCAAAATATCAATAATGTTCTTCACAGAAATAGAAAAAATAATTCTAAATTTTATATGAAACCACAAGGGACCCTGAAGAGCCAGAGCAATCCTGAGCAAAAAGAACAAAGCTGGAGGCGTCACACTACCTGACTCCAAAATTCACACAAAACTACAGTAACAAAATTAGGATGATACGGGCATAAGAAAAGACAAAGACCAATGCAACAAAATGGAGATCCCAGAAATAAATCCATCCATTTACTGCCAACTAGTCTTTGACGAAGGCACCAAGAACATACAACAGGGAAAAGAGTCTCTTCAATAAATGGTGTTGGGAAAACCGAATAACTCCTTGAAGAATGAAACTGGACCTCTATCTCTTACGATATACAAAAACGCAATCAAATGGCTTAAAAACTTAAATCTAAGACCTCAAACTATGAAACTATGAGAAGAAAACATTGGAGAAATTCCCCAAGGCATTGTTCGGAGCAAAGATTTTTTGTGTGTGTAAGATCATAAAAGCACAGGCAACAAAAACAAAAATAGACAAATGGGATTACATCAAGCTAAAAAGCTTTTGCACAGCAAAGGAAACTATCAACAAAGTGAAGAGATAGCATACAGAATAGCAGAAAATATTTTCAAACTAACTACTTGACAAAAGATTAATAACCAGAATATTTAAAGAGCTCACACAACTCCACAGCAAAAAAGACAAATCATTCCATTTAAAAATGGGCAAAAGTTCTGAATAGACATTTCTCAAAAGAAGACATACAAATGGCCAACCAATATATGAAAAAAATGCTCAACATCACTAATCATCAGAGAAATGCAAATCAAAACTACAGTGAGATATCTCATGCCAGATAAAATGGCTTTTATCAAAAAGACAGGTAATAACAGATCTAGCAAGGATGCAGAAAAAGGGAACACTCATACACTGCTGGTGGGAATGTAAATCAGTGCAGCCACTATGGAAAACTGAATGGAGATTTCTCAAAAAACTGAAAGTAGAACTCCCATGTGATCTAGTAATTTTACTTCTGGGCATATACCCAAAAGGAAGTAAATCAATATATTAAAAAGACATTTACACTTCCATGTTCATTGCAGCACTATTCACAATAACCAAAATATGGAATCAACCTAAGTTCCCATTTGTGAATGAATGGATAAAGAAAATGTGATATATACACATAATGTAATGTGATTCATCCTTTAAAAAGAATAAAATCCTGTTATTTGTAGCAACGTGGATGGAACTGGAGGTCATTATATTAAGTGAAGTAAGCCAAGCACTAAAGGCAATTATTTCATGTTCTCACTCACATGTGAGAACTAAAATAGTGGATCTCATGAAGATAGAAGGTAGAATGGTGGTTACAAGAGGCCTGGAAGGGTAGCGGGTAGGATGAAGAGAAGGTGATTAATGGATAAAAATATACAATTTCATAGAAGAAATAAGATCTAGCGTTAGATCAGTAGATTACCTATATTTTACAATAATCTATTGTATATTTCATAATGGCTGGAAGATAAGAATGTGAATGGTTCTAGCATTAATAAGAAAACAAGTATTTAATTTAATAGATATTCCAAGTACACTGATTGATCTTAACAACTTATGTAAATGTATTAAATTATCATGTGCCCTGAAACTATGTACATCTATTATGCATCAATAAGAAAATTCAGAAGCCATGAAATAAAAAATTGTTGAATTCCATTCTATAATTTAAAAAAATCTTCATGGCGAAGTAATATTAACACAGTGAAGAGGGATGATATTTGTAACATATGTGACAGACAATAGGCCTGATTTCCATTATACATAAAGTGTCTCCACAAATCAATAAGCCAAAGATAAACAACAGAACTGAAGAAGTGTAACAATTACAAATAGAAATGGAAGAATATGTAACTTTCAAACATATAAAAATATATTCAATTACAGTCGTAATAGAAGGCAAATACATAGAGATATTATTTTCATATTTCAGAATGGCATTTTAAAAAATGATTAAAAATGAAATTTAATGTATTTTTAAAACCATAGATGCTGGAGTCACATGTGTGGGTTTGAATTCTCGTTCTGCATTTACTAATGATGTGGTACTGGGAAAAATTGTTTAACATCTCTTATTCCAGAGTTTTCTAATCCATAAGACGGGCATAATAATAGCAAGTATCTCATAAGGTTACCATAAATATTAAACAAGATATCGTATGTAAAATGCTTAGCACATAATAAGTGCTATAGAAGTAGAGTGGTCATGCATCCCCTTTGTCTTGGGATATAGTCCTTGTTTACACTTGCCTGTCTAACATAATTACTAATACTTCTACTCTTTCATCTCACCAGATGCCCTCATTTAGATGATATATTATATAGACACTTTATAAGTAATGATGAAAGTAATTCTATGTGAGGATATTAATTGTGGCACTGCTTATAATAGGAAAGATTAGAAATAATGCCCATCAGTAAATTAATTTGTTAAATATATTATAGTCCATCCCTTCAGAGAAATACTATGCAACAATCAAAAAGAAAATTAACCCCAGCAACTGTTAGAAGAGTGGTTTTCAAACTTTCTAGTTTCAGGACCCCATAAAGTATTAAAAGTCATTGAGAATCTCAAACATCTTTTGTTTTTGTGCCTTATATCTGGTGATATTTACCACATTAGAAATTAGAATGAAAAAATACATATTTATCATACATTTTAGAATAACAATAATGAAGATATTACATGCTAAATTTATTTCTAATAAAAAACTGCACTGTATGTAAAATTAGCTTGAAGTATTTCTCTATATTTTGACTAATATAGAATATGTCTGTTTGCTTCTGTATCCAAAGTGTCATACTATCACTTCATTCAGATTTTGGAACTTCACCATACACTCATGAGAGAATATTTTTAAAAGGGTAAATCACATTTTAGTACTATTATAAAAATAGTTTTGACCTCATGGCCCCTCTGAAAGGGTCTCTAAGACTCCCAGTGGTCTAGAGGTCACATTTTGAAAACCACTGGTTTAGAACGTAGACCAAAAAATTTTTTTCTCAAGAAGGAACATTTTATTACTGATATTTCTTAGAAGTGCCTACACACAAGGATAATAAAAATCAGATTTTTAGTTAGTTTTATTCTTGTTCATGAATTATCGACCAACAATGTACCTTCTTATTGCTTGCACCTGGGGTACACTTCTCCCATCATCCCATCCTTGGCACAACACTGTGTATTAAAAACCAAACTAGACCCCAAATTATCTATTGCCAAGTAGGTTGAGATGTTAACTATTACAATATGTTAAAAATATGTTGATGTTAATGTCTAAAAATTTGTATATTCATTCATGATCATTTTAATTGGAAAGAAATATCTACACCAAAGCAATTTTTATCATAGACCGTGAGACTAAGTGGGGGGATGAGTGTAAAATACCCTAAAAGGGAAAAGAAAAACAAATTAGCAATCATTCTCTGTAATCCAAAAAGAAGACACAAACACACTCTAACTAAAACAGACACAGTTATAGCAATGTAGGTGGCATTTAGTTCTCTGAAAACTTGAAGAAAAAAAGTTAATTATCATTCTGAGATAATTATCACTGTAAATTAAGTCATTCAGCCTCTGTTTTTACAACCTGGCATTTTCCACAGAGAAGAATAATCTGCTTTTCTACAGAATCTTATTTTCCAGGATCTTCCACAAGTTCTGCCAGCATAGCCCTGACTCACCAGCTGGGGCTCCCTGAGCAGAGACAGGAGCAGAGAGAATCCCCAGCGCATGTGCTCCAACAAACTTCCTGAAACTCCCTATGCATTTTGTCATGACAATTAGGTTGTGTAGTTACACAAAATATTCTAAACATCTTAATTAAGTTAGATTCCAGGAAATTAAACTACAAAAAATAGGAGACGTAGAGCATTTCTTTCAATACAGCTTCAAATAGAAGAAACAGGGTCAGTGTGAAAAGCCCATTATAAACCCAAGGTGGTGAGCAAGTTAAGTCTGACTAATGCAAATTCAATCGATTTAAATGCCTAATTTGTATCTTTAAAGATGACGAAGGAAAAATAGGGCAAAAATTTTTCATGGTTGGGAAATAAAGAGAAGAGTGACAGGAAGGGTGAATGATATTGGTAATGGCACAAAAATCCCCTAAGATTACAGGATGTCAGAAGTCAAAGTTATTTTATAGAGCATCCAGACCATTTAGACCAACTCTTTTATTTTTTCATGAGAAAGTAAGGCCCAGAGAAGCTAACGTAATAAGCGTTGATATTTTTAATGTTGATTTATTTATCATCAGATAAACCATAAAACATACAATACATCTTGGAATCTCCTTGTTTTATGAAGGAACACATAGGTATTTGATAGGGTTTGGCTGTATCCCCACCCAAATCTCATCTTGAATTGTAGTTTCTATAATCCCCAGGTGTCATGGGAGGGACTTGGTGGGAAGTGGTTGGATCATGGGGCTGGTTTCTCCTATGCTGTTCTTGTCATAATGAGTGAGTTCTCATGAGATCTAATGGTTTTATAAGCGTCTGGCTTTTCCCCTGCTTGCACTCATTCTCTCTCCTGCCACCCTGTGAAGAGGTGCCTTCTTCCATGGTGGCAAGTTTCCTGAGGCCTCCCCAGCCATGTGAAACTGTGACTCAATAAACCTCTTTTCTTTATAAATTACCCAGTCTCTGGTAGTTCTTCATAGCAGCATGAGAATAGACTAATACAGTATTGTTTTGTGTACTCTTTCCTTTCAACTAACATCTAAATTTTAACATTATATAAGATTCAACCATACTGAATATAATACTACGTTAAATCACATCCAAAGTCAAAAATAATGATTCAAAATTTATAATTTTATATTAGTCACGTCATTAAATAAAATTCAAAACCACTGCTTTGATGCTTAATTCTTATAGGTACTGTGCCTAACCATCTAGAGGAGCAATAAAATGAATTTAACAAGATTTCCAACCTCTGGTGATTCCAGTATCAAAGGGACATTAGGTATAGACAAACACTATAGACTTTACAGGAAAAAACATACATACATATAAATGAAGACCTTTTAAAAGAAGCATTGAGAAAATAGATTACAAAGAATTTAATTCTATTTAGGTAGCTCAGGAAATCTCATGAAACTGAGAAAGGATCTTGAAGGAATCATAAGACTTCAAACATAGATGAGGAAAGTAGGCCATTTCAGATTGAAATATACACACAAAGGCAGAGAAATAGGAAAGTCTAGAATGGTTTTTAGGAAAGACAATTATGCCGGCTGTGTATATTTAGCGTGAGGGGGAGAAGGTGGAGGTGCAGTTGGCTTACTGATTGCAGTGCTTGCCCTATACAAAGCCTCTTCTTTGAGACCACTCATGCGTCCAGCCCTCACTCATGGCCTTCTCTTAGATAGAGGTGATTATGACCACGTGTCCTTGTCTCCAAGTGTCCTTCATTGTATTAGAAGTCAGCTACTTCACAGGCTGGCCTAAAACCTATATGTTGGCTTGGCAAAAAAAAGGCTAATCACACTCTTGATTGTTAAAACTCAGATGTACAATGTTTCAGTGGAAGATACAACTAGAAGAGAATATATGGAGAAAAACTGCAAGATAGAATCAGGGCAATGATGCAAAGAAGGAGAGAGACCAAGAAGTAACTTATTAAAATATTATAGATGCGAGATAAGTAATTGTGGGAAGAAAACCTATCTGTTGATAAAACAAATAACCTTTAATAATATTTCTCTATTACAATTAAAACTACATATACCATCTTAGTTTCTCATCTGTATTTGCTTACCTTTCTCCATTATTTTCTATCTGTGGCTTGTCGATTCCAATGCAATTGAGCATATTTCTCAAGATGGATCTGAGGATTACTTCATTTGACCAAAATTAGTTTAGGAGATTGCTAAGAAACTCCTGAAAGACTATATAGGTTTAGCCAGAATGAAGAAGATATGATAATATAGAGGGATATATCTTAAAGCTAAGAGATCATTTATATCATTAAGTGTGACTTAAAACTATTATATGGTAGAAAATAGACAAGGAGGGTAAAATGGAGGTGGTAATACATACATTTTAAACTTGTATATGATGAACAAAGATGTATTGGTTAAATATTTGCATTTGTGCAAACATTCAAAATATTGATAATACCCTTATTAGAACCAATACCCTTGGAGTTATAAAAATAGCAAGCAATACATAACATTTTCACCCATCATATCATCTATGTTGGATGTGCCACATAGATATTCATAAAGGCACCCTACAAGTTTCTGATAAACAAATCCTAAAAAAAGATGCAATAAGAAATGTATGAACCAGGCACAAGTAATTTTATAATGAAGATTTACCTATAATAGAAATCTTTTTTTATTTTAAATAGCAAGAAACTAACACATGACTTTGGCAACCTATGAGTGACAGGGAGTTGAAAATGGTGGCCTGGGTGAAGTAAAGCCCAGACTCCAGTATTTCTACTGCATTCTTACATATTAAATGAGTTTTTGGTTTGGGGCCTTTAAAATAGGAAACTGATTTTGCTTATTAGCCATCAACAGAAAGTGATATTTGAATTATCACTATGATTTACTTTGGGGTTTTGATTTTAAGAACCAGAAACCATTTCTCTGTGTCTCTGAATGTGCCCAAAGATACAAAATCTATCAAGTTGTGAATTAATTCTTGAAAAGTGAAGAAAGAGAACTAGAGAAATAAGAAGACTTGATAAGTTTAAGACTTCCAGTTATTTAGTCAGGAATTTCATGATAAAATAAAAGGCACATAGGAATCCCCCAAAGCATTTTGGTTTGAATTAGCAATATAATTCCCTTAGTTTCCCACTTTCCTTTACACCAATCTGTATTATTTCTATTGCAAATAAGAAGCAGAATAACTGTGCTCAGATGTGCTTTTGAAGGCACCATGTAATGGCCAATCTGCACAGACTTCTAATTGCCTTCACTTGAAAAGGAATTACACTCTTAAAATAAAGAAAGAAAGAAAAGAAAAAGAAAAAAGAACGTAACTGCCGGCAAAGCCAAACTGCTTGTCTTGATAGCACGCAGAATAATTATAGCTTCTTCTCTTTGCCGATGACACCTCTTAAACTTACGTCACCCTTTATCAAAAGTGTTTTTCAGTGTTAGTAAAGGAGATAGAATAGTGACATAAGATTAAAGACATGATGGGAAAAAAAAATCTAGTTACTAAAGGTAACATTAAGGAATAATTTAATGTCAGTATTCTAGTCAATTGAAAGGTAATTATCTTCATAGCAAATATTAGCACATATGTCTTATGAGGCAATGACTTTTAAAAGCTGGTACTTGCATGACTGGTTGAGAAAGAGTTTCAGTTGTAAAGCTTTCCACAAAAGTAAAAAGTAAAATAAACTAAATCTACATATATACACCCGGGAAAATGTTTGAGCTTTTCCTTAATGTATTCCTAAGTGGCCTGGAACAACTGAATGATCACATAAAACCGTCCTTGTTTTAGGGAGAAGTCTCAGTAGCATAGTTCTTAGTAGTGAAGATTTTATCCACTGCCAAACAGCCTTTGTATGGTAGGATGTCAGAGCAGGGCTTCACCCTTTTGGTGTGAAAAAGCAGAGTGATTCTTGTGAAGGTGAAAAGAAAGGAAGGGATCAGGAGGAAGAAGGCAGTGGACCAAATGAATGGTAATGAGTTCAGAGGAGCCGCTTAATCATTTGTCTGCCATGGGCTTCTATCTGGATAGGACCAAAGAAGCTTCATTTAATAAGAAGATTTATCTTTGGTGCCTATGTAGAGAGAGATGATCTGACATTGTTTAAACAGGCAACATCAGAATGCAGGGGTTTAATGCTGGTGTATTACTAAAATGCTCAAGGAATCCCATAACAAATACATTCAAAACACACAATCTAAATCCTTTTTAAAGGGCACCTCACATTAATCCCTCAGCTGGGGTTCCTCATTTTTGTAGCATCATTTATCACTTTAATGTAACATTAGTTTAGTGGCAGGCAGAGGACCTGCACCGAATGTTGGAACGTTAATGACTTAAGCAGAAAGGAAACACTTGAGAGACCAGCCGGTGCTCTAGTTCTTTCCCTAGGTTATAATCACAGATGCAGGAAGCAATTGCTGCTATATAAATAATACCGCAATGTGGTTAATGTTGGCAAGACCAGACTTATTTGTAACTCTAAAGGGTAAATAACAAAAGGTTTGACAAACTGACTCAAGGGATAAATGTGTTTCTGAGGGGAGGGGCCGGGTGTGGGGGCAGTGGAAAGAGGGAGAAGAATGAGATCAAACAGTTCTCTTCATTTATTACAGATTTTTCTAAAGGAAAAACAACATAGCGGTGGAGATAAGTTGTAGGGGGTGGAGGGTGTAAATACCAGGGCATCCTAGCAGCACAGATGGCACTGGGGACTTACTGCCTCCCACTACACCTGAGCCTATGGATGCTGCATAAGAATAGGCATGGATGTGGGTGTGAGGAGACTTTGGAAGCCACTCTATTTAGAAGAGGAGAATCCCCAGCATTTGTAAATTCAAATCCCACATTGCTTTAGCAACTTTTTTTTTTTTTTTTGACTAAAACATATCTGACCCTTTCCTTAACTTTTAGCATGTCTCTCTTGGGAAGGACACTTATCTTTCTTTAATTGCTTTCTCACATTTATGAAATGGACCTGAACTGGGAATGGTGAGGATGGGGCTATCTAGTTTAACTCTTTAAGTCCTTTCAGCACTAATCTTTTATGGGTTTACTTCACTCTTATTATAAGAGATGATTATGTGTTTTTCTTTTAAATAATATCCTTCGTGCTATGATTGCATCATATCAAAGAGCTAACCCTGTAAGCATATGTTTTAAGCTCCAGAATTTCTCAGAAGTGGAGCCATTCAGGAACTTCTCAGCAGCCTCAATAGCATGCTTCTTAGACAGCTTCCAACTTCATCTCCAGGTGAATTCTTCCCTAACATGTTTTTGGTTCAAAAGGGTAAAAAACAAACCAGTTTTTCATTCTGTACTTTATATAGCCCATGGTGGGCATTTCCCATCTGCCCCATCTCTTCTTCTGTCTTTGGAGCCCATCTGGCTTTTGTTTTAATCTCTAACACAGCAGATGACATTCTCTGCCAGCAAGTCCTATTTTCAGCTCTCTTGGGCAGGCTACAGAAGCTGAGCTCTGCTTCCAAATTTACTGCCGGTTTTAAAACAATAAAAATCTAGTAGTTATTATTTCCCACTGACCCAGGCAGGGTCTGAAACGATGAACTTCAAATTTTCTGCAAAGATTTGAGAGCCCGATTGGAAAGTATAGGTCTATGAAATTATTACTTCAGAATGGTTCTGCATGGCTTGTGGATCTCTGAGGAGTTCTGGCTTGCTGAATTGGGAGTCTTCTTCATCACCACCATCATCAAACAGTGCCTGGGGAGGTAGGTCAAGCTGTGCTCTCTCAGTCTCCTATTCTAGGTAGTAGAGGTTGGTGATCCCCATCTGCTAGCTGGAACTTAGCGTTTTAAGAATGGATCCTCATCTAAGGCAACTCTACGGGCCCTGGCAGCTAATGTGCCCCAGCTTGCTGTTTTAGCTTCACCTGTTGGTGTTGTGACTTGATATTCAGGCCATCCGCTACTGGAGCGGCCACATCTAGGGTTGTTCCACATAATTCAATATCATTTCAGCCACTTTTAGAGTTGTTGTGGGATTTGAATAATAATATGTATCGAAGCACATGGTAAAACCAAGCATTAAAGCACTATTGGACTGAGAGGTGGTTATGGGACCAAATCATTTATTCACATTGCATCCCTCTTATAACTATGTTTTAGGAAATATTTAAGGAATGTAATAAATAATTAACAAGAACTCAAGAGGAATACGGGGAAAAAAGCTACTGCAATTGAGTGGGATTATGGTTGAATATTTTTTCTTTCATTTTAATTTTTATTTAGGTTGGTATATGTGTTTAAGAGTTTTAAAACTTTTTCAAAGGGAAATAGGAATGAGGAAAGAGCTTAAGAGGTACTCCCTAGTTTGGCATTCAAGACTTTCTATGATCTGACTACATCTCCCTTTTTACATTTCCCACTTTATTCCTCTCTTCATTACCACCTCACTCCACCCCACACAACTATTTCTTCACCTTTTACCTTCCCTGAGAATACTTTGTTTTTTGCCTTTTCTCTCAACCTAGAATTCCTTTTTTCCCCATATAACCATATTTGTGAAAATGATACATGTTGTTTATATGCAAAAAACTCACATTTTTTGTTACCCTGCATCAAATATATGTAGATTTGCCTGATCTCAGCCATCATGAAGAGGAAAAGGGGTCTCCCCGCTCCTTCTGAGTCATGCAGGAAACTGGAGGGCTTGCAGAGCCCAGAAACCTTGGAAAATAGTTTCTCAATCTTACTTATTCATGGCTGCTCCCACCAGTCCTGAAGATAAAGGAAATGCCACTTTTATACAATTTTCTTAAAGGTTGGTAAACAATATTAAATGTCTAAAAAAACCTTCACGAGTGAGTCAAAACATGTCTATGGCTAAATTTGGCCCGCAGGCTGCAAGTTCACAACCCCTGTCTTAGACTTTAGGATACAAAGTCTTGCTTATCCATCAAGAATGGTGAAAACGGAGGTAAAGAAGAAGGTTTTAAAATAGCTTTTCATTTTTATAAATTTCTTACAACTCTGAAAATAAGACAGAATTTGAAGTTGGATAAATTATCCTATTCCATACTGAAACTCTACAGTCTTCAAAGCTTAGCTCAGATACCTTCTGTGACTTTCATGGAGCCAAAAACTACTTCACTTAATGAAATTAATTGATATCTCCTCTATATCTGACAGCGCTCCCTCCCTTCCTTCCTCTCTTCCTTCCTTCCCTCCCCCCTCCCCCCTTCGTTCCTTCCTTCCTTCCATCCTTCCTCTCTTCCTTCCTTCCTTCCTCTCTTCCTTCCTTCTTTTCTTCCTTCCTTCCCCCTGATCTAATTTGATCTTACCCTAGCAGGTGACTGCTTTTATTGTCCCATGCCCATTTAAATACAGGTTGAATGAAGCTCAGGCAAATTAGCAATCTGCCCAATGTCATCCAATTAACTAACAGTGTATCTCAGATTCAGACTCAAGAGGGAGTGTAAATTCAAAGACCGAGCTCTTAACCAATGTACCATGGAAATTATAATCTGGTGAAGACACAGCAGTTAATTACCCAAGCCATTACTCCTTTAAAAAAATCTTATATGGATTTAAACAGGGCTGCCATGTATTAAACTACTTTACAGACTTATACATTTCCCCAACTATACTATGAGTTTTTGAAGCGAAGAATTATATGTGATTGATTTATTGTTCTCCCATAGCACCGGGTATAGTAACTCTTCCATAGCAAGCATCGATAAATAGGTATTGAACTGATTATTTACACTGGAACATTGCAAATCCCATACCCTCAGCCTTAAACTAATTAAACTACTGCTCCTTCCACCTCCTTTCACACAGTCAGAGTCAGAAACACTTACTCACAGCACCAGGTACAATTTAATATTCCTATGGGCTTCATGCAATGGAAAACAACCGACAAGGAACCAGAAAGTATAGGTTTGAGGTTTGATCGTGTGGGTCCATTTTTTACAAGTCATTTCTATTCTCAGTCCTTTTTACCCAACAACACAGGGTGTACACTAAATGATCTCCAGTCTCCTTTCAGCCTTGGTTGTGCATAAAAATGGTTCTGGAGTCAGACACAGCAGGATTCCAATATAACAATTCCAATTTTCTTAGCTGTATGACCTGAAACGAGTTACTTAATCTCTAATATAAGTAAAATACTACAGTACTTCACAAGTAGAATGCTCTCAATAATTATTAGATACTTTTACTATTATACTGTAATTGTTTATTGTAAATCTTTTAAAGTGAATTTAAGACATGTGCATATGTGTATATATTATATATATTAATATGGTAGCTTATTTTTGATTATGTGCTGATGATAATATATGCTTATAGCTTTTGTAAACTCATGTCACATTGTCTGTGGTTATTTATAATACTGTATAAGACACTTATTGACATTTGCAAACTGATAAATTGAATCATGCAGGAAGCTGTTTTATAGCTAACATCCTTTTTAATTTATTTCTCACTCACTTGACTTGATTCATCTTTTCAAGATGAATTGACCAGATTTATGGCTTTTTGTAGGCACAGCTCATGGCAGATCCTTAGGCGCTGTTAGGAAAAAGCAAGATTAAGAAAACAAATCCTCTGTATTTATTAATCTCTCTGAAAATTCATTAAGGATTCTACTTTCACCAAGAGAAATCAGCAGAGACAAGCAATACACATAACTTTTGCTAAGAAAATAGTAAACCTTCTCTCCTTTGGGGAGAGCTGTAAAATTTTAGGAACTTGTCTTGAAATATAAATCTACTGAAGACCCAACTTTCATTTAGTTCCGTTAAACTACAGCCTTTAGCTTCAATCCTATACAGATCTTGTGGTTCTTTACTATGTAGCTATAAATCATCTCATTTGTTTTTACCCAGTAGCAAAAACATTGAATCAAATTATGCATAAAACAAAATCCTGTCTCGCCCGTCAGAGACTTCCCTCCAAGTTGAGATGGATAATATACAAGCTCCTAAGGGATAGACCTCTCCAGACAATTACTTCCTAAGGATCGTAACAGGACAATTTTACTCTCTATTGTATTGACATTTCCTACTCTTCTATTTTAATTCCAAGTGGATTCATAATATTCAAAACAGGGGGAGAAGGGACAGAATTTCAAACCAAAATTGAATACGCACTTTTCAGCGACTCAAGTTGCTACGTAATTCCTCCTTAAAGTTAGTTGCTATGCCTTTGTCAGTTTTCCTTTCTTGCTTCATTAAGTCAATTAGGAGGAGTCTGAGATCAATGATTATTAAAAATTATCTTCTCCAAAGTATAATATTCTCTAAGATGCTACTTTTTCCCCATGATTGAGATTCACCCTTTCTCTAATAAATAACTCCGTTGAAATGTATTACAAACTTAATTCAAATGATCCAATAGTCTAGGTTTAATCAGAAGATAGATAGGAAACACTTAGTTGGTTAAACAGAGGAAGCTGAATATAAAGAATTATTAATGATGACAAAAGAGTAACTATCAGATATAGGGAAAGTATGGTACTCTAGGGTGGAGGGAGTACCAAAGAAGGGATAAAATTGGAAGGCATTCAGACCTCTGTCATAGGTTAGCAAAGATGGCCAGAGCTGGTCTGCAGTTACAGGGCAAACAATAGGCAACTCTCTAGGGAGCAGGTAAGCTGTAGGTGATTGGCAACCTGCGTTGAAGCCGTGTATTCAGTGTCCTGGTACTGACAGAGGATGGGAACAAGCTTGCAGATAAAGCCACGCTGGGCACATGACTCTCCAGGCTACTGGCCACTTGGGCTTATCCAGACAGTCTGGACAGGTGGTTATTTTTAGATCTGTAGGTGGCTTTGGAGGTCACTGAATCACCTTCCTTGACAGTTGAGAAAAGTGAGTCTTGAGCAAAAGGGACTTTCCCACATTTGTACAAAGGTGTAGTGAGAGTGGCAGAAACAAAATTGAGGTTTGGATACAATGGCTGGCAGGTTAGGATTAAAAATCAAAACCAAAGCCACAGACTAACACACAAAGCCACTTTCTAGTTTTGTTTTAACTTTATTTCCACAACTGGTGAGTATAGCTATAAGAACAATGAATCAAGCTTAATCATTTGTGCGCAATTAGTCCATTTTGGTTTATGTTAAGAACCTTCTGTGCTATGACCCGAGTGCACTATCTAATTTGGGAAATGCAAAGGTTTTCTGTCCGAGGGGATCCTTTCATCATTAGCATGTTATGTTCTCACCCTTTCTGGAGCAACCATTTGGAGCTTTTTCTCAAAAACACTTTTATCCAATTTTTTAATATACTTACCCATTCCTAAATCCCTTCACTGTTTGAGTCCTAGCATTGCTCTGACTTTCCTAGCATTGCTCTGCCTTTCTCAGAGGAGAAAGCACAGTACAAAATGCTGGTTGCTAAGCAGTGCCTATTTTTACTCCAGTTGAGCAGAATAGAGACCCACTCAATGAGCTTCTATCATTGAGACTAGTGATGAAACAGCTACTACAGGTTAAAAATTTATCAGTGTTTCTCTGTGGAATCCATAGCAAGGCATCTGGGGCAAGAGTGTGAAATTTAGACCAAGGGCCTGCCCAAGGTAGGTATTGATATAATGATTGGAAAAACTCATAAATACAGACATCAAGTATTGGTTGAGCACCTACTATGTTTAAGGTACTGCATTAGGCAATTGGAGTAAATTATTGGACTAAACAAATTTGGTCCCTGATTTCATACTGCCTATAGAGTAGATGGAAAGACAGACAAAAAAAACAGAAGTGCCAAAATGACAAATAGTGATAAGAAATAAACATGTTGCTAAGAAAGAATAGCAAAGAGAAAGGGAGTTTATTTTAAGTAGGTTACAAAGAGGAAGGCTATCTGAGGCCTACATGCAAAGACCTGGAAGGAGTCAGGCAGAAGCATCAGTTCCTGAAAATGTTTGGGTGAGGCTGGGGTGAGTGTGGGGGGCTGTGAGAAGTAATAGGTGGGCAGTCCATTGCCTCTACAATTAAAATACATCCAGTGTCAAGAGTTCCTTGCAAACTTTACTTCTAAATCCTTAGCCCAAGCCACCATCATTTCTCATCCAGATTGTTGCAATGGCTTTGTGACTGGTCCCCTGCTCTGCCTTTCTGCCTGCAGTCAATGATTCCCCAAACACTCAAAGAGATCCATTAAAAATGGATCAGATTACGGTAATCCCCAGCCCAAATTCCTCCAGCAGTTTCCTATCCCACTTTAGGCATGAGAAAAAATACCTTAAAAGGCCAACCTTTTGTATCTCTGGCCAACCACTGTATCTCTCACTTCACCGACTCCTCCTCCTCCCCTTGTCCATTCCGTTTCAGCCACACTGACGTCTTTGCTGTTCCTCAAACAGGAAGAGTTTGCTCCTACCTCAGGACACTTGCAGTTGCTGTTTTATCTTTCTGGAATCTCTTTCTCCAGTTAACTGCATGATTTACTGTCTTGCCTAATTTAAGTCTTTGTTCAAATGTCACCTTCTGAAGTAGACCTTCTCTGACCATATACAAAATTGCACTATCCCCAGCACTTTCTCTTTTTTTTTTACCTTATTCTTCTCAATAAAACTTATTGCATCTGACATACTATATATTCTATAATTTATTTTACATAAATGTGGAAAATAGAGTTTTAGTAAGCTCCCTTGAATGGTGAAATTCTTTCAATACACTTTAATTTTTAGAACAGCTTGATATTTTCGGAAAAATTGAGGAGATAGCACAGAGCATTCCTCCATACCTGACATCCAGTTTCTCTTATTATTAATATTTTACTTTAGCATGATACATTTGTCATAATTAAGGAACCCATATTGATACATTATTACAAGCTAAAATCCATTGTTTATTCAGATTTATTTAGTTTTTGTCTAATGTCTCTTTTCTAATCCAGGATTCCTTCCAGAATATTCATTCAATTAAGTTGTAGTGTCTCCTTTAGGCTCCTCTTGGCTATGACAATTTCTCTGACTTTTTCCTGTTTTTATTGACCTTGACAACCTGGAGGAGCACTCATCAGAGGTATTGCAGGATGCTGCTCTGTTGGACATTTTCCGATGTTTTTCTTGTGATTAGACTGAGGTTATAGGTTTGGGAGACAAAGTTCACGGAGGGAAAGCGCCATTTTTGTTACATCAAGAGTCTTACTATCAGTATAAATTATGACTGATGATGCTGACTGTGATCACCTGGCTGAGATAGTGTTTGTCAGATTTCTCCACTGCAATGTTCCTTTCCCCACTCTTTTTCTTACTGTGTTCTTAGGAAGAGGAAGTCACTATGCACAGCTCCCACTTAAGAAGCTCTAATTCCTGGAAGGAACAGTATCTATGTAAATTATTTGAAATTCTACTCCATGGAGATTTGTCTCTTCTCACCTATTTGTCAATTTATTCAATTTTTTATCAGTATAAACTCATGGATATTTATTTTGGTAATAATCCAATACTATTATATTTTGTGGCTCTAATTGTTCCAACTTTGGCCATTAGGAGCACTTTCAGTTGCCCTTATACCCATTTAATACATCTCCATTAGTTTTTCTTTTCTTTTCTTTTCTTTTTTTTAGTGTTTTCTAACTTTCTGGTGTTGCAAGATGTTCCAGGCTCATTGTATTTCCTGCCCCAGTCCTAAAATCAGCCATTTTTCTAAGGTAGCAGTGAATCTTTGTCAATCAAATTATTTCTATGTCTCCAGCACCCAGAACATTACCTGGCATAACAGAGTTATTCCATAAATATTTGTTGAATGGATAAGTTAATAAATTGGAAGCAAAGGCAATGGATAGGGCAGTTAGTGTCAAAAGTCCCTCCCCGTATCTGACTTTCCTCTCATCATGGCAAGTGGGATCCAGTACTTCAGGATAAAACGTTTCATGGGCACTATTGCAGGACCTGAATTTGCTTCCCTCTCAAATGTTACTATTTGGGGAGCAATCATCCCAAGAAAAGTGTATGAAAACTCACAATTTGTTTACTTTAAAATTATAAGCTTTGCTTGTTTAGCCAGAATCAATCACTGTCTACTCAATACTTTCCATTTTCTCATTCCCTACTTAAATATGTATTTTTTTTATCCTTAGTTGTCTGCCTCTTGCTGTCTCTCATTAGGCTTTGAATAGCTTGAAAAGAATCATGTCTTATTTTGTTTAGTGCCCAAAGCACCCAAGGGAGCTGACACACAGGAAGTGCTCAGCAAGTGGATAAAATGATGAGTAGCACAAAGAGCAAATATGAGAATAATATTAACTGTCATTGAGGCAATAATAATTCAAATTCCACTGCAAGCATAATCAAAGATCTAAGCTTTTAAACTATAGAACAATTGCCTGAAAAAGAGTGTGCTTCAATTTTGAACACTTAAGAGTCAGAAAAAATTCTTAAAAATGAATTCGTTCTTCAACTAATGCTAAATAACTACCTTCTCTCCCCCACTTATTTGTGTTGTTTTCCATAAATTCTAGGAAACAACAGTCTCTTTCTGAATGCAGAATCATAAAACTCTTAAAATATTCCTAAAGTATGGTTTAACTCCTTCATTTTAAAGAGAGAGAAGTTGTGGCCCAAGGAGTAACATAATCTGTTCATGGTCACACAGGACTAAGTTTAGATGTCAGCCTCACTGCTGTCTACCAACAGGGCTCCATGAATATTAATACATTTGCATGCAAATGGATACTTCATAGTTAACTTTTATGTGGAAAAATACATGTTTGTTGAATAAAAGAATGGATACTGTAACAGAACTAATTCAAAGGTTGAATAATTTTAAAGCATTTAATATTCTTTTAAGTGGAAGAGGAACTGCATATTTAAAATCTATAAAAGACAAAGCTATTATTTCAAAATAATAAACAGCTAACATTTAATCAGAATAGAACAGGGAAAAGAAAACAACATATATCAAGTACTTGCAATGTACAAGTTGCACTTACATGTTATCAACTTAAGGTTTTGAAACTAAATGAGTTTTGGGATGTGAAACAAATCCCCGCCCCCACGCCCCCACCATCCACCCCCACCCTGCCCCGTCACACAGCTATTTTGTGACAGAGCAGAAATTTACTCATAGGCTCTATGACTCCCATGCCTGGATATGTTGCCTTTACTACCCTACAGTATTTCAAAACTCCAAGTCTTGAACAATTCTGCTTATAGATTTTAAATCAAGTTTCATTGTGCTTTTGTTACACATCCTGTCAACATTGTGTTGATTCAATTAATTATTCGTGGTGTTCTTCGTTCAATCCAATTTAACTCAAACAATATTTATTAACTTCCTTCTGTGTTTTGGGCACTATATCCTATGTGCTGGGCAGAAGTAAAAAGATAGATTCATTTGTATCCTGAATGGGAAACACACACTCAGATTTAACTCCAATTGAAGGGACTATAATGAAAATTTCTTAAACAGATGGACAAAGTGCTTTATGAAGTGTTGTACATGTGTGTTTGTATATAGTAAGCATACTGACTGGTGTGTGTGTATGCATATGAAAAATCAGCACCATAAATTTATAGTTGTCCTATATGCATATCACGTATATGTAAATATATGCATATAAATGCTATTGTGTAATTTTAGTAGGTTCCTTAAATTTTATCCCCTGTGACTGTGAAGCTTAAAGTGTTTATAGCCTGCTTGTACATAACTCAAAAACTTATACATGCTTTATA
Source organism: Homo sapiens (assembly GCF_000001405.40). Taxonomy (NCBI): domain Eukaryota; kingdom Metazoa; phylum Chordata; class Mammalia; order Primates; family Hominidae; genus Homo; species Homo sapiens. The sequence continues at coordinate 190,496,617 of NC_000003.12, forward strand.
TATATATTTCTCATGATGATGATAGTGGCAATAATCTAAACATGGCTAAAGATTTTGGAAACAATAAAAACAGAAGGAACAACAACAACAAAAAATAAATAAAGGCTTTACTGGCAAAATTTTTAAGAGAAGAGACTTTCTCACAAAGACTTGAGATTTTCTAACACGTTCATTTTTTATTTCAGACTTGGCACATTGTATAAGCATGCCTTATTTGTCAAATTCCAAATTTATAACTCTCCCTTCCTATTCTCTAGTCTCAAATTAATTTTCTCTGTCATACCTCAAAGAAATTCAGAAAAAAATGCTATTACAGTGCTCCATTTGTCCTGACATACAGAAATGGTGAGTTTATAATAGTCATTTTACCCAGCTAATCTCTTCAGAACATTTGTTCTTTAGTCATTGTGAAATTCACATATAAAAGCAGGTCACTTGCAGTCTGACCTTAAAAAGTCTTAGTAATGGGCTGCACGTTTTTCTTTTGGATGTTGTCTCTCTTCCAATGTCCTTTGTAAGAGATGGTCCTAAGTCAGAAGTCATGAGCTTGTGTCCAGACAATTGGACAACTACTTCTTTTTAAAATCCCCTTTGCAAATTGAGCTATATGCATGCAAGACTTCCATAAGCAAAAAATAAAACGTAACTTAAATAACATTACTTAAAGTAACTTAATAAGCAGAACTAGCCTCCTTCTCCCTAAAGCAAAGAGGATGGATGGAAGAGTCAAAAAGAGACCTTTATTTTTTTTTTTTAATAAAGAACCAACATAAGATACAAAAGAACAGTATGGTATTTTAGGTTTTAACAGAATTGTTTAAAACCAGGGAATATAGATAAAGAAGACAATTTGCCAGATTGAACCAATGGAGTGATTTTTTTTTAAAGCTTCTCTAAACTTCTTTGCACTCTGTCAATGGCTCTTGTCCCATCTTCCTTCTGTGATATCTATTTATGAGCTCTTACCTCCTGTGAGATTTCAAAAATTTATCACGGGCAGAGAGTGGGTCTGATTCAGAACGTTCTTCTTCATTATGCCTTTCACAGCACTTTATACATAGTAGGTGTCCGGTAAGTGAGGATTGATTGGCTGCAGGCATGACAAAGGTTGCAAGACACATTATGTTTTATATATTAATTATGTATACATACATATATTTTTAAGGGTTCATGAATTTATAATGAGTGATTTCTGTATCCCTGCATAGTGCTGTCAATCAGTTTCAGAGAATCAATTTCGTCCCTAGTTCTTAAAGGAAGACATGCCAATGGGATGAGAAAGACAGACACATGATTTAATGTTGCCAAATGCATAAGGGTTTCTTAGGTGAAAAGACATTGGCTCATTGTATTAGGAGGGCTGGCCTGATGGAACCAAGTCACATGGTGTTCATGCTCATGTCAGGCAGCTGCTGTCAACATTCCTGTGAAAGATGCTGGCAGTCTCCCTCTTGAGATGCCAACTCCATTTAATTAGCTTTCAGACAAGGCAATTTCACCGAATCGTTTTATACACTGAGGCTCTTTTCAAAGCCTCAGCTTTGAGTTCTGGGTCTTCAAAGGTAACTAGCTTTAAAAAGTGTTGATTATTTAACATAAATGGAGTATGAAAAGCATTAGTGGCATAACCCACGTGAAAAAATGATTACAGTAATTTAAATAAAATTGTCTTTTTTTGTCTTTCTCGAGGGGAAGTCAACTTGTTTAATTAAACCTTAATGCAATATTAGGTAGAGGCTCAGAGTTAACATTTTGAAGTCTAGTAATAAAGATACTGACTATCTCTGTATTACATGTATATAAGCAAATAACAAAGCCAAAACTGCAAGGCTACATGCAGGCTTGTGACAGAACAAGACTACACTGAAGCAACATCATGATGAGAACCTAGTGTGGCACTCCTGGATTCAGCTTCCATTGCTGACAATTGCTATATGTATTTGCCCTCCGGGAAAGTCACATCACTCAATCTGAGCTTCATCTTAAAATGAGAATAATAATTTCTGCCTTTTTACCTTTCTTACATAGTAGTTTTAAGGGTCATATTACAGGTGATAATGCTTTGTAAGGCATATTGAAGTACATCAACATAAAGAATTGTAATTATTACAACAACTTCATGAACAAACCTTTCCCTATTCTTAAATATTAATGTAGAAGCCGACTCCTTAGCTTCTCTTCACCTGGTTCCTCAGACTTCTCACAATAAATCAGGAAAGCATTTTAAAAACATATATTCTCTGCTGCAATGTTGATCGATCAAAAAGTTTGTTGAGTGCCTGTGTTAACCAATAAATATATATCAAATACCTATCACATGTTAAAAATTGTGTTTGATTTTGTAGAGACTAAGAATTAGTATTTTCTACCAGTCCCTTAAAGTGACTGTGGTTTTTCAAGTACAGGAGACAAGTTAGAAATTCATGTTGATTTGAGGAGGTGGGGCAGGAGCTTTCATTTTGTTTCCATATAATGCACTGAACACTATGTATGTGCTTTGAATGTATTATTCCATTTATAATAACTTACCTTTTGAGATAGAGGTTTTTAAATCTCCATTTTTCATGTATGAACACTGAGCCATAGAGAGAAGTGAAATAACATATTCCAGAACCCACAGCTCATCAATCAGAAAGTTGGAAATTCAACCCAAGCCAGAGCATGAGCAAATGATGGGAAAGGCTGTCTAAGTATAGCAGGGCCTCATGGGAGCAATCCCTTCCTCTTCTGTTTTCTGTGGCTTCACTTCCACGTCTTCCACAACTCTGCTTTCTCTCTCTCTCTCTCTCTCTCTCCAACCCCCCAGCACACCCTCCCCATCGTTTTCTCCCCTCCTTTCCTCTCTCTCTTTATCCAGTAGTTTGCTTCACAATAAATTCTTCATTTAAATGTTGCTTTGTAGATGGTGGTTTCATACGAGCTCATTTATCCTCATAGAATATTTGATATCACAAAGGGAATGGGAGCTCTTTCATAATTTTTACAGTTTGACAAATTGAGAGATGTTAAATAACATATCAGAAACATATAACACATTTTGTTAAGATCAGATTTAAGTATCAGTTATCACAAATTACTTAGCAAAGAAAAAATAAATGAGCATTTATTGAATGAATAAATACTCAAAGCATGTATTAATATTCTCTAAAAATTACTTATTACAAAGACTATATATATCAAATCATATTTTTCTGTTGATGTCCATTACAAAATTGGAGATACATTCCAACAGAAAATACTTTTTGCAGCATTAGATATGAACACATACAAAAGAAAATTACTAACCTCATAAAATCTCACATCTAGAAGAAAAAACTCATCAGTATAGCATTAATAATAATATTAAAAACAAATCACAAGTTAGAAATACTAAAACAGAAAATCATAAATGATACCCTTCATTTTCTATCTTTGCGATTTCCTATACTGATAGCTCATGGTTTAGCTTTTAGTTTATTGCTTTGTTTTTATCCCAAACTAAATACTGTGTTTTGATTTTTCTTTTCAAATACGTAACAAATTACTTATTGTTTCAGTTTTCTATGGAAAAAAGAATATTTATACTTAATGCTTTCCCATAAGAGAAAAGATATTCAAACTCCCTTTATGGAGGTGTACTGCCAATTTTCTTTCTTTTATAAATAACATTATTGTAGAATAATATAAAAATGAAACATCACAGAATTTACATACAATCCTACCATCTTAACACTTTACTCCTTATCATTTTTATATACAGCTGCATGGCTATAAATATAAGGGTCTTGAATTTTATTTTAAAATTTAAATATAAGAATTTTTATATGCATAATTATAATTTTTAATGGTTGCATAATACTCTACCACATGATGTCCCAAATTGACTAAATCATTTTTCTACTTTCTCACAAAATCAGATTACGATTTTTTAAAATTGTGGTAAAATACACATAGAATAAAATTTGCTATCTTAACCATTTTTAAGTGTACGGTTTAATAAGTTTAAATTAATTTTAAGTTTTTTCAATAATACATGTAAAAATATCCTTTCTTGTCTACGTTCACATTGTTGTACAATCAATCTTTAGAACTCTTTTCATCTTGCAACCCTATCCACTGGACAATAACTTCTCATTACCCCCTTCCCCAAGCCCTTGGCAATCACCATTCCATTTTCTGTCTGTATGAATTTCAGTACTCTAGGTACCTCATATAATTGGAACCAAACAATATTTGTCTCTTTGTGAGTGGCTTATTTCATTTAGTATGATGTTTTCAAAGTTCATCCGTGTTGTAACATGTGTCAGAATCTCCTCCCTTGTAAAGGTTGAATAATATTCCATTGTATGTGTATACCACAATTTGTTTATCCATTCTTCTGCTGATGAACACTTGTGTTGTCTCTAATTTCGGCTATTGGAAATAGTCCTGCTATGAACATGGGTGTACCGATATCTCTTTGAGAACTTGCTTTCAATTTTTTGAGTATTTCCTTAGAACCAAAACTGATGAACCATATAGTAATTCTATTTTCAATTTTTAGAGGAATTACCATACCCTTTTCCTTAGAGGCTACACCATTTTATGTACCATGAACAGTGCACAAGAGTTCCAATTTCTTCACATTGTCAACAATACTTGTTATTTTATTTCTTTTTATTTTATTTTTCAAATATTAACCATTGTATTGAGTATGAAGTAGTGTCTCATTATGTTTTTAATTTGCATTTCCTTAATGATTCATGATATTGAGCTTCTTTTCACATGCTTATTGGCTATTGCCATGTTTTTTTTGTTTGTTTGGTTGGTTGGTTTTTTTGAAAACACTAAGTCTGTTCAAGTCCTTTGCCCATTGTTTAATCAAGTTATTTGTATTTGTGCTGTTGAGTTATGGGAGTTTTTATATATCTGGTTATTGGCACCTGGTCAACATTGTTTTTGCAGTGAATATCTATGTTAATACATTTTCCTCTTGGTTTGAATTATTATTTTAAGTACATTGCCAGGATTGTAATTTCTGGTTTGAAAAATATGTTTTGAAGATCTTGACTTATTTGCCAAATTGCTTCTTCAAAGAATTGTGTCTAATAACTTTAGCATTATGGAAATGTAACAGTGTACCTGTAATCCCAGAATTGTATTAGTGAAATTAATTTTAATTTTTTTCAATGACACATGTAAAAATGTCCTCCCTTATCTACATTTGCATGTCTTTGATTACTGGCACAATTTTAAAATTGAATACTGTTCCATGTGTTTTTGGTGTGACGACCTTCCCTTATTTATTCATGGTTTGATCACATACTTGTGTATTTAATTATTAGAATTTGGATATTTGTCTCATTACATAACAAATATACTGCAATATTGCCTCTGTGCATATTTTTAATTTTAGTTATATTTTAGTTTTTATCACATAAAGCTATATGTGCATGTGCATAATCATTAATTACATATTTCTAACTTTTGAAGTGTGGTACTAGATTGTTCCTCCTGCTGTATTTCTATGATTCATTTTTTTAAAGCAAGGTCAACCTGTACAGCTTTTTCAAGGAACCTCAGAATTGACATACGGGAGCTGTGAAATTTACACAATCTGCTGCTCTCCTGAATGGTCACCAAAATGTCAGTCTACGCTATTATGTGGCCAGCTGAACATATTGGCGGAGGAAAATGCATCTTTTGGAAACATAGCACCAATAAATAAAATGGTCTTCGGGGCAGTGAAAGTGTCTTGGTGTCAGCAGCAGCAATCAAAGCCATATTGGAAGCAACATGGCCAAGTAAAGAAAGTAAAGGGTCCTGGCTTCAGTTGGGGGAAAGGCTGAGAAATGCTGTCCCATGAATTTTAAAGGAATAATAACCTTAAGGTCTGTGACCATGAAGGGTCTTTACAGGGACCAGAATGAGTGGTGATATTAAATCTTGAGACCTTGGCCAAATTCCAACATGGGTAATTACATTCGGCCAATTTAAAATTCCCTGCGCAGTTTCTAATGCAGTCCCCTTCTGTGCTTCTCGATGCCAACCTACTGCATGCTGCTGTTCTGCATTGATAGGTAACTGTTGACCTCTAGCCTGAAGGAGGCCTTGAAGCCACGAGGGAAAAATTTATTATAAATGTCATTTCTGTCTTTTACTTCTAAAGAATCCCACTTCCAAACATGTAGGCTATTATAGAAAAGTCTAAGGATCTTTAAGTGTGGTGTATTTGGCATGGGTATTCTTCCATGACCCTACCACCCAGGTTTGGGTTGTTGGGGGAGATACAAAGAACTTTATACTTTATACAATCTGATTTCCAGTCCAACTCTTCTAGTTCTTATTACCCGTGTGACCTTAAGCAACTCTCCCTTATCAACTTTCAAGAACCTCTCATGGTTTCAGAAAACAAAACAATTCTTTAACATAGCCAGGCCCCTCATAACTAGCCTGCAATCAGTCTTTCCTACCTTATCTATACCTACTCCCAGGAATTGAGATTCAGTCAAAAAAACTAGACCATTTTCTGTTCCCTTTCTGTGCAAATTCATGCACTTTGCCTATACCCCTGTTGTTTCTACTGTCTAAGTGACTCACAACTTCCTCTCTTCTAGAAAAATCCTATCTGTCTCTCGATACTGATCCTAAATATCAACTCCATGAAACCTTTCCTTGATTTCTCAGCTGCAAATCGTGTTGTATTCCACAGTATAAATGTGAATGTCTATAGTTGTCATAGCTTTCGTTTTAGAAATTGATCTTTTTAAGTGTACGTTGCATTTCCTGCGGAACACAATACAGGATTTTGCATTTACTGTTTTAAAAACTGAATTGTTTTAATCTTTATTTTCATATAGTAGCCTATTTGAATGTAAAAGCAGGTCTGAAAAAGGAAGGAATATATAGTTCGCTTGAGGCTAATAAGTATACACAAACACAGTCATCTCTTAATTGTTCTTTCCTGTGGGATTTTGGTTATATTCAATAACTATATATGTGCAAGTTTTATCAAATGTATTTTAAATTTCATCACCTCTTGTGACAAAAATTGTGGCATTATTCTCTCTGATAAATACATTTTTAAAATTTTCTTTCTTTATTTATTTGAGACAAGGTCTTACTCTGTTACCCAGGCTACAGTGCAGTGGCATGATCTTGTCTTACTCCAACCTCTGCCTCCCGGGTTCAAGCGATTCTTGAGCCTCAGGCACCCAAGTAGCTGGGACTACAGGCGTGAGCCACTGTGCCCAACTGATCTTAGAAAGATTGTCCTGTGTATTAGGCCGTTCTTGCATTGTTGTAAAGCAATACCTGAGACTGGGTAATTTATAAGAAAAGAGGTTTAATTGGATCATGGTTCTGCAGGCTGTAAAAGCATGTCATCAGCACCTGGTTGGCTCCTGGTGAGGACCTCCGGAAGCTTACAGTCATGGAGGAAAGTGAATGGGGAACAGGTACCCCACAGGGTGAAAGCAGGAGAGGGAGAGAGTGGGGAGGGGGTAGTGGGGACGGAGGTGCCACACACTCTTGAATAACCAGATCTCACTAGAACTCACTATCACAAAGACAGCACCAAGCTATGAGGGATCTGACTCCATGATTCAAACACCTCCCATCAGACCCGACCTCCAGCATTGAGGAATACAAATTCAACATGAAATTTGGGTGGGGAAAAATATTCAAAGTATATCATCCTGGAAGACCACTAAGGAATCAGCAAGTCTAGTCATTCCCTCTATCAAATTTCAGTTTTAAGAGTCATGATAGGGATTGGGCACCTCTATTATTAAATACAAAACTAACCATACAAAAACCTATAAAAGGAAATTTGAAAAACAGAGGTGACTTGGATGTTTAGCAACGGCTGATGACTACTGTTCTAGGACAATACTGCAGTTCAGACCATTTTAAAGGTTAGGAAGCAGAAGCTCAGAAAGCAGAAATGATTGTGTCGAGAACAGACAGGGATTCTGCAGCCAAACCTAGACTGGAACTGAGGCCATCTAGCAGCAGTTAGGTGAATTAGCAGTTAGACAGACCCCTTTGTTCTCTATATCTCCACCCCTATTTACCATCTCCAGGGTTCTATATCTGGGCTATCTGAATGGCTATTTTAACTTTTACAGGTTACAATTATAAATATATTACAAACTAGTATGTTAATTATAGATCATCTTAAAAATTCGATGCAGAAGTCTCACTGCTGCTTTTCTTTTGCTGCTTGGAATTCAGTCAGCCAAATTTGCCTCAGGCCCAATAATCTCAAGGTTTACCTCAAGTGCTCTTACTTAATAAAGACAACCTCTCAGTTGAGGGAGCACACATGTTCCCCAAAGAGAAGCTATCATTCACCAACAAGCTCATTTTCTAGGCAAGTTATGACTCAATAGCTCATGAGTTTCCAGGAATAGTGCGTGCATGAATAAAAGCTACAAGGGGAAGTATTTAATGCCAACAGGAATAAAGATATTGACTATTATATTAAGTCAAAAGTATGCAGCCTGTAGCAGTATGATTTTCTTGATCTGAATGCTAGTTACATGGTTGTACTTCCTTTGTTAAAAGGCATCAAGCTCTACATATATGATTAGTGCAGTTTTATGTATTCATGTTACACCTCAATAAAATGTTGATTTAATATAATAAAAAATAATAATAACATAGCACTGCCTTACTTTGTCATTTAGAACAAGGCAGAGAGTGGCAAGTAATTACAAGAAATTATACCTGACAACCACGTCAAATAATTTAATGTTGTCACACTTTAAAATCCAGTTTTCTGAATTCCTAGCTCTGCAATGTTGGGCAAGCCATATTACCTTCTGGAGCCTCAGATTTTTCTATATCTCCTAAATAGAAAAAATAAATACTCAGTTCATGAAGATCCTATGGTGTGATAACATAATATTGGTTAAACAAAAAGCACAGACTTAAAAAGCACCTGTCTCTCAGCAGAAATCAGTAACTCATTTATTTGTTCTCATTTGTTTGTTCAAGCATTCTTTCTGTCAAACACCATTCTGGAACACAAAGGCAAATAGATAAGCTACAGTTTTGCTTTTTGAGTAGCATAAGTAATATCTTCCCTCACCCCACCCCTTTTCTTCCGATGCCTGATTCAAGTATAGTTTTCTAACCATTTCTTCCAACATCTGCCACATGTTCTCTGGTTAGAGTAGGAAAATTGACCCTGCTTCACTCTTCCCTCCTCTCAGTGGTGTGTGAAACACCTTCCAATGGGCTTACATGGAGTACCATACCATCTTTCATAAAGCACTCACCACATTATTCTGCAGTTATTTTATTTTTATAACAAATAGTACCTGAGTGGATGAATGGATGCATACTCTTCCCCTGCCCCATTACGTCTCACACCTTCCTCCTTGGTCACCATAAACCTTAATTCGATCTCTCCTTCTAATTTCTTCTAGTGATACCCTCTCTCTTTCTTTCCTTGATACGCTCTAAATAGAAGTACTCCTTCTGGCCGGGCGTGGTGGCTCACAGCTGTAATCCCAGCACTTTGGGAGGCCGAGTTGGACAAATCACCTGAGGTCAGGAGTTAGAGACCAGCCTGGCCAACATGGTGAACCCCGTCTCTCCTAAAAATACAAAATTAGCCAGGCATGATGGCAGGCACCTGTAATCCCACCTACTAGGGAGGCTGAAGAAGGAGGATTGCTTGAACCCAGGAGGTGGAGGTTGCAGTGAGCCGAGATCACGGCATTCCACTCCAGCCTGGGCGACAGAGCAAGACTCCCTCAAAAAAAAGAATACTCCTTCCTCAATACCCCGATGTTACTATATTTTAACTTTCTTACTGACCTTAGTGTAGCATAGGAAAAGTATGGCCTTTAGACTCTGTTAGACCTGGGATTTGCTCCTGGCTTTAACATTAACTAGTGGTGTGGCCTTAGATAAATCAGCTTCTCTGACTCCATTTTCTCATTGCTAAAAGTAGAGAAACAATTTCTACTTTTTAAGGATATTGTGAGGTTTAGAAGTAATTGATGTTTAAAGGGCTTGTCACATGCTCAATGCCAATTGCTCAATGAAGAGGAAATATTATTTCAACCTTGTATTGACAACCATGTAGACATTTTATCTTCTTCTCTTCTCTCCTCTTCTGGCCTATAATGAAGGAACCGTGGCTACTGTATCTCAGCAATGCTCACACTGTCCATGTAGAGCAAATGTTCAACACGTTTGAAAAGATGTATGAATAAAAGATAAAATAAATTTCTCAATGTTGGTGGCAGAGAAAGAATATCATACAAAGTCTCTGCATCTCATATGAGTACTTGAAAATTATTCTCCAAAGGTGAATAATATAAGTGCCTCTCTGCTAGTGGATCATTCAGTCTTCCTGTTGCTGCACAAAAAAAATAGAACTGAATGGCACAGTTCACTCATCCTGCTGTGAGAACAAGCACATATTAGCACAATTTTAACTGGCACCAATTGGCTGTTATTCACCAGATTGTGACCAATTTAGATTAGGTCTGCCCTTAAATACTGTAGTGGTTTAGCTTATGGAATAATACAGGTGATAGTATCTCTATGAAGAACATTCTTTCCATTTAGATCAGATGTTGGAGGCTAGAAGCTGATAAATGTCTTAACTACTTACAAGGCCAAGTTAGAACCATAAAGGCAAGTTTCCCTTTTTGCATGCAAAGTTCTTGCCTTTGAATTTCCTGATGTAGTAAAGTGTCAATAATGCATAATAACCATCCTCCAAGACTTTATTAAAATCCTGACCTTTGCTTCAAAGCTTCTGTTTGGAAGAAGAAAAACGAGGAAAGAAAAGTAGGTCCTTTCTAACAGCCTCCAGGAGCTTTAGGCCATAGGCCAGGAAGACAGGCTGTCTTTTGGAAAACATGCCTTTGCCTGTCACCTTCACTGATATTGCCCTGTGGTGGCACTGGAGGAGCATCACCAGGAAGTCAGACATTAAAGGAGAAGCAACTCAGACAATAGGATTCTGATTCTGCTACTACAAGTATCTACTGACCTCTGAGAACTGCAGAACTCTCAGAACATATTAACTTTTTTTTTTTTTGAGACGGAGTCTGGCTCTGTCGCCCAGGCTGGAGTGCAGTGGCGCGATCTAGGCTCACTGCAAGCTCCGCCTCCCGGGTTCACGCCATTCTCCTGCCTCAGCCTCCCGAGTAGCTGGGACTACAGTCGCCCGCCACCACGCCCGGCTAATTTTTTGTATTTTTAGTAGAGACGGGGTTTCACGGTGTTAGCCAGGAAGAACATATTAACTTTATCCAAAGCCCTGCACTAAATGATTTGACCAAACTCTAGCATAGCTTCTAGCAGCATGAGGTCATGTCCCTAGGACGACCCCAGCTCCATATTAAAACGCCTGCTTGAGAAAGCTCAACTCTCCCAGGAGGTTGCTGTTTGCTCTAGCCAATACCTGATTATAGGCTCTTGACCTCCTCTTCTTAGAGAATCAACTTAGAAATGCTTACTTTTGTGAATGCTTATATTTTACAACTCAGTAGTGTCTCTCTCAGGGACCTGTGCACCATTCCTTTAAATGTAATAACCAGGAAAGATGGGGCCTCTGTCTCCCAATCTCTGTGGGAGAATAGAATTCTAACTTCAATAAGTGTCAGGCAGCAGTCACAGTTAGCACAGCTAGTCATTTGCACTGATCAAACCCTTAGTAATATTTCACTTCTCAGGCTCTACTGAGATCCTGCTCTGCTACCTCCCTCATTCTCCATTTAAAAGGCCAAACAACCTCTACACAAATAGGAATGAAGCTCAGCTGTTTCCTCTGCTATCAATAGTTACTAAATAAAATCTGTTTTCATGGCTTTAACTAACGTCAGGCAGTGTTTCTCTTTGACACCTCCACGTGGGAGTAGTGCCCTGTGATGGGAGTCAGCTTCAACCCTATGCAGATAAATAGAGATTGGAAGGGTTCCAGAAGTTCCCCTTTCCCCTCTTGTCTTTCAGGACTGCATGTAACCCAGGTAGTGAGTCTGAAGGATAGAAATGAGTGAAGCTGGCTAGGCGCGGTGGCTCACGCCTGTAATCCCAGCACTTTGAGAGGCCGAGGTGGGTGGATCACCTGATGTCAGGAATTCGAGACCAGCCTGGCCAACATGGTGAAACCTCATCTCTACTAAAAATAGAAAAATTAGCTGGGAGTGGTGGTGGGCACCTGTAGTCCCAGGTACTCTGGAGGCTGAGGGAGGAGAATCACTTGAACCTGGGAAGCGCAGGTTGCAGTGAGCCAAGATCACACCACTGCACTCTAGCCTGGGCGACAGAGCGAGACTCAGTCTAAAAAAAAACAAAAAAGGAAAAGAAAAGAAATGAGTGAAGCCTCCCACTGCACAGTCAAATTTCCAATTTCCTCTTCCAAACGACTTGAATTTCAATAGTTGGGTATATGTGTTTGAACAAATTAGCATATCTCTTCAACAAGGTAGAGTTGAGCTCTTAGTAATCAACACCTTATCATTACTGTTTAATCTGCTTATTTCCCTACACCTAGCCGAATCAAACTGAAGGAAGAGAGGCTTTTGTCAGAAACAGATGCAATAAAAAGGAAGAGGGATACCTGACTTGGAAACCCAGGGCACCACAGAGGAAGTGGGGGCAGGCATAACTAAGTGCTGCGAGGGGAAATGTGAACACCCAGAGAACAGGTACAAGGGTCAGCTGGGGATGGAGGAGAAAAGAGCTGAGGGGTATAAAAGGTGGAAACGTAAAAGGGTTTGGAAGGTGATATAATTACTTTTTCCTTTTTTCACTTTTTTTTTCTTTTCTCTTGGCTCCTGCCCTTCACCTTCCTTCCAAAAGCTCAAAATAAAATGTCTCTATAATGTGCTTTCTTTACTCTGTACCCAGCCAAATATATACACATATATATACGTGTATATATATATACGTATATATATGTATATATATTAAACATATATACGTATATATATAGACACACACACACACACACACATATATATATATATAATTTGTTGTTTTAGTTTTTGTCTTCCAATGATTCTGATCTCCCAAAAAAATGTAAATCAAAGGAAGAGGGCGATATATAAGTCACTTAATATCTTTGTATCAAAGTTTAACCATGAGAGTTTTGGACTGAATTGTAACTCAACAAATGTTTATTCAATGAGTACTACGTGCAAAATATTGTCTGTTTGCCAGGGAAACATTATATTACCCTCCCGGAGTTAGCATTCTAGTGAAAACAGCATTCAATAAGTAAATTAATTAAAATGTTACGTAATGTATTATTTGACTTGGTTGTCAGGAAAAGCTTTGCTGGGAAGGTTATAGTGGAGCAGGGACATTAATGAAGATGTGAGTAAGAGGAGAGAACAAGCAACAGGGGAACAGCGGTCCAGCAAGGGGGAACAGCAGGTGCAAACACCCTAGTATGGGAACATGTTAGTGTGTTTGGTCGACAGCAAGGAGCATGCTATGGGAGATTGAAAGAAGCAACTCAGTGCTGGATCATGTAGGGCCACACAAGGACTTTTAGGCCATAAATGACTATGGAAATTTATCTGATCATGATAAGAAATCACTATTTGAAAGCAGAGAATGACATATTTCTTGTAAAAGAATAATGAATATTTATATTGCATTTCTACATGCCAATCCCCATGCCAAGTGTTTTACTTATATAATCTCATTTAATTTAAAAACAGCACTATAATGTATATTATTGTCATTGTTATTCATATTTTTCAGAGAATAAAACTGTGAAAAAAAGAAATTAAGTAACTTGACCACATTATGTAAACTTGATCCCAGGTAGTCGGGCTTCAGATTCCTTGACCTCAATCACTAGCCTGTATTTATTCTATTTTCATTTATAAGGGTCTCTGAAGTAAGGGCAATAGACTCTTTGGGTAAGAGTTTAAGCAGGGACACCAGTGAGGGGAGAGATGGCAATGACTTGAACCATGGTGGTTGTGATGGAGAAGAGGAATAGCGTGGTTGGATTTGAGATGTGTTTTGAATGTAGAGGAAGCAGAAGGTTTGTGGATATAATGTGTACAGGCAATGAGAGAGAGTGATAACTCCAACTTTTTGACCTGAGCAACTGGGTAAAAGACAGTGTTGCTTACAAAGCTCTGGTTTGGTGTGGGGCAGAAATAAAGTTTGAATTTGAACATGTAAAGTTTGAGATGTATTTAAAACATCCAAGAAGGAGATATGAAGGAGGTAATATGGTATACAAAGTCTGGTTTGGGCTTTAGATTTAGATTTGCAAGTTATTATCATATTGATATTTTAGAAGGCCATGTGTCTGTCTGAGTTCCCCTAGGTAGAGAATATAACCACTTCAAGGATTGAGCTCTAGGACACTGGAACCTTCAGAGATCATGAAGAGGTAGAGGATTCAATAAGAATCTGATAAGGAACAGCAGATGAAATACATGAAAAACAAAGAGTCAAGTACGAGAGAGTGTGAAAGAGCAACAGATTATCTGTGTCTAATGCTGCTGATACATGTACAATGAAGACAGAGAATTGATCACCACATTTGGCAAAGTGAAGATCATTACAGATGCTGACTGTGGAGTGGTAGAGATAAATGTCTGAATGGATTGGGTTCAAGAGACTAGCAAACTCCTGATGCGTCTTACAGCTACAGCAAGATAATTAAAGATAACCTAAAAAAAAGGTGGAGGGTAAAAGCTGGGAGAAGAAGAGAATAATAATACCTTTCCAAATACATCAATCAATTGCAAAATATTTTATTGTGCATCTTCTATACATCCAGCAGTATTAGTCACTGACATCAATGAATTTGTAGCTTCATTTATTCATTTAGGCAACTATTATTCATCAAATGTTTAGTATGTGATGGATATTTAATGGGTATAGCTTTAAAATATTTTTCTCAATTGTTAGCATAACATTTTTTCATTTTTAATTATTACGGGTACATAATAGGTGTATATATGTATGGGTGACATGTGATGTTTTGATACATGCATACAATGTGTAATAATCACATCAGGGTAATGACAACAGGGTGTCATCACCTTGACCATTTGTCACTTCTTTGAGGAACATTCCAATTTCACTCTTACTTATTTTAAAATGCATAATTAATTATTGTTGACTGTAGTCACTCTGTTGTGCTATCAAGTGCTGGGTCTTATACATTCCAGCTAATTATATTTTTGCAACCGTTAACCATCCTCCCTTCCCCACAACTCCCTTGCCTCTGCTACTCTTCCCAGCCTCTGGTAACCATCATTCTACTCTCATATCTCAGTTCCTTTGTTTAATTTTTAGCTCCCACGTGTGAGTGAGAATTTGCAAAATTTGTCTTTCTGTGCTTGGTTTATTTCACTTAAATGTAAAAGGAAAAAGAGATGTTTCTATTTCTGTAATCCTAACATATCAACATTTTTTCACATTCCTTTCAATTGGTGTTCATCTCTCCACAACTTTTACTCAACCTTATTTTGTAAGCCTTTTTCTTTGTAGACATATTTCCATAATATGATAGTTATGATGCAAATATTTTATTCTGTGCGTAGACAGCGTTGGTTAACTAATCATTTTCATTTCCAACCATTTATATTGTGTTCAAACTACAATATACTATGAATATTTGTCTATATGATTATTCATCTTAATGTTATCTTCCTTAAGCTATGAGTAGCCCTTCAATGTCCGGGAATATACATCTGGTTCAATTCTGAATTACTAGCATCTGTTTGGCTTCTAGGTAGTACATGAGACTGAGTAGCGGCTGAGAGCATGAACGTCGAGTGTCTCTAGTCTCATTTTGTATTCTCCACTTGTAGGCCTGTAGCCTTGGTCAAGTTATTTAAATTCCCTTTATCTCCTTTATGAACTGGAGATAATAATAGCACCCTCCAGGTTGTATTGAGGGTTACCTGAATTAATATACACAAAGTCCTTATGATTGCACCTTTTTATTTTGTAAGCACTGTGTAAATGCTTCAGTGTACTATATATATATAAAAGTCTGTGCCCAGAATATATTTAAGGAATGAATAATAAATCAGAAAATGTTTTATTGTTGCTTCATACAGGTAACATTTTAAATTCTTTTGGATTATTTTCTCTTTGGTTCAGTGACAATGTTGTGAGCAGGTGCTGGGTCCCAGGTATCCTGAGATAAATAAAAATTTTGAGCAATTAATTTTCATAAGTGATGTCAAGAAGTAAAGTATCATGAACATTTCTATGGCTCCAATTACACTGATATTTCACCTTAGGAACTGAAGCTCCGCCAGGGCAGGGGCAGCCTCTGAGTTTCGTACTGCTGTGCACCTTTAGCAGCACGGGCACCTGCTGGTTTCATTTCCTTCCCACTCACCTGGGCCCTTTTCTTATTTCACATCTTTTTTCTCCTTTTCCTTAAATGCTTTCTCTGAATCTTGATTCTTGAAAATAAATTAGTAGGATTCAGTTAGGTAGGAGGAGGAGAAAAGAAGATGTGATGAGCAAGAAGATGTGCGAAGACTCGTCAGTCTGGTAGGTGGCTTTGGTTAGGGGGTTTCAGAAATGGGGACAGGTCATGAAGGGCCTTGCCAGTCAGGAAAAATCATGAGGCACTAGCAGTAGGAACACAGCAGAAGGTGCCTGAACAAGAGAGATGACTTAATGAAAGCCTTTATAACGCTTCCCGGGATATATTACAGACTACCATCTACAGTGGCAGAGGGCAGCTGAAGGAAGGCTCTTGCAAAAACTTGGGGAAATGGAAATGAATGAAGGCAAATATTTGTTTTGAGATTATTTCCTTCTATGTAACCTATTAGTTCTTTTATTCGTTCCCCATACATGTATTGAGTGCCTACTTTGTGCCAGGCACTGTGCTAGGCAATGGGTATATTACCAGTGGACAATACAGATTTAGTCTTGCTGTCATGTCCTGTTGCTTGCTCATATGAATGTCAGTTCAAGACAGCAAGAGCTCAGGACTGCGGAGATCGCATCTACATCCTGCCGCGCTCTGTGCCGGCACAGGGTGGTTGCGAAAATCGTGCAGTCTGAATTGATTCAAGGCCTTGCAGCATGATTGCTAAATACGTCGAGACAGGAAGAAAGGGCAGGGTGGCACCGATCTCAACTGCGAGAGCACGATCTTGCAATGAGCGCATGTGTGCGCCTCGGTGTGTAGTGAGGGGCGTAGCTTCCCACAGCGCCTGGCAGCGTGCCGAGCTGCGCTGCAGGACTAACCCTCTCCTTTCCCCGCGCGCTCAAGCCCGCACAGGCGGTGGCAGGGAGCCGAAGGGGCCGAGCGCAGCCTTGCATCCGTCCGCAGGCGGGCCCGGCGCCGCGCCTCCTGGCGGCGGGCGGGACCGTCCAGGACGCCGCCCCGCGGCCGCAGCTCCTGGAAGCCCAGAGCGCCGGTGGATCGCGAGCCAAGGCGGCGGGTGGAGCCTGAGCCGTGAGGCCGTGGCCAATCGCGCCGCTCCGGGGGAGGAGCCCCAAAGGGGGAAAAGAAAGTGCGGCGGAAAGTAAGAGGCTCACTGGGGAAGACTGCCGGGATCCAGGTCTCCGGGGTCCGCTTTGGCCAGAGGCGCGGAAGGAAGCAGTGCCCGGCGACACTGCACCCATCCCGGCTGCTTTTGCTGCGCCCTCTCAGCTTCCCAAGAAAGGTGAGTCTCGCGCCGCCGTGAGGGCTCAGAAGTCACCAAGCCGCAGAATCTCAGGGTAGACGGATTCTTAGAGATCCTATCGTTAAACCCTCCTACTTTACAGAAGAGGAAACTGAGGCACAGAACGAGGCAGCGGCTGGGATAGGTCATACTGCTAGTTAGGACTGGAGCCCGGATTCGAACCCAAACGTTCAGAGACCCATCTTTGCTTTGCAGGGATTTAAGTAACGCGGTTGTGGGACGTCTGCTCGTTGCCGCCCCCATCCTCAGCCCTTTGAGGGGTCTACCCTTGTTTTCCTCCTCACCGCCCCCTCCCCGCTACCACCCCCCGCCCCCATCTCCTCCTTGGTTTCTCCAGACCGCTGCTGGAAGCGCCGAGGACAGAAGGAAGCGGTGTGTCCCAGCACGCCCACTCGGTATCACGTCGCTCTCAGCGCAGAGCTGTGACAGCCTGGGAAAATGCTGCTTGCAGCCTCACTCCCTCTTCCCCTGACCTGCTTTCTCAGAAAGATGCCCCTTCAGAGGGTGTCGGACCAGCTTCTGGAGGAGCGCGGGGAGAGAGGAGCGAGGCCCGGGCGCCAGTGACCTCCTATGGTACTGTTTCTTCCCAGCCCCGGAGGAAGCGGAGCTAGTGGCCCTGTGGGGCACAGGGTGCCCCTCACTTGGGAAGAGCTGACTTCATGGAACCATAGAGCCCCTTCCCTCTTCTAAATACTGAGAGGGAGCAAGGAAGCTGAGTTAAAGAGAAAATCACAAACATAAAAGCAAACTTCGGCTGTTTCCTTTAAGAGCTAGCCCACAGCCTGTCTTCCCTCCACCTTCTGGTTGTGAAATTGTGAACCAGGGCGCCACGCGAAGCATTCTGCTGCTCTGCTGTACAGATCCCTGGTTTAGCTACTGGATGAGAAAGAGGACTTGAGTTTTGACTCCAGCTCTTCCATGTATTAGCAGTGTGAACTTGGGCAAGTTATCTCACCTTTCCGATACTGGGTTTTTCTTTTCTTTCTTTCTTCCTTTTTTTTTTTTCCAGCCAAAAAATGGAGATTTATAATGGTCACAATGAGCCCTTTGGGTAGTTGGAAGGATGAAATGGGATCATTCAAGTAGCATGTTTAGCACAGTGCCTGGCCTGGCATCTGGTTGGTTCAAAACCAATGGCAACTATTGTAAATATTGTTACATAGTAACCTTGCAGACAGTGGGTTTTCAGAAAGGTGATTTCATACCATCTTACAGAGGCATTTTAAAAAAATCTGTAAATGTGGTGTCTTTCTTCTTTTGAATTTGAGCAACTCTTTTATAATAAGAATTTTCTGAATGTTGTCCATATGTGATGTGGATCATGGATGCTTAGCTCGAAATGTAAAATTGATGTTTCTCGGTGATATGAATTTCCTACTAGTTTTTAGGTCAAACCTCAGGCCTGTGAACTGCCCTGATCTGAGACATCCTTTATTGACAAAGAGGGTCTTGAAATGGGTGAGAGGCAGAAAGACAAGAAGACAAAGTTGGAAGTTGCAGCTGTGTTACAGATTATTCTAAGCCTTCTATCCTTGCTCTCTTAGGTCAGTCGAGCAACCTTACATTTTTCATCTAGTATCAGAAAACAAACAAAATTCTCATATATTTCTTTTGGATTGTACAGAGATGCTGCTAAATGCAAACCTTTCTGGACACAAACTTGCCTTATTTAAACACGAACACACAGACATTCACATGCCCACACTAGTCTTCCTGTATTATTGGTATTTTAAAGTTAAATGGATTCCCTCCCACACCCTTAACCCTTCTCATGACAATTGATTTTATTCTGATGAACTTCATGCAATAATTTACTACTATCTACTGGCTTTGCCATGCGTCCTTAAATTGAGTGTCCAGCATTTGTAGTTGGCTGCCTCCTTCACAGGCCATAGCATTTGTATGCAGTATTGGTAAGTGCTTGAGAACAGAGTGTGATACATCTTGATGGAAGATAAGAGCCCAGTGGTGCCCACTTAAGTACCTCCCGCACCAAGCATTAGTAAAGGATGGGATCACCTGCTTCTATCAGCTTGTTCCATGTACATGCATTGTGGTGAGCTGGCTGGGATATGACTGAATGTGTGCCTGAGAGACAGGGGCCTTGTGGGGGAAAAGGAAAATGTTCAAAATAAGGTCAGATCATGAGGATGGAAGGGAGATTAAAAGCTAATTCCTTTGGTTCTGATTCTTCAAAGAAAGGTTGGTCAATTATACCCATATCTTCATACAGATTATTACTTGTTACCAAAACCATATATATGTATAGAACTTTAAAATTTCCAAAGTGCATTCTGTATATATGATACTCCTTGTTACTCACAATAGCCCTGGGAGGACATGGCAAGAATATTAATAGAGGAAGGAGCCCAGGTTTTGTGGTCAGACCTACTTGATTTCAAATTCCAGCTCTCATGCCTGAGTAGTTGGGTGATATTGAGCAGTTTATTTAATCATTTGAAGTTTCTGTTTTATCCAGTTCTAAAATGGAAAAAAAAAATGCTTACTTTAAAAATCTGTATAACGAATAAATTCAATAGAATAATGTCAAGTACATGTAGTGAATAGGTGCTCATTAAATGATATCTCTTCTTAGCTAGTCTCAATTTATTTAGAACATAACTGGAATGAGACTCAGAGAAATGAAAAGTTGCTAGAGGTCATGTGTTAGTATGTTTCAACTCTGGGAATACAGTTCACACCTTTTCATGTCTAGTTTAGGGCATTTCCCATCACACTCTGTTTCCTCGCCAATGAGATATTTAACAATTTACTTCAGTTATAAAGTTGACCTTATTTGTCTGGTTATTTCAGGATATCCTTTTTGTTGAAAAGCAGGTATTTTCTTGCAAAGAGAACAATCCTTAAGCACAGTTCTGTAGAGTTTAGTGGAGCCAACTGTCATAAGAGGGTATTTAAAGCAATGGTCTCTAAGACAACCTTCCTACTCTCCTGTGTTGGATGTAATACACCTTTGATTCCTAAGAGAAAGGGTACTAACTAAGAAGACATAAAGTACAGAATTATATCACTCTTTTCTTCCTGTTGTGAGTGGTTTCTTCCCTCTGCCATCCTCATGCTAGTTCAAAGGCTGGGAAGAAGATTGAACAACAAATGTTATGAGTGTCCATGGCATTATTCAACTTTTTTTTTTGACAATTTTGTGGGTACTGAGTAGAGTAGACAGAATAATGTGCAAAGGTGGCATTTGCAGAAAGAGACCACTGCTTCCTGGTGGTGCTGATTACTTGTCTGGAGTTTCACTCCTCCTTGTGGAAAGTGATGGCTGGAGGCTCATGTTGGAAGATGAAGGGATCTGTTTCTGGCCCAGGCAGTGGGGCTGTTCATCTGCTGAGACTTCTCATAGGCCATTAGATTTCTCTTCTTTGTAGCAAGCACACAGGCTTGCAAACGCAGATGTAGAAGGAACATTTTGCTCCTTGCTTTTGGCATTTTGGAGCATATGTTTGCTCCTATAGGTAAGCAGTTAGCATCATCTTACCTGGCACGGTTAGGAAAGCAGAATGTGGCTTGAGGAAATCAGAGGACGTAGAAAAAAACAAAGATTATCTCCAGCCTATACACAGCTTCATTTGTTGCTCAACTTCATCAGGCTTTTGCTGGTGACACAGATGTAGGATCTGGTGAGTCACTGTTGCCTTGCCCATGAAATATTAAAGAGAGCCACCTACTGTGCTCTTTGCCCATTTTGGAAATTGTTCTGCATGGAAAAAAAAGAAGAAGAAAAGAAAAAAGAAACACCAAAGAATAGGAAGGTTACAGAACATTTGGTAAGTGATATTTCGGTGGATAAATTCAGGTTAGCCATTCATTTGCTGCCTTTTTTTTTTTTTTAAATGATAATGCATGGTTTACACTGATAGGGTTGTTAGGAGACATCCCTTTGGTCTGACTTTATTCTAACTCTCTGTAGCAGCTGTGGTAGTGTGGATTTTGAGAGTCTGGCTGAAATCTGAGGCAAGTTATTCTATAGAGATGATCTTTTGGCTCTGCAGCTAGGAAATAGGGACACTGATGCCTGCTTAGAAGCTTAAGTCCCTATTTATTTCAACATCTTATTCATAGAAAACATTTAATAAACACTGATTCTGTCCTCTGCTAACAACTCCTTCAATGTATTAGTCTGTTAAATTACGATCATCATAATTTAACAGGTACTCTTTACTTGTCTCCATCATTATTTGTGCTGAGTATCTTAAATATATCATCTCATTCAATCCTCACAATAATCCTGTATATTTTTTTAGGAAACCGAGGCTCATAGAGTTACGTAGCATGGCCTATGTATTAGTCTGTGTTCATGCTGCTGATAAAGACAGACCCAAGACTGGGCAGTTTGCAAAAGAAAGAGGTTCATTGGACTTATAGTTCCACATGGCTGGGGAGGCCTGACAATCATGGCGGAAGTCAAGGAGGAGCAAGTCACATCTTACGTGGATGGCAGCAGGCCAAAAAAGAGAACTTGTGCAGAGAAACTCTCATTTTGAAAACTATCTGATCTTGTGAGACCCATTCACTATCACGAGAATAGCATGGGACAGACCTACCCCACATGATTCAATCATCTCCCACTGGGTCCCTCCCACAACATGTGGGAATTATGGGAGCTACAAGATGAGATTTGGGTGGGGACACAGAGCCAAACCATATCAGCCTGTGTAACAGCACAAAGCAAGACATGATGCTGAGACTCATCTACGCATTTTATTCTAGAGTTAGGAAGAACTTCCAATTGTCCCACCTCTGGACTAGAACTGAGGACTTAGACTAAGACCAATGACCTACCCAATCATCATCCTACATCCTCATCCCGGTACTACCTTGCCTGTGACTGAGAAATATCTTTACCTTTGGACCTAAAATGTGGGAGAGCTGAACTAGATGATCTCTAAATTTCTTCTGCTATAACGCATTGTGTATCTTTAAGATTCCTTTCAACTTTGAGATTCTGTAATCACATCTATTTGCAAAAGTTAAAGCTAAAATGGAGAAAGGGGAGTAAAAAGAAAATACTCTTATTGTTTTATTCCCTGGAGATGTATTTTTCTGAACAAACAAAGATGAGCAAGAGAAATCAGCATTTCATCGGCACATGTACTTTTGTCATTTCATTTAAACATAAAAATAACTCTCAGATATATATTATTATTTGCCTTTTACAAATGAAAGAACTGAGGCTCAGAGAGACTTATAGACTTGCCCAAGGTTTCCTAATTAGTAAAGATTGGAACCTGCGTGTGCCTGAGTGCAAAGCCTTTTGGTCCACTACAGCATATTTACTAGATACCACACCATGAAATTTGGAAACTCATATAACCAGATTCGTAAATGCCCCATCTCTGTATCCTCACATCACACTACCTCAGCTTCTGTCTTCTCCTCTTCTTCTACTCTTTCCTTTCCAAACATACTGCTCCAATCCTTTCTTGATTCTCTCCAGCTCACAAAACCCCTTTTAAATGCATATAACATCTTCTATCTCTATTGTTATTATTATTATTTTTTTTACTGTGGTCCTGGAATTTGTAATTTGTGCTTTTGTTTTTGTTCATCCCCATTGGGCACAGGACAGAATAAGCTATGCCATCAGCTGAGAGACTTACAAATGTCTCTATCTAATCTGTGTGTCAATCATCTTTCTATCTAGCTCTATTTATTAGTGAAATTAAAGAAAGATAGAGCATATTAAGCCCCTGGCTCTTAATAGTTGGCACCTAGAAGGGACTTGGTAAATATTCATTCCTTCCTCATCATTCAGCACTGCTGTTTACCCAAATCATTACTCATTTAATGAATCTCAGATGGAGAGGGGGAGTATATTGAGTAGATGCCCCAGCTGGTCTAAGAGAATGTGCCACAGTTTGGCAAGCAATTGGGATGGTAAAGGATAGGAAATGAATGTGATATTTACCTTAAAATATCTGCTGAGGATATGGTTTATTCTGCCCTGTGCCTAGCACAGTGACTCATACATAAGAAGGGCAAAATTGAACGGATGATGGGTTCATATTATGTCAGTGGGCCCAAAATTGACTTTCTGGATTTCTCGTGCTTTATCAATAGTATTAGTTGTGTCAAAGTTTGCCTCTACAGACTAATAAAGTAGTTTTAATTTCCTTTAATTTTGTGGTCACAAAATCAGACAATGATAAGGAGTCATAGGCTCCAAGAAAGTTAGACATTACTAGCTCAATGATGGGAAAACCCATTTCTGTCCTAATAATAAAGGGCATTTTGCAGAAAACACGGTGAAGGATGATGCTGAAGTGCCCGTTTGCATATATTGACAGCAAGACCAGTGTCAAGTATCATAAATAAATTGCCAGAGAGAAAGTAGGAAGTTTCCATTGAAGTGGGCAGCTGCAATGAGCTTCGATCTCAAGATTTCTAAAAGCATTGAAGAATTTACATCACTTCAACTATTATTTTCTGTTGAACATGAGAACAGGTAACCTTTTATGTCTAGTTTATATCCAGCAGATGCTTGTGATTTCTACCTTTCTGGCACAAAAGTCCTCATGATTACACGGCTTCCTCCTCTGCCAATCAATGCTAATGGCAAGAGAAATGAGAAGCAGTCATTTTATAAGCATTATGTCTGGAAATGTTCCTTTCGTTGATAGCAGTTTCTTAACGCCAGTATGGTTAGATGCTATGGCAACTTAAAATTGTGTTTCCATAATATAGTGGACATTGATGTCAAACTGATCTGCCTGGGTTTGACTTTGGCCGAATTATTTGGTCTATCTTTGCCTTATTTTTATGATCTGTAAAATGGGGATAATAAAACCCATCTTGTCAGGCCTTTGGTAAGTGTCAATCATATGCCATGACATTTGTCAAGAGGCTTATGCATAGGGATTTTAACCTCTATTACAATTAACAACAGCAATGAGAATTGTTCCATTGCATGCCCAGATGGATACTAAATTAGAAAAAGAAAGATCCAGGTTGAAATAATAACAGCTTTTTTTTAATATAGAACTTTAAGTCGTCAAAATGCTTGTTATTGTATATGCAAATGTATACACATGTAACATTTTTTTTTTGCAATAATTCTGAGGTAATCAGGGCAGGTGTTGCTAATGTTTTACATCATGAGTCTCAAAGGGGCTACATATTTACTACAGCCAAGCAGCTAATAAATAGTAGAACTGGGACTTGGACCCTAGTTTTCTAACTCCAAGATTATGTCATTTTTTTTTTTTTTCCTCAGTCAATCAGCCCTGGTCCTGGTTAGTTGCGTTTCCTTCTCCAGACTCCTTGCTTTCACCCCGAAAATGAGCAATTTGGAAAATATTATGTCTAAGGTAGAGTGTTTTATAAATCTGTGACTGTAGAACAATGTCTTAGGAGGTATCTCATTGGCCTCGGTGAGAATTACAACCGGGTACTGCACGGAGAGTCAGATCCATAAAGAACCCTTTATGTCCTTAAGGATGTGATTCTGCCACATTACTCTGACCTACAGATCATTCCCCATCTGCCCCATCCCCTTCAGGACCCAGGTTTGGGGATGGGAAGAAAAAGTAGATGACTCGGTTAGGCACATGGACATTTAATATTTGGGAAATGATAATAGAGCCTTTCTTAAAAAAAAAGCAAGTTCTGTATCACCGTTAATCTCCATAGTTTTCTACAACAAAATAAAGGAGAAAATATTTTGCTTTAGTTTGGATTCTAGCGTTGAGTACACATTTTCTGCTTTCTTCTTTTGAGCTCTTAGTGCCCACAGAAGAGGCTTGACTCTCATTAAAATGTGAGTTCTTTCTGTTTATAGAAATGATGGAGACTTGAGAATGGTAATACACACTAAGTAGCACTTTTCTGGAAGATTATACTTCAGTTTCCCAATTACAGAGTGAGACAGTGGTGGGGGCAGCAGATTGAATGAATAGAGTAGATCGTAAGAAGTAGGCTGAGCTTCGGAATCAGGCTGGGTTTGAATTCTAGATACTGCATGCCTAGCCTGTCCAGACTTAGTTTTCTCACCTGTAAAATGGTAATAAACATGCCTGCCTTCCTTTGCTTCCTTCCTTCCTTCCTTCCTTCCTTCCTTCCTTCCTTCCTTCCTTCCTTCCTCCCTCCCTCCCTTCGTTCCTCTTCCTTCCTTCCTATTATCTATGTATCTTTCTATGTATCTATCTATGTATCTATGTATCTATCTATCTATCTATCTATCTATCTATCTATCTATCTATCTCTATTTATTAATAAGGTTCAAGTAAGAAAAAATATATTAAGCCTCTAGCTTTTAATAGCTGGCACCTAGAAGGCACTCAGTAAATATTCATTCCTTCCTCTTCATTCAGTGCTGCTGTTTACCCAAAGCCTCTCTCATTTGATGAATCTCAGATGGAGAGGGGGAGTATAT
Organism: Homo sapiens; assembly: GCF_000001405.40. Classification (NCBI taxonomy): domain Eukaryota; kingdom Metazoa; phylum Chordata; class Mammalia; order Primates; family Hominidae; genus Homo; species Homo sapiens. Next base: position 190,522,636 of record NC_000003.12, read on the forward strand.
CAAGTAGATGCCCCAGCTGGTCTAAGAATGTGCCACAATTTGGCAAACAATTGGGATGGCAAAGGATAGGAAATGAATGTAATATTTACCTTAAAATATCTCAGAATCTTTCATGTGTAGGAGGAATTAGACCAGTGATAAATTGCAGTGCATGGATCTTTCACAACAGAATCATGTGGATACCTTCTGAAATGAGCAGATATCTAGGATATCTGCACTGAAATCTAAGAATCACTGGATTAGAATTTTCAGTACTCAGAGGCAGGATATTGTAGGGGTTTGAATTTGGATTCAAATTCTGCTCCCTCAGTGTAAACCTAAGGAAGTTATTTAACTTTTCTATGTTACTCATTGGGTTGTGGGGAGAAGTAAGTAATTTGATACATATGAAGTGCCTAAAACACAGTTTTACTTACTGTATAAGCCAGTCTTTGAAATACCTTGCATGACTTTGTTTAACTTACATTTTATTTCCTCTCTAACTAAATGTCCTAGATAACTACTTGGCTAACTCTTTCATTTGCTTAAAGTCTTTTTCAATATCTCCTCAGGGAAGCCTACTTGGATTGCTTGAATTTGCATGGGTTGGGGTAGGGGAAGCAGGAATAGGGCTGCTTGCTCTCTGAAATCCTGATCTCCCTTACCCTACTCTTATTTTTCCTTTATTCTGTGGCATTTGGTACCTTATAAGCTTACACATACTATTTTATTATTTTATTTAGTCTATTTTTAAAATTTAACTTTTATTTTAAATTCAGGGGTACATGTGCAGGTTTGTTACATAGGTAACCTTGTGTCGTGGGGATTTGTTATACAGATTATTTCATTGCCCAGGTATTAAGCCTAGCACCCATTAGTAATTTTTCCTGATTCTCTCCCTCCTCCCACCTATCACCCTCCAATGGGCCCCAGTGTGTGTTGTTTTCCTTTATGTGTTCATGTGTTCTCATTTAGCTCCCAATTCTAAGTGAGAACATGCAGGATTAGGTTTTCTGTTCCTCTCTTAGTTTGCTAAGGATAATGGTCCCCAGCTCTATCCATGTTTCGGTAAAGGACATAATCTCATTCCTTTTTATGGCTGCATAGTATTCCACGGTGTATATGTACCATATTTTCTTTATCCAGTGTACCAATGACGGGCATTTAGGTTGATTTCATGTCTTTGCTATTGTGAATAGTGCTCAGTGAACATACACATGCATATGTCTTTATAATAGAATAATTTATATTCCTTTGGGTGTATACCCAGTAATGAGATTGCTGGGTTGAGTGGTATTTCTTTTTGTAGGTCTTTGAGGAATTGCCACACTGTCTTCCACAATGGTTGAACTGATTTGTACTCCCAGCAACAGTGTATAGTGTTCCTTTTTCTCTGCAACCTTGCCAGCATCTGTTATTTTCTGACTTTTTAATAGTAGCCATTCTGACTGGTGTGAGATGGTATCTCGTTGTAGTTTTGATTTGAATTTCTCTAATGATTAGTGATGTTTTATTCATATGCTTGCTGGTTTCATGTATGTCTTTGGAAAGGGTCTGTTCATGTCCTTTGCTCATTTTTTCTAAATAGGTTGTTTTTTCTTGTAAATTTGTTTAGGTTCCTTCTAGATGCTGGATATTAGACCTTTGTCAGAAGCATAGTTTGCAAAATTTTTCTCCCATTCTGTAGGTTTTCTCTTTGCTCTGTTGATCATTTCTTTTGTTGTGCACAAGCTCTTTAATTAGATCCTATTTGTCAATATTTGCTTTTGTTGCAACTGCTTTTCGTGTCTTCATTATGAAAAATCTTTGCCCATTCCTATGTCCAGAATGGCACTGCCTAGGTTGTCTTCCAGGGTTTTAAGTCTTTAATCCATCCTGAGTTAATTTTTACGTATGATGTAAGGAAGGGGTTCAATTTCAATCTTCTTCATATGGCTAGCCAGTTACCCCAGCATTATTTATTGAATAGGAAATCCTTTCCTCATTTCTTATTTTTTATTTCACCTCCAGTAGATTATAAAGTCCACAAGGACAGGGACACTTGATTTGCTTATTGCTGTATCCCAAGTGCCTAGAATAGTTTCTAGCAAATAGCAAATGGCCAATAAGGAGGCAATGATACATAAATAAGTATATGGATAGATGTTAGTGTGATTATTTGTCCCCAAGAAGTAGAAAGAGATAGAACCGGATAAGACAGTAAATTATACATGTAATATTCAAATAAAATTTGACATACATATATGCGCATATACACACATATATATACACATTTACACACATACATATACATATGTATATATAAGTGTATGTGTGTATTTTTGGAGTGTTGAGTATATATTTAAATATTGAAGTAATAATTTATGTCTATGTACATATATATATGTGTGTACATGTATATATGTGTATGTAAAAATAAGTGTCTATTTATCTATATATTTAGGAGTTTTTCAAAGCTACCTGAGGAAACAGAGGTGTTGAAGTGTTTACTTGTTAGGTTGCTATAGTGATAGGAAGAAAGATGAAAATATGTACATATGAGTCAAGAGACAACAGACAAACAGAAGAAATAGAAGTGATTTCAGGACAAGAAATGAAAGGCTAAGATTAAAACAGCAACCAACATTGGAGGGACATAGAAGAGGGACAGTTTTTAAGTAGACTAGTCAGAGAAGTGATCTCCGAGAAACTGACATTTGAACTAAGACAAAAGCCTGAGAAGGACCCACGATAGGCCTGAGGTCGTCACTGAGGTGGTGGGCCAAGTAAGAGACAGTGAAGAGCTGGAAATAAGGTTCTAAGATAGGCAAGGCCTAGGTCAGACTGGTCTTGCAGGCTATGGTGAGGAGTTTGGATTTTACGCAAAGTGTAGCAGGAAGTCACTGAACAGACAGAAGCAGGATGATGAGCAGGTCAAAGGTGTTTAGAGCCTTGAACAGAGAGTGAAGGAAAATGGAAGAACTTATTTATAAGATGAGAAGACCAACTGCTCTGATTTCATCATGTAGGCTGTTATGAACAGATGAGAAAGACAATTTGGTTTCATTGATGTTTCATTCATAGGCTCTCGTTCCCATTAGAACATTTCAAAAGGGAAAACAAAAACCCAGCTAAAATAGGGAAAACCTATATATTCTAGATGTGGCTTTGCTTTTTCTCAAATGATACCATTCTTATTTCCAAATGCATTAAGTAATGGATGGAAATGTATGCACTATTGCTCAATTCAATTCAGCTGGAAATTTTACAGTTCTTGTGTAGGTGTTTTATGTAATCAATTCCCCAAAACACTGAACCTAGAGCTATTTCCTTAGGAAACTTTAGCTACCAGTTTCTGAAATCTGTCGTAGTGAAGAGTAAGCATGTGAAAGGCAAATTAAATTCCATACAAGATCAATTTCTTCTTTCTGACTCTACAAATTTAAATGGTACCTAACTCTTGAAGAAGTAGCTTACAGGTCATCTCTTCCGTGATGTGTTTACTGGGCCCGTGCACATATAATCTCATACATGCCTCTTCATAATATGAGTTTAAAATAGCTTGATAACATATGCCAGACTCCATTTCAAATTTTCTATAAATAATTTCTTTTTGAAGTCTCGGAATAACCGTATGTGGCAGGTGAAGTTATAATCACCATTTTACACAAGACAAAACTGAGACCCGGAATCACAGAGTTGATCAGTGGTAGTGTCAATATTGGAAATTGAGCAAGCTTAATCATTATACTATTCTGCTCTTTGATTGTAAAAAGTAAACCTGCACATTTATTCACCTCTATTTGTCCCACTTACTTTGTGGTGCCTTATATGAAGGAATAGTTCAATAAGCGTATTGAATCAGTGAATTAATCTGTGACCTATTCTTTCAAGTTGTATCATTTCATTAGCAAATAGTGATAAAAACGTGGGTTTTAGACTGAGGCAACCTAGGTAGCAGAAGGTACTCACTACCTCTGTGATATGGTAAAATTACTAACATCTCTAAACCTCTTTCTTCATCTATGTTGTTGGCACAAATGTAGGGCCATTGTGAGGATTACATGAAGTGTGCATGTAAAGCACTTAGCACAGTTCCTGGAACATAATTAGAGCTGAGTCTATCTGAACTGTTTTTATTATTTTTTGAACTAAAATAACCTCCTCAAACATGATTACAATTATGTACCAGGCAGTTTTTTAGTTGTGCTTGTTTTATTAACTTTCTTTTAAAAATCAAAGCCAAAGATTCAATCATATAATCAGTGATGTTAATTTTGTTCCAGGGCTCATCCTGGCATCCTGCCCTCAGCAGGGCATGCAGTGTGGATTCTGAAAGGCCCTCTTATAGGAAGGAAGGCCAGTTCTGGAGAACAGCATGAGAGCAAAAGGTGCTGTGTGACCACGCTTTTTTCCTCCATACATCTGACATAGCTAAAGGCAGCACTTCCAACCTTGCCTGTCTATCTCCCTAGCCTGGATCTACCTTGCTGGAAAGTTACTTTGTATTCCAGCGATGATCCCAGAGCATTTTGGGTGACAAGGAAAAAACAGCAGAAGACTAAAGTTTTGCCCCAGATAACACTTAATGAGGTTAATTTACAGAACTTGCTGGAGGTTTAGGACCTAATATTGATCCTGTGCCTCTTGTGTACCAGGAGCTGTGCTGAATGTCTTAGTTTCATTATCTCATTCAATCCTTACTGCAGCCATGTACAAATTTTAGTCGTAAACCAAATTTACAACTAAAAAATAAAAATAAAAAGTGACATGCTTGACATGCTTGCCTCTACGTGTGTTTTGCAGGGCTGTGGTGATAAAATCAAATATTTCTTGTGTTTTGCCACATTTTTCTTTGAAAGCAAATTTTGCAGCGTTGCAACACCTCTGGAGTCTCCAGGGACCTCCCCTGCAGTGAAGACACATTTGGCAGAGAAATGAGGCAAAGGTTGCATGTGGAAGGCAGGAAGTTTCATTCCAGTTGACAGTTTACTTTGACCTGGAAGAAGCTGGTACCAATGAGCTGAGTTCTATTTTGTGGATTACATTTGTTTGCTTCTTTGTAGGGAACCAATATGGTGCTTGTTTACATTTTTTTTTTTTTTTTTTTGCTTTTGGTCTTGTTATGGGATGTTTAAAAGGTGTAACTTTTATCCTTCTACATTTTCCAAGTAAAGTTCAGATGTTTCGATATTCCTGACACTATTTGATAAATTATTTTAAGGAAAGGTCTACACACACACACACACACACACACACACACACACACACACACACGAGAATGGTGCCTGATTCATAATTGGCACTCACTATATATTTGCTGAATGAATACATAAGAAAATAAATGCATTTCCTTTTTCATCTTTCTCTCTCTGAGAATGGGAACTGCTGCAGGATTTTTTTAAATGGCAAGTTTCAATATATACCTTTCTTCTTAAATGTTTGCTTTAAGAATAATTTCAGAAGGAGATTATTCTAAAATATGGAGCATTACTTAATCTTAGTTATGCAGCACAGCTAATTGGAGTGGACTGTAATTCCTTTGGAATTTATTGAGGTGAGATCATTTACTTGTATACTAAATGGTCCCAGACTGATATACTGTTAAATTTGTGTAGTCTGATTTTCATAAATTTGCTGGCCTTTCTCTCTCTTATTGTCTGCTAATTCTCATTGCTTTTGGCATGTCTGGCTCTCCATTCCCCATACAATTAACAGTTTCTACTTTACTGCAGACTAGGAAGCTGGGTAATGAATTTGTTGGACCGGGCATATAATAAGAATACATAGCTTTGAATGTGGACTAGAGAGACTCTTTTCCAAGGTAAGGAAGTTAAAAGTTATGGCTGCTATAGAAACAGTCTTCATATAAGGTGATACCACACATAGTAACACTGGGTTTCAGTTGCCTGCGTTAATAAAAAGGGAGGCTTGGTAGGGATAATTCATTTACTCTTTTGGACAATAAGCATTTTCTGAGAAACTTCTGTAGGCAAGACACTGGTGAGATATAGAGAATTAAAAAAGCAAATACACAAACACAACTGAAAGATAAAACATACACAGGGGTTTATAATACAATTTATACAGTATTTCAAATAGCATGAGAATACATAATGTACTTTGAAAAGATATATAAGGTAATAAAACATTTTTGTATTTCAGAGGAAAGACAATTGTGTAACTCAGGAAGGGCTTTATAAGGAAGTTGTATTTAAAGTGAGTCTTGAAGTGATGGACAGGTTGGACAGAGAGAGATTGGTAAGGAGAAGTGGTAAATGAATTATGGTCTGACCGGGGTGAGTGAATGATATGGATTGTGCGATTTATCAGAGAGAGCTACAATTGTGGGAGAGACTGGGCAACTGAAGGCCTAGGGCAGGATATTTGGGAGATGAGAGAACAGTTAAGAAATCCTGAGAAGGCACTGGTTAGGAAGTCTGTTGAGGGCTGTTGCCTCTGCCTGTGGCAGGCAGACAGTCAGAAATGAAATCTGGATGTGACGTGGAAAAGGACAGATTGGAGCCCCTGAGTCTCTAGTTTGATGATATAGGTGTTCTGCAGAAGAGATTGGTGCTCTTAGCCACGGAATTTCACATCTGCCTGGCTTCAGACGGAGGAGTTTAAAGGGAAGATCTGGCAGGAATTGAAAGAGCAGTGGGCAGCCAGGCGCAGTGGCTCAGCCTGTAATCCCCGCACTTTGGGAGGGCCGAGGCAGGTGGATCATGAAGTCAGGAGTTCGAGACCAGCCTGGTCAAGAGACCAGCCTGGCCAACGTGGTGAAACCCCTTCTCTACTAAAAATACAAAAATGGCCGGGCGTGGTGGCTCATGCCTGTAATCCCAGCACTTTGGGAGGCCGAGGCGGGCAGATCACGAGGTCAAGAGATCAAGACCATCTGGCCAACATGGTGAAACCCCATCTCTACTAAAAATACAAAAATTAGCTGGGTGTGGTGACGCACGCCTGTACTCCCAGCTCCTTGGGAGGCTGAGGCAGGAGAATCACTTGAACCCGGGAGGCGGAGGTTGCAGTGAGCCGAGATCGCGCCACTGCACTCCAGCCTGGCGACAGAGCTAGACTGTCTCAAAAGAAAAAAAAAAAAAAAAATTTAGCCGGGCGTGGTGGCAGTCACCTGTAATCCCAGCTACTCGGGAGGCTGAGGCAGGAGAATTGCTTGAATCCGGGAGGCGGAGGTTGCAGTGAGCCGAAGATCACAGCGCCACTGCACTCCAGAGTGGGCAACAGAGCGAGACTCTGACTCAAAAAAAAAAAAAAAAAGAAAAGAAAAAGAAAGAGCAGTGGGCCTGGCTGCTGCCCCATCTAGGAGGTGAGCCAGTGATCAGCAACAACGTATGTGAGTTGCAGTACTACCTAGAGGCCTAGACAGACCCTCTGAATAAAGTTCTCTATGGGCAGCCCTAACTTGGAACCATAAAGAGTAAGGAATTCTAGGAAACATCATTCCAGTTTAACTATTTTTGCACAGTTAGGAAACAGAAGTGACTTTTATCTTAGAGAAAGGGAAGATAATGAAAACATAAAGTGAAGGAGGGAAACAGGAACCTGCCCTGGAGAGAGCCCAGTCTGACCGGGAGATAATATGTGAATACATCATCATTGAATGCAAGGAGGCACTATTTTTTGGGGACCTTAAATGCTCTGTTAAGAAATTCATACTTAATCCTATAAGACATGGAGACACAATGAATATTCTCGAGTAAGGGAGGGGCATTATCAGATCTGTATTTTAGATCTGGCTTAGAGAGGGAATAAGTGGGGCAATTAATGAGGATTCTATTATAATAATCAAGGTGGAAAATTTGCATTCCCAGAACTTTCTTCTGTTCTCACTAAAGGAGGTGACCCAGAGTCATCATAAGATGTTCTGGACCATTCTGGGAATTAAAAATGCTAGTGTACATTACAAGCCAAAGTGATTTCACCTATGGCTGCTATTGTCAACTCCGATGCCCTTATGGTATGCCTAGATAACTCTTCTTAAAAACTCCCTGATAAGTTTGCTTCTAGTAGGTGAAGAACAAGGAGAAGTGTATACACAATTAGAACATCGGCTTAAATGAAATTGGCTTATGCAATCATGTCAGTATCATTTTGAGAGGAGAGATCCTATAAAAACAAATACTTATTACGTAGTAAATTAAGACTTTGGGGCTTTACTGAGTGGTAACAACAGTATTCTCTTATGTGTATCCAAGTGCCCAACAAGTTACAGACCACTTACATGTTCATTATCTCATTTGATTTGATAACAGCTCTGCAAGGTCAGTTTTATCTGAATTATTACAAGTGAAAAAACTGAAGCTCAGAGGTTGTGATGACCATCAAGTGGCCACTTAGCCCCGATGATTCAAGAGCTCATTGGTGTTCTATATATTCAAAGGGCACCATTCTATTGCTCAACTTTCCATTTCGCTCTATGCACCACTGCCTGATAATCTTGGGACATATCTTTGTTCATGCTGTGTCCTTGTTCTAAATCCATTCATCGCTGGGCCCTGTTGCTCACACCTGCGATCTTAGCACTTTGGGGAACTGAGGTGGGAGGGTCCCTTGAGCCTGGAAGTTTGAGGTTACAGTGAGTCTGGACTGTGCCACCGTACTCTAGCCTGAGCAACAGAGCAAGAACCTGTCTGTAACAATAATAATAATAATTAAAAAAAATCCACCCATAGTTCTTGGACATTCTCACTTTAAAGATCTCTTTCCACCCAAAGAACAGGCTTTTTGTAACCCAGGTGTTACAATTTCAGCTGTTCTGTTTCCTCACTTTCCTGAAGTATTTTTACTGCCTTTCCTCAAAGCACAGGACACCAAACACAGGGTAAAGAGGAAAGGGTTCTTTACAAAAGCATACCTGAGTGGATACCTTAACACCCTCAGGAAATCTACACATCTTTGAATTAGGGCATTCCATAAGTCTTCCCTGTCAGCACTTCCCGGCACATACTCCTGAATGTTTAAAAACCAACCATATCTCTTGGCTTCCTACTTGTCAAGACACAGCTGAACTTACTCACTTGTCTTGACTTATGTAAAACACACACTTACAGTCAGTGCTGTATCACCTAAGACTTCAACAGCCAGCAGCAAGTGAATTAAGAAACCGTAATATATCCTCCATTCAATGCACCCTTGCAGGGTTTTGCACCCCTAAAGAGATCCCTAGGGCACATGAAATCGGGTGACTACCCCAGCTTCTTGCTGTGGGGAATCTAGGGTTTTTGTAGTTAATGATATTGAGACATGGACTTAGGGGAACAGGAGGAGGCATATAGAAATCAAGCTTTCGCAGCAGCCATTAAATGGAATACGTGTAATCGTTCTCAAAGAATACTAGATTGCTGGGGCCAAAGAGGCTAAACCTCTGGCTTTGCAGAAAGGCCTCAGAGGAATATGTTGTGTTTATAAAGTCAGCCAAACCTACCTGTAACTGGCTTTCTAGTTCTGGCATAGTGCACTTTCTGGTATCATGCTGCTTCTCTTGTCTTGGTTCTCACACATGAGTTTTGGCCTAATTGCTCTAGTTTGAGAGAGTCAAAGGCAAGTCTTCTAGTAATGAGGGGAAAAAAGGATAATAGCTAACAAGTTGAAGTGCTTACTGTGTGCCAGGTGCTTTACAAAATTACCTCATATAATCATCTTTCTTTTTTTTTTTTTTTTTTTGAGATGGAGCCTTGCTCTGTCGCCCAGGCTGGAGTGCAGTGGCACCATCTCGGCTCACTGCAAGCTTCGCCTCCTGGGTTCACGCCATTCTCCTGCCTCAGCCTCCCGAGTAGCTGGGACTACAGGTGCCCGCCACCACGCCCTGCTAATTTTTTGTATTTTTAGTAGAGACGGGGTTTCACCGTGTTAGCCAGGATGTTCTCGATCTCCTGACCTCGTGATCTGCCCGCCTCGGCCTCCCAAAGTGCTGGGATAATCATCTTGTCTAATTCCATGTGAGGTGCTTTACTGACCCTGTCCACCAATAAGGAAATTGAGAGTCAATGTGGTTAAGTAGCTTGTACAGCTGTGGAGAAGGACCTGAACCCAGGTCTATATGGCTGTAAAGCTCATGATGAAACCCCGTGCTTTGCCTCCCTGTGCTGAGGCGTGCCGTGCATCCCATGGCCCCTATCCAGTTTGCTTGCACGTACAGCTGAACATCTTATAACAGGCGTTTAGTTAGTACTCTGATGTGTCTGACAGTTCCCTAGAAGCTCAGCTTGGACTGAGCCAGCCCATTTGCGTTTCTGGCCTCTTCTTGCTTCCTTTTCTCCTTTTTCAATTTCCTTTTTCGGCTCAGGCAGCATGGGAGATGCCTTAATCAATTGATGATAGTTCCTTCTGTTTTAATGACATTCTCATTTCCTCAGTATGTTTTTCTCACTTTGAGGGTTGGAGAGGGGAGTAAGGGAACAAATACTTTCAAAAACCCCTAGTCTCCTAGTTTTGAAAGTAAGTTCCATGACGTTATGGAAATGCTGCTTTGAAATACTGGAACTGCTGTATTGAATGCCCATAGGTGTCTGTGAAAGAGGGAACCGTAGGCCCAACATGGCTCGAAAGACTTCATCCAGGATAAGTAGGTTGACATGACAAGGGATTTGGGTCCAGCTCAACATAAAGAGACATTTATTACAATTAGGGCCATATGAAAACTACATTAGTAATGAGTTCACCATCACTAGAGATATTAAAAGAGGGCCTAGACATCTAGTTGGCAAGGATGTCACAGGGAGATTTGAATATTGGAAAAAGGAGTTTGAATCAAAATGACATTTAAAGGCCTTTCCGGCCTTGAGATTCTGTCTTGAATTCACTTAGAAACTTTATATTGGGAATAAAGGTTTCCCCTTGTTATAATTAACACCAACTAGTGATGTCTCCTCCTCCCTCCCCCCTGTGCTTCCCCTGTCTGAACAACTACTCGATTTAAGAAGGGGACTTAGGATGAGGAAGGATGTGGTTCCTTCCCACTTGGCAGCACTCCGTGTCAGAATGGAAGACTTGTGTCTGGGCCTGGCACGGTTCCGTCAGGCCCTCTTACCAGCCCAGTCGTGTCTGTGACCAGAGCACGTGGGAGGTGCACATCCGTGTAGAAAAACCTCCCACTGGCTGCCAGCTCTGGATTTTTGAAATAATTCCTAATGAATGCAGTCTTGCCCAGGCCAAACCTCTTACAGGAATGATGACACACCCTGAAACAAGTCCGAGTCAGGCCAGACAAGCATCCCCTGAAAAATACTCCCTTTGCGGTTGGCAGCATATGAGAAAGTATCTTTGAGAGCCGTTTCTTCTTGCCGTTTCAAAGGAAAGCTGCTTGCAGGCCAGGAGGTCAGGAGTGAAAAACTCCTTTTTTTTTTTCTTCTATTTTTTCTTTTCTTTTAATTGGCTTACTACTCATCTGAAAGCTCTGCTAGTCAAATATGATAATCCTTTGATTTAATGTCAGGATTGAGACAGTTCTCTGGTTCTTGAAGGAAAGAGTGTTGCAATGCTAGGAAGTCTCCAGCAGCTGATTAACAGCTTTGATTTGAAAGAATAAAAAGAAAGATACAAAAACTGGCAGTGGGTCCTACCGATCGGTGCTGCAACTAAGAATGGACAGTATTTAAATAAGATGATCTTTCCCCTCAGGATTTACAGAGACTTCCATAATCTCCAGCCCACTTCATTTTTTTTTTTTAATGTAATGTTACAGCTCGGTATGCTTTGCTCAAATCTATCATGTTTGGATATTTCAAACTAGGAAGTTTCATTCCTTGTAGAAAAGCTTCAGAAACTCACCAGATATTTTAAGTCAGGTCAGTCCAGCTCTTCCCAGGAAATAAAGATGTTAAGAACTTCATAGCTGTAGGGACTCCTTAGAGATCCGATCCAGTGCTGCCTATAGGACCTTGGGCCGAGATTTCCCATGTACACCATAAATCTTCACAAAGTCGTGGGAAAAGAACAGCAACTTCAGCTCCTTTTGCAGCCTGATCATTGCTTCTGGGCCCGAGTAGCTGTCTTCTTTTGATATAGGACCATTGCCTGTTCAGACATGACTCTTTTTCCTGGATACAAATGGTATGTTATTTTTAGGGGGCAGTTATATTTCTTAATAGTTTTCAGAGTTGGTAGACAGGCCTGAACTGGGAATCAAAAGCCATCTTCTCACATTTCCACTAGTGAGTTATTGACCTCATGAAAGTCACCTCTCCTCCCTGGGCCTTTACTTCCCAAATAGTGTTCCAAATAACATTAGTGACTTCTGAGGTCCTGTCTAATTTTCTAGATGTCATCCGGATAAGAAGATAAAGTGTAAGAGAATTAAAAAAAAAAAAAAAAAAAAAGAAAACCAGCAAAGTGAAGTGTGGGGCTTAGGAAAATGAGAGTCCTCTGTTTAAAATATGTCTCAGAGAGCCTTGGTAGCAACAAAGGTCCCAAATATAGGAATCTTAGTCTGTACTGTGTATTGCAGGGTATATGGATTTCCTGTATTTGCCTAAGTTCTATTTGCTAAGAGCTGACTAGAAACATGAATAGTAGTCCTGAGGAAGCTTAAAGATGCTATCACATTCAGTTTACTCATTTGACATATCAACCCTGCGGCCTTTGTTCTGGAGGTACACTGAAACTTGAACTCAAGTCTCCTGCCTGCTTGTGCAATGTGCTTTCAAGTACACTGCCTATTCAGTTTATTTAGCAGTGATGAACGCTTACAGAAACCATCAAGCTATGTTTTGAAAGTTAGTTGATTCAAAACAATAGAGTTTAGTGGTCAGCCAAACAGAAGCAAGGAGATTTGCTAGTTTTGCATATGTGTGTGACTTAGTTTCCCTATTATCCACGTGTTAAACATAAGTTCTTTGTACAGCTCTATTCCTGGCCAACAATTAGTGCTATTTTTTTTCTCTCGGGTTTTAGAAGATCTACCTCCTCCAAACAACAGCAATTAACTACGACTTATAACTCACTCTCAGCTCCCCACCAGGGCCACTTACATTCACATTTCTGATCACAATATTTCTTAAGGTAAATCTTCAGTTCTCTGAGAATGCTGAACAATGAGTGTCTTCTAGCTCAAGTTACAGTTTGTAATGACCAATTTTGTAATTGTGGAACAGCCACAAACACGGTGGCATAAGATTCATGTATCCTGGCTTAATAGCTCAGATTATTTCCAAAAACCCACTGACGTTGGATCAATCATGCTACCTTTGTCCTTTTGTTTTTCTGTCTATTAAGTGCTGTGTTTGGCCCAGTCTTCCTCAGGTCTCCTATGGTCAAGGATCGTGTTTTAACTGTTTTGATAGGTTGTCTTTCTCAGGTGTATTCCATGCTACACTGCTATCATATAGCAAAGATCCTGAGAAATTATACTTTCATGAACAATTCAGGGCTGTGATTTTGAACATGAATTATTTTTCACTGTGCATAATGATGTTCCCAGAACCTATTGAAATACGTAAGACTCTAACGTGAAATGGCCCCAGACCCCCATATTACCAGTTTTTGCTTGTTGGGTTTCTTTTCTTGTTGGGTGTTAGTAGCTCAACTTTCACACCTGCCATCAACATGCCTCCTTATAAAAGCCATTTGTCCTTCATGCAAGTTTGTGACTTCTTCTCTGCCTAGGCATAAGGACTCAGATAACCAAGTTGTTATCTGAAGATCTGTACTATAAATAAAGTTGATTCTTTTTTTAATTTTTTTTTAAGTTGATGCATCTTAGTTACCGTTTGCAGCTCTGGTTTGTCTAGCTGTTGGCTACTGGTATTTACTTGATAATTGACACTGTCTAGTAATTGAGTTACCAGCTGTTGAGGTATGACTGCATGCCTCTGATTCTGTGGGTCTCACTTTTCTCTTCTTTGGATGTTTTCACTGGCCAATAGATTCGTTTTGTATTTTTACTGTGATCTTCTGGGTAGATGCTAGGGACCCTAATGATTTTTAAGTAATCCTGAAGAAAATTACCGTAAGCCTAAAGGTGGTTGAAAATGACAGTTTTTTGCAAATAATCAAAATGCCATCCATAGGGACATGGTTAAATACACTATCATAAGCTAGACAATGTAATCATATTTAGCCATTAAAAATGATGTATAATAGATCATAATGCTACATAAGTGTGAATTAGGGTGACAACCATGGTCTATGCTTTGCCTAATAAAGTATAATTTAAAAAACAAACAGACAAAAAGAAATGTAATTACATAAGCTAATCTGGAAAAAATGTGAAAGACACATTACTAAATAAAATAAGCATCTTTTATATACACATATGATTCAATTTTTGTAAAAAGAAAAACAGTTATATGTGAAAAAATGAAAGAGTCTGAGTCTAGTAGTTATATATGGTTATATTAAGAGAGAGACTGGATGAATGCCAAAGGGAGAGGAGAAGGGGCCACAGTGTTTACACTTCCTACCTAATATAGATATTTTTTTTAACTTTTAGACATTTACTTATTTAAAAAATTAACTTGGAACCTCTTACTAAGTGAGACTCGTAGCCTATCTCAAAGAGCGATAATGTGATATTTAAAGATTTTGCTGATTTGGACAGAAACAGAAACAAGAAGTGATAGAGAATTTATTAGATGCTTTACTTTAGATACATTTTCTCTTCTTTTTTTTTATTATTAATAATGTTGGCAGGGAGGCAGTGAACTTGCCCATTAGAGTTTGGCAACCTGCTTGAGTTTCCTAGGCATCCCATGAGTCCTCTCTGTTTCTTGCCACACAGCATTGACTCAGATCTATTCCTTTACATGCAGGCAGCTGTACGAAAACCTATGCACTCTTATAGCCTCATCTGGTTTCCTTTGTCAAGATATTACATTATGAAACATTTTGGGAAATTAGCAGCTTTTGACAGTAAATACGAATGATTTGTGATTCCACTAAGCCACTGCTTAATTTTAGGCTGCTGAATGGTGAACACTTTAAGGAGCGTGGGAACAGGCCATATTTTGTTTTGATCTTACACAGTCTCATTTGAAGGAAGGTTATCCATTTGAAGATGGGCTATAATTTACAGAAAGGCAATTATATTGAAGACTAATAATGAGCATTTAGTAATACATATCAAAATGTAGAATATGAATAACTTCAGAATTTCAAGATCTTTTATTCTACATAATTAATTTTTACAGCTGAAATGTGCCTATCTTTTTGGCGATCAGATACCCCCTGCCCTCCAAAATACAGGGTTAAATCTACATAAGACGTATACGATTTCTCCATGGCATATCATTCTAGGCCTGTTTTCTGTAATTCCTTGCCTACTCACCTGCAGGTTATATTCTAGTCTTACTAGATTTCTTGTTTTCCTCTAAATATCTCATGTACTTTTCTGTTTTGAGAACTTTACTCAGATTATTTTTGCTTTTTGGAATACCTTCTCTTTTCTTCCCTTCTTTTCTCTTTGCTCTCCACTGTCTCTGTGATTCTTTCTGGTCCCTAAGTACCCACACAGAAGCACACACCTCTGTTCCTCTTCCTGTTTAGATGCAAGATCTTCCCCATGAACCCTCCCTACCACTATTAGCTAGCAAGAATCACTGCTCACTTGGCATCCACAGCCCTTTATTTACACTTTATGCCTTACACTGTTGCTTCTCAATGTATGGTCTAAGGAGCAGCAGCAATAGCAGCCTCTGGGGGTTGACTAGAAATGCAGAATCTTGAGTCTTGTCCTAGACTTATGGAATGTGTGAATCTCCATTTTACCCAGTTTTCCAGATTCTCCTTATGCATGCTACCATTTGAGAAGCACTGTCTTAGAGCAGATATCCAACTTTGCCTTCACTTGGTTGCTTTTGTGTGAGTGGGTTCTGATAGAATCTGGCTTGTGATCACAGACTGTATCTTCAGCATTCATCTGCAAGGCAGGATGGAGTGCTTTGCACACAGCAGGAGCTCTTAACTGTGTGTTGTTGAATAAAAGCTTGCATTTTCAATGAAGAGGGGTGTTTGAGGGAAAAAACAAATACAGGGTATTTCCATGATTCTTGTCGGCACGATGTCTTTCAGATTGTCTGGTTTCCATCATTGCTGTGGTTGGGTTTTATAGACCCTAGTACAAAGGGACTGATATGGTTTGGCTGTATCCCACCTAAATTTCATCTTGTAGTTCCCATAATCCCTATGTGTCATGGGAGGGACCCAGTGGCAGGTAATTGAATCATGGGGACGGTTACCCCCATGATGCCTTTCTTGTGATAGCAAGTGAGTTCTCACGAGATCTGATGGCTTTATAAGGGGCTCTCCCCTGTTTTGCTCAGTACTTATTCCTACCACCATGTGAAGAAGGACGTGTTTGCTTTCCCTTCCTCCATGATTGTAAGTTTCCTGAAGCCTCCCCAGCCATGCTGATTTGTGAGTCAATTAAACATCTTTCCTTTAAAAATTACCCAGTTTTGGATATGTCTTTGTTAGCAGTGTAAGAATAGACTAATACAGAGACTTACCACCTTATCAAATCTCTTTCCTCCTCTCACCTCTTTGAGAAAGAGTTACAGTGGTGTGGAGGATTACAGCTTTCAGAAAGAAGCTCAGGTGAGTTCATTGTCCAGGGGATTGTATTTAAAGCATAGGGAAATACTTTGTATTAATATTTTATGAATAGGACTATATCTGTGTATCTGTGATGATTGTATATTTGTCCAAGAATTGGAAGCCTGATCACAAGGTCAGAGTAAGATCCAGAATCAGAATTTGGTGCCTCTGAACTTAGGAAAATAACATTGTTTTAGTTTATTATATTTCCTTTTGCAAAATTTGACAAGGAAAAGCTTCATAATTTCAAAAATGCTTTTCTATCTTGTGATACAGATTGTAACAGACTTATATTCAGATTTGTTCTCCAAGTATCTCCATCTTCCCCACTTCCCCTGGTATTGCTGTTTTTCTTAGTGTCACTTTTGCCTTCTCCTCTCATCTGTACATATTTCTTTTGCGGTTTTCTTAGTTATTCTACTCGTATTCCAATACTTAAAACATCTGTATCATATAACTCTGGTGATATTCCTGATCCTTCACAAAATGTTGTGTATAATTAATAAAATTACAGTGTGTATAAATATGTAAAAATAAATAAGGATAAATTAAAAATAAAAATAAAATGAAATATATAATTATAAATAAAATAAAATGAAGATAAAATGTAAAAAATAACCTAACAGGTGATTTTTTTGACATAGATAAGAACAACCCTAGTAGGGACTTGCCATTTTTATTTCTGTTTTTAAAGCAGATCTTGAATATGTAATGCCCGTTACATCCATTTCTTTTAGATTATTAAGATTAAGACATTGTTTAAATACTTCTTTCTACTTTTATTGGCTATTTTTTTTAAAAAATATATTTTATGGTTCCGTGCTCTCCCTCTGGCATTTGAATGATACAAAAATGAATTATAGGAACCAAAACATAATGCTACTTGTTTCATCTTAAAACCTTAAGTTGCTTACAATGAAATGAAGGAGGTAAGATGTTACCACATAAAGAGAAAACACTGTCATAGAGTTTTTGTTTAGAGAGATCTAGGACATCTTGGATATGCAAAAATGACAAGGTTGGTAGAACATTGAGGGACAGATTAGATGAATTCTCGTTACTTGTTTTTCCCATTCACATATCCCTCTCTCTCTTCTCTCTTCCGTCCTCTCTGCCTTCCTCCCTCCTTCCCAAGGTGTCTTATTACCTTTCCCTCCCTTTGTCCTTCTGTTTTTTTCTTTGGTGGATGAATGTTTGTAAGATGTCCATTTTGAAGCTGAAAGCCTCAAAGGCTCAAAGGCAGATAATTCTCTTTTTGGAAGTCATTTTACAAAATCCTTTTTATGAACCTGTCTATAGGGAAATTTCTTCCTGTCCTGGCTGTGCAATGAACCATTTATTTGTTCTCATGGATACCAATACTTATTCATTATTTTAAACTTTGTATTTTCTTTTTTTTTTCCTCCTAAGAAGTTCATTTTGCTCTTTCTTCTGATTTTCCTACCTGTTTGTAATAACAGGAATTAGTCTTTCCATGTGTCTGTGTTGATTTTTTTAATATTACTTTAGTGAAAATTATAGAGGTTACAGGTTTAGGAGCTGTTGGGGAAATAAAATTTAAAACCAAAGTCTCCCAACTGAGAAATTCTCTCTATAAAAGTAAGAGAGAAAGAAAACAAATCTATTTTTTATTCTTAAACAAGCATTAAATCAGAATGTGATGTACATCACAGGTAATCCACTAAGAGATGGCAAAGACAGAAAGAACTCTCACTCTTTTATGAAGCCAAACAGCCCATTACATACGTGTTTTCAAGATAAACAATAACTTGTCCTCAAGTAAGCTTGACAGCACCATTTGTCACACATAGCTCATCCTAACTTTACCTGGTAATTGAGGTGACCATCCATGTTAGCTGATTGGTTTTGGCCAGAGGAAAAACAAACTTCACATATCTTTATGACAGGAGGTAGTTTTTTAACTTGGTGCAAGTTGCCTACCAAAGTTAGGGTCCAACTCTCCCATAGAAACTGGGAGATAGGGGTGCTATCTACCAAAGTTAGGGCCCAACTCTCCCATAGAAACTGGGAGATAGGGGTGCTATCTCCTGTGATGTTCACTTTTCAAAGAGATGGCCTCCAGGTCTTCCTAGTAAAAGGCATTTCTAGGTCACAAAGCTGACAAAAGGCCTTGCTTAGCCTTCAAAAGGATTTATATACATTTCAAAGAGTACAAAAAGTACTCAGTAATTGCAAGTTGGCCAAAGTAAATGCTCTGAGAAAAAGAAAGAAGGTGAAGAATCTTTTCCCTTATTTTCAACAAGAATTATGCTTCTTAGTTTTAATTTGTACTTAATCTGACAGAAGATAGGTCCTATTTCATTATGTTTAACTAAGCAGTTCAGAATTAAAGTTTTACTTTTTCTGAGTTTGACATTCAGCTGACTTTTGTCTTTGGCCTTGTGGTAACAAATTATACGCCTCCAAGTTGGAATCTGATTTGACAATTCATTAGCATTTCTTTAATTTGTATTTTTATTGTAATAAAATTGACCATTTTAACCATTTTTAAGTCTACTGTTTTGTGGAGTTAAGTACATTTTCATTGTGCAACTATTGCCACCATTCATCCCCAGAATTTTTCACATTTTGTACTCAAACTGTAGCCTTTAAACATTAACTTCTGAGTCTGTCCTCCCCTCAGCCCCTGGCAACAACCATCATTATCACTTTAACCAACCTATTCGAAATGCCCATGAAATTTCAATATCCTGTCTCTGGATGAGAAGTGGAGAATTGTGTTTGCCCAGGATTTTAAAGATAAAGATGTTTTCTTGGGAAACTGACTGAGAAAAACAACTTTAAAACCTTGAATGTGGTGCACCCATTTATACAAGTGATGCCACACTAATTATAAATAACTTAAGTCTGTGCAGTTCCCCAGAAATGTCTCATTCGTGCCACTTCATTACTTTCAAACTGATAATAAAATACCCTCCTAGTGAAATATTTTTTTGCATGTAACTCAGGGATTTTACTATTGTAGATTTGGCATTTTTCACAACCCTTGCTCCAGTGAATTTTTATCTTTCTTAATTGATCTTTTGGACACAGCAAACGAAATATTGAACACTTCATATATTTTGTTTTATAAACTGTCGTGGATATGAAGGAGAATGATGTGAAAGAATCAGGGCAGACAATCTGTTGCAGTCAGAGAACCTTAATTAAAATGAAGCTTTGCTATTTGATTGTCGTGATAGCTTGAGTTAGACACTTCACCTTTCTGCACCTAATTTCATCATCTGTAAGACAGGAAAATTATATTCCTTTTTGAGTAAGTTGTGTGAATATGAAGTAAAATAAGACATGAAAAGAAGCACTGTGTATAGTGTCAAAGCATGAATTATTTCAACTGAGTAATGTACTTAACATATGGCAGAAATTTGGAAAATACTTGTTGAGTGAATGAACAGATGTTATTCTCAAGGTTAATTTTTCTAGGGTTCTCTCTTCTACACACATACTCCTGTCTTTGCTTAAAACCTACCCTCTCTTGGCTTTCCTCTGATTCCTGATTGTATCTTCTTCTCCTTACCCAAATTATGCTTCCAGTTTAAAAACTCCAGATCTCAGAGTTTGGGTAGTGATTTGAAAGGGCTCAAGGAATTTCTGTTATATTATTTCATAGAAAACTCTTCCTTTCTAAATGGAACTGCTTCCTGAAAGCTTTTGGGGGTTAGAAATGGCCATTCGAGTTATCCACTGTAACATACACAAAGATTAAGGGAATTTTTTTTTTTTTTTTTTTTGGCTAGCATCAACAGGCTCAGGGGAGTTCACCCTAGCCAAAAAAAAATGATGAGCTGCAATAATGTTAAATCAGACATGTGAATCCAAATTAAACAGAATTCTTGGTGTAATTCCAGGCTGTTCCCTCGATGGTCATTGGGTGGGGGCTCACTAAGCAACTCTGTTGTTCAGTGTCACCATACACATGATAAATGCAAATGTATGTATTATAAAGCAGCATAACCAAGGCTTACACTGACAAAGGCAGATGACAATCCAAAGGTATTCTGTTGAACATGCCTTGCCTGACATGTTTTAGTGGAAAAATCACCCCCACCCATGATGATCTGAGAAAGAAATGAGTGTTGAGAGACTGAAGGAGCAGAAAACACATAAAGGAATTATAGTATTTTCCTGGATTGAGAAACAGCCTGTAGAATCACTCTGTTTAGAAGAATGTAATCATTCACTCAATAATCCAGAGCGTTTTCTATATGCCAGGCTTCAATGCTAGACCCTGGGAGTCAAAAATGAATCAGAAGTGGACCCTGTCTGCAAACGTCTTAAGAGAGAAGACATACACACTTATTTAATAGTACAAGATAAAAAAGCACATTACTGAGACTATATGGGAAGCATAGCTAACGTTTTAGGAAGAAGGTAGAAATTACATCTGGCAGAGGGAAGCAGGGAGGTTTCATGAAAGAAGTGGTTTCGGAAATATGTCCTGAAGGACAGGTGGTATGTGTACACTTGGAGAGGGTAATGAAGGGCATCCCAGGCAGAAGAGATGAGTAAAGGGGAAGGAAGGCACGGGGTGATCTGTAGCAATATCTCTATTTGTACCTGTGGTGGGAGTGCTTGATATGTGAGAAGTAGTGGTACAGCAAAGGGTTGGAAAGAGAGCTTGCTGCCAGATCGTGGGAGGATTCAGAATGTCAGTGACGGACATCAGGGAAGTAGCACTAGGATATGATGTGTGAGCAAATTGCTTTGGGCTTTGTCATCAGTCGGCCTTTACAGGTGTTCCCATGGCACCCAACCCTTACCTGAGGCTTTTACAGCCTTCTTGTTTGCAGTGTGGTAAATATCTCTTCCTTTGGATTTAGAGAAGGAGATTTCAGGCTGTTTTTTATATATTAGAGAATGGAAAGAACATTTGCATGCAAAAACTCTCAGTTTTTAGGTCACCCTAATACATACATGCATTTTCTTCCCTTTTTCAGAAAGAGCAGAACAATTGAAAATAATAGCCCTTTTAATTTTTCTAACATTAAGGTCACACAGGTGAAAGGGTTATTTGCTGGGTCTCATAGGTGCTTACTCCTTTTATCATTGGAAAAATAAAGGCTCCCCTCTGTTTTCTGAC
This sequence comes from Homo sapiens, assembly GCF_000001405.40. NCBI lineage: Eukaryota > Metazoa > Chordata > Mammalia > Primates > Hominidae > Homo > Homo sapiens. Next base: position 190,544,249 of record NC_000003.12, read on the forward strand.
TTTTTCTGGATGGTGTCTTATGTTCTGATTTGGCAACAGTCTTTAAGAATCCAGAATTCTGGAAGTAGTGAAATTATAATCAACTCCAATTAGCTACACTGGTGGAGCATAGCATTATCATACTTAAATCCACCAGCATGTCTTACATCTCATTTTAGCTAGTCATTATGCCATTGTTCCTCCATCAGCTTGCCACAGGAGTGGTTTAGCAAATTAGAAAATTGATTTGAATTTCCTACTTTTTTCCCAATTAAAAGTTCATGAGCCTTACTCTAAAACTACCTCCAGTAGGAGTAATACACCCAGTGAGAGAATTCCTAGGAATTCCTCAAAGCTTGGTCTACTGTTTGGGGGCCCTTACACAGTCAAACTCCACCTCCACCGTGTTTTTCTGAAAGAACTTCATTCAGCATTTCCAAACTGTGGCAAGGAACCTGATGATTGCAGATGTTACTAAACAAGAATTACTAAAGTCAATTAGATTTGAGAAACACTGTATATTATTACTAAGTAATTGAGTTTCACAACATGCATTAGCATCCTGAAAGGCCCTGAAAGAAGTCCTGTGGGAAAAGATAACTTTTGAACCTCTTTCACCTAATATTAATAACCTAATGTTTCTCTAAACTGAGGGTGAATTACTAAAGCATAGCCTTTCAAAATCATTCTGTAAAAGCCTAAGCTGAACAATGTGGTTCAATATGTGGCCTTCAGAGGGTCTAAGATAATTTAAGAATGAAATTTAAAATATCAGGAGACTCGAATTAAGTAGGTACATTTATTAGGACTCTGCATTGTATCCATCCTCTATTTACCTACCAGGATTTACGTGAATATTTTTTCATAGCCTGGAGATCCTTTCAAACCCTGTCTGTGTTAACAGAGCTGCTACATCTGATATTATTTTCCGGAATCTGAAGAAACACCAAAGAGGACTGAAATAATAAGACATTAATTTCAGCTGTAGAATGCCGATGTTGCTGACCCTGCAGGGTTATTGCAGAGGGAGATTAATTATGCATATCTGCCACCCTAGGCTTTGGAGTTGAAGTACCCTGCTGTAATTCACTGCCGGATCATTCATGTAGCCAGCATACTGATATGATTATTATTCCACCAAGGTTTTTATCTGCCCCTAGACAATTACAGAAGCACTTACCAGCATCTCTCATTGACTTCTTATTTAAAATTCCCAGGGCCACAGCAGGCATTCGCATCCTTTTATCGGAGACAGCTACAGATCAATGACATGAAGCAACATGGGATTTTCTGTAGGACATGACAAATGCTGAGATTGTTGCTAAGCAGAAGATAGACATTCAGATTCCAGTAGAAAATAGTGTTGCAGTGGCTCTCTAACACAAACTTTTAAGGCAATGACAAGAACATACAATGGAAATATTATGAGATTTGGTGTCAAGGTATTTGAGTTTGAACACTGGCTTCACTATTTGGTGTCCAGGAAGCTATAGTTCTTCTGTAAAATGGGATTGAAATTAAATGACAAACTCTTGGCAGCTTGAGGATCTGGAGATCTCTTTAGGTTGTGAGATGAAATGTATATATGTGTGAAATCCCTGCTAGGGTATGTATATATGTGTGAATCCCTACGAGGTTGTGAAGTTTTAATGTATACATGTGTGAAAAAAAACTTTGTGAGTGACAGAGTGTTTTAAAAATATTTTTGTGCTAATGGGAATGGCTTTCATTCCCCGCGTAGTCATAATGGAACATCCTTTTCGTGGCCCCACTGCTTGGGTGATGACCTATCGATGCCTGTAGTCACCTCACACAGAATGTAGTGACTATGCATCGGTATGATTAGCAGCTGCATGCAGTGTACATCCTTGAAATGATGCACAGAATAAAATTCCTATTTCCTATTGCTGTTCTCAGCCCAGGGTTTTAAGGGACTTCGAACCTGCAAGATAACATTCATCTGATTTGCATTTTTTTCAGTTAAGTTTTCCTCTCTGTTCTATAGATCAGTGGCAAAAAGTATGGCTTGTTTTGTTTTAATTTTCCCCTAAGAGGCTTTCTCCCTTATGCGTGGCTGCATCACAGAACGCTACCTGTCTTCAGAGACCAGCTGTAGTGCCAGCTCCAAGGAATCTTTCCACCCTCACTCCTCAGTCTAAACCCCTTTTCTCTCCCCACAACTCCTACTCTCTACCACATTAAAATGCAAGTAATTCCTTCCCCACAGCATGCTGGCATGTTGCTTGGACTGATTTGTATACTTAATAATAGCATGAGCAAACACAGCTACATAGCTTTGTAGAGTTAAAGAAATAATAAGAGCAGATACACTTTTAGGTATTTTATATATGTTAACTCATATAATCCCCTCAGCAATCCTAGGAAGTAGAAATTATTATTCTCCCCATTTTGCAGATGGGAGAAGTAAGTCACCAAGAGATTAAGTAACTGGCCCAATATTTCATGGGTACCATGGGGGCAGAGCCAGGAATTGGTAATTAAAATAATAGGCTTTTAAACTATGAGGTTACAATGAGCCCTATGCAAATTGGAGATTTCTATAGGTTGTGAGTTCCTGGATGTCTGAGGCAATGAAAATCTGTGTCATCTATTCACATTTAGCGTAAGGGCTCCGCATAGTAGGTATCCAGTTACACGAAATAGCTTTGCATTGAGAAAATCGCCCCTTGAAAGCTTAGGATGTGGCCACAAAATGCCCCCCTTGTCCTCTGTCAATATGTTTTTAGTATACGTTCTGCATTCCTGCTCAATATGCTTGTCAGAGCATTTTAAAACCTCACATAAGCACTGCTTGAGCACCTCTCTGTGAGGGAGGCCAGTGTTCTGTTTTTTTGTAAGTAGCTGTGTGGTAAAGATAAGGCATACTTGTTGAAATTAGGGTTACTTGAGTCTTTAGTGGTTTATGGATCAGTAGATAATAGCACTATAACATTCCAGCTCATTCGCATTCTGATGAAAGGGGAATTGCATGGTGTTACTTTATTTTCAATAAAGTCACCAAATGTCAATGCATATGAAAAGAACTCTGGCCATAGTCCTCCGCCCCTTCCCCCCATCCAGTGTGATCTGGTGGACTGAGGTCACAGCCCAGACTATGGGACTGGTGGGTGCGCATTGCCATCTGTCAGGATGATCCTGGTGCCCAAAAATTAGTGAAAGAAGCCATAGAATTTTCTCAACAGGGACACAGACTCACACAGACCTCCTCAGTGTTAGTTCATAAGGGGATTTTCTTTAACACTTTAGATACAGAAACATGATATTTCTTTAGGGCTTACTTTTTTGGCTTATATGAGTTCCCAGGAAAACCTGGAATATTATCTTTGTGTTTCAGGGACAAAAGTGGGGATTGGAGCAGTGAGGATGCATAATAGGCTGTTTTCTCCTATAGGCTGAGAATACCTGAAGGTAAAGGCTGCACTGAAGCCCCTGTGCTTTCTCCCAGGTGGCGAAGTGTTGGCCTGGTGCACTGTAAGTCTGCTGTGAATGTTCTAATTTAACTCTTGACTTTAACTCTTCCTAATAAAACTAGTTGTGGAAACTGAGGCATAGGGACAATGAAATATGTGGCCAATGTTATAGCACTTGTTAATGCCAGAGTCAGAACTAGGAGAGGGCTCGTCCTGCCCATCTCTCTGTGTAATGGAGAATGAGGAGCCCCTGGGTGTTGCAGGGTCTGATGGAGTAAGGGGGGCCTCTCCGAGGCTTCTGGGCACCTGAACAGGAGGGGAACTGAGGCCCTCTTCTGCTGGATGCTTTCTATTGAGCCAATCATTTTTCTGAAAGAATTGGGGGAATGATACTAGGAAGTGCTCTGTGAAGGGACAACTGACTGTTTTGTGAGGCCAAGGATGCCTTGGATCCATTCAAGTCTAATTTCTGAAGACAGGTTCATTTCAGAGGCAGTGGATCTTGATGGCTGTCACAGAACTTACGGTGGCATCTGTTTGAACCAACCTTTTGAGAATATTCCATTCTTAGGATGACCTGTGGCCTGACTAGATAATGCAGCGTGCCTGTGAATCCATATGTAAAATAAAAGTATCAATGTCTCATATTTGTATCATATTTCACCATTTATTAAGCTTTATCATAAACATGATCTATTGTGATCCTTATATCATCCTATGAGGTAATCCTTATTTTATTGATAAGGATTCCAGGGTTCAGAGGGGTTAAGTACATTATCCAAGGCCACACAGTTAAAAAGTAATCAACAGCAAACTAGAACAGAGGTTGACTGTGTCCTAGAGAAATGTTATTCCTACTACCCAGAAATTGCCTTGTATTTATATGTACTTATTGCATAACAAAATTGGACTATACACTGTGGACACAAACTTAGATTCCCAGTCAAAAAAGGAGAGTAGTAAGAAAAAATCTAAACAAAACAGATCAGGGCAGAAGTTTCTCAGGCCTCTAAGACAGGTGTAGGTATCTACCCAGAGGTTTTAGAAAAGGAATAGTTTATTTTTAGACAAAGGCAAGATGAGAGAGACTCTGGAGAAGCTGCAGAAGGGACCTGAGTCTTGAATTAGGCTGTGGGAAAGTTAAGACTTATTTCCTTTCAGTGATAGACAATTTGGTCTCAAGTGGAGTTTTAAAAATCATCTGTATCTTGTGGATTGAGGATTGATTTGGGAATTATGGCTTGGGCTCCCCCTTCTGCAATTAGAGTTTTCACTATGGCAGTATTTTCCATGAGACCTTAATAGGTATATTGCATAAAAAGAGGTTCATGGTCAAATTGTTGTGAGACATTCTCCTTAGGGTTCTTTTCACGTGACTAGGAAAGATTAGGCTCACAGACACGTAGAAGGGTGAGAAAAATGGGATTTATTTGGCAAAAAGGAAAAAAAGGGAAACAGGGACTCTCAACAAAGCAAGAGTCCTGTTAGGAGGCTTCCCGCCTCACAGATTGAACCCCTGGTTCCCACCCAGGAACAAGAGGAACCAGGCTCCTCCCTCTTGCAAACGGTGTGAACCTCTGTAGCTCCACCCCATTCTCCCAGTGCGCAGGCTGGTCAGAGGTTCTCTAGGGACCCCTTTACACTTGACTGTCTCATTCCCCCTGAAAGAAGTACATCTAGCTGCCATTAGAATAAGGATAAGGATAAAGATGGAGACCAATCTTAACTGCTTCCTGCTGACAGGGGGTGCTGTTTTGGGAAAAATGACAGTCAGAGCTCCCTCAGAGGCCTATGTAAGGGTCCCCAGCAGAAGGGGCCATCATCCAAAGCTCCGGTTGCAAGACCATTTGGAGTTTGATGGCCTGAATGTGAGAAGAGACAGACTGGGTTATTAGAAAACATGTATTTAAATGAAACAAGTCGGGGGTGAGGACAGCTCAAAAATCCTGAGGCCTTTTACCAGTTTGCACAGAGAGAGGCCAAAAGCCTGATTGGTAAAACAACTTTTACCCTTTTACCATCATGTCAGGCTTCTGGGTTGCCTTCTCCCGAGCCCAATACTAAGTCAACTGGTTTAAGGTTTGGGAAATTAACTTTCCCAGTTTGGAGCCTGCATCCAAGGGGAGTGTTCTGTAGTATAGAGACAAAATTACCTATCAGTGAAGAGAGGGCAGAGGAGGAGAAAGGAAAAAATAAGCTGCTTTTTTCAAAGGAGTTCCAGGGGTTCAGGATGCATTTAAAGGGGTACGGAGTGAAGATGGATGGCTACTCATCTAGAAAGAGGGGAGCAGGCATCCCTGGTTCCCTTCTCTTCCTAGCAAATACCTGGGGTGCGTGAGGGAGAGAAGGAAGAGTGTCCTCTTTCCCTCTTCCATCCTTGCATCTCTGAGTCCTGGCAGCCTTGGCACGTGCCGCCCATGGTTGCCAAAGCAGGCACCCATGAAACAGGGGGGGCTTAGAGAATAGGAAGTATCTTCTCTCACCTATGCCTCTATTCCCCCTACTGTCAGTAGCCTTGGAGTTCCCTAGACCTCATTTGTGCCAGGGATACTAGCATGACCTTTATCCATGAAATGGGAGGCTTGGCTTAATTGGCAGGAATTAGCCATTCTCACCTCAACTGTGCCTTTTAACCTCTGTTATCATGGCCTCTGGATCCCTTAGATCCAATTTTCTTTCCTAGGGCTTTGACCTGAAGCTTGAAATTGAGTTTGGGACAATAATGTGTCTCATGGGGAATTGCATGGACTCCTTATCATAAGCCAAATGCTGAGGTAAAGCTGCGGAATTGAGTCGTCCTCCAAGAAGGGAGAGAAAATGATGTCTTGTGACATTTCCAGATAACTGGTGGGTATAGTTATGCTTGCTAAGATTTGGGTGCATGGCGCTTGGCTTTGGTTAGCTCCCTTGGTCTTACTTTCCCAAAAAGGAAACCTCCAGCTGATGGATATACTATTTATTCCCATCACCTGGCAGAATTTGCACGATAATTGCTCAGAACTAGAATATTGATCCAGATTTCTACATTACCCATCCCATTTGCTCTTTCTGAGCTGCAGCCAGAGATTGCTGGTTGGTTCACAGGAACAAGCAGGATTAGTCTAAAATGTAGGCAAAAACTTAAAAATAACTAATGAATTTAGAATTTAATGACAAAGGTGTGAGAAGTTTTCAAGCATAGTTTCTCTCCAGTCCTTATTTTTGTTAAAAAGAAAAATCGTGGTAGGACTGACTTGTTTGCAAAATAGACTTTAGTCTTATATTTGGCCTGATTATTTGCATAAAGTACAGCAAGAATATCTGTTTCTACATACACCTTTTAGATTGGTTTTGGTGGAACTCTATTCCACAAGGAATTTCAGATAAGACCTTTTAAAGCTGAGCCTAACCATGGGTTTGTATCTTCAAATACCTATGAGTTGGGTGATCCTCTCCTCTTAAGGTCCCAAGATAAATTTGGAGCTCTTGGGCCTGTTAGAAAGTGACATTCTCTACTGACCACAGGTCAGGAACCCTGTACAAGGACTGTGTAGACAAGAGTATGAAGCCAGTTTTTTTCCCCAGAGCTTTCATTGGCTCTGCAAGTTGAGCTTGACTCCTTAAAGGGGAGCATATTCTTCAGTCAAACCCTTGGTAAAACAAACAGTTTCTGCAATTGTGTCCTGTTGCAAAAGAAAAATGGATGCTTATTGTACTGATGCAAACGACTATATTGCCGTAAGTTAAAAATACTCACAGATAGCTTCCAAATTCTAGAGGAACCAGGCAGAGAGAAACAAACATGCTTCAAATTTTCTTCACAGGAGGATACTTACTCAATTATTAAAGGCTGTAAATAGTTCAAAATAAGTTTCTTTGACTCTGAAAAACAAAACAAAGATCAGCAATATTCCAAGTAAAAGTTGGAAAGATTGTTTCAGTTTTCTCAGTTCAGTCTGTTTAGTTCTTGTTTTGCTTGATATTTGTGAACACTACAGCTCTTTGAGTCCTGTACATTTTTCTTTTATTCCACTGTTACAATCTCCAAAGTTATCAAAAACCTGTATTTAAGAGCCCCTGTCAAAGTTCTATAGCTCATTATAAACAATCTTTTGAAAAGGATTAAAACAAGTCAACAATTGTCTGTGAATAACAAAATGTCCAGGGTAGTTACAGTTAGAAACACAATTGACAAAGTTTGGTTATCTCTGTGGTTTACAATAACTTAATATAACAAGCTTGTTATGATTGATAGCATATACTCAGATATTAGAATTTTAGAAATTCCATACAATTTTGGAACATATATTAGCATTATTCACCAAAATATTTCCTAAAGAAGATTGAACATCATTTTGGCAATCCAACGTACCTAAACATGTTAAATAATCCTGTTTACCTCTCTTTTCTGGACACTCCAGGGGCCCTTTGAAGTATCCAAAAAGCCAGGTGTCAGGAAAGACAATTTTGTAACTAAAGTTTGATTTTGGGAAGCCTGATAAGTATGTAAGAAGTTTAAAACATTTGATGTTCTGAAATAGAATTCCAGATTATGATAAATTATTTTACAAAAATGATGACTCAGGAACTTAACAAGCAAAAATCCTTTTATAGCCCTTTACAAATTTTGCTAAAGAATAAATTAGTGCCTTAACAGTCCCTTGTTGTGCTTTGATTTCAATCCTCAATTTACAGAAAAACCATATAATACCTTTTTGAATTTAGTCAATATGTTCACACAGGGAATTTTTGCAAGATTAATTTTTACACTCCTTCTACTGCTTGTTTGAAGTTTTAGCTTTCTTATCTAATTTAAAATAATTCTTTAATCCTGGGCAAGAATTTACATTTTTCTCAAAGATTAAAGTCACGTGAACTGAAAGGTACCACAGCTTTTGTCTTCCCTTTTAAAAACATTTGATCCAAGTGCTTATCTTCCTTTAGGACAATTAATTAGAGCTTTTTTTATAGACATCACACACAAAACACATATACAACTACACCCAGTCCCCACAAGATCCTTCATTTGGCAATCTCATATTTGGATTATTAGCCTCTGAGTGCTTTAATTTTGGGGGTTCCATGAGAAAAACAGAGGTCTTTCCCCTCTCATGCATGCATTAAAAGTGGTGAGGCAAAATGGAGAAAAATAATTTGGTTGACTGAAAAAAAGAAAAAAGCACTTTTTCCAGAAAAACAAGGTCCAAGAAAAGGAAAACATAAAGGCCTTTTAAATATAACTATAACTTGGATATCCACTTTTAATTAAGCTGAGCGGTCCTTAAGAAAATCCTTTTAACTCCCTTAATACTCGACAAGTGGCCAATATTTCTGGCTTTCAGATTTTACTAAAGGCTCAGAGCAAGGAAAATCCAATGCAGTTTGTGGAGGGGAAGGGAATCAACAAATAGCAAAAGCAAAAAAGTCATACAGATATCAAACCCTGAAGAACTCATTTCCTAAGCCAGGATTGAATCCCGGCCATAGGTAAGCTAAACAAAGCCTTGCCATGTGGTTACATGCCACGCCCCCGAGGACGTACAACAAGATGGAGGCCCGCAAGGAAGTATTTTACAGACCATACAGAAAGACTGCAAAGCACACCAGACTGGCTACAACTTAAGACCAGCCTCACAAATCCTTTTTCATAATTAAAACTTTACAGAGAATATAAACATTGATCCTTATCATTCCTAGCCTAGTAAAATGTCTTCTAAAAGGAAAACACAAACAAAAAATAAATAAACAACCACCACGCTTAAAAGTCAACTCCTGACCTGATGGAGAAAAGGAAAGAAAAAAATTTTTTTTAATGCCTGGGAAGAACCTCTTATTCTTATGCAAATGCGTTCCTCCACCGGGGAGAGAAACTTAATTGCTCTCCAATGGGGTTGAACCCCTTGGCCAAGGGAGGTGAAGAGGCCATGGATGCATAGCATTCCCCAGCCCCAGCCGGGATGGGACGGGGAACGGGGAGCTGCCGTTTGCCCGTCCATCCGGAAAAAAGAAGGAAAAGGCCAAGGAAAGGCTGGGTTGGACTGAGGCCGTCTTTTCTGACCCCTGAGCGTGACAGTGGTGGGGGCACAGTTTCCTCTAGCCTCAGAAGTCTGAGGTTGAGAAGGTTTAGAAATGAGAGGGAAAGGCCGGGCGCGGTGGCTCACGCCTGTAATCCCAGCACTTTGGGAGGCCGAGGCGGGCGGATCACGAGGTCAGGAGATCGAGACCATCCCGGCTAAAAACGGTGAAACCCCGCCTCTACTAAAAATACAAAAAATTAGCCGGGCGTAGTGGCGGGCGCCTGTAGTCCCAGCTACTCGGGAGGCTGAGGCAGGAGAATGGCGTGAACCCGGGAGGCGGAGCTTGCAGTGAGCCGAGATCCCGCCACTGCACTCCAGCCTGGGCGACAGAGCGAGACTCCGTCTCAAAAAAAAAAAAAAAAAAAAAAAAAAAAGAAATGAGAGGGAAAGAGATTTCTTGTTTTGCATCTCACTCACCCTTTCTCAAACCCCATGTTCTGGGCACCAAAGATGTTGTAGGACTTTCTCCTTAGGATTCTTGTTACACAACCAGGAAAGATTAGGCTCACAGACACACAGAAGGGTGAGAAAAATGGAATTTATTGGGCAAAAAGGAAAAAAAAAGGAAACGGGCTCTCAGCAAAGTGAGAGAGTCCTGCTAGCAGGCTTCCCGCCTCACAGATTGAAACCCTGGTTACTACCCAGGAACAGGAGAGGCAGGCTCCTCCCCCCTGCAAATGGTGCAAACTTTCATGGCTCCACCCCGTTCAACCAGTGTGCAGACCAGCCGGAGGTTCTCCTGGGGACCCTTTATATTTGGCTGTCTCAAAATAACTTTGCTTAATGTTGTGTTAAGCCAAGCGGACCACAGTATTCACTGGGCAGATTACTCCAAACCTTTAAAATGCCAGTGTGTATTGTGAATCTCCAAGAGATACGTGATATGTTACTTTTCAAATTTATTTTTTGGCCATGCAGTCCTTTTGCAGATTGCTCAGCACAGGACATGATAATTTTCATCTCGGATTTTGGAGGAATTGTATCCTTTTTGGCCATTTGCTTTCTTGTTGTTTAGTGTGTGTGTGTGTGTGTGTGTGTGTGTGTGTGTGTCTCTAACTTTGCTCCCTACCTGTGAGATCCCTGATTAAATAAATGAACAGTGTGTTTATTTCTATATATTGCACAACTTCTATTAAAGTGTATAAAGTAGGGGCTTAATAAATACATTGATTTGAATCAAATTTGATGCTGTAGATTCAGAAGCTAGGGAATTACAGGTTTTGTAGAGAAATCTATGAAAACTCAGCCACAATTTTGTTACTTCTGTCCTTTCTAACAGCTTGTAGAAAATGCCTTTCTCTCGAGAGTCTCATAGACAGGATCGTGATCTTCAGACCATCCTTTTGAATTAGAGAGGTTATTAGTGGCAATGTCGTTAAGTGAAATTTAAGGGGAGAAAACCTCAGATGGCTAAGAAACTTTTCTATGCTGGGAAAAGTAATTAATTTCCTAACCTGGAGGTGACTGGATCTTAGTCCACAGGTGATATGTCTGTTTTGGGCCTGTGGTGGTGATAATTTCACCTAATTCCCTACTTGAACTTCAAATGGCGTCACATTGCCCAAGTGATGTGCTCCTTCCTCCCTCCTCTCTACTCCGCTTCCTTCTCTACTCCCTACTCTCAGGTGCTTTGAAATGCCTCTGCTGCAGCACTGTTCTCTATACTGTGTGGGGGGAGGTTTGGATGAGAAGAGAAACATATAATCTCAAACATACAGAAAAAGTTACAGTACAGCAGAAAGAGCATTTTTTTCCTGATCCATAATCCCAAACATGTTTTTATAGCCAAAAGATTCATTTCACGATCAGGCATTGCATTTAGTTCTCTTGCCTTGCTTCCTTCAGCCTGGAACAGCCTTTCCATTTTGCATTAACTTCCTACCTTGATACTTTTGAAATTTACACAGCAGTTGTTTTGTAGAATGTTCCCCTATGGGTTTGTCTAATGTTTTTTCATTGTTATAATTAAAAGTATGTGGTTTGAATACCTCCAAAAATTGCAAGCTTCATGAGGAAGGGGATAGTTTCTCTCCCTCTTCCTCCAGACTGTCCAGAGCATGATACATATTTGCTGAGTGAATTAAAAGTAGTGTTTGACCATCTCATCATAAATTACTCCTCCTTCCAGCCTTGAAGTTCCCTGTCACATTCTGTGTTGGATTTAATTTGCTTCCTCGGTTTAAAATTATATATATAGATAGATAGAGATCTGTCTATCTATCTATCTATCTATCTATCTATCTATCTATCTATCTATCTATCTTCTATAGTTAGTTCTGTATCTTTCTGTAACCTCTTCCTGTTGTCTTAAATACGCTTTAACCAACGAAAAAGTTTTTCCACATTTTTTACAGAAGCACAACATATTGACAGTACATAAATATTGTGTTCAACTTTTTCATTTTGTTTACATAGGCATCGTCATGTGATCATCACCTAAGAACTAGAACATCAGCAGGCCCTAGAAGCCTCACTCTTGCCCCTCCCTTTAATATCTCAAAGGTAATTCATTTTCTGATTTAAATTAAGCAATTTATAAAACATTTCCTTATCGACTTTAAGTTCTCTACCCCTTCAGTTTCTTTCAAATTTAAACAAAACCAAGCAAAAACTTTAGCTTATTTCATAATAAACACTAATTGTCATAATATATAGCATTTTTTATATATATATATGTATGTATACACACACACACACATATGTATGTTTTCACATGTCACATCCTTTGATCCTCTCCATCTACCCTATCAGATAGTCAGCACAGGGATTTTTACTGCTATTTTAAAAATGAGGATATGAGGCCTAGAGAAGGGAAACCTCCTGAGCCACGATTTTCCAATTTCCAATTTCATCATAGAGGCTATCACAGTAATCTTGGCTTTTCTGTAATTTGTCAAGGCCAGACTTGACAACTAAAACTATCTTCTTTGAAATATTTTGACAATAGAGCACTAAACTTGGACCTAGTACACACAAAGTGTAGGGCATGGCAAGTTTTGCCAAATACTCAATGGTCAACTTGAACCACGTAATTTGGGCTCTTTTTTGTAAATAATATTAGTGGTAGCTCACATTGTCTACTACTCCATAGTTCCTCAATTATTTCACATCTATTATCTCACTTAATAAGAGTTGATGATAAACAGCATTTGCTGAGAGCAATTTGTGTTCCTGGATGGTGCTAAGCACTTTACAGCAATTGTTAAGACTTTCCTCTCAACAAATGGTGAGGTAGTTGTATTAGTTTCTATCATTCCCCAGCCTCAGTGTCCCTAAGTAGAGAAATACTTAATCATCAAATTGTCCTCTGGAGAGAGGGTACAATGGAACAATTCCTTACCTTGTTTAGAAGGATCCATGAACCCCTAGCACATCAGTCTTGAATTAACCATCAAGACAGTGAGCTAGTTACAGATCTTCCTAAGAGGTCAGTATGAATATTCCTCACCTCTTCTCTCAGGCTCTCCAGTATCACACAGTCAAACAAACTAGGAACTGCAAGTTCAGTGCTCTTTTTAAATTGCTCTTTCACCTTCCACTCACTGAAAACCCAGTTCTAGTTCTCCCTTGTGAGGGACAGGACTTCATGATGGTATTTCTTACCTCACCCCACAGAGCATGTTGCTATTCAAAATATTAAAGCACAAAAGGGAATCAATCTGCTCACATTCTATTCCAAGCTTCTAAAGATGGCAGGTGGTATATTATGTATATATGTCCTCTCAGAGTGCTGAGCACTTTGAAGCTATTTCCTAAAAAGGGAGAAGGCAGTATCTAAGAGGAGTGTGCTAATGTTTTCTTATGAACTTTGACTCTGCTGTTATATCAGTAAAGGTTAGCAGTACTGGCTTGGTAAGCTGAAAGTTGGGGCATTTCATTGATCTCTCCATGTACCTCCACTGCTAGGCATTTCTGGAATATTCAGTGCTTAATGACAAGGCTGTGTTATTTTCAAAGTAAATGTTGAAAATAGAAACCATATTTAGGTTAAAACACCTTTCTTTAAACTGTCAAAAAGGCTCCATAAATCATTTGTTGAGTTTTTAAAAAGAAAAATCATACCACTTAAAATATATTTCTAATTAATGCACTGTAACATTAACTTTTTTGGGAGTACAGCTCTTTGAATATTAACTCATGTATCGAATCAAGTAACCACTGTGACAAACAGGATACAAAACTGTTCTGTTTCTCCAAACAACTCTCATGTGCCCTTCTTTTGCAGTCATACTCTCCCATTATCCCTAACCCCTTGATCTGTTCTCGGTCACTCCAGTTCTGTCTTTTTGAGAGTGTTATTTAAATGGAATCATACAATAGGCATCCTATTAAGGTTGGTTTATTTAATTCAGCACAATGCCTTTGAGATTCATCCAAGTTATTATATCAACATATATAATGCTCATTGCTTAGTATTGCTGAGTATTATTCTATTTTTTTGGATGCCACAGAATTTGTTGATCCATTCACTTGTAGAATGACAATTGAATTGTTTCCAGCTTTAGGCAATTAATAATAGGGCTTCTACAAACATGCAGGTATAGCTTTTTGTATGAAAGTAAGTTTTCATTTCCCTTGGACAAATATCCAAGAGTGAGATTACTGGGTTGTATGGCAAGTTTATGTTTAACTTTATTAAGAAACTGCTGTTTTCCAGAGAGGGTATATGGACATTTCATATTCCACCAGTATGAGAGTTCCAATTGCTTTGCATCCTCTTCATCACTTGGTATTGTCAGTATTTATTTTTTAATTTTAGTCATTCTGAAAGGTGTATTGTGGTATCTCCTTGTGGTTTTAATTTGCATTTCCCTGATGGCTAATGACATTGAATGACTCTTCATGTGTTTATTTGACTTTTGCATATCGTTTTGGTAAAGTGTTTCTTTATGACTTAAACATTTTAAAATTGAGTTGTTTCTTGTATGATTCCTCCAACTTTATTCTTCTTTTTCAAAATTTTTCTCAATGTCTTAGGGCTTTCTATTTTCATATAAATATCAGAATCAGTTTCTCTATAGCTAGAAAAAATCTTTCTGGGATTTTGATTGGAATTAACTAAATCTTTAGGCCATCTTGGAGAAAATTGACTTCTCTATGTTGAGTTTCTCAGTTCATGAATATGGTATGTCTCTTCTATTATTTTCTAGTACCATTTTAACAAATTACCAAAAACTTAGTTGCTTAAAAAGCACCCATTTATTGTTGCACAGTTTCTGTGGGTCAGAAGGCCAAGAACAATGTGGCTTAGCTGGTTCCCTGCTTAGGGTTTCGTAAGGCTGAAATGATGGTGTCAGCAGTATTGTGTTCCTTTCTGGTGACTCTGGAGATGAATATATTTCTATTCCTTTAATAGTTATTGGACTATTCAGGTCGTCTGTTTCATCTTAGCTGAGCTTTAGTAGTTTGTAGTTTTTGAGATGTTAGTCCATTTTATCTAAGTTGTGGAATGTATGAGCCTGGAGTTTGTAATATTGCCTTATTACCATTTGAATATCTCCGTGATCACTAGTCATGTCCCATCATTCATTTCTATTTTTAGTGATAGTACCTTTTTTCCTTACTTAACGTATCACCTGGCTTGAGGTTTATGTTTTATTGTTCTTTTCAAAGAACTAACTTTTGGTTTCTTTATTTTTCTATATGTATATATTTCCTGTTTTGAAATTATTTGATTTCTACTCTATAAAATTTCCTTTATTATGCTTGTTTCATTTATTCTTCTTTCTGTAGTTTCTTAAAGTGGAAGATTAGATTATGGGCTTGCTATCTTTCTTCTTTTCTAAGATAAGCCTTTAGTGCTACAAATTATCCTCTAATCACTACATTAGCTGCATCCCACACACTTGGTATGTTTTATTTTATTTTTGTCAAGTTAGAAATATTTTCTAATTTCCCTTACAACTTTCTTTTCAACCCATATATACTTTATTTTAAGGCATGTATTTTAATTTTGAAGTGTTTGGAGATTTTCCTATTATCTTTCTGTTATTGATTTCTAGTTTAATTCTATGGGGAGAGAACATACTTTGAATTCTTTTAAATTTGTTAAAATTTGATTTATGATACATGATACGGTGTATCTGGTGAATGTCCTATTGAAAAGAATGCCTTATTTTTTACTTTTAGAATCCTCAAACAGTTGTTCCATCAAATATGCCCGCGTTTTATAACTGCAAAGACAGGATGAAGAATATTTACTTCATTTTACCCCAAATCAGAGTCTTCCATGTCACTTTGCCAAAACTTTCATTTGCTGATAAATATTAGATTTGAAATATTCTGCACAAGGATCCTATTTTCAAAAAAAGCCCTGTAAACTCCACAAAAGACTGATGATGAAAATAACTCTCATGTCTTACTAAATGCTATCCCTTTTGTGTAGAATGGAATAATTAGTAGCTTTTCCTGTTTTCTTCAAAGGCTTGTTCATTGTATCTTAGGTAACCACAGAAATGCCAGACCTACTCAGACTTTTTGCAGTAACTTAGAGAAAATAAAAGGAAAGATCTGAATGGGATTAGGGCAGGATTGGGACTCAAGGAAGTGATTTGACTACAGGGTTGACCTTTTATGGGGATGGCCTTCTGGGGTGTATTCCTTGGCGTGAATGGCCAAGTTTTCAAAAGTGCGAATGGTCGTAGTTTTCAGTGGGCAGGTCATAGAAAAGGGTGTCAGTCAACCATGGCAGAATGAAGCAGGTTTAGCAGTTTCATGGTTATAGGAGGTTTATCTAGCTGACTGCAAGTCTTTACAGGGACATAAGGTAGGCTCCTGGAAGAGGGTGCTGACGAGCACCAGGCTGAAGGCCTAAGTGGGTGTTTTCTGAGTATAGAGCTATATATGGGATCAGGAAACTGAGGGACAAATCCAGTCCTGTGATCTGGTGAAGTGCTGCTGAGCGGAAGGCAGGCAGAACAAATGGTGATTCATGGCAAATCCCACCCTTGGCACAGCAAACCTAGTTTCAGCCTGTCACCTGCGGGCTAGGTGAGAGAATTCAGTGGTCAGAGTGATGCAGATAAGGAGATGCTAATGATTACCAAGTCTAGAGAATGCAGACGATAAAAAGTTTCATATGCGGAAGTAGATGTTAAGGTGCTGAGCACGTGAAGACCCATCTTTAACATTGTCGTCGATTACAGAGAACTAAGTACATTTTAAATCTTCTTGCTAAATGATATAGTCATTAAAGTTGATATACTGGGAAACAATAGGATTAAATATGAGAGATGTACCAAAAGATAAGGGAGGGAGCATGAGGATTATCATGCAGTAAATTACACGGATAATGCAGGAAAGGCTGGGAAGATATTATATGTAGGTTAGAATCATCTGAAGCAACAGCAGGGTCTGTTAGGCCCCATTGCAATAATCTAAAGCTAAGCTCTAATTTAGACACTGAGAATCTGTGTTTATTACCCACGTCCCTTTGCTTTCTGACAGTTCCTCCATCTCTGACCCAGCACCCTCTCACTCTAAGACGCAACAACCAAAAGTGTATTACTCTTTACGATAATAAAATTCTAAGGCTGAATACAAGACAATGCTAAATGACCCAGCATTCTCTGAGAGGTTTCAGATCAGCCAGGCGCCTCCCAATAACATTGGTACCTTTAATCTGTCAAAACCAGCCTGTTCAATCACGTTTCCTTTTCAGTCTGCTTTATTCTAATTCATCACAGGGCAGGACTGGCCCTGGATGTGTGTTCGCAGACAGGTTATCTTTAGATTAGCTTTGCCTTGGTGACCTGACTCTTTGCTGCCTTCAGCATAATCCAGTTACTCTTGGGAATATCAATTAAGGCCCTCAATCACACTAATTAGAATGTCTTATAAATGTTGCCTTAGGAATTCAGCAGCTTATAAACAGGCAAACTGGGAAAATCTAGAGGTATGTGGGGGTTTTTAAATAGCTGACAGCAATTTGGGAGGGCGTATTGCTTTAGCATAGCTGAGAAGTGGGGCTGAAATTACGGTTCCCTGAATGCAGTGAAATCTCTAGTTGCTCTTTGCTGGCAAGTTTAATGCAGAATTATTAATTACATTTATTAATGACTTGGATGAAGATATAGGTTGCATGCTGATCAAGTCTGTAGATGTCACAAAGCTAGGAAGATAGCAATTATTGTGATAACAGATTCAGGAGCCAAAATGACTTCAAGACAGAATTTAGCAGCCATCTATCTAATACGCGCCTGGCAGTGCTCTATAAAGTACAATTTGAGGGTCATGTTGCTCCCCTACTCAGAAAACTTTGGTGACTCCCTATTTGCTCTTTAAATCCCAAGCCTTTGGCCTGTTATTTAAGGCTTTGCCATATTATGATTCTACCACTGTCTGCTTTCCAACAAAATCTTCTGTAGTTCTTTTTCTAAAACCTTGTGCTTGAGCAAAACTCAGTTCTTTATATACTATTTTCCATTTGTGTTCTATGCTTTCACTACCTTTGAGCATTATTCTCCACTGAAAGTTTCTTTTTCTCACATGTTCCTTCTGTCTCAAGTCTAAATATCCATACCAGTTCAAATGTCACCTCTTGTGTTTCGTCTTCTTTTATTGTCTTGGCTGGAGTGACCTCTTTCCTTTGCTAATCTTCAATAACACTTATCTGTTCCTCTCTATTTTTATCACTTTTTACTTCATATTGCAGGGGGTTTTTTTTTTGGTGCACATTTTAAGTTTCTGTTAGACCCTGCCTAGTGCTAGAATTTCTGTCTGGTAACTCTTTTTATCTCTTAAGTGTCTCTAGATGTGTGTTCTATACATAGTTGATGATACTAAAGTGTCTTGCTGGGGGTTCATCTTTACTGTGGAAAAGTGCCTTTAGAGAAGACCCTACATTTTGCCCATGAGAGGCTTCGTAGCTGTATCATAGCAACTTGGAAACTCAAAGGATAAATCCTTGAGGGGACGGATATTCCATTTTCCATGATGTGCTTATTTCACATTGCTTGCCTGTATCAAAACATATCTCGTCCACACACACACACACACACACACACACACACACACACACACATCTGCTACATAACCACACACACACACAAACTAAAAAATTTGGAAAAGAAGGAGAAAATGCTCAATACATGTTTTATTGAATAAATGAAAGACTGATGGAGAGAAAAAGATTTCCCCAAGGTCATAATATAAGAGCTGGAAGGAAGAGGTGCTGGGAAGAAAACATCATTTAATTTATCAGATGAAACAACAGCTTGTGATATGACGAGCTCACCTGTGATTTGTGTACAACCAGGCTAAAAAAGGAAGCATGAACCAGAGATTTTTGGAGAGGTGTGGTCAAGAGAGGTGACGGGAGTTGGAAACTTGCATAGTCCTTTAGGGTGGCCACACCTCTTGGATTCCTTGTGTAGTTTATATCTTTTGTTATAATTTAATGCTCTTAAAATTGGCCCATTTTAAATGATGTTATATGGTCATCTTATTTATCAAATACCTCTTTGATCTGTTTAAGCTGCTGCATACCTGTGGTTGTGAAACTTGTGGCATAGGCTATTTGAGATAATAATCTTTGTAGTTAGCCTAATGTGGATATAAATAGCATCTTTGTCACTTACTGGAAATATGAGCTGGACAAGTTATCAAGACCTCTGCAAGCATTCTTATATGGCTGTTACCTTCGACACAGAAAGCAGAGTTCTTGAGCATGGAATTTCTGCATCATCTTCAGGTTTCAGTATTTATAACCCACAGAGGTTTTACCAGTGGCCAGATATTTCTTGGGTAGTAGAAAAAGAAATACTTCACAGAGCTGTCAAATCTCCACATCTTCAGCATTAAATATCATGCAACCAAATGTAAGGGTATGGTTCACAGCAGTTGGCTGTTTCAGCTGGTTATTAATAGGAAGGCGAAAGATCATAGAAAGTTGACTCCTCCCTCATCATTTCTGTCTTCCAGTGAGAAGAGGAGAGCACGAACAGCAGGAATTAGATTTATATATTTTCCTTAATATAAATTCACAGTATGGTAGATTGCAGACAAAGTCTGAATCCAGGATTTCTAGACTTTCTATGTGTCTATGTGTCACTAAAAGGGAAAAGTACCTGGATTGTAAAGTATTCCAACTAGAAATAGACCAAGGGAATGCAAAGAGGGGTAAGAAGGTTGAATTTATCTGCCAGAAATGTAAATCCTGGTCAAAAAATCCAGATGAATATTTTTTAAGTAGGCAGTTATAGTTCAGTGAAAAAGAGAGTTGTGGAGCCAGAAAGCTGGAGTTTGATCATAGCTCTACCACTCTCTAGCCAAAGGATCGTGGTGATGTTATTGAAACTTGTCTCTAGCCAAAGGATCTTAGTTATGTTATTTAAACCTGTGTATTAAACTTCTTTATCTGCATGTAATATGGGAATTGAAAAACAAACAACAAAAAAACAGAAACAAAATAAAACCTGTCTTATTGGTTGGTTCTGACAATGAAATTTGTTAATATTGTAAAATTCTTAGAACAGTCCCTAGTCTATAGTCAGCAGGCATGAATGCTAGTTATTATTATTTAAGCCCTTGAAAGTAGTAAGTGATTTCCCTTACCTTTGTATTTATGGTTACAGGATGACACTTCTGTGGTGTGTAGTGAGTCTCTACTTTTATGGAATCCTGCAAAGTGATGCCTCAGGTAAGTGAATGGCTTTTGACAATGTATTAAAATGCAAGTCATGCGTAGGGTAATGAGTCCACTCTTCCTGAAAATGAATTTAAATAAACATAATGTTATTCATGTCCATTGTCTTCTGCGGTAGCAAATAATCATAAAGCAGAATAATAGAATTTTGATGATGGAAAGAACCATTGCTGTCTCTAGTCTTCATGGGATAGAGTACACAGGGGGCAGTGGGCCGCTGTGTTTAAACACAGGTATTTTTCATTACCTTCACACTCAGCCAACTAGAATATTGCTTTTTTCCCTTACCTCAGGTCCTATGGGGGAAAAATGGGAGTGATAATAGCACAATCTGTTTTTCAAATTTGAGCCAGTGGTGGAAAAGTTATCAGTGGTAATAATCCATTGAGATGTTAAATAAAATAATGAGTTTTTGTCATATTGTTTCTATATAGGAAAAAGAAAGGATCTGTCTTTAGACTCATTCTTTCTCTGGATGTTGCTTTATAAGAGGAACCAGCTAAGACCTTTATAGAGTTTGAAAACCAAACTCAGTCATCATGGGCCTGGATCACGTGAAATTAGATATGGAAGAGACTTGCTATTTGAAAGTCCATCTTTTCAGATCTCCTCTTCTTCCCAGAATTATGCCCAGAATCACTCTCTATCTCTGACTATTAATCATTACATTTCAGCCTATGTTTTTGGACTAATCAAATTCTTAGAAAGTTTTTAGTACATAAAACTGAAATTTGTCTCTTTGATTTTAGTATCTAAAACTGAAATTTGTCTCTTTCCAAACATTTACTTGGTTCAACTGTAGGACTGAAAAAAAAAAAAGAAACAAACAAACAAACAAACAAAACAACCAAAACCTAATGCAATGGTTCTCTAATTGTAATGAAGGGAACCTAGAGGTCCTCATTTTATAAAGCTTTTCATGTAAAATTCCCCTGAACACCATAAACCATACTTTACATATCGTTGCTTTAATTCCTTTTCTTTGTGAGAGGGCTTCTGCAATGTTAAGTTAGCTACCATATAACCATGACCTCAGTGTTCTGCAATATATGCCTTCAACTGTTTTTCATATGACATGGATTTGAGCTCTCCTACCATCCTGATCATCTTTTCTGGGTGCGTTTCAGCTTTTCTATGCCACATAAAACATTGTATTAGAAACCAAAAATAGTACTAAAGGAGTGGTATAAGTAGGACAGAGTACAGCTCAGTGCTGAAACTAGCAGTAACTTCTAGCCTTGTTGGCCCTTTGGGGCTTCACAGAGGAATGGCTGTAGATAACCGGAGATGTTATTCGGCTGGGATGCGCTAGGAGACAGCTCCTTGGCTGTTTAGTCCAGCATCTGTCCTGCTTGGTTAGGTGTCGCGTTTGATAGGTGAGTTTCTTGATGTCCTGATTTTCAAATATGTTAAATATAATTCTTGATTTTAGTTTGTTCTTATTTGATTTAGTTCTATGTTTGAATGCTATCTGCTCACAGAGGCTTCCTTGACCATCTTAACTAAAAATCCCTACCAGTCACTCTCTCTCCCTCCATCCTGTTTTAGTTTTCTTTGTAACACTCACATTCCCTGATATTATATTAGCCTTCTTTCTCTTCTCTCCTCCTCCTCCCTCTTCCTCTTCTCTTGTTTCCTCCTCCTTTTCCTTCCTTTTTTTCTTCCTGAACTCCCTGTCCTTCCTCCTTTTCTGCCTCCCTTCTTTCCTTTCTCTCCATCTCTTTTTCTTCCTCCTTCCCTCCCTCTGTCTTGGATTTTAAGCTGCCTGAGGGCAGGAACTTGTTCAGGAACTTTTGTTTGTTATCCAAACACTCAGAATAATACTGACACATAGACACATAGCAGATGCTCAATACATAGGTGTTAAATGGTTGAATACATGTCCCTTTACATCCTTTCCCCTGCCCCCAGACTGTCCAGTTTTATAATGGAACGTGTTTGGGTTCATGCCAGTAATTCATCATGTGGTTTTATGTCCTCCCTCATCCTGAAGGAAGAGGGACAGGTGACTGTGTTACCATTGCTGAAGGATCATGGAGGTTCCAGAAGCTAATGAGTGCTGGTGCCTTCCCAGCAGTCCTGACCATGTTACTTTTCTGAATGACCTTTACTGTAATCCATCCAAGGAGTCCCCAGCCCCCACCTCAAGTGCTGTTGGTAAGAGAGCTTTCTATCCAGGAACTGTGACTCATAATTCTGCCAGGGGAAGCTAACTTCTTGAATAAGATAAGTTCTCATACCAGCCACATTGCGTCACCGTGGGAGCAGGAAACATGTTGTAATCCCCTCAGCCCATCTGGCACGTACTCATTTGCCTTCCTTATGAAGAGGTGTATTGTGTCTGACAGTGATGCCACTTCCTAGTTGGAGGGAGAGGAACAAAAAGGACATGTTGTTGACAAAAACGAAAAGAGCAACTGGCTCTGGGCTAGTGGGGGAAGAAAGAAATCATTGCGCATCTTGAGGGATCAACCAACCTCTCTGCACATGAAAGTATTGCCTTTTACAAGGCATCTGTGGATGCTGACAGATTTGTTGGTCTTTCATGAGGCTCTCCCTGTGCTCAGGTTCCCATCTCAACGGAAACACAGGTTGATGTGAGGAACAAAGCAGAAATGTTCTGAAAACCCTAAAGCAATCTACATGCGTATCATATTAGTAAGACATTTATTTTGTTCTGAGTCCTTCCATGTGGGCCTTTTAAGAGAATCCTCAAATATAAAAAAGAAACCATAAAAGCATAAGAACTTAGCGCCATGCAATGTGTTTTCACACGCAGTGAACTGGCCGTGAAGTCATACGATTCTGACTTCCGATCATGATTTTTCTGGTAGCAGTACTGTGATCCCCTTATCCCCTCAGGAATGGGGGAGCAACATTTTCATCTTAGGTGATGATAAAAGCAAATGATTTTTTAAGAAAGCTTTATTTCCCTTTAAGGAATTAAAGCTTGGATAATTATAATAGCGATTCTATAATTATAATGTGCTAGTTATAGTAATAATAATAAAGCTCCCTTTGCTTAAAAAAGCAGTTTGCATTGTACATATTCAATGTCAGTCTCACACCCAAACCATGGGGTAGTCAGAGCTGTTGTAACTACCTTTGTTGGGTAAGACAAGTTAGGATCAAAGTATTTAATTGTATTACTCGAAGTCACACAGCTATACTTAGCATGCTTGTGACTTCAACGAGTTTCTGGATTCCTGACATCCATATTATTTTTACGAAATATGCTCCAGTTGGGGTCTATTAGAATATAAATTACTAAGAAAAAAGATTAAGATCTAAGGGATCACAGGTAATCATTTTGCAAACTGTTGAAGAACCACTCTGTGATAGGTTTCTATGCTTTGTAGGTAAGGTATATCCTTACACGCTTATCCTGCCCCCTCACAGCACTGAAACATTTTCTTCAGGAGGAAAATGATTGTAATACAAAATTCAAACCCAATATTCCTTTTTTTGCTTATTATAGTATTAAATATTTTCACTAATAAACTCGAAGAAGTTCTGTTTGTAAGACTTCGAAATGGAAACTTCAGCTCAATACACGTCTCTTTTGCTGTGCCTCATTGGCAGTGTGTCAGGAAGCTGAACTGTTAAAAGCTGCCTTTGGAGTAGACATAAATTTTGGAACCTGTGATCCCAAGTTGAGGAGGTAATAAAAATAGCACCATATAGAATATAGTGAATTTAAAAAATATTACCATATCAAAATTATTTGCTGGACAAATCACATGAAAAAGAGAGTACACTGCCACCCCAAAATGCAGGCACACACACGGATCTTTGAGAAAGATTTTATTTCAAAGTCAACAGTTGACTGTGTGCCAGGTGCAGGGCTGGATTTCACACACATTATCAGGAACTTCGCAGGAACCATTGTACAGGGGTAGGGGCTGGAGACTCTTCTACCTGTTTGATAGTTTAGGAAATGAAGATCCAGGGAGGTGGCCCAAGTGCTCATGATAGCCTGGCTTGCCTGATAGAGCCAGGCTGCCTTGACTCCAGAAACAGTGCTCTTTTTTATTTTTCCATACTATAATTGCCTTTCTTTAGGACTGTGCTCTGCTACTAGAAGTAAGATCCTCTGATTCCTTTTCCATTATATTTTACAAAATTGGTAGAGAATGGAAATCATCTATCCAATGATTGGGAGTGAATTATACAATGCAAAATAAATAAATAGTAAAAAACACTGTGGTTTCCTAGTAATTGAGAGATTCAAGTTCTGTTTTACTCTGTGACTTGTTTGATGACAGTAAAGGGGTCATTTCATCACTTTTTGTCATTGCATCCTTATTTATAAACCAAGCCAACCAACCAAACAATTAACAAACAATAGCAGCAGATCCCAGTCAATTCCAGTTTCTTGATTTTTATGAAGGAACACTATGCATCATGGACACACACAGGGTATACTCCTATTAGCTACTTAAATTCTTTCTAATAACAATGTTAACAATGATTTCACTTTATTCTAAAGATCATGCGTTTGACCATTTTAGATTGTAGAATCCAGGGTTAGTAAGAGGAATTTCTTATTTTAAGAGGAATACAGTAAAGTTTGAGAGAAGGAAGAGGAAATAATTACCAAATAGAATTCCGTGAGAGCAGAGAAAGTTACCAATCCTATCAGGAGATATTGGGGAAGACTTAATCATTGCTCCTTCCTAGGAAGAAACGCATCTCTTATTTGGGAATGAAATAGTTCAGGGCAACTCAAAAGATAGTGCAAAGGCATTTAGAAGCCAAGCTGGAAAGGTAGGTTGGGAACAAATTATGCAGGACGGGAATTACTTCAGGTAAAGAGAATGTCCACATTTAATGTATTTTGGTTATAGTTGGCTAGGTTTCTTTTCCTTTTTTTAAATTCTGTCGTATTTTTGCAAGGACATACACTATTATTAATTCTATGTGATGGTTCTTTCACCTTTTGGTAAGAATTCAGTTTGTTACCAGCCCCAGTGGCCTCATTTTATTTGAATATCCTTGCTTTAATAACTCCGTGCTCAGATATACTTGTGACATTGTGTCCTGTCCCAGTTGCCCATGGCTGGTCATCCTGAACACTCTTCATTTCTATGTAATTTAGTCCAAACATTTGGAAAATGTATGAAGAATACTGTTTCATTTTATTCTTAGTCCTAAAGGTCATTGGAATTACAGAATTTCACCCTGTTGTCATTTAAATGATGCCTCTCGGAAGCAGATCTCTTCACTTTTTTTTTTTTCTTTAGCTGTGTTTATAGCTTGAAGCACACTTATATTTTAGTTACTTATATTTCCCAAGGGTGGATTTACTGTAGCCTGATTGAAAAGAAATTTAAGTACCACATAATTGGCTTGATACTGAGTTTGCAAATACACAGCTTCTTGTATCACAGTGATAATTCTAAGTTTAGAAAAATGACCTGGTTCTTTTTCACATGGCTGTGTTAGTTAAAGGAAACCAGTATTTTTGTAGGAACTCCTGCATACCGTTGTAGGAAAAAATGTTTGTTTTACAAGAATTTATTCTACCCTTTGAATTACCTTTGTTTTTGCTATCCTTTCCCTCACTCCCCCAACCCTGAATATTCATTTCTACCATATTTTAGGGACCAGATTGCCACCTTAGCAGTGACTCACTACCAAGACCAGTTTCTACCCACTTTTCTTTCACCACTTAAAAAGTTTCTTTTCTGTTTAACTGATTAACTTTTTAGAAAATAAAATATATACCCACCCAGGATAACAACACAATGATTGCTTTATTTTTAAATCCACTGAGTGCTGCCATCTCTCATTTATTTTTGAGGAACAGTGAGAAAATGGATACATTTAACAAATAATTTGGGAACCTCAGTCACCTTCAAGTTACCTGCTATCCAAACCTATAAAAGCTGATGTACAAAATTTTCTGGCTTTGCCTTTGCGTGTTTTAGAGATAGTGGGAATAATGAAAATGCAAGATGACTACGACAATGAGAGAAAATAAATAAAATAATCACTTCCTCAGCAACCTAGACCATATTCTGTTGTGTTTTATGACATTCATTTCTCCTTCTACCATAGGAACCAAAATGCTTGGTATAGCTATACATTACTGGGAAATAAATAGCACTTTTCTGCAGTGTTTGTAGGGTCTGAAATAGTTTAAGGCTCTTATCCATCAGCCCATTTTTTTTTACTTCTGAGATACTTTCATATTTATTTATTTATTTATTTATTTATTTTTTGAGACGGAGCTTCGCTCTTGTTGCCAGGCTGGAGTGCAATGGTGCGATCTCAGCTCACCTCAACCTCCACCTCCCAAGTTCAAGTGATTCTCCTGCCTCAGCCTCCCTAGTAGCTGGGATTACAGGCATTTGCCACCATGCCCAACTAATTCTGTATTTTTTTGTAGAGATGGGGTTTCTCCATGTTGGTCGGGTTGGTCTGGAACTCCTGACCTCAGGTGATCTGCCTGCCTCAGCCTCCCAAAGTGCTGGAATGGCAGGCTACTTTCATATTTTTTTTAAAGTGCTCTTTAAGGTTTATAGTAGTGTTCATTTTGATATGTGCACCAAGATACTGGTGTTTGCGTTTCCCCCTTCCCTTATGTAAGAAAATGTTATGGTCTCTTTGAGATTTGGACTTGCCACCCAGTGCTACCAAGACTGACCAATTTAGTCTATTTGCCAATTACGTTTCCTCAGTGGAACCTTCTCCAGGACCT
The DNA here is from genome assembly GCF_000001405.40 of Homo sapiens. Taxonomy (NCBI): domain Eukaryota; kingdom Metazoa; phylum Chordata; class Mammalia; order Primates; family Hominidae; genus Homo; species Homo sapiens. The sequence continues at coordinate 190,571,063 of NC_000003.12, forward strand.
ACTGCATACGTGTAGATACTCAAGAGGAAAGAAAAAGAAAACAGGCACATCGATCATGATTTTTTTTATGTGTGATTTTTTCTGTTAACTATTGCTTTTTATTAATTTATTATGGTGGGTTTTATTTTTTCCTAATTACTTACCCTTGCATAAGAAGTATAACTATGGGCCAGGCACACTGGCTCATGCCTATAATGCCAGTACTTTGGGAGGCTGAGGTGGGGAGATTGCTTGAGGCCAGAAGTTTGAGACCAGCCTGCACAAAATAATAAGACCCTGACTCCACAAAAAAAAAATTAAAAAAATAGCTGAGTATGGTGATGCACACCTGTAGTCCCAGCTAATCAGGAGGCTGAGGTGGGAGGATCACTTGAGACTGGCCGGTAAAGGCTAAAATGAGCTGTGATCACGCCACTGCACTCCAGCCTGGGCGACAGAACAAGACCCTGTCTCTCTCTTTCTCAAAAAAAAGTACAACTATAGTTGAAATATAGACCTTTATTATTATTACTAGATGAGAGATTAAATTGTATTTATCATATGTAAAATGACATTTCGAAGTATTTATACATTGTGGAATGACTAAATCTAGCTAATTAACATATGTATTACCTAACATAGTTACCATTTTTGGAGTGAGAAGACTTTAGATTCACTGTTATCACTTTAAAGCAAGCTTGTCCAACCCGTGGCCCGCGGGCCACATGAAGCCCAAAACGGCCTTGAATATGGCCCAACACAAATTTTGAAACTTTCTTAAAACATTATGGACTTTTTGTGATTTTCATTTTTAGATCATCAGTTATTGTTAGTGTTAGCTTATTTTATGTGTGGCCCAAGACAATTCTTCTTCTTCCAAAGTGGCACAGGAGAGCCGGAAGATTGGACACATCTGCTTTAAGGCAAACAGATATACAAATTATTGTTCCCAAGTGGATACCAACCATTATTAATTATTATTTACTGTAGTTTTGTTTGCCCTTTTTTTCAAGGGGGAGAAATCTTTAATTGTTTGCCATAGACTTATCTGATGACCAGATGCAAAAACCTACTAGCTTTAAATTGATGCACCTGAGTTAACCTGAATGCCCTATCCTTCTCTAGCGTTTGGGACTTCAGACTATCCCAAAATTGCTTAATGGACTGATGTTTGATTTTTAGAGTGAAAACATTAATTTTATTCTTATATTTTCAATGTTTTTTGAATTTTTAAATTTATCTGGTCATCTAGAGAAAACTGAATTTCTTATATGACAGATATTTTGACATTCACAGCTTGATTCTACATGTCTTTTTGTCATTTTCTGGTGTCCACTCAAGGTAAAGGCAAATAAGAAAAAAGAGAAGAAGGAGAGAAAAGAGGAATAATGAGGGAGAGAGGAAGAGAGAGAGAGACCTTTTTTTGAAAAAGAGAGATAGTAGGAAAAAGAGAGAGAGAGGCATAAAATGCAAAGAGAAAAATAGAGATAAAATATTCCTACACGGGTTTCCTGGATCTGATGTAAACCCGGCTATATACTTTTTTCAGATTACCAAAGAAGCTAAACCATTTTTAATACCACATTTAAATACTCCCCCCTTTTTTTCCTGAGCTTTGCATTGAATGGTTTCCTTTTTGAACAGTTAATGTTTTCTAGGTTTTTTTGTTTGTTTATTTTACATTCTTACTCTTTCCCTCCTTCCGAGTATATTAAAATGGTGAGAGAAAATAGAAACCTTAAATATTCCAGAAGTTTCCTTACATCTAGTGCCCCTACAGCCATGAGAGTGGTCAGCATGTCCAGGGTTAATGCTTTGTTTTTTTTTTTTTTTTTTTTTTGAGACGGAGTCTCGCTCTGTCGCCCAGGCTGGAGTGCAGTGGCGGGATCTCGGCTCACTGCAAGCTCCGCCTCCCGGGTTCACGCCATTCTCCTGCCTCAGCCTCCCGAGTAGCTGGGACTACAGGCGCCCGCCACCACGCCCGGCTAATTTTTTGTATTTTTAGTAGAGACGGGGTTTCACCGTTTTAGCCGGGATGGTCTCGATCTCCTGACCTCGTGATCCGCCCGCCTCGGCCTCCCAAAGTTCTGGGATTACAGGCGTGAGAATGCTTTGTTAATCAGGATACTTTTATTCTGAAAAAAAGTGTACAGCAGAGATGGTGGAGACTTAAAGCTTTGCATGCCCCTCAGGATAATGAAGGAAGAAGAGATGGCGGGCAAAAGTGTAAGACTCTGGACCCCCTTTTGCAAGTTTATACGTTCTAAGGCAGAAACAATCTGCTGTTTGCAATTGACACTGAGCTGTGAAATGTTTTTGCTAGTAGCAGTGTATTTCTTGAGGCACAGTAGAAACCCAACCAATCTATATTCAAGTCTAAGAGGAGGGTGTAGCTTTACTTGGAGGTTGATTGAAATCATGGAAATTGTGAATGGAGTAATTAGTAATCGGAAGTGTTGGAGGACTTTCTCCCTCCCGCTGCATGCAGTATTCTTAGTGAAATGCTAAGGGGAATTTCAGGAAGAAAGTGAAGACGGGGTTGGTTGTTTTATTAAGGCAAACTTTTAGCTCTCTCACCTTTATTACTCTAAATATCCTGTTCTTAAAAAGGATTCTTCCTCTCATTTATAATGCAGTAATAATTGATGACTACAATAATAGCCATGAAGCATTTTACAGTATTGGGTTTTTAATCACTAAAAGAAGACCATGTTAAGCTAAACATGGCTTTAAATCTATTTTATTTTAATTCTCTGTAAATTGATAATTACTATATAGTGGTGGGTAGGTATGTAATAGGAAGGAAGGTGAGGAAACTCACATTCTTTGAATCAAGGATTATATTCATATAATATTATATTCATTTCTGAAAAGCCTCATAATTCAGAAATACATGTTTTCTTCCATCGTTACAAGTGAGGGACTCCAAATTCAAAAAATTGAATGAACTTACCTAATATCACTATAGAAGTAAGTGGTAAAATTTGTATTGCTCTTTGACTTTAAGATGCACTGTCATTTAAAATACACCATGCTGCCACTGAGTTATTTATAATTAAAACTTCATTTTAAAACATGCCAACCAAATCTGTCAATAATTGATGATACGGAACACACATATTTGAAAAGAAACGTTTAACCAGTTACCAAAACAGAATCTAGTATGTGATTTTTCGTGTTGCAAATAAAATTTCAAGGTGATTTGCTTCAGTCTTCCTGAAACATATACAGTACATTTTAATTGTGTATATTTAGATAATATACATCTTTCCAAGTTTATACAAATTTTCTCAAAGGAAAGCAGTTCTATACAGGAAGAAGATTGCAGATGAATGAAGGAAAGGTGGCTTGGTACAGGTGCAGTGGGTTTGAGTGCAGTGGGAAGCTGTTAACTTTAGTATTCTGCAAGGTTGCTTTGGCATTATTCATATGGCTTCCCCTGTGGCTAACTCAGAGATACTAACTCTAACTCCCTAGCTTTTGCTCCTTTTCCAATGACTGACTGCAGGCTCTGTCCCTCCACTTAGGTGTTAAGGGACTCAGTCAAGGATGTTTACATGTGCCTCAGAGATTTTTTTGGGTACCCAGCAGTGTAGAGTTCTAGAAAGTTCTTTTCAGTTTACAAATGCCAGTTCTTTTCTGCTAGTCTTTGGCAGTGATTGAATGTGAATTGTGAAATTTGATTGTGGTCTCACTCCAAGTTCTATTTTATTTCTGGTGGAGCTGGAATGTTTTATCTTTCTCGGAAACGATCACTTTTTGTGTGTATGGCAACAAAACAGCTAGAATAACTGTCACTTGGGCTCAGCAAGTACACAAAAGTATGGGCTGGGGGCATTTTAACCAATCCATATTCATACACAGGTAAGCTATTCCACTTACTGCAAACTCTCCAGAATTGAAATCCCAGCAGATTTAATACACAAAGCCTCTTCAGTCCTAGGGAAATGAGTTTTTTTTTAACAGACTGATTATTCATTTCAAAACATGGAATATTTTTGTCATAAAAGGATGATAAGTATTGCCCTCCTATTTTAAATATGTACCTTTGTGATTTAATAGAAACTGGTCAAAGATCTATATAACCTCCACATTTAGGGAGGTTGGTCCTTCATGATTAGATGTGAAACCCAGTTCAGCATATGTCTCCTGGGCACCTGTTATGTGCAGACCTTTGTACGTAGGGTAGGCAAAGATGAAGACATTGTGCGTGTATTCATTCATTCATTCATCTGTAGTGTGTATGTGCTGGACACTGTGCTTGCCTGTATTGGTAACCAAAACAAAAATTATCTTTGCCCTCATGAAATTCACAGTCTTGGGGATGGCTTCAAGTCTTTTCTTACTTGAAGAACGTAAGTAAACAAATTTTTATAAGAAGTTCTCTATAGTTATAAATAAGGCATTATATTGATGGAAAGTAATGGGATATTCCTTTCCTTATCCCATAGTTAAGGAAAATCTATTAAAGAATATGCTATTTAATTGAGAATTGAGGGATGAGAAAGAGCCACCTTCAAAGGCAGTGGCATGAGATGTAGGCCTTGGGTTGCAGGAGCTTTGAGAACTATGGGGAAAGAAACATGCGACGAAGAGGAAGCCGTGGTCAGAGTGCAGCACATACTGAGGGTGTTGTTACATTTACTTGAACTGCAGTAAAAGGCCATTGAAAGGATTTGGGCAGGACTGTTACATTATCCAGCTAAGGTATTAAATGATCTTGTGAGCTGCTATGTAGGAATAAGATTGGAAAAGATTTCTGTTTTTCCCAGTATGGCGGACAAGGTCCTCTAAACACCCCTTTTGCTGTAAAGCAGCTAGAAATGCTGCATTTAAAAATAAATGTCATTTAAAATGAATTGCTGAGTTGGTAAGAAATCCTTAGAGGCCAAAATTGAAGTGAAAACAGGAATCCAGAAAAGAAAGGAAGCCAGCTCTGCAGCTGGCGGCTACCCAGGGTAACATCCAGAGTCAGAGGAAGGAGATATATTTAAATGCGAGGACATTTGGATAATTTTTAGAAAAAAAAAATAGTTAAATTCCTACCTTGTACTTTACCTCAAAACAAATCGCAGTTGAATTAAATATTTAAATGTAAAAAACCCTAAGAGTAGTAGAAAAAATACATGCAAATATTTATTATAATGTTGGGATGGATACATTTGTAGATATGTCATCAAAGGTAAGGGTCAGCAAAGAAAGTCTGACATAATTGACTACATAAAGATTTTAAAAATTAGTATAGCACAGAATATTGTAAGTTAAAGGACAAATGAAAAATTGGGAAAACATATGGCAAAGGGTTAATGTCATCAGAATGCAAGGAGCTATTATATATATATACACACACACACACGCACATTTTAATGGAAAAATTGGCAAAGATTTGAAACTAGCAGTTCAGGCAGTCAAAAACAGATCAACACAAATTGATCAGTCTAAAAAGAAGCTCAAGTTAACGAGTGACAAAATAGATTCAAACTAAACCAACATGCGATGCCATTTTTTTTCACTCATCAGTCTGGCAGAGATTAAAGAACAATCCAGCCTAGCATTGGTCAGGATATGGTGATCTAATAACCAGGTATGCTGGTCTCTCACACACAGTGGTTGAGAGCTCACCTGGAATAGGCTTTGTGGAGGGGACCTGGGCTATTTGTTTCAAAGATACCACCAAAATGCCTCCCTTTAATCTTGTAATGAACCATACATGCTATATTCTAAGAAAATACTCGGAGAAATGCATCAAGACATGCTCAAAAACTATATTTTTCATAGGATTGTTACAATGGCCGGGCGCGGTGGCTCACGCCTGTAATCCCAGCACTTTGGGAGGCTGAGGTGGGCGGATCACGAGGTCAGGAGATCGAGAGCACGGTGAAACCCCGTCTCTACTAAAAATACAAAAAATTAGCCGGGCGCGGTGGCGGGCGCCTGTAGTCCCAGCTACTCGGGAGGCTGAGGCAGGAGAATGGCGTGAACCCGGGAGGCGGAGCTTGCAGGGAGCCGAGATCGCGCCACCGCACTCCCGCCTGGGCGACAGAGCGAGACTCCGTCTCAAAAAAAAAAAAAAAAAAAAAGGATTGTTACAATAAGTAACATTGGAAACAATATAAATATTCATGATAAAGGGAGCTTAAATCTATATATATATGTGTATATCAATACAATGGAATATGATGGATTCATTTATGGTAGATGTTTCTGTATAAAAACAAATACCATATAGCAGAACTAGTGTGAAACCTTTACCAACTGTGGCAGTTGTTTGCCGGAGCTAGGTGGTATGGGCTTGTAAGAACCAACTATTCAATTTTTAGGAAGCTTTTGAGTCATTTGTCAAATTAGTCATTTGAAGTTGGCTTTGGTAAGAGTTTTTACCACATGAAAATTGGTAAACCGATGCTAGAAATTAGCTTTGTCATCATCAACCCCCGGCTGTTTACCAGCACGCCACTCTGGTCATGCATGTGTAAGCATGTGGAAAACCTTTCTGGCAGAAGATACATGCCTTTTCTTTCCCCCCTGCAGGATCTTGCTCTGTTACCTAGGCTAGAGTGCTCACTGCAGCCTCAAATTCCTGTGCTCAAGAGGTTCTCTTGCCTCAGCCTTCCAAGTAGCTGGGACTATAGGGGCATGCCACCAGGCTCAGCTAATTTTTTAATTTTTTTGTGGAGATGGGGTCTCGCTATGTTGCCCAGGTTGGTCTTGAATTCCTGGCCTCAGGAGATCCTCCTGAGTGATCTTCTTGTGTTGGCCTACCAAAGTACTGGGATTACAGGTGTGAGCCACCATGTCCAGCCTACACCCAACCCTTAACAGTGATTATCTTTGAAAAGTGGAATTATGTTTGGGTTTATTTCTGCCCCTTTTAAAATAACTTTATTTTCTGTTACTACATTAATTCATTTAGGATTATGGCCTCCAACTGCATCGGTGTTTCTGCAAAGGGAGCTAAGCATTGGGCACACATGGGCATAAACATGGGAACAATAGACTCTGCAGAGAACTACCAGAGGGAGGTGGGAGGAGGACACAGGTTGAAAAACTACCTATCGGGTATCTATACCCCAAACTTCAGCATTATGCAATATTCCCATGTTACTAACCTGCGTATGTACCCCCATATCTAAAATGAAAGTTGAAATGAAAAATAATTCAAAAATGAAATTACTTATTGTCTGACTGTATTTCAATCTAATTAAATTTATAATTGGAAGTAAAGGGTAACTTAATTTTTAGAAGTAAGAAAGTATATAGATCTGAGCTGTTGTATTCCTCGGGATGGCAAGCAAGAGGCAATTGTGACAGGTATGATAGTTTAAGCCTTGGCTCTTTGTTTCTGTCTGTAAATTGGTATGTTAATAACTTCTCTAGCACAGAGGTAACTTCAATATTCATGAAATGACCTCAGTAGAATACTAAATTAGAAACTTTGTAATGGAAAATAGATATTACCATAGATTTTCCTGCATTATAACCATGGCTTGTGTTTGTGTATTTGTTAGCATGTTGTGTCAAGAAAATAAGCATTAGCTACCCAAATACTTGGAATTTGAAATTAGCAACTCCCCACTTTCCTCCATCAGTCTACTAATATTGGATACTGTATTAGTCTGTTCCCAAGTTGCTAATAAAGACATACCCAAGACTGGGTCATTTATAAAGCAAGAGAGGTTTAATGAACTCACAGCTCCACATGGTTGGGGAGGCCTCAAAATCATGGAGGAAGGTAGAAAAGGAGGAGCAAAGGCATGTCCTACATGGCAGCAGGCCAGAGAGCGTGTGCAGGGGAACTGCCCTTTATAAAACCATCAGATCTCATGAGACTATCATGACAACAGCATGGGAAAAACCCGCACCTGTGATTCAATTACCTCACACTAGGTCCCTCCCATGGTATGTGGGGAGTATGGGAGCTACAATTCAAGATGATATTTGGGTGGGGACACAGCCAAACCATATCAGATACTTAGCCCTAAACCTATCTATACACCCTGATTCTTACCAACTTTATCTACTCATTTAAACATATCTCTTTGTTACAGGCAGCTTTCTGTTTTGTTTGTTTTTGGTTTTGTTTTTAAAAGCTCAGTACTACAGAACATAGTAAGCTAGTTATCAACATTTCCGTATCTGTAGGCATGGTTATGCATGTGTTAAATTAATACTTCTTCCTTCAACCATCAGCCTTTCTTCATTTCTCTATGCAATAAACATATGTTGTATTGGGCTTACACTGTGTGCTAGATACAGTTCACATTATCATTATATTCACTAACCATTACAGGGATGAATGATATCATACAGTATTTACAGTATTAAAATGGTTATATTATTTGATCTTAGAATAGCATTGTAAAATATATTATTATTGTCACTTCACAAATAAGGAAATAGAGGCCCGGAGAGATTAGGTGGTTTAGACGTAGTTTTGCATATAGGAAGTAGAACCAGGACTCAAGGTTTTGTCCTCTGTTCCCAAGCCCATTATTCTTTTTCCTGGCAGACCCAAGGGATTCCTACCTTTTTATTACTGAGGACATCTTTTATTTTATATTTTTTCTAAAGATTCCTTTTATTGCAAGCAATAAAACCAGACACATTAGTCGTGCTGCCATCACAACAATCTAATTTTAGAACATTTCATCACCCCAAAACGAAGCCCTGAGGATTAGCAGCCAATCCACAACCCATTCTCCCCCACCCAAGCCCTAGGCAACCAGTAGTCTACTTCCTGTCTCTATAGATTTGCCTATTCCGGATATTTCATACAAGTGGGATGATATTATATGTGGCATATTGTGATTGATTTAGTTTTCACTTAATGCAATGTTTTCAAGGTACAGCTATGATATAGCATGTATCACTACATCATTTTTTAGTGATGAATAATATTCATCATTGAATCATAATTGAGAAATATTCTTCATCCCTGATGCACCTGTGTGTGATTTCCAAATTTTGACTATCATGAATAATGCTACTATGAACATATGTGTACAAGTTTTTGTGTGGACATATGTTTTCATTTTTCTTGGGTATATAGCTGTAAGTTGAATTACTGGATCAAGGTAACTCTATGCTTAACATTTTGAAGAACTGCCAACTACGTTCCAACGTAACTGTGCCATTGTAAATGTCTTTTTGAAGTATTTTGAAGTATATACCTATTTGAGGTATTTGCACTCTCATATTCAACTGAGAACATCTCCTGTGAGTATCTCATGTTCAACTGATTTCAGCTCTTGTGTATCTCGTGTTCAACTCTTATGCTCAACTGATTTCAACTCCAATGAATATCTACCAAGAAGTGGGACTGCTGGATGAAATGCTACTCTCATTTTTAATTATTTGGCAAAACTTCCATAGTGTTTTTCCAGAATGGATAAAGAGAATGCATTATATCATACAATTGAGTGTCAGTCAGCCCTAAGAAAGGAGGAAATCCTGCCATATGCATAGACCTGGAGGACATTATGCTAAGTTAAATAAGCCAGGCACAGAAGGACAGACACTACATGATGCTATTTACATGAGGAATCTAAAATAGTCAAACTCATAGAAGCTGGGAGTAGAATGGTGGTTGCCAGAGGCTGAGAAGGGGGAGAAATGGAGAGGTGTTAATCAAAGGGTGCAAAGTTTCAGTTACGCAAGGTAAGTCCTAGAAATCTACTCTACAGCTTAGTGCCTATGGTTAACAATTCTGTATTGTATACTTAAGAACTCGCTAGGAAATTAAATGTTACATAAAGTGTTCTTATCACTAAAATAATTAATACATAAATGAATACATAAATAGGGCAGGAGGAAACTTTTAGAGGTTATGTGTATGTTTATGGCATAGATTGTGATGATGGTTTCTTGCCCGTGTATATATCTCCAAACTCCTCACTTTAGGCACATCAAATATATACAGCTTTCTGTATGTCAATCATACCTCAGTAAAGTGGTTTTTAAAAAAGAAACAGCAGAAGAGGTCATTGTGAATTCAGAGGTCTTCAGAGGACTCAGCCCTTTAATCTCTGATTCAGTAAAGTGGCATTCGAGTGTTTCCTTTTTTGTTAGTGTAACAAATATAAATCTCAGTGCTATGGGAGCTCAGAAAGTGTTCTGGATCAGAACATGCCCTGGGTAATTCACAGTGTATAAGGCAGAGAAGAAAAACCTGGACTCAAGTCAAATCCTGGTTTCCGTATGACTCTCAGTGTCCTTATCTATAAAATGAAGCTGATAGTATCAGCCCTGCATACCCCACAGAGCTGTTTTGGAGATCCAGTGAGAGAATGAATCTAAAGTTTTCTGTAACCAGTAAAAGCAAATCAGGAAGCAGAAGCTCAGTCAAATGAGCCTAGAAACCACACACTTGGCAGGTAGGTAAGCACCAGTTGGTGCTCTGTATTATGAGATTAGGACTGAGACCTTTTACATTCGAAGCTGGGTGCTTGCCGACAAGAATCCGTATTTCCAAATGTGAGCAAACCCTTGCCCAGCAGAGTTTTCACAAAATCCAGATGTTGAGTTTTGTGTCAATTGTTTAAGAATTCAAAAGCAGATAGTAGCATATTTTTCAAAATCAGTTGCTTGACAACCAGTTTATGGTCCTATGATTCTCTGCCACCTTCCCTGGTTTTGACGACTCTAAATCAGTTGAAACTTGTATTATTTTTCTATTGTATTTTTCAATATATTTGCCAAAGAATATGGGAAAAGAAACTTTATTCATTCAACAGCCATTGTTTGAGGTATTTCCATGAGCCAGGTATTTGATAGGCATTAGGATATGGTGAAGAACAAATAGTCCCTGTTCCTTTCTTCATGCTCGTTTGTGTCTCATATGTCTAACTGTTTCAGGGTCCCTGCTATTCACCGTGACTCACAGATGGCACCAATACTGTGTTTTAAAAATGAAAAGCAAAGTGGAGGTCAAAGTTAGGTTCTAAAAAAAATAAAAATGAGGAATAACATAAGGAGGATAAAAGATGTTGAGGCTGCAGTTCAGTTCTGTTGCTAATTTACTGGGTGATTTGGGCAAGCTACTTAACCTCTCAGAATCTGTTTCCACATCTGTTAATTTGCTTAGTTCTTGACTCTAACAAGCTAGCATTCTGTAGTTTGAGATTTAAGAGCCTCTGAAACAAGTTTCCTTTCTATTTCTTTACATTTTTGATCAATCCATCTTTGCTCATTTTCCATGTGGCTCTTATCTGCTCCTCTCCATCTTAAGTATTATCCTAGTCCAAGCCACATCATCTCATTCTTGAACTTTTCTTTTCTTTTTTTTTTTTTTCATTTGAGATGGAGTTTCACTGTTTTTGCCCAGGCTGGAGTTCAGTGGCACGATCTCGGCTCACTGCAACCTCCACCTCCCGGGATCAAGTAAGTCTCCTGCCTCAGCCTCACACATGGCTGGGATTACACGCGTGCGCCACCACCCAGGCTAATTTTGTATTTTTAGTAGAGATAAGGTTTCACCATGTTGGTCAGGCTGGTCTCAAACTCCTGACCTCAGGTGATCCACCCGCCTCGGCCTCCCAAAGTGCTGGGATTATAGGCTGAGCCACCCTGCCTGGCACATTCTTAAATTTTTCTGCAGTAGCCTCATAATTAGCTGTTTCTCCTTCACTTTTACTCTCTACAGTCCATTCTTCACACAGTAACCAGTGTTACCTATTTCAAATTGTAAATTAAATCAGGTGTCTCCTCTGTGGAAAACCCTGGAATATGTCCCATTATTCTTAGAATTAAATTTAAGTTCCTTACAGCGGCCTATATGCTCTTATATGTTCAAATTCCTACCTGTTGCTTCAGCTTCTTCATATTCCACTGTTTTCCTTGCCCCTGGCAGTGAAGTTTTCTGAGATTCTTCAGGAACTTCACATGTACTATTCCCTTTCTCACCTAAGTTCTTCCTTCACACACTCTCCTCTCAACTTTGTCCCTCACATCTTCATTCTATTTCACTCAGCTCAAAAGTCCATTTCTCAGGGAACATCCCATCTCCTGCCCTAATCAGCGACCTCTCAGGCTAAGTAAGATCCCTGTTAATATATCCACTTTATACGCTGTACGTCTTTTTCATGATAATCACTCCAATAGCAATTGTTGTTAATTGGGTAATTATTTATTTAACTACTTAATTAATGTCTGTGACCTTCTCTAGAATGAAAGCTCCATGACAACAGGCAGATTTATTTGCCTCTGTATGTTTTATGTGTAGCAAAGCCTTTGCAGTTAGTAGGTGCTCAGTAAATACTCAGCGAATGAATGAAAGGATATAATAAATAGGTAACACTTAATTCTTTAAATCAGCTATGAGATTATTTTGTATGAGATAACAAGGTATATATGCCAGAGAGTTCTGAAGAAGCATAGACGTTTCTTTCTATGTAGTTACTGATCTCTGTTTTTACTGTGAGTGCAAACAATACTCATGCCACCCCATTAGAAACAAATATCCACCAAACTCTGTGTGCTGGGCACTAAGCTGGATGAGCAGGACTAAAGCTCTCTCTTTGAGCTCACAATCTAGCAGCAAATTAGCCTCAAATAACAGTTACGCAAGGTACGAAGTGGTTAGTATCATAAGAGAGGTTCAGAGAAACAGCTATGGTGGTTTCAAACTGAGAGAAATTGCTTCAAACTGAGAGCAGCCATCTATATATCCAGAGGTGTAGTGTTCAATTTAGGCCTTAAAAAATTTGTGTGATGTGACTACTTGGAGATAGGTGAGAAATGGCAATGAAGAATGGAGCTATGATTAAATAATTGCCTCTGCCCGGTTGTTACAAGTAAAGCCAAGTCTCTAAACAAGAGGCAGGAACTTAACCTTTTAAAATTTATTTTTATTTTTATTCACTCTTATTTACATATGGTCAAATTGAGTTTTTTGGTGTAAGAAGTCTGTGAATTTTGACAAATGCATACAACCATGTAAAAACCACCACAGTTTAGGTACAGAAAGTCCCATTATCCTCCCAAATTTCTCTCATGCTGCCACTGTGCCGTCCCCCCACACCCAGTCACTAGCAACCACTGATCGTTTTCTGCTCCTATAATTCTGCCTTTTCCAGAATATCAGATAGATAGAATTGTACTGGTCTGGCTTCCTTCACTTAGCATAACACATTTGAGGTACATCCATATTATCATATGTTTGAGAAGTCCATTCCTTGTTACCAAGTAACATTCCATTGTATGGATATACCACTGTTGTTTATTCATTCATTAGTTGTAGGATATGTGATTGCTTCAAGTTTTTGGCTATTATGATTAAGGCTGCTGTAAACGTCTATATACAGGCTTTGTCTCAACACAAGTTTTTGTTACCTAGGACTGATATTGCTAGGTCATATGGTAAGGTCATTAGGTATGTTTAACCTAATAAGAGGCTGCCAAACTCTTTTCCAAAGTAGCTATACTCAATTCTGTATTCCCGTCTTCAATGAATGAGAGTCCAGCTGCTGCACATTTCATGAACACTTGCTATTTTCCATTTTTTAAAATGCTAACCATTCTAATAGTTTTACAGTAGTATCTTGTGTGATTTTTAATTTACATTTATATAATGACTAATAATTTGGACCATTTTGTCATATGTATATCTCCTTTGGTGAAGTGTCTGTTAAAATATTTTGTCCCTTTTTAATTAAGTTCCTGATATTTTTCTTTGACTTTTGAGAGTTCTCTATATATTCTGAAAATGAGTTCTTCATTGAATAGCTGATTTGTGGCTTGTCTTTGCTAACCTTTAATTTTCTTGTTATTTTAAAAATCTTGCTCCCAGGCCCATCACTGGATCTCCTATAGTCTCTTAGGTCTACTCAGTATGTTTATAGAACTTCTAGGTTTTTTCAGACACAGTGGGGATCTAGGAAGATGAAAATGACCATTGCCCTGTTAACAAGGAGCTTTTGAGTAGCTGGAAAGAGAATTCAGGTATCCAAATATTTATAACCCACGAAATAATGTCCCGAGTGCCATAGGGATGTATAGATGGTGTGCTATACTGCAGAGTGTTGTCACTCATTGAGGTTTCTGGTTACTAAAATACTTTGAGGCCCCGAAGAGAGAAACAATAAAGACTGTGGATGATTACATCCTACAAACTGTAACAAAGTGGCTTCCCTCTTTACAGCCTCATGTATTATCTTTGATGATGATGGGCATTAGGGGATGAAAAAGGGGCCGTGCCAGGCAATGCAGTCTTTCTCAACTTGATCAGTCACAGTGCCCACTCTAACCATTGTCAAGCAAAAGGACCACATCAGAAGCCATTAGCCTCACTGCATCTCCCCACCCCCTCAGCCCGTTTGCTGTAATTGTCCCATTTGACTTCGTTTAATAACAAATGGGTAAAGAAATTCCATGCTTGACACATGTGGAGTTGCATGTGTGTGTGACCCATCAGACAGCTTCAGGGCACAAGTATACTGCCCAGCCTATCTTTTGCTTCTGCTCATACTAATCATTAACATGTGTCACTTTAGGCTGGGCATGGTGGCTCACGCCTGCAATCCTAACACTTTGGGAGGCCGAGGCGGGTGGATTGCCTGACCTCAGGAGTTTGAGACCAGCCTGGGCAACAGGGTGAAACCCTGTCTCTACTAAAATACAAAAAATTAGCCGGGCATGGTGGTGTGTGCCTGCAGTCCCAGCTACTTGGGAGGGTGAGGTAGGAGAATTGCTTGAACCCGGGAGGCTGAGGTTGCAGTGAGCCAAGATTGCATCACTGCACTCCAGCCTGGGTGACAGAGTGAGACTCCAACTCCAAAAAAAAAGAAAAAAAGAAAAAAAAGTCACTTTATTCATTAAGTACCATTAGTGACTCTCAGTTGCTACAAGGATAAAGTTTGTTCTTACCCTGATTGACCCTAGTCTCATTGACCCTTTACCATTCTCATGCTTTGTGAAATCATCCCACACCCTGTGATCTAACCCCGGCTGACTCATGGACTAACTCATCATGGCTCACATCAGCCTGGACTCCTCCCCTTGGAGGAGGAGTCAGTGCACATTCTATGCATTTTTTCCAGACTTAAATCAGATGCCATCTCTTCTGTGAAGGCACCGATGAGTGTCACCCATCTTGAAGTCCGAATTAAAAGTGCCTTCTGCCCTCCTATGACACGTTGCATCTTTATTTTTTCCTTTTAGCATTTGCTTCATTTTGCTTTGTGTTGTGGTTGTTTGCCTGACTCTCCACCCAGTCTTGACAGTGAGATCTTTGAGAGCACAGTCTATATCTTCCTTGTATCTTTATCCCTCGTTGGAGCCTAACATAAACTGTTGCATGTGGTAAGTTTTCACTGAGGGTTTATTGATTGAAGGACATGCCATAAGCCACAGTTCACCTTGCTTTGTGACCCAGACAGAAGAGGTGTCTCAGTGGCTGATAGTTGTAACTGGAGGTGACAGGGGGCTCTGATGTGTTCTAAGCAAAGACAGCCCTGTTTCCCTATTGGCCGTGATTATGCCCTCCTATCTAGAATAGGAAAAGGGTGATTTGATTTTGAGCAATAAGCAACCTGACTCTAATTGTCTACCTTAAATGCCTTCCATTGTTCTGCTTAAGGTGATTTTCTACCAGCATGAAATGTTCTCCTTCCCAGACAGTTGATGGAGGAGCTGAGTCATGCCTGACTATACTTAATAAGACAGAGGCAGCTAATGCCCCAGGGAGCTGCCTTCGAGGACAGCTTGACATTTCTGACTCCTCTGCTTTTTAAAAGTGGGTGTTGTGAGGGAAAGTTAAGCATGAAGGTAGCTTCGGAGTCTCCACTGGAAACAGGACTATATAGTGACACTCTCTAATTTAGACAGATGTGATCTACCCCGCTGCCTCTTGGCTGTGATATGTGCCTTCCGATGCTGGGAGGTGCTAATCAAGGATGTCATGTTTTTCATGAAAGAGTCTCACTTGCTTACTCACTTTGTTCTACTTTCTATTAATGAGTGCCCACCCACTTCCGTTCTTTTCTCTGAAAAACTGGCTTGATTTATATTTTTCAGAGTCAGGCTAGAAAATACTCTTGAAGTTAGCATGGATTATAAACCCATCATATTATAGAGATGGACAGGGTTACAGATCATCTGGTTTTACCTTCTTATACGTGATAAAACTGAATCCCAAAGCAGGAAAGTGACTTGGTCACAGTCAGCATTAAATTTCAGACTCTAGAGAGTGACAGATCTGCGTTAGAATCCCCGTCTCCTACTGACTTGCTGTGTAATTGTGTGGGTATCTTTTAACTTATCTATGCTTCATGCTCGTCATTTGTTAAATGAGGGCCATAATAAAGCTATCTGAAAGAGGCATTATGAAGAGTGAAAATGATAATAAATGTAAAACACTTAATACCTGGCGTATAGAAAACACTCACAATTAAGTGAATGGTACTGGTAGTTCCTATGGTGGTGGCAGTTTTATAATGGTGGTCACACTGGCAGAATTAGGACAAGAAACCAGGTCTTCTGACCCTATGTCTTTGTTCTCCATAGGGTATACTACAAGATGTATCTCAGGAACTATATTTAGCTATGAGGAAGTTTAAAGTGATCTGTCTGAAGATGAATTCCTATATTCAAAGAAAGGATCAGTAGCGAGTTTGCTGTAGCACAGAAGGAAAAGAAAACATGGTTTGAGATGTTTGTCAACATGAAGAATCAAATTGGGCGGAGTGTTTGAGGGAAGAAATTATATGTAAAATCTCCAAAATAAAAACCAAGGGGCTGAGTAAGACCTGAGAACCTGAGGTCAGTGGATAGAGGACTGACTCTGGAATCAGAAAAACTGCTGCCCAATAGCTCTGTGAGCTTCCCAATTCACTCTCTGAACCTCTCTTTCAAACCCCAAAATGGGGCAATATCCTCTATATCTGGGATCAAAGGATATAATATGTCTAAAACTTCCATCTAAACTATACATTACTATGGATTATGTCAACAATGTTGGATTTGCAGTCTTTGGTGGGATGTGGTGGAAGAAATAAGGCAATGATTTCTAAGTGATGCATTTGAAACATTTTCCTACCTCAAAGCATACGGAGATAAAAAGGTCTCTTACATCTTTTTTTCTTTCTTTCTTTTTTTGAGATGGCATCTCACTCTGTTGCCAGGCTGGAGTGCAGTGGTGCAATCTCAGCTCACTGCAACCTCTGCCTCCTGGGTTCAAGCGATTCTCCTGCCTCAGCCTCCTGAGTAGCTGGGACTACAGGCATGCGCCACCACGCCCAGCTAATTTTTGTATTTTTAGTAGAGATGGAGTTTCACCATGTTGGCCAGGTTGGTCTTGATCTCTTGACCTCGTGATCCGCCCGCCTGGGCCTCCCAAAGTGCTGGGATTACAGGCGTGAGCCACCATGCCCGGCCTACATCTTTCTAAGCAACCATCTTCATTATTCATTTTCCACTAGGCAGGGAATCACATGCAGCATTGGGAGTCCAAAAGTCCTCAGGGATGAGTGTCTTGGACTTGACAGTGTTGTCCTGGAATATATACCTGGACACACATGCACACACACACAAGATGTTTGTGTGTGTAGTTGTAGTTGTACCATGCAGTTCCTAAAAGCCCTCTTCAAATGACTGTGAGTTATTTTCCTGGTCTTTCATCTATTTTTCTAAATTTGATTTTTCTAGAATGTTTGTTTTCTTCACATATGAAAAGTACATTCTCTTGTTTTGCTTCCTTTGTTCTAGATTTTAGAGAAGTTGGTTTGTAGTTTTCTCTTTCCCAATAAACGTATGAGGCAAATGTTCTCAACCTTAGCACTATAGTAAGTCAATAAGCTCAACATAAAAGTACGTATAAAAATTTAACCCCTGACATACCAAGAGAAAAGAGAAACAAAGATTGATATAAGTCCAGTATAAACTCTTATTTTTGCAGTTGGTTTTATATGCAGAAGTAATGTTCATGATATGGTTATCAGAGAGACTTTTATCCTGCCTCTGCTACTAACCCAGTCTTTCACCTCAGGCATTCCCTAGCCCCTCTGGTGTCAGAGCCTGATCTGTATAATGTGTCATGGGGCTGGATGATTTTTGAATCCACCTTCCAGCTCTAACATGCAGTGGTTTTCTAAGATGCACGGTGGATTATAGGGGACTTCAGTGTTCAGAAACTTAGACCAGGATTTTATCTTAGCATTTACTCTTCCCAAGACCCTGCTTCTTTCCTTGGGAGGAGATACTGTTCTCTAGGTGAGTGACCACTAAAAACCTAGCCACTCAGCACCCCCACCTCTTGAATTCTTCCTGTCACCCCATCATATTCACTGCCAGACATTTCTCCAAACCCCATTTCTCATGCTCTCAGCTTTTGTTGCTTGCTTCACCCAATTTTCTCTCAGAATCTTTTGTTTTCTGCTTGTCACTACCAGCCATCAAGAAAAATCTACACGCTTGACACATTATTAAGATAGAATGAGACTGCACCGGCGTTTCGCAGGTGATGCCTCTGTTAAACACAGTGGCAGGATTGTCGCCTGTGTCTCTTCCTCTGGCAGGTGATGAAGATCATAAATGTTCTTTTACTCCAGGCAGTTTCCTGAGAATTGCTGGGGAGGTTGCTGACAAGGTTTGCTAGATGCACTTTCCTTTGACTTTGTAATTTTGCGTGGAATATTGGCTGCACATCTTGAGGCGGGGAAGTTAGAAAGCTCCTAATTGAAAGTTGAAGGCCCCGATGTACTTTTATGGAATGAGTCTCTCTGAGCCCCCAACTGGGAAGTGTAAGACATGGTGTTGAAAGGTACAGAGACCCATTAAATACATGATGGGCTTTAAATTCCAATCATGCTGTTGAGTGGAAAGGTGTTCACTGACGTATCCTTGGTAATTAAGAAGAGAGTTCATGCTCAGACTGCCTTCTGCATTTTACCACTCAAATCCAAGCTTTGAGTTTCCTGCCCTTGGCTCTGGTAAAAGGCAATAAAAACTCAAAATCAAACACACATAATAATTCCTTTCTCTGCTGATTCTCTTTCCAGATCTCAATTTTCTCATCTGTAATAATCCACATCATGATAGCTAAAACATATTCATATTAAGTTCTTACTGTGTCAGAGTCCATGTGGCATTTTCGTGTATCATCTTATTTACCGCTAACAACAGCTCTATGGGATTGGCACTGATTAACTTCATATTTTGTGACATATATTTGTGACATGTACTGTTACCTATGTGGCAACTGTGGACAGGATTCTTCTTCTTCTTTTTTTTTTTTTGGTGAGACGGAGTCTTGCTCTGTTGCCCAGGCTGGAGCGCAGTGGCACCATCTTGGCTCACTGCAACCTCTACCTCCCGGGTTCAAGCAATTCTCCTGCCTCACCCTCCCAAGTAGCTGGGACTACAGGTGCCCACCACATTCCCGGCTAATTTTTTGTATTTTAGTAGAGATGGGGTTTCACCATATTGCCCAAGCCGGTCGCGAACTCCTGAGCTCTGGCAATCTGCCCGCCTCGGCCTCCCAAAATGCTGGGATTACAAGGTGTGAGCCACCGTGCCTGGCCAGGATTCTTCTTTCCAGGTGCCACACTTATGGGCAGCGATGCCATTTAGCTTGTTTTCAGCCTCAAGGACAAACCCACATATCAGCTTTTTCACTTGTAAAATGGGAAGGGTGAAAATAGTAATTTTATGACTTGACCATATAGAACACATGCAGCGTTATCTTTTTTGGCTCAGTATTAACGTTGTCTGTTCCAGTCTTCCTGGGTTTGATTCTTAGCCTGCTTCATCCTCTGTTTTGAAGAGGAGTGTACTGTTGTACTATTTACATTCAAAGTGCCAAGTGGGAATGTCTGTGCAGATATTTATTTGGAATATATATTTCACTGGGACAATGTAGTAGAACACAGAATTTGGATTGGAGAGGAATGATTTTATACTTGCTACAAGTAAACTCTTGTGTTACTCAAGTTATCTTTCTGGGTATAGTTTGTAAAATCTTCTCATTTGCAGAATGAGAAGAATTTTTTAAAATGTTGTAAAATCTCCCTTGTCGTCCAACACTCTCAGACACTTTGTCACAGGTGAATCTCCAGAGCTTAAACATCAACAACATTTGTTGAGCACAATTCAGTTTGAAATGGGCTATACTCAGTTTGAAAGTGAAAAAGAGAGAAATATAATCATAACAACAGCAAAGATTATGTGACCAGCTCTCCGCTAAACACATTACCAGTGTTGCCTCATTTAATCTTCAAACCAGTTTTTGTTTACACATGGGAATATTTAATTTATTTGCACATAGTCACGTGGATAGGAAGTGGCAGAACGAGGTTTAGAACGGGGTTGTTGGAGACTTACCATTGCATACTCCCTAGGGAAAGCAGTTGTTTTGGGACATTAGAGCCCTGGTTTGGCCCCTCCCCACCACTATCATATATTGTTTACCCATCTCTCAGACGTGTTTTTTGTCCTCTCTCGACTGCATTCACTTCATGTATGGAATGGGGGTATTTTCAGCTATCTTACTGGAATTCAGGGCTGCAACTAGACCTGAGGCCTGTATTTTCTGGGACTCTAATGATAACATGTGAAATAACTTTATTTCATGCGCTGTCAGTCTTGAATGGAAATTTCAACACAGAGACTGTATATTTTCTAGATATTCTTCATAGCCCCTAGCACTCACAGGATCCTGAATAAATATTATCTAATAATAAGAATAAAGAGAGCAAAAGCTGTTTGATTATTATATTAAAATAATCATTGAATTTTTACATCTTAATCATGGATTAGAAAAGATAGCTTGGAGGGAAAAAAACCCCCACAAAAACAAGCTAATGACTGCTTAGCGTTTCTCCAGTGTACTGTGTCACACTTGACACAGCCTGTTTATTTATTGTCACAACAGCCCTGCAAAAAAAATCATTCCCTTCAGCAGCATGAGGTTGCTCATTACAGTAATTTTTTTTAAAGAAAACCATGAACCATGGTACAGAAGAAGCATACTCAGAATTCGTTCTTTTGGTTTGTTTGTTTGTTTTGAGATGGAATCTCGCTCTGTCTCCCAGGCTGGAGTGCAGTGGTGCGATCTCGGCTCACTGAAACATCTGCCTCCCGGGGTCAAGTGATTCTCTTACCTCAGCTTCCCAAGTAGCTGGAATTACAGGCACGCGCCACCACACCCAGCTAATGTTTCTATTTTTAGTAGAGACAGGGTTTCGCCATGTTGGCCAGACTGGTCTCGAACTCGACCTCAGGTGATCTGTCCTGCCTTGGCCCAGAATTCATTATGTGGGCTTCTATCCCCTGGTGCCACTTTGATGAGAGAAGCAGAGCTTGTTACAGGTGGCTATTAGATGATGTTACTGTATTACCTTCCTTATTCTGCACAACAGCAGGAAGGGTGGCTGCTGGAACCTTCTGGGACATAAACACATGATAATTCAGGGTCTTTTTGCTGGTAATCCAAAACCCAGTTATGAAATGATTTGAGATATGGAAACAGCCTGGAGACCTTCAGCAGCTTCGTTAGACCAGGAAGCTTTAAAATTATCTAGAAAACCCAGGGTTTTTATTCAGGTGCTCTCCCACAAGGAAAACTTTGTAGAAAGTGACGCTTGTATTTACAAACTAAGAGTGAAACTCCAGCATGGCAGATACTGACTGCAAACTGCTCGGAGGTGCTAAAATATTCATCCTTTAATAATGCTAGACTCTGAAAGACCCCAGCTCTTTTAGATTTGATTTTATAACTCTAAGTATTGCCTATTATAATTCTGAATTTAAACTTCGTAGGATTGGTTGTTTTCATCCGTCAGGGTTCACTTTCCTTTCTTACCTCTTTCTTTTCTTCTTTTTTCCTTTGTTCAGGTTTACTTTGTAATGATTTGTCCATACTTTTTATTTTTTAACTGGATGGAACTGCCACTTCAAATTGATATGAAATGACAGTCTTTAGGGCAGTGTAAATACCTGGTGCCATAAACAGGAGTAGTACACTATTCGGAATAAAAATTATTCTAGGAGCAAACTCTAATGAAACTGAAACCGTGGCTTGTGGATTTCTCCCTCACCAAACCCTTTTTTTTTTTGAATTTGGCATTCTTTCCTAATCTGACAAATGTTATCATCCCTTGTATCTGTCAGAGCTATTTTCCATTTTTTTTTCAAATTATTCAATCAAGAAAACTTCCTTTTGTTGGTGGGAGTAAGGTATGTCTAATTATCTGGTCCTGGAAAGCAGCCATCTGCCCAGTGATGAACACGGGTTTGTATGCAGTGCCAGCAACATGAGGATGCGTGATGGATGCTCACAGACACTCCAGCTCTCCCTCCTCCACTCCTGACTTCTTGCTCTCCTCTTGATGACTTAGTCAGTGAATGTGAATTTTCAGAAACATTTTCTAGACTTTGTTTGGGTAGCTCTACCCTGAATAAACATATCTAAGTTTTAATATTGTGTTAGTTTTCTCTCATACTGCTAATAAAGACATAACTGAGACTGGGCAATTTATAAAGGAAAGAGGTTTAGTTGACTCCAGTTCCACATGGCTAGGGAGCCCTCACAATCATGGCAGAAGGCAAATGAGGAGCAAAGTCACGTCTTACATGTCAGCAGGCAAGAGAGACTGTGTGCAGGGGTACTCTCCTTTATAAAACCGTCAGATCTCGTGAGACGTATTCATATTATGAGAACAGCACAGGAAAGACCCACCCCCATGATTCAATTACCTCCCACCATGTCCCTCCCACGACATTTGGGAATTATGGGAGCTACAATTCAAGATGAGATTTGGGTGGGGACACAGTCAAACCATATCAAATATCTTCCACTATAATATAAATTATACTCTAGGTGAATGGTGTTTGCAGATATTTTTGGAAACCAGTGGTATATTATAGGATACTGCTAGAAAAATGTCTAGATATTTAAAATAATTTGTCATTGAGGAACAAAAAGAATATAAGTCAAAGAGACATAGACTCATAAGGTGGTTAAAATCTCAGGAATTGTTCATCTAGCCACTTATTTGAACAGAGGAAATAAAACCATTGTTATCAGTGAAGACAATGATCAGCCATAAGTAGACATGTAAAATAACAGCTGTTTAAACTAATTCCTTTCCAAGTTTAGTGAGCATAGGGATTACCTGGGGATTGTTAAAATGCAGATCGTGATTCAATACATCAGGATGGGTTCTGAAAATCTGCAGTTCTGACAAGGTGGCAAGGAATACTGATGATGCTGGTGGGTTGAGGACCAGACTCCAAGTAATGAGGATATAAAAAGCTTATTTATCACATAAAATGTAGAGGTGGAAAGTTCAGGGCTGGTAAGGCAACTCCGCAAGTTATTCAAGGTCCCACCTCCTTTCACTTTCAGATTTCACCATCTTTAGGGTGTGGTCCTCATTCTTACCGTTCATTATGTAGCGCCAGCTATCATATCTATCTATGTCCCACGCAGCAGGACAGAAGAAATGGGATGGTAGGAGGAGCATGGGAACCATAGGAACATGCCAGTGTCTCTCAAGGAAGATTTCTGGGATCTACCATATGACAAATTTCAAACCTTTTCTATTAGCCAGAACCTAGTCACCTGACCACATCCAGGTGAGAGGCAAGCTGGGAAATGTTACTTTTAAACTGAGTGGCTATGTGCCTAACTGAAAGTCCCCACACTCTATTGGGAAGGGGCGTGTGAGGCATGGAAATGGGGCATGTCTAGCAGTCCATGCCACAGATGCGGATGTCTGACACAAGAAGTGGTTTGCCAAAGATCACAGAAAAATTACAGTTCATAGATTAATTATAACCAGTACATGTATGGACATTCTCAGTTTATGTGTGGTGCTGTTTTATGTCATAGGCTTATTTCATTTTCATAACTATTTTACACTATTATGAGCTTCTTTTTTGGTTGTGGAAACTGAGGTTCAAAATGGTTGAGGGACTTCATTGATCATAAAGCCTACCCTTACTACTCTCTTTATAATTGCATATTCCTGTCTCTCCCTTCTCTCTCCCTCCTTCATTCCTGATTCCTCTTACCAGATTCTATATTGTTCTTTGTTCCCTTCACTCATCACCTTTCAACATTCTATATATTTTTCTTATTTAGCATGTCAATTGCTTATTGTCAGTCTCCTTGTGTTAGAAGGTGAGCTCCGTGAGACCTTTGTTTTGTTTGCCAGTGCATCCCAAGCACCCATTTAGTATTTGGCACATGACGGAATGCTCAGTACATAGTTTTTTAAATGAAGGAATAATGCCACTAGGTATCAAAGTCCGCCTTGGAATTATGTCTGTTATCTTCAACCCTAATGCTATACGCCTTCTCCATCAGGGCTTCTGCTAATGTTTTAGACTCTGGAACTCCTGTGTTTGCCTCAGAAATGTGCTCACACTTAAACATATTGATTTCCTCCTTGTCTTCGTGACATTCATTTAATGTTGCTAGCCAACTTAACCAGTTTGCTCTTACCTTCAGTTCTCTCTTTATCTCAGTCCCAGGTTAATATTTCCTGAGGACCCAAGCATACCACTAGAAAAACAAACTTTAGCAAAACTACCAAAATTAACGTCAAACCAGCGTTCCTGTTTGACTTAGTCTCTAGCCTCAGGCTTAGATAGGACTACTAGCACACGCAGATGGGACAGTTTCTAAGTGGCCTGATCCGCATTGGTTTCTAGTTTGGAATGTAAAAGGGGACTGGTTCTGGTCTCAGCCAAATCTCAAGACTCTCACCTCCACCCTCCGCCCTGTTTACAGTAATAGAATTAATATAAAATGTAGCACAATATAATATAATAGCATTTAATATTATTATGCTTCTGTTTAGAAACCTGTTATGACAATTGGTTGATTTCATTCAGTTAACTCTATTTCTATGTCTTTCTTTTGTGAAGATTGTTAATTTTCTGATGGGAATTTTCTGATACAGGTTCAGCTAATACGTACTGAGCTCGTTTTGCATGCTAGGACTTTTAACTCTCACACAGCACTGTAAGATAGGCAGGGTGTACATGCAGAGACTAGTTTAAGAGAAGCATTTTGTCCAAGGCCATATGGCAACTAAGTGGCACATGGAAAATAATTAACTATGGAAAGTAATTCCACTTTAGGTCTCCTAAAATTCAAATCTTTGCTCTTTCTTTTCTATACCTGAGTTTCCTGATTTTTTATACTTATATGTCTGTCTACCCCAGCACCTAGCATAGTGCTTTGCGCATAGCAGGTTCTCAATAAATATTTAATGAATACAAATATATGAAGAGCTTTTCTGTGGAAAATATTCTGCTTTGAATGTGTGAGGATACATTTGGGACAAACATCCTAGCTCTATAGTCAGGCAGCTTTTTTTTTTTGTGCTACCACTCAGGCAAAAGTAAGTCAATTAATCTCTCTGTCTCCGTTTCCTGGCATGTAATGTGGGAATGGGCATGAAAGCCCTAGAGTGTGTTGTGAGATTAATTAGTTAAAACGTATACCCTGCTATATAAATGCTAATTGCTGTCAGGAGCGTGGGTTGGATCTTCCAGTGACTTGGCTTTGCAAAGCTTTGCACATTTCCATTAGTCCTCTGTGCCACCAAGTCTCAGCCTTAAGAAACCCTTTTGGCTGAGAGGAATGATGACTTTGTGGTTCTCCCATGTTGAGAGGCCAATTTAGAGAGGACTTCCACTGTGGAGTAAACTGAATAAGAAGGGACATTATAAACAAAAAAGGAATTCTTGTGCTAGTAATTTGCTAAATTCCCTTTGCTGTTATTAGAGACAAATGTATTTGCATAACAGCCTTTTCCTGTCTTTTCTGAGGCTGGTGCCTGCAGTGAATCATATAATTAATTTGGTATTACATGACACTCCAGCCTGTTGCCATAGATTTTATTTTTATTTGTTCATTGAATAATATAAAAAGCTCTGACAAAATGCGCTCAGGTGGCTGTCTAGAGAACTTAAAAACTCACAGAACTAATTTCAAATGGGCAAATATCCCAAAGAAAAAGCTCAATAATAATAATGTTTATGAATGCTAATACATATATTTTCAGGCTCTGTGGTACAGGAGGCTGACTCACTTTACACACATATTCATTTGGTCCATGAAACATCATGTAAGGGAGATACATGGCAGGTATAATTATTTCCTTTCCCTTTAAAAATGTATTGAATTTAATTGAAGACATATTAAGCCGATGGATTGGGCCAGAAATCTTGGTGATTGACTTGTATTCAAATTTTAGTATGTAAGGAACAAATGCTTTTTTAAAAAGTGTCTGGTCTTGATTTATTAACTTATGTTATGAAAGGAAAATTCTACCTTCCTTTTTTTGTTAATCAAGATAGGCAGTACTAGTTGCTATCACAAATCTCAGTGACTTAAGACAATAGAGATTTATTTTTCACTCATGTCACAGCCGCTTGAAAGTCAAGTGGCATTCCTGAACAGCTCTGCTCTGAGCAGTGGCAGGAATCCAGATTCCTCCCATCCTGTGATGCTACCTTTTCAACAGTTTCTGGACTTCAGGGCCTCCATTTCAGGGAAAGAGAGCATCAGAGATTATGCTGGGGATTTCAGGCTCTACAGCATTTCTGCCCACATTTCACTGGCCAGAGGAAATTCACATGGCCCCAACCCAATTACCAAAGAGAAGTAGTTTTCACATGAGTCAAGGAGAACAGAATTAATGAGCATATAGACAGTCTCTACCATAGTCTGTTCTCGTGATCACTAAAAATCCATTTTATAATTCCTCCTAAATTGGTCTGAGTATATGCTTGCCGTTAAAATGTTATGTTAGCTCTCCTTTTTTATTTCCTCTTTCCCAATCGGCATTCTCCTACTTTACAAAAGAAAAATCTACATGTCGCTCATCATCTATCTTACTATTAATTATTGCCCAGGGCTATAAAGATTTTCAGGGTCTAACATGACACTTATTTTATTGGTGTCAGAATGTCTCCTTAATAAGGGCACTGTTAAACCCCAGCAGGCCTTCCTTTTTCTCTCCAATTTACCAATGTTTCTATTAAGAGTGAATCATGACATCAGAATATGATCTGTGGCCCAAGTTGGAGTGATCTGAATTGATACACATTGTAGAGTGGGTTATAGGAAAGATACTAATTTCCATTTAATAGTCTTTCGTCTACCATCATCTAATTGCAGTCCAAAAAGTGCAGTCTTCAGGGAGATGCTTTTGCAAAACACGTGAAGAATATCTGTAGGAAATACCAATGGCAGTGACATCTTATTTTATCTAGACAACAAACAGTATAATGAAATTGCAGACTCCATTTGCTATCCAACTGTTTTCTTCCTCTTTTTTTTTCTATATACTTTATCATTCAAAGTGAAATGACTGTCAAGCCAATACATAACAACACAATTTTTGGAAATAAAATATAAAATCAAAAATTTTTCTAACAGAAAGTAGTTATGATAAGGATGGTTTGACATAGAATGGGTTTGCCAACTGTATTACCTAGTGGATATTTTCTTCCTTCTTTCCTTTCTTCCTTTTATTCTAATTATTATTTTAATTAATTTGAAAGCAAATTATGCACAGATTTTTAAGGTCAATATATTAAAAAAAATCAAAATAATTATATACTTTCTGCCTTAACTATCCTCACTTTTACTAATTACCCTTCTCAGAGACAACAACTTGGATGTCTTATTTATCTCTTCTAATATTTCCCATCTATATTTTGCTAACCTATTTGTATACATTGTTATCTTTTGTGTAGTCAACCCAAGGCATTATCTTTTCACTTTTTTCATTATAGTAAATGAGGATAATCTCACTGAAACTGCTATCCCTTCTACCCATTCTTCTCTATATTTCATATTTGGTCGAGTCAATAATCATTTCATTAATATGTTTTCACATATTTATGAACTATAATTCTATTACGTCTCTTAGTTTTTGAAGTTATTAACTGCATTGCTTTTCATATGCTTATTTTAATTTGTATGTTTTTGTAACCATTTTTATAGCTTTCAATTGCCTTTCAGCATAATTTTTCACATTTTTCACACTGTTAATGACATCAGATAATCTGTCAGTTGTGATTATTTTTTCCCTTATTGGAGGTTTCCAATCCCTACTACCTATACTGGTTCGTTACCAAGCCCTGGTGCATAAATTTTATCCTTGGGTCTCGTTCACTGTCATTCTGAGGATCCCTTTCCTCTCTTGAATTAGAATCCCTATTCCCAATCCTAGGTTTTCTCTATTATTGTTTTATTCTCTCATTTTTGTGGCACACATCCCCCGAAGCTCCCTGATAAGGAGGACATGGTAAATAAATTGTGGAGTCTTTACGTGTCTGCATTTGTCACCTTCACACTTGATTGTTTTATTATGTTTAGGTTCTAGGTTGGAAATACTTTTCCTTCAGATGCATCGCTTCATTATCTTCTAGTTTCCAGTCTTGTGTTTGGGAGTTCCCAAACCATTCTCATTCCTAATATTTCGTAAAGTGACTTTTTTTTTTTCCTTTCCTTTCTTACTCCTTGGCAGTTTGCAGAATCCTCTCTTTCTCTGCAATTGTTTTGAAATATTTATGTGGTGTGAGTCTATTTCTATCCATTATTCTGGGGCAATTGATAGGTCCTTAGAAGGTTGTATACTTCAGTTCTCAGATTTTGTTTTTTTTCTGTGAATTATTTAATTGAGAACTTTCTTGGTATTTTGGGTTTTTTTTTTTTTTTGAAAGGTGTGGTGCAGAGAGTTCTCTTATTGAGTGATTGAGATTCCTGAAGTGGGCTTCTAACTTTCTTATCTATTTTCTATTTCTTTTTCTTTCTACTCTGCTTTTTAGGAAATCTTTAAATTTAACATCTAAAAAAAAATCTATTAAAGTTTTTTGTTTTAGTGGGCTTTTGTTCTCTGAATATTGCTTGGTTATAGCATTTGTTCCTGCTTCATGGATGAAACAGGTTCCTTATCGCTCTGAGAATGTTGATAGTATTTTTTACATGTTTACTTTTCCTTGAATAATTTGATTTTCTCCAAGTTCCTTTTACTTTTTTTTTTCTGACATTACATTTTGTGGTAGAGGTTTTTCTCAGATGATCTGCTCAGATTTAAGAAGAAGTGATTAAGAAGCTGATTGGAAATTCTAAATGTGAGTGTGAAGCCGTGATGCTCGTTAAACTTGAGCTTTTCTGTTGGATGATGTGGCTGCACAATTTTCTAAAGAGCTTCTGATAGTAAGATTGTCATATATTTCTTCTTAAACTGGCCAGATTTTCCACGGAAGATTCTTTCCTTCTCTTCTGTGGAGAGTAAATGTCTGACTGCCCTCATCCTTGGAGCTGAGTGAAGAAAACTGTTCAGTGCTAGAAGAGTGGGCTTGGAACAAAGCATGTAACTTTTTTATATAGCTGTCATTCTGTCTTCTTTCTTTTACCATTCTTCCCATATCTTCGGTTTTGAGATACCTGACTGCATGTGCCAGGATAGATTATTGATATTGGTAATAAGCAAATCCAAATCATCTCTGCCTTCAAAGAACAAAGTTGTGTGGTATGCCATCCATCAAAGTACCCAACCTAAGGGAGCCTCTGTCTCTGTGCTTTCATATTTGCCAAGGCAGAAGAAAAGGGAATTTTGTAAAATATACCCCATCCAAAACATCCACAAGTAGGACTGACTACATCTTCTTGGTCAAAGTAAGTCACATGGCCGCTCCTTACTTCAGAGGTGTGGAAATGTACAATCTTATACTCGGAGGAGAACCCATAAATAGTGGGTGAACAGCACTAATGACTCTTTATCTTGATGCTGATAATTCCTGGGTCTTTTCAGCACCCTGAACTACAGATTGGTTTGTTCTCCAGTTCTCTGCTGCTGGTTTAGGATTTGTCTTTTTAGGTGTGTTAAGTCTGTTACCACTTGTCCATGTTGGTATCACTATTGTCTTTTCTCCTACTCTTGCAGTTACTTGGGATTATGTATTAAACATTATTTTAATTTTCTTTTCTTTTCTTTTTTTGAAACAGAGTCTTGCTCTCTCACCCAGGCTGGAGTGCAGTGGCACGATCTCAGCTCACTGCAACCTCTGCCTCCCGGGTTCAAGCAAGTCTCCTGCCTCAGCTTTCCGAGCAGCTGGAATTACAGGCCTCTGCCACCATGCCTGGCTAATTTTTGTATTTTTAGTAGAGATGGAGTTTCGCCATGTTGGCCAGGCTGGTCTCGAACTCCTGACCTCAGGTGATCCGCCCCCTCGGCCTCCTAAAGTGTTGGAATTACAGGCGTGAGCCACCATGCCCAGCCAAAACTTTGGTTATACTTTTATATAAACTGAATAAGCGAACTCTGCAACTTTGCAAATATTTTCAAAGAATGTGATACTTTATAAAATACATTGTGTTACAAGTGTGCATTGATGTGAACAACACTGATTTTTCCAATTATTTCTCTGTATGTTTTTTAAAAGTTGCTTCTAACTAAAAACATAGCAACAAATAGTCATTTGTTGAGTCTTGGAAAAACTAGTTGTTAAATTTCCCCGAGCTTTATTACTTACCTGACAAATCCTTTTGCAAGTCAGAAAGCTTCAGATTCTTCACTTTTATCAAAATTAGAATAATGACAAGTGAGTTGTTTTGCCAGTTATCCACTGCTGCAAAAACGGTGCCTTGCAAAGAAGCACAAATTTAAATGACCAAACTTCATTTTATTTATTTCACTTGTATTTTTGCTTCTGAGTCTGTATCTTGTGCGGCTCAGCTCGTCCAGGCCGGACTTGCTCTTGTACCTTTGGTCAGTTGTGGAAAGCCAGATAGCCATACTTCTGGAGGTGGGCCAGCTGCCAGCTGGGGTGTCTCAGCTGTCCTCTCTGTGGTCTCTTATTTATTAATATGCTTTTGTGGACTTGTTCTCATAGTGACAACAGAGTTCCAAGAGAAAAAGCAAAATCTTTTAACTCTTAAGTTTAGATCGTCACACACCACACAATCACTTTTGCTGCATTTTGTTTGCCAGTAGAACTCACAAGGACAGCCCAGATTTGATGGCTGGTGAGATAGACTCTTGATTGGAAAACTTACAGTTTCAAATTGCAGAGGATGTGGAGATAGGGGAAAGGGAAAACTAGGGCTGTTTTTGCTGACTCTGTATTCCAGAGTTTTCAAATGATCGTTAAAAATAATGTTTGATGATAAAAATATAAAATGGGTATACAGCTCAGAAAGAATTTAAAGAATTGAGTGACCTTGTGGAACTAAGCTCCTTTAGTTCCTTACTGTAAACAAATTTTCCCAGTTCTCACGTGTAAGCAAACAATTTTCAACTAGTACCTAAAAACTCTCATTCAAAAATAGCCCTTCTATATTACTAAGAAATGATTTCCAATGCAAGCTTTACATTTTATAATCATTAATTACTTATAAAATGAAAACATATTATTTAAATTTATAAGACATTTCAAAAATCTTTTAACACTTAGCACTTTACATATTACACAAAAGAATAAAATGATGAAAAATAAAGCATAAACTATCAAACATAAGAATATATTCCATTAAAGTAAATTTGCATGTGGAGATAGTGGAATTAATGTAAGTTCAAGGAAAAAAAGAAACTATGGAATTTATAATGGTTAAAGAAAGCTTTTTTACATGTTTTTAGGTTGGATATTGGTGTATGGCAAATCACTATTCCATTGGATGTAATTAAAAGAATGATGTAACTCTTTTCTTTCAAAATGGCATTACTTATGACACTAAATATATCCTTTCCAATTATACTTGGCATGAGAAGTTTTAGATGTCAATGGAAACGTAGGGAAGATTACAGAGTTAAAAAAATACATACATAAGCATGTGTATGTGCATATGTTAGGGACATGAGGAAAAAACTACTTTAAGGTGATGGTTTTGTGGTCCGCAGGACTCCATCACCCTGACCTCTGTTCACTCTTCATCTGGTGACTTCTAGAGCCCTCCATTCAGATATCACTCTAAAGAAAATAAATATTTTCTTGTTTTCTTAAAATAAAGAAAAAATTCTTTAAAAGAAGTTTGTTTTTTTTTCTGAGTAGATGAGTGATTACTTTTCATTATAAAGAATAAATTATAGAAGCCATTACGCACAAGGACAGTGCAGATTGGAGGGGTGGTAAGATAGACTCTTGATTGGAAAACTCACAGTTTCAAATTGCAGAGGATGTGGATACAGGGGAAAGAGAAAACTAGGGCTGTTTTTGCAGACTGTATTCCAGACTTTTCAAGTGATCGTTAAAAATAATGTTTGATGATAAAAATATAAAATGGGTATGCAGCTCAGAAGGAATTTAAAGAATTGAGTGACCTTGTAGAACTAAGCTCCTTTTTTATTTGACTCTGTCATTGAAACTGTAGCACCTTTAGTTCTGAATGAGTATTCCACCAAGGAGTATTACTGAGATCTCTTGATTTCTTGAGGTCTACTGTCCTGCTGTCCAATAAAGTAGACAGTAGACATATGTGGCTAGTCCAGATTGAGATGTAAGTGAAAAATACATTGAATTTTGAAGATGTACCACAGAAAAAGAATGTAAATGTAAAATAGCTCATTTTTTTATATTTTGGATATATTGGGTTTAACAAAATATTAAAATTAATTTCGTCTGCTTTGTTTTACTTTTTTAGTGTGGTAACTGAAATGTCTAAAATCACGTATGTGTGTTGCATTATAATTTCTATTGGACATTGCAGATCTAGCCCATGAATCAGAAGATCTAGAGCAAACTGGGAGTCCTTTCTCCCATTTGCCCAAGGATTGTCTTTTTCAGTTACAATTTCCTCCTTAAACCATTCTCTGTTCCACAAAGTGAAAAAACACTTGATGTCTTTCTTAGGTGAAACTTTCTCCCATACCTTGCAGGGCTTAACAGGGTCAAGCTATCAGATCAAATCATTATTCAAGAGATACTCAGAAAATAATAAATAATGGGGAACAGCAGTTTCTTCACACCAAAGGTGCCTACTGTATGCAATTATTAGAGGGAGGCTGGAAGATGACCAGAGAAAGAGGTTCTGGAAAAGACCGGGTGAACTGAGGAGAAGGTGTGTTCTTTTGAGGCCTTTGTTGTAAAATGACTCATCTGCCCCTTTCTTTCTTTTTTGATTATTCCAGAACGCTGCGATGACTGGGGACTAGACACCATGAGGCAAATCCAAGTGTTTGAAGATGAGCCAGCTCGCATCAAGTGCCCACTCTTTGAACACTTCTTGAAATTCAACTACAGCACAGCCCATTCAGCTGGCCTTACTCTGATCTGGTATTGGACTAGGCAGGACCGGGACCTTGAGGAGCCAATTAACTTCCGCCTCCCCGAGAACCGCATTAGTAAGGAGAAAGATGTGCTGTGGTTCCGGCCCACTCTCCTCAATGACACTGGCAACTATACCTGCATGTTAAGGTAGCCTGATTCTTGGCAGTGGCTTTCTCTTTTCCCTTTAGTTTCTGGGCTCTTTTCCGGATGATCCGTGTGCTAGGAAGCTGGGGAGAAGTCGGAAGCATTTAGATAGAGTTTAGTGAGGTAATTGTCTGCAGCTTAGCTGAAGGGGTCTGAAGGAGGTATGCAGAGAAATTGGTTGTGGCCCTTAGAATGTTCTCCAGAGGTAGTTCCTTCCCAGACCCTGAGACATATCAAAGTTGTCCGAAAGTGGAGCCTTGTTATTAATCCCCTCTCACCACACCGGTTCCTGCCTGCCTTTATGCCCCACCTGGAGACATCCATTTCTCCAGACATTGAACAGGGCAGAGAATAGAGCCCATTTGTATCTGTTTTTCTTGGCATCTTTCAAAGTACTTGGCACAGAAGAGAAACTCAGGTGCATTGTGTGATGCACAATGCCTCCCAAATATGTGTGATGTGATGCCTCCCAAATATTATTTTACTTTTTGAGTGTGGCAACTGAAATGTCGAAAATTACATATGTGGTTCGCATTATCATTTCTGTCAGACACTGCACATCTAGCCCCCAAATCAGAAGACCTAGAACGAACTGGGAGTCCTCTCTCCCATTTGTCCAAGGTTTGCCTTTTCAGTTACAATTTCCTCCTTAGAATTTTGTCTGTCATAATATTCTCCCAAATATTATTTTGGGAGGCATGACATATATGTATGACAATGCTTTTTAAACTTCTACCAACTTTCCCCTAAGAAGCAAGAGAATACCATATCTCTGGCAATCTAAGGATATAATCCAAACAATTTACCATGACTGTAAAATTTCTTTTCAATCCACTTTTTTTTCCCTTGAAAGTTTTGTAGATTTTATATTTTACTCTTCAGTATTCCTCTTTTTTTTTTCTGCATTAATGTTGTTTTTGGGGAAAAAAACAAAAAAACAAAACAAAACAAAACAAACAACTTCTAAAAACTGAGGCCTCTCCACAGAATAGCCCTTTTCAGGGTTAATTATTTGGTTACTTTTTACTCACAGTCACTTTTTAGCTGCCAGGCTTGCCTTTGTTTTCTAAACTCCCATCCGGGTTATTTTTTTTTCTTTTAACGACTTCCTGCTATTTAACCGGTGTGTGGCTTTGCTAGGGCTGCAATGACAAAATACCACAGTGTGGGTGACTTTAACAAACAAAATTACCTTCTCACAGTTCTGGAGGCTGGAAGTCCAAGATCAGGGTGTTGGCAGGGTTGATTTCATTCTTGATGCCTCTCTCCTTGGCTTGTATATGGCCATCTTCTCTCCTTGTCTTTACATGGTCTTCCTCTGTGTGTTTGTGTCTTAATCTCGTCTTCTGATAAGGATGCTAGTCATATGGGATTAAAGACCCCCTTTATGACCTCATTTGAGCTCAGTTATGTCTTTAAATGTTCTGTTTTCAAATAAAGTCACATTCTAATGTACTGTGAATTAGGACCTTAGCATATAAATTGGGGTTGGGTGACACAACTCAGTCCATAACAATAAATAATCACAAATGTTTTTTCTCTCATGGAGAGTAACTACTCCCTGATGGAAAACTATGACTATGCTTTGGTAAATGTAAGCTATGTTATGATTATGTGAAAAAAGATCTCTTTTCTATCACAGAAAAGCCTTTGGATCACTGTGTTCTTGGGGGTTGCAGGTAAGGGGGATCCCTGTAGCCTCTGAAGGTCCTTCTGAGGCTTTCATTGGACACTTGAATTTTAATGGAGTGGACTTTAGACTGGTATATGGGTTTCTGAGGATCCTGAAATACTCATGTTGTCATTATTTATGTTCTAATACAACTTGGTAGAAGTTAAAGCAGATTATAGTGGAAAGAGCATTAGGAGAAGACAGAGAAACCAGGCCATCACTTCCACTCTGCCACTACTTAGCTGGTGACCTTAGGCAAGTCCTGTCCATGTCTGAGAGCTGTGGTATCTACGTCCACATAGGAAGAGAGTTGGCATACATGCTTGATGAGCTCCTTTTTTTCTTTGATAACTGTTCATCTGTTAACATTTCCCAACGGGAAGAAGTCATCAGGAGCTTTCTGTTTAACTATGGTCTCCACTGTGTATCTTAGTGCTTCAATATCAGTTTTACTTTTTCCTTAATTACTTACTACTTGCCTGTAGATCTTCCACAAACTTTTCTAATCTTCTTTTACATTATAGGAGTAGAGCTGCATGACTATTAAGACCTGCATATACCTTTAATGTTATTTATCAACTTTCAGATTGTCACCTCTTCAGTTTACTTCTCTATCTTCCATGTTCCTAAAGCAAATCTAGAATTGAAATTGTCTGGTAGGAGCACTACTAGGTTTCCTGTTTTACTGAGGAAATGTCGAATCTGAGAATGACCTTAAACTGAAACATGTAGAACCATAGGCCTGAATGTCTTTAAGGCCATAAAGTTAGTTTCGTCTTTCAGTATTTTATTTATATTCTTGCCCCAATACTGTTCAACTTTGGGAGCTAAAAAAAAGTCGGTTGAACCACTGTTCTTCATATTTTTTAAAATCAGAAAATATATCCTTAAACTTAAATTTACTTTCTATAACTTCCACCTATAGAATCTGTCTTCCACGTGGCAGATGTTTTGTTATTTGTAGGTAGGGGTCATGCCTACCACTCCCCCTTGCCACCTTCTGAGCGTTGTCACAAGTCATCTTTAACACCCCTCCCTCCCTCTTTGAGAGTGCATACCCCACCCCTTCCACTATATTTAGTCTTTATTCATAAGTCATTTTGGTACCAGATAAGCCAAATAGGTGTTATGTGATGCCTCCCAAATGTTATTTAGACAAAAATCACAGAAATGGCTACACATAGACTCCTTATCCCATCACTGTAAAAAATTAGTTGTTTTTATTATTGTATGTTCTTTTTCATGTTTTCCTATATTTAGACACAAGTTTTACATCCATTCCATTTATTTAATAACAAATATTTATTTAGCAGTTACTGAAAGTTAAGACACTGTACTAGATGCAATTTATGTAATAAAAAACATAAATAGCGTTGTGGGACTTATATTTTACAGAGGATAAGCGTACGTATCTATAACATAACAATCTAATTTTGAGCTATAACAAATTTAATAAAGGAAATGTCCAAGGTGCTCAATAAATGACAGATCAAATTTAGATATGAGGTGGGAAAAGATAACAGAGAAGGCCTGCATGTGAAATGGAGGGGGTGGGGGAAGTAAGCCCTCCAGGCAGACGGAACAACGTGTGTGAACATTATAGCACCAATGTAATTCCCCAGTCATCCTAAGGAATTGTTATGTGTTTGTTTTTTTCCTTCATGCCTGATTGTTTGTATACATTCTCACAACAACTTGGAATGATTGTACCACAGGTTTCTTGATAATATTCCATTTGTCACATTTTCTTCTATTGATTTTAATGTTTTCCTTGCCGATATGGCTCTGGATGGGCCATTTTGACTATTTGCTGTCTCTATTCCTCCTTTTCTATCGTTCTATCATGTGACAAAATATCCAGACATAGGATTGCTAGGGCAAAAACAAAGGCGTTTTATGATCCTGAAAACATAGTTTTTCCCAAAGGTTGCTTATACCATTATTGACTCTGCATAAATATGCCATTCATGCCTCTGCCTTACCAGCACTGAGCATTATTGAGAATGTTTTAGGTGTTACATATATACACAGTTATATTTTGCTGTGTTGAACAGCAGAACAGGGGATATGTTCTGAGAAATATTTGTTAGCTGATTTTTGTCATTGTATGACCATCATAGAGTATAGTTACATGAACTTGGATGGTAGAGCCTACTACACACCTAGGCTATATGGTATAGTCTGTTACTCCTAGGCTACCAACCTGTATAGCAGGTTGTGGTACTGAATACTGTAGGCAATTATCACACAGTGGTAAGGATTTGTGTACCTAATCTGTCTAAATATAGAAAAGACACAGTTAACATACAATATAAAAGATGATAAAAACGGTACACCTATGTAGGGCACTTATCATGGATAGAGCTTGTAGGACTGGAAGTTGTTCTGGGAGAGTAGGTGAGTGAGCAGTGAATGAATGTGAAAGCCCAGGACATTACTATACACTTTTATTTGTCTGACGGTGCATAGGTTTGTTTATACCAGCATCACCAAAAACGTGAATAATATGTTGCCCTATGACATTACAATGACGATTACATCAATAAACAATAGAAATTCTTGAGCTCTATTAAAATTTTATGAAACCACCATCACATATGTAATCCATCATTAACTGAAATGTCATCGTGTGACACATGACTATTTATATACACTGACAAACACACACAGGATCACATCTGAAAATATACTTTAGTACATTAATAGTAGTTAATTAATTGTGCCTGTTTTTTTATTCTGTGATGTCAATTCGTGTAGGAAATGCCTCCACTACCATTTTATCTCTTACATGAACTTACATGTATAAATGATGTCTCCGTATGTAGCCTGGCTTCACTTAGTTCATTTGAATGTGGTTGCTCTATGAAATCAAATGCAAATACTACCCATTCATTGTATATTTCTTTTTTCAGGAACACTACATATTGCAGCAAAGTTGCATTTCCCTTGGAAGTTGTTCAAAAAGACAGCTGTTTCAATTCCCCCATGAAACTCCCAGTGCATAAACTGTATATAGAATATGGCATTCAGAGGATCACTTGTCCAAATGTAGATGGATATTTTCCTTCCAGTGTCAAACCGACTATCACTTGGTATATGGTAAGGAAAATTAGACTACATTTTATTCTCTCTAATGGCTTATAAAATGATAATGCTTATTTGCTGAGTTATATTTATAAGCAAAGGTGTTTCTCTTCAGATTATCTGATCTATTCCGTAATAGCTTTATGGAAGTATTTCAGCACGTCCTCATTTTGTACCATTTTAAAGGAAGTGGTGCACAGTACTTTGTCTCAGGCCACTATTTCTGAAATTATTCTAACTAGAATACCAAAACTACCTTATTTCTGTTAACTTCATGTGAAATACATTTTAAGAAATGCTGCCCACTTCTAGTTCCTGCTTAGTGAAGTCATAAGCTGTTAATTCTTGTGGTGAATTTCAATTCCTTGATTAATCAGTACTGCATTTTATTATTTATGTGTGTTTTTTTCTTTGCCCTCATTTGTGAGCACTGTCCATCTATGGTCTTTTCCACATCCAAGGGATTTGGAAAATGTTTCATCAAAATATAAAAGTGTTGGAAGGTAGCGCTTGTAGCAGCAGCATAGCTTTTGTATCACTTCAAGTCTCCACATACACCAAAGCCGAAACCCCACGGCCAGAATTTGCAACATAACTCAGTGACTAGTTATCCATAGGAACCACCTTTGATAAAGTTAACTGAGACAAGCCACCAACAGCCTAAGCCCATATGGGATCAGTGTTTGTGGGGAAGGAAGCAGATGGAAGTAACGTGGTGTCTGTCAGACTTGACAACAGGAGAACGCCAAAAGAGCCAACAGGTACTCACTGGAAAGTGTGATGAGCCAACGTGAGACCAGGAGCTGAAATTGGGAGAGGTTTTGCTCTCTAATAAGGGGTAGTGCAAGAGACCTATAAGAAGAAGCTCTGAAGGGGTGGGAAAAGTTGTAGTTCCTCACAACTCTGAAATATGACCAGCCACGTTGAGGAGAAGCTACTGTGAGTAGAATCAAAAGTAAACTGGATGAGGACAATATATAGGAAGGAAAGAGAAGGACTGGTGAAAAATGGATCAGGAGAACAAAGCCAGGACGTCTTAAGACCAAGACACCATTGTTTTCAAAAGATATCTTGGTGAAGTTAGAAAATCCTTTTCTATTTTAAAATTCAGAAAAAACTACTATTTCCTAAGTGAGCTAAATGACATTTTAAAATGATACAAGCTGTGAAAGAATAATAAGAATTAGAAATATCCAAAAATTATATATATTATATAACTCCATACAAACTTAGAAGAAAATAAATCATTTTAGAAATGAAGATAATCTAAGAGGAAGATCACAGAATAAAAAACACAATAGATAATACCTTAAGATTAGTAGAAGGTGAAAGGGAGAAAAAATTAAAATTAAAAAAATGACAAATACAATAAGAAAATTAGAATGGCTGTAAGAATATCAGATAAAGTAGACAGTGAGGATTACCAGAGATAAAGATGACCTTTCATAATAATAAAAGGATCACTTTATCAGCGAAACATAAAAATAACAAAAGCTTGTGTGCTTAATAACAATGCTTCAAAAACATGCAGCAAAATTTGGCAGAACTCCCGAGAGAAATAAAAAATTCCACAAACACAATTTGTTGTAAATTTCAAAAGCTGAACATTTTAAATTCTGTCTCTGCTTAAGTTGTTAATGATACAATTTGGGAGTCAACTTGAAGAGTCTTCTGTTGGCCAAAGATGAACAATTTGAACCGAAATAATTTGAACCTAATTGCAATGGTTTAAATCCTATGAAGTCAGTTTAAATTTATAAGTTTATAATGACATTTCACAAAATTTAATGGGTTACATTTGGATGATGATAGGAAATCAGTTTATTATCTTGAAAACTGGTAAAGGAGAATAATCAAGTATTCATTCTGGTTTTCCTAGAAGACATGTAACATTGGGTAATGAAGTGTTGTAGAGAAGTGTGTTTTGTAAAGTGTTTCTAATAGTAAATGAAAATTTAATGATCCAATTAGAATTATCATCACCTTGCAACTCTCAATAGATTAATAAATCTAGGCATCTAAGCATCAATGACTGCTAACATCACAAGAGGAAAAACCATCAGACATGTTTCTTCTGATAAAAGAAGAAAATATTACATATTGATTCATATTACCAAATTAATTAAACCTGAGTCGGATTAAGCCTTTGGATCCCACTGTCATTTTGCAGGAGATATATAAATAACATAGAAATACATTGAACTGCAGCATGAATATGTCATCCATAAAATCCAGACTATGTGAAACTCTATGGGCCAGATGTGCTGGGTTTTTCAAAAGATAAATTGTAAGAAAAGGAATGTCATGAAGAGGGACTGTATAGATTAAAAGAAACATATAAGACATTTAAAAAGTAGATAGCACTGTAGCATCTAAGCATGCAT
Organism: Homo sapiens; assembly: GCF_000001405.40. Classification (NCBI taxonomy): domain Eukaryota; kingdom Metazoa; phylum Chordata; class Mammalia; order Primates; family Hominidae; genus Homo; species Homo sapiens. Next base: position 190,611,551 of record NC_000003.12, read on the forward strand.
ATATAGGTGAAAAGTATATAAATAAAAACAAGGAAGTGATTTTACTATAAAAGTATAGATAGTGCCTACTTTGGAGGGTAGTAAAGGAGGTGTGATTGACATGGGCCGTGACGAAGGCCTTCAGGAGGGACTGGCAAAGTTCCTGGACCTGACTGATGGTTACAAAGGCCTTTGCTTTATAATAACTCATTAACTCTTAGATGTGTTTTGCATGGTTTTTTTGTATGTGCTTTATTTTACAATAAAATGACTAAGAGGGATGGAGGGAGAGAGAGAAGAAAGGTAGAAAAGGAGTGAGGAAGAGAAAGAGATGCAGAGACTGATTTAAGAGATTTAACCACCAATTGCAATGAATCAACTTTAGTTGGATCTTTTTCATTTGAAAAAAACTATAAAGCAAATTATGAAAAGATCAGGGAATTTGGAACATACAATACTAATGTTACTAATAAATTATTACTTTTTAAACTTGATAATGGTACTGTAGTTATGCTTGCAGAAGGAGTTTTCTTTTTTGGAGATACTCAAATATTGTTTAAAATAAAATTATATGATGTCTGTGATTTGCCTCAAAATAATCTTGGGGTGCAGTGAGTAGCTGTGCATGAAATAAGACATAGTCTCAATTAATACTTGTTGAGGCTAGTAAAGATACAGGAGCTCGTTGTCCTCTCTCTGATTATAATTTTTCATGGTAAAAAACCTAAAAGATGGTTAAAAAATAATATTAACAGTTTTACATCAATAAGTGTAATATACCTTCCAGTTAAAAAAAAAAGTTTATTTACCGTGCAATCTAGGTTTTAATCTCGAACCTTATTTGATTTTTTAGTTTTGTTCCCATACACATCCTGCCGTTTTCTCATCTCCTTTTTTCCTCATGCATTTCCTCTGCCTAGAATGTCCTCCCTTTAGAACAGACCAAATTGTACCACCTTTATTAATTGTTCCTTGTTCCCTCCAGCTGGAAATCATATTTCTCTCATGTATTCCTGTTTATTTATACCTGTTTCAATATTATTTTTCACTTCTTTATTTTTTTAGTCATTCATTCATGACTACAGATAGTCCTCGATTTACTATGGTTTGACTTAAGATTTTTCAACTTGATCATGGGTTTATTGGGATAAAACCTCATGGTATGTCAAGTAGCTTCTTATGATTTATGATGGGGCTATGGTTTCTACTGAATTTTTATCACTTTCACATTATCATAAAGTGGAAAAATCATAAATAAAACCGTCATAAGTTGGGGACCGTCTGCTGTGTTGTGAGAATTAAATGCATTTTTGACTTAACCATATTTTTGACTTATGATAGGTTTGTTGGTATGTAACTTTCATCATAAGTTAAGGAATATCTGTATACTAGCTGAAGATTAACTGTGATCAGTGCAATATGCCAGGGGGTTGAGGGAACACCATAATGAATAAAATATATGCCCAGAGCTGTGTAGTCCCAAATGACCTCATAATTTAATACAAATAACTTTGTAAATACAAAGAATTTCTACTCTTATCAAAATGTAAACTTCTAAGTTTCATAAGAGTGACAAGGAGAAAATACTGTTGGTTTTAAGGAGAGAGAGATATGTATCCTAGAAGACAGCATATTTCTTGAGGGCAAAGCTATGTAATGTCTTACTCTGCATCTCCAGATTTCTGGTTTTCACGAAAGGATGACATGGTGCTATTAACCAAGGTATGAAGTAACAGAGGAGAAGCAGGTTTAGGGAGTAAGTAATGGGTTAGGTAATGCCATATTAAGTTAGTTGCTGATGTCTGTGAGACATCTAGCTGGCGGGTGGCAGTGACTAGCAGGTAGTGGTTACGTGATTATGAGTCTGGAGCTTAGGAGAAAAATCAGAGCTAAAGACAGAAAATTGGGTGCATTCATGTGATAGTTGAAGCACTTAAGAAGACTAAATAAAGTGAGAAGAGAACTGAGCTAATGCCATACTCTGGAGATACTATTCATGGGTAAATGGAGACATAAATTCTGAGAAGGAGACAGAAAAAGTCACAGCTGTAAAACAATTACCATGGCCAATATCCAACCATGCACAGGTGACTAAAAAAGGCAAACAACATGGCCAATATGGTGAAACCCCCATCTCTACTAAAAATACAAAAACTAGCCGGGCATGGTGGCGCACACCTGTAGTCCCAGCTACTCCGGAGGCTGAGGCAGGAGAATAGCTTGAACCTACAAGGTGGAGGTTGCAGTGAGCTGAGATCGTGCCACTGCACTCCAGCCTGGGCAATGGAGGGAGACTCCATTTCAAAAAAAAAAAGACAACAACCAGTCATGTTTTCTCTTATTTGATTAAGAAGATTGCTAATAATTTCTGATATATTGCTTCCTGTTCCTCTACCTTTGGGTAATCAACTGACACCTTTAATCCTAAGACTTCTGCCATCTTGGAAACAAAACAAAGGTTCTTGGTCACTGCATCCTCCTGTCTCTGTACAGCAGTGCTAACTTTGCCTTCTATTTTCTGCCTTTTACAATCATCCCCAAGCATCTACCCGGATGTCTTGGTCCTTCTTCAGCAATTCTTTTTTAGTTGTTACCAACAGAGGTTCCTACATCTGTTGGTTCCTACCTCTATGGATCTATCTTTTAATCCTCATAGACTTATTTGCATTACTAAAAGAGACATGGTAAAGATGTTCTCTTTTAGTAATGCAACTAAGTCTATGAGGATTAAAAGATAGATCCATAATAATAAGTTTCAGGAAATTTGCTTTCCCGTTATCTGAAAGATGAAAGCTGCTAATCTTAAGAAAGAAAGAGGAAACTAATATTTCTTACATTTCAGTAATCACACGGCAGCGTGCTGTGTGCTTTATGTTCATATGTAACACCAGCTCTGCAAGGGAGATACCATATTTTGACAGATTAGGAAATGGCGATTCAGAGAGATAAACAATAACAGCTAACATTTACTGAACACACGTATTGTTCCAAACGCTTGATTTTACTTAATTCTGTCAACATCCTTATGAAATAGGCTGTCATGTTTTCCCCATGTTATCGTTGAGGAACCAAGGTATAGCGTGGTTGAGAAATATTTCCAAGGCCACAGAACTAGGAGCTAAGATTCTAACCTATGTAATGTAATGTGTCAGGAAACCACACTTTTACACTTTCATATATAATTTACTCAAAACAATGCAGCTACTGATGGGAGAGTCTGGGATTTCAGGCCAGTTCTGTGTGATTACAAAAACTCTACTCTCTAGAACTGATGTAAGGAGGGTGGTCCAGCCTTTACTTTTGGAGCTTAGGACATTTTGGAAGGGCAGGGTGATCTTTGAACACATACTGGGGTGTGGACTGGACCGTGGGACGTAGGTGAACCTGTGGATAGAGGGCCCTGAGAAATCGGAGGCATCTCAGACAAACTGAGATTACAGGAAACAGAAAACCAAATGTTTACATTTCAGAATTGCTGAAGAAATGGGATAGGATTGGATTGTCCTCCTCCACATGCCTTCTCTTTCTCCTCTTTTTTTTTTCTGCATGGCGGAAAAAAATTCTGCCATGAATTCACAATTCTCTAATTCAACATTAGGTATTCTAGTTTAACTCCTGTGAGTTAAACTGATGTTCAGCAAATATTTGTTGAATAAGCCAGGTTTTGTAACTAGTCTGGAAAGCAAACCATAGTTTGTAAGTGATTTACAGAATTTCAAACAGCTGGCTTATAAAACAAATTCTGAAATATACCATGTGTATAAATGGGAGACTGCCTTGTTTATTCACATAGGAACCTCCAAACATATAGAAGTAAAGACACAGGTAATGCAGTCCTTTTGTTGTTGCTTTTGTTACTGATGAGATTAATTTAGAGTCTTTGGCAGGCCATCCTAACTTTCATATTACTGTATTAATTCTCTTCCTTATAGTTTGATATTTAAAACTTTATCTTTTAGAGATGCTTATAAAAGCATAGACAATTTTCTCACCGAGGATCAAAAGAACCATTTTATTGGGTGTTTTGTAGATTACATTTATGACAGCTGCTGAACTACTCTCACCTGCTATTTATCAGAATAGATAATGACTTTTCTATTATCTTTGTGGTTGTAACTTTCCACAAAGCTAGTTTTCCTTGTAGCCACAGTGATTACTAAAATTGATATATTACCTCCACTTTTCATTTTTATTGTGGTCAAGCATTTTTTATAACTATCTCTTAGAAAATAGGAAAATATTTGCTCTTCCAGACTAAGTGCTATTAGGAAAGAACATTTCTGAAAACGTGCCTGGCTTGGCCTTCTTGTTGGCATAGAGATATTGTTGAGAAGTTAGTTCAAGGTCTGTGTAGTAAGCCTTATTTTTTAAATGCCTGCTTCTATTTGATTTGACAACATAGATTGGTTCTTTAACTCTTTTCTTTACCTACACTTCCTATATAGTGATTGGATTTTCAACCTTTAGTGTGAGAGAGTATGTACCATATTTTCTTTCAGAGCTATACACATATAATTCTATATGTGTACATATATGCATATACAGATAACATTTGACGTAAGGTTTAGGGCCTCTGAGGACTCAAGATTCATGACTTAAACACAAAGCCAAATTCAAATAGCTATGAAGTCTTGAAGCCACTTCAGGCCATATAAATCACCTACTCTGTACTTCGATAGCACTTCATTCATATCTTGTCTTTATTATTCTAGAGATTTTCTCTTTTTTCTGTAGTAAGTAGTGACCACTCTTTTCCTGTCTCTTTCTCTTTCCCTTCAATACCAAGCACACAGCATAAAACTGAGCTAACTATATTGTACTTAGAAATTGATTAAATAATTGAATGAATTAGCCTGCCCTGTAAAATTCCAGAGAATAAGCACCATTTGTGGTTTTTTTTTTTCTGGCAATTGTATAGCCAGCTCCTAACCCAGTGCCTGGCCCATAGGAGGGACTTTGTAAATATTTGTTGTGTAATCATTGCATGACTTAATTCTGTTAATTGGAAGTGACTAGTTTATCTAACTCTTCTAAGACTTCATAGCAAAGTATGTGTTTTATACCAACTTTATCTTGAATGCAAAAACTTCAGTAGATACTACTAACAGTTCAAACCTTGTATCTCAATTAAACTCTTTGTATCTTTACATCTACTTTCCCTTTCCATCCTACAACCCACCATCCAATGTCTTATATTCCAAATACTCATCAGCACTTATACACTCGATGAGCCCTCAGCTCCATGCCTTTTGGGTCTTGGCTTCTCTCATTCATACCTTTGATCAGGCAACACTAACGTGTCGAGCATTTACCAAGCACCAAGTATTGAGCAAGTTTCCGACCACGCAGATATGGAACTTAAAAACCCCACTGTCCCTCATACAAGTTAATTTTCCAAAGGAGGAACTCTGCATGAAAACAGAGCATTATAATAATGTAGTTTAAGTACTAACAGTCAGGGAAAAAAATTAAGACAATACAGGTGAGTTCTTCACGCTTTTTCCTGTGCCTGAAGTGTCTACTTCCCATGTCTACCTTCTTCCTCAACAGATGTTAATATTCTTATCATTTAAGAACCAGCCCAAATCTTTCTTCATTAAGTTTTTCTAAGTTGTTTTGTTTTTATTTCATACTCCCTTGACCCTAAATGCCTTTTATTGTGTTTGTTGCAATCCTTCATTAGACCATGAATAACTATAAGTTAGAATTGTATCATTTCCATTTTGGTGCCTTCACACAGTTCTTTACACATTGTTGGTTTCTTGAATGGAAACACTTGTTCTTACTTCATCATGACATTCCTCCACTGCACCCTTCCCCTCCCCACATGATTCGTTTCAGTTGAAAGATCCCAAAGTCATTTCTTGTGTTGTTCTTTACCTATATGTTGTGGTCGGTTGCCACAGCAACCATAGCATGGTTGAAAAATCGCTCTTCTATTTAACTTCTCTCTTTTGAATTCAGAATGAGGAACTAATGGGTCAACTAGGATTGTTTGTCTTCTAGTCAGACAAGTGTTTGCTTTATTGTGGAAATTCACTTACTGTTCACTCATTTCTTATATTTTAAAGCAAGTTTCCTATTCTTGGAGAATCTAAATCTTTTTTTATGTTTGTTTTCTTCTGGATTCCAAATAAATGGTTTTGAAATCATTATAACATTTTCAGGTTTTATTTTTATCAACAGTTTATTATGTTTAAAATTATCCTATGTGTCTCAGGTACATGTGTTGTGAAGGGTCTAGAGACAGAGTTGCTGATAAGAAAGAGAGAGCTAACCAGACACACAGCAGGTTAATGTTCATAGACATTTGTAGTGTAACAATGCCCTGAATTACCCTCACACACGTATTAGAATGTAAAATATTCCCTTTATTTCTAAAATGTTTTAGGCCTAATAGCTTTGAAACAGCTATAAAAAGTTTCTTTCATCACATTCTTAAGGAAATACTGTTGACAAGTTCAGTAAAAATAATTGACTTCTCATCCTCAAAAGTGTGCTTCCTCAGTTTACCACTGATTGCAGGAATTAGCCTGTTTTAAGTGATAGAGCCACATCACGCTTTTCACTCAGGCTGGCTCCAGGGATGGCACAGGTTCAGGGCTGCTATATGGAATGAAGAGACACTATCAGGTGAAATTAAAAGCAAGGACTTTGAAACAAGTAGATCTGAATTCAAATTCCAGCTTTAACACTGTCTGGTGGTATGACATTGACAGTTACTTAACGTTTCTAGGCCTTGTTCATTCATCTATAAAACGGAGGTAAAAGCATTACAAACTTTACATGTTTGGAATAAGGATCAGACGAGACAGAGTATATGTTAAGTGCATGTCTCAGTATAATTTTTTATAGCCTCAACTCACTGCTGAGGAGAGGTATTCATTCTTAGTTAAGAAGCTGATGAAAGACCGTTATTCGGCTTTCTGGAAAACTGAATTTCAGCTCTCTACTGTGTTATCTAGAATATCTCTGTCTCATTTTTTCCGTCTATAAAATTACAGCGTATTTAGTCTGATCTGTCTACTTCACAGGAGTTTCAGAATAGCTAAGCTAACAAATGAGGGGGAAATACCTTTGAACTGTTTAAATGAAAAGTACCACAAAAATAAAATAGTTCTATTGATACTGTAAACTCAATTCAAACCAAATCTGACATAAACTTATAAGAATACAGGCCTTTGAGACCTTATCCTTTGTGATATCCTAAGGATATTGAAATCGTTTGCTGACCTGACAAGTGTCTACAAGTATTGCTTATCTTACAGGAGAAGCTGCGTTGAAAAAAATACGTTACCCAAGCTTATAGTAGCTTCCTCTTGATGATCTTTTCCATGAAATGGAAGTTCAATGCTGTTCTTAAAATACACATTTCCTGTGACAAAGCATTACAAAATGTGCCTCAATGTAACTGTCATATTTCAAAGTACATGCTCCAGGAATTGAAGAAAACCTTAATCATACAAACATTAAAGATGAAATATGTGAATAAAAAAAATTGAAGTTACAAGCTAGTAGTAGACTCCCAGAAATTTAAAGATGTAAAAAGCCTTAGAGATAACCTAATCTTTTTGTCATAGGTGACTTATTGATATTTAAAAGAAAAACAAAAGCTTTTCTAAAAGTAAATGTTCAACATATATTTTTGTCACAGATAGTGTATTGATTTTTTTTCTCAAAAACAGCAAAAAGTAATAATTTAGCCAAATAGTGAGACTGAGAATTTGAAACAGGATTCTAGATATGTTGAATGAGATAGTTGTGGACTGAGATAGTTCAATTTCTCAATTTTAAATGTCAACAGTTATATGCAAATGTGAATTAGGAGCAGAAATACATTCCTAGATCTTGATCAGGCCCATGAAGATATTTTATTTTTAGTTTCTGAAATCTGTGATACTCAGTTATAAAAATGGGATAAAGTTGGTGGCTCATGCCTGTAATGCTAACACTTTGGGAGGCCCAGGCAGGCGGATCACGAGGTCAGGAGTTCAAGACCAGCCTGGACAGGATGGTGTAACCCCATCTGTACCAAAATTACAAAAATTAGCCAGGCATGGTGGCGCGCACCTGTACTCCCAGCTTCTCAGGAGACTGAGGCAGGAGAAGTGCTTGAACCCAGAAGACTGAGGTTGCAATGAGCTGAGATCACGCCACTGCACTCCAGCCTGGGTCACAGACTGATGAGACCCTATCTCAAAAAAAAAAAAAAGTAATAAAAGAAAAATGCAAAACAGTTTGGAAATATCTGATACAGGGAAACAACAGGGTGATTAAAAATGCCAATCAGACATCTAAATTGGGGCCTAGATTATCAGACGGAGTGACTGGAGTCCCAAATTAATATAATCAGTGAAGAAATATTATAAAAAGAAAAAGAATTGCTTTCTAAATAGCAGGTCTTGCAGTTGCTCAAGTTTCCTTAGTCATTATTTCAAAACTGTAACTTTGCTTTACTATCAACATAGGATGCCCAGAATTTGATCCTGAGACAGGAAGCCTGTGTTTTTGAAGTCACACTTTAGTTTAGAATTTTAATTTCTCATGATCAGAAAAGATAATGACAGGTGTTTCATTTATTCTTCGCAGAAATCTTGTCAAATACTTGACCAAAATAGTTTTATAAAAACTGCAGCATGAATATTTCGGTGTTCTGTGCAAAATTAGATGTGAGTGTGCGTGTGTTTGTATGTTTTCTATGCATGTATCTAAAAAGTAAACTTTTTTTTTTTTTACTTTTTCTAGGGCTGTTATAAAATACAGAATTTTAATAATGTAATACCCGAAGGTATGAACTTGAGTTTCCTCATTGCCTTAATTTCAAATAATGGAAATTACACATGTGTTGTTACATATCCAGAAAATGGACGTACGTTTCATCTCACCAGGACTCTGACTGTAAAGGTAGTAGGTAAGCATGATTAGTGTCCAGTACACACAACAAGCATGTGATCATCTTGTTATGGTTTTTAATAGTTTATTACACACTAGTATGTAAATTGTATAAGAAAAGTGATTCATGTTTTTTGTTTACAGTACTGTCTCTAGAGCCTTCAACAATTCCATGCACATCGTAAGCATTCAGTAACTGTTGGTCAACTGAATGAATATGTGAATAAATGAATGAAGTAAAGGTAGTTTGGGGAGGGAAAGGAGCACCAGACAGATCTGTGTTCAAATTCTGTCACTGCCACTTATTAGAAACATGACGTTGAACAAGGTCCCTGTCTTTATCTGTACTCTGGAACTGCAATTGATTGAGAATATTTAAAAAAATATTCATATTGTATTAATGCAGTTTCAGGCAAGCAATAGAGACTCAGTGCAACACTTTTGTCAAAAGAATGTTTTACTTGGATTAAGTAAACTCTATTTTTCTACATACTGAAACTGCTGTACCTATTGCTGAAGGTATTTGCTGGCAATAATGTTCAACCATTATTTTGCACTAAGAGAATAGGGGGTGAGAAACTAGGAAAGTGGGAAAGGCAATTCTTAGACAGAGTTGACAAACTCCTAGCAAACCCAGAAATAGAGAAGTAGTGTCAGGATATATGGCTTTTGGGGATTACCCCTAAATACCACTGTGTCCAGTGTATTAAAAAAGATAGCATCTCTGGGTATTGTTTTGTCATACCCCATCTTTTAATAGATGGAAACATTAGGCTCACTGACAAGAAGTAACCTGTTTAGAGACACTCAGTGAGTTACTTGAAGAAGTAATTCTAGATCCCAGGTCTCTGCTCAGGGCTTTTTCTACTGGTCTGACATGATTTAGTATAAGTTAGCTACAAACAGCCTTTCATATAGTGCAAATAGTATTCAAACAATGTCGTAATCACTTCTGTTCTTTTTCTGCTTACTTTCTAAATAATGCTGAGTTGGGGATTAATTCATAAGAAAAAAACAGACTAAATTTTAAAAGTCAAATGAATAATGTAACCTTATATTCATCTTAGCAGTTGTTTCTAATATATGTGCTTAAAAGTATGCATTTTGGGGAAGTTGGGAATAAGCATACTTTGTCACTCTGATTAACAGATTTAAAAATTCACAGACAGATCTGGGCACTGGGGGCTTCTTTCTCAAATTTCAAGCAACACAAGTTTGTTGTTTTAAAGCTGCAAAGTGTTGAGTATTTATTATATGCCAGTAGCATATCCTTAATATATATTCCTTAGTTTATTTCTCATAGTGAAACTGCGATATGAGTTTTAATTATCCTCATTTTAGAGTTATGAAAAATTAGCTTTTCAAAAATTAGGAAAAACCAAGTAACTTTGCTTTTGCATTTTTATATGGTTAATATATGGCCAAATCAGGATTAGAACTTGGTTATTAAATCTTTGGAGCTCATACTTTTGAAGACAATACTAAAAACTCTACTCAATGTATTATTTTTAAAAAATTAGGAGTACTGAATATTATAAAGAGCAGCAATCTCATAAACAAACATTCAACTGGTAACTAGTCATCAAGTAGACTAATGTGCCGGCCTTAACATCATGATTGTGAATTTTCCATTGATTTACTCATTAATGTAATACTTATTTAACCAGCTTCCATACTAGACACTTTCGGTAATGTTGTGAAGAAATACAGAGAGAAGAAACAACTGACTAAGGCATGAAAGCAATTAGGTATTATGCAACATAAGACATCTATCTCATGTAAGCTTTGGAAAGCTTTGCTAAGCAATCCGACCTTAAGCATGGAGGGTATTTAGTATGTTTTATTTTTTTCTTTGTAAAGCAAAAACTATTTTTTTCTATGCTCAAAACACTTTTGTCACTAAATGTGTGGCTCTTCTATACAAAGTAATTCTCACCTTTTCTGAGGACATTAACTGCATGTCCTAAAGTTTAATTCAATTTGACACCAGTTATCCAGAGTTAGCACTGACCCCACAGGTGAAGGACTCCTTCCTAAAAGACTGCCCCACCCCCTACTTTAGATTCCAGTCACAAGCAATAGGTTCCCGCGTTACCCACAACTCTGCCTGAGTTGGCTACAAACTTAAGATTCCTACTACTTCTTCCTCAGGTTCTGTGATTTGGTATAACTGCTCACAAAACTCAGGAAAACCTTTTACTTACCCTTACTTTGTTATTATAGAAAATATTATAAAGGATTCAAATGAACATCCAGCTGAAGAGATACATAGGGGGAGTTCTGGAAGGGTCCTGAGTTCAGAGCTCCACCCTCTCAGCTTGTGGATGTCCTTACCAACCTAGAAGCTCTCCGAACCTCATTGTTTAGGGTTTTTATGGAGGTTCCGTCACACAGGCATTATTGAGTAAAAGGACTGGAAATTTCAGCCACACTCCCAAACTTCCAGGGATGGGTGAGAGGCTGGAGATTGTGTTAATCATCTATGGTCTTTCTGGCTACTAGCGCTCATCCAGAAGCTATATAGGAACCCTAGCCACCAATCATTTCATTAGCATATAAAATCCACTCGTTACTCCAGAGATTCCAAAGGTCTTAGAAGCTGTTGTGTTAGGAATTTGGGACTAGAACAATATTAAAACAATAGATGCTCCTATTACCCCTGTCACACAGGAAATCACAGGGGATTTAGGAGCCCATGTCAGGAACTGGGAGCAGTCATCAAACCTGTATTTCCTTTATTTTATGCTTTGCTTGTTTTAAATGACTGAAGTGCAGTAATTGAGTATATCTTGGACTATAGGCCTTCTCTAAAACAACTGACAAACTATGCCAGGAAGTTAGGCAAGATTCAGAGAAGAGCAGAATTTTTAATAAGGCTGCCTGATTTAACATCATCTCCCTTTTTTATTTCCTCTAACACAGGCTCTCCAAAAAATGCAGTGCCCCCTGTGATCCATTCACCTAATGATCATGTGGTCTATGAGAAAGAACCAGGTAATTACAGCTATGTCTCTGAATTTCACTTAGATTCTCTTAATTACAAGGAATAAAATGTCATTTAAGTTAATGCAAGAAAATAGACGACTGTTGTAGAGAAACACATGAATTGAAACTGAAATGTCAGAAACCAAAGCAGCTGTGGAGATCAGTTACTTCCCTGATCCCATGGGCAACTCTAGAATTTTTTGCTTCACTCTCGGTATCTGCTCCCTTCTCCCTCTGCTAGCCGTCTTCCTCTGCTGATGAGTGATTTCTGTTTGATGCAAACTTTAGCTTGCACAGGGCTTTGGTTTGCCAAGGCTGCAACATGGGCACAAGATTTAGACATCCTTCAAGCTCCTGCTCCATTATGAAAGGTCAGTGGTGGATCTTGAAGGCAAGACTGTGAATATAATAGCTAACAACTGATAAAACTAGTAGACATTGACGCAGAACACTATTGAATGCTTACTGTGGCTCTTCGGTTCTTCTTTTAGTTTCCATAATTTTTCATTATAGCCAAAAATCATTGATAACTGACCAAATACGGGATAACATGTTACTCTTTTGACTCAAAGCCTCCCACAGTTAAGTGAACAGGAAACTATAGAAAATTTTAACATTTTCTATGTTGTATCACTTACAATACATCCAGTCCAAACCCAGTGAGAGGTGTTAACCTAAATAACAACAAAGACAATAGCTCTCCAAAAAGAAAAGGATTTATTCAGGAATGAATTGCAGATAGCAATCCAGGAATATGAGTGCTATGGCATCCCATGCGGGAACCATAGCCATACCCAGAAAGCATAGGAACATAACAGTTTTGAAAGGCAAAGTGAGGAAGATTACATAAAGTTGTTCTGAAATAATTATCCTTGGTTATAAGAACCAATAACAGGGTAACATCCGTCCAGGCTTGACTGGCATTTGGTGGTCAGACCTCCTCACAGAAATATTATTTGTTTAAGAATCGCGCTGGCCTTTGTGCAAGATAGTGGTGCTCAGAGTCTTTGTACTAGTTTTTATAATAGGCATGTGTGTGTGAGGGCCCTTTTTATATGACCTCCCAACTGTTTTTCTTTGGAGTGTGACACGAGTGACTCCATTTTGACTCTGACAGCTTTCACAGAGGTATAAAAGAGCATCTGTTTAAAATGTGCTAAAGATAATAGTCAGTTGTTAATGGGTGAAAGCAACGGAGAGGATGCCATTCAATAAAAAAAAAAGGTGGAAAAAGAGGTATGTAGTTGTTCATGGAAAGCTGACAAACACAGGAACTGTCAAAATGCATCCTCCACTTGACACACCTCTTGTTTCAGGCAGTGCCTGTTTTGTGGTCAGTGGGGAGTATGTAGGATATGTATCAGAGAATGAAAAAAATTAAAAAGTTTATGGAGTGGGTGCAAGACACATACAGCCCTGATGCGTATCTCTGGGCCCTATCTAAAGGGTCCCTGAAGTCTTCAGCTCACTTTCCTTAAGCCATAAGTACAACTTGTCGGACATGCACGCAGTTGCCAGGCGGGTCAAGTGGCAGTAACTTGAGGGTGATGTTTCCGAGGGTGCTCCCTACCCACACTGCAGCGGGGTCCTCGTGTGCTCGCGGTGCATTTTTGCAGCTGGCGACTTGAACTGGGTTGTGCACAAGCACCATTGGTTTGCCAATAAGTTTAACCTGGATGTGGAACATAGATGTGGACCTCTTCGCCATCCAGTGTTTGGGTGAGCACCGGAGGCATAAAGCTTTATAGACCTTAAAACACTGACCATTATAGGCAATCTTAGGGTGCATTTTGTGCATCCTTCTTATTATTTCTATTTAGTTCCTCTTGCCAATAAGCATCAGAAAAATTGTATGGAGTCCTCTTTGGGGTAGGGATGCTAAGTCTTCATGCAGAAAAGCTGCATGGTTTCTGCAGAGCACAATTGGCTAGAAAGGCTGTAACATTAAATGTTTATCTAGAATTAACATGAGTAGGAGTAAAAGTGGCTGTGGCATCAGGGCGGGCAGCAAAGCATTCTGGAGCGAGGGGGCTAGGGTGACTGGGGAAGAGGCTGATGAAAAAAATAAATCAATTAAAAGAGTTCAGGGACTTAACAAAATGAGATTTGACCTGTGCCAAAACTATTTTGAGAATTTTAAATATGACATTTTTCCTGGTATGAATAAATTTATAGCAACAAACAATAATAAAGATACAATTGATCTTGTATGTTATGTATGTTGACAGAGAAATTTGATTTTGCTCTAAAAAAGATAATAGTGATCAACATAGATGGAGAACAATGCCAAAAAAAATCAAGATAAGTTTGAAAATATGACTTGCTTTGTGAAACACAGAGAACATGGTAAGAGGCTGAATTTCCTAGAATTAGGTATGGCTTTATATAGTCATATGAATACTCTTCCTGCTGTCAGGGTAAACCCTTATTAATAACATAAATATATTTGTCTACCTGTCAAACTATGCTGACAGAAGGATTGTTGAATCCGTGTTCCCTTTATCTTTCTTAGTGACATACAGATAGGGAAAACTGGAGGGAAAAGACTTAAGGACGTTGCAATGGGAGGGTAGATAGAGTATGGCCACGCAGTCAGGTAAGCCTAAGTTCAAATTAGGGTGACGATATAATTTATCATCTAAACCAGGACACTTTCTGTGAGTAAACATAGCCACTACCTATTAATATAGGTAACCAGGAAAGCAGGCATAAAACAGAACTGTTCTGGGCAAACTGGGATGGAAGGTCAGTCTAGGTCAAATCCTGGCCCTTCACTTATTACTGATTTAACTTAGGAATATCATTTAGCATCCTTAAGCTTCACCTTTTACATTTGGGAAACATAGATTTTAAAAAATACCTTATGGTGCTTTTGTAAGATTAAATAAGACCATTAATAAATATAAATATTTAGCATAATAACTTGTACAAAGTTCTTAGTAAGTATGTTGCTACTGCTGCTGTTACTACTGTTTTCTGCCTAGGGATCTCCCTAACCTCATGTTCCATCTCAGAGGGATAGCATAGAGTTTTCTATTTTTAAGTTATCTTAAAATTTATTGAATGCACCCTGATAGGTGGAGCATTTCAAGGTGGGCCTCCTCAGCCAGATCTCTCTGTGATGGTATTTCCCCATCTTTCCTGGCCAAGGACTGAAGATATGGAGAACCTGTCCTCAGTCAC
Organism: Homo sapiens; assembly: GCF_000001405.40. Taxonomy (NCBI): domain Eukaryota; kingdom Metazoa; phylum Chordata; class Mammalia; order Primates; family Hominidae; genus Homo; species Homo sapiens. The sequence continues at coordinate 190,626,590 of NC_000003.12, forward strand.
CCTTCTTGAGGAAAATAACAAAGGAGAAGAGCAGTCTCTGGAGGTCTAGGGCTAAAAAGAATATTGTCAGAGACCTTTTTTTTTTTTTTTTTTTTTTTGGAGATGGAGTCTCACTCTGTTGCCCAGGCTGGAGTGCAGTGGCACAGTCTTGGCTCACTGCAACCTCCACCTCCTGAGTTCAAGCAATTCTCCTACCTCAGCCCCCCAAGTAGCTGGGATTACAGGCGGTGCCACCATGCCCGGCTAATTTTTGTATTTTTAGTAGAGACGGGGTTTCACCATGTTGGCCAGGCTGGTCTTGAACTCCTCACCTCAAGTGATCCACCTGCCTCGGCCTCCCAAAGTGCTGGGATTACAGGTGTGAGCCACTATGCCTAGCCTTGTCAGAGACTTTTTAAACAAATATCATCATTTTAGAATTTATTTAGATTACATTAAAAATGGTCACTCTGGTAATTTTATACAAAGTTGATGGCCTTCTTTATTTGGTTTCGCTTGTTTGTTTTGGAATGAAGTATGGTGCATTACCTTATGGGAGTCGACTAGAGAATTACTCATAAGCAGGGTTTCAGGTACACATAACTCGTAGCTTCTGATTAGCCAGAGAGTAGAACCAATATAGCCATGTGAAGGATAAACACTAATGGGCTAACTTTGTCTTTGTTTTTTGTTTTGTTTTGTTTTGTTTTGTTTTGTTTTTTGTTTTTTTTGTTTTTTTGGTTTTTTTTTTCAGGAGAGGAGCTACTCATTCCCTGTACGGTCTATTTTAGTTTTCTGATGGATTCTCGCAATGAGGTTTGGTGGACCATTGATGGAAAAAAACCTGATGACATCACTATTGATGTCACCATTAACGAAAGGTATCATGGGGGCCAGCAAGGGAGTGATTAACCTTTGTTTCTCAACTTAATGATCTCTGATGTGTGTTCTAGTCAATGAAAATAAAAATTCTCATTTTTCCCTATCACTAACAAAAATCGGCAAGATTTTCAAATCTTTGGTGATTGCATCCCAAACCAGGGTTACTGGGCTAGCAATGCAAGGAATAGATGCTGCCTGATGACCAGTGGAGAGCTGAATTAGAATGTTCTGAGGCTGAGCATCTTCATCAGATTGTCCAGAGGACATGCACCCTATTGTCTTAAGCCCAGCAAGATTCACACATTTATGATACCCACATGGAAGTAGAGAGAATACATATCTTACATGAATAAAAAGGTCACAATCAAGGGTTGTGGGTACGTGGAAACCTACAGTGTAGTTGTGTTTTTTCCTTTTCTCAATCCTAGTGTCTGGCCCTATGTATTTGTGCCTTAGGTAATTGTGTTTTGTTTTTTTTTGCATTGCAGTGAGCATGCATTTTCTCTCTCCTCCTCTTTCTTATCTCATATAACCTATAGTTACATTTATAATTAGTAATTTTTAATATTAACTAAATACGTTTGTGTAATTTAAATTTTATTTTAAAGGTAGATGGGTAGTAATATAACTCACTTTTAAAATAAAATAACATTTTATTCCTAAATAAACCTGATTTTTTAAAGCGTTGGCAAAGTGGAAAGTGTGCGTCCTTGAAGACAGAAGGTTCCACTGCAAATGAAGCATACCATTACCGAACAGCAGTTGGCTCACTGCACCAATTAAAAATTTGCAGCTGGTCAGCTATATGACAAAGTAATGTAGCTGGAGGCTCACAGGGAGAATTATTGATCTTTTTTAGGAATTTTTAACACTTTGTAGCCCATCCTTATAATAATAATGAATAAATAACAAGGAAAGTCATGTTGTTCCACCTTGCTGCTGTTGAAACGTACTCAGTGTTCATAGGATAGCAGTGGCGTTAAGCTTAAGCAAAACCAATCAGAGCCCTTAACCAAATTCTCATACCTGACAGTAAGCCTAGTTAAAAAGAGAACCTAGATGGCAGTCAGCTGTAGCAGAGAGATTTTTCTCTGCGATAAGTAAAGGAGTTCAAAGGGATTTTAAATTCTGATCTTGGACCCAAAACACTTGATCTCTGATTCACTGAGAGTTGGATATATTTATTTTTACAAAGTTTACGTGTTCATAACAGCTTTCTCTTTTTATATGTTAGGATTTAACCATGAGATTTCAGATTTCTGACCACAGTATTCTAGCTGTGTTCAGAATCCATGCTTTGGGAATCACTGAAATGCATCAGCTATTCCTATGGGATAACAGTAATACCTACATGAATATTTATTAAGCATTATTCTAATATTCATGCCTTAGCATATTCAGTCCTCAGAATTCCTGAATAAATTAATGCATGTAATGCACTGTGTGGGCATTATGACTTCCCTCTTTTCCAAAAGAGGAACCTGAGACCTGGAAAGATTAGTTATCTCACCCAAAGTATATAGCCAGGAATTGACAAATCCTGGATAAAAACCCAAAAGGACCTGGCCCCAGAAGCTTCTCTCTAAACTGATACAGCATCCTGGCTCAGAAGTTTAAGCAAAAGAGACATTTTGTTTTGAAGAGAGATCTATAAAAAGAAGCCAGTATTGGGATTTGGTCTAGACAATGGGATAGTGTGTAGCGTAGATGGTATAGTATAGTGTTAGAATCTTACCATTAATACTTTGTAATCACTGCATTATAGGTGGCTCAGCTTATCAACCTTCCTCGCCCTCACCTGTAGTGGGGGTCTGTGGTTGCTTACTTGTCTGATTCCTACACAGTCCATAGCTCTTGAGTCACTCTCAAATGCTTTGATTTTCTTCTCTCTATTTCTAGTATAAGTCATAGTAGAACAGAAGATGAAACAAGAACTCAGATTTTGAGCATCAAGAAAGTTACCTCTGAGGATCTCAAGCGCAGCTATGTCTGTCATGCTAGAAGTGCCAAAGGCGAAGTTGCCAAAGCAGCCAAGGTGAAGCAGAAAGGTAATAGATGCGGTCAGTGATGAATCTCTCAGCTCCAAATTAACATTGTGGTGAATAAGGACAAAAGGAGAGATTGAGAACAAGAGAGCTCCAGCACCTAGCCCGACGGCATCTAACCCATAGTAATGAATCAAACTTAAATGAAAAATATGAAAGTTTTCATCTATGTAAGATACTCAAAATATTGTTTCTGATATTGTTAGTACCGTAATGCCCAAATGTAGCTAAAAAAATCGACGTGAGTACAGTGAGACACAATTTTGTGTCTGTACAATTATGAAAAATTAAAAACAAAGAAAATATTCAAAGCTACCAAAGATAGAAAAAACTGGTAGAGCCACATATTGTTGGTGAATTATTAAGACCCTTTTAAAAATCATTCATGGTAGACTTCAAGAGTCATAAAAAAGATTGCATCATCTGACCTAAGACTTTCGGAATTTTTCCTGAACAAATAACAGAAAGGGAATTATATACCTTTTAATATTATTAGAAGCATTATCTGTAGTTGTAAAACATTATTAATAGCAGCCATCCAATTGTATGCAACTAATTAAGGTATTGAATGTTTATTTTCCAAAAATGCATAATTATAATATTATTTTAAACACTATGTATCAATATTTAAGCAGGTTTATAATATACCAGCAGCCACAATTGCTAAAATGAAAATCATTTAAATTATGATTTTAAATGGTATAAACATGATTTCTATGTTGATAGTACTATATTATTCTACAATAAATGGAAATTATAAAGCCTTCTTGTCAGAAGTGCTGCTCCTAAATCAGACTGTGTCTAAAACTTTCTTTGTGTCTCTCACCTAACACAGAATCCCAGAAAATCCCTTCAAGGATGTTTTCAATGGTCTTGAGAAAAGTAATGATGAGTTATCACACATGAAATCATGAAATCAGGTCATTCAGAATCCTCCTGGCTCCTAGTCTATAGAGTGTGTAATATTTCTTCAAAAGTGAATAACATAGCACATAATTGTTACATTTTACAGAGACTTAATGCTTTTTTAAAGCTGATGAAAAACAGGATTCACCTCAAACTTTCATTACAACTTTAAAACTAAATAGCAAAGGCCTGAAATGTATATGCTGCGTATGAAGTACTAGTGAATCAGTTCAGGGTAATTCATTGCTTCTGCTCCTCAGAAGCCAGTGTGAAAAGGAAAGACTGAAGTACATGATGTAAGGCAGTTTCCCAAATTGAGTTCTCGGGAACACTACTAAGAATCAGTATTGTCCTGCAATGCATTATTGTACTCTAGAATCAGAGCACCTGTGTTGAAATTCTGGTTTCTGCACATCCTAACTCTGTGAAAAGTAAATCTCTCTGAGCCTTAATTTCCTTATATTTAAAGTAGACACAATAATACCACTACCTTATAAGGTTGTTTTAAAGTGCTCAGCACAGTTATTGGCATATATACCTATATATGAAATGCTCAATAAATATGAACTCATTATTTCCTTAAGATTTTCATAGGTGTTATTTGACAAAGGCTTTTATCATCAAATAAGTATCATTTATGTCTGGATTTTAAAAAATCAATCAAGTTACTTTAGTTAGGACCCATTCAAGTATTTAATATGTGAACATTTGATGGGAATATCTGCGGGAAGTTGGATTATAGTGGCAGGATGTTTTCATATGTATTTGACTCCAGATTTCTTAAGTATGGAGCTTTTTGTGGGGATCATCTTCTGAGGGATGTATCCTGGGGAATAATTATGGAAGGTGACATAAATTAATAACTTATTGTCAAATGAATAGGATCAGAACAATCAAAGCAAGGTGTAATGTAGGAGTGAAGCACAAGTTTGCCTCCCAGAGCGACCAGAGTAGCTCCCCTTTTACAGAAGCCCCTGCTCTAAATGGTGTAATAAGGACAGTGTCAGGAATGTGAAGTGACAGGTGGATCCTCTAGACTAGATGATCTGTGCTGAAAGCTGATATAAAATCACTGTTTGGTCACACCTGTGTATTTCCGGTGGTACCAGAGGAGTTGTGGTTTTCTTCACTTGGCTTCTATTCTGGGCCAGCTAATGCTGAAATTCAGAGGTTATATCTGAGTTCACATTCATACATTACATGTATGGGACTACTCTAAATTTATTAGCAAAGCATTATATGAACTTCCTCAAAAGGACATCAAGAAAAGACTAAGGCCTGGAATGAGAGAAAGACACTGGTGTAGGTCTTATTGACAGCAAAATTTCATTATAGTCAGTTAAAGCTAAGTATTAAAGAGGAGGCAGTTGTTTTATTTATATTTTATGTATTTATTTTTATTTATTTTTTATTTTTGAGACACAGTTTTACTCTTGTCACCTAGGCTGAAGTGCAGTGGCATGATCTCGGCTCACTGCAACCACTGCCTCCTGGGTTCAAGTGATTCTCCTGCCTCAGCCTCCCAAGTAGCTGGGACTACACAGGCATGTGCCACCACGCCTGGCTAATTTTTGTATTTTTGCTAGAGACAGGATTTCACCATGTTGGCCAGGCTGGTCTCAAACTCCTGACCTCAGGTGATCCTCCTGCCTCAGCCTCCCAAAGTGCTGGGATTACAGGTGTGAGCCACCACGCCCAGCTCATTGTTTTATAATAACAGCATGAAAAGGACTAAGGCAAGGTATCTGTTTAACTTTGTGAGAAACTGCCAAACCTGTTTCCAAAGAGATTGTACCATTTTACCTGTCCTCTAGCAATGTTCACAAATTCCAGGCGCTCTATTTCCTCACCAATTTTTGGAGCTGTCAAACTTTCAAATTTTAGCCATACTGATGGATGCATAGTTTTATTACATTGTGCTTTAAATTTGCATTTATTGGATACTAATGATGTTGGACAATTTTTCATAGCCTTATTTGTCATTAGCTAATATATCTTTTTGTGAAGTATCTGTTAAAATGTTTAGCTCATTTTTGTTACTGGTCATTTGTTTTTAAATTTAATGTATGTTAGGATATAGACACAGACGCATATATATCTCAAATAAAAGTCCTGTGTCAGATATATGAATTGTTAATATTATCACCCAGTTTGTGAATTCATTTTCTTTTAAACAGAATCTTTAAAACTTTGATGGCATTTATTGTATCAATTTATTCTATGCTTAGTGGTTTCTAAATTCAGTATTAGCAATCTTTGCCTAAAGTTAGAAAGGTATTCAGGTTAGAAAGGTATCCTTCTGTGTTTTCTTCTGGAAGACTGGTAGATTTTTCTTTTAGAGTTAGGCCTATGATCCATTTTTTTAATACTCTGAGGTACTGGGTTAATGTTTAGTGTTTTGTTTTTCCACATAGATAACCAGTTGTTCTCATATCATATTGAAAAATCTTTCCTTTGTTTGTTGAATTGTTCAGAAAAGAGCCCAAAAAATTAATTCTATGAATATAGATCTATTTCTGCATTCCCTGCTCTGTTCATCTGTTTATCTATCTTTAGTCCAATGCCACTTTATCCTGGTTAACATAGTTTTAAAATTTAAAGTAAGTCATGAAATCACATACTATATGTCTTCCCCCTTTTTTCTTTTTGAAGATTGATTCAACTATTTTAGGAACCATATATTTTTTTTCGTATAGATCATAGTATCAGTTTGTCCATTTCTACATAAAGGCCTGATGATATTTTGATTGTATTTAATTTATAAATCAGTCTGGAGAAAATTGAAATCTTAACAATACTGTATTTTCCAGTCCATGGATATAATATATCTCTCCATTTATTTAGATCTTAACTTTTTTCAGCATTTTTTCTTTTAGATTTGAGTGTACAGGCCTTGCATATATATTGTTAAATGTATGCCTAAATATTTTGTTTTTGATGCTATTGTAATAGTACTTTTATTTAAATTTATTTTTGAGACAGAGTCTCACTGTCACTTAGGCTGCAGTGCAGTGGCGTGATCTCGGCTCACTGCAATCTCCACCTCCTGAGTTCAAGCAATTCTCCTGCCTCAGCCTCCAGAGTAGCTGCGATTACAGGTCCCCACTACCATACCCGGCTAATTTTTATAGTTTTAGTAGAGACGGGGTTTCTCCATGTTGGCCAGGCTTGTCTCAAACTCCTGACCTCAGATGATCCACCCTCCTCAGCCTCCCTCCCAAAGTGCTGGGATTATAGTCGTGAGCCACCATGCCCGGCCTGTAATAGTACTTTTTAAATTTTCATTTTCCAGTTGTTCATTGAAAATGCAATTAATTGATTTGTATATATTGATCTTGACCTTTTGAACTTTAGGGTGGGGTTTGTTTGTTTAGTTTGTTAGGATTTTCCATATGCTTGATTGTGTCACCCATCATCAAACAGATTTTTACTTCTTCCTTTCTAAATTTCATAACTTTAATAACTTTTTACTGTCCGTTTCACTCTTTTGGACCTCCAGTACAATGTTCTGTAGAAGTTTTGAGAGCAGCCATCTTTGCATTGTTTCCAAATTTAGAGGGCAAGCCTTCAGGTTTTTATATACAGGATTTTTTTGTAGATGACCTTTATTTTCATGAGCAATTTTTTCATTTTCAGTTTGCCGAGAATTTTTTTGTGTGAGTATGTTGAGTTTTGTTGAATACTTAACTGGATCTATTGAGAGAATTATATGTTTTTATTTTTAATCTGTCAGTGTGATGATTTATACTTACTGATTTTGAAATGTTCATCCAATTTTGCATGTCCAGAATAAACCCTCATATTGTCATGATTTATTGTCCTTTTTATATATTACTGGATTTGATTTACTAATATTTTGTCACAGATTTTTGTTCATGTTAAGAATTTTTTTTTTTTTTTTTTTGAGACAGAGTTTCCCTCTTGTTGCCCAGGCTGGAGTACAGTGGCGCGATCTCGGCTCAGTGCAACCTCCACCTCCTGGGTTCAAATGATTCTCCTGCCTCAGCCTCCTGAGTAGCTGGGATTAGAGGCACCCGCCACCATACCAGCGAATTTTTTTTTTCTTTTCAGTAGAGATTGGGTTTCACCAAATTTTGTTCATATCTTTGTTCATGAAGGATATTGGTTTGTTTGGTTTGTAGTATTCTTTTCTTGTAATGCTGTGACTAATGTGAGGGTTATGCTGGTCTCATTACATGAGCTGGGTAATGTTCCCTCTTTTGTGATTATGTGAAAGCCTATGGGTAAAACTGGTATTATTTCTTGCTCAAAAGAATTACTCATATAACTATCTGGGCCTGTTGTGTTTTTTTTTTTGTTGTTGTTTTTTTTGAGAAGGAGTCTCGCTCTTTCGCCCAGGCTGGAGTGCAGTGGCGCGATCTCGGCTCACTGCAAGCTCGGCCTCCCGGGTTCACGCCATTCTCCTGCCTCAGCCTCCCGAGTAGCTGGGACTACAGGCGTCCGCCTCCACGGCCGGCTAATTTTTTGTATTTTCAGTAGAGACGGGGTTTCACTGTGTTAACCAGGATGGTCTCGATCTCCTGACCTTGTGATCCGCCCGCCTAGGCCTCCCAAAGTGCTGGGATTACAGGCGTGAGCCACCGTGCCCGGCCGTTGTTTTCTTTTTGGGAAAGCTTTTAATTATGAATTCAGTGTCCTTTTTAGTTATTGAGATTTTCTGTTTCTTCTTGTGGCAGTTTTGGCTTTCAAGGCATTTTTTTCCATTTCATCTAAGTTGTCACATTATTGGCATACTTTTCTTTAGATTATTTCCTATTATCCTTTTAATGTCTGCAGGATTTTTAGTGATGTTCCACTGTCACTCCTGATATTAGTAATTGGTGTTTTGCCTTTTTTTGTCCTTCATCAGTCAAGATAAGGGTTTCTCAATTTTGCTAATTTTTTCAATGAACATATTTTTATTGATTTTTCTCTGTTGTTTATATATTTATTTACTTTATTCATATACTTATTTTCCTCTTTTTGCATACTTTGCACTTCATTTTCTTTTTGTCAGTCATCCTAAAATGTAAGCTGTATCACTGATTTTTAAGTAATTCTTCTTTTCCAATATAAGTATTCTGAGCTATGTGTTTTCCTCATAGGATTAGTTTAACTAAATCCAACAAATGTTGAAATGTCGAGTTTTTGTTATTATTAAGTTCAAAATACTTTCTAATTTCTGTTTTCATTTCTTTTTGACCTAAGGGTTATTTCAGTGTGTGTTTTTTAATTTAAACATGCTTGGAATTTTCCAGATCGTTTTACTACATTATATATGAAAATTCATTTGAATTTTAGAGTTGGCTTTATGTTCACTCTTGATAGTTATTTGTAACATTTCATATTGTCATTTAAGTTTAGCTAATGTAAAAAATTAGAAAAAAAGTCTGGGAGCAGGTATCTCCAACTTAGAACTACCTGAGAGAACTACATTACGGAGTGGAGAAACATAGGTTTTTGTTCTAGATAGACCTGGGTTCAAGTTCCGGACTCAGTGCTGGCTGTGTATATGAACTAGTACAAGCCTTCCTTTTCTTATCCTTCAGGTTCAATTTCCAGGGTATCTGTGAAAACCGAGGGAATGGGGAATGAGAGCTTTGCCACAGTGCTGCACACTTGATTCTAATTTCTAATCTTTTATTTAATTCTGATGTGTCCAAAGAACATACTTTGCATGATTTTATTCTTTTTAAGCTTATTGGTACTTAAAAAAAAAGTATTTGCAGACTGCCTATCTTGGTAAATGTTTGATATGCATTTGAAAAAGACATATATTTTGTAGTTTCGAGTGGTGTCCAGTAAATGTCAACTAAGAAAATTGGTGTCAGTGTTGTTCATGTCTTCAATATCCTTCTGATTTTTCCAATATACTTTGTTATTCAGTTATTAAAAGAGAGAATGGTGTTGAAATCTTTACATATAATATGGATTTTTCCAATTCTCTCTTCAGTTCTGCCAGTATTTGTCTCATGTATTTTGGAACTGTGATATTTAATACATGCTTATTTAGGATTGACAAGTCTTTTTCATGAATTGACTCTTAAATTGTGAAATGTCCGTTTTTTCTCTGTTAATACTCTGTGTCTAATATGAATGTAGCCATTCCAGCTTTCTTTTTTTTTACTTTTTTAATTAATTAATTTTTTTTTGGTAGAGGGACGGAGTCTTGCTCTGTCGCCCAGGCTGGAGTGCAGTGGTGCGATCTCAGCTCACTGCCAGCTTTCTTATAATTAGTATATGTTTTTTCCATTATTTTATTTTACCTATCAGCATCTTTATGCTTTTATACTTATACTTTATACTTAATGTATGTATCTTATTTACAGCATATTATTGGGTATTGGATCCAATCTGATCATTTCTGGCTTTTAACTTGAATGTTTAATCCATTTTTCTTTAATTATTAATATGACTGCCTTTAAGTTTACCATCTTGCTATTTGTTGTCCACCTGTCTTTATTTTTATCTCCTCTAGACTAATTGGTATTTTCATTGTATTTTATTTTATCACTTTTTTGAGCTTTTGGCTCTTCCTTTTTGTTTGGGGCTTGTTTTGTTTTGTTTCCTCTAGAGTTTATAATATTTTTCCTAAACTTATCAGTTGATCTTGAATTAATCACTTTACATATTTTATGAGAAACTTACTATGGCGTATTTCCATTTCTTCCCTCCCATCCTTTGTGTTGTGCTATAATACATTTTGGTTTTGCATGAATTACAGTGTACCAACATGTATTGTGAAAGTTTGGCTTTAAATAACTGTCTTCTATTAAGTTAAGAACTGATCTTTTTTTAAATTTATTTGCTTATTTTTTATTTCTGACACTATCCATTCTTGGTAACATTTTAATCTGAAGAACTATTTAATGTTTCTGGTACATCTGCTGGTGACAAATTCTCTCAGCTTTGTTTTAATCTGAAAATGTCCTATTTCATTTTAATTTTTATATTTCAAAACTTTACTAAGAAAGTTTTCAAATATATGGAAGATTTTAAGGAATTACACAGTGAGCAGTAATACAGCCTACCTAGATCCTACCATTAACATTGGTTATCTTTGCTTTATCACATGTCTATTCATTCTTCTGCCAGTATATCAATCCATCTTATTTTCTGATACATTTCAAAGTAGATGCAGACATCAGTAAACATTTAAGCTCCTTATCATTATCAGTGTTTTAATATTTATTTGTAGGTTTCTTTTCTAGGTAAAATTTGCATAAAGTAACAAATTGCATAATTCAAGTGTACCATTTGATAATTTTTGAGAAATGCATATATATATGCATTACCTAATATCCTATTAAGATATAGAATATTACCATCACCAGAAAGTAACATTCTTCCCCTTATCAGTCAATCCTTTCTACCCCCACCTTCCCCACCTCCCCAAACAATACAACTGTTTTTATTTCCTTTTTTAGAATAGTTTTTTTTTTATATATTCTAGAACTCTGTGTATGTGGACCCATACAGAATGCGCTACTGTATAACTGTACCTTCACTCAGCAAATGTTCTTGATATTCACCCATGCTGTTGTGTGTATCAGGCATTTTCTCCTTTTGTTTGCCATGGAGTGGTTTTGTTTTGTTTTTGTTTTGTTTAAGAATGCAGAATGATTTGTTTATTCATTCTCTGGGTGGTGAACATTTGGGTTGTTATCAGTTTTGGGGTCTTTTGAATAAAGCTTCTGTGAACTTTCTTATCCAAGTTTCTTAATGGACTACCGCTTTTACTTCTCTGAGATGAATACCTATGAGTGGAATTACTGACTTAGTTTTATCAGAAACTGTTAGACCTTTTTTTTTCCCCAAGTGGCTGTATCATTCCATATTCCACCATCAACATATTTACATCTTAAGGATTTGGTGTTGTCAGCCTTCTTTGTTTTAGCAATTATAGGTGAGTGTATGGTGGTATCTTACTGTAGTTTAATTCTTCATTTCCCTGATGTCTCAAAATACTGAGCACTTACACCTCATGTGCTTATTGGCCATCTGTATGTATTTTTTGATGTGACTGTTCAAACATTTTGTTCATTTTATAAATAGTTTGTATTTTATTATTGAATCTTAGCTGTTCTTCATCTGTCCTGGATACCAGTCCTTTGTCAGACACATGTTTTGCAAATACTTTTCCCCAGTCTGTTGCATGACAATTTGTTTTTTCGTGAAGTGTTTTAATGAGCAGAGGTTCTCATTTTTTATGAGATGTAATTTATTAACTTCTTCTTTAATGATTATTAATTTCTGTGTTCTAAGAAAGCTTTGCTTACCCATAGTCAGGAAGGTTCACCTTTGTTTAGGCCTATAGTCCATCTCTTTTCTTTTTTTTCATGAATGGTGTGTAGTAGAAATTGAAGTTCAGTTTTCCTTTCATACCGATATCCAGTTGTTCCAGCACAATTAATTGGAAAGATTTTTACTTTCTCATTATGTTTCTCTGGTGCCTTTGTCAATATTTTCACAGGATATGTTGAAAGTGTATCTATTTCTTTTCTTTCAGCCCTTTAAGGTATTCCATTGTCTCCTGGCTAATATTATTTAAAATGCAAACGGGGCAGTTTTTGTTGCTGCTGTTGTTCTTGTTTATTTTTGTGCCCTTTATGTATTTGTTATGTTTTTCTTTGGCAGATTTTAAGATCACCTTTTCTTTATTGATTTTGAAAATCAAATTATGATGGCCTGTGGTGTCCTTTGTGTGTGTGTGTTTCTTACTTAGAGTTTATTAAACTTCTCAGTTCTATGTGTTTATATTTTTCCTTTACTGTGAACAATTTTCAGCCATTTTCTTTTCAAATATGTCTAGCTTTCCCCCTCACTCTTTCTCTTCTTTTAGTACTCCAGCTGAAATTAGGATAGACCACTGCTATCCAATTAGTAGTGCCCCACAGATCACTGATCTCGTTATTTTTATTTCTTCCTTTTTCATCCTTTTCCCTGCTCTGTGTTTGTGTAGTTTCCAATGTATGCTGGCCATTTTCTTTGTGATGTCTAATCGATAGCATTTTCTTTATTTCAGAATTGTATCTTTTAGCTTTTGAATTTCCATATCTTCATTGAAAGGTCCCTATTGATATTTTCTATTTGCTGTTCACAATGTTCATGGTTTTAAAAAAATTGAACAAATACACATAGAATACTCATTTTTAGGTGTTTATCTGATAATTCCACCACTTTTGTCAATTTTTGTTCTGTTTTGATTAGCTATCTTTTTATTAGCTAATATAGACTTTTTTGCTTTTTTATATAGCTTTTTAAAAATTATATGCTGGATATTATGGATGTTACAATTTTGAGTTCTGAATTTCGTAAGACAGTGTTAAATTTTGTTCTAGAGGGTAATTAAATTACTTGCATAACTGCTTGCTTTTAAAAAAGCATCTTATCTTTGTTAAAGCAGGTCTAAAATAGCCTTTTCTGTAAGGTTAGATTGGACCTACTTCTAAAGCATGTCATACCTGAAGTCTCTAATTAATACTGGGGAGCTAAACACAGTCTCTTCACTCTGAGTGGCCTGTACCCAACTGTCTCACAGCCCTTCATGTGCTCCTAGAGTTGATCTGTTCCCAGCTATTCTTTGCCTAACCTTTTAAAGTATTCCCCCAAATATGTGTAGCTTTGTATTTGGCCGAAGACTCGAGATAATCCTGTGCAGATTTCTAGAGTTCCATCTCTAAATAGTTCTCTTCTCTATAAATGCAATCTGACTCAACAGCAGCCTTGAACTCTCATTTCTATCTCTTTAGCTCAGTGTGACCACTTTCTCATTTTGGCTTTCCCTTCTCTGTGCCACAGTTTAAAAGGTGCCTTTAATCGAAAAGCCAGAGTGATCGTAGCATTTACCTCTTTTTTGTCTTTTCTCTCACAGATCACATTCCTGTGTTACCAGTTGTCCAACTTTTTACAAACTGTATTTTAGATATGGAAGGAAGGCTAGTCCAGGACTAGTTACTCCTTTAAGAACAGAAGCTGAAGTCCAAAGTGCACATGTTTTAACACACTATAATAGCCAAATCAGTAACATCTGCGAGTTAATTTAGTCATAGGTCTCTGATTTATCATAATTTTAATAAAGCATTCCCTTTGTTTACAACTCAGGAGAATGGTCATTACCACAGTTCCAAAAATTATCCATCAGTCCCAATAATTTAGAACGGAGTAGCCATGGGTTCTGTGGCAGGGAACACTTGGAGGTGCAAGCAGCTGGCATTTAGTTGGGACATGCAGTGGATGGCAAGGCTCCAACTGCAATAATAAAGATGACGGAAATCACTCAGATTTCCTAGAGAAACGTGATTGTAGAGCAAGAACTCAAAACAGGGAAAATGCCAAGAGCTAACCAAGGTGGTTACCTGGAAATTTGGGCTTTGAAGCCAGTTATTTACATTGAACTACAAAAGGGATGGAAAAAATACTGATTTAAGGACTAACAACCATCAAGGAGCTAAATCTGGCTACATCCTGAATCAGAATATTAGTAAAATCAATGAGAGAAGTTTAGGAGTCCAGTTTGGTCGTACTACATCATGTCTTTCTGATAGGAAATTCTTTTTTTATTTTTATTTTTATTTTTTTGAGACAGAGTTTTGCTCTTGTTGCCAAGGCTGGAGTGCAATGGTGCAATCTTGGCTCACTGCAACCTCCGCCTCCCAGGTTCAAGCGATTCTCCTGCCTCAGCCTCCCGAGTAGCTGGGATTACAGGCATGCGCCACCACACCCGGCTAATTTTGTATTTTTAGTTGAGACAGGGTTTCTCCATGTTGGTCAGGCTGGTCTCAAACTCCCGACCTCAGGTGATCCACCGGTCTTGGCCTCCCAAAGTGTTGGGGTTACAGGCGTGAGCCACTGCGCCCGGCCTCTGATAGGAAATTCTTTAGTCTGGCATTGCATCAGAGTGAAATCTTTTTGTCAAAACACCTGAGGGTCCAGCTAGGCAGTCAGCAAATGTAGTCTGAGGGTCACTCTTTCCCTGTAAGCCAGCACTGCTTTACCTGAAAGCCCTGTAGAGAACCTCTTGCATGTGACTTAAGCTATTTAGAAAATCCAGCTAGTAGATTATTTAAGAGTTCGATACGTTAAGTAGCATTAATGACTCCTTTTTATCAAGATTGCTCTACAAAATACAGTCTGTAAATATGACAAATGACTGTATGACACAAAACAGAATTAAAATGCCCCATTAGAAATAAAATGGGCAGTAGTAAAATGAATGAGGCAGGGGAAATTTATGAGGGTAATTGATCTCTCGGTCATTAAGCAGGCTCTCTATTGGCATTTAACAAAAATCCATTTCAGGTACGTGCAGCCAGCAACAACCTCCACCCCCATTACAAAATGTTCATCCAGAGAGAGCCAAAATAACTGAGCAAATAATGAAAATAACAGTGGAAATTACCCTGTTGTACTGTTAACATAACGTACTCAGAAATACCAAGGACACAGTGATTTTCATGCCAGCTATCCAAATAGATCTTAGTAAACTTTCAGCAACTGCACTAACACAGCTTCTGGAATTTATGATGGAGTTTTCTTGTTTTAAGGTGCCATTATTCATGGAAGGAGTAGAAGAGTACCTGGTAATAATTTTGCACTGCTAAGTCCCAGGCTATACCTGTGGCAGGATTAATATCCCCAGTTTAGGATAATAAAATCAAAACTCTATGATTCACCCTTTAATAAGAGAACTTCAGGTTCAGCTCCAGGCTGCTTACCATTTTCTGCTTTGAATAGATGCCTTTTTAAAAAGTGATTTCCTGGATGTGAAGCTGATCTGCCTGCAACATCTGTCACCCCATTGATCACCAGGGTAGATTCAGCTTATCTGGCTGGCTAAGCGGGTGTCCCCTTCCTCCCTCACTGTTTCACGTGACTCCTTCCCGAAGCTGCGCACTCAGTGGAAGAGGACGACCATCTGCAATAGAGGGGGACTGGTCTTTTGTCAAGGGTATAGGAGTAGCTGTGCTCCCCTGCTAGAACCTCCAAACAAGCTCTCAAGGTTCATAAACGTGATTCTATTTCAACTGTTGTATGATCAATAATTGAGCTTCATCGTGATGGTGTTCAAAGATCCCCGCACTTTGGAGTCAGGGAGCCTCTACAGCAATTCCAGCTTGGAATGAGATTCTTCTAAGCTGTGTCTCAGCAAACATTTAACATCTACAATGTTCTAGGTGCTTACAGAAGCCTTCCCTCACCACCTTATGCAGTACACCGCCCTTGCCCCAGTCCCACCCTTCAATCACCTCTATCACATTACCATGGTTTATTTCTCTTATAGCACTAATCACTATTTAAAATTAACCAGCTGATTTATTTCTTTACATATTTACTGCCCTGAATTAGAATATTAGCCACAAAAGGGCAGAGACCCTTTCCGTCTTATTCACCATTGTATCCCCAGAAGCTTCTGGCAAATGGTAGATGTCAATAGATAATAATCAAATTGACTAATACACAATTTAAGCCACTCCTGCTTCAGACCCAGTAAATATACTGTTCCTCCTTCAAACACTTAAACTTCATTATCACAAGCTAATAAAGCAACTAAATAAAATTGTGAAACATAATTTAGTAATAGACTTCTAAATATCCCAGAAGTGTAAAATCTTATATGTGGAAATGTTCATTGAGATACTAGGCATTCTAGGGATATCATGGAAGAAAAAGACATAATCTCTACCTGAAAGACTGTAAAGGTATAGTTAATGAGAGGGAGTGAAGAAGCTGACCTGTAGACAAATTACAATATAATAAGTAATGCTGTAATCAAATGATAAACAAAGGGAAGAGTAAAAATTTCTACACGGGAGAGCCAGGTTTCAATAAAAATTTTATTCTATAAAAGCTTATATAAAATAATGATATTCGAGCATAGACTTGGAAACTAAAAAGAGAAAGGACTTCCAGCCAGAAGTCACAGCATGAGAAACGGGCATCATATTAAATCTTCCTGATGTTTTTGATGAAAAAGCAATGGTAAATGAGAAAGGAAGGAAGGTGGTTAGTAATTTGGTTGTGACAGACCTTGATTATAGGGCTAATGAGTTAAGATCTGGTTTTTAAGTACTGGAGAATTACCTCACTCTATTTCTGATACTTCCAAAGAAACTGCAAAGGTGCCTAAAATATAAAAAATAAGTAGATAATGCAGAAATCTGTTCACAATCAGATATTGCAAGTTCACCTCTAGAATATGTACTGAAGAACTGTGAACATGGGAAATAACTTCCAGAACCAAGCATATTCAGCATCTGGTGGATGTCCTTTGCTTTTGCACAGTGAAAATAATGTTTTTGAGGCCGATTTCCAAGTAGAAAGGAAAGACAATTAAATTCCTTTCATACTACACTAGACAAGAGAATGAAACTATAGTGGAAAAATATTGAGATTTTTACTCAAATCAGCTGCATCAACAATTAAAATTCTACCAATACCGTGGACTTCTTCAGGTAGCAATGAGAACTCCATCCCAAGATATGGACCGAGGATGGAATGATAATTTTCAAAAATATTTGTAAGGAGGTTTAGGTGTCAAATTGTGACTTGAATTTGATGACCTTCTAAGCCCTTCCTGATGTTATGATTCTGTTTTAATTTATATATTGTCAAAGACTATTCAAATAAAAAACACCTTCTATGCCAGGTGCTGGAAACAAAAAGATAAACATAACACAGTCTAGTATTTTAAAATAGTGCTAAACTCTACAATGTTATCTCTGATTGTTCATACATAGGCAGGTGCATAGCTAAGCTGCTTGGCTTATCCAGCTATTTGCCGGGATGGTGGGTCACTGTGGTCACCACACAGAAATCAATTCTGTTTCTTTGTTGTTCATTCCAGTGCCAGCTCCAAGATACACAGTGGAACTGGCTTGTGGTTTTGGAGCCACAGTCCTGCTAGTGGTGATTCTCATTGTTGTTTACCATGTTTACTGGCTAGAGATGGTCCTATTTTACCGGGCTCATTTTGGAACAGATGAAACCATTTTAGGTAAGTAACAGAAATTTGACATAAACCTCTTCTACTGTCATCTTTAGAACATATGTTGTAAAAAAAAGAAAAAAGAAAACATGTTGATTTGAAAAACCTAGATTAACTGGAAGATTTAAGCAGATTAACTTTAATTTCAACCGTTGCTATTAGAAATCTTTCCGAAGATTATTATTCTATTTTCTTGGATTAATTAGTGAGTCGGTCTAAATTAACACCCTCCAAATAGAAATATAATGCGAGCCACTTACCTACTTAAAATTTCCCAGTGACCACATTAGTAAAAGTAAAAAGAAACAAGTAAAAATAACGAATTGACTAAATATATTTATAATACTATTTTTTAGCATGCAATTAATATTAAAAAGCTAATGAGATATTTTAGTGTTTTCTTTGGTACTAAAAATGTTCAAAATGTAAAATGTATTCTACTTTATCCTTATAGCACATCTCAATTCAAACCAGCCACATTTCGAGTGAGCAATAGACTCGTGACTCGTGGCTGCTGTATTGGACAGTGCTGATCCACACTCCTTGTACTCAGATAGAGATCTGTGAACCAGCAGCAACATATCACGTGTAGCTTATTAGAAGAAGAATCTTAGACCTAGCCCCTACTGACTCAGAATCTACATTTAAACCATATTCCCAAGTGATTCATGTGTACGTTAACATCTGAAAAGCACAGCTCTAGTGCAAATTTGCTTAGTGAAAAGAATAGAGCATTTAAACATACAAATTCATAGGTCCACCCCATAAAGATTTTAATTCAGTAGGCTTATGGAAGAAACACGGAATCGATAGTTTTTAATGAGATGTGATTTTTCTAATTAAGCAACTTCGTGAAAGATTGGTCCATTAAATCTAATTATATTTTTAATTTTAGTTCTTTTCAGATATAAATAATTCAGGCAGTTTCACAAGGTTTTACTCAATTTGTAATTTTAAGATATTAATGAGTGATAGGCTTGGACAGGAAGTTGAAATTTTCTCTACAGTGTTAATTGCCAGTACCTATGATTTACCTTCTGGCTTTGTTAATTTACAGTTGAATGGGACAAACCTCACTCTTTTTCCACTGTAAAGCAACCTGTAAGATGAGAGTTGAGGATATATCAGATAACATTCAAAATTACATCTTCAAATAGTCGTTTTGCGTGGAGACTTGTTGCAAGTAGAAAATCGCACTGGAATCTGTCACATAATGAAAATGTCTAATATGCAGAAGTTAGATTTAAGAAAAATGTAATGGTATTGAGAAACTTTCCTAATTTACATTGTATCTGTGTTCCTTTTGCTAGATGGAAAAGAGTATGATATTTATGTATCCTATGCAAGGAATGCGGAAGAAGAAGAATTTGTATTACTGACCCTCCGTGGAGTTTTGGAGAATGAATTTGGATACAAGCTGTGCATCTTTGACCGAGACAGTCTGCCTGGGGGAAGTAGGTATTTCAGAGGAGTACAAATGATGCTACCTTGAAAGGCAGACAGAATCATTAGTTTTGCATTATGGGAGAGAGTCATGGCACAGCATCTTTGGATATTTAATGTCCGATGCTCTTTGATGTAACAGACTCCTCTAGAAATAAAACTACGTTGGAAATGTATACTATTCAACTCAGTTTATGGTATTAAAATATTTTCCCTTGCAATCTTTCAGAGATGCATGTCAGAAAAGCATGGAGGCACAGTGGATTAGAGCTCTGTTAAAGGGCCATAGCTGTAAACATCCTGTTTATTCACATTTAGATTTTTCGGTTTAGGCTAATCTACACTGGTTGGTCTAGAACTGTTTTACAAGACTGAGAATTTTTTTTTAAAGCAGTTTTATTTTGGTTTTAGAAAGACAGAGGTTTACTTGGTTTTACTAAAAGTGAGTGGCGGAAGAGTGTGGGTAGAATTTTTCCTTATGTGATTCACTGATAATAATTACAGTATTTTCCTGTGGCATTTGCTCTTTTTTTTCCCCCTCACTTTTCTTTTCAAGCAAAATAGTGCTACTCAAATTCCCCTTTTCCTTGGGTCTATTTCTTCTTCCTGTCAGCTTATACATTTGAGGGTTACTTTAAAATTTTATAATAGCCAGTGTAACTAGAAGGTTTAAAAAGAAAGGAAATGCCTAAATTCTTGAATGTGTTAAAATAAAAGTACAACTCCTTTTTAGATCCGCACAGTAACACACAAAGTAATTTTTCATTGGTGTCTTTTTAATAAATATATAAGTTACATTCCCAAACCCACTGTTAAACTTTATCCTGTTGAAATGCTTGTAATATATCTAATCATAAGCAAGACAAACCAATTTTACTCCTCTAAAATCCTGTCTACATTCATCATTTAACAGTTTTTTTTTAAATATTGCATGGATAATTGAGATAGACTTGAAATTTTATTCTCATTTTGATTTAGTTGGATCAGTTATTTTATCTTCCCAATCATCAACCAAAAGTCCATCATAAGATGTTTCTTTCAGTATAATTTTTCCAGGAAGTTATGACTTAATTATACAGTTAAAGGATAAATTCCACTCATTTTAATACTTAATTTCCCCAGTCATTTATTCACCCATTTATTTGTTCGTACAGCCATTCAATAAATACTTATCTACCACGGAACTGGGTAAGACCCTCCAATAGGGGTTGATAATTCTTTGAAGAATTCACATTCTGCATAATTACTCTTGCATCTTGCATTTGTTAGTTAGCTTTTGCTTCCTTTTTTATTCTCCCTGCCGCTCTTACCCAATCTTCTTTGACTCTGGGTCTCTTGCCATGCTTGCACATGCTCAGCCTCCAGTGCCACTGCTTGGAACACACAATCATTCCTGGATTCTCCCCCAGGCTGTGCATGCTAGATTTTAATCACAAGGCTTTCCCTACTGTTTCTGAACCTGTGAAGATTAAGGGGCAAAATGACTTCATAAAGGAATATATCAAGACATGATATAAGTTTCCACAATTCTAGTAAGTTACCTAGAGTTGGCAACCATCTGAAACACAGGTAAAGGACTATGCAATCCTCGATAAGCAACTGTGAGGAGATGGATTGGTTCCAAGAATTTAGTGACAGAAACTAATCAGGGCCCTTGACAGCAGAATAAAATTACATGGCATTTCCAGTTTTCCTGCTTTTTCTTCTTTTTTCGTTGAAGAAAGCATTTGCCTGTTAGTGCAAGTAGACACATCATCTAGCAGCTGCCGAAACACATAGCTTTATAGTAATGGTCGGAGTTTGAGGAGAAAGATCCAGCGATTAATTTAGGCTCCAGGGGAGAAAGAAGTAGAAAGCCCACCGAGGATGTGTTACCAGCCAAAATGCCATTCAGTTGGCTAGATTTTGTTAAGCTTCTAGTCTAAGGACATAGTGATGTTAGAGTCAGAGAGGTATCCAACAATAGAGAGGGACTTTCAGAAGATGAAGGTCTCTAACTTTGTTGTCCTGTCCTAGCAAAAGATAAAATTCTATTTTTTTGATTATATAACATATACCTTTTTGAGTGTCCATTGGTACTAGAGAGTTTATGCATGGTGCATGGGTTTCTTTGGTGAAGAAAGGGCTCATGAGCTGACGTGGCTAGACCATAAGATGCCACACACTTTAAAGAAACTGCTTTCAGTATAATGTGTCTACTCCTTGTGTCTCAAGTGTTGTTTTTGAAGATCAAGGTCACAACACTATACTACCTTTTGGCTTCATGCCTGTTTGGAATTCTTTTTAGAAATATGTGTATATAGTTTCTGTTTTCCCTGAAGACAGTGGTATTTAACAAAGAGAGTTTGCAGGTATAAGGATTAAGTTGTTCACATTTTTGCTGGTAAAATGTTTCACCTCAATTCTTAGGCTGGTACCCTAAGTTCCCTACATTTGCTCCTCAAGCCTCAATGCTTTTGGGGAGTTTTTGGCCAACACTAATCCCCATGGTTGTTTTCTTTCCCAGTTGTCACAGATGAGACTTTGAGCTTCATTCAGAAAAGCAGACGCCTCCTGGTTGTTCTAAGCCCCAACTACGTGCTCCAGGGAACCCAAGCCCTCCTGGAGCTCAAGGCTGGCCTAGAAAATATGGCCTCTCGGGGCAACATCAACGTCATTTTAGTACAGTACAAAGCTGTGAAGGAAACGAAGGTGAAAGAGCTGAAGAGGGCTAAGACGGTGCTCACGGTCATTAAATGGAAAGGGGAAAAATCCAAGTATCCACAGGGCAGGTTCTGGAAGCAGCTGCAGGTGGCCATGCCAGTGAAGAAAAGTCCCAGGCGGTCTAGCAGTGATGAGCAGGGCCTCTCGTATTCATCTTTGAAAAATGTATGAAAGGAATAATGAAAAGGGTAAAAAGAACAAGGGGTGCTCCAGGAAGAAAGAGTCCCCCCAGTCTTCATTCGCAGTTTATGGTTTCATAGGCAAAAATAATGGTCTAAGCCTCCCAATAGGGATAAATTTAGGGTGACTGTGTGGCTGACTATTCTGCTTCCTCAGGCAACACTAAAGTTTAGAAAGATATCATCAACGTTCTGTCACCAGTCTCTGATGCCACTATGTTCTTTGCAGGCAAAGACTTGTTCAATGCGAATTTCCCCTTCTACATTGTCTATCCCTGTTTTTATATGTCTCCATTCTTTTTAAAATCTTAACATATGGAGCAGCCTTTCCTATGAATTTAAATATGCCTTTAAAATAAGTCACTGTTGACAGGGTCATGAGTTTCCGAGTATAGTTTTCTTTTTATCTTATTTTTACTCGTCCGTTGAAAAGATAATCAAGGCCTACATTTTAGCTGAGGATAATGAACTTTTTTCCTCATTCGGCTGTATAATACATAACCACAGCAAGACTGACATCCACTTAGGATGATACAAAGCAGTGTAACTGAAAATGTTTCTTTTAATTGATTTAAAGGACTTGTCTTCTATACCACCCTTGTCCTCATCTCAGGTAATTTATGAAATCTATGTAAACTTGAAAAATATTTCTTAATTTTTGTTTTTGCTCCAGTCAATTCCTGATTATCCACAGGTCAACCCACATTTTTTCATTCCTTCTCCCTATCTGCTTATATCGCATTGCTCATTTAGAGTTTGCAGGAGGCTCCATACTAGGTTCAGTCTGAAAGAAATCTCCTAATGGTGCTATAGAGAGGGAGGTAACAGAAAGACTCTTTTAGGGCATTTTTCTGACTCATGAAAAGAGCACAGAAAAGGATGTTTGGCAATTTGTCTTTTAAGTCTTAACCTTGCTAATGTGAATACTGGGAAAGTGATTTTTTCTCACTCGTTTTTGTTGCTCCATTGTAAAGGGCGGAGGTCAGTCTTAGTGGCCTTGAGAGTTGCTTTTGGCATTAATATTCTAAGAGAATTAACTGTATTTCCTGTCACCTATTCACTAGTGCAGGAAATATACTTGCTCCAAATAAGTCAGTATGAGAAGTCACTGTCAATGAAAGTTGTTTTGTTTGTTTTCAGTAATATTTTGCTGTTTTTAAGACTTGGAAAACTAAGTGCAGAGTTTACAGAGTGGTAAATATCTATGTTACATGTAGATTATACATATATATACACACGTGTATATGAGATATATATCTTATATCTCCACAAACACAAATTATATATATACATATCCACACACATACATTACATATATCTGTGTATATAAATCCACATGCACATGAAATATATATATATATATAATTTGTGTGTGTGTATGTGTATGTATATGACTTTAAATAGCTATGGGTACAATATTAAAAACCACTGGAACTCTTGTCCAGTTTTTAAATTATGTTTTTACTGGAATGTTTTTGTGTCAGTGTTTTCTGTACATATTATTTGTTAATTCACAGCTCACAGAGTGATAGTTGTCATAGTTCTTGCCTTCCCTAAGTTTATATAAATAACTTAAGTATTGCTACAGTTTATCTAGGTTGCAGTGGCATCTGCTGTGCACAGAGCTTCCATGGTCACTGCTAAGCAGTAGCCAGCCATCGGGCATTAATTGATTTCCTACTATATTCCCAGCAGACACATTTAGAAACTAAGCTATGTTAACCTCAGTGCTCAACTATTTGAACTGTTGAGTGATAAAGGAAACAAATATAACTGTAAATGAATCTTGGTATCCTGTGAAACAGAATAATTCGTAATTTAAGAAAGCCCTTATCCCGGTAACATGAATGTTGATGAACAAATGTAAAATTATATCCTATATTTAAGTACCCATAATAAATCATTTCCCTCTATAAGTGTTATTGATTATTTTAAATTGAAAAAAGTTTCACTTGGATGAAAAAAGTAGAAAAGTAGGTCATTCTTGGATCTACTTTTTTTTAGCCTTATTAATATTTTTCCCTATTAGAAACCACAATTACTCCCTCTATTAACCCTTCACTTACTAGACCAGAAAAGAACTTATTCCAGATAAGCTTTGAATATCAATTCTTACATAAACTTTAGGCAAACAGGGAATAGTCTAGTCACCAAAGGACCATTCTCTTGCCAATGCTGCATTCCTTTTGCACTTTTGGATTCCATATTTATCCCAAATGCTGTTGGGCACCCCTAGAAATACCTTGATGTTTTTTCTATTTATATGCCTGCCTTTGGTACTTAATTTTACAAATGCTGTAATATAAAGCATATCAAGTTTATGTGATACGTATCATTGCAAGAGAATTTGTTTCAAGATTTTTTTTTAATGTTCCAGAAGATGGCCAATAGAGAACATTCAAGGGAAATGGGGAAACATAATTTAGAGAACAAGAACAAACCATGTCTCAAATTTTTTTAAAAAAAATTAATGGTTTTAAATATATGCTATAGGGACGTTCCATGCCCAGGTTAACAAAGAACTGTGATATATAGAGTGTCTAATTACAAAATCATATACGATTTATTTAATTCTCTTCTGTATTGTAACTTAGATGATTCCCAAGGACTCTAATAAAAAATCACTTCATTGTATTTGGAAACAAAAACATCATTCATTAATTACTTATTTTCTTTCCATAGGTTTTAATATTTTGAGAGTGTCTTTTTTATTTCATTCATGAACTTTTGTATTTTTCATTTTTCATTTGATTTGTAAATTTACTTATGTTAAAAATAAACCATTTATTTTCAGCTTTGAATTTTATTTTGTGCATGTGTTTTATGTCATTTGGTCATTTGGTCATTTCACATTTGGTCATAAGTGAAAACAGAAAGAATTTATTATATTCACAAAGAAATATAATAAGTTACATTAGTTAAGTGTCTTTCTGAGATAAATCTGAGTAAAATGGGAACTTCTTATCAAGAACATTTTCTTTACATGGAAGTAAAAGTTACTTAAGTAAAATGAATTGTTCCAGAATACTAGGACATATTTTATGGGTGTATATGTGTTTATGTGTGTATGTGTATGTGTATGTGTATGTGTATGTGTGTATGCAGAGAGACAGAAAGACTGTCAAAAAGATGGAAAGATACAGAGAGACAGAGAAAAAGGAGAGAAAGATTATTTTAATACAAAGGAAAACAAGCTTATTCCTTTTTACTCAACTTGGAACTTAGGTCGTTTACAGGAATATTTTTCATCTAATAGGCTTTAACGCAACCACACGGTAGTTGCTTTGGAAATAGATAAAACTAATGCCATGACTTTAGTTAATTGATGATCATTTGAATCAAAGATGCATTTCTGTTACAAATTTTGAATAAATCAGTGATTAATATTTGGAAACATATTTTATTTTCGGTTAATAATACAAGTCCATAGTGACAGGGATGCCTTTTTGCTTTAAAAAAAAAAATCCCTGGCCAGGCGCGGTGGCTCACGCTGTAATCCCAGCACTTTGGGAGGCTGAAGCGGATGGATCAAGAGGTCAGGAGATCGAGACCATCCTGGCCAACATGGTGAAACCCTGTCTCTATTAAAATACAAAAAATTAGCTGGGCATAGTGGTGCACGCCTGTAGTCCCAGCTACTCGGGAGGCTAAGGCAGGGGAATCGCTTGAACCCGGGAGGCGGAGATTGCAGTGAGCTGAGATTGCACCACTGGACTCCAGCCTGGCGACAGAGCGAGACTTCAGAAAAAAAAAAAAAATCCTATTTGTTCATTTTACTGAGCCCTGTAACATGCTCAGAATTGGTTAGCTTAGTAAAGGTTCTTCTACTGAAGAATTAATTTTCCTTTTGCAAACCAGCCCCAAAAGTGTAGGCTTAGGATCAACGGATCGAAGTTACAAGGCAACAGATTTCTGCTCAGTTAGAAAATAGCTGTAAAGCAGAGTTCGACACTAATGGAATTCACTATCTTTGGAAATACTAGGCCTGCCATTACCAGAGGTATATAAGCATTTATTTGATAGATTTTCATTGAGATTTTGTATATGAGTTTTTTGCACTGGATAAGTGGTTTTGAGTCTGAAGTTGTTTCCAACCCTGAACGTGTTAAGTGACCTACTAGAACATACTGGTGACTCTTTGGAAGATTCAACTTCAGCATTTTGCATATGATCTACCTGGCTGTGATTAACCTTCCTTAAACTCTCAAGATTTTTTTTTCCAGTATATACTGATGTCACTAGCTCTTTAACGCAAGTAAATACACAGTATGGTATGAGAGACGGGTTTAGCAACTAGTCTATCTTATTTCTCTGTTTCTACTCAAGGAATATAAAGTAACCTTAGTAATGAGTTAGGAGATGGAGTGTTTTAGTAGTAATTTTAATCTACATCTATTTAAAACTGAATAGACAGAACTTTTACACACTATTACTCTTATAAATCCACATAGTAAGATGATATTTTAAAGTTAGCATTAATAATTGATACAGATTCAATAAACATTAGTCCATATATGATTTTACTATTGTGTTCACTAGACGTTGAGCAACAGTAATTTAATCAAAGTGATTTATGCAATGTGTACTGTGTGCTAGAAATTCACATGTAGGCATCTAATTTGTTTATCAGCCCTACGAGTTTACTTTATCATATGCATTTTATAGATGGATGAACTAGGACTCAAAAGATATTAAGATACAAATAGGGATAAATGGAGAAAGCAATATTTGAAACCACATTCGTCTTCCAAGTTAAATATTTCCTTTTTTCTATACTTCAAGTTTTAATAGAGAAAATGAAAGAGACAGAGGTTTGCTGTTCTTTTATCTACTAATAACTCATCCAGAGGAGAAAAAAAAAAATGACCATCCTAGTTTTCTTCTAAGTGAACTCCATGGAAGTTATGACTTTTACAGGCAAGAGTATTCTTGAGTATTGAAGAGTTCTCAGTCATACAACATGACTTCAAAGCCAATTTAGTACCACACAAGAAAACAAATCTCATTATTATATGGCCATACCTCATTTTTTGAGCCAAACAGAATAAATGAGCTAAATTACTACTCCTCCAAGTAAACTTTAGCATTAAAAATAATAGCTCCTGTCCTCAAATATGAAGTTTTGGCAATATAGAAGGTATTTTAAAAATATGCAATAAAGCATGCAACTCCCTTTACAGTATTAAGTGAAGATCCTTCGGTATAGCCCAGGACCTTTCTGAGAAGCATCTCCTACATGTGTTTCTCAACGTCTAAAATTCCGCCACTCTTACCTGCATTTAGCATTGTCCTCTTTCAAATCTAAACTTCCTCACTTTCTGGATGGAGTACCAATAAAAAAATTAAAGAGCAACAGACTCAAAAGTCATTTTTTAAGAAGATCTGGAACAGTGTTTGTTGTATTTTAAACAACAATATTCCTATTGGCAAAAACATACATTTTCCTAAGGTGACTGTTTTGAAGTGAAACATCATATCACACACACACACACACACACACACACACACACACACACAATTTGCATGAGTTCTCTTTGTTGACAAGCTAGCCATGTTGCCTTAAGGTTATTTCACATTTCTCAGGAGCCAGGAGAAGCAGTAGACTTCCCACTTTCATATTCTCTGATTTATGAGAGGCAGCCTCTTAAGATTCTGAGTAGGACTAGAGGGGACTGAGGAGTTGCTAAAACACATGCACATGTGCACACACTCGTACACACAGAAGGGTTTTAATGATAAACGAGAATTTAAATTTATCTCTTAAGAATGAATGAAACAAAATGTCTCTAAAAACATTTTTGCACTCCTGCTTAAACCAATCAAAAGTTCTCAAAACTTGAGCACGTGTCTCTCCAATTTCCCTTCAAATTCATGTTAAATCCACTGATTGAAAAAAACAAAACTATAATCTGTAAGAAGCACAGCTCCCTTATTCCCTGTCAAGTTCACAATGACCAATGCAAACTTTCAGTCTGTCTTCCAAGGCTGAAAACTCTCTCCGTTACTGTTTCGTCCCTGGACCAAAAGCAGAGGTGTTCACCCTCACACGGTGACTCTGGCACATGTTTTCAAAGTTATAAATGGCTAGGATTTACAATTTTGAACCTTTTTCCTTCAGGATATGGCATGTTCTAAGCTCCTAAATCTCACAGTGAGTTAAGCATTACATTTATTTGAAGAACTTTCCCTTGGGATCTGTCCAAATCCACTTTGATACCATTAGAATCGAATGGTTTGCCAGAAGTCTTAGCTACTTGACTAATTCTTACCCATTTTCATTGTTTTTGCCCCTTTAATTCCAATTCTTCACACACAGACGCACACACACACGCACCACACACACAGAAAAAAGAATTTAATTGATAACAAGATAAATACTATGAACTACTATGAACTGTCCGATGTTGTGTCCAAAAATGTTAAGTATCAAAGGATATAACTGAGAATCTTAGGAGGTGATAATTCCTGTTGCTCTTTGCTGATCAGACTATGTCAGGAGCATTATGTTCACTCCTGTTCATAATACTACTCTTAGAAGACACATCTATAAACTGAACATTATCCAGAGGAAAATGGTAAACATGCAGAGGAGACATGAGGCCATGTCATTTATGGAATAAGAGAAATATCCTGAAAATATTTAATCCAGACATAAGAAGAAAATACTACAAAGATATAAAAATGGTTTTCAAATATTCTAAACATTTAAAGACTCAAGATCTGACCACCAGATAACATTTGCGAGGAAGAAGATTTCAAAACAAGAAATAATTTGTAAACAGAGCTGAAATGACTTGCTTTTGATGGTGGCTAATATTTTGAGGGTAGTTACTCAATTGCCCACCGTGTGTGTGTGTGTGTGTGTGTGTGTGTGTGTGTGTGTGTGTGTGTGTTTTAAGAAAGACTTATTGAAGAAGGAGACTACTGCAATGAGGGTTTTGCAGTAGGAGAGAGAGACTGAGCTCAACTACCATACCATCCTTGAAGGCAGTAAATTCTTAGCAACCATTGACAAGAGTGGTGTAGATTTTTTTGACTGGGTAAATTATTCAGCACTGAGATTCTGTCATCTCAAGTGTTTGTTCATTCCCTGTCCTCTGGAGGATGGACAATAACGAACTGGAATATATGTAAGTTTTCACTATACATTGTCCTATATTTCCATTTTCCTATAGATACAGTGGAAGCAGTTTTTGATTTCATTCAGAGAAGCAGAAGGATGATTGTTGTTCTGAGCCCTGACTATGTGACAGAAAAGAGCATCAGCATGCTGGAGTTTAAACTGGGTGTCATGTGCCAGAACTCCATTGCCACCAAGCTCATTGTGGTTGAGTACCGTCCCCTTGAGCACCCGCACCCAGGCATTCTTCAGCTCAAAGAGTCTGTGTCTTTTGTGAGCTGGAAGGGAGAAAAGTCCAAACATTCTGGCTCTAAATTCTGGAAAGCTTTGCGGTTGGCTCTTCCCCTGAGAAGTCTGAGTGCCAGTTCTGGCTGGAATGAGAGCTGCTCTTCCCAGTCTGACATCAGTCTGGATCACGTTCAAAGGAGGAGAAGTCGTTTGAAAGAGCCCCCAGAACTTCAGAGCTCAGAGAGGGCTGCAGGTAGCCCTCCAGCCCCAGGCACAATGTCCAAGCACCGAGGGAAGTCCTCCGCCACCTGCCGCTGTTGTGTCACCTACTGTGAAGGAGAGAATCACCTTAGGAACAAGAGCCGGGCAGAGATTCATAACCAGCCCCAGTGGGAGACACACCTCTGTAAGCCTGTTCCCCAAGAGTCAGAAACTCAATGGATACAAAATGGCACCAGATTGGAACCCCCTGCTCCCCAGATCTCAGCCCTTGCTCTTCATCATTTCACGGACTTATCCAATAACAACGACTTTTATATCCTATAATTACTGTGTGTGGTGGGTGGTGGCTACTATCTCTACCAACCCTCTGTATGTCATGAACCTGTGGGAAAATCTGACATTTTTATCATCTAATGGACTATCAGATTTCTGTCCCCTTTATTGATTTTTAAAAACTATTTATTTCTAGGAGACAAAAGACCTGAAGGACCTGAATCCAGAATTATTGCCTCTAAAGGCCTCAGAAGAGCACACTCTTCTTGGGCCCTAGAAGGTCAGTATGTGAAAGTTGCCTAAAGTCTGATCCTCTATCTTGTCCAATGGTTTAAAACTGAGCTAAGAATTTAAATGTGTTTCTTTTCAGTGAGTTGATCAACCTCACATTATAAGTCAGTCAGGTGTACTTGGGCTATGATGCTTACAGGGTGTATGCATTCCCAGGGAGCAGCATGGAAAGGAGCTGGTTCTGGTGGAAGCTGTAGGACGAAGCTCAACAGAAAACCTACAGCACATTTTTCCTCAAAGAACCAAACATACCCACCCAGGGATACATGGCGTTCTCTGTCTCACTGTAAACTAGTGTTCTCTAAACTGCCTAACATTGTTAGCATCAATAAAATTCTATTTTTACGTCATTTTATTTGTACTAACAAATTTTTACATCTCTCTCACCCTTCTACTTCCTATGATTGTTGTATTCTTATCTGGAGAGTATTCCATTTCAGAAAATGGAGATTTGGTTTAGGTACCAGAAAAACTAAGATGCCTTTTTTGTTTCTCTCTGATATGTAATGGGAGAGATGTGGAAAATAACCAAAAGAGAGGGAGAATGTGACTTAAATGAAATGGAAGTTTACAACAATCTCATATTTTTAGAACTGACAGATGAAAAATTCCGTATTGTAAGTGATGTAGCGTAGAAATAGGTGCCTTCGTCCCATTCAGGCTTCTGAGAAGGGATAATAAATTCAAGTGCCTACAAGGATCAGAAGGTAAGAGAAAAGAGAAAATATGGCCAGATACCAGCTTATTTTACATGCTCTCCATCTAGAACTGATGTGAATAGGGACATAGGCACAGATAGTTATTTCTTCTCTGTAAACATTTTCATAAACTCATATAAGGCACATGGCATTTGATTTCCAAGTCAGGTAGATCATTGGCCCTCTAAGCAACTGAAGAACACATATTTCTTAAAAAGGGTCAGCTTCAGGCCGGGTGTGGTGGCTCATGCCTATAATCCCAGCACTTTGGGAAGTCAAGACTTGTGGATCAACTGAGGTCAGTTGTTCAAGAGCAGCCTGGCCAACATTGTGAAACCCCATCTCTACAAAAATACAAAATTAGCCAGGTATGGTGGTGGGCACCTGTAATCCCAGCTACTCAGGAGGCTGAGGCAGGAGAAACTCTTGAACCTAGGAGGTGGAGGTTGCAGTGAGCCGAGATCGTGCCACTGCACTCCAGACTTGGTGACAGAGCAAGACTCCATCTTAAAAAAAAAAAAAAAAATGGGTAGCTTCTACTCAGTTCCATTTGATTTTTGTCACTAATTGAGCCCCAATGTTGCCATATTGTCCATTTTTTTCTAAAGAATCTAAAAAATTCAGATTTTTATGTATAATGTCAATTATGGGATGGCTTAAAGTTAAGAAGGAAAAAACAAAGAGCCAAACAAATTATATCTGTGGGACATAGTTAGCCTGAGGGCAACTAGTTTGTAATTTCATAACTAAAGTATTCAGCCAAAGAACATATCTCCAAATGGAATTTTAGTGTCCCTGATAATACCAGAACTGGAAGACACAGGTTGGCTCTAAG
Source organism: Homo sapiens (assembly GCF_000001405.40). Lineage (NCBI taxonomy): Eukaryota > Metazoa > Chordata > Mammalia > Primates > Hominidae > Homo > Homo sapiens. The sequence continues at coordinate 190,658,381 of NC_000003.12, forward strand.
GACATAGTGGAGCATGTTTATCCTCTCCTCAAATTGAAGACATCTGGGCTGTTACAATTGAGCTGATCTGACCTAACCCTCCATTAGAAAAGAAAAATCTGGAAAATTCGGTGCCTTCCATTTACTCTTTAGAGGTTTCTTGCCTGCTTACTGTCAGAAAATAAGAAGAACGAAGTCTGCTACTCCTGAACATGAGCAGAACCAAAAAAGCAAGAGACCACACCTTACATGAGAAGTCACCTTTAATACATTAGCTGTGGCTGTTAGTGAGTTGTGGCCCAATGAGTGTCAGTGGCTCCCGGTCAGTAACAGTGAATGGGCAGTGGGGAAAGAAAGAAAGCAGTTTCATCTCACTACCCCTCTTGAAAATGTTCTCAGAAGATCCTTTCTTTGTCGAAACAAACAAACAAACAAAAAACTAGAAGATTCCTACTCCAAAGATGGGGGAACAAGGGCCCCCTAGAGTAAATGTGAACTCACCCTGAAACTTGTAATCAGAAAACGACAGGCCACCCTAACTAAATATCCAGTAGAAAATGACTTAGCACAACCCAAAGGCCTTGTCCTCTATTAAATCCCTTCTTGTAAAGAATAATCCATCCTTGATGTATATTCAAGAACCTTCAGTTGGAAGACAGATAGCAGTTTCTCTCCAAATCTATTAATAATGGGTAATGTAAGCGGCTCCGAAGCTCAAGGAGGGAGAAGATTCTCTGACCCACTATCAGTGTTATGCCTTATTAACACAGCATCTCAAAGTGTAAAATATCTTTGGAAGAAAATGAGAAATTAAATTTTTCATTTATACATTATTTTCTGTTTTAGTGAAGACAAAGAAATGAAAGAACTATTGGCAGAGTCATGGAAAATTAAATATGAGCTCATATTATATGAGTAGCTAGAAAATTTTGGTGCTCTCAAAACTACATTTTGGCAAGTATCAATTTCCTTGGACAATATAAGTGTAGTGGAAGCAGTAAAAGTCTTAGTTTTCAGTATTAGTTATACAGCGGTCAGAAAGATAATAGACTATACTTCTACTGTATGGAGAAAGGATCAGAGGTTATATTATTATTTCTTGACCTGACATGCCAAATTGAATGTGATGTTCAGTACCATACATTTCAATGAAGCAAATTATAATAAGAAAGAAATTTTTTTCATGGGCCATGCATATCCATAATAGAAATAACAGGATTGTAGGGTAAATGGATATATCATTGCATAAGAAATATTGTCTACTTAGTTGCATGAGTTTTAAATCAAATAGAGATGGATGTGAGTCCTACTTCTCTCCTATCTGTTTGAACATGGTCTCTCTGAGCCTCAATTTCCTACTAGCTAAAATAAAGATACTATTATCAACCTCATTGGATGTTGATGGCATTAAATGATATATTATACATTTATTTCATATGCCTCACCTTTTTTAAACTCTTGTAAAATGTCCAAAAGCAGTATAGAACAGGACCATATTATCCAGCTTAAGTGACTTTCCTAGTGACACTCAGCCAATTATCAATAGGGTTGAGTCTCCAATCCAGACTCTGACACTTGATCCACTGCCAATTCTAGAACCATCCATGTAAGATTGAAGGGGAAGTAATTCTATTACAAAGCTACCTCAGTGGAATTATTTAATCTGGGCCATAAAACATTCAAGTAAAAAAAGCAGTTAATGTAAACCCACACACAGCTAATTAAATGTTATATTAAGGGTCTGATATGTCATCTGACCTTGTCATATTATTATTTTACATGGCTTAATTTTAAAATATTATAAACTTTCTTAAAGCATTTAAAAGATAGAATTTTTTTAATGTCCTCTAGACTCTATGATAATGCTATATTTTTTGCCTTCAAAATAAATTATTTGAATTTTTCTTGGTGGAAAATAAAAATATATTCACCATTTACCTTGAAAAACAAATTTTCTTTGGCAGCTCGATAAAAACTGAATTTCAGAGTTACCTTCTCCTGTAACTATTAAGAACTCTAGTAACAATGTATTCACTCCCAGATTGAAGATTTGAAGGGGCTGGGAAAACTAATGTTTTGGTTCAGAAAAAGTCATGAATAATAAATTGAACTAATCATAAAGATATGCACAGAAGGATAAGCAATTTATATGGCATTGGTTTAAAACTTTCGTGCATCTAACTTCCGTGCACGTAACTTGAGGGACATGTTACAGTGAAGGTCCCAGGGCAGGCCCTTCCCCAGAGAGACCAATTCATTAGGTGCTGGACATTGTCTAGAAGTCTGTATTTTTATATTGTGTCCTTGATAATTAAATAGAGCATTTCATAGGTCAATGTTGAAAAACTGCTACCTATGAGAACTCTTTCAAACTCTTTCCATATTTTTTGTATTATTGCTCAGGTTGTAAGGGAAAAGAGCCGCAATTAGGAGCTTGCCCAAGCCTTCTTGATATGTATTCCTTAATGTATCCACATTGGAACCATTTGGGGCTCATATTAAGATGCATGTTATTTGACTCCATCCAAGATTAACTAAATGAGGATCCCTGATGTAGGGCGGATCTGCACGTGGAATAACTTTCCCAGGTGATTCTAATGCACACAAAAAAACAAGAACCATTAATTTTTATCTCTCTTTAACTCCTCTTTTACCCTTGTAGGCTCTGATTTTCTCCAGCCAAGGACTACAAATCATCCTCTTAACAAGGTGTTTGCAGGCAATAGATGAAAACGTAGGGCATGTTTAGCCCTCGAAGTTGCCTCAGCACAAGGAAACAGTTGAATAGATGATTAGTAGAATGTATTTATAATATATGAAATATCAATCAGTGATATTTGGAACCTGGTGGGATCGCTGTAGTCATCATATGTATTAACCAGAATAAGATATGCTATGCCATGCTAACAAAGAACCCCAATATTTCAGTAGCTTCATATAACAAGACCTATTTCTTGTTTATGCTACACGTCCAGCATAGGAGCTTACATTTTTTTTTTTTTTTTGAGACGGAGTCTCACTCTGTTGCCAGGCTGGAGTGCAGTGGCGTGATCTTACCTCACTGCAACCTCCACCTCTCGGGTTCAAGTGATCCTCCTGCCTCAGCCTCCCGAGTAGCTGGGACTACAGGTGCGCGTCACCACACCCAGATAATTTTTTGTATTTTTAGTAGAGACGGGGTTTCACCATGTTGGCCAGGATGGTCTCGATCTCTTAACCTCATGATCTGCCTGCCTCGGCCTCCCAAAGTGCTGGGATTACAGGCGTGAGCCACCGCACCCGGCCCAGAGCTTACTTTTTTTATGCTTTGCCATCTGAAATGTGTGGCTTCCTGTTGTGCTATGCTTTAGCTGAAATGTGACACTCATTACTTTCACTTACAATTCATTAGCCAGAACTAGCTCTGAGGTCCTGCTGTAATCATAAAAAAGGCTAGAAAATATAGTCTTCCTATGTCTCGAAAGAGAAAAATGAAATGAACTTGGTGAACACATACCACCATCTTTGTCTACAAATATGATGAGAATAACATATTACGGAAGCCTGAAGAGGTAAGAAATCTTCAAACTGAGATATGTCACATACTTTGCTAATGAAAAAAAAAAAAAGGGACTTTGCTACCAGTACTCCACCTCAGTTTGCCAAAGTATCAAGATAAAACAGCATGCAGAAAAGTACACCTTGTTTGTAAGTGTTCCCCAAAGAAAAGTTGTTGAAGGAATGCATAATAATAACCATAGCTTCTGGCTAAGAGAAAGCATGCTTAAAAATTTGAAAGTTACTGTATTTGGTTACCTTCCATTCAGTAGCTTTAGCTAGTTCCCTAAGAATGTGATGCTCAAACTATCTGTAAATGAGCCATTTCATTTTGGATATCAAAGGAGCCTCAGAAGAAGTGAAGACATCTAGAACACAGCAGAGCATGTAACACAGTCATTAGAAAGCATCCCTTGATCCATCTATCTGAAGAGCTAAACAGGGGATTCAAAATGAACATGCTAAAGCTCAAGTGAAGGAAGAGACAAAAACTGGTGTATTATGAAGTGTGTGCATCTGCTCTCTCTACATTTGGATTCTCTGCTTGTATTAAAGATTTGAATTTTTATATGACTTCTCCAATGTGTATGGAATCATTCGATCATGAAGAAGGGCTCTCTTTGGTTTGGCAAAGATTTGTGCTTAATAAGTCTTGGTCTATGTTACTAAGTTATAATGTTGAACAAAAAAAACTATTATTTCTTAGTGTAGCAAGGAGATTACTGACACATTCAAAATCCCTTAGAAAATAATTCACAAAGTTTCTCTCTTGAACAGTTTAATCATTTCAAAATATTTAAATGAAAAAAATGACTCTTTGAAATGAGCTTATTGGAAGAAAGAAGAAAGATTCAAACTAAACTTTGAAATCAGATCATGAGCTGTTTTTAACTTAACTCACCCAGGTAATTGGAATTTTAATACTTCATTGCTTTATTTTTTTAAAAAGAAAAAAATCTAATGTATATTTAAGACTCAAAGACATATATAACTTATTAATTTTCTATTGTCAAAAACTGTGTCATATGCTTGCAATTAATTTAGCATTTGGCATTGTGTTTTGAAGTAACTTGGGCAAGTGGTTCTTACCTAGAATTTAATTTCATCTTTTAAAAAATTACACATACCTCGGGTCCATCTCAGTCTACTAAATCTCCCATATTGATCTAGATATGTGCTCTGATATAGGATAACTGTCTTAAGTTTGCATATGTTTCAATGAGAAATAAATGATGTTATATTATAAATATATATTTAAAAGGCAAAAGAACTCCTAATATTGTAAATAATCCTTCTTAATATTCAAAACTTAAAACTCATTGCCAGATATTGGAATTGAATCATTTATTTTCATATCTTACTATGAAATTACATAAAATATGAGAACACAAAATAAAGATAATAAAATGAGAGAAATAATCAGTGTAGTGACTGAATTGGGTAGCCAAAGGAGGCCATAACTCCAGTATGTATGACATCCATATCATCAGTTATCTTAAACAAGACAAAGTGTTTATGATGAAATGGTTTTGGGCAAAGACAAATGACTTATAAGAACAACCAAAAGAGAAAAGGGGTCGGGCTCGGTGGCTCACACCTGTAATCCCAGCACTTTGGGAGGTCAAGGCAGGTGGATCAACTGAGGTCAGGAGTTCGAGACCAGCCTGGCCAACATGGTGAAACCCTATCCCTACCAAAAATACAAAAATTAGCTGGGCGTGGTGGTGGGTGCCTGTAATCCCAGCTACTCGGGAGGCTGAGGCAGGAGAATCGCTTGAACCTGGGGGGCAGAGGTTGCACTGAGCCAAGATCGCGCCACTGCACACCTGGGCGACAAGAGCGAAACTCCATTTCAAAAAAAAAAAAAAAGGGAGAATAGAAAAATGTTTTTCACTCATTTACAAATATCAGTAATGTAACGGGGCAGCGAGATGTGTAAAAACTTTCTAATATCAGGCCATTATAGCTATAATGTGCAGTGAGTGTCAGGGAATAAAGTTGATTGGTCATTTCTATTATGCTCTTGATATATTAAATTGGAGTCAGAAGGTATGAATTGGAATACTAGTTGTACTGACTGTGTGACTTTCAATAGCATACTTTTGCTCTCAAGTTCTTAGTTTCCTCATATATAAAATGGGAATAATATAATATCTACCTCATTGGATTGTTGTAAGGGTAAACTTATGTAATAAATGTTAATCTCAAAAACGTGTAAAGCACATGCTTGGTAGTGGTATTATATTGTTGTTAGTTATTATAAGAGAAATGTGGAGGAAATGAAGAGGTCTTAGAGAAATTCCTTAACCCATTAAATGCTGGACTACTTTTCAGAGCACATGGTCCAATCTTTCACAACTAAAAATTTAGGTGTGAAAGATTTAGTATAGTTTCATATTACTCTAAGGGTTGGAGACTACAAAAAAAACAGTCTCTGAAAAATAAGAAGTATGAAAAGGGCTGTATTTATTCCATATTGCTATTGATAAATTGCCCTTTAGAAGCTTAAAACAGCAGATATTTATTACCCCACAGTATATATGGATCAGAAATTTGGGAGACGCTTAGCTGGATGGCTCTTCCTCAGTTACTAATTGAAGAGGCTGTCAAATTGTTGGTCAGGGCTGTGGTCATCTGACAGCTCCACTTCCAAGGGCAGGTACATGGAAGCTGGTAGGAAGTCTCAGTTGCTTGCCATATGAACCTCCCTTATTGGGATGCTTTAGTATCCACATAACACATCAGCTGGCTTACCCCAGAGCAAGTGAGCCAAGAGGGCAAGGCCAAAATGCTTTTTATGACCCAGCCTCAAAAGTGATATATCATTACTTCTGCAGTATTCTATTTGTTAGAAATGGTTCTCTAAGTCCAAGCCATTCTCAAGAGCTGGGGAATTCAGCTCCACCTCTTGGATGGAGGAACATCAAAGAACGTGTTAACACGTTTGAAAGTCACTTCAGTAGCATACACAAACATTTATTTTCCAGTTGAATAAATTGAGGTCCAGAAAAGTGGACCTGGCCCTTACCGTTCCTCACTTCATTCTTAACATGATAATCAACTGCCTGCAGTGGTACCACAACTGAAATGAGAGCTGTTTCGTTCTGATTAGGTCATTTCTTTTGCCTGTTGAAAGACTACAGAATGGGGGAAGTTATATACTCTAAACTTCTGGCATTCCTCTGTTTCTCTCAATTCCTCTCTCCTTTGCTCTGCTGTAGATAAAAGGCGGTCTCTTGAAGCTGGAGAAGGATAGGGCGGATGGGGCTTGTTAGCCATGTTCTGGTCTGGGGTCTGTGTACCGAAATAGAACTTTTATCATGGGTTCATCTCTAGAGAGATTGAAAACGGTTTTACTCTAAAAAGCAGCCACTGCAAAAGTAAGCATGAGCTTTCAAAGAAAGGTAATTGCTTTATCTGAAAAAAAAATACAGTTTCTTGTCTTACCTCTGAACTGAAATGGTTATCTATTAATAATTGAGTGATTTCTCCTCTCTGTACATCAGGCTTTTGAGTCTCCCAAATGGATGGGGTTGCACTGGGAATTCTGTAGGATGTTATAATTCTATATAGTTTTTACTTACTGAGTAATGCTTAAATAACCTCCTCCCCTCACCATATACACACACACACCAGCACCAGCATCGAGTAATACTGGGAAGAATATTTAAAAGGTGAGAGGCTTCTGAAAGGAATCATAAATACCCCTGTCTGTTAGACCTAGCTCTTGTTACATGCATTTCTTACTTGTAAAGCTAAATAGCTAACTTCTGTTTTTCCTTATCTGTTTTCTGTCACTCTCTGAAACAAGTAACTCTGAGGAAATATATTAAGTTTACAGGAGATCTATTCATAGTTTAACTCTGGTGCTTCCAATTTTTCTAAACCAATTTGAATCTCAAGGTCCAAGGTAACTAGTTTGTAAATTAGAATGAAAAGAAATGTTACCTTTTGTCTTCTGAACAGCTTTATGCCCTTATCTCTTACTCACACAAACTGTAGCAAGCTTCCTATTGTAATATATGTCCATATATTTCATTATACCAAAAATAAATACATAAATAAATAAATAGGGGCTGGTTTTGAAATTAGTGTATAAACAGTGACATCTCAGGAGTTAAGAGACCTGAGTTCTAATCCAACTTATAATTCCTTTCTTATGGGACCTCAAGCAAGGCATATGACATAGTTATCCATCAATATAATTCAAGGATCTCTATGTGGCTTTCCGTCTCTGGTATTCTAGGAGTCTGTGTAAAAATAGTGAAGTTTCTGTGGGTATCAAGGCACAATCCATGACCCCTTTCAGGTAGTGCAGAATCAGATATCTAAAGAGGCTGGAATTCCCTATAAGTGCATAAAATGCTAGTTGAGTTGCACAAAATCAAACCAAATCTCAGATGCCCCCACTTTTCTACTCTTCCTGAGTCAATTGCTTCCTCAAAAGGTCACAGTTTTCTCCCCCTACTTCTCCTCAAGAATCCCAAGAATATAAGCTACACGTACACGACCACGCTGTTCGTAGAAAATGCCAAGTACTTTTATGGCCCACATGCTTTGTCAAAGTTACTTCTGTTTGGAATGCCTGCTCCTTTTCCCCTCCACATAGAACTTTTACAATGATTCAAGTTCAGCCCAAATGTTTTTAAACCCTTCCAATGTTTCCCAGGCAGAATTAGATGTTTCTTACCCTTGTATTATTCCTAAGACTTCTGGTGTTAAGTTATAAATTGCTACATATCTGTTTTACCTGCTGTTCTGTAAGCTCCCATGAAGAAATATTATTTATTGAATCTCTAATCTGAGCACTTAGCATAGTGATTAGTACGTGGCAATTTTTCTATTAATGTTTTCTTAAATAAATTAATTATCATGGCGACTCTCATCAGGATCTAAGTAATAAAACCTTGCATCTTTCTTTGTTTCATCTCCCCTCTATCACAGATGTAATGTTTTATTAAAGGCACCATTTTAGTCTTTTGCTCATTACTGTATGAAATGAATTTCAATATTGGAATCCAGAGGCTTCCAACACCACATCCAGCACCACTAAATTTGGCCCTTGGCATTACTTCAGGACAGATGGTCTGTGACGGAGTAGGGGTGAAAAGAGCCCCAGCTGTGCCGTCCCTGGCCTGGCTGCTACCCTCACATTAAGGACTTCCATCCCTGCTCTTCTCTATCTGCATAACAGCTGATGCTAGAATCAGCACCATGCTCATTGGCAGATGTTCTGTTTGTGATCTTGCTATTAAATAGGCCCAAAAGGACAGGACACTAAGCTCTGATAAATACTCTCTACCTACAGTGTACCACAGAGTGTCTCTGGCTAATGAATTCCGAGAGAAAAAAGCAATCTTTTTTTTATTTAAAATACAAATGATATGGCAAAAATAAAATAATGTACTGTGTTGATTTAGGTACAGTCGGTAATTAAGAGATCGGCTCTTCCAAATGCCTTGAATAGTGTATATTGTCCTCTATGGGTCAGTAAACTCCTGCAGAATGACACAACCTGCAGCCCTTCTTCCCAGGCTCATCACCACTGCTGCAGTTCAGGGCTCATAATCTCTCAAAACAGCTTTCAGTTTCCCTTAATCACTCCATTCTTTCCCCTTCAAACTCTGTACATCCATCACCAAATCAATCTTTCTTGATTTGGTGTCACGGTCACACTGACCGTGACACTTTAACTCTCAAAGACTGTGTCCCCTTACTTCCTAAAAGATACATTTGTTTTGGTTTGTTTTAGTCCAAATTTAGGACATTCCATTCTCTAGCCTTAGCCGATCTTCAAAAACTTAGTTCTTTGCGCTTCCAGATATGCGCTCAACATCCCAATTCAAATAAATGACTTGGCATTTCTTGAGTACATTTCCATCACTGTGGCCATGGTCAAGCTGTTACTGCTGGGAAAACCCTCCTACTCATCTCACACGTTCACTCTCAAGGTACAGTTCAAACACAATTTTTCTGATACTTCCAGCAGAAAATATTTTCTTTCCTATTAAATCCCCTATAGCATTTTTCCTGGTTTTTTTAATTATTATTTTTATTATTTTACTTTTTTGAGATGGAGTTTTGCTCTTGTTGCCCAGGCTGGAGTGCAATGGTGTGATCTCGGCTCACTGCAACCTCCGCCTCCTGGGTTCCAGTGATTCTCCTGCCTCAGCCTCCCAAGTAGCTGGGATTACAGGCATGTGCCACCACACCCGGCTAATTTTGTATTTTTAGTAGAGACGGGGTTTCTCCACGTTGGTCAGGCTTGTCTTGACTCCTTACCTCAGGTGATCCACCCGCCTCGGTCTCCCAAAGTTCTGGGATTACAGGTGTGAGGCACCGCACCTGGCCTTTCCTGTATTTTTATTCATTCACTCATTCAACAATATTGAGTACCTACTCAAGGCCAAGAACTATTACAGAAACCAGGAAAACACATCAGTGAATAAAACTGACAAATTCCTTCCTCTATTCAAGCTTACATTTTAGTGGCAAGAGACAGATAATAAAGAAACTAAATAAGTAAAATATAGAGCTTGTTATATGATAGATAAAAAAGAGACATGGAGTGAAGAGTGCTGGCAAAGGGCTGTCAATTTCAAATCGTATTCCTAGGAGGCCCCACTCCAAAGGCGGCTTTTGAGTGAAGATCTTAAGGATGGGGGAGAAGAAACAGACTTAACAGCAAGTGTAAAAGCTGTAAGATGTCAAAAATCCAATGCAAGGAATCCTGTGATTAGTATACATGGATCATGTGGGAGAGTAGGCAATGAAGTCAGAGGTATTAGAGTGAGGTGGCACTAATGTATGTCCTTGTAGGCCACGGTAAGGACCTTTCATTTAGCTCCACATGAAGTGGCAAATCTATCTCTGTAGCCCCAGAAGTAAACATATGGCATACATATACCATGTATGTAAGAATAGTTTAATAATTTTCTTTTCAGATGTGTGGACAAAGTTTAGGAAACCCAATATGAGACAGTATAGTACCCAGTAATAGTATAGTTGGAAACATCAATTCCCTAGGCCTAAAGTGGCAAGAGGATGGAGTAGTTATAAGAAAACAGGGATATCTTCATGGAGTGGGCAATGGGGCATCAGCTGTGGTCTTCCACAGAGGGATACAGCCGACATTTGGCCAGATAGAAGCAAGGGGAATACCTAGGTCTTACTCTCCTGCCCACCAATCTCTGGCTAGTGTCCTCACTGTTGAATCCAACCATAATCCAGAGATCAAAAAGTCTGACAGATGCTACCTAAAAAGTGCAGTGTCCTATGACATAAAACAGGGTAGAGAAGAATAAAAAGGATCTAGGGGACACAGAAGATATCCAGCTTTGGGATCTCTTGGTGAGATCTGAGCAGAGTTGTAACATGGCCTACCTTATAGTTTAGCAAGATAACTGCGTCTATTTTGTGGAGAATAACTAGAGAAAAACCAAAACAAAGTTGAAAGGCTACTGAAGTAAACTGAAAGATGATAGAATGCAGTCTCTTCTGTTGATTTCCAAATTTAAAAAAATCATCAAGATAATCAGACTAGAGTGGGTATGAAAGATGATGTGGTGGATATCAGATATGAGACAAGTATGAAATAGTCATCTAGAAAATTCAGAGAGTGAGTATTCTAGGGCAATGTGTTACAATTTCTGAAGAATAATGAGAGTCTAAATGAGAACAGTGGCCGTATAATTGATATGAGACCAGTCTGAATGGTTTTGTGTTTTTCTCCATCACATTTGTCTGCACATATGCAGGTGGTAAGTAGGTGGAGAAGTGGGTTTAACCAGGGTGGGAACTGAAAATGCATGCCAAGGCATGATTATGTTGATTGGCTGCGGACTTTAAGCCATATAAGAGTAAAGTGAGGACGTAAGAGAGTTTAGAAATTGTGAAACATGGTAATAACAATAGATTGGAGGCCCGGTCATGTCAAAGGATTATTGGAGTTACAGTACTAGGTCAAGTGTGCTAGGAAGGTGAGTTGATGGAGTGAATGTGATGCTGGAAACTGAGCTCATGAAGAAGTTGAAATTCTAGCATCGTAACATTAAGTGTAAGATAGTGGCAGTGAGGGAGTGAGGTAGACTGAAAACAGGACCATTATAAGGGAGGAGATCAAGAAATTGAGATGCCAAAGTATCAGAAGTATAACCTATGTGAATATTTCAATCACCAACAACTAAGGCAACATTAATGAGATAATGTCAGTAAACAAGGTTTTCAAATCATGAAATAAGGAGAAGGGATCAGGGATAGCAGATGACTGATTTTTTTGCATTCAGAGATGCAATTCCTGATTGCATTCAGGTGGCAATATGGATGATTTATATCAAATTTAAAGTTGGAAAAATTTGTAGAGGAGGGAATGACAATGGTCTAGCAAGAGAATGGGAAAGCACGATGTTTATTTTACTGCCACATCAATTGTGAAGGGGTGTGGGAAGAAAACAGTAGCTACCTGAGAGAGCTAGAGGAGAAACAGTATCTTCAAGGGCAAACCAGTTTATATTAGAATAAGAAAAGAAGGAAAGTTACAGAGGAGAGATAGGGGATGTCAAAAGTTTTATTTGACTGATCATAAGTCCTAGAGGGCTGGGTCAAAGTGTTGTAGTGCTTAGGAGGGGAGAAGGCAAGGTCAGAAAAAGAAAAGTATAGAATCATATAAATATATAACAACTAATAAAATCACTTTATATGATCATGGAATCAGAATTTCAGTGTCCAATAATCAAAACCCAAGCTCCTCTTGGATCCATCACAGAAAAGTAAGTCTCAGAGAGTGAGAAAAGACCTTGCCTACAACTGTTCTCCTTAGCTCTAACCTTCTATTTATGCTTCCCATATAATGAATAACAGCAGTCAAACCATTAATGCAGAGATAATTAGTCCAAGATAATTAGGGAGAAATTTTTCTTCCTTTTGAAAGCCACCCAAAGTCTACAATTAAAGGTTCATTCAATTATGACAGTGCCTATATTCAACACAAGTCACACAGCCTGAAGACAAAACCTGCCCTTGAGAGAAACAAAGAAAAGTTTAAAGTCAAAATATTTCAAAGAAAGTCTGCTTCCAATTATATTTTATCAAATCAATTACCGTTAGGAAGAGCTTTCAATATATTTTATTCAGGAATTTGAATTTTTTTATTCAGAGCTATAAATCAATTAATTAATCAATTATCATTAATTCAGCAACAATCCAAAACAGAATAGTAAAATGTTACACACAAAAGGCACAGAGAAAACTTTTGCAAGTACAGTGCATAATTACTTCCTTTTTTTTTTTCTTTGAGACACAGTCTCACTCTGTGGCCCAGGCTGGAGTGCAGTGGCACAATCTTGGCTTACTGCAAACTCTGCCTCCCAGGTTCAAGCGATTCTCGTGCCTCAGCCTCCTGAGTAGCTGGAATTACAGGCATGAGCCACCATGCCCAGCTAATTTTTGTATTTTTAGTAGAGACGGGGTTTTGCCATGTTGGCCAGGCTGGTCTCAAAACTCCTGACCTCAAGTGATCCACCTGCCTGGGCCTCTCAAAGTTCTGGATTACAGGCGTGAGACACTGCTCCTGGCCCATAATTATTTTCAAATTTTGAAAAACAAATTGAAAACATATCCCATTAGCTATGTTTGTGAAACATACAGTCTTTTGAAGAATTAAAAGAGAAGTCATGAAGATAACACAACCGTTTCCTCTGGAATTATAACAAAATCATACTCAATAGCATGTCCATAGCAGACTATATTGTTTTATTATGCAAACCTTAATCTGGAAAACTCTAGGTTAGATATTTGATTCAAAAAATTACATTGATCTATTCAGGGAATTACATTAATTGCGTGAGACAGGCTGTAGCGACGGGCCATCAAGTTTAAATAACTGCAGACAGTGACTCATCTCTTGGAGCACATTTCACATGGCTTAATTGATAAAAACTATGAAAAAAGCCACAACTATGTACTTTATAAATAGTTGTGTTTATGGACATTGATTTCCTTTAAAAATAAATATTTCTTCCTACTAGGTAGTCCTTTTCAATCTATCTGACCTTGAAATTGCTATGAAGTGTTGTGTGTGGGAGGCCGCAGGGGACTGGCTGGAGAAAGAAAGGGTAATGAAAAGTAGTAGGATCCACCTACTCTCACTCACATACATTATACCATTTAGACAACAAGAGGCAGGATAATTATCCCCATTTCATAGATGAGAAAACCAAAATTCGGAAAAACTAACTTGTTCAAGATAAAACAGATAACAAGTGGCAGAACCAGGATTTGAAAACCAGATAAATCCGGCTTCAACATCTAAATTTTCCACACAGGCTGGGTGCGGTGGCTCACGCCTATAATCCTAGCAATTTGGGAGGCCAAGACAGGTGGATCACATGAGGTCAGGAGTTCGAGACCAGCCTGACCAATATGGCAAAACCCCATCTCTACTAAAAATACAAAAATTCACCGGGCACGGTGGCGCACGCCTGTAATCCCAGCTACTTGGGAAGCTGAGGCAGGAGAATCGCTTGAATCAGGAGGGTGGAGGTTGTAGTGAGCCAAGATCGCACCACTTCACTCCAGCCCGGGCGACAGAGGGAAACTCCGTCACAAATAAAATAAAATAATAAATTTTCCACACAAATAAGACTCCCTCATAACATTTCAAATAAACATGATTCTTAAGTGGTTGTTTATATTTTATATCATTGACATACTGTGATGATGAAATGTGATCAAGAACTGTTTGATGATTAATAAGCTGTATTATTTTGTCATTACAGATTATAAGACTATCAAGATGGCCTTGTGAGTTAAAATGTCTGTTTAACTCTTTTGAATTAAAATGTTATGTTATGGCAATAGCAATAGCAATAAATCACATTTATATAACACTTTATAGTTTCAAAATATTTCCACATAGTCTACCTCCTTGTGATTCTGTTCTCATAACAACTTGTGAGGTAGGCAGAACTGATATTATTCCCACTATTTTATATTTGGGAAATTGAGGGACAGAGAACTTTGCTCAAATCAAATTAATGAAGAGCCCATATGAAAACACAGGTAATTCATTCATCGATGTATGTACTCTTTTAACAAATAATTTTACATATCTATTATGTGACACATACTCTTATTTCTTAAGTGATATCTAAGCTATTACTCATTCCATTAGTTGAAACCTTATATTACAAGATATATTAGATATGTTAATGACAGTGCCTACCACCCCTAACACCTTTTCAAATCCCAACCTACCACCTCTACTAAGAAAAGCTGACGTCGTTTGTTCTTTGAGTGAGTTCACTAATTTGGACTGGTCCGAGAGCAGCAAATTCATTCACTGGCTGCTACCATACAAAGTAGTCTAGTATGAAATATCTGCTCACAGGGGCAATGGCTGTTGAAAAGGCCAATTAGATCATCTTCCTTTGGAATTTGAATAGGAAAACATAGAACAAAAAAATAGCTTTTGGCAGGAGAAGCATAAAAAAGAAGACACTTAAAAAGAATCAGAAACTGAGCAAATAGGAATTCCAGACCTCTGAGTTAAATGCCAGACTTAATAGAACAGAAGTCCTTGTTCTTATGCTGGACACATAGCATTGCTGGCTAATATATTTAACATAAATTAAAACTATTAAAAAAAAAGATAAAGCAAGAAAGAGAAATATTCAGAGGCCAGAAATGAAAAATAAGCCCAGAGCAACAGCAATGAGCAAGAGGCCACACTGCCTCTGGGAGAGTAGGGGTATATGCATTAGTAGCTTAAACATTTAATGCTACATGCAAAAACTAGCCAAAACTTCAGTTCCCACATATAGAGAGGATTGTAGCTGGGCTCTTAAGTACAAATGAGAAGCCAAACTTAGTGCTGCTTTGTATATATACGGGGTCCTAAAATCTCTGAAAATCCCTGCCCGCTTACCAACAAAACCTGAGGTCACAGGCATGAACAAAGTCACCAGTAATAGACTGAGATCTTACAGGAAAAATAACTAATGAGTAGTAGGCTTAATACCTGGGTGAAAAAATAATATGTACAACAAACCTCCATGACATGAGTTACCTACATAACAAACCTGTACATCTACCACTGAAGTTAAAATAAAAGTTAAAAATAAATAAATAAAATTAAAAATTACAAAAAAAAGAGAGCGATAATGAGATACTCGTCCTTTACCTATGTGGAGCTCAAGTTTACGCTATCTGAAATATTTGGAAAAATCCTAAGGAAAAAAAGCTGACATAAAAATTAGAACTAGCAAACACCTTAGGACCTAGGCAGAGGCAACTATAAAACTGCTCCCTTGGAGAAACTTACGGTATTCAGCATTTGCATAAGACTCCCTAAGAAGCTGACCCCTGAAGATGTTCTTAACAAATATCAAAAGCAGACAAACAACAGACTTTCCAAATGGGAAAATTCATATGCATGGAACCGCAGGAAAGAGAGAGATAAGTATTTTTATGTGTTTATAATGCTCAAAATAATCAAAAGTGAAACCAAACCAATAAAAAAGAAAAAGAATGGATCATAATATAAAGGTAAGTAGCTTTGACCATCAGTGAACTTCTTACCAGCATAAATTGAAGCAAGTCTGCTTCTGGAATAATATTATTCCAGTGTTGAGGTGTTGAGGGAAAAAAACCTGTCCCCAAATTAGATACCCAGGTAAACTATAATTCACATCAGTCGATAAAATAAAGACATTTCTAAAAAGCAAACGCTGAGTGAAAGCACTATCCATGAAATTTACAAAAAGGAAATATACTTAATCAAGGAAGAAAGTGAAGCTAGAAGGAAGGAATCATATGTAAGAAGCAAACATAAGTAAAGAAATAAAAAGTATTGAAAACAAACTTAAGTATTCAATGTAAATTTTAAAAATGATAATTATTTAGCATTTGTGGAATGAAAATACTAGATAATTATATGGAAGGCCAGAGGGGAGAAATTAAGATGGTTGTGAAACTCAGGTTTTTTTGTTGTTTGGGAGAATGATAGAAACATTATTTAGTTTATCAGACAAATATCAACCAAATAGGTATATTAAAATACAGTAGAAACCACTAAAATAACATAAATATTTAACTTAAAAAGCAATAGGAAAAGAGAGAAAATAGGCCAGGTGTGGTGGCTCACAACTGTAGTCCCAGCACTTTGGGAGACCAAGGGGGCGCGGATCATGAGGTCAGGAGTTCAAGATCAGCCTGGCCAAGATGGTGAAACCCTGTCTGTACTAAAAATACAAAAATTACCCAGATGTGGTGGCGGGCACCTGTAATCCTAGCTACTCGGGAGGCTGAGGCAGAGAATTGCTTGAACCTGGGATGCGGAGGTTCCAGTGAGCCGAGATCATGCCACTGCACTCCAGCCTGGGCGACAGAGCGAGACTCCGTCTTAAAAAAAAAAAAAAAAAAAAAGAGGTAAAATATAGACAGTACAGACAAAAAAGACAATTCTATCAATCCAACAGAGGGCAGGAAAGGCTGGAAGAAAAAAAATGAGAAAACACAAATTTTTCTTGTAAAAATAAGTTCAACTGTGTTAGTAATATATAAAATATAATACCTCTGAACAATTTTAAAATAGAGGAAACATTTGTGAATTATGGATATATGTTGTGTATGTGTGTTTGTAAGTAAAAAATATAGAAAACAAAACACTCCCAATTTGTATCAATGATTGCTTCTCAAAAAGAGGAAGAGCAATTAAACTGGGAATTGGGGCAAAGGGTTTCAACTTTATCTGTAGCATTTTGTTTCCCTTAGAAAAAAAGTCTTTAACCAAATATGACAAGATTATCGGTTGTAAATTCTGGGTGGTGAGTACATGGGTATTTTTAAACAGCCTGTTTGTCCTTTGATTTCTCTTTCCTTCTTTTCTTTCTCTCTCTCTCTCTCCTTCCTTCCTTCCTTTTTTACTTCCTTTCTTTTTCTTTCTTTCGTCCTCTCTCTTTCCCTCTTTCTTTCTCTCTCTCCTTCCTTCCTTCCTCCCCCTCTCTCTTTCTTTCTTTCTTCTTTCTTCTTCTTTTTTTTTTTTTTGAGACAGGGTCTCACTCTGTCACCCAAGCTATAGTGCAATGGTAAGATCATACCTCACTGCAAATTTGACCTCCTGGGCTCAAGCAATCCTCCCTCCTCAGCCTCTGGAGTAGCTGGAACTACAGGGGTGAGCCACCACACCTGGTCCTGTGCTTTATTTTTTTTTAAGTCTCTATTTTTAATTAAAAGTGGTAAGCTCATATGAATAGTAAATTACCGAAGTAAAGGTCCTGAACTCCCGCTTCTGCTAGATGGCAGTAGATAACTCCATTCTTGGGGCTTCCAGGACATATTCTTGGGTTCCTCTAAGACTTGTTAATTGTTTACTGACATGTATGTTTTTAAAATAAATTCACTTCATTTGAAGTAGCTTGAGAAAACTCTCTATTGCTTTTCATTAAAAATAATTTACTATGCACATAAACATGTAGGTCCAAGAAACTCTAATAGTAGATTTGAAAAAAGATCAATATCATCACTAATATATAAACTTTATTTGATTTTATTTTATCGGATTTGACTTGATTCAATGTAATTCAACAAACATTTACTCAAGCAGGCACTAAGCCAGATGTGGTGAATATGAAGATGTATAAAACATGAATGTATCTTTCAAGTAGCCTATCCATTGGTGGAGTGATAGACAAATGGGGAAAAAGAAAGACTTACAATACATAGTAACAAATATAAGAAAAGAAGCCAGCGTGTATGGAAAAGATCCAGAATTGATGTAGTGAGAGAGGTTTACTCAGAGGCAATGACATCAGAGTGGTGATTTGAAGAATAAATGGGAATTTAATTCCATCCGTTTGACTCAAGATGCATCTGAGGCTATTTTAGTCACCGTTAAAACATAAATCCAGGAAGAATAAAAAAAGTCATTTTTAATTATCAGAAAAAACATATTCTTACAAATATATCTACATGACTCTGAGGGTCCTAGAAAAAGCTGAAAGCTTCTTTTGGCTGAATGAATTGCCTCACCAGACAACTCAGAGACATTCAGATTCCTCAGAATTGATTTTTTAGTTCATTTGCAAGATTATGCTTATATTATTTACTTAATTTAACAATTGTATGTTTATTTTTCACTGTTTCAAATATAATATCTTTGGGTACACATAGTAGAAATTTGCTAAAAATGGAATTAAACAATAAAAAATTATTCATTTACATATAAATAGAAATTTAGAGGTAAAACAGGACCCATTGAAATATGACTAATGGTTTAACAGTGTAAGCAAGAGTGCAGATGGAAAAATTCCCGCCATCTCTTTACTTTGCTGTCTAAAATCTTGTCTTCAATGACTAAATGATTACTGTATTCGTCATGTTCTCCAGAGAATCAGAACCAATAGTAATGGGGGGAAAGGGTTTCGACTTTATATATAATTCATTTTATATTTACCTGGATATTTACCTATACTCATGTTCTTCATTCCTTCCTGTTTATCAAGGGTTTTATTCCATATAATTTATTTTCAGCCTGAATAATTTTGTTTAAACATTTAAAAAGTTTTTATAGTGTGGGTAAACTGAAAATCAATTATGTCAGATTTTTTCTTTCTGAAAATATTTTATCTAATTTTGAATGATATTTTTATGAGGTATAGAATTCAAGGTTGACAATTATGCTTTCTTTTGTTTAATTTTAGCACTTTAAAGATTTCTAGTAAGAAGTCAGCAATCATTTGTACTGCTGGTACCTCTACGTAATATGTTTTTTTCTCTTTGGATGAATTAAAAATATAAATTTATTTTGGTAAATTTACATAAATTAAAATTCACACATGCTATGTGTATATATTAATGACACTTTATCATTATGTATACCCATGTAACCACCAACTTAATCAAGATATAGAATATTTCCATCATTCCAGGAAGCTCCCTCAACCCCCTTTTCAGTTAATTATGTACACATCCCAGTGTCATTGAGAAGTGAAGCCAGCTGGGCTCCTGGGTCGGGTGGGAACTTGGAGAACATTTCTGTCTTGCTAAAGGATTATAAATGCACCAATCAGCACTCTGCATCTAGCTAAAGGTTTGTAAATGCACCAATCAGCTCTCTGTCAAAAGGGACCAATCAGCACTCTGTAAAACGGACCAATCAGCACTCTGTAAAATGAACCAATCAGCAGGATGTGGGTGGGGCCAAATAAGGGAATAAAAGCTGGCCGCTGGCACCAGCAGCGGCAAGCCACTCAGGTCCTCTTCCACTGTGGAAGCTTTGTCATTTCGCTCTTCAGCTCTTCGCAGTAAATCTTGCTGTGGCTTGCTCTTTGGGTCTGTGCAGCTTTTATGGGCTGTAACACTCACCGCAAGGTCTGCAGCTTCACTCTGAAGCCAGAGAGACCGTGAACACCAGGTGTTCTCCCTTCCTTCTTGCCTGTTAAACTCTCCGCTCCTTAAAACCACTCCACCTGTGTCCATGTCCTTTTATCTAAATTGGCATGAGGACCAAGAACCCTGGTGTTCCTCCACTCATTAGAGCCATATCATTTTGGTGCACTGGCCAGGAATGGAAATTCAATCATCAGACTGGTGAGTTTGGAGTAGATTTCAACTTTAAATCTGCTCTTAAATCTCAAGGCTCTCTTCCAGCTATCCTGTCACCAAATTTTCTTTCCCTTTCTATTTGCTGTCTTTTACCCTCTCTCTGTGTGTCTAATATGCAGGATCTTTTTTTTTTTTTTTTTGAGACAGAGTCTTGCTCTGTTGCCCAGGCTGGAGTGCAGTGGCACAATCTTGGCTCACTGCAACCTCCACCTCCCAGGTTCAAGCAATTCTCCTGCCTCAGCCTCCCAAGTAGCTGGGACTACAGGCGTTTGCCACCATGCCTGGCTAATTTTTTTGTATTTTTGGTCGAGATGGGGTTTCACCAGTTGGCCAGGGTGGTCTCGATCTGCTGACCTCGTGATCCACCCATATGCAGGAATCTTTACAGTTCAGGGATCAGTTATGTTAGAAAAGATCTCAAATTGCCGTAGGCAGTAACTCAATAGCTCGCTCTCTCTAAGGTTTCTCTGGCAAGCACATGGTATTGCTAAGCCACCTAGTAGAAATCAGGCTCTAGACCTCTTCTAGGAACAGGAAGTTTCTGCTTTTAACAGTCATGAATAAGATGTCTTCCATAGCCAAATTTTAGTCTCGATATTGCCCCACTGGCAGAAAAACGGCCGTTCGGGTTCCTACGTTCCTTTAAGGCGTTGATTTTGTCTTCTATTAAGACAGTACTTAATTAATAAGGGGCTTTTTAAGTCCAGAAGTTAACCAGAACCATTTTTTTTATGGGTAAATGCTTTAGCATGGGCTATAATCGCAGGATATGGAGTTCAATCTAGCACACCTGCCCCCTTTAACAGCCTTGCCCAATTACAGGGTTTTTCTTGAAATCCATTTTTCAGAGGGCACACAGGCCACACAAGTCTAGGAGGTAAAGGGAAATAAAAAGTAGAGGACTGATTGATTGGGGACAGCGTGACTATGGCCCAAAAGTCAGTTCCTCTGGTGCCATGGCTTGGAGGGTCATGCCTGCAGTCATGGCTGGCACATTTAAATGGGTGCAGGGGGAATCCAGGAACGATGGAGAGAAAATAGTTGTGGGGACACCGTCTACTGTTTTCATCTCCATCCTGGATCACATACCGAAAGGAAAGAGACTAAAAGGACGCTTTTATTCTCACTTCCCTTTCTAGATGGGTAACAGATCATCTTCAACATGCACTCCCCTGGAGTGTATTTTGAAGCACTGGGACTCCTTCAACCTTGAAACTTGGAATAAAAAGTGGCTTATTTTCTTTTGCAGCCATATCAGGCAGGCCTAGGGAAAATAGTTCCCCAAAATTAAAAAAAGTAACTTCCAGGGAAGTCATCTGAGGGTCCTCTTATTTGGGGCCCCTTTTCAAGTTTCCTTCTCGTTGCGGGACCTTAGGCAAGTAAAGGGAAACTGAGGCTGATTTTCTAACAACGCTGATAGGCATATAGAACCTTTCCAACATTTAGCTCAGGTATGTGACCTCACATGGAGGGATGTTATGTTGCTGCTGAGTCAAACAAACCTTCACTGCAGCTAAAACAGGCAGCTCTGCAAGCAGAAGAAAATTTTGGAGATGAGCAATATGTCTCCTATAGTGTAGGCCAGAAGGGAAAAGAGAAAATAGGGAAGGCAAAGAAACAGGGGAAACCACATTCCTAAAAGGAAGAGAGGTATTACCTCTTAACAACCCTAATTGGAACTCCTTTCAATGGTGTTTTCCTTCTTTTGTGGTTTAAAATGGCTTCTATCTCTTTTGTAATGTACTTCCAACCTGGGAAAAGTTAATTTTCCAAATCTTGAAATGCTTGGTATAGAGTTGAGCTAGGGGGAAGGGAACCCAGAAGCCTAATAGGCCGGCAAAAGGGTAAATATTTCTTACCATTTGGGCTTTTGGCTTCTCTCTCCCTGTGCAAACCGGTAAAAGGGATAATAAGGATCACCGTTTATGTTCTCTGTAAATGTATAATTAATGAAAAAGAACTTGTTGGTCTTAAGCTGTAGACAATCTTGGGTGCTTTGCACATCTTTCTCTATGGTTCTGTCAAAGAAAGGGTATCTTAGGTTAGGATGCAGGCCCAGGACCCCAAAAGCCTGCTGTTCAAGCCAGCCCAACAAAACGGTTAGTAACAAAATTGGCTACAGGCCTCCATCTCGTTTCATGTCCTTGGGAACATAATCTGTAACTGCATGGCAATACTTTGTTTTAGTCTCTGCTATTTTACAATAGTGGCTGTCTTCTGGTGCTAAATCAGATAAGCCAGTTTGTCAATCTGGGTGGTGCCAACTGATCATCAAGGGCATGGTTTACAAAATATCTTAAGCACCAATCTTGAGAGCAGTTTAGGGAGGGTCAAAATCTTGTAACCTCCAGCTGCATGGCTCCTGGGCCATGGTTTCTAATCCTGTGGCTAGTTTCTTGGTCTGGTCCCCAGGCAAGAGGGAAGTTATCTTGGGAAGCAGCTGTTTTCATCTTTGTTTTAGACTGTAGACTGTAAACCAGGCTCCTCCCAAAGTTGGTTCAGCCTCCGCCCAGGGATGCGCAAGGACAGCTTGGGGGCTGGAAACAATGTAGTTCTTCCGGTTAAATCTCTGGCTTCTCTCTCCCTGCGCGAACTGGTAAAAGGGATAATAAGGATCAGCGTTTATGTTCTCTGTAAATGTATAATTAATGAAAAAGAACTTGTTGGTCTTAAGCTGTAGATAATATTGGGTGCTTCTTGCAATGTCACAATTTTGCAGCTACCATTTCAAAAGCTGCCTGTCACTCCTTTAAAAATACTTTGCACACTAGTGGTTAAGTCATAACCTAATTAAGCCTCTTTGGTTTCACCTGTGAGGTTATTTGTTGTAAGGTTCAAAAGCCGAAAGTCTTAACTGCTTGATGTGGCTAAAGTAACAAGGGATTTAAAAAGATTTTCTTAAACAGCGCTTAGTTTAATTAAAAATGGATATTCAAGTTACAGGTGTATTTAAAAGACCTTTATGCTTTTCTCTTCTCGAATCTTGTTTTTCTGGATAAAGGCTCTTTTCTTCTCAGTCAACTGAATTATTTTTCTCCATTTTTTGTCTTACCACTCTTGATGCATGCCTTAAAGGCCCTAAGATAACTTCGGGTAGCATGTAATGCCTGGGGAAAAAAACAGAGGAGGTGCCACAGACCCTGTTTTGGGGAAAAAACTCTCTTTTCCTCATGAAACTCCAAGAATTGAAAGCAGATAGATCCCTCTCAAAATCAAAACCTCTGCTCTGTTTTGCATTGTGTTATGTAACGGTTTTAAGTTTTGGGGGTATCAGAAATTACTTCACGTTATAAGAGAGTTTTGGTGTGTAACAACTAGGTAGGAAATATACTTTAAGGAATGGCTAATAGTAGTTATAAATCAGAGAAGCGTGTTCTTGGCCACCTGGAAGATAAACAAACATCCCCACCTCCCAGTGGGAGATGAGACGCCCATCAGGGATGGGCTAATTACAAAATGAGCCAATTGACTTTGGGTTGCCTTGTAATAATTTGCATCACAGAAACACTCCACCTTCTTCTCCCATAGCATCTAGATGGTCTTTTCATAAATTGAAAGCGTAGCAAGGAGGTCTTAAGACATTAATTTTCCCTTTAGTAAAAGGGTTATAAAAGGTTAGTAAAAATTTCACCTTATGGTCAAATTGGCTAAAATGAAATGATCTATAAGGTTTCATTTAAACATTGGGATTAACATTAATAAACTAATGCAAGGGTAAAATTTGGCTTTGAACAGGATTTTTATGTCATAGTCAAGGTTAATAAAAGGTTTTTGCCTTTTGAGTCATCATTTTGGCAAAATAATTTATGACAGTCTGGAAATTGTCCTTCCTAAGGCCTGGCTTTTTGAATGGTTCAGAGGGCCCCCTGAAACATTCAGAAAAGAGGTATACAGGATTATTTGACAATTTTAGTTACGTGAGATTGCCAAAATGATGTCCGATCTTCTTTAAGTTACATTTTGGTGAATAATACTAATACATGTTCAAAAATTGTATGGGATTTCTAAAATTCTAATGTCTAAGTATAAGCTATCAATCCTAATTAAGGGTAAAGTTATTGTAAACCCTGAAGATAAATAAACTTGTCAGTTGTATTTTTAACTGTAGCTATCCTGGAAATTTTGTCATTCACAGACAGTTGTTATCTTGCTTTTTTCCTTCTCAAAAAACAGTTTATAATCAAGTTATGTTAAGGACTTTAACAGGTGTTCTCAAATGCAGGTTTCTAATAGCTTTAAAATTTGTGACATTGGAATAGAAAAAGAATGTATGGGACTCATAATGAACTGAAATGTTCACAAATATCAAGCAAAACAAGAGTTAACTAAGTGAACTGCACTCAGAAATTTTGAGCAATCTTTTTAATTTTTGCTTGGAATATTGCTGATCCTTGTTTTATTCTTCAGAGTCAAGGAAACTTATTTTAAACTATTTACAGTCTTTAATAATTGATAAGATATAGTCCTGTGGACAAAATTCAGTGCATGTTTATTTTTCTCTGCCTGATTCCTCTAAAATTTGAAGACTACTTGTAAGTACTCTTAACTTATGGTAATATAGTTGTTTGCATCAGTGCAATAAGAATCCATTTTTCTTTGTCAACAGGATACAATTTAAAAAACTGGTTATTTTACCAAGGCTTTAACTGAAATGGTGTGTTTCCCTTTAAGGAATCAAGCTTGACATGGCAGAGCCAATAAAAGCCCTTTGGGGAAAACTGGCCTCATACCTTGTCTACACAGTCCCCACACAGGGTTCCTAACCTGTGATTAGTAAAAAAAATCACTTTCTAACAGGTCTGGAAGCTCCGAGTTTATCTTGGGACCTCAAGAGGAGAGGATCACCCAACTCACAGTATCTGAGGATACAAACCCATGGCTGGGCTTGGCTTTAAAACTCTTACCTGAAATTTCTTGTGGAACAGACTTTCATCAAACCCAATCCAAAAGGCCTATGTAGAAATAACCATGCTTGCTCAACTTTATGCAAATAATCAAGCCAAGTACAGGACTAAGGTTTATTCATAAATTGTTTTTACCAAAAATGAGAACTGGAGAGAAAAATCATGCTCCAAAGCTTATCATACATTTGTCATTAAATACTAGTCAAATTGTTTTTAAGCTTTTTGCCTACATTTTAGACTAACCCTGCTTATTCCTGTGAATCAAGCAGTAATCTTCTGCAGCTTGGAAAAAAGAAAAAGGGATGGGTAACATAAAAATGTGAATAAATATGCTAGTTCTGGGCAATTATCTTGCAAATTCTGCCAGGTAATGAAAGTGAATAGGGTGCCCATAACCCAAAGATTTCTTTGTTTGGGAAAATAAAACCAAGAAAGTTCATAGACATCCCCAAAGGAAAATTCTGTATCTTAGCAAGTAAAATTTTAAATGGAAATTATCTACTACACCACACTTGTGAAAATTACTATACTCACTGTACTATTTGCAATAGGGTACTATTTG
This sequence comes from Homo sapiens, assembly GCF_000001405.40. NCBI lineage: Eukaryota > Metazoa > Chordata > Mammalia > Primates > Hominidae > Homo > Homo sapiens. The sequence goes on from NC_000003.12 coordinate 190,683,965, forward strand.
CAATAGGGTAGCACCTTCTAACTAAAATACTGTACAAAGAGTTTCCATTGCTCTCGTATTTTGCTTAGTTATTATCCTTATAACTGGGATAATAGTTACTGACAAAAAGGAAGCATAAAAGCATTACTATCACTAAGTCTGCTAGGACTTTTTATTGGGTTTAGTAATGCACTTTTAAGTGAAACATGGTGCTTTTGGATTAACACCTCTAGTAAAGGAAAATCTACAAAGGAAAAGCTAAAAAATCTTAACAATGAAATCAAAATTATTCACAGGCTCAGGGAAAATGCCGGCTTCCGCCCCTCTTTGATGAATTCCAGTCTTTATGGAATTGGTTAACCCCTTTATTAAGCCCTCTATTGTTTATATGTCTTGTATTAATATTTGGACCCTGTATACTCAACACTATTAACTCAAATCGTTTCTTCTTGCCTAGAAGCAATCAAACTCCAAATGGTGCTGCCAACTGAACCACAAATGGACATACCATTCTTCTGAGGACCCTTAGATTGAGGAGCTCTAGCTGGTGTTCCCCATTCAACGTCCCTTTTCAGCAGGAAGTAGCTAGAAAGAGTCATTGTCCAAGCCCCCATAACAGCAGTTAGTGTGATATCTCCACAGATGGGAATGTGATAAGAGTTATTAAGAAATTATTTTAGGCAGATAGAGAGGAAAAGGGATCCTGGGAAAGTTTTCATTTTTTTAAACGTCTCTGGAAAAGTTTCCTGTAAAGCCCCAGCTCTTAGAGCCAGGCTGGCAACCTTAAATATACAATAATAAATATACAAATGCCAGCCATTAGAAAGTAGTTCCACCCAGCATGGCGATTCCCGCAGCCTTCTTGCCCTTGCCCCACATGTTCCTGGCAACATGGCAGCCCCCACTTATCCCTACGTGTGTGGAACATCATGGTGCCCTGTATTTGCATATTAAAAGGCTAGGGTGGGAGGGCCAGCTTTTTCGCAAGCTACGTGAATTTCATGCCTAGTCAAACCAATCCCCTTGCCCTATGCAAAACTGACACCGTGTCCTCCAGCCTCCTCCTCTGTATAATGTTGAAAGAAGTTCCACTATGAGTAAAATGCCATCAAACAGCATTGCATGCTTCAGAGAACTCTTTAATGATAGGAAGAGTCAAACATTGAGGAAAACTTCATTTTCGTTTTATTTTAAAAAATTGACACAGCTACCTAAACCTTCAACAACCATCACCCTGATTAGTCGGTGGCCATTAACATTGAGGCAAGACCACTTCTACCAGCAAAAAGATTGTGATTCACTTAAGGTTCAGATGATCATTAGAAATTTTTAGCAATAAAATATATTTAATTACAATATGTACTGCTATTTTAGACACAATGTTATTACACACTTAAAAACCTACAGTATAGTGTAAACATTACCTTTATGTGATGTGAGAAACCAACAAATTCACAACTCACTTTGTTGCAATATTCACTATATTATGGGGGTCTGCAAGTGAACCTGCAATATCTCTGAGGTATTCCTGTTATATTTTTTGCTAATATGTAGGTTGCTTATTCGTTTTTTATTGTGATATTTTGATAAACAGAAGGCTGAATTTAAATACAATCTAACATCACTTTTTTTCTCTTTTATGACTAACAACTTCTAGGTCTTGTCTATGAAAGTTTGCCTATGCTGGGTCAGAGCTTCTTCTGGAAGCTTTTATTCTTAGTTTGTTTTTAGGTTTAGTTCTATTATCCATCTTGGAGAAATGTTTGTGTGTGGCATAAAGGCAAGGTCAAGGCTTGCTTTTCCCTCAGTTCATGTCTAGTAGTTTCAGCATCACTTGTTATAAAGATTGTTCCTTCTTCATTGAATCGTTTTGGTGTTTTAACTGAAAATCAGTTGACTGTGTTAAGTGTGGGTCTGCCTATTTCTCTGCTCACTATTCTATTCTGTTGATCAATTTGTCTATCTTTACGCTAAGGCCATACTGTCTTGACTACTCTAGCTTTATATATACTGAATCTTGATATTAGGTTGTGTAAGTTCTCCAATCTTGTTCTTTTTCAGACTTATTTTTTCTGCTCTAAGTTTTGCATTTTCATATACATTTTAGAATCACCTTGTCAATGACAATTTAAAGGCCTGCTGCTGTGATGATTGAGATTGTGTGGAATATATGAATGAATTTAGTGAGAACTACATCTTAATAAGATTGAATTTTCCCGACCATGATTGTGGTACAGCTTATATTAAAATTCAGGTCTTCTAAAATTTGCTGAGTCTTGAATATTTTATGTTAAATTTTTCCCTAATCTTTTTATTTTTTTTTGATTTGGTGCTATTGTAAATGGAATGGCTTTCTTTAAAATTGTAATTTTAACTGCATGTGACTATAATATAGAAGTATAATAGATTATAGTAAATTGATTTTGTATCTTTCAACCTTGCTAAACTCATTTATCAGATTTAATAATTACTTTGTAAAATACATGGCCTGCATTTTTTAATAGCAACCACGTTGTCTGTGAATAGTTTTTTCTTTTCAATCTTTCTAACTTATTTTTCTTGCTTTATCACACTAATAAGAAACTTCAGTACACTAATGAATGAATTAGTGAAGGTAAACAGTCTTGCTTTATTTCTAATGTTGGAGAGAATAGGATGGTCATTTGATATTTTTCCAATAAGTATATTTGGCAGGTTAGGAATACCACAAGTGTATGTGCAAATGTTCATACACATTTATGTACACACACACACACACACACACACACCCCCTTATAGGACGAAGTTATGTTTACTTCATAGTTTACTGAGAGCTTATATTATGAATGGATGTTGAACATTATCAAATGCTTTTTTTCACTTATTGAGAAAAAACAATATGGATTTTATTCTGTATTCAGTTAATATGGCGAATCATATAAATTGATTTTCAAATGTTAAACAAATCTTATGAGGAAAACTAACTTAGTTATGTATTATATAACACATAATAATACTATATTATGTTATATTATATGGCATATATTATATATTATACATGAAGATATATATACAAACAATATATATAAAATAATATTTAATATATAAAGAATAAATATTTGAAATTCAGAATATATATCTCAGATATAAAATATATATCTTATTTTGTTTATATCTTGAAAATATTTTATACTATATCTAATGTATATTATAAAAATATATAATACATAAAGATATATATAACGTGTGATATATATCTGAATTATATATTCTTTTATTATGTGTGTGTACTATATTAAATACATATTTATATTATATATATAAATATTTCTTACGATAAACCATTGGAAACAATATGGGCCTAAGCATTTTGTGCGTGAAAAATTTTGATAAATAAATTCAACATATTTAATAATTTAATGGTTTGTAGATTTTCTATTTCATTTTCTGCTACTTTTGCTGAATTGCATTACTAAGGAATTTGGCCAATTAATCGAAGTTATTAAAGTTGTTGGCATAAAGCTACTTTTATATTGAATTATTAGAATTTTAGTGTCTTAGGATCTGTGTTGATAGCCCCTCTTTTAATTCTGATATTGTTAATTTGTGTGTTCTTTTTTATAGTTTAATTCTTCTGTGGGTTTATAATATTATTCTTTGCAATAAGCAATTATTCCTTTACTAATTCCTTCTATTTTTATACAATTTATTGGTGTTCTTGTCTTTGTTCTTTCTACCTATTTTTGGTTAATTTATTTTACTATCTTCTATCATTCAATTCAAATAAAAAATTATCCAAATCCCTACTAGCCAGCAAGATTCCTGCTGAGAAATTTGCTGATAATATAACAGGCATTCCTATGTATATTATGAGTCATTTTTCTCTTGCTGCTTTCAAGATTATCTGTGACTTTCAACAATATGTCTTGGTGTAGGTCTTTTTAGATTTATCTTAACTGGAGTTTATTGAGCTTTTTGAATTTTTGTGTTCATTTATTTCCTCAGATTTGGAAATTATTCGCCACTGTTTCTTGAAGATTCTCTTTCTCTTTCTCTCTTTCATCTCCTTCTAGTACTTCCAAATGTATATTCTTCCACTTAATGATGTTCCATAAATACCCCGTCTCTCTTAATTTTTATTCATTCTTTTTTTTTCTCCTCTGCCTCAGTGATTTCAAAAGTCCTTATTTTTGAGTTCGATGATTCTTGCTTCAAGTCTCTAATAAATTTTTCAATTCAGTTATTGCATTCTTCAGTTTTAGAAGTTCTCTTTGGTTCTTCACAGTTTCTCTTTGTTGATATTCTCATTTTGTTTATGCATATTATTTGTTTACAAACCACAGCTTCGTGCATATTTTTTTTAACTCTACTCTGATGTGCAAACTGGGGCATTCTCTCAGGCAGAAAGCTGCATCAATAAAAAGTTCACCCAAAACATTTCCCTTCTTTCAAGGGTATAATCACCTCCAGTTTATCTATTTTTTGTCACTCTTCAGTGCCTTCAATTATTTTTTCTTAATTTTTTCTAAAGTTTATAGTCGTTATCTGCAAGACTAAGATTAGACTGATAGTCTTCTCTATCATTATCAAAACCATATTCCCCTTCCTTCTCATTTTAATGTTATAAAACGAATTATGGTTATTTCAGGTACTTCAGATGAAGTATATAGTCTTATGAAATTAAATATAACTAGTATAGGGACTCAGAGACGAACTCCTTGACCATGTAACAATGAACTTCAATTATTAATGACAATGCGTTAACTGTTGAAGAAGGGTGGGAATGGAGATTACCTGCCTTTCTGACAGGAGGAAACGCATGTACAAAAGCTGTAGTGGGAGAAATGGTATTCTCAAGGAAATGAAAAAAGGTTGGTGTGACTAGAGCAGAAAGAGTGAAAAAAGAAAAAAGAACAATTGTCTGGACATATTCATAGTGGCTCAGACCGTGCAGAGCCTTATACTCTGTGTAAAATAATTTGGTCCTCAGTTTAAGAGTAATAGAGAGCTATGAAAGGATTTTTAAACACAAAAAGGGCATGATGAAATTACTATTTTGTAAAAATTGTTCTGGCCATACAAAAAAAGAATGGTTATGAAGAGGAACAAGAGTCGAGAAGAAAGACCAAACTGGAGGCTATTTCACTAATGGTACCAATGAAAGTTGAAATAGCTTAGATTAGCTGATGTTCATGTTTTGAGAGACTGCGCAGATTTAAGAAAACATTAGATAGTTAAAATGTTAGGACTTGAAATATAATGGTTAGATAGATAAATATGACAAAAGAAAATTGTTTCCTCTCACGTGGAGGTGATCTTTGTATGTTTTCTTTGATAATGTTCTCTAAATATATAAAACATTGTCTGCCACTCAGGAGGTCAAATTAATGAATGAAATGATAAATCCTATTTCTGTTGCACAACTGAATAAGTGATGTTACATTCCCACCAGGATAAGGAACATTGATGATACTGATAAAACATTGTTTAAGTTGCGGTTTTGTTTTGATTTGGTTGGAAAAATCATTAGTCCAGTGTTGGATATGTTGAGCTTGGAGTAGGTTTTAAACGTCCAAGTAGACATGTCAAGTTGGCAGCTAATTTTAAGATTCTGGAGTTCAGAGGAATGCTCTGGATTCATGTGCATACTGGGAATCATCTTCATTCAGTGCTAACAGAACCCAGGATAAAAATGAGATCACTTAAAAAGTATGCAGTTGGAAGAAAAAGAATGCTCCAAACTAGGTCATAACTTAATCCACCTTTTACAGGTTAAATAAAGGAAGAAAAAAATTCCAGAAGATTAAGAAAAAAGAAACATAGGAGTAGGAAAAAATCCGGGAAAATGTGGTATTCCAAAAACCAAAGAACTAGACATTTTTTTTTCAAAAAGTATTGCTAATTATAAGACAAGTAAACTGAAGACTGCAAAAATATCTATTAGGTTTAGTTGTGTGGAAGTACTGTCAGTATAAGTGAAACCTGTTTGTATCTCTTTCCCCAGTTCTTCTGTGTCTCATGGTATTTTATTTTCTAAAACAGAGTTGAGGCTCAGGATGCACCACCTCAAAACATGATTATAGGAGGCCAGAATATGCTACCCCAAAATAAACTTCTTTGGCACATTTTCAGCATGTTATTTTGAGGAATTGCAGGCATAGGAGAAACTATGAAAAGCTGGCCTTTTATAAAGGAAATGTACTTCAATAAAGGACATCTATATTAGTAAAAGTATCTGTATCAGGAAGAAGCCTGTTCTGAAATAACTGTTATTATCTGAGAGACATTTTATCTGTATATCAAGACAACTGTTATTCACAATACATACCCTCCCCTTACCTTCCCCCATAACTTGTCTCTACAAACCCCAGAAGCCCCAATCCCCTATTTATTTTTGTAGCTCAACATGCTATATAAGCTTCAATCATCTGGCCTTTCTTGGAGTCTCATATTTTTGTGGGACTCTCGTGCATATGCATGTCATCGAATATGGTTTTTCTCCTGTTAATCTGTCTCATGTCAATTTAATTTGTAGCCCAGCCAAAGAACATAGGAGAGTGGAGGAAAGCCAATTTTCCCTCCCCTTCAATGGAAACATGTTTAAGGATAAACACATGTCAAGTCTTTAAAAAGTTATTTAAGTATATATTTTGAATACATTAAAATACTGTTTAAAATTCCTGTTGAAAGGTAGGTACTTTGGGCCGGGTGCGGTGCCGCACGCCTGTAATCCCAGCACTTTGGGAGGCAGAGTCAGGTGGATCACCTGAGATCAGGAGATCGAGACCAGCCTGGCCAACACGGTGAAACCCCATCTCTAATAAAAATACAAAAATTAGCTAGGTGTAATGATGCTTGCCTGTAATCCCTACTTGGGAGGCTGAGGCGGGAAAATCACTTGAACCTGGGAGGCAGAAGTTGCAGTGAGCCCAGATCATGCCATTGCACCCCAGCCTGGGCTACAAGAGTGAAACTCCATCTCAAAAAAAAAAAAAAGTACTTTAGGCTTTAAAAAATGGTTACTTTCTGGGGTGCTTTCAAAAACGTCACGAGAGAGAGACAGGGCTGGATGGCTCATGCCTGTAATCCCAGCACTTGGGAGGACAGAATGGGAGGATCGCTTGAAGCTTGGAGTTTGAGATGAGCCTGGCAAACATAGTGAGACCCTGTCTCTACAAAAAACTTAAAAATTAGCTATGTGTGCTGGCTAGTGCCTGTAGTCCTAGCTCTTGGGGAGGCTGATGCAGGAGGATTGCTTGAGCCCAGGAATTTGAGACTACAGTGAGCTATGATTATACCACCGAACTCCAGTCTGGGCAAAAGAGTGAGACCCTGTCAAAAAAAAAAAAAAAGAGAGAGAAAGAAAGGAAGGAGGGAATAAAGGAAGGAAGGAAGGAGAAAAGAAAAAGGAAGGAAGGGAGGGAGGAAGGAAAGAAGGAAGGAAGGCAGGAAGGGAAGGAAGGAAGGAAAGAAGAAAGGGAGGGAGGGAGGGAGGAAGGAGAAAAAAGAAAAAAATAAAAGAAAACAGAAAAGAAAAGGAAAGAAAAGGTTTTGAGAGGGACCAGTGCTTCTACTACTTTTTTTCACCGAATACCCACTCTAATGTCATCTCTTTCCAATCTCTACCAAGACGTCTTTCGCTCATATTGTCAAGCTAATCGAGGCTGGTATATAGAGAGATTAAAAATATTTGCTCAAAATCTATTTTTATGGTTTTCTCAGCTCAAAATCAGCTGTACTCCATCTCTGGATTAGAATGTGTGTGTACTCTTTTGTGTGTATATTTAATAAAGAAGTTAGTATTTGAAGAAATAGCCAACAATTAAAGAGGCCTATTCTCAATGGGCTAGAGATATCTTACAAGGCTATGGTAATCTTAAGATCCTGTGGTGAAAATGTATTATAGAAATATTTTTATTTTACAAATCTGCAGAAGATGAACTTTTTACTTCAACCTAGTTACTGACAGCTCAAGGAGGCAATTATATATTTATAATTTATATGGCGGTATATAATGAGGAATAAACACCTCTTCAACTAAGAAAATGCCTTAATAGGATGAAAGAGGATAATATTAATAGCAACTAATATTTATCTTGCTCTTCATAGTTAATAAAGTGCTTTCACAAACATTATCTTGCAGATCTTCACAACATCTCTGTGGGGATGTATTACAGGAGTCACTATTATTTTAATTCTCTGCATGAAGAATCTGAGGCTCAGAGCAGTTAAGTGACCTGTTTATAGACCAAGAAGGAAGTGGTAAAGACAGGACAAAATATATATCTTCTGAAATTCTATGCTTCTTCTACAATCTCAAATCTCATATCTCCTACAATCTCCTATTGCCTCCCTGTGGAGAGCCCACAGAGAGAAGCCAAGAAGTTCTAGGCTGAGAATGATGACAATACTAATCTTATCTACACTGAGTTTAGGTTTCATGGGGTCTTTCCTATGACAGACTCTCCCTTGTTTCTTCCATTGGCCTAAAGGGTTTGTTGTTGTTGTTGCTATGATGGTGGTGATGATCTAGTCTGAGAGCTACTGAAGTAGCTTAGGTAGTTACCTGACCAGGTGACTCAGAAAGGAGGGAATGACCCTGTTTCACATAACACTCAAACCTTTGGGCTATTCAGTAAAGAGTAGCCTCCCTCTCATCTTCCTTCCTCTCCTGAATCTGCCTCTGCTCCTTTGTCTTACTTTCTCTTCAATATAGGAAATTTTAAAAGTAGCTTTAAAACTAGGACAAGTGGTAGAGCCGTGTTAGGAACTTCTTTGTGGAGCTGTATCAGATGTAATTTCGGTGCAGATTTTTCTAAAATAAATGGAAGGAGGAACTTTTCTTTGGTTAATGTAATCATGGACTTCAGCACACCAAAAGTGGAAAACAATTTTCAAGAAGAGTGGCCTTGTTAAAGGCTTCAAAGCTCTGTTTTCAGGTGATATGGGCTAATCTTCTAACTATTGTCTGCAGAAACTCACTAAAAGTACTGTCCATGTGTCTTAACCTTGGTTTTCTTGGGAACCTGAGATGAATGTGAAAGATGTATTCTCTACTGCTTTATTAGGGAGAGGGATTCCAGGAAGTAACAATGATGGACAGGGGGAAAATAAAAAACAAGGTGGGAGAGTTAATATGAAGATTTATTATCCAGTAGTCTACCACAAGGTTCACTGATTGGTCAGTCCCACGGGACTATCTTCTCAAAAACGGTACAAACTGTGTATCAACACAGTCTCTTCTGGAGAAAAAGGAAATCGTTTATACTCCAAGTCTCTGCTCCTATTGGGCAAACATTTCCCCTATAAGTTTTTAAATCCCCAACACTTCTCAGTTGCAGATATGTGGGCCCAAGTGGAAATTCACAGCTTCCATCTTCAGTATGGATAAGGAAGGCCCAACATGGGAGGCAGGAAGAGTACAGTGTGGATGTGAGACAAGGCACTGTCAAATGATACATGTGTGAAGTTAGCAGCCACATGGCTACAACTGCAACAAGAAGCAGATGGGACCAAAATAATCTAAAATGGTTCATAAACGGTACCTGATAGAGCCAACTGTAAACCAAAAATAAAATTCTAAGCCCTCCAACAGACTGAATGGATCCCTCCTCTCAGCCAAGGGCACTCCAAAGTAAACCTGAAAAACTAGTCCAGGCCATGATGGGAAGGGGGGCCAGATATGCCTCATTCATTATACCCTCTTCCCTTTGGAATTCAGACACAACTGACCAGCGTTAACATTAAAACAGAGATCTTAAGACTGACAAAACAGACTCTTTGTAGCAATAAGATACCAGATTCCAACCTGGTTCTAGCATAGCATCACATGTTAGACAGCAGGCCTTGAAAGAAATTGAAGTACCTTATTCCAAAATATATTTCTTTGACATATTTTTTAATGGCCCTAAAAAGCTGGTAGCAGGCTTCATCTATATAATAAGAACCTTGGTCTCAACAACCCCTTATCTTAGAATTAGAAAATCTTTGAGTACACCTATGACCTGGAAGCCCCCACTTCAAGTTTTCCCACCTTCCTGGACTGAACCAGTGTACACCTTACATGTATTGGTTGATATCTGCTTGTAATTTCTGTCCCCTTAAAATGTACAGGATCAAGCTGTAACCCAACCACCTTGGATACATCATGTTCTCAGAACATCTTGAAACTGTGCCTCAGGCCTTGATTACTGATATTTGGCCCAGAATAAACCTCTTTACATCTTTTACAGAGTTTGACTCTTTTTATCAACATCACCCAGTACACCACTCTGATTTCTCATTATTCTATTATATCTGACTGCATGTACCAATATGGAGTCTCATTTTTGTGAGAACCTGATGCCTTTACTTTTGTCCACTCTGTCTCCAGGTCTCCTTCTAGACATTGGCCACTTAAAGTCACTTAGATGTAAAGAGATTTAAGGTAAGATAGTTATTGATGTATACTCAAGTCTCTGCTGCGCCATTCAGCATTGAGGCTGTAATTGATACCCATCATCTTCCTTCTCTACTTCTTATTCTAGATCTCCCTTATCCTCAGCCAGCAGTTGGCTGGTCTGTGTCACTTGCCTGGTTAGTTCTAAGTTCTTAGTTTTCTTTCTGAGCTGTGGTTGCTGCTAGTGTTCATTGACTATTGTCAATGGATCTGAAATGAGTGTGGCAGTTCCAAATACTGTCATCCCTGCCTACATTAAATAGCAGAAAACATCACTCCTCGTGACAATCCAAATCGATTGGGTCCTTATTACATAAATTCCTTTCTTTGCTGGCTGATGCATTGTTTTAAGAGCCAAAAGAGCAGGTGGTAGATATAGTTTCAAGTTTATGATAAACCTTACTGTGGCCTCTGGAAGAAGTGTTTACTTTTCTGGGAACCAGAAACTCTTAACTTGGCAAAGCCTAAGATTGCAGTGACAAGCTTTACAAATTATGTAATTGGGGCCAAGAGGAGGAATGGTGAGAGGTGAGGATCTTATTTCCTTCCTTTAGTTCCCAGATGAATATATATATTTCCAGACAGAGCATTATATATTAACCTTTCCTCTGAAAAAAAAAGGGAAGGAAGAGGAGTACATTGTACATTATTTAATTTCCAATTGCATATGTTTTGTGGCTGCTTACTTTTTTTTTTTTTTTTTTGCATTGAAAATCTGAATCAGTTCAGCTTGGTTTTGGTTTTGGGGTTTTGGGTTTTTTGTTTCTTTGTTTCTTTGTTTTGCCTGATGACTGAAAAAGAAGGAACATAAGATAATATAGGTTGTGTGTGTGCACACGTGCACACGCACATTTATCTATCTTTCTATCTATTCAAATGCCAAGTCAAAGACTGTGAGAGTCTCTAAATGTTGGGTATCCAGTTCCTCCTACTCTCATAATTCCAACTTAAAACATCCTGTGCTTCTGGTTTAGTTTCTTTTCCTATCCACACCCCCATAGCACTTTGTTGTGATATCATAGTCTAAACTTACAACTTGTCCCTGTTATTTAAGGAATTCCCCACACACATCTGTGCATTTAGCTTAAAACAAGCTGTGGGGATTTTTGTTGGTGCGTGCTGTGTGGGTTTCCCAAATGGAGTCTTTATTTTCAACACCTACAGCTTGCTCAGTCCATTCTGATGCTGGGATGGTTTCCTTCTGTGAGTAAATGTCAGTGAAGTGCTCCAGGCAAAGCTATTGCCCTCATGAAGCTTATGAATCTGGTTTGTTCCCGGAATAGACCCCTTATGCCTACATGCAAGTAAACATTCAGATCAGGTATATTAGCTAATCCAGCTTTAGGAGATTAAAAGAATTGACTCTTGCTGCTGAAGGCTAAAGGACAAGTTTTGCCTCACATTATAATGCTTCACCCAAACCAATTATATACACATTTTTTGTGTGTGTATGTACAGGCATATAGTAGGTACAAAAAAATGTGTGTATATAATCTTATTCTACAAAAGTTCATGGGATCTACTATGAACCAGGAACTATGCTAGGAGTAAGCAGAAAAATACATAAATGTAAATGAGACATACAAACTTGTGAGGGTGATAGGACATACCCAATAAACATGATAACCAAAGACACAGTAAGGTAAATAAGAACCAGTGAAGAGTTACGGGTTTCTAATACCATAGCAGATGTAAAATCCTTTTAAACTCTGAAGCACTCTAACATGTAAGTTGGAGATGATCAGGCTATCCTTGGGTAACAAGTGGGTCAATATTTGGCTTTGGGGCCATTATCTCTTTCATTCTATGTTCTTTTTTATTCTGTGTACCTGGGGAGGTAAGGTTTGCTTTCAGGAGTCATCAGAATCTATTTCACTGCCAGTGTTTCATCATACGCTTTTTGGAGAGTCAATTTCCTTCTGAGGAGAGTAGTTTCACCAGCTAGCATACTGAACGTCAAAGCGTGGTACCTTCCTGTATTCGTACATCCCAGTATTATCTTTCTTCTTTGAAATTACACAAAAACATACATATAATTATATATATAATAAAATAAATATAATTAAGCACATATAATAATACATTTTTCTCAAGAGAACTCTTTCATGGAAACATAGTAAGAAAAGCAAATTACCTTAGTTGAATCGGAGGAAGTGCCAGAGCCTGCCTTACTCAGCCCTCTTTCTGCTACCCTCACTTCTCTGGGTAAACTCTGTGAAGCCATAATCTCGTAACCTGGTTTAAAACAACTCTATTATATAGCTTTTAAAACACTTCAAATTTTGGCATTCGTGAATCTGAGACTGATAATGCCCGTGTGACCCTATGTCTTTAGCTGCTCAAGCTTACAATCGATGGTAGAATCAATCTTGTGGCAGAGTTCCCAGCCTCCTAGGCTCCTCTTCGCGTAATGCTCTACCTACTCCCCTAATTCTCCAGTTTTGGCAACTGAAACCCTGCATATGGCCTGCTTCAGATCTCTGGTGTGGAAATGTATGAGATATCAAGTACTTTTAGCCCCTGAGTTTTCCCTGGACTTGGTTGAGCCTTCACCTCTGGCTCCCTGGTCGTGGATACTACGCTGAATTAGAAAATCCTGCCGGTTTTTCCCTAGTGACCCAGTCTCAACAACTAACTTGCATGACCAGTACATGAGCTGGGACTTCTCTAGCTCTCTGGCAGAAAGTATTTACACTAAAATCTTTGACAAAGTGTACTTCTCCTAAGAGTGCGGTTTTTTTTTTTTTTTTAACCATAACACGGAAGAAAACCTTAGGTTAATTTCTGACCTGCACAGCCTCAAACTAAAGCATGCCAGAATTGCAGGAGGATACGAAGAAAACAGAAAATTGCAGTACCTGAAATCTAACAGCTACCACCTTTACTGAGCTGAATGTACTAGAATTACCAGGGAACAGCTAGAAAGAAAAAATAATAATAATTCAGGAAAGGAAAAATGTGTGTTTTTGACCCTATTTCTTTTTGATGCAGGCTGTGTGTGGAAAAGAGCTTGAAAAGAATTTTATCTTGCTCCACCTCGTGGTGGATGCCTGCAACATAATAATTCTTATGCAGTTTCTTCCAAAACAAAAACAAAAACAGAAACAAAGACAAACAAAAAAAAAATCACTGTGGATCTCTTTGCATGTCTTAAATAAAAATTTTCTGAAATTGAAAATTGAATTGCAATTCTTTTGCAACTGTATACTTATAGCATAAGAATGGAGACATCTCAGGCATTCAGTACAGCAGAAAACTATATTAGAAATTATAGTTTAAAAATAATTTTTAAGACATTCTTGCAGTGAATATCAACAATTTTTTGGTACATGAGGAGCTTCTGCCCCTGTAGGAATAAGTATGTCTGAAACATGAAAGAAAGAAAGAAAGAGAAGATAAAAGGAAGGAAGGAAAGAAAAGAACAGAAGGAAGGAAGGAAGGAAGGAAGGAAGGAAGGAAATTAATTTTTAGAAATAACCAGGGGCTGATTTATGTGCAATATGATTTTTTTCAGAGTTCATAAAGGGGAATGTGTGCTCCCCTACTCTCTAATTCCTGACATTTTTAAATGGTTAATACGGGTCTTTTATTTAAATGATGTTCTTTTTTATTGGCACATGTGGGTCAATTTTCTCCTTTTCTGTTTTACTCAAACCAAAAGCTGCACTCTCGGCAATTTGTCCCTTACAGAAGAGGCTGTTTCTTGTTACAACAGTACCGTGCTGTGCTTCAGCCATCCATAACACGCCCACTGTATGTAGTCTCATAGGAGGCATTGCAGGTCCAGTGTCTAGCCAGAAATGAGAAGCAGAGATTGTTATTTTTTTTTTGAGGTGTGACTCACCCACAACCTTCTCAATTCCAACTAGTTTTGTTTTGTTTTCCTGTAACCTAGTTTTAAATATATTTCCAAATCAGAGGCTGCCCTCAAAATGTAACCCTTCACCAACAGAAGCTTGTCTGGGAAGATTCTGCAGAAACTCCTCTCAGATTTGAAAAAATAATGGATTGGAAAATCATGTTTTGGCCAGGGTTCAGCAAAGAAAGTTAGGAACTGGCTACCAACATCACAAGAAACAATACTATATATAAAGGTATTGGTGTATTGAGATAGCTTATATTATTATTCTAGGTAAGGTCATCTAGGGGAATCATATGCCTGCATTTCGGTTCTCTTTTGAGGTACTTACCCTGGGCAATAGGAAGTATGAGAGGGGTTACAGAGATCCTCTTCCTTGGGCAGGAACACGTTTACAGCCATGATAGACACTCACTGTGAGGAACATCAGGTGGTGTGCGTGTGTGTGTGTAGGAGAGGTTGATACTTGAAATAAACCTCCTGAACCATGCTAAGAAGTCCAAAGTATGATAACAAGTGTGGATTTATCCAGATGACATTGGAGTAACACTACAGTGTTTTAAGCAGGGAAATTACATGATCACATTTATATTTTATAACTATAGTAAAGCTTCCATGTGTAGAATAAACTGGAGGAAAGCATACTGAAAGGATGAAGACCATCTAGAAACATATTCAAAAGTCTAGGCAAATGATGGTGATATGCCTAGCCTAGTAGGATTATGGATATTGAAATTGACTGTATTCTAGAGATATTGAGGATAGAGAAACAACAAGACTTGGAAATAGCTTGGGTATCTCCATGATGATAAACAATAATTTGGAAAATACGGTCTTGTTTTAAGTCTTACTGTGAACACATGCAGCTATTTGCCTGTGGATTTGTGTTTTTCTGACTGTAGGAGCATATTGGGTCTACACTCAAGGAAAACTAGAAGTGCAATAGTTATTGCCCCAGAAACAACCCTCAACAAATAACATAAAGGAAGATGACAGATCAATATTTCACTTTCCTCTCACTCGATAATATACCCATAAACTCTGTCCCACTAGAGTTCTAGGGTTCCCCAGAAAGATTTAGCTCCAGTTACCAATAGTGGTACATGACTTCATAATGCCCCCTGCGCTAGAATTCTTCCATTTCCTATTTTACTTCTCCACTTCCTCCCTACTCCCCTACCAGCATTTCTTGGGAAAACTTGAATATTTGTCTTACTGTCTGTTTTGGATAAAAACAAATGATGAAAACTTTCACTACAAAGGGATGATATTGGGGTGGAAATGAAGAATTCACATTTGAGAAAGATGAGATCAAGATACTCTATTCAGGTTGTTGTAGTTTAGCCCTTAGGGTCTTTCTGGTGTCATGTTAGAAGACTGCTTCCAGAAGCCTAGTTTCTGAAGCTTTGAGCTAAGGATTGGCCATCTTTTGCTAATAGTCTTCTTAGATGTCTGATTTGTTCTTCCATGAGTGGTGAATTTGTTTTTGATTATGTCCCCTCTGTTGAATGAAATTTAATTGTATTATACAAATTGCATTAAAGAGTATTTCTGGTATCACGTTTAGCTTCTTACTTCATTTAGCTAGGGTAAAATATGGTACTATAACCTGAACTGTGTTCCTCAAAATTCATAAATGAAAGCCTTGACTGCCAATGTGACTGTATTTGGAGACAGGTCCTTTACAGAGGTAATTAAGATTGAGTGAGGTCACAAGGGTGGGGCCCTAATCTGATAGAACTGGTGTCCTTAGAAAAAGAGGAAGAGACACCAGGGCTGTCTCTTTTTCTTAGTTCTGACAAAGGGAAAAGGCCTCGTGAGAACACAGCAAGAAGTCTGCTAGCCACAAGCTAGGAAGAGTTCCCTTACCAGGAACAGAATCAGCTGGAGTCTTGACTGGGATGTCCACCCTTCAGAACAGTGAGAAAATAAAGTTCATATTAAGCCACCCAGTCTGTGGTGTTTTGTTATGGTACCTTGAGCTAATACATATGGGCACATTAATGTTTAAATGAACGTCTTTACTTTATTTCCAAACTTCAGTATTTTCCTTCCTACATTTTAATTTTCTTTTTTCATAATGTTCTTTCATAAGAGAATGAATTTTGGACCCAGATCATCTGTTACGTTGGTCAAATTCCTTAACTTTATTTGAATCAATTTTCTCAAATGTCTGAAGATGATGATACTAATATTTGCTTCCCCGTCGGATGGCTGTCTTCAAAATAAGCACTTTAATTATAATAAAGGCTGGAAATAAAAATATTTCTTTTATTATTGCTGTATGTTTTCAATATTCTTCAATATCTTACATGAATTTTTTTAAAAAATTAAGTTGAAACTTTCTATTCCTGTCTTATTTTTCAGACATAGCTTTTTCCTGTCTTCCGTTCCACTCCTTCTCTAGAATTTCTTCTTGCCACACACTTCTTTCCCCTGGGTAGACAGAGCCTCACAAGCTCATCCTTATTTTTCCTCACAAAGCCTTGTCAAACAGACCATCCATTGAGATTCCTACTGGATCAATTGACAATTGATTCAATTTGGTCACTAGGCAACATATTTTAGGAAAAGAATGTTGTGAATGCTGTTTTTGCATTTATTTTCCAGGATTAAAACCTTCTTCAAATAATCTGCTTTGTTCCAGGATCCATGAAAGCTTGAAATAGCACCCACACCGTCTGCACTTGCTTGCCCTTTATGCCATAAATTCCTTCTAAACATAGACATCCATGTCAAGTTGGCATTGATATAGGATGCAGATTTATGTGTTTAGAAGTAAGTCAAGAAAGAAAGAACATTTGGAAAGACTATCAAGAAAGATGGGTTGTCAGAAAAAATAAAGAAAAAAGAAAAAAGATAGGAAAACTAATGAATGCTAAAACACACTACAACAGCTTATCAGTGTGAGTTAGCTCTTCATGTTCTCGTAGTCCGTTCTAGAATTGGGACCTTCTTTTCAGGCTCTTTTTCAACAATGGCCACTGGAGGGCATTGCCAGCCAGCAGTGAGGGAGGTTTATAGCAAGTCCTTAACAGGGAAAGTTAAGGTATAAAGGTCAGATGTGGCAATAGCGTCAGACAACAATAGGGCAAACATGAAAAACTACAACTACGTGTCTCAGAGCAAGATTTTGCTGGCACTTAGACTGAGGTCTAAGAAAGAGTTGTTGAAATATGGTGGGTGTTTGCCCTAGGTTTTATTTTCCCTTCTCACTGTTAACATTGATGTTGTCATTTATTTACAGCTTTATGGTTGCATGGGCCTCATATCATTTGATCAGTATGTTCTCTAACAGTTTGGTCTAAATTGAGTTTCTGAAAATTTGAACCTGTCAATGAAGATGGCTGATCTCCATGAAAAGATGGCATAAGCAGGTCTCTTCAAAATGGGAAAAGGTCCTCTAGGAAAGCAAAATGTTACTTTAACATTTGAACATACCTGCAAATTTCTTATTAAGTTGATTTATAGTGTGACACATCAATAAGGTACTTGAGGCTTGATTCACTAGACTGATATGCCACTCAATCGGGCAGTCATTTAGCTTATTCACCACCTCTACTCGGGGGGCCAGTGATGCTTCCTCTGATCACGTTGAAACGGCGCCCATGTGAAAGCCCAGCACCATGTTACATTTCCATTCTACCTTCTCTTCTTATGCCTTGGAATATTCAAATCAATATTCTTCAAATTTCAAGTCTATGGGAAAGGGTGGTATTTTTAAATTCTAATTTGTTTTAGTGTGCATATGTGTGGTTTGTTCATGTAGACGGCTTTGCCGTTTAATCTCAATTCTTGGCAAGCCAGTGTTAAGTGACTGGTTTTACACTTGGTGTGACTGAATGGGTACTGAGGCTCAGCTTGCCTGAATTACAAAGGCCATCGAGATGTTCTAACCTCATGTTTCTGGAGAAGTTTTCAATTGGCTTTTAGCACTATATCATCCTGGATTGCCTCTGATATCAATGACTACTTCTGTCAGTTTCCTTTACTTTCCTCTCTGCTGTTGGAACAGAAGCATGCCCAGAGATCAGACATTGAACCTATTTTCTTCTGGGTCTGCCTCACTTTCATGGTGATATCCTCCAGCCTCATGACTTTTAAAACCACCTATAGGCCAATGACTCCCAAATTTATATTTCCACTCTGCATCTCTCCCATATACTCCAAATTCCAATTTCCAAATGCCTACAACTCTACTTGAGTGTCTGATAGATGTCTCAAACTTAGTATGTTCAAAACCAAACTTGATCTTCCTTCTAAAGCTTAGTTTTCCCTTCTCAGTTTATAGCAGCTTGTGGTTTTCTGTGTGAAAAGGGCTATGTAAACCAAAATAAAATTCTGAGCCCCTAACAGACTAAATGGACTCCCCTCTTCACCAAAGGGATCCCAAAGAAACCTGAGCAACTAATTCAGGGCATGAATGGAAGGTGTGGGAGGGGATCAGACATGCTTCATTAAACCTTTCTCCGTTTGGAATTTGGGCACAACTGACCAGCATTAATAATAAAACAGAGTTCTTAAGACTGACAAAACAGGCTCTTTATAGCAATAAGATACCAAATCCCAACCTGACTCTGGTATAGTGTCACAGGACAGAGAGCAGGCTCTGAAGGAAGTCATAGTGTTTTACCCCAAAATATATTTGTTTGACATATTTCGAAATGGCCATGCAAAGCTATCACTTGGGGGGGAAATTTGAATTCTGTAGAAAATCTTTTTCCCTTACTAGATCTTTTCTGGAGAGGAAAGTCTGATACCATTTAAGGTCTGATCAGAGATGTTTACTATCTATTCTTTTTGAAGCCTGCTACCAGAACTTCATCTATATGACAAGAACCATGGCTTCCCTTAAGAATTTTTTTATGCTGACTTCAAATTCTTTAGGCAATGCCTAACTCTTTCAACCAAATCCACTCATGACCTGGAAGCCCCCACTTTGAGAAGTCATACCTTTCTGGGCTAAACCAATGTTTACCTTAAGTGTACTCTTTTATGTCTTTGCCTGTAACTTCTGTCCACCTAAAAGGCATAAAACCAAGGGTATACCTCTCAACCCTGAGGCACATGTTCTCAGGACCTCCTGAGGCTATGTCATGGGCCATGGTCTTTAACCTTCACAAACTAAACCTTTAAATTGACTTAGACTGGTCACAGATACTTTTTTGGGTTACAGCTAGAATCATCCTTGACTCGTCTCGTACCTACATCAAATTCATAATCCGATCTATAATTAAATCCAGAACCAACGATGCTCACCGCTTAATTGGGCTTTAAATGTCATCCTTTCTCTCAGATTATGGCAACAGCCTCCTTGCGTCTACTGTCAAGTCCCCTAACAACATGGCAGAGGTACTACGTAGATTATAAACCTTTTTCACTATGCATATATAAGCAGGACAGGCCAGGCAGGTTTTAATGGGAGAAACACACACGTTAGAGGGGAGATACTAAGGACACAGATGAGGAACACTGTGATGGAAATGTGAAAGGTGAAATATTTAGTTGAGATTGAAAAGGAATCTAGTTGTTGAAAGAGGGATGAATGTCATCAAATTGGAAAAATCTGAATGACTTAAGGAAAATATTTATTGCTTGCATAGATAGAGATATTTACAGCTTACAGAGTGTTTTCAAGTACTACTATTTCACTCAGTCTTCACCCTTTTGTACTAATGTAAGTAGAAAGAGATAAAAAAAAAACTGGGTCTCTAGAAGGTTAAGGGATTTTTTTCGAGGTCATGAAGTGTGAAATTGAGCCTTAAGTCACAGGAATTTCTTACTATACCTAGAACTAGTGGTAAGTTTTCCACTGGCCCATGGCAAAATAAGAAAAATAGGAACAATGAAGTAAATTTTTCATAAAGCTAAAAGTATTTCATTCAAAGAGGTATTCTTTATTTTGAGATTATATTCTCCTCAATCTTTGATGTCATAATGTTTTTTATTTTAAAACAATAATTAAGAGTATTTATAAATGTCTTAATTGGTCAAAATAAAAATGAGTTCTTAAAAAGCATAACTATCTATCTATGCAAAATCTGGGAACTACTGACCTACACTCATGTCTCAGGTAAGAAAACTTGAGAACCAGGTTGCATTCTCATTAACATGTTTTCTTCTAGTCAGTATCCGGGCTTTTGAAACTGTCTATTTTTTTAATATCTATTTAAAGCAAAGGAATAATTCTAAAGCAAGAAGGACTAAATGGGAACTTTCTGTATGTGTGCCTCATGTGTGATCTTCCTTTCTGGCTCCCTGCTTTCATTTAGGAATTGAGACTATAAAAATTTAAGTGTAAAAAAAAACTTATTATTTTATTAGATGAACAGTATTATTCACGTCGCTAAAGAGCTCAAAGGAAACGATGATTACATTTTAGAAAGTTGTCTCTGTTCCTATTAAATTATTGCTAAGTGTATGTATTTTTCTACCTCTTTTTCCTAAATTCTACTGAAATGATGTAATAGATACAAAAATACATCCACAGCAGTGTGAGTACTTGGACAAAAATACCACCATTTTATCAGAGCAGTGAAAAGTTTCTGACAATAAATAGCACATTCATTTATTTTTTCAACAGCTATCTACTGAGGATGTATTGTGCCATTCTAGGCATATAATATAAATGCCCATTTGTTAAAAAGAAATATGTCGGATTATGATAAATGCAATGTAAATAATAGATAAGTTCATATGATAGAAAAATGACTTGGTGGCTGCTGTAATCTGGGTAGTTACGGAAGAGCTCTTTGAGAAACTGATCTCTTAATCGACAGGTAAGTAAGAAGGAACTAGCTGTTTAGATATCAGAAAGAAAACTTTCCTGAGAGACAGAAAAGCAGTGCAAGGGCTTAAAATGTTTGGGGATCTAAAAGAATGCTAGTGGGGTGATGGTAAAGAGTAGGTCATAGGGGGAAGAAGGACCTAGATTATGTAAGCTTTTAAAAGCCAGACAAAAAGTTTATATTTTATTGTAAATAAGATGAGAAGCAACTGGAGAAATGTAAGCAGGAGAGTGGTATGGTGTGATATGTTATTTTAAAAGACAGCTTTGATTGGTTTTTGGAAAGTGAAGGTGGTATATAAATTTGGATGATTTGGCTGTAATTACGGACAAGGTAATTTAGTCTATATAAAAGTGTTAAAACTACGATAACTAATAACAAATCCATAGATATGACATCTCAAGGGTCGTTTATTCAGTGACAGCAATAACATTAAAAACTACAGCCTTTTAACCTTTTCAATCTGACATCTTTGGTGTCTTGGCTTTGTCCCCATGGTTGCAAGATAGCTGCAGTAGTTTCAGATTTTAAATGCAGACATGGCAACACCCATAGGTATAAGCTTCCCAATAGACCTTCACTCTGACCAACCTTTTCTTTAAAGCCACAAAGAGTTACGATTTACATGTACAGATTTATCTTTACAGCAATAAAAATGTAAATTGGAGTGAAAAATTATTCATTGGCCAATATTTGCCAATTAGGATTTCAAATATGAGTAACTAAGAAAGTTGTACATCAAAAAAAGCAAATAATTAAACTCTAAGTCTTAAGTTAGGAACCAGAATAACCCTAGATATAATTATTGTCCTTTAAATTTTTTTGAGGATACCACATTCATAAAAACGATCAGACTGTTTTGAAAGAAAAATAAGACTTCAAAAATAAAAATACAAATGCAGAAACAAAAAACAGATGGGCCAAAATAGCAGAATGAACACAGCTGAATACGAAATTTCTAAACTAGAAGGCAGAGCCAGTCAAAAAAAAAGTGGAGATTTTTGCAACCCACAGAAATACAAAATTTCAGTATATTTTAAAAAGTGAAAAATAATAGAGATCAGATTTCTTGACTATAATGTGATGATAGTAAGAAATTAACAGCAAAACGGTAGACAGATGAAGATGATCCACTTGGAAAATATAAAAAGAAGACAACTAAAAAGCAAAACTTTGGATAAAGAGGGATTGAAAACTACAATTATAGGCAATTACATGGCGTGCCAGCTATGCTGGCTGTATCTCTGAGACATGTTGATTATTTGCTGAACATACAATAGCAGCATATATGAAAATATGTAAGATTAGGCCAACGCAATATTTAGAAGAAATTATGTTGCCGTAAATACATTAATTAAAAAATAAAAATGATTGAAAGTAAATCAACTATGCATTCAACTCGAGAAAAAGAGAGACAAAACATACCTAAAGATAAGATGGAAGTTACTGAGCTAAGAAGCACGAGAACATGCTCATGGGGTCAGGACTGAATGAGGCTTACTTTGTTATTAAATCTTTCTCACTGAAGTGTCACCTTACAACTTTCTCTGTGCTGCAAGATCCTTTATGCCATAAAAACTTCGTTTTTGAAAGTGACACTTAGCTAAATTTGTCCAGAAATACTGTGAATAGTAATGAAAAGGTAGGTCAGAGTGGGGTAAAATAGAAGCAAATATTTCATCCATGGATGAATGATCACTAGGGAATAAATGTCTACTCAAAACGTACTGTGGGCTCAGAGATGAAGTGTGAGTTGGTCCTATAGATGCCTCACCTATGGTACTTGGCCAAAAAATGAGGGTGGGAATGAATCATACTTAGTGTGAAAACCGATAGAAAATGACAAGAAGCTTGAGATGTCTAATTTCAGGAGTATTACTATGATACCTAAATATAGGTGATTTTAGAATGCTTACCAATAATAACTTGTTTTAGTGTGATCACAGGTCATTGGAGCCTCAACCTCCTGGGCTCAAGCAATCCTCCCACTTCAGTCTCTCGAGTAGGTTGGCCTACAGGCATGTGCCACCATGCCTGGCTATTTTTTTTTTCATTTTTTGTAGAGATGTGGTCTCACTATGTTGCCTAGGCTGATCTCAATGTCCTGGAAGATTTTTAAGTGATCTTTCTGTCTCAGCCTCCCAAAGTGCTGGGATTCCCAGCATGAGCCACTGTGCCCAGCCACAACTTTAGTTTTATAGTACGTATTCATAGTCCTTATTGTTTATAGAATATTATCATTCTTTTTGCACTAGGAATTAGTTCCTGTATGGAAGTTACTATGAAACAAAATTGTGTTCAAAGTAAAGAAAAACATTCAAAAGTCTAAATTATCAGGTGGTAAGGTGGCTTCCTTGGTAGTTGAGAATTTTTCTGTCTCTCAAAACATTAAATAATGGCTAGCAGATCGCTTATAGGAAATGTTAGAGAGGAAAGTTATTTATTGAGTGGGATGGGGAGAGGGGTGACCCCAAATTCCCTTTACATCCTGACATTTTAGGATTTGTGTTTCTGGTGTACCCCACTTACTATATATATATATCAAAGGAGTCTTCTACTAATTAGCTTCCAAATAATTCTGTCTAAGCATAGAAAATAGTTGATCTAGTATATTTTCTAGTCATTCCTAGCCCTTTCAAAGATTCTACAGTTTTAACCAAAAAGAAATAAGTAATGTACATTGCTATGGTTTGAGTTTGTCACCTCTGACACTCATGTTGAAACTTACTCCCCAATGTACCAGTATTAAGAGGTGGGGCCTTTAAGAGGTTATTGAGTTATGTGCACTCTGCCTTCATGAATAGATCAATCCATTCATGGATTAATGAATTAATGGGTTATCACAAGAGTGTATCTGTTATAAAAGCCCATTTAGCAAACTTGGCTCCTCACCATGTGATGCCCTGCATTGTTTTGGAACGTTGCAGAGTCCTACCAGCAAGAAGCCCTTCACCAGATACACTTCCTTGCCCTTGGACTTCCCAACCTCAGAACTGTATGAAATAAATTCCTTTCCTTTACAAATTACCCAGTCTCAGGTATTCAGTTTAGCAACAGAAAATGGACTAAAACAGCATGCCTTTATTCAAATATGGTTGTTCCATATATTCTGGACTTTCCAGCAATAGCATTAAATGGCGTTGTACATTTTGAAGCTGGAACTTCTTTTAAGATATTCTGCTCAGTTTCTGACAATAAATACAACATAATCCTACTCATATTATTCCTGCCTCATCACCAGTGCTTTAAGCATACCAGGTATGAGTGATGTTGCTTTGACTATTATGGCAAAGCCAGCACAATAGATCACATTAACATGGTGACACTATAGGATCATTTACATAAAAACACTTAACATTTGTTGAATATTTTCTACCTACCAGGCATGATTCTAAGTACTTTACATTTGCTGGCTCGTATAATCTTCAAAACAGCACTACGATGTTGATGCCAATTTTATTTTAATTTTACTGGTGGTAAAATTGAGGCAAAGAGAAGTTAATATACTCAAAAGTCACAAAACAAGTGAGAGAGAGAGCGAGCGAGCTCAGATTTAAACTCAGAAAGTTTAAATTCCAATCGCATGCTCTTTTTTATCATTTCTACTTTAGATGATGTAGTCTATACCAGGGAGAAAAAGATTTCAAGAAAAGGAGAGGAAAATAACAAGGGGCAGTGAGATGGAGTGGAGAGAATATTGCACTTGTAGCCAAGACTTTGTATTTCTCGTTTTGACATGCCTCTGTTTAATTTTTAGTGGACCATTTAATGGCTGATCGTCATCTATAAAATGCAAATTGACTGCACGCCTCTTGATTTAATACTCTTTCTTTGTCTCATTCTAGACCTTTCACAAATCAACTTCACATGAATGATCTCATCTAAGTCTGACAGAAATTTTCCAAGAAACTTGAGGTTCAAAATAGTGGAGGCTCCCACCTCCACTGTCCCACCCACTTGGTTGCACAGATGGTAAGGATCTTCGGACTCCAAAGGCAGTGTCTCTTCCTCCTATATTCTGCTGCCCTATTTTATGTATATAAAAGCATTTTTAAACTGTAAAATAACTTTCATAGCTAAAGTGGCATGTAAAGGTGGATTGGTAAGGGTTTCAGCAGAAGAAGGTTGCAAAGAAAGAATAATTCTTGGATTTATTTGGAGGAGCCAGACTAGTTTACATGAAAACCACATGCATTCTTAATTAATTTTGTTTAAATCCCAGAACAAATGCTAAACTGATGGAAGAATATGCTGCTTCTCTGTGCTCCCGTGAATTCCTTATTTTGTAGCATAAAATGATAAATGTTTGAACAGCTGCAATTATAAAGTTAAGAAACCATACAACACACATACACACAAACACACACAAGCACACACTTTTTTTCTGTCCAGGATTGTGGATTGGAACTGTGCCACAGAAAAGAATCCATGGGTGACAAATATATTTTCATTCATTATGCTGAATCCCTTGCATGGCATAACTTTCTCTGTGGGAGGTTTACCTCAAGAATGGCAAAAAAAGAAAAAAAAAAAAAAAGAAAGAAAAAATGTGAACAAACCAGCTTTCTTGATTTATTGTCTTGGAATAGTTTCTGAGATATTGTTCTCCTTCGGGTACAAGCTAAATATTTTTGCAACAATTGAGGATTAATGGGAAGGAGTTGATGGGTGGAGACAGCTCGGCCTTAGTCATTGTACAAATCTTTAGTTTGCATTTTGTCTTTGTATACTTAAGCAGCATGAATAGAAGGGGTTGTTATTTCTTATTTAACTTATTTTAAGCACATGTGCTGTAAATATATACTGTTATGCAGGTAAGCCTGTGTGCCTATTTAATTCGTACGCAGTCATTGTAAACTCTTTTATTGGTTATATATTGGAAATCTGAGAACTCAGTTCTTGGTGTTCTGGGAAGTACATGAAAACTTACAGTGGGCTGAACTTCCTTGTTGTCTGCTGAAAATGAATGAATGGGCCTGAATCTGCTCCTTGCTATTTACTGAGATATACGTAAATCATATAATATCATATGGGATGGAATTAAGAGAATCATAGAATGTCAGATTTGGAAGAGACCTTAGAGCACATTATCACAACTTTATTGGTCAGGGAAACAGAGCCATTGTGGGTATCATGTGAATAAGGGATTTAATATAAAAACTAGACCTCATCCAATATTATAAGAACTGAAAACGTGAAGGTCTAGAGGGGAGTTGGAAACGCCAAGAAAAGTTCACTGGTCATTCAGCCTTTAGGCACTGGTGTGAGCGGGCAAACAGGAGCTTTCATGGAAATCCAAGAAATTTAAGGACTACATAAAATTTGAACAATTGTACTTGTGATATATTGAAACTTCACTAGGTATCAGGCACTATGCTAAGCATCACACATCTTGCGTCTCTTTTTCTTACTGATTTTAAAATTATTTTTCAATTATTTATATATAAATAAATATGGAAATCTATACATAGAAAAACTGAGTGGGAAACACCAAAGACTCTGTAAGAAAAGCCGCGTTGTCATCAGAACAAGGATCCTAGTAGAAAATAGTTTAGGTAGAGTCTTTAGATCATAGCATATTTTTCAGCTTCCTTTTGAAGTTATAAGAATTTCTTTTGGAGAATTAAATGGGAAAGGTAGTGAATGAGCCGAGGGAGCTATAGAAAGCTCCACAGTCAGGCATCTGACAGATCTATAAAGTGAGCCGAATACTGGATATCTGGCATGAATATGGTTCGAGAGTGGGATGGTTTGATTTGTTTTTTCTTCTAGGCTCACCATGACCAACTTCCAGCTCTCAGAAAATTTCAGTATGGTAGAGTGAATGTCCTCAGCTGACAACAGTGCATAGAAGCAAGAGTGGGGACTTCATCAGCATATGGTCCAGGTTAATAGTAACCTGAGCCAGGTATCCCAGAGCTGAAGGATTCTTAGTAGTAATAGCCATTAGCATATCTGTTTCTTGGGTCACACTGCTTAATCTAACTGGTTGCTCTTTACGTCTGTTCAATTGTCATCTGGAATTGCCCTTCAGCATAACCCTGAGGATTCCCCTTACTTGTCCCCTGTGTTAGATCCGCTAGATCCTGTATTGAAGTGAAAGGCAAAATCAGAAGCTTTCTGAGCAATGGTTCATGAACTTTACGTTGTGAACTAAACTAAAATGTTTTCATTATATTATCAGATTTTTAATTAGTCTAGATTAAAATTTTAGGTTTTTCATTATTTAGTTTAAAATTTTGAAGGCATTGCTCAAGCACTGTTTTTTTGAGAACTACAGAGACACTTTGAATCCCAGTCTTACATATGATATCTAATTTTATTTTCTCTTCCTGGAAGGCTGTAAGATTTTTCTCTTTGCATCCTATGTTCTTGTATTTGCTCAATTTGGATGTGTTTTATTCCACTTATATCAGTTAGTATTTATATACTATATACTATATTTATTTATATTTTATAAGTAATTTCCTTTTCTTTCTTTTTTTGTTCTATTTCTAGAGGTCCTCTCACTTATATGTGGGACCTCCTGAACTCATTCTGTAATTTTTAATATTTTTTCCCATGTTCTATTTTCTCAACTTGCTGTTCTATTTTCATCATTTCCTAAACCTGTTTTTTTTTTCCAAATTTTCTATTGAGTTCCTCACCTCTACTATTACATGTTTTTGTACTTTGATTTTGTTATAGCACTTCTTGTTTCATGGCTGGCTGAAATGTTTTTCTTATTTCTCTGAAGATTAAAATTATAGTTTTACTAAAGTTCTTTCTGTTTTCTGTTCACACAAGCTCTGTTCCTTCCAAGTTGTTTTTTATTCTGTGTATTTCTGTCTATATCTTTTATATTAGAGGTGACGTTCGGACATTTGTCCATCCTTGGCAGTTGTCATTTCCTCTTTTTTTTTTTTTTTTTTTGAGATGGAGTCTCACTCTGTCACCAGGCTGGAGTGCAGTGGTGTGATCTTGGCTCACTGCAACCTCCGCCTCCTGGTTCAAGTGATTCTTTTGCCTCAGCCTCCCGAGTACCTGGGACTGCAGGCATGCACCACCATGGCCAGCTAATGTTTGTATTTTTAGCAGAGACGGGGTTTCACCATGTTGGCCAAGATTGTCTCGATCTCTTGACCTCATGATCCACCGGCCTTGGCCTCCCAAAGTGCTGGGATTCCAAGTGTGAGCCACCTCTCTCAGCCCATTTCCTCTAATGAATCAGATCCAAAAGTGGATTAAATTCTCTGAGTGCTTGGCTTGGCTTGTTACCCGTAAGGAGACTTGCTTGAATTCTTGATATGATGTTAGTCTTTCTCCTTAGACTGGTAAGGTTGAAAGAAAAGTCTCTTCCAATATTGTCCTTGTATATTTGTGTCTTAAAACATCTCTTTAGTGGTTTTAAATGTGTGTGTGTGTGTTTGTGTGTGTGTGTGTGTTTAAGGGAGAAATGTGATAAAAGGGCTTTTAATTTTTTTGGAAACTAGGATGTCCCTATTATCTTACTAAGCCTCAGAGCAAATAACAAATTAAGATGGGGGAGACTAGTGGGAAGTGTTTTCTTTTCCTCATGGAAATGAGTTTAAAGGGTTTTATGACTTGTCCATGTTCTCACAACTGTTGAGTGGATAAATAAGAATCTGAATGTGGGGAAGGTGGATTTTATAGACACTGACTAAAGAAGATGTGTGCCCTGGGGACAAAATAAAGCCTAGATAATAGCTTCCCTGACAGTTTGTGAGGATCTGACAGTTTTTGGTCTATATAAATGAAGAAGGAATCAATAAAAGAGGTATATCAAATTATATAATCAAGTAAGCAATATTACTTGATTATATAATTTTTGAGTAAAGATTTTAGTCTCTTTAACCAGAGAAGCTTGTTCAAAATCTGTTAGTTCTACTTCAAAAATTAACTTCAAGTCTGTGCATTCCTCTCCAACTCCACTGCTACCTTTCTAGTCTTCAAATAATCACTAGTATTCTCTTGGCTTATCACAATAAACCTCCTACCTGATGATCTCACCTCCATTCTTCATCTCTTCTTACAAATAATGCATATGGAACTGAGAAGAGTCTTTTCTAAAATTTATATCATCCCCTTTCCTGGCTTAAGATGTTTTAAAGTTTTTCTATAACAGTAAAAGGTAAAATATAATTCCTCAGCATGGTCCATAAGTCCAGAATAGGCTGATGTTTATCCACTTTTTCAACATCAGCTTTTGCTTCACTCACTATGTTCCAATCATAATTGTTTTATTTCATTTGAAAAAGTGCTGAGAGATTTCCTGCTTTAAGGATTTTGCTTATGCTATTCTCTCTGCCAGGGATGCTCTTCCTACTACTGCCAATTGATTGACACTTCATAATTATTCTTCAGAACTTAAATTCCTTTTTTAAGAGTCTGGCATAATCTACTCCCTGGGTGAATTATATTCTTTGTTTCTTTTAATGTTTCAGATTATCTACATGTAATAGCTAAACTATCAGAAAAGAATCTGGAGAATCTGAAAAGTCATTCTTTTCATTGTGTGTGTTTGTACTTTTCCAATCACAATGTCAGAAGCATGTTATCAGATGAGAATGTGCTTTTAATTTGCAAAGTAAGGTTTTAACCCACTTTGTGTGAGATAGTGAAGTGTACTGAAACAGCATTGGGGGCTTGGGCTTTGCTGCTAAGTTGAGGAGTCACCATAGACAAATTAAATTGCTTCCATGGACTTCATTTCCTCTATCTCTGAGGTACAAAGATTGGATGGAGACAATTCCTATAGACCTTTCTGGCTTACTATTCCAATGGTGCTCTATGCTAAAACTTGGCTTTCAAATGATTTTCCAATACAGGCATACCTTATGGATACTAGCAATTCAGTTCCAGACCACCGCAATGAAGTGAATTTTGCAATAAAGTGAGCCACACAAAAATTTGGGTTTTCTTGTGCATATAAATATTATGTTTATGACATACTATAGTCTATTAAGTGTGCAATAGCGTTATGTCAACAAAACAATGTACATACATCTTATATAAAAATACTCTTGCTAAAAAATGCTAACCGTCAACCTGGACCTTCAGCAGGTCCTAATCTTTTTGTTGGTGTAAGATCGTACGTCGATGTTAATGGTTGCTGACTGATCAGAGTGCTGGTTGCTGAAGGTTGGGGAGGCTGTGAGGATTTCTTAAAATAAAACAATAATAAAGTTTGTTCCATTGATTGACTCAAGAACATTCTTGTCACAAAAGATTTCTCTGTAGTGTGTGATGCTGTAAAACTTCTCTCAAAATTGAAGTTAGTCCTCCAAACCCTGCCACTGCTTTATCAACTACGTTTATGTAATATTCTAAATCCTTTGCTGTCATTTCACAATATTTACAGCATGTCCACCAGGAGTAGATTCCATCTTTAAAAAACAAAACACTCTTTTTGGCTCATTCATAAGAAGAAACTCTTCACCCATTCAAGTTCTATCATGAACTTGCAGCAATAGAGTCACATCTTCGGAGTAGATTTAGCATACTTCTTATGGACCCTAGGATTTTCAGAATGGCAAATGAGATTTGGCTTCAACTTAGTTACCATCTGCATTAGCCCCTAACAAGAGAGTCAGCTTATCCTTGGAGGCTTTGAAACTAGGAATTGACTTCTGCTCTTGATGAAAGTTCTAGATGGCGTCTTCTCCCAACATGAGGTTGTTTTAAGTACACTAAAAATCTTCAGAAGACCCGGTTAATGGGAGCCACTATCCGGGTCTTCTACGGCCTGTGCTGGCTCTGGGATCTCAGCACAGGTCTTTTGCTCTTCCTCCTCTTGAGCAGCCATGGCTGCCAGGAAGACCCAGAACCCCAAGGCTGAGGTGGCCCAAGTGCAGGTGGTTTTGGTGCTCAACATCAGTGTGGTGCAGGGGCTACAGGACATACTGAGGACCAACCTGGGACCCAAGGGCGTCATGAGGATGCCTGTTTCTGTGCTGGACACATCAAGCTTACTAAAGACAGCCATGTGCCACTTCACAAAATGCAAATTCACGAAATGCAAATGCTATTAAATGCATTCTTAATAGCAAAAGTAGCAACAGCTCAGGATGATATAACGGGTGATGGTATGACTTACAATGTCCTAATAATTAGAGAGCTACTGAAACAGGCCAACCTCTACATTTCTGAAGGCCTTCATCCCAGAATAATCACTGAAGGATTTGAGGTTGAAAGGTAAGGGCCCTTCAGTTCTTGGAACAAGTCAAATTAAGCAGAGAGATGCACATAGAAACACTTAAGAGATGTGGCCAGAACATCTCTTTGTACTAAAGTTCATGCTGAACTTGCAGACATCTTAACATAGGCTGTAGTGGACTCCATTTTGGCCATTAACAAACAAGATGAACCTATTGATCTCTTCATATTTGTGATCATGGAGATGAAACATAAACCTGAAGCTGATACAAGCTTAATTAGAGGCCTGTTTTGGACCATGGAGCACGGCATCCTGATGTGAAGAAAAGGGTGGAAGATGCATACATCCTCAAGTGTAGTGTGTCATTAGAGTAAGAAAAAAGGAAGTAAATTCTGGCCTTTTTATTTACAAGAGTGAAGAAGAGAGAGAAAAAAATCATAAAATCAGAAAAAGTTCATTGAACATGGAGTTAAAAAATAGTAGAACTGAAAAGGAAAATCTGTGGTGATTCAGATAAAGGATTTGTTGTGATTATCAAAAGGGAATAGATCTCTTTTCCTTAGATGTTCTTGCAAAAGAAAGCATAGCAGCTCTACACAGAGCGAAAAGTAGAAATATGGAGAGGCTGACTCTTGCTTGTGGCAGGGTAGCTCTGATTTACTTTTATGACCTAAATCCTGACTGCTTGGGACTTGTGGTTCTTGTGCATGAGTATACACTGAGGAGAAGTTCACCTTTATTCAGCAATGTAACAATCCTCACTCTTTCACATTATTGATCAAAGGACCAAATAAGCACACACTCTCTCAAATCAAAGAAGCCATCAGAGATGGCTTGAGGACTGTAGGAGGAGCTATTAATGATGGCTGTGCAGTTCCAGGTGCTGGTGCCGTGGAAATGGCAATGGCAGAAGACCAGTGTAAAGGGCAGTGCACAGCTTGGAGTTCAAGCATTTACTGATGCATTGCTCAATTATTCCCAAGGTTCTTGCTCAGAATTCTGCTTTTGACCTTCAAGAACGTTAGTTGAAATTCAAGCAGAATATTCAGAATCAGTCAGCTTGTGGATGTGGACCTCAACATAGGTGAGCCAGTGGTAGCAGCAGAAATAGGAGTATGGGATAACTATTGTGTAAAGAAACAGCTTCTTCACTCCTGCACTGTGATGGCCACCAACATTCTCTTGGTTGACGAGATCATGAAAGCTATTAATAGAATGTCTTCTCTGAAAGGTTAAGTTGAAGCTTCGCTGTATCTGAGTCTTGAGACTCTGCAAAGTGATCCTGAGGAATGTAGCTGTGGAATTTTTGTCCAAGCTTCAAATGGTTTTCAAAGGAATTTTCTTTTCCCATATGAAAAAAGGAGAGAACACTGGTACCTAGTGAAATTTTGAAGTTCTGAAATTACAATTACAGTATTTTTTTAATTGCACTGAAGTAAAAACCCATAAAGCAGGTCCATGTGTGTCTTTTACCCAGTGAGCAGGATGTTTTGCTTCAGCTGCAGTGACATAAAAATCCATGTTAGAAAAGCATATGTTATCTACCTTATTATTAAATATTTCTTGAAAAACAAATTTTAATGGTTTAATAATTTCTTATGAAGATGTTTGTTAAATTATCCAACAGTGTCCTATTGTCAAGTATTTAGGTTTAAAAAAAGTTTTATGCTAATATAAATAACACTTCTGTAATTTAAGATTTTGAAAGCATCCCTGTTGGTATAAATTTCTATTTGTAAACTTATTGGATCAGTTGGACTTTTGCTGCTTTTGAAATAGCTTTGCTACAATACTCCCCCCAAAACGTTAAGCTGTAGCAAATGGGAAGAAGAATAAACTAGAGGCAAAGGGAGTTGAGAGAGCTGCAAGGGACAAGTGGCAAAAATAGAAGAGGCAGAGGTAAAAAGATGATGGAAGGCATGGTGACTAAGGGCTAGGGTTACTGGGTGAAATATGAGATTAATAGCTGACCATATTTTCAAGCGTCTGAACTTTTTGCTTGTGCAACATATCCATCCCAAATGCTCTAGTGCCATATTTTTCTCACCCAAATTACTGTTCTCTCCTACATATTTCCACAAGATTGTTTATATACAGTTGGTCTGTTTCTGTAGTCTTTGGAGACGAAATTGTGTGATACTAAGCTGTGTGGTTTGAGGGTTTAGCAGTTATCTGCAATGAATATGTAATAAATATTAAGTTGAATCCTCAAAACAAAAAATAAAATGTGTTGTTTAGTATGTAGCCACCTTTACCAGCTATCTGAGCGAGATCTTTTGGATAACTTGCTGCAACTTCTATATCAGCACTTGCTGCCTTACCTTGCACTTTCATGTTATGAAAATGACTTCTTTGCTTAAATCTCATGAACCAAAAATTTGCCAGCTTCTGACTTTTCTTCTTTAGCCTCCTCACCTCAGTTTGTAGTGTCTTGTGGATCATAGTACGGTCTTGCTTTGGATTAGGCTTTGGTTTAAGGGAATGTTGTGACTTGTTTGATACTCTATCCAGACCTCTCTAACTTTCTCCATACCAGCAATAACGCAGATTTACTTTTTTATTTGTGTGTTCACTGGAATGGCACTTTTAATAGCCTTCAGTAATTTCTCCTTTGCAATCATAATTTGGCTGCTGGGAGCAAAAGACTTAGCTTTGGGCCTATTTCAGCTTTCAACATGTCTTCCCCTCATGTAATCGTTTCTATTTTTTGGTTGAAAGTGAGAGGCACGTGATTCTTCCATTCATGTGAACACTTAGAGGCCATTTTAGGGTTATTGTTTGGCTCTATTTGATTTGATTTTTTTAAATTTATTTATTTTTGAGGCAGAGTCTCACTCTATCACCCAGGCTGGAGTGCAGTGGTGCGATCTTGGCTCGCTGCAACTTCCGCCTCCCAGGTTCAAGCGATTCTCCTGCCTCAGCCTCCTGAGTAGCTGGGACCATACCAAGCTAATTTTTGTATTTTTAGTAGAGATACGGTTTTGCCACGTTGGCCAGACTGCTCTCAAACTCCTGACCTCAAGTGATCCGCCCACCTCAGCCTCCCAAAGTGGTGGGATGACAGGCATGAGCCACAGTGCCTGGCCTGGCTCAATTTGAATATTGGGATGTCTCAGGGAATAGGGAGGCTGAAGTGGAAGGAAAGAGATAAGAGAATGGCCAGTTGGTGGAGCAGTCAGAACACACACAGCATTTATCGACTACTTCAGTCTTATATGGGTGTGGTTCATGGTGCCCCAAAACAAAAACACCAAAGATCACTGATCACAGATCACCGTAATAGATATCATGATTATGAAAAAGTTTGATATATTGCTAGAGTCACCAATATGTGACACAGAAACAAGAAATTGAACACCTGCTGTTGGAAGAATGGCGCTGATGCAGAGAGCCTTCCTTGTTCCACACAGAGTTGTTACAAACTTTCAATTTGTAAAAAACACAGCATCTGCCAAGCACAATAAAGTGAAATGAAATAAAACAAGATGTGCCTCTTCTGCCAAAAACTGCAAAATTTTTCAAAAATTTAAAGTGAATCTTAAAATGTATACTTTTTTATTTTTGTTAATAAAAACTTCCTTGAGTAGGCTCAGATTTGTCGTCATAAGAATATTTTTGTTTTGATTTCATTCCAACATTGAAATTAAACTGTTTCCTAAGAATACCAGCTGCTATGAGGGATTCGTGATCTGAAAGTACCACAGAAAGCAAAGAACAGAAAATGAAAACATGGTGATTAAATGTCCATTGGATGAGTCATATGATGGTTATCCTGAAAGAACCTGAAAATGAAACATCCCTAAAACTATGAGAAGCAAAAAAAAAGTGCTGTCTAAATATACACTTGCCAGTAAATGCGTGTAAGGGCAGATTCCAGCGTGGGCATAAACCAATATTAAATTAATAACCACAAAAGAAGCTCTATTGATTAGCCTATTGCCTCACCTGTAATGCCAGTACTTAAATCTGAATGCAAACACTAATGAACAGGTTTAGGTTGTACTTTACAGTGATTGACAGCACTACGGGAAGTCAGATGCCAATGTTTTCTCATTGTAATATGTTAAGAACCTTTTTCCCTCCCAGAATCACCATGCAAAGCTATCCTCCAGGAAAATCACAGGTGGATCTAGATCCATCACATTTTAACTACAACTGTAGTTATAGTTAAACAGTGATTTAATATTTTACAAAATCTCAAAGATGTTGACTACTAATAATATGTTACTAATTATATTTTTGGAGAAATCTCACTGTTGAAACTAGGACTAAACCAAATTATAAGAACGTAAGAAAGACATGCCACATAACACTAATAAGCAATGAGTCTTTTTCCACAGATTCTTTTTATTTTATTTTTTATTTTTTTATTTTTTTATTTTTTTTTACACAATTCTCTCTAAAGGACACTTGTTGGATAGCAGATGGAGGTTGTATGGCATTGACCTCAAAGGTTAATGATGTATCTTTAAGTATTCATTACACAACTTTAACAATTCCTTACACAGTGAAACATTTTAGAGTTTTCAAAGGGCTTTCACTTTGACTGCTGATTATATTGTGAAGGATTGAATAATGTACAAAGTGTCTCAAGCGTATGTTTTTCTTCACAGCATAATCCTGACATGTTTAAATATGCTATAAAAGTATATTGGATGAATTAATGAATTTGGTCCACACAACAAACTATGTTAGGCATACATAGAAGAATTATTATACAATTTTACATGCTAGAAACAGTTCTAGTGATTTGCTAGGATGTCTTAACTATAGATAAAAGCCTGAGAAGGAATAAAGAAGTGAAATAGCCAATAAAAATCTATAGACATGGAAATTTTCAAAGAACACATACATTTATTTCAACACTGTTATTATACTTATCAGAAATGATCAACAAAATATAGTAGACAAATGGAAGCCTCAAATCAGGATTCATGTTTTCTCAGTTTTTAGATTTTACTATTTGTACCTTGTGATGTAACTTAGTTTGTTGTTTGTTTGTTTGTTTTTATCCACAGGGGCCAACATCACTAACTTTTTTTGGTATTCGCTTTGAGGATTTATCTTTATCTTTTAAGGGTTAAGGAAGATAATATTTGAATCTTTCTTAAACCCGTTTACGTCTTAAGTAAAGTAACATTTCCTCTGAGTCTTAGATAAATGGGTTTGAATGCCAGTTTTAAAATTGGGTGAAGAGTGTTTCAAATCTAGAAAACCATGTGAGCAAAGCCCTGATGTGAGAAACTTCTGAGGATATGTAGGGAAAGTAAGTTTGGTAGATTCATGAAATACATGAAAAGGAAAGGGTTCATGTGTGAGGATTACATTATGAAGCACCTTGGATACCAAACAGAGCACGTTGTCCCATGGACGGTAGGAAGCTATAGACGGTTACTTAGCAGAAGAGTTTCAGTGTAGGTCACTGTTTCCTTTTTAATAATAATGAGTTCATAGCCATATCTCTGCTATAGTGTGATCACTCTGGTGATAATAACAGAAAAGTAGGGTGTGTGTGTGTGTGTGTGTGTTGGAAGACAGGATTAGAGTAAGAAACTGGGTAGGATTACCATCTGAGAGGCGCTATTTCAATAGTCCAATTAAAATGGAACACGTACCTACTACTTGCTAACTTGCTAGGTGTATAAACTAGGACAAGTTACTTCCCTCTAAGCCTTGTTTTCCTCATTTGAATCCTATAGAATTGTTGCTTTAATTAAGTGAGAAATTGTATATACTACAATTATTAACACCATGTCAGATATATCACGGGTACTTAATAGGTATTTATAATTATTATATCAAGCCAATTAAAATATGTTGTTTTGGGAGAGGAGGACTTTACAATTACTTATCATTATTGTGTATTTATTTTCATTGACAAAAAATGTACGTATTTATGAGATAAAATGTGATGTTTTGATATTTGCACACAGTGTGGAATGATTATGTTAATTAGCTTGACTTCAAGCTAATTAACATGTTCCTCACCTCACATAATTTTTTGTGTGTGTGTGATGAGAACATTTAAAATCTTTCTTAGCATTTCAAATATACAGTACATTATAATTATAGTCACCATGCTATATGATAGTTCTCCAGAATTTATTCTTCTGATGAATATGTTTCAGTAAAATATTTTTGTCTTTTCTCAATAAAACTTTCTTTCATAGCTGGGACATCCTATTTGACAAAGATAACAAGGCACATCCACACCGTCTTTCCTAAGACTATCCTCTTGGCCACTCTCAGCTAAGAAAGCTTGGCTAAGGGGGCCTATAACAGTGAGGTCATGTCACCGGGAGGTTCCGCTATTCTGCACCATACAACCAGAAAGACAGCAAACCTATGAAAGAACACTCTGCCATGCTTGAGAAGCCAAGCATGAGCTCTGCATATTTGTTCTCCTCCCAGAGTGAGTCAACCATGACGTTCACCCATTGCGGAGTGTTTGCTAGGCACTTGGCTTTCATTAATCTTCTTGCATTTCTTTGACCCCACCTGTATATAAGATGGAATGGTGAGACTATTTTTTGTTATTTACCATATTTCTCCTCCTTAAATGGTGGAGGTCTTCTTATGCTGGAGACCAAATAGGAGCTTTGACACATTTCCATGACTGGAAACAGTAAGACCGGAATAGTTATGTATTAGGAACAAAGTATGCAGCAAGCTTTTATGATCAAGGAGATTCTGTTCTACCTTTGGGACTGGTTTTATCTTAGCAGTACTCAAGAATGATTATATGCTGGTCCTAGAATGTACAATAAATGCACATGGTATTGGATGGTAGTAATTTTTGTTGTCAGTCATAACTAAGCAACAGTGACCTGTTATGGTCAATGTATTAAAAAACAGAACATTGAGATAAATAATATTATTTAATCCAACATACTTAACTAAACACTAGCCATATACCAGGCCCCCTACAGTGTGTTGTTGGAATTCCAACATTGCTATGTAGTAGTTCCTTCACTTAAAGTATTTTGAATGGAAGGATCCCCCTAAGGAACAGGCTTGGTGAATAGTAATAACTAAGTAATCCTTCTGGTCTTTAATTAATAAATTTATAGTTAAACAGGATTCATATTAACTTCATTTCATTTTATCCAAGAAGACTTTAGTACTCATTGGAAATATGCCTTCGCATGTTTTGTTTGTTTTGGGGGACACTCACTTTCTTAGACTGCTGGAAAGAAGGAACAGCTGTGTTTTTCTCTCTAAAGTATCAACTTGGTGATTTCCCCTCAGTCTTGTACAGATAAATACATTTTGACATTTGGTTGGGTCGTCTTCTTCAGTCAGATTGGCATTACCAATCCCTTAAGAGTTCATAAACAGAAAAGGAGGAGGCAAGGGAGCAATGAAGAATCAAAATGTAAAGAATTTTATTCTCACAATGAAGACTAAAAGTATGCTTAGGTTTATTTTCCACTTGTTAACTGAATGATTAAAGAAGGAAAAAGTATTTCTTTGTTCTCGAGTTTATTTTTCTGCCTGTCATAAGATACAACTCTGACTATGTTTGCATACATCTTTGTGGTGGGAAGAATGTTATTCGAGAACACATTCCTTTTAATAAAGTTTGGTCATGTAAGCCACTTTGTTATGAAATACAGTACACATTCCTGTTTTATTTATGTCAAATTTTCATTAAGGACATAAAAAATTATAGGTTCAGAGAAAGGGGGAAAATACCCAAATCTCTACATTTAATATGAAACATTGTGTTGAAGTAATCAATCAAACTATTCAGTATTAGCCATATTACTGACAAAGGCCAATATAAAGGCCAAACAGTTCCCCCATTAATGCGTTGGGATTCATGGGGAACTCTGATGTCTGTGGTTGGTGGTGACAGTTTCAGATTAGTATTTTAATATTGTAATTTCCCAGAGTTGCTTCGGAAACAAGAAGATAAGATTCCATTCTCTTGTGAAGAGTATTAAAATTCTAGGATTGAATCTATTCAATTTTTCCACCTGTACGTTTGATGTTAGAATACGTTCAACTTCCTTAAAAACTGCTCTGATGAGTGTTGCAGGGATATCATCAGTTGATTCTTTCATTTGAGAAGCATCTCTTCTGATTTCTGCCATGAAGTAGAAGGGGAATTAAATCTAAGTATGCTTTAGTAACTCGCTAAATATATAGTCCCAATTATAATAACTCAGAAGATTAATATTTGTTTTTGTTAGACCCAGCAGGGTATGTTAAATGAAGCTCAACATTTTGGCCAATCTCGATCTGTTATTAACAGTGTAGACAAATTTTCCACCTATTAATGTACCACTAGTCAATGTACTGGAATTAACTTACTACCTGGAAAAGTCACATTTGATATTTACACGCATATAAGCTTCTAGTTAACATAAGCCCACCTAGTTCACTGGAAACATTAGGACATTTCACTCAAGTTGGAGAAAAAAGTTATTTTCTAATTCAAGAGGCAATTGTATCAGTATAGATGGAGGAGACATGAGGAGGTATTTTTATGAAAATTGCCAAAGTCTAATTAATATTCTTGGTAGAATGGTAGAACTTCTCATCAACTTTTTGAAACAGTAAATCCAATACAGCAATTCATCCATTTACATAGACTTAAAAGTATAATCTGTGATTATTTGTCATTGGTTTAAAAATCTCTGAATGAATTAGACACACATTTAATCCTATAATAAGAAATAAGATCCGTTAGAACATCCTAAATACAGTGTTTATATTTCTTTGCCTGACCTCTGCTGTCAAAAAGCCATGACAGCTGTTTGGTTTCAGGTGTGTTCAATCCAGTGAAGTGGCAAAAATCCTTTTAGAACAAGTTAGATTGCTTCTCTCTTGTTCTACTCCCCATTGTACGCACAAGCGTCATCTCTTTAGATGAGATGGCCACACTTGCAATAACTAGTTCGTTCTTTTTCTTAGGCTAAATTTGAATATTTCCTGTTTATGGCAGGATAGAAACATTTCTAGTATCTGGAAAAGCCTTGGGCTTTCACTCCAGAAGGCAGCCCAGAAGACTGTGCTTTGTGTTTGCCTCCTACCCAATGACATTTCTGTATAGAACAAGTCTACTCCTAAAGGCTGATGGGAAAATAGAAGCATGGCCATCAGAAGCCTACTTCTAGACATTTTTTGCCAGGGCCCAAAGACCTTTGAAAGAAAAGAGGGCTTTTTCCTGCAAATTTATCCAAACAGGTTTTCCTATGATACAAGTTGTTAACTTTCCTTCCTGCTGGATTACTCCCTAACCTATTTCCACTACAAAGTAATGACTTCATTGAACTTTCCCCGATGAATCTGTCACCCAGAAGAGTCATTCTTTAAAACAGAAAGGCAACATATGTAAGGACAATCTTTTGAGACTAACGTAAACTTTTTATTTCTTGCCCAAGTGTAGTATTAAAGAATAGTTAATCTCCTGAATAACACTTCGGGCTAATTTGCCACTCAGAAGAGAGAATTACCAGAAGGAGCTCTGATGGCCACGACTCAGATTTAGTTACAGAAAGAGGTCAATGACCTTTAGAGAACAGAGAGCTCAATGACATGCGTGTTATTTAACCAGACACTGAAATTCATCAGGCAAAGTCATATTTTAAAATATCATATTTTAATAAAATCAATACCTCATATAATTATTAATATAGTTATAGATAAAATATACTGACCCACTATGTGCTGGCACTGTACCAAGTGCTTTACCTACATTTATTTTCTTTAATTATGATAATCTTATGAGATAGGTATATTATCTGTCTTTCCATTTTAAAAATAAAAAGGTGGGGTGGCCAAATAATCTAGTAACAATGAAAATACATATCCAATGTTTATTATTTGCCAGGCCATGTTTTATTATATTTAATAATATTATAAATATAATATTAATAATAAATATAAATATATTTATACTAAAATAAAAATAAAAATAAATATAATAAATATATTTATATTTATAATAAAATAAAAATAAATATAAATATAATATTAATTACATTAACTCATTGAATCTGCAATAAAACCCCATCGAGTAGGTATTATTATTAGTCCCAACTTTAAGGTGAGGTAGTAGAAAGGCACAGGAAAGGTTAAGTAATTGCTCAGAGTCTCAGCTAGGAAGTGGTGGAGTTGTGACTGAAATGCTGATGGTCTGGTTCCTCAGGCCATCCTCTCACCACTGCATTGTACTGTCTCTGCCTTTCCAGGCAGTCAATTACTAATGATTTCTGTCTGCTTAGTGGTAGCAATGGGCCTTAATTTAAAGTCTGTGCTCTTAATTGCTATTTACTCTATTGCCTCTCATTTAGTGTGCTTAATACAAAGTCCTGTGCTTTTCATTGTACATACAAGTGGAAGAGAAGTGTGCAGAGATAATCCCTGTCCTTGGAAGTTTTGCTGTTTGGTAAGGAAACTGTGTTATCTCTAAAAAAGGGGTGTACTCATCCAACTAAAATCAGAATGACTTCTCCAAATGGTAACTCTAGGATGGTTAGAGATCTCTCCATGACTCCAATAACTTTGACTCCTGTAACTCTTAGGACTTCTAGACTCCTATAGGACTCCTATAACTTTGACTATTGAATGAGCCTAGGGGATCTCCACTGAAGACATCTGTAGAGGTTATTTTCTGTAAGAACTGTTATAATTATTAAGAAGTGAGCTAGTGCCGAAGGTTGTACCCCCTCACTACAAAAAGGCAAATGGCTGAACTAATGATTGGCAGTGAAAAGGACAAATCTACCATTAGAGTAATACCAGCTTCAAAGTGGTGGCCTCCATTCTTTGCTAGGGGAGAAAATGAAGATGTGACGAAGGAATTAATGAGGATTCCAAACTTTAATTCAAATGTTTATGGTCCCCAAATATTCTCTGCAAACAAAATGTAGTTTACTGAAGGAAAAATAATTTCTTTCTGGAGACACAAAATAATATTGAGAGAAAAGTGGAGAGGAAAAGAGATTTTTGAGAGAATAAAATCCTAAAAGTTTTGGTTAAGTTTATATCTGATAAAACTGTAAATGTTATAGAAATAACACTAAACTACGAATCAGATGCCCAAGTTCAAGTTCTCACTGAAATCTTAGAATTTATTCTCATAGATAAAATATTATTGTATTTAGTAGATTTTTATTAAAGTGACATTTTCTCACAGACTTTATTTAGTTCACAGCAGACTCTTCCTTTTCTGAGCTCCTATAGTTCATACGATTCACCGAAACTGTCTATATTATTATATTATATACTATCATATAGTATTATTTACTGGACTATGTATTACTATGCCATTTAATTCCATTTCATTATTAAGTTATGTAAGGGTGGGGCTCATGAATTTTACCTCTTTTCAGTTCCTGTTCTTTGCCAAAAGTTGGTGTTCAGTAATTGTTGATGGATTGAGATTAGGACTCCATTAGAAAGGTACTCATAAAATCAATGCTTTCCAAACAAATCAGTGGAATTCAAGCTTATTATTTACTTACTGATAATAATGAACCATAATGAATGCGTAAACCAGGGACCTCACTTTATCCAAGTAGTTGCAACCAATTGTAATAATGTAAATACGGTGATGGATACAATTACTAATTGTCAGTTAATGTAAGTTTATTCTTTGTGTAATCATAGTAGTCTTTTTTCTTAAAGATGACATTTTTGAGCATTGACACTTTCAATACATGATGTATTTACATTGGTAATCATATGCTAAAAAAGACTATTTTTTCAATGACTTTTTATAAAAAAATAAAAGTCAGAAAAAAGAATTGTAATTTCAATCCTGATTCTCCTGGGAGGTTTCTTTTTCTCGTCGCAGTTTGAAGTGAGAAAACTTGTTTTTAATCTAACTCTTACAATTTAGGGTACTATAGATCAATATAATATGGAGGTTTCAGTTATATACTAGGATAATGGAAAGAGCACTACACCGAGACTGGAGATCTGATTAGAATCCCTGGCACTATTGACAACTTTTTGTGTGATGTTGGGTAAATATCTGTGTAACAATCTCTTCCAACAATAACATACTGAGATTCCTCAAGATACAAAATTTGCATTCTTACTTCTACCTTTGGTCCCAATATGCTATTTCTCTGTCATTCTGGGATATTACATTGCTAAGAGTTCCTCATCCTGGAATGAAAACTGCAATTTCATAAATAAAACAATGTAAGGTTGAAATAGCCTTAGTGCTATAAAGAGCTGCAGAGTCTGATGATAAATATATATATATATATCTCACTATATATATCTCACTATATATATATATCTATCTCACTATATATATCTCTGTAATATATAATAAGTGTAATAAGTGGTCTTGGCAGCTTAGGCATCAGAGAGTTGACCAGGTCAAAGTGGGTGGTTTTGCTTGATGCTATTTACCTATTTTTCCCTTGTGCAATTTTAGTTGCTTTGGATAAGTTCTTCTTAATAAATGTTCTCAAGTCAGAAATAGAATGTCCTAGTCCTGCCTCCACTGCTTAATAGTTCCTTATATTGGGTAGGTCACATGTTCTCTTTGAGCTTTAGTTCTCTGACGCTAAAATAAGGATAATAATGTCTAGTTAACATAATTTTCATGAATATTAAATGAGCATTTATCAATTAATACTTATACACTACTAAATATTCCCAAATTCAAGGGATGATAATGATAATGACACCTTGCAGAGAATAAAAAATTTGAGGAAGATACAATAACTCCTTCAGGTGTTTATCCTTAATTAGGTGACTGTACAATATTCTAAATAAAATACCAGCAGTTTTGAAATTGTGGTAGCTTCATAATTTTACAAACTTACTTTTAAACTCGGACTTCTAACGCAATATTTGTCTTAATAAGAAGGAATTATCCACCTGAATATAAACTATTTACTTGATTAAAAATCAATAATACTGCTA
Organism: Homo sapiens; assembly: GCF_000001405.40. Lineage (NCBI taxonomy): Eukaryota > Metazoa > Chordata > Mammalia > Primates > Hominidae > Homo > Homo sapiens. The sequence continues at coordinate 190,728,058 of NC_000003.12, forward strand.
CAACTGCTACCACTATCACTACAAAGATAATTGTATGTTTGATGATGTAAATATCACAATATTTCAAGAATGATCATCCCTCAAAATTAATTAAACCTAAGGCAATCTTTCTGTTTTCCAAGGGTATGATTATTGTATATAGAGAAATGTTTGCTTGATATCTTTTATTTCAGATATTGTGAAGTGCGGTAGAGTAATTACTCTTTGCATCCAAAGGATATCAAGAATGACTCAGGACAAATGTACACCTATTGGGCTAGGATAAGAAAGGCAGGAATAATCAGGGAGAGAGCTCTCTTTCTTGTTTGGACTGAAACTACCTTAGCTTCAAAAGGAGAACACCTAGGCGATGGGTTGATCTGCGCAGCAAACCACCATGGCACGTGTTTACCTGCGTAACAAATCTGTACATCCTGCAGGTGTAACCCAGAATTTAAAATAAAAGTTGATGGAAAAAAAAAAGAAAAAGAAAAAGAAAAAAGGAGAATCAAGCCCAGTGAAAACATAGGTCTTAACAGAAACTTCAATCAGAAGTCTAAAGAATTTCACTGGGTTTTTCAATACCTGCTCAGAAGTTGATCATTTTCAACAACTGAAGTTGAGCCATAGAACTCTGGGACTAGCATTTTTCACAACTAAATGTGTTCACGTTTCAATGCTTCTGAGCCATACTTAGCCAAAGAGAGTGTGTCAGTTGCTTGCTTAGATGGTCATGCAGTCAGGTCACTATCATCCAAGGATTTGGCAGCCTGTCTTCATGAGCAACCTTCACTACTGAAATGTATGACTTCAGTTTCAAGACTCTTGATAAGTAAATAATGGCAAAGTAACTACAGATATTAAAAATATTAATGAGGAAATTAATTATTATGAACTTTCCTCTGAAAGATGGCTGGAGAGGCAGTGACTGCTATTTGGCTACTCTGGGTTTGTGGTTAGAGCCCGTAGAGAGGCTTTGGCAGGATTAAGCAATGTTGACAGACACATGCAACCGAAGTCTCTAGTATGTGTTTACGTGCTATGATTCAGCTCAAAAATGGGGCAGAGAAAATTTACGGAACGCTTAAAGTTGCAAAAACAATCCAGTTTTTGATTGCTAAGCAAAAGTACCTGAGGGTATCTAAGTTTTAAAAATGAAGTGCTCTGTTCCGTAAAGTTTTTAGAGCATTTTTTAATATGTGAGCTAATGTAAAAATATAACAGATGTCATAAATAGATAGGGAATTTGTTTTTATTTGAAAAACTACTAGGGATGTGATTATTTGTCTAAAGTTGATAAGAGGCAGAATCACCAGAACCTAAGAAGACATACCCTAGATAGTAACTGGTCAGGGAGATAAAGAAAGTAAATCTTTGTGTTGTTTTTGTTTTTAAGTGAGAAAGTGATTCTGACCCACCTACCAAGTTATTACATTGGGCTCTGGTTTTTAACAACATAGCATATATCAAGATCACCCATGAAACAAAACAAAATATTAAAAAAAGGGGAGGCAAGTCCCTGCCCCCAAAATATCTGACTCAGAACAATTGATGTAAGGCCCTAGAGACATGCCCAGTTAAACCAATTTGTTTAGTTCACAGAAGATGTATCCACACAAAAAGACATTTCTTTCCTGGATTGTTTTCACACATTAACTTCATATTATTCGTATTATTTGATGAGGTATTTAACCAAATTACTTTTCACTTACCTTGCTTCTCTGCTAGGTTATAAGAAAAGTAATTGGGATTATCAAGTATATTTTACCGAAGTTTTATGGACAACAGCCTTCTCTGTTAATTTCTTTACAAAAGAAGGTTTTCTGAAAGTCAGCTAAGGGTCAGACACTGCTAAGTTCACAGATTTAAAGCTCAACAACAGCCAGCTCCTGACCTCAAGGAGTTCACAATTTAGTTGCAGACAAACAGGTCAAGTATGAGCAGTCAGAATCAATGTCTTTCTTCTTGGCACTCACAGAGTCCTTTATACTAATTTAAAAATTCTCAATGTATTCTGTCTTTTGTGGCTATATCCATATCTATCTCCTCAAGTAGACTGAAATTTTCCTGAGGGCGGAGATAGCTACAGTCCCATAGGTCTGTTGGTACCAACATATAATAAGGATAAGTAAATCAAACCTGATAAAAGAAAACGAGCAAATATCTTGCAGATGTGATTGTTGATAAAAAGTCATCTCAACTTTGCATAATTATACAAGATTTACTTAAATCCCAAACTGGAAAATTAAAGATCATCCTTTGTTCTTCTATGTCTCTATATCCAAATCCAAAGGACACAGAATTTGACTGATTATATGTCAAGAATTGCATTCTTGAATATTTTTACTTTTATTTATTTACTTATGTAAAATCAACATTTCTCACTTGGACTATTGCAAAAACAATATGCTATCAGATACTTATTTTCTCTCACCAGGACTTCCACTCTTTCTCCAAGTCTATCTTCCTATAGAGCAAATTTGATCTTTTCTCATGCTTATAAACCCCTTTTGACACCCCTTTTGCTTATAAGATAAAATCCAAACACCTCAGCAGATGAATTTCTTCTTCTTGCCCCAGCTTACATCCCCAGACATGGCCATCTGCAACCCCTCTCCCCACTGCCCTTCAAATGCATCAGGCTTCTTAAATATCTTTTATCTTGCCACGTGCTGCTCATTCCTTTTAGGAAGCCCCTTCTCATTTTTATTCCTGATGAAGTCTTAATCAGGCTGTAAACAATCCCCAATACTACATTTGTGACACGTTCCTGAATTATCTCTCCAAAATTAGTATTTCTATCTCTGTATGGTGAAGTTCAAATTTCAGAATATAATTCAAAGCCCAATTGTAAAATTTTTGCTCTTCTAATCTTGCCACTGGCTTAATATTTCTGAACCTATTAGTCCTATGAGGTAAGGTTTTTACAACTACAGGAATATCTTTCTGAAAAAACAGGTAACTTTAGAAGAGCTAACATGCTACAAAACTCCTGGAATTTACCTAACACTTCAGAGTTTATAATACATTTGCATTTATTTAATTTCAAATCAGGAAGACAAATATCTCTAATCACTAATATTTAAATCAAAGAAATCATCTTTCTGATTTTGCTTTTCTGCAGCTAAATGTTTCCGTAGCCTTCTCTTTCAGTTTGTTAAATATACATAGTTGTGGACAAGATCTCTCCTGACAATTCTGCTGCTCAGGCTATTGAACAGTCTCCTGAAGGAGGTGAGGCTGTAGGGCCTAGAGGATCACATGGGGTTCAAGACCGAAACCCTGGGGCACCTAATGAAAACAGTAGCTCCTGTAAGTACTCTGAGCTGTTCATTTCCCAACACACATGCATGCATACATGCACAATATACATTTGGAGTAAATTCATAACATGCAGTTCATTTTTAAGGAAAGAAATAATACAAATGATATAGTTTCATCACTCAAAGCTAAGCACTCTCCTGATTTGGATCTATGTCCTTGCCGTCTTTCTTTTTGAAAAATATCACATCTCATCACCTGTTATTTGTCACAAAGAGTATATTTTAAATGTTTTATCTTTGATTTTTTTTAAAGTTGAAATTTATAAAATTTTCATTGGAGCTTGGTAGAAAACTCAGAGAGGGTCCATTATAGAGCTAAGGGCAGTCACAGTTCAGCTGCTTCATGTTCTTAAAGAGAAGGTGGATGCTGATACTTGTCTAAGGCATTCTTGGGAAGGTAGTCTGCCCTAGAGAGCTCTGTCATAATCCCGTGACAGCTTTGCCACATGACATTGTTGCAGAATTTTGCTCCTTAGTTCAGCTAAACCAGGTTCTTGTCACACAACCAGGAAGGATTAGGAATGCTTACACATTAAAAGGTGAGGGGAATGGAATTTATTGGGCGAAAAGGAAAAAAGAAACATATTCTCAGCAAAGTGAGAGGGGATACTGCTAACAGGCCCCCACCTCACAGATTGAATACCAGGCCACCACACCGGAACTGAAGAGGCCAGGCTTCTCCCCACTGCACAGGGGCTAACTTCCCGTGGCTCCACCCTGTTCTCCCAGTGCACAGGCGGTGGGAGATTCTCCAGAAATCCTCCTCCTTATCTGCCTCCTGCATCTATCAACATGACTGGGCCTTACTGTTCTCCAGTACAAAACATGATGACCTATTTAACTCTCTGTAATATATTTTGAAAATGATTATGTATCTATCTATTTATCTATCTATTATCTATTACCTATCTGTTTTCTATCTATTATCTATTACCTATCTATCTATCTGTTATCTATCTATCTATCTATCATCTATCTGTTATCTATCTATCTGTTATCTATCTATCTATCTATCTGATATGGTTTGGCTGTGTCCCCACACAAATCTCATCTTGAACTGTAACTCCCACAATTCCCATGTGTCATGGGAGGAACCCAGTGGGAGGTCACTGAATCATGGGGGTGGGTCTTTCCCATCCTGTTCTAGTGATAGTGAATAGGTCTCATTAGATCTGATGGCTTTAAAAACGGGGTCTCCCTGAACAAGGTCTCCATGTAAGATGTGACTTGCTGTTCTTTGCCTTCCTCCATGATTGTGAGGTCTCCCCAGCCATGTGGAACTGTAAGTCCAATAAACGTCTTTCTTTTGTAAATTGCCCAGTTTCAGGTATGTCTTTATCAGCAGCATGAAAACAGACTAATTAGCTAGCTAGCTAGCTAGCTACTGCCTTAGATAAATGTCCCTAGGGCCTCAGTTTCTTTATTTATAAAATGAATGTGTCAGCCAGATATTTTAAAAAGCCTTATCCAACCCCTATATTTCCAGTTTCTAAATCAATTTTCTAGGCTGTCATTTAAATATAATCAACCTAATTTTTACCATTAGAATCAGAACAATTACTCACTCCATTCTTTTTAAAAACTTTATAGTATTTGTTCAGCTAATTTCCTAGTGGTCATTTTTAGGCCTATGGTTTTGCAAATGCAGCTGCTACTTCAAGATTTTCAAACAGAGCCTCAAATTTAATGTAAATCCTTAAACTATTTTACTTATTAATTTATTCCATTTCTTATAACGCTAGATTGCTAAGCACTATTTTATGGCCAAGTGCCCTATTTCTGTCTTCTCAGCTCTGCTTCTAATGCAGTTCTCCTTATGATTTGGCTTTGCTCAGTTCACTGCTAGAATAGCTACAAAACTTTTCAAGCCTGCAACTCAAATCAGACCTCCATCTTAATTTTCACTCCTACAAATACTAAAGGATCAAATGTATGATAAGGTAAGATAACACTATCAAAATCAGAAATGATCTTAAAGTTGATTTTCCCCAGTCCTTTCATTAGAGAGGTGCAGGAGAAATCTTGAACCCCAGGCTAAGTGATTTAATCAGACTCACAGAGGAAATTTCTGTCAAAGCCAGAACTGACTTCCTCCTCTCCCAATTCCTACTCAGTCCTCTTTCAACAATATCCTGTGCCTTTCTGATGTGATTTGTAAAAGCGTCTCTTATGACACGTACCCAGACATTTTCCTGTATTTAACACAAAAGGAAATGGTGTTTGGCAATCTTGTTGCTACTTTCTATCTTCCTGACCTTTAGATTTTATGCTGCGATTTCCTGGAAGTGAATCTTACTACATCAAACACAATTTTTTCCAAAGTCATCAACTTGTTCTACCTTCTGAATTCATCACAGCTCACAGGTATAAAAGCCCCTTAAGGAATTACTAAATGTCTCAGACATTTCAAAGATGTGCTGGGTCAAATTACCATTTAGAAAGAGGACACTTAAATTAGAGGTGAATAAAAGAGTTGAAAATCAACTGATTTACTCCCTAAAGGAAACAGGAGTGTCTCAATTAAATGCAGTATTAGGTCACACTTCCCTGGAGATTTTACAGTGATATATGCTTCTAGTGTCCCTGAAAAACCAAGCCTTTATGGATGACCTAATTTAGTTATAAAAATAATTGTTATAAAGGGCAGTATTCACCTTACATTAGACTAAAGCCTAGGACTATTAAAATTCATTAGTCCATTTGCTTCAGTTAAAGCACACTACTTATCTATTATTGGGCCTCAATTTTCTCTTTCTCTCTCTTTTTTTATTCCTGCTTTAAAACCTGTTCAACTTATGAGCTCATAAAATGCTTCCTAATCAAAAGTGCTAGCTCTCATTCAGTAAATCTTATGGCACTTAATCTCTGGCTTGTGCCACTTAGATTTATGAGCGATCATGAATTATGCTTCTTTCTTTTCTCCCCCATTACATTGTAAGCAACTTTATGCAAGAAATTGAATTCATTCTTTATCCCTAAAAGCCATCTTAGGTCCTGGAGTGCAGTAGGGGTTCAGCAGATGCCCAAACTTACTGAGCAGAAGCTGATATGTGTTTGGTTCTACTCACTGTACCACCCAGAGAAAGGCTCAGAAATGTATAGCTATATGGCAATTGTAGAGAGAAATGTTTTCTTGAAATCTATGCCAAAAGAGTCAAAATGTTCTATATGTGTTCAAAGGAATAAGTTATTAGTTTTGAGCCAGAAACTGAAAATGAGAATCAGCTGATTTTGTATGTGAAGAAAACAAAATTCATAAACCACTTAAACCACCCAACCGAAACACAAACAGGAGTGGGCTGTTAGGTATTTACATTAGACTTAACATTCATTTCTTTAAATGAGGAACTAGTTTAAGTTAGTTTCTAAAAAGTGATAATTTACCAGCAAACAGTCACATGTATCTGCATGGCAGTAGACTTGGCAGTGCTTAGAAGGGGAACAAAACAAAGAGAAATGAACAAATCACCCTAAGTATCAACACCGATCTATTTATTTGATTTAATCAATCTCATGGCATTTTGGACTTCCTCATCAAATAAAGGCACAAAAGTTGAGTTAGGTCAGTCATCCTTCTTGGTTTTTGTCTTGGGAGATTTATTCTGCTCACATGCAAAAGAAAGTAAAGTTGGCTTTTTCAACTTGTATTAAAGCATTTAACAATGTGATTCAAATCCATAAAATGTCTACTGAAACCATTAGCTTTAAAGTAAACCCTGAAGGAATTTAAATAAAGGCTGAGTCCTCAAAGGATCTCCTATATTACAAGTGCATTTTACATCTGCCACCAAAATGCCTAGTGAACGAGGGCTGAATTCATTCCGTCACTGGAATGAAGATCTACCATATTTTATTTCAACCACAAATTTTGTGTGTGGGATTAGGAAAGCACCAAAGTGAAGAATAAATGAACTATACCATAAGTTCCACATTATCAAAGACTTTGGAAGTATTTGATAATGGACATTGGAAGGTGTTCAAATATCACTTTCTAACAACTCATTTGTTTCACAAATACCTTTTCTGGTGATTTCAGCCTCTCCTTGCACAACTTCTAGGTCAGGGAATAACTCATAATCTTCTAGGGCTAGCCTATGCTATCTTTAAATGATTTTATTAAAATATTTTGTCAATATCTGTTACCTTGAAGTTTCTATTCATAGTGTAATTGTGTTTCTTATAACCACGTATTTATTAATTTTACCCACGTGAAAATCTTTCCAATGGAATAAAGCTTATAACTTCTAGTCTATCCAGGCTAAGTACCATTACTTTTCAATTGTTTCTCTATGTGATGACAAAAAATCTCACTACTATTGTTTTGCTCTTTATATAAAGACTAAAATACATCTAAGTTTATGAAGTTCAGACTTACATACGAAGTACAACACATTTTTTCCAAGGTTGATTTTCTGGCTTGCCTTATCAATTAATGTTTCTTATTAAAATAAATTATTAATGTGAATTGCATTCATAAAAGTGATAATACAGAATATTTAGTGATTAACCCAATGATAAATATGCATATTTCATATAAAATAGTAACAAATTATTGAATATATTAAATAAGAGCTGAAACTTTTATTATGGATAAGAAGCTTATTATAAATATTTCAGTTTTTCTATATTAATTTATACAGTTAATACAATTTCACTGCTACTACTACTACGTGTACAAATTCACTACTTAAATTTCACTTCTTGTATTGTAGTAACTGTATAAATTGATATGGGAAAATAGAAATATTTATAATGATTAAACTTCTAGAAGAGAGTTCTAGGAACTCTGTAATGAGACAACAAACATCCTCTGGAAATATAAACAAACAGGTAATGAATATCAAAGAGTATTAAAAGCAAAACAATTGACATACATTTAAATATATTTTTATAAATTAAAACATGCAGTACTGGATAAAACAGATGTGCAAAATAGAATATAGACAATGTAATAGACCACACATGAATTTAACATATTTGAGAAGATGCTTGCCAATCATAGAGAGTTTGGAGCCTATTTAATAATAGGTATAGAATAAACATTTAGAAATGTATAAGAAAATCTAACTTCTCAAATTGTACTAAAATATTATGTTTAGATTAAAGAGTTATATGTATAATAAGAAATGAAATTAGTTTTCTGGAGCCATAAATTTTTGTAATGTTAAAATTTACAGAAAAATTTCAAAAGTACTTGCAACTTTCTCCTTACCGTGTTCCAGTAGCATGGTGGATTAATACAGTGGACTAGCACAATATTATGCAGAATTTAAAGATGATCAGAGTTTCTACCAAATATTGTGATAGAAAGCAAGAGAACTGATATAGTTCAAGGTAAAAGTAATACATTTGTGCTACTCTCTGTCTCATATAAAACAAACTATTTTTCCTTTATTAATGAGGATTGAGAATACATTTTCCAGATCCATAGCTAAAAAACAAGTATCAGTAGCCATTTTTATCTGTTCCAGTAAGGATGCATAGCTGCATTTAGTCCCACAATTTCATGACAGCAACCATATTTCTCTGTTATCTGCCATGATCCATCTGAATTTGCAGGCGCTACATAGCTGAACTGAATGGGAGATCATCACTCCAGCATACTTTATATCTTTGGTGATGACACTGACCTCTAGAATTCCTCTTGGGATGTGATATTGATGCTGACTTACTGTCTTGGTAGTTTGAGGGAAGAGTTTTAGGAGCTTTCACTTGGCCTTTTAAATATAATATTGTTTATTCCACAGTCACAATGAAGGTTCTACCAGCTTCTTAATATATTCATCTCAATTATGCTCTTGGGATCAGGGAAATGACCAGAGTATGTGCCCTCAGACCTGTTGCATCTGTAGTGAGATATATTTGGACCATAATTTCATTCATCGCCTGGCCTTCAAAAGTCCTCATCCTGATGGTGGGGTTGGGGGACACACAATGTGTTTCAGAGTCCATCTCTTAGATCCAATGTCAGTTCAGACTGTATATCAAACTTCCCTATAAAGATATGGAGATTTTCTCTTCTCCAGTGAACTGTTACCTTCTAAATGGATACAGGTTTCTGTGGGGGAAGTAGTTATTTTATGTACATGTGCTGACACTGCAGGGTCTTTCTCCAAGACTTGGCCTCCCTTTTAATTGATGAGCTCTGGTTCTCAAGATCGTCCCATATAAAGAAACTGTGAGGGATCGCTATTTTCCTTTGCAGTTGCTGACATCGGCTTTCTGATTGCCTATATTTGAATTCCTGGTAATACAGTTATAGTTCAACTACCTTACCAGGCTGAGTTAGTCATCACCACAGATTCCTAATGTTCTAAACACCCTGGTTGCCACACCAACTTTGTAGTTAAATTCAGTTTGCCTTAGATGATTAGTGCTAATATCTGGCCTTTCCTATATTTTCGGATCTGATCAACCCCATTGAAACTCAGGTTCCCAGGTCCATGCACTACTTTCTACAGTCAGCTTTGACTGAGAGAGGATGGTCAGCAATAAAATTCGCAATAAAGTCCATGTTTCCTCACGTATGCATTCCTATCATCTTAATGAAGACAATGGTGTGCCTCCTCAGGGAACACAGGGCAACTATCAGCTCTCTAGTTTTACAAGTTAAATCCATTATTACTTGCCTATTTCCCATGTCTTCTGACTTCTTTCACAGAATTCTGATAAGACAATTCTTGCATTTCTACTTCATTTACTCTATGCCATTTTCATTATGCCCAAGATCTAAAGAACCATTTTCCAGCAATATTTTAGGGCCATATCTGTGTGTCCTTGCCATAACGTTGCCATAATGTTAAATCCTGAGTCATGGAGGAGTTCTCCTATATCAGTAGCCATTTCTGTATGCTGTCTGACATTCAAACTTTCCACCCTGGCCTAACACTGTCAGAGTCCATTCCCTCATATGTTCTCCTGGTTTCTTTTTGTACAGGTTACTTAGTTAGAACTTGAAACACTTTTGGAAAGAAAGCTATCTACTATCTGGGCAAAGATTGTACATCCTTTCTAGCCTTTGTTTAACCTGACCCTCGTTATTGGTCTGCAGGCATCAAAGAAAACAGAGACAGATTTTTGGGAGAAAAGTACCATCTTGCAAGATCATCACCTCATATAAGGTATTTGTATTGTCTCCAGGAAAGAGAAAAGGTACTCTTTTCCAGCAAGAAGAATGAGGTCACTTCTTATCAGCGGAGTCTGGTAGATTATGTTCTTAAATACGTATATCTAAATATTTTATTCCAAAGTTTCAAGGTCTAATATCTTCCCCATCACAGCTTTGATTTTAGCATATGGAATTCATTACAGTTTGGATTTAGTTTCTTTTACAATTCTGTCATGCTAATGATTAAATCCTGAACTTGATTTTAAGATCAGTCTACCCTTTGGCTTCAAGAAATGAAGATGCCTTTAAATGCTATGGGAAGGTCTTCCAGCTTTCACAGCATTTCCTGAGTTGGTTGTTGGCTGACCTGATCATGCCTTTCTCTTTTTTAAAGGCTTATAGAGAAATGTACAAAAGTCAGCCAACTCCATAATACTTAAAATTGCTATTACTCTCATATCTTTCAAGGGCTGGAGTTGTTGCATAAGTCAGCATGTCTTCATTATCCCAGTCCACCGCAGAGTCTTAGCATGTCAGGGGTGATTACCATTCTCTTATCTCCAACAATGGAGCTCTTGTGGCCATCTGATTGGTGAGTGATCCTATTCAAAATTCAATCCTGAGAATCTAATTCCTAGGGCCATTTTCATTGCAATTCTCTCAGTTCGAGTTTCTCTGAGAGCAGACCCTATAACAGGCACCTTGCAATCCCATAAAGCAAATGAAAATGAGCATGAATAATAATACAGAGAAGAAGGAAAAGCCAATAAAGAAGAAGTTAATAGGTGGTTTATAATTGTGGTGAACCAGATAGAATGCACCTCAGAATTGTCCCCAAAGTGGATGAAAATCCCTGGGGACAATAATTCACCAACTCCTCCGCTCTGTTAGTTGAGGGTTTCCTTCAGCACTATTAATACCCCTATACTTAGAGGTTGTATCTGAACATGTCAGAGCAGCTTTCTTGGCTTTGCAAAAAGCAAGAGGGAGTCTTTGAAGTCGACTCTTGATAGGGGACACATGAAGTGCAGGGAACTATCCGTCACAATCATACTGAAGTCAGATGGGCAGAGGAGGTTTATCTTGGTGCATCACATGCTTCAGCTAAAAATGATTATCATGTCAATCCCACTTTGTAAAAAATATTCTTTGGCTTGCAATTTTTTGCAGGACAAATACCATAGTCTTTAGCAAGTTATATATAATCATTTCAAATTGACTTCTACTTACTTTTCAAGCCTCATGTACATAAAAATCCACTCCCTAAACACTTCACTATCTATTCATATAAAACTGCTTCTTGGTGTCAACAATGTCTGCTCTTTCATCACTTCCAGACTTTGCACATGTGATCTTCTCTTCCTGACATATCGTTAAGTTTTGCTACCCTTTCTAGACAGAATAAACTTAAAATTTCTTGCTACGACATTCAAATCCCTCTAAAACTGGTATTTCTCCTGCCTCGTCACCATGGCATTGCTTTCCAAACACGCTAGAAAACCTTCCTTACTTTTTTTTTAATGTTTCAGTGCAATAGTCACATGCATCATGAAGCATTGTGAGACTTTCTTATCCATATCCTTCAGGACTGAATGAGTCACTTCAACCTCATCTCATGCAATGATTTTATATATTGCTGTCATGGCATTTATCCTGCATTACGGTAATCTGCATTAGAATGTGTGCTGTTAGGAATATGAAACATTGTCTAATTTGCTTCTTTGCATCTCTAATACTGTTGTTGGTTAGTTGAATGTTGAATCAATAAAGGAGGGAAGATAACATTTTTGTATGTTTTTAAATTTATATGAAAATAAAACCAACTCTATGACAGGCTACTTTGCTGATTCAAGATTATTTGAAGCTCAACAGATTTTTATCTGCATACTTAGTATATTTTGTATACTTTATACCTTAAATTATAATTGACAGTTGCGATCGAAATCCATTTTTGTAAACATTTTTATAAATAGTAGTAACAGAGCTAAATTTAAGTAGACAGAGAGAGTAATATATATAATCGTATTATATCCTTTTAAGAAAGAATGAATATTAAAGTATTTGGATAATGAAGCAATAGACAGAAAGTTGAGACAGCTTTGAGATATTAATTACATTCAATTCAAACTCATGGAGAAAATGTTATGAGTAATATAAGCATACCATCAATGAGATTGTTGACTGCTTAATTAAAAAATATAGCAAATTATGTAATCTAGCTGGTCTTTTCTTCTCATGGGTAAAATGAAGAGGTGGGACAACTTAGGCTAAAATTATTCAAATGAATAAAAGTTTTTGTTAAAATTATTGCTTCCATCACTAACTTTTTGGCTCATCTCTGTTTTTTTTTTCCCCCTAAGAAAGCTACCACATCCAACTCCCTCACTATTTTGTTGTCCCTCTTTCTCCCATTAGGGTTCATGCAAAGTTCAAGATAGGCTGAGATTTGAATGTAAATGATTTGGAAAAGTAACCCTTTATTGTCTATTTGTTTTCCATTAGAATTGTCAAGATTCATGAAGTTAGAGCCTTTGTTTTCATTCACTTCTGTAGCTCCAGTTCCTAAAATAGTATGTGGTATGATATGGAAATTCAGTAAATCTTTATTGAATACATAAATATGTTAACTTCCAACTAATCTAGGTTTGAAACAATTTGGTTTTTTATTTGCAGCCAACTAGATATACATTTAAAGATTCTCCCAATAAAAGCAAATATACAATAGTATTTTGTTTGTTTGTTTGAGACAGGGTCTCACTCTGTTTCCCAGGCTGGAGTGCATCAGCATGATCATAGCTCATTGCAGCCTCAGATTCCTGGGCTTAAGCAATCCTCCTGCCAAAACGTCCCAAGTTGCTGAGACTATAGGTGTACTCCACCACACCCACCTTTTTAAAATTTGTTTTTAAAGAGGTGGGGTCTTGCCAAGGCTAGTTTTGAACTCCTGGACTCAAGCAGTTCTCACCCTTCAGCCTCCCAAAGTGTTGAGATTACAGGCATGAGCTACAGCACCTGGCCATACAAGGACTTTTAAAATGCAAATTTTTGGTAAGTTTGCAATAAGGTAAGAATTCATCAAAGGCCTAAACAAAGTCAGGGTAGGAGACACAGGAGATAAGAAAGCTCAGTGACAGGCTAGGCACTGTGGCTCACACCTGTAATTCCAGCGCTTTGAGAGGCTGAGACTGGAGGATTGCTTGAGCCCAGGTGTTCAAGACCAGCCTAAGCAACATGGCAAGACCTTGTCTCTACAATTCTTTTAATTAGCCAGCATTGTGGCATGCCTGTGGTCCTTGTTACTTGGGAGGCTGAAGCAGGAGGATTTCTTAAGCCCAGGAAGTTGAGGCTGCAGTGAGCTGTGCTTGTGCCACCGTATTCCAACCTGGGGGACAGAGTGATACAAGAAGGAGAAGAAAGAAAGAAAGAAGAAAGAAAGGAAGAAAGGAAAGAAAGGAAAGAAAAGAAAGAAGGATGGATGGAAAGAAGAAAGAAAAGGAAAGAAAGAAGGAAAAGGAAAGAAGGAAAGAAAAGAAAGAAAAAGAAAGAAAGAGAAAGAAGGAAAGAAAGAAAGAAAGAAGGACAGGAAGGAAGGAAGAAAGAAAGAAAAAGAAAGAAAGAAAGGCAAGCTCAAGGACAACTTTTATCCAGAGAGATTTTGAAGACTGCATAGAAAGATCTCTTGATGTTTAGGTGGAAACCCAAATAGGGACATCAACATAAAGCTGGCACTTAAAATGATTATGTCTTTAACAAAAGTGTGAGTGAGAAAAAAACTCAATTTGCAGAAATTAGTAACAACAAAAACTTGCATTATTTGACTTTAACAGAATGTTGAGGAAAGAAAACATATTTACCTGAACATTCACAAACACAAGTTGGCTTTCATGTGAATACATAACTCAGATTAACACATCTGCATGATCTAACATAGCATAAGCACAGAGTTATGTTCACAATGGTCCCAGGTTGACGGTGCCCCCAGTCACCTACCAAAGCAAACACTAATTCTCTGAAACAAATACAATTTCAACCTAGACCTTAAAACTTCCCACAATTTCTTAGAATATGAATATTCTTAGAATATGAATCTGTAGCCTAAAGTAAAACACACACACACACACACACACACACACACACACAAATAGGCACAATTAGTGAGACTCAATAGAGAAGAGAAACCCATACAAGTCAGACCTGCAATTATATCAGGTACTGAAATACAAAATATATGACAGAATATTTAGAATATATGTTAATATGTTTCTATAAAAAAGACAGGCTTGGACAAGTGAAATAGTGTAAGTAATAACAAAGAAAACTAAAAAACACTTCTGTTTAAGAATTATTATTATTATTTTTATATGAGACAGGGTCTTGCTCTGTCTCCCAGGCTAGAGTGCAATGACGTGATCACGGCTCACTGCATCCTCTATATCCCAACTCAAGCAATCCTCCCACCTCTGCCCCTGGAGTAGCTGGGACCACAGGTACACGCCACCATGCCCAACTAACTTTTTTACTTTCTATAGCAGCATGTTCTCACTATGTTGCCGAGGCTGATCTTAAACTCCTGGGCTCAAGGGATCCTCCAACCTCAGCCTCCCAAAGTGCTGAGATTACAGGTTTATAAGATACCATGCTCAACCAAAAAACACACTTCTAAAATAAAAAGTAGATAAAATTTAAAACATTATAAATGGAATTTAATATAATATGAATACAATTTAAAACCCAGTGTATGATTAAATAAGAGATTAAACACAGCTGAAGAAAAATCTAGAAAATAGATCTCAATAGACAATTCAAAATACAGTGAAGAGAAACAATGGGAAAATGTGAAAAAGAAGTTAAGAGACATGAAGACCAGAGTAAGTTGGTCTAGCATACCTTTATTTGGAGATATCTCAGAAGGAGATTACATAGAAAATTTGAGAGAGAGGCAATGATAAAAAAAATTGCTGTTAAATTTTCAGAATCGCTATGAAGTATTACTTCTATGTTTTACAAAAACTATTATCATCAAATGGAAAAAGTAATAGTAACACCGATTAACTTAGAGCATGGGGAAATTTTGGAATACCAGAGGCAAGGAGATTATCTCATTATATAAATAAAAAAGAAATTATACACATAAAAAATGATTAAACTTAGATCTGAATTCTCAACAGTAATATATTAATATATTTAAATTAGAGTGCTTGCATAAAAATTTTGGAATGACACATCAAGCTATTAACAGCAATTACCACCAGCGAATAGGATTAGGGTAGGGGGGAGTTTCTCCTGATTTTATGGACTTCTGCAAATCTTTTACTTTTTCGCCAACTAAAACCTTTGTCTTGTGGATTTTTAAAAAGTAAGTACCCTTTTCAAATTTAAGGAAATAAAATGTTATATTTACCTAGTGGAGTGATATGCAGCATATAAAATAAACAGATCTCTCTATCCTACTATGGGAAGATATTCAGTTTATTATTACATGAAAAAGCATGTTGCAGGATGGTGCACACTGGATGATCTAATTTCTATTTAAAATAGAATCGCACACTTGATAATGGCATTTTGGTCAACAATGGACCACATATATAACAGTGGTTCCATAAATTATAATGGAGCTGAGAAATTTCTACTACCTAGTGACGTGGTAGCTGTTGTGAGGACTTTAGTGCAACACACTACTCACATGTTGGTAGTGATCCTGATATAAAGGAACTTACTGTGCTTCCAGTCAGATAAAAGTCTATCACAGACAATTATGTACAGTATATAATACTCGGTAATGATAACAAGTGACTATGTTGCAAGTTATGTATTGGTGAATTTTGTTAACTAAGACAAGAACACACATCTTAGTATAGTACACTTTTTAACTGCTGTTTTAGAGTGTACT
Source organism: Homo sapiens (assembly GCF_000001405.40). Classification (NCBI taxonomy): domain Eukaryota; kingdom Metazoa; phylum Chordata; class Mammalia; order Primates; family Hominidae; genus Homo; species Homo sapiens. Next base: position 190,744,358 of record NC_000003.12, read on the forward strand.
CCTTCTACATATATACATATATGTGTATGTGTGTGCATATATACATGCACACATCCTTATATGTGTGTGTGTATATATATATGTATAATATATATGGATATATCCTCAGACATATCCTTCCTTGAAGAACTATTTCAGAAGAAGGCATTCTTGTCATAGGTGATGACAGCCCCATGTCTGTTATTGTCCATAAAGACATTCCAGGGTGGAGATGGAAGACAGTAATACTAATGATACTCACCCCATGAAGGCCTATACTAAGGTGTGTGTTCTTGTCTTAGGTAACAAAAATATTTGAAAAGTTAAAAAAATTTGAAAGACAGAAAAAAGCTTATACATAAGAACATAAGGAAAGAAAATATTTTTGTACAGCTATACAGTGATTGTGTTTTAAGCTAAGTATTATTTATTATGAAAGTGTCAAAGAGTTACAAAAACAAAGTTCATAAAGAAGTTACAGTAATCTAAGGCTGATTTATTACTGTAGAAAGATGAAATATTTTTAAAAATAAATTTTGTGTAGCCCAAGTGTACAGTGTTTATAAAGTCTACAGTAGTATATACGTATCATTGTGTTATAATCACCTAGAGTATTCAGTGCAGTAACACATTGAAAAGTTTGTTTGTTTGTTTGTTTTTGTTTTGTGAGACGAGTCTCACTGTGTTGCCCAGGCTGGAGTGCAATGGTGCAATCTTGGCTCACTGCAACCTCCGCCTCCCGGGTTCAAGCAATTCTCATGCCCCAGCCTCTGAAGTAGCTGAGATTACAGGTGTGTGCCACCATGCCCTGCTAATTTTTTGTATTTTTGGTAGAGATGGGGTTTCACCATATTGGTCAGGCTGGTCTCGAACTCCTGACCTCAAGTGATCTCCCTCGACCTCCCAAAGTGCTGAGATTCCACGCGTGAGCCACCGTGCCTGGCCTCACACTGTACAGTTTTATAGCCTAAGGGAAATAGGCAATACTATATAGCCTAGATGTGCAGTAGGCTATACCACCCAGGTTTGTGTAAGTACAATCTATCATGTTTGCCAATGATGAACCAGTCAAAGGATGCATTTCTCAGTATGTATCCCTGTTGTTAAGTGATGCATAATTGTACAAGTGAGCAAAACAAGTATGGTATGGTTCGAATACCATTTATTTATCCCCACCAAAACTCATGTTGAAATTTGATTCCCAGTTGGGAGGTGTTGGGAGATGGGGCCTAGTAGGGGGTGTTTTGATTATGGGACAAGATCCCTCATAAATCACTTGGTGCTGTTCTGGAGGTAGTGAGTGAGTTCTTGTTTTGTCAAGACTGGATTGGTTCTAGAGGGAATAGAGAGTGGGTTGTTATAAAGCCAGGATGGCCCTCATGTTTTACTGTCTTCACATGTATCTGCTTACTTTTTGACTTTCTTCAATGTGTTGTGACATAGTGCAAAAGCCTTTGCCAAATGCCAGAGCCATGCCCTTGAACTTCTCAGCCTGCAGAACCGTGAGCTAAATACATCTCTTTTCTTTATAAATTACTCAGTCTCAAGTATTATTTTATAGGAGTACAAAACAGACTAAGACAAATGGTTACTAAGACCAGAAAAATAAGCCTCCCTTATCTGTGAGAGATATGTTCCAAGATCCTCAGTAGATGCCTGAAACCCTGCATAGTACTAAACCCTATATAAACCATGTTTTTTTCTATATATTCATATATACATAAGATAAAGTTTAATTTATAAATTAGGCACAGTAAGAGATTAACAGCAATAACTAATAATAAAATAGAACAACTATTATAATAACATTTATATGCATATAATATGTCTTTCTTTCTCTCCCAAAATACTGTAATATTTTGGGGCCATGATTGACGTAGGGTAACTGAAACCTTGGAAAGTGAATCCATGGAAAATGGGAAACTACTGTATATATACACTTCGTAAATCCCAGTGTCTTTGTTCTTGAGCCTGGGGGTATTTCTTATAAATCAGGATTTGGGATTTAGTGTTCAGATTCTGATAACATTTTGTGTGTGTGTGTGTGTGTGTGTGTGTGTTTTCAACCCAAAGTGAGGACCTATACAAATAGGAGCAGTTCACAGTTTTGGCTTCTGAGTAAGATTGATGACAATAATAAATATAGAAAATGGTAGATTTCATGCTTGAAAGAGTAAAAAAAAAACCAACCCATTTTTAAAAAGCGAAAACAGTGTATGTAAAAGATTTGAGCCAAAGTCAAGCATCAAGCAACCAAAAAGTTACAAGTAATTTGAACTCTGCAGAACCAGATAGGCTTCACATGGGAACAATCCTGTTTCACTTAAAACAGATACACAATCAGCCAAGAACATCATCGGCTCAAAGAATTAGAGCCTTCTTGGTCATGTTCAAGCTGACATCACCAGTAGAGTAAATCTGGAGTAAACAAAACAGGTTTCTTTCTAAATATGGTGCAAATAAGGTTGGACTGAGACATGAGGCCTGGCTCTGCTTCGGACAAGTTTATTCTCCTGTCTAGACCACACTGTTTATTTCTATGTAAAGTTAGAAGCTTAAAATAAAGTTTAGGCAGTGAAAATATGAACTGAAGGATAAACACGGCCTGTCCACCTTAGGATAAGGATCACCTGATATTTTTAGCACAACTTACAACTTTTAACTTGCTAATATAGTTTATTTATTATGAGGGCCTGAAATGATTAAGCGTGTAAGTGTTAAACTGCTTCTGGAAAGTGAGAGGAAGAAAAAAAGAGCTGTTGAGGCTTTCTCAAGGAATTGTCTTCTCTGCAATGGGAGATATATTTTCATTTCTGCGTGCCAAGCCTGAGGAGACTTGTCCCAGAAAAAAAAAATATAGTTTAAAAAGCCTGTTTTGTTTCACATTACAAGTAGGATGCTGATTTTGCAATGAAAAGGCAGAAAAGCAGTGGTCAGCTTGGAGCAATAAAGAACCATATATCCTAAATCTTTCCAAAAGGATGACATTATATATTAACAGAAACATTTTACCATTTGTAATTTGGTGTTAAATTACAGAAATGGGTGAAAATGATTGATCAGGTGACCCAATAATACAACCTTAGATTTTAAAAATTGCTTTTCCTGTTACATATCAAAAGCTTAAGAAAGAAAAATACTTTCCTAATAATTTTTAGCTAAACCTAGAAGACTGGATTAATTTTGAACATTTCAATAACATCTTCTATTTCAATGATTTTAGAAAATTTGACTTCATGGGTATTATGTTGCTTCTTTAAATTCAGCTATTTTTTGCAGGTCAAAAAGAAAATCAAAGCCTTAAGGAACAACTTGGTCCTTGGGCATATATATATTTTTTTTAATCTTTCTTGTGTGGAATGCAAGAAAGAATTCTATTACTTTTGAACCAGCTCATACTAATTTCACAACCTCCTGCTCTGGCATGTCTAAAGAAATGGTTTCATTAGATAGAAAGAGCAACTTATGCAACTAATCACATAAGACTTATTCCTAAGATATGGTTGGGGATGGGAGGGTGAACTCCTCAAACTTTTAAACCCCTTTAAAGTAATCAAAGAAAGTATGTTGAACTCTTGCTCTCCTTCGTTGAGGGGCCTCTTGAGGAAATGCCTTTATTTTCTTCATTTGTTTAAAATGAAGTTTGAAAAATGTGTACTTTTTTAAATTTGGAAATAATTTTAAACTTACAACTTATTTGGAAATAATTTTAAACTTACAACTTATTTGGAAATAATTTTAAACTTAAAATTTATTTGGAAATAATTTTAAACTTAAAACTTATTTGGAAATAATTTTAAACTTAAAACTTATTTGGAAATAATTTTAAACTTAAAACTTACTTGGAAATAATTTTAAACTTAAAACTTACTTGGAAATAATTTTAAACTTAAAACTTACTTGGAAATAATTTTAAACTTAAAACTTACTTGGAAATAATTTTAAACTTAAAACTTATTTGGAAATAATTTTAAACTTAAAACTTATTTGGAAATAATTTTAAACTTAAAACTTATTTGGAAATAATTTTAAACTTAAAACTTATTTGGAAATAATTTTAAACTTAAAAAGTTGTAATAATAAGAAATAATTAAAAGAATATTCATATAACTTTTCCCTAGAGTCACCTAATGTTAACATTTTATCTCATTTGCTTGATCAGTTTTTTTCTCTTTCTTATGTACTTTCTCCTAGAATATACCTTATGTACCTGCTCAGGCTGAATGTATGTATTAGTGTGGAGGCAATGAAGGGAAGCAGAGGCATTCCTGATGAAAACAAAGATGATCTTTCAAGGCAAGTCCCTCAGTTGTCTGTGCAAGAACCCAGGGAACTGGAGGCATCTCTTCTGTTACAAGTGAGAGGAAATGGCTTCTTCTAGGCCAAAGGGCTCAGGAGAATCTGGAGGTCTAAGGTTCTAAGCTTATCCAATCAAATGTCCCCACTGCAGTCTCATTCTTTTTCTATCCACGCCTTGCCTTTGACATAAGAGAACTTTAAAGGTTATACAATTAGTTTCCTCTGCAGCTTTGCTACCTTTGTAATTAATTAGAACTTGGGCCTCTGCCTTGTAGCTGCAAGAGATGAGGGTCTTTTGTTGTTGTTGTTGTTGTTTTTGAGACGGAATCTCTCTCTGTCACCAGGCTAGAGTGTGCAGTGGCGTGATCTCAGCTCACTGCAACCTCTGACTCCTGGGTTCAAGTGATTCTCCTGCCTCATCCTCCCGAGTAGCTAGGACTACAGGCGCGCACAACCACGCCCAGCTAATTTTTGTATTTTTGTAGAGACGGGGTTTCACCAAGTTGGCCAGGGTGGTCTTGATCTCTTGACCTTGTGATCTGCTCGCCTCGGCCTCCCAAAGAGGGTCCTTTTTAAATATTTGCCATGGAGGCTTTCTTATTTTTACAACATAATTACCTGAGTCTGTTGCTTTAATCTTGGATTTGAAGCTGTAAATAAAATCTGGTCAAATCACAATGTATAAAATTATTGTCACCTCTTTATGACTTAAACGCCACCACTTAAAACTACCTCAGAAGCTTAAGCTTCACATTCTGTGTGTACCTTATCCCGGTTCCACTGGTAAAACTCTTAGTGAAGACAATAGTGTGGCATGCAGGGGTTGGCATCGCACACTTCCTAACAGCAACACGGTCCTTACTGCTGTCCGACTGATGAGTGTGTTAGTTGTAGAATCCCATCTTAATAGTAAGCTGTCTACAGTCTCTTCTGTTACTAGACAGGTAAGACTAGTTCCCTCCCAAATCAGGTGTGAAATAATGGCTTACTAAAGATAGTTTGTTTTTGGAAGTGATCCCAAGAGATAAAAGTGAGGGTGGAAAGGATTTTTAAAAAGCAAGAAAGCAAGCCAATCTAAGAGCAAATTATCATGATAATCATCACAGCGGACAACCAGTGATACATTGTGCTAGGTGCCTTGGCGGAACCATGCAGAAAGTGTATTTATTGCCCTTGAATTTTAGAAAAAGGAAGAGTTTATCCACTGGTTCCCATCTCTCATTGATTCACAGTAGCCATATGGGGCTTAACAGATTTCCCCCATGTCTGAATAGGTAACAGGCTTCTGGCCATTGTCTCACAGAGCAGTGGAAGAGAAGCACAGGAAGGGAAGTAAAGTTACTCCGTAACGGGTGACATAAGATGCCATGGATTACACCTGCAACAGGAGGTTGACATAGCACAAACTGGAGTACAAAGGTAGGCTGAAATAATGTACAGTGAGATACAAGTTGAATCACTTATACTTGTCATTTTAAAAAGGGGAGATGTATTATTACCTCAAAAAATGTTAAAACAGGAATAATTTACTAATAAAATGAAGATAAGAACCTGTATTAGTTTTCTATAGCTACTGTAACAAATTATCACAAACTTGGGGGCTAAGACAGCACATAAATATTCTCTTACAGTTCTGAAGTCCACAGGTCCAAAATTAGATTTACTGGGCTATGTTCAATGTATTAACAGAACTGATTCCTTCTGGAGGCTTTAGGGGACAAGGCAATCTTTCCTTTTCTTTTGCAGCTTGTAGAGATTGCCTATTTTTTTTTGGTTTATGTCACTGTATTAGCGATCCCTTAAGAAACAGAACCAATAGGATAAAAATACATACATATATATAATAAATATATACATATATTCAAAACAAAACTTGGAAGTAAATATATATTATATAATATATTTCTCCATATTATGTATAACTTATAGAGATATATATTAATATGTAATATATATCCTATGTATATATATATATAGAGAGAGAGAGAGAGAGAAAGGAATTGGCTCATGCAGCTGTGGGGTCAGCAAATCTGTGATCTTCAGGGCCAGCCAGCAGCTTGGAACCTCAAGGAAGAGTGAATGTTGTAGTCTCAAATGTGAAGGTGGTCTGGAAGCAGAATTTCTTCTTTTTTGAGGAAACTTCCATCTTTTTCTGTTACAGTTTCCAGTTGACTGGATGAGGTGCATCTACACTATGAAGAATAATCTGCTTCATACAAGGTCTACTGATTTAAAAGATAATCACTTCTAAAAAATATTTCACAGCAACATCTATACTGGTGTTTGAATGAACATCTGGACACTGCAACCTAGACAAATTGACATATAAAGTGAGACTTTTTTTTTTTTTGAGGCGGAGTTTCACTCTTGTTGCCCAGGCTGGAGTGCAATGGCACCATCTCGGCTCATTGCAACCTCTGCCTCCCGGGTTCAAGTGATTCTCCTGCCTCAGCCTCCCAAGTAGCTGGGATTATAGGTATGCAGCACCACGCCCAGCTATTTTTGTATATTTAGCAAAGACAGGGTTTCACCATGCTAGCCAGGCTGATTTTTTTTTTTTTTTTTTTTTGAGACGGAGTCTCGCTCTGTCGCCCAGGCTGGAGTGCAGTGGCGCGATCTCGGCTCACTGCAAGCTCCGCCTCCTGGGTTCACGCCATTCTCCTGCCTCAGCCTCCCAAGTAGCTGGGACTACAGGCGCCCGCCACTACGCCCGGCTAATTTTTTGCATTTTTAGTAGAGATGGGGTTTCTCCATGTTGGTCAGGCTGCTCTCGATCTCCTGACCTCAGGTGATCTGCCTGGCTCAGTCTCCCAAAGTGCTGGGATTACAGGTGTGAGCCACCACACCTGGCCGAAATGAATCCTCTTGATAATGCATTAGTCTAATCTCTGCTTCCATTACCACATGACCTTCTCCCTAGTTCTGATTCCTTCTGCATATCACTTATAAGAACCCTTGTGATTATATTCAGCCCATCTAGATAAACCAGGATATTCTCTTCATCTCAAAATCTCTAACTTCATTATATCATTAAAGTCTTTTTGCCATATAAGTTAACATTCACAGGTCCTGAGGATTGGGATGTAGGCACCTTAAAAGGGGCATTATTTAGGCCTGTCCTGTGGCCCCCAAAGATTCACAAGCATCTCACATGCAAAATACTTCCATCAAAATCAGGTGTGTTGAAATTCTGGGTATAATCTATTCTGAGGCAAAAATTTAACTTCATTTCTAGATCTGTGAGACCACAAAACAAGTTATCTGTTTCCAAATTACAGTGGTGGGGCAGGCATAGAACAATAGCTATATGTTCCGATTCCAAAAGGGAGGCAATAGAAAGAAGAAAAGAGTTATTGATCCCAAGTAATTTCAAAATTCAACCAGGCCCACTTCATTAAGTTTGAAGGCCTGGAAATAATCTTCTGTAGCTCTGACTTCACCACGTGGACTCATAGATTCATCTTCCGAGTCCATTCTTATTTTCTTTTCTACATTTGACACATTGTTCTTCATCATTTGACACACTGTTAGGGTCACAGAAAAATTGAATGGAAAGTACAGATAGTTCCTATACATGCCCTTCTCCCACACATGTGCAGCCTTGGCACTATTAAAATCCCTCACTAACTGGTACATTAGTTACATTAATGTGTGAATTAGTAAAACTCCATTCACACATTATATTACCCAGACTCCATAGTTTGCAACAGAGTTCACTATTGGTGTAGCACATTCTGTGGGTTGTAACAAATGCATAATGACATGTACCAACCATTATACAGAGTATTTCCACTGACCTAAAAATTTTCTGTGCTTTAACTGTTCATTCCGCCCTGCTCCCAACCCCTGGGAATTCCTGAACTTTATAATGTCTCCATAGGTGTATATTTTCCAGAATGGCATACAGAAGGAATCATAGGATATGCAGCCTTTTCGAATTTGCTTTCACTTACTAATATGCATTTAAGTTTCCTTCATGTCTTTTCACAGGTTGATAACTCTTTACATGTTAGTGCCAAATAATATTTTATTGTCTGTATTTGTCATGGTTTATTTATCCATTCACTTACTGGCAAACATTTTGATTGCTTTCAAATTTTGGCAGTTAGGAATAAAGTTGCTATAAATATCTGTTTGCAGGTTTTTGTGTGGAAGTAATTTTCCATTCACTGGATCATACGGTAAGAATATGCTTAGTTTTGTGAGAAACTACCAAACTGTCTTCTAAAATGGCTGTATCATTTTACGTTCCCACCAGCAATGACTGAGAGCTCCTGTGGCTTTATATCCTCTCCAGCATTTTGTGTTATCAGTATGTTAGATTTTGGCCTTTCTAATAGGTGTGTAGTAGCATTTCATTATTGTTTTAATTTATAATTTCCTAATGACATATGATGTTGCACATCTTTTCATATGCACATTTACCATCTGTACATCTTTTGGTAAGTTGCCTGTTCAGGTCTTTTGCCTATTTTTAATCAGGTTGTTTATTTTCTTCTTGTTGAGTTTGAAGTGTCCTTTGTATATTTTGGATAATAGTCCTTTATCGCATATGTCTTTTGCCAATATTTTCACTCAGACTGCGGTTTGTTTTCTCACTGTTTTGACAGTGGTCTTTCACAGAACAAAAGGTTTTTTGGTTTTTTGTTTGTTTGTTTATTTTTGTTGTTGTTGTTTTTGCTGCTTTTTTGAGACAGAGTCTTGCTCTGTTGCCCAGGCTGGAGTGCAGTGGCGGGATCCCGGCTCACTGCAAGCTCCGCCTCCCGGGTTCACGCCATTCTCCTGCCTCAGCCTCCCGAGTAGCTGGGACTACAGGCGCCCGCCACCACGCCCGGCTAATTTTTTGTATTTTTAGTAGAGACGGGGTTTCACCGTGATAGCCAGGATGGTCTCGATCTCCTGACCTTGTGGTCCGCCAGCCTCGGCCTCCCAAAGTGCTGGCATTACAGGCGTGAGCCACTGCGCCCGGCCCAAAAGGTTTTTTTTTAACATAAAAATTCTTCTTTAAATCCCAGCTTCTTCTTGCTCTTTTATTGGGTTTGCATTAAATCTATATAGATGATATTGGGAAGAACTGGCATCATGGCAATATTTTTCCTTCCTATACATGAACATGGGATATTTCTCCATTTATTCAGTTCTTTGATTTCTTTAATCAAAGTTTTATAATTTTCCTTATATAGATCTTGTACATATGTTGTTAGGTTTATACCTGTGTATTACATTTTGAGGGGCAGTAATGCAAATGGTATTGTGTTTTAAACTTCAAATTCTACTTGTTCATTGTTGGTATATAGCAACACAACTAAATTTTATGTATCAACGTTGTATTCTGCGGCCTTGCTATAATTGCTTATCAGTTTTAGGAGATTTTTTTCAATTCTTTTGGACTTTTTACACAGGTTATCACGACATATGAAAACAAAGACAGTTCTATTTATTTTCTTCTCAATCTGTATATTTTCTGCTTCTTTTTCTTGTATTATTTCATTACCTATGACTTCCACTATGATGTTGAGAAGGCATATAAAAGGGGACTTGCCTTATTCCTTGTCTTATTCCTGATCTTAATTAGAAAGCTCCTAGTTTCCCACCGTTAACTATGATGATAACAGCAAGTTTATATGTTGATATTCTTTGTCAAGTTGAATAAGTTGCGTCTATTCTTAGTTTACTGAGAGTTCTTGTTGTGAAGGGGCGTTGGATATTATCAGATGTTCTTTCTGCATCAATTGAAATCATATGATTTTAAAAAATTCTTCAGACTATTAATATGAAGGAATACATTCATTGATTTCCAAATGTTTAACCAGTTGTACCTACCTGAATAAATTCCACTTGGTTGTAGTGTGTAATTATTTTAATACATTGTTGGTTTTGATACGCTAATATTTTGTTGAGAAGTTTTGCATCTGTGTCCATGAGATATATTGGTCTTTGGCTTACTTTTCTTGCAATGTCTTTTTCTGATTTTGGTATTGGGGTAATGCTGGCCTCATAGAGTGAGTTAGAAAGTATTCTTATGAAATACTATGAAGCCATTAAAAAAGAATGAAATTATATCCTTTGCAGCAACATGGCTAAAGTTGGAGGCCATTATCCTCAGTGAAATAACTCAGAAAATCAAGTATCACATGGTCTTACTTACAAGTGAGAGCTAACAATGGCTACACATTGACATAAAGAAGGAAATAATAGACCCTGGTGACTCCAAAACAGAGAAAACTGGGAGGGGAGTAAGATTTGAAATACCTATTGTCTATAATATTTACTATTTGGGTGACAGGTACACTAGAATCCCAATCCCCACAATTATGCAATATACTCATGTAAAAGAATTGTGCACATGTACTCCCTGAATCTGAAACGAAATATATGTTTTTTAAAGCATCCGCTTGGCTTCTATCTTCTGGAAGGGATTGCAGATAATTTTTTTTAATGTTTGCTAGAATTTACCAGCGAACCTGTTTGGGCCTGATGCTTTCTGTTTCAGAAGATATTTAATTATGAATTTAATTTTTTCAATAGTTACAGGCATATTTACATAGTCTACTAATTTCTTCTTATGTGAATTTTGACAGATTGTGTCTTTCAGAAAATTTGTCCACTTCATCTAGATTGTCAAATTTGTTGGCAAAGAATTGTTCATACTATATTTTATTATAATTTAAGGTCCATGGAACCTGTAATGATTTCCCCCTTTTAAATTCTGATATTAGTAATTTGTGTCCTCTCTCTCTTTTTTCTTATTTAGTCTGGCTTATATATTTTATTAATCTTTCAAGCAACCAACTTTGGTTTCATCAATTTTTCTCTATTTCTTATTTTTAGTTTTATTGATTTCTGCTCTAATTTTTGTTATTTCTTTTTTCCTGCTTACTTGGGTTGCAATTGGCTTTTATTTTTCAGATTGCCTAGAGTGGAAGCTTAGAGCATTGATTTTAAATCTTTTTAGTTTTCTAAAAATGCATTAAATGTTATATATTTCCCTCTAAGCACAGCTTTTACAGCATTCCACAAATTTTGATAAGCTGTATTTTCATTTTATTTAGTTCAAAATGTTTTTTAATTTTTTTAAGGATTCTTCTTTTATCCATGTGTTATTTAAAATTGTGCTGCTCAATCAAAGTGTTTTGGAATTTTCCAACTATCTTTCTGGTTTTGGTTTCTATTTTAATTATGTTGCAGACTCAGAACAGATATTGCCTGTTTTTAAAAAATCATTCATCTGGCAGATATATATTGTATGTCAAATATGCAGCAGTCACAATGGGGGAATTCCAATATGATTTAATCTTTAACATCATAGATCCTATAGATGATAATCGTTTTTCTCCAAAGTCACATTTTTAGGGGTAAAACCTGATGTATGTAATTTTATATTCTTTTCAACTTGTTACGGTATGTTTTATGGCCCAGAATGTGATCTTGATAAATGTTACATGCGACTTTGAGAAGAATAGATATTCTACTGTTGTCAAATGAAGTTCTACTAGTTGCCTTTGTTCTTTGTTTCTGTCTGTCTTCCACTCCTTTTCTGCTCTTTGTGTTTTAATTATTTTATATAACACCATTTTCTCATTTTTTAGCATATCAGTTATACTTCTTTAGTAGTTGACCTAGTTTGCAATAAACAATTACTAAAAATCCAAATCCAAGTCCCCACTTTCAAATAACACTTTACTGCTTCATGTGTAGTGCAAGTATCTCATAATAACAAAATATTCTTATTTCTTCTCTCCTATCCTTTATATCATTGCCATCATTAATTTCATTCATATGTATGCTATAATCATCATATGGTTATTACTGCTATTTTGAGCAAGCACTATCTGTTAAGTCAATTAAGAATAAGAAAAATGAAAGGTTTTATTTCATCTTCACTTATTCCTTTTCTAATGTTCTTCCATTCTTAATGTAGGTTCAAGTTTCTGACCAATATAATTTTCTTTCTGTCTGAAGAATTTTGTTTACCATTTTTCGTGAGGCAGATCTCCTGGCAACAAATTCCTTCAGTTATTGTTTGTCTGAAAAGTCTATTTCTCCTTCGCTTTCAAAAGATATTTTTGCAGGAGACAGAATTGTAGCTTGGTGTTTGTGTTTGTTTATTTGTTTTGGGGTTTTGTTTTGAGACGGGGTTTCACTCTTTCACCCAGCTTGGAGTGCAGTGGTATGATCACGGCTCACTGCAGCCTCAACTTCCCAGGCTCAAGCAATTCTCCTACCTTTCAGCCTCTTAAGCAGCTGTGACTATACTCAGTTAATCCTTGTATTTTTTGTAGAGGCAGAATTTTGTCATATTGACCAGGCTGGTCTTAAACCCCAGGGCTCAAGTAATCCTCCCACCTCAGCCTCCTCTCTATATTTGCATGATGTTTGAGGAGATCTTGGCTATAATTCTTATCTTTGACTCCTCTGTAGGTAAGGTGTTTTTATCCTTTTGTTTCAAGATTTTTAAAATTTATCTTTGATTTTCTGCATTTTGAAAATGACATGCCTAGATGTAGGTTTTTTTTGTTTGTTGGTTTTTTTTTTGTTCTTGTTTTTTGTTTTTTTAGTTATCCTGATTGGTGTTATCTGAGATTTCTGGATCGGTAATTTGGTGTCTGGCATTAATTTGTAGAAGTCTTAGTCATTATTGTTTCAAATATTCCTCCCATTCCTTTCTCTTTATGTTTTTTTTCTTTCTGGGATACCCTTCATGAATATGTTACACCTTTTGTATTTGTCCCACAGTTCTCAGACATTCCGTTATTTTAAAGAATATTTTTCTTTTTGCTTTTAGTCTTGAAAACTTGTATTCACAAGAAAAAACAAACAATCCCATAAAAAAAGTGGGCAAAGGAGATGAACCGATACTTTTCAAAAGAAGACATACGTGTGGCATTAATCCTATGAAAAAAAGCTCAACATCAATGATCATTAGAGAAATGCAAATCAAAATAATGAGATACCAACTCACACCAGTAAGAATGGCTATTATTAAAAAGTCAAAAAATAGCAGATGCTGGCAAGGTTGTGGAGAAAAAGGAATTCTTATACACTGTTGGTGGGAGTGTGAATTAGTTCAGCCATTGTGGCGAAGTTAGTTCAGACAGTGTGGCAATTCTTTAAAGACCTAAAGACAGAAATACCATTTGACCCACCAATCCCATTACTGGATATATGCCCAAAGGAATATCAGTCTTCTTATAAAGACACATGAACACATATGTTCATTACAGTACTATTCACAATAGCAAAGACATGGAATCAATCTAAATGCCCGTCAATGATAGACTGGATAAAGAAAATGTGGCACATATCTACCATGGAATACTATGCAGCCATAAAAAAGAATCAGATCATGTCCTTTGCAGAAACATGGATGGAGCTGGAGACCATTATCCTTAGCAAACTAACACAGAAACAGAAAATTAAATACTGCATGCTCTCACTTACAAGTGGGAGCTAAATATTGAGAACACATGGACACACAGAGGGGAACAACACACACTGAGGCCTTTCAGAGGGTGGAGGGTGGATGGAGGGAGAGGATCAGGAAAAATAACTAATGGGTACTAGTCTTAATACCTGAGTGATGAAATAATCTGTACAACAAACCTCCATGACATGAGTTTACCTATGTAACAAACCTGCACATGTACCCATGAACTTTCGTGATGGCTCACGCCTGTAATCCCAGCACTTTGGGAGGTTGAGGCGGGTGGATCACAAGGTCAGGAGATCGAGGCCATCCTGGCTAACACAGTGAAACTCTGGCTCTACTAAAAATACAAAAAAAAAAAACAAAACAAAAAAAGAAACAAACAAAAAAAAACTTGTATTGAGATACCCTCAAGCTTAAGGAAATTATTTTCTTTGGCAGTTTCCAGTCTACTAATGGGCCCACCAAAGGCTTTAGTTCCGTTACAGTGTTTTTAATGTCTAGCATTTCTTTTTTATTCTTTCTCAGAATTTCCATCTTTCAGCTTATATTGCCCATCTGTACTGGCGTGTTGTCTACTTTTCCATTAGAGCTCTTACCATATTACTCATAGTTCTCCCAGGACAGGGATTCTAACATCTCTGCCTCAGTCTGGTTCTGTTGCTTGCTGTGGCCTTTCAAAGTGTGTTTTTATTTTGTTTTATTTGCCATTTAATATGCCTTGTAACTTTCTGTTGAAAGCCAAGCACGATATACCAGGTAAAATAAACTTTGGTAAATAGGTCTTTAGTGATGTGGCCGTAAGTTGTGGGGCAAGGGAAGTTTTCTATAGTCCTATAATTAAGCCTAATCTTTTAGTGAATCTGTGTCTTTGAGCTGTAAACATCACAAGTGCTTTTCAGTTTTCACACCCTTTAGATGGGACAGGATGGCCAGGAGCACCTGGGTTTAATTATTTTCCTTCCCTCTCTAAATACTATATGGGCTAGAGTTGGGCATTTCCTCTTCCGGATCAGTTAGGCTCTGACACAACCTCAATACATTAGAATCTGATAAAACAATGTTTCTTGGGGTAGGCCTTGTTAAGAAGAACAGAATGCTCTGGCATTTTTCAATATGGTTACATGTTTCTTCTTGCTGCTAGGAGCAAAAGGGGATTTTTCTCTTATTTTTACTATGGGAATCTGCTATAACTCCTGAATGTGAAACTCATAAAAGTGTGGTGGTTCCCCTACGACTTAGCCTTCCTGTAGTTTTTAACTCTTTGACTTGTCCAGACTGATCCAATGTATTAATTACAGTTTGGTTTTTCTACCCTATTACAGGTTCCAGTAGAGGTTTCTGCTCAGTAATTGTGATCCTCTGAATCCATCTGTTTCTTCCGTTTTTGGAGGTCATGGTTTGCCCTGTGATCTCACCTTTCTAATGGATCTAAGAAAAGTTGATTTTTCAGTAATGTTCAGGTTTTTACTTCTTGTTAGTATTTGGTGACAATTTCCAAGCTTCTTACATGCTGGGATAAAAACTGGAAGTTCCTCTTTCCTTTTTCATGAAGGGCCTCACAAATTTTGAGATGAGTAGTTTTATTGTCCTGCTTTTTGTCTATGAAATGTGTGGAGTTCCACAATCTTCTTTCATCTTTTTCTTGTTCCATTGCTTCTTGGCCTTTGGCTAAGATCAAATGCAGTTATCTTCCTTGTCTTGTTCAGTCCAAGCTTGCAGGTTTGGAATTCTCAAAAGCCTTGTCTGTCTCCTATGCATTTCATGAGTATTCACTGTATTAAATAGGAAGTTCCTCTATAGGCATTTCTTAGATAAACACATCTCTATATTTGGCTTCTCTTGTGACAGTTTAAGGTATGCATGAGTTACATGCCTATTCAACCAGCCCTCCATGTGAACGAATACTATGAACTTTTTTTCCTTTGCAGCACTAGCAAAATTTTATCAGCCACACCTTCTTAGTAGTGACTCTCCTAATATTAGTGTCTTTTGAAATCTGGATAGACTGAGGATTTTCAAATCATCACTTCCTGGTTCCTTTTCGCCTATTTTCCCCATCTCTTTATCTCTTTCCTATCACATTTTACTATAAGCAAGAAGAAACTAGACTGTATCTTCAACAATCTGCTGGCACATCTCCTCAGCTAAATATCTAAGTCTATCGCTTACAAGTTCTGCCTTTCACATAGCTATAGAACATAATTCAGCAGCATTTGCCACATAAAAATACTGTTAGCTCGACAAAAAAGATCCCTTTTCCTTTTTCTAATAACATGTTGCTTATTTTTTCCTAAGTCCTCCCCACCATCACCTTTGAAGTCCATATTTTTATCAACAGCATGTTTACAATGATTTATATGTTTTCTGAGGTAATACAGGTTTATTCTATCATGCCCCTCTAAATTCTTCCATTATATCCATTACCTAAATTAAAAGGCACTTCACACATTTAAGAATTTGTCAAGCAGCACCCCACTGTCAGTTAACAAAATTTGTAATATTAGTTCCTCCTGTTGCTGTAACAACGTGCAAGAAACGTGTTGACTTAAAGCAACACAAATGTGTTCTCTTGAAGTTTTGGAGGTGAAAAGTTCAAAATCAGCTGCTATGGTATAAAGTCATGGTGTTAGCAGGGCTGATTCTCTCTGAAGGTTCTGGAAAAGAATTGATTTCCTTGGATTTCCTGCTCTTAGAGGCTATCTGAATACATTGACTAGTGACTCCTTCCTCCATCAAAAACGTGTAATTTCGTTCTCTGATTTCATCATTACATGGCCTTCTCTCTAGCACGGACTCCTCCTACGTCCCTCTCATAAGGACATTTGTGATCACATTAGGCCCAGGTGAACGATTCACAATGATTTCCCCACCTAAAAATTCCTAACTATATCTCATCTGCAAAGCCTCTTTTGCATTCATTGGTTCTAAGAAGTTGGACATGAGTATCTTGGTGGCGATTAGAACAACTTTTAGCCTATCAGAGACTGTGAGTTCCCAAAGGTTCTTTAGAAAGTAACGAAAGGTGAGCGAAGTCTCTATTCTTAAATAGAACAGAAGATAAATGTTCTGGTTTGTTTGGTTAATAAATTTTATTGTGTATATTTGGGGTTTACAACATAATGTTATGGTACATATTGATAGTAAAATGGTTACTATAGTGAAGGAAATTTTAATATCAATCAACTCACATAGTTACATTTTTATGAGAAGAGCAGCTCAAATCTGTTTACTTAAAAAAAAATTCCTAATACAAACAATTGTATTAACTATAGTCCTCATGTAGTACATTTCTAGACTTGATTATCCTATGTATCCGATACTTTGTATCCTTTGAACTACATCTCCCCATCTCCTCCCACACCCAAGTCAGTCCTCATAACCACTGTTTTATTCTTTTTCTCTGTATATTTGATGTTTTGAAAAATATGCCACATATAAGTGAAATAATGCAACATTTTTCTTTATGTGCCTGCCTTATTTCACTTAGCATAATGTTTTCCATGGCAATCCACATTGTGTCAAATTATGGCTGAATAATGTGTGTATATATATATATACATAAAACATTTTCTTTATCCATTTTTTCATCTATAAACACTTGGGTTGTATCTAAGTCTTGGCTATTGTTAGCAATGCTACAATGAACATAAGGGTATAGATATTTTTACGAAATGGTGATTTTATCTCCTTTGGGTGCATACCCAGAAGAGAGATTGCTGGGTCTTATGGTAGTTCTGTTTGTTAAAGAACATCCATACTGATTTCCATAACTGTTGCACCAATCTACATTCTCATCAACAGTTTGCAATAGTTTCTTTCTCTTCATACCCTTGACAACATTTGTTATCTCTTGTCTTTTGATAATAGCCACCCTAACTGTGGTAAGGTGATATAGTCATTTTGGTCTTAATTTCTCTGGTGGTTAGTGATGTTGAGCACAGTTTCATATACCTGTTAGCCATTTTTTTAGGTTCTCTTTGGAGAAATGTCTGTTCAGGTACTTTGCCCATTTTTAAATTAGGTTTTTTGTTTTTCTATTATTGAATAATAAGTTATTTGTAAATTTTGGATATTAGCCTCTCATTAGATACTGGTTTACAAGTATTATTTCTCAGTCTGTGGGTTGCTTTTTAATTTTGTTGATTTTTTTCCTTTGCTGTGCAAATGCTTTTTATTTTAACATAGCCCCATTTATTTATTTTTGGTTTTATCCTCTGAGCTTTCAGTGTGATATTCAAAAAGTCATCACCAAGATGAATGTCAAGGAGCCCTTTCCCTATGTTCTCTAGAAATATTCTTTTGTCCTTCCTTGCTACTTGGGTGTGAAATCTGGGAAAAAAAATATAGACTAAGACATAAGAAGGAGTTGCAAGGGTTAAGTGAGTTATGATGCTTTACAGAAAGGCTTTTGGATCCTGTTTGGCATGCAATTTTGGTGACCGTACATTTGGAGAACTATAAGATTAAGAATATATTTTTGGATTGGGAATTCCTAATTTGTTTGCAAATGACTATGCTGGCCATTGAATCAGGCCAGCTTCTACAATAGAATTACAATAGGAACTTGAATTATAAATGGGATATTTATAGGTCTATATGGAGAAGGAAGGATAGTACTAGTATTGAGGAAACAACTAATTTTGTGTTGCTGAAATACAGGTAATGTACAAATTCTCCATTATTACTGCCCTACCTTTAATACACAATATCTCAGTAATCACATATTTACTTTCTAGTGACTCCAGTCTGCTTCCACTGCAGAAGGTTTCCCCCTTAAGAAAACTGATTTCCTAACTAGTGCACTGTAGCTTTCTCTTTAAAGCTTCATACATATGAAGGATCAAAAGGAAGAAGCATTGCTTTCATTACTATGCAAAGGCCATGTTGTGTTTCAATCCTCAAAGTGTAGGAGCCAAGTTTTCTTTCTAGAAGTAATGGGGATAAGTTCTGTGTTTTGTTTTCACTCAGCCTGAAAGCAAATTCCACAAAAAGCAGAGCCTGAGAGCGTCTTATGTGAGATGATGTTATTGAGAAGTGCAATACCAGGAAGCAGCAGCGAGGGAAAAGGTGAGTGAAGCAAAGAAAAAACCAATTCCTGGACATGCTATTGATTTGGCTGCTGCTAAATGCAATTGATTGCAGATATACCAGCCACCACGGAGCTGCACAAACCCATCCCAAGGCAGTCTATGTTAAGAAGGGGCAGGATGAGTAAGAAGTACTTACCTTTTTTTTTTTTTTCACCATTTACCAAAATTTCACCCAAGATCTAGTACTTCTCACTTATGTCTTGTGGGTTATTAGCTAGGTTCTACTGTTTCTCAAGCCTTTCAATCAACAGGGTGGCCCTGAGGGCAGAAAGCAAGAGGTTCATGACATAGGGATGAAGCAAGATGCTACAGAATCCATGCAAAGCCAGTACACATGGCAGAGGTATAAACCGGAGAAAAATGAGGCCAGTAGCTTTGAAGTATCAAATAAGAGTTCTCAAAAGTGCAAATACTGCTTTTGAGGTTTGCTCCTCATTATACAATGAAATATTATAAATAATATTTTGCTGATTGCTATAGCTTGGATATTTGTCTAAATCTCATGTTGAAATGTAATCCCTAATGTTGAAGGTGGGGCCTGGTGGGATGCGTTTGTGTCATGGGATAGGAACAGACCCCTCATGGCCTGGTGCTGTCATGGTAGTGAGCAAGTGCACATGAGATCTGGTTATTTTGAAGTGTGTGCTCTTGCTCCTCCACTCTTGCTCCCACTTTCACCATGTGACATGCCTGCTTCTGCTTTGCCTTCTGCTGTGAGTTAAATCCACCTGAGGCTTCCCCAGAAGTTGAGCAGATGCTGGCACCATGCTTCCTGTGCAGCCTACAGAATTATAAGCCAATTAAACCTCTTTCCTCTATAAATTACCCAGTCTCAGGTATTTCTTTATAGCAGTGCAAGAGTAGCCTAATACAGTGATGTTTTATATGTAGCATACTCAAAATATGTTTACTTAAATCTTCACATCTCTTCACTGTTAAAAAGTCCAGAAAGCAGTAATTGTCCAAAAATTGATTATTAATCTTTTTACTACCATTTTGTTGCTGAATTGAGATAATTAATATTTATGAAGGATTATACAAAAATGCTAGTGACAGATTTCTGGAATTTAAATATTTCCTATGTAGATGTCTAGCACCAGACTGTCTTGATATCTACATAAAGATTTGAAGGAAATGTGGTTTAAGAATTTGTTTAACGGAAAGTATAATGGGATTTAATCGTAGTAGTTGGGTTGGTGGGTGGTTATGCAAATAGTTTGCCATGAAGCAAAGATATTCAGACACCCACATGAAAAAGCTATTGATATTCAAATTAGAGTCCATATTCTCCTCAGTCTTTCTGCTACAAGATATTCTGTAGTTTTTGCTGAATATTCAAAAATGAAAATAATTCATCTTTGGAAACAAGATTTCTACTTAAAGCCTCCACTTTCTAAAGCTTTCAGAGCAGCTTGTTTTCAAAAATACTTAAACAGATCCACAGATGGCAGGGATTTAACATTTTGGTAGACCACACGTAATTTCAATAGGAAACTTTTATGATGATATAACTCATTTTATATGTAGCATGCATGAACTTATTCTATATAACCTGGATGTGAGAAACACTGAATTGTTTTTTTTTAGATTAATTTAAACCTGGCTCTGAGACCCCATCATCCAAAAAAGCAGAATATCCATTATTACTCATGGTGCTCCTCAATGTTTGGTGTTGGGATAATAGGGAAATGCATGATCCTTTTGCTATTGTCATAGCCATGGTTAGCTCCGCTGCTTCTGCTGTAAGCTGCCACTGTTGAATGCCAATTCTTTGCCTTTTATTTCTCAAAGACTAAGCCCAAAGGCATAATTACTGGTACTTGCAAGATGTTAAAGCTAGACTCCTCATGCATTGGCCTGTATCTCTCCAGGTTATCCAGTCCGTTCTCTGGGTGGGAATAGAGTGTAAGTTCCTGTCAGCCATAAATCCTTTGACACTTTCAAAACTCTACCCTCTGGGAGTCCAATTCTCTTTTCAAGTCTACCACATAGATCCCTCTTACTCCCCAGGTACCTGTCCCTTTCTTCCCTTCACCTTTGGCAAAACTTCTGTTTAACTTATTCCTCAGAGACCTGTTAAAGATTTTTCAATTCAAATCCAGAGAAGTAGTTAATTTTCACTAAGTAGCAGAAAGGGGTAGGACATTATAAATTCACTGGAATCTTAACACTGTAGTCCCAGCTACTTGGGAAGCTGAGGAAGGATAATTGCTTGAAACCGGGAGGCATATTTTATAGTCTAAAAGCAATTCTGTATACAGTAATTCTGTATATTCCCCATAAAAATGTTTGTGCCTGGCATGGCGGCTAACACCTGTAATCCCAGCACTTTGAGAGACCTAGGCAGGCAGATCGTTTGAGTTCAGGA
This sequence comes from Homo sapiens, assembly GCF_000001405.40. NCBI lineage: Eukaryota > Metazoa > Chordata > Mammalia > Primates > Hominidae > Homo > Homo sapiens. The sequence goes on from NC_000003.12 coordinate 190,765,524, forward strand.
GTTCAAGACTAGCTTGGCCAACGTGGTGAAACCCTGTCTCAACTAAAAATACAAAAATTAGCCAGGCGAGGTGACACATGCCTATAGTCCCAGCTACTAGGGAGACTGAGGCAGGAGGATAGCTTGAGTCCGGAAGGCGGATGTTGCAGTAAGCCAAGATTGTGCCACTGCACTCCAACCAGGGTGACAGAGTGAGGCTTCATCTCAAAAAATAAATAAAAAGTTTGTGAGCTAAATTTAATGTTGAATTATAGTAACTACTGTTAATGAATTTTCCATAACTTTCTTTCTTTCAAATTAGTTCCTTCTTTCAAATTATTTTGATATTTTGTCTTACTATATAACGTGTATTTTATGGGAAGATGCTTCTATTCTTTCTGTAACAGTATGGAGTATGAGGAAGGAAAGATTGCTTAAAAATGTTTTAAAAATAATGGTACAACTCTCATATTCTGAGATACTTCTCTTAAAGGAAGCCTTTGGTAAATTTTCTTAAAATGTCAATGACCATTTATTTTATTTTCTACTCGGTAATTTTTGCTTTCCATATCCAGTATAGACTTACACATGATCTTTGCATCATGTACATGAAATGATTGCATGAAACTACACTAAGACTAGTGGGACATCCCGCACTATGGTGTGAAACAGCATTAGGTAAAGTATATTTTTGACTTATTTATACACACACATTCAAGTTCTGCTAAACAGAAGTGCATTTTCTTATAAAATCCAAACTCCAAAATGTGATATTTTTCAACTGAAGGAGAATCATTCAGTATCAAAGAAATGAGTAATCACCAATGAGGACATGGACCACAGACAGGGACACAGAAAGTTCATGGTAGAAAAACAAGGATTTCCATAGTCATCACAAACAGCACATTACATAGGCACAGCCATTAAAGTCAGGGCTTATAGAAAAACAAACAAAAGCTCCTATATAAATAACATTTTTTTCTATAGAATAAAATCTGAGATATTGGCTTACTAGATAAAAGCTGACCTATATCCATCCACCCAACCATCTTTACCTTAATCTTATTCACTGAGATTAAAAGTCAGAGATATATAAATTGTTTAAGTAAACACAGCTAGATGTTGACTGATGGAATAAGGATTTAGCCTGGAGTGTTTTTACTGTAAATAGTATGCCCTTCCATTTGTGAGATGTGGAAGAGGGAACATTTTCTTAGTTCTGATATTACTGCAGCATCTCTTCAAATATTACAGTTTAAGTGAAAGTTTGAGGTGGAAACTAACCTCTACAGCTGTATTATGCCATTCTTGAATTGCCATAAAGAAATACCTGAGACTGGGTAATTTATAGGAAAAGAGGTTTAACTGGCTCATGGTTCTGCAGGTTGTACAGAAGCACAGCAGCATCTGCTTCTGGGGAGACCTTAGAGAGCTTTTTACTCAGGGCAGGAGGCAAAACGGGAGCAGACACTTCATATGGGGAAGCAGGAGTGAGAGAAAGAGACTGTGGCAGGGAGCTGCCACACACTTAAAAATGACCAGATCTCAGGAGTAACTCACTGACTAGGAGAACAGCACCAAGGGGATAATGCTAAACCATTCACGAGAAGTCCACCGTAATCCAATCCCCTCCCACCAGGCCCTACCTCCAACATTGGGGATTACAGTTTAACATGAGATTTGGATTGGGTGGTAACAAATATACAAACTATGTCAACAGCCAAGGTTAAATTATACATGAGTAATCTTATTTTCATTGGCATCTGGGTTTAGCTCATAATTGAGAAGGGAGAAAACCTTTTGTCTTCTTATCAGATGATAAATGGCTGGCCTATCAAATATAGTTAGGTAAAGAAAGGATAAAGCACATGAGGAAAACACATACGAAAAAACTCACAACAGTGGTGGATCTAAGGGGTGAAATTTATTGCAAACAGTAATATTTTTCTGATTAATCACTAGGATTTTATTTATTTATTTATTTATTTATTTATTTATTTATTTATTTATTATTTATTTGGATGGAGTCTCACTCTGTCACCCAGGCTGGAGTGCAGTGGCACAGTCTCAACTCACTGCAACATCCGCCTCCTGGGTTCAAGTGATTTTCCTGCTCAGTCTCTCAAGTAGCTGGGATTACAGGCACCCGCCACCACACCTGGCTAGCTTTTTGTATTTTTTAGTAGAGATGGGGTTTTACCGTGTTGGCCAGGCTGGTCTCAAACTCCTGACCACAGGTGATCTGCCTGCCTTGGTCTCCCATAATGCTGGCATTACAGGTGTGAGCCACCACACCCAGTCATCATGAGGATTTAGAGGACTACCTTTCATAATCTAAAAGCAACATGCAAAAAGCTCTCACTAAACACATCTACTTATTTTAAATCTTTTACTTTTAGAAATTTAACTAAATGAAACTTGAATTCAATCAATTTAAGCTGTTCAGTTTGGTTTTGTTCACTTACAGTTTCCATCTGGGATTGGAAATATATGCTGCCAAAGGAGGCCTAGGAAGGCGGCTTGTATGAGTTTCCCATCTGGAATCTCTGATACCAGGCCAGCAATCTCCTGAGATACCTTATATTGGGTCACAGCCAGATTTAGGGTTGTTATTTTGAGTATTTAATGTTAGTATGAAACCAACATGAAACTAATGTGAGGCATAGAGCATCCATAAAGAAGATAAGTTCTTCTCCAGTAGGTAAGCAATAGTAACTAACAGCACAATCTTTGGAATCAGACGTTTGTCGCTTAGATTTAACCACTTAGATATTTGGCCTAAGGCAAATTATTTAATTCTTCTAACCCTCAAGTTCATCATATGCATTTATTATACGGATTATGGAAGGAAATATAAGTAAGGCACTTACCATATTACCTATTAACTAATAAAAGCTCAATAAATGATATTTGTACACATGATATCTCACTTTTAATGCCAACGGAAAGCATGCAATATAGTATCATTAACCGTAGACACAACGTTGCACAGCATATCTCTAGAACTTATTCATCTTGCATAACTGGAGCTTCATACCCATTGAACAGCAACTCCCATTTCCCCCTGTCCCCCAAGCTGTTTAAACCCCCATTCTTCTTTCTCTTTCTGTGAGTTTGACTATTTTAGATGTCTCATACACATGGAATCATGCAGTATTTGTTCTTCGGTAACTCATATATTTCATGAGTGTAATGTCCTTCAGTTTCATCCATGTTGTTTTATATGCCAAGATTTTCTCATATTTGTTGCTGAATAAGATCCCACTGAATGTATATACAACATTTTCTTTATTAGGTTGTTTCCTTATCTTGGGTATTATGAATAATGCTGCATTGAACATAGGAGTTAGATATCTCTTCAAGATCCCGATTTCAACTTTATTGGACATGTATCCAGAATTTGGATTGTTGGATTATATGGTAATTCTCTTTTAAATTTTTGGTTGTATTTCCATACTGCTTTCCATAGCAGCTGCATCATTTTACATTCCCACAAACAGGATACAACATTCTCATTTCTCCACATCTTTGCCAACACTTGTTTTCTTTGTTCGTAGAGCAGTCATCCTAAGAGATGTGAGGTGATGTGTCGTTGTTTTGATTTGAATTTCCCTAATGAATACTGATGTTGAGTATCTTCTCATATATCTTTTGGTTGTTTGTATGTTTTTGGAAAGATGTCTATCCAAGTCTTTTGCCAATTTTTAAATAACGTTTTTGGGAATTCTTTTGCTATTGAGTTATATGAGTTTCTTACATATTTTGGAGATTAACTCCTAATCAGATACATTGTTTGCAAGTACTTTCTACCATTACTTAGTTTGCCTTTTCACTCTGTTGAATGATTACTTTTCTGGGCAGAAGTTTTCACATATGTTTTCTTCTAAGAGCTTCAGAGTTTCAAGTCTTACTTTAAGTCTTTAATCAATTTTAGTTGATTTTTGTGTATATTGTAAGATTGGAGTTTAATTTTATTCTTTTGCATTAAGTTTTCTCAGTACCATTTGTTGAAGAGCCTATCCTTTACCCACTTGCTATTCTTCACACCCTTGTAGAAGATTAGCTGACCATATATGCATGATTTTATTTCCAGGCTTTCTACTCTTTTCCATTGGTCAGTCAGTCTATCTATCTATCTATCTATCTATCTATCTATCTATCTATCTATCTATATTTTACATCAGTACCATATTGTTTTAATTGCTGTAGTTTATTTTTATATTTTGAAATCATGAAGTGTGATGATTTTATCTTTGTTATTTTTCTCAAGATTGCTTTGGCTATTCAGGGTCTTTTGTGGATCTACAAAATTGTTTTGAACAGACAAAAAATGTATTGGATATAGAATATATTATCAGCGCAACTAACAAGCTTGATCTAACAGGTACTGGGCCAATTTCAGCCCGCCACTTGTTTTTGTAAATAAAGTTTTACTGGAATACATCTCCATTTATTTACTTATTGTCTATGGCTTTTGTCTATAGTTACTTCTGCTTTACAACGGCAGCTTGAGTAACCGTGACAGAGACTGTATGGCCTGCAAAGCTAAAAATATTTTTTGTTTGTTTTTGTTTAATTTTTTATTTCCATAGGTTTTGGGGGAACAGGTCATATTTGGTTACATGAGTAAGTTCTTTAGTAGTAATTGTGAGATTTTGGTGCAACTGTCACCAAGCAGTATTCATTGAACCCAATTTGTAGTCTTTATCCCTCACCTCCCTCCCACCCTTTCACCCTAGTCCCCCAAGTCCATTATATCATTCTTATGCCTTTGCATCCTCATAGCTTAACTCCCACTTACGAGTGAGAACATACTATGTTTGGCTTTCCATTCCTGAGTTACTTCACCTAGAATAATAGTCTCCAGTTCCTCCATCCAGGTTGCTGTGAATGCCATTAATTCTTTCCTTTTTATGGTTAAGTGGCATTCCATTGTACATACATATCACAATTTCTTTATCTGCTTGTTGATTGATGGGCATTTGGGCTAGATTTTGCAATTGTGAATTGTGCTGCTATAAACATGCATGTGCAAGTATATTTTTTGTATAATGACTTCTTTTCCTATGTGCATCATGAATATTGGCCTCTAGTTTTATTTTCTTACAGTGTCTGTTTGGTTTTGGTATCAGGGTAAGACTAGCTGCATAAAATGAGTTTGGAAGTAGTCTCTCTTCCCTAATTATTTTGGAAGGGTTTGAGAAGGATTGTTGTTAATTGTTCATTATGTGTTTGGTAGAATTCCCCAGTGAAGCCTTCTGGGCTTGGGCTTTTCTTTGTTATTTTTGAGGTTGGATGTGGTGGCTCATGCCTGTAATCCCAGCACTTTGGGAGGCCGAGGAAGGCAGATCATGAGGTCAGGAACTCAAGACCAGCCTGGCCAACATGGTGAAACCCTTAGTAGAGACTAAGAACACAAAAATTAGCTGGGTGTGGTGGCATGCGCCTATAGTCCCAGCTACTTGGGAGGCTGAGGCAGGACAATTGCTTGAACCTGAGAGATGGAGGTTGCAGTGAGCCAAGACCATGCCATTGCACTCCAGGCTGGGCAACAGAGTGAGACTCTATCTCAAAAAAAAAAAAAAAAGATAGTTTTGAATATTGATTAAATCACATTCTGTATTATTATTCTTTTCAGATTTACTGTTTCTTCATAATTCAGTGTTGATAGGTTATATGTTGCTAGGGCTTTTACCATTGCTTCTAGGTTATCCAATTCATTGGCCTATAATTATTTATACTGGTCACTTATGATCTCTTTTTATTTCTATGGCATCAGTTGCAACATTTCTTCTTTCATTATTTATTTTATATTTTTGAGTCTTCTCTTTTTTATTTTTAGTCTAGCCAAAGGATTATCAATTGGTTTATAATTTTTTAAAAAACTTATTTTTGTGGATTTTTCTACTGTTTTTCTAATCTATTTTTTTATTTCAATTGTAATCTTTATTATTTACTCTCTTATGCTATTGGACTTAGTTTGTCATTTTACATCTAGTTTCTTGAAGTATAAGAGTAGATTGTTTGAGATCTTTCCTCCTCTTTAAATGTAGGCATTTATCACCATAAATTTCAACCTCAGTATTGCTTTTGCTGCATCCCATAAGTTTATGTTCTGTTTTCATTTTTGTTTCTCTACAGATATTTTCGATATTCCCTTTGAATTTCTTTGTTTTAGCCCATTGGTTATTTAATATATGTTTTTAAAATTTCTACATACTTATAAAATTTTAAATGTTTCTTCTGTTATTGATTCCTAGTTTCATTCGATTGTGTTCAAAAAATATAGTTAGAATAATTTAAAAATACTTAAATTGTTGTGATTCATTTTGTAAACTAGCAGGTAATTTATCCTGGAGAATATTCCCTGTGCACTTGAGAAGAAAATGTATTCTGCTGCTGTTGGGTAGAGCATTTTCTATGTGTATGTTATGTCCATTTGGTCTATGCTATTCTTTCAAGTTCACTGTTTGCATATTGGTTTTCTATCTGGATATTTGGTCCATAATAGAACGTGAGGTACTGAAGATTCCTAGGATTATTGTAATGCTGTCTATTCCTACCTTCAGATCTGTCAATCTTTGATTTATAAATTTAATTACTCTGATTTCGAGTCACCTGTATTTATAATTGTTGTATTTTCCCATTGAATCGAATCTTTTATCATTATATAATAACCTTCTCTTTACTCTGAGCCTATGTGTGTCCTTAAATCTAAACTGAGTATCTTGTAGACCGTATACAGTTGGATTTTTAAATTATTTCAATCACTTTATCTCTTTTGGTTGGGAATTTAAACCATTTGCATTAAAAGTAATTGTTGATGGGTAAAAACTTACTATTACCATTGTGTTACTTTCTTTATGCCTGGCTTATAGTTCTTTTGTTCTTTTTTGCTTTATTTGTCTTAATTTGTGATCTTTGGGGCTTTCGTAGTCTTATACTTTGATTTTTCTCTTTTTTGTTTGAATTTTCTGTAGGTTTTGTTTGTTTTTGTAATTACCACGAGGCTTACATCAAATATAGTTACAACAGTGTATTTTAAACTGATAAAAAGTTAAGTTTCATTGCATAGAAAAACCGTTCATTTTTAGTTCCCCCGCAATGCACACACACTTTATGTTACTGATATCACTATTAGATATTTTTAGATTGTGTATCCATTTCATATATTTCTGTAGTTACAGTTATTCTTCATACTTTTTGTATTTTAACTTTATCACTATTATAGTATTCTGTTCTGTCTATATATTTGTCTTTACTAGTGAGGTTTATATTTTCATGTTACTGCTTGGCAACCTTTCATTTCAACTCGAGGAGCTTCCTTTAACATTTCTTGTGAGACAATTCTAGTGGCGATGTACTCCCTCAGTTTTGGTTCTCTGGCAATATTTTTATCTTTCTTTCATTTTGGAAGGAAAGTTTTGCCAGGTTCAATATTATCGGTTGGCAGGTCCTGCCCACCCCTAGGACTTTAAATATATCATTTTACTTTCTTATGACCTACATGATATCTGCTGAAGAATTTGCTAATAGGGTTATAGATGTTCCCTTGTATGTGATGAGTCATTTTCTTCTTCTTATTTTTCTCTTTGACTTTGGCTATTGGCATTTGAATATACTATACCTTGGGGTAGAGTTCTTTGGGTTCATTCTATTTGTGTCCTTTTGAACTCTGGGATTTTCATGCCCATTTCCCTCCCTAGATTTGGGAAGTTTTTGACCATTACTTCTTTTTAAAAAATTGCTGCTCCTTACTCATTCTCTTCTCCTTCTGATTCTTCCAAAATGTGTATATTGGTTCACTTGATGATATCCTCTAAGTTCCTTAAACTTTCTGCATTCTCTGTTTTCTTTTTCTTCTGCTGACTAGATAATGTCAAGGCACCTGGTGTGAAGCTCACTAATTCTTTTGCTCGATCATTTCTGCCCTTGAATCCCTCTATTGAATTTTTTCATTTCTGATATTTATTCCTCAGCTCCCTAATTTCTGTTTGGTTCTTATTTATCTTTTCTTTTTGTTAATATTCTTCTTCTGTTTATGTATTATCTTCCCAGTTTCATTTAGTTGTCTATGTTCTTCTGTAACTCACTGAGCTACTTTAAGGTTATTATTTTTAATTCTTTGACAGGCAATTCATGGGGCTTCACTTCTTTAGGGTCAGCTAGTGAAGATTTATTTTGTTCTTTGCTTATGTCATGTTTCTGTTTCTTTCTATTCCCTGTAGCTTTGCTTTGGTGTCTGTGCATTTGCATAAGCAGCCACCTTTCCCAGTCTTAACAAAGTGTTTTCAATAGTGAAAACCTTCACCAATAAGCCTGGGTAGAGATTCTGAGGGTCTCTCAAACAGCAAGCTATGCACCCCTATTCCATTTTTCTTAGCAAGCCTCACCAAATGGTGTCAATTCTGTCAGTGGTCCGTGTGGGTTGAGTCAAAAGCTGGCCCCTCAGGCAACACACGGAGAGGCCAGGGCATTGGAGGTAAGCTTTACTCTTCTCCCTTCGGCCTTGGTAAGGCCTCAGTTTCTGCCCTTTTTCTCAATCTTGCAGAGCTGTGCCAGCTCTGAACTATGCCAGTTTCACAGGTGTTCGTGAGGCAAGACAGAAACCAGCCTCTCAGGCAGTGCACAAAAAGGTCAGAGATATTTCATGGGCACGCCGATCTCTCTTTCCCCTGAGAGAGAAATTGCAGACTGAGACAATCTCCCTCAGCACTGAACTGTGCCAGTTCGGGGAAAGGTTAACACGGGTAAAGTGAAATTGTTCTTACTCATTTCAATGTGATTGTTCTCAGTTTTGTGCTTGGTTAGAGTACTACAATCTCTTAATTTGATTTTAGACTTCTTGTAACTGTACTTTGATCTGCATATCATTGTTACATCAATATTTCTGTGGAGAATGAAGACTAGGACTTCCTATTCTGCCTTCTAACTGGTGTCATTTAATCATCAATTTTTTAATGGACTCTTTTCCCCTTCTGGAAATTACGTAACCCTAAGTAATATGAACATATGGAGAGGTCTTAAGTCTTGGGTTACTTTTGTTAGTATTAGTGCATTATTTGGTTTATTAGACATTGTGTTCTTGGTGGAGTGTGACAATGACCTTCATGGTTTGCATTTATATAACATACAGGGGTCCTCAACTGTCCTCCAGTGCTGTAGTCCTTTGACCATAGCTTCTAAAGGAACACATGATTATTTTCTATCAAGCTGTTAAGAAAAGAACACCTAACCAGTTTCTGGGGTTACTCTGCTCTTGTACAGTCCCCAGGCCTTCCATGTAGATAATTCAACCTAATTTATTCAAAGGCCTAACCCTCCAAAAGACTGACTGTGCATGGTGAGAATAGATTTAGATCAGCTCCACCTTCAGCTTGGAGACAAGAAGTGCAAAATAACTACCAGTTATTTCTAGTGAGGAAAATAGCCTGGAGCTAGATAATCCAAGGCCTACTTAATCTCTGTTCCTGGAGGGAAGAGGATAGAAGAAATGAGAAATGTTTTAGTTTTTCTTTGTTGAGATAATATTAGTTAAATAATAAATAAATAGCAAACTTTTCAAGTGATACTGCATGATACTATGTTAGAAACTTGTGTTGAAGCAATACTTCAGAAAGTTTTATATACCAAGTTAAAAAAAACAAAGTGTTTATCTCCGTAGGCAATCAAAGCATAATCAGTTTTTCTGAGCAAGGAACTCATATAACTAGATTTGCATTTTTTATTTAAAACATTGGCACCAACGTCAACCATGGTTTAGAAGGGTAGCCGACTGAAGTCAGGTGTTTATGAAAGGGTTTGCAAATGACAATGGAGAAAGTAGTTTTAAGGAAAATGGGGGCTTTTTCCTGGGTGATTGAAATAATATTTATAATATTAACTGAGCTAAGAAATGCTGTACAAGCTAGGAGTCATTAGTCAGGGAGTTTGGCTTTTTGAGCTGTCAATCCTGTGTGTTTCTATCACTTAAAAATTGGCCTGCAGATGGTAGCCAGTATTATTATTTTTTAACATTTATTGAGTATTGACAGTGTGTTAAGCCTCATGTGGAACATTGGAAAGGCGTACATATCTATGCACATTCCCACTCCCACCTCCGTCTGCTCCTTCATTTTGTTATTGTCATAATTTATTGGCACTTGTAAGTTGCTCACTGATTTGTTATTCACTTATTAATTACAACTACAAGATAAATAGTAAAAAAATTTAAGACATTTTAGAAGTGCATTCATTTATCATTTAAAGCTTGATAGGAGATGGATATATGACAATTGCTTAAAATTCTGTTCAAATATGGGTTGTATGTATTTAGTATACATGTACTAAATGCTTTGCGGTTTTACAAATAGCTTTACATTTGTAAACATAGCTTATCTTGAGCTTAATAAATATAGAAAATTACTGTGTTATAGCAACATATTTAAAAATCACAGAAAAGTCCACATAATAATATTACAAATATCAGTGCTTTGACACACAGAGACACACACAAATACAAGTAGTTTTTTGGTGGTGGTGGTGTTGTTTTGGAGACAGAGTCTCGCTCTGTCGTCGAGGCTGGAGTGCAGTGGCACGGTCTCCGCTCACTGCCCTCTCCACCTCCTGGGTTCAAGCAATTCTTCTGCCTCAGCTTTCTGAGTAGCTGGGACAATAGGTGCAGGCCACCATGCCCAGCTCATTTGTGTGTGTGTGTGTGTGTGTGTGTGTGTGTGTTTTAGTAGAAACGGGTTTTCACCGCGTTGCCCAGGCTGGTTTCGAACTCCTGAGCTCAGGCAATCCGCCCACCTTGGCCTCCCGACGTGTTGGGATTACAGGCATGAGCCACCGTGCTGGGACATAGTTTTTAATTAAATAAAAAATAATTATAGATACATTTAAAATAAATTCAAAATTCAATTTCTCCTTCTCAGTACGGTTTACCTGTCTCCCAGAAGTAGCTACCATCATAAATTTAACAAATTGGATCTCTTTCCATCCAATGTTGTACTTTTACCACATATAGCTATACTATATGTGGTAAAGATACTACATATCTTTAAATAATATGTAGTATAGCATTGCGTTTTTTAAATTAATTAAATCATTTTACTCTGAATTTTCTTTAAAAAGTATTCACTCATTTTATTCATGATCTCTTCTTAAATTTAACTATTGTTTTGTACTAAACCTCTAACTTTAGAAATTGTTATAATGTATTCATCTATTCACCTTTTGGTGGACATTTGAGTGGTTTCTATTTTTGCTATTGCAAATATTATTCCAATAAACATATTTACGTGTGTACCATGTTGCACATATGAGAGTTTTCTCCAGCACTTGAAATTCAAATTGCTGGGTCTTTGGGTATTCATATGCATTCATATTTTCAATTTTAGTAAATATTGCAAAACTTTTCTTTAATATGATTGAACTATTTCACAATCTAGATAAGAGTGTATGAGATTTTTGTATTTTCACTGCACATCCTAAGATTTGATATTGTTTCCTTTCCTTCTATTTTATTTTAATTTAGCTAATCTTACAGTTTTGAAATGGAACCACCATTACTCTGATTTGTGTATTCTGATTGCTAGTCAGAATGAGTATCTTTTTATATAGTTACTGGCCATTTATTTATTTTTGTTAGTAAATTGCCTTTTCGTATATTTTGGCTGTCTTCCTATCAAGTTGTTCTATTAATTTTTAACTGCATAATGGAGACTTACTTGACACATAATAAAATGTGTAATTTAAATTATATAATTTGATGAGTGTTGATCAAACTATACGTCCATGAAGCCATCATCACAGTCAAGATAATAATTGTTAGAAATCATCAATATATTCTCAACAACAATTTTGTCTGTTACATATTTTGCAATATCTTCTGTCACTGCCTTATTGTTTATTATGATATTGTTGATCACAATTTTAAACATCAAGGTACTCCATCTACTAATCTACTTTTTAAATAAATTTTGCTATTTATATTAAGTCAAAGGAATACTTTCTAGGCCTGAGAACTCAAGGATATCCTCCTATGTTTTATTCTAATATTTTTAAAGTAATTGTTCTTATATTGAGGTAATTAATTCATATGGAATTTATTTTTATGGTTTGAAGAGAAACTGAATTTAATCTTTATCTGTGTAGATAGCCAGTCATTTCAGTAAACACTAAATTTCCTCTTTAATCCCTATTGATTTGTAATATTATTACTATCACATATCAAGCTTTTTATGTACTTCAGGCTGTTTCTCAAAACTTTCATCTGTTACATTGAATTGTTTCTTTATTTCTATACCAATATCACAGCAATAGGATTATTCATACATTACAATCAAGCATTGGATCAGGAAGGGCTTTCTCCTTTTATATAATTTTTCATATAATAATGCCTGTTTCTTCTTTACTCTTTATGGTTTCATTCTATTTCTGTCTTTAACTCTCCACCTGTATTTCTTCTTCTTTTTTTTTTTTGAGACGGAGTCTTGCTCTGTCGCCCAGGCTGGAGTGCAGTGGCGTGATCTCGGCTCACTGCAAGCTCCGCCTCCCGGGTTCACGCCATTCTCCTGCCTCAGCCTCCCGAGTAGCTGGGACTACAGGCGCCCCCCACCGCGCCTGGTTATTTTTTTGTATTTTTAGTAGAGACAGGGTTTCATCATGTTGGCCAGGATGGTCTCGGTCTCTTGACCTCATGATCCACCCGCCTCGGCCTCCCCAAAGTTCCACCTCTATTTCTATCTCACTCTCTCTCCCTTTTATCAACGTACGTAATTTTAATCAGAATTGCATTAAATTAATAAAGATGGAAGAATTCCTATTTTAATATTAGTACCTCCCATATGCTAATATTACATTTCTCCCCATTACTTCAGTTCAACTTATACATCCTTCTACTTAGTTTTATGTATTCCTATGGGCTTTACAATTTTTGTGCTATTATAAATGTTTCATATTATTCTATTACATTTTCTATTCAGATATTCATGATATTTAACAATTATCTTTACTTTTTTCTACATTATCTTGCAATAGTATTTTCTGATTATTTTCTATGTATTATGAACATATACTCTTTAGTATTCTATGTAAATAGTATTAACCTTTCATCTGTTAATATCTCTTATTCTTGTCTTTTTCTTTTATTCCTGTCTCTTATTCTTCTCTTTTTCTTGTCCTTTCTAATGAGTTTGAATTATCAGTTAAATATTAGATAGCCATGGCAATAGTAAACATTTCGTCTCAATTCTTACATTAATTACAGTATACCTAAAGTTTAACCATAAAGATGTTTACAGTTGATGTTTAATAGATATTCTATGATTAAGTATGGGAATTCTCTCTATTCCAGTTTGCTAAAATGTTATTTTATTATTATTAAATTTGGAACTGTATTGAGTAACTTTTCTGTATTTAATGAGCTAATCTGAATATTTACTGTATTCAGTAGATAAGCAATTTAAATATTATTGCTCTCTCATGGTAAATCCCACTGATGGAGATACATCTTACACACACACACTGACACACACACATTGCTACATAAGATTTGCTTGATTTATTTAATATATTCACATTTATATTCATAAGCAAGGATGTGCTATAATTTTCTTTTACTGTCTTATCTTTTTTGATATCAATTTTTATCAGTCTTATAAAATTAACTGCACACTGCACACTTTTTTGATTCCCTAAAATATTTAACATAAGAAAATATATTAATTTGTGCTTTCATCTCTACTATGTCCTCTCTTCTATGTAATTTAGGCTTATTTTGTGGTTCTTTCTCTAGCTTCTTGATCTAAATTCTTAGCTCATTTAGTTTCAGTTTTTATTGGTTTTGATTACAAAATAAGTTGTTTGCTACCAACAAGTTTGAAAGTTTTTAAAATAAATTATTTGTGACCTGGTAAAAATACAGTTGTAAATGCATGCTTGAAATAAGTTTATATTCTCTTCTTGGCATATATATAGTTAAAATAAAAACATGTACAACATAATTATATATGATTAAGTAACTATTATATATTATGTAATATATGTGATGCATTATTTATAGTTTATAAGTTATGTAAACATTTAAAAAGTTATATTAATATAATTATATGTAATTTGTACATGTATCCAATTATATGTAATTGTGTTGTACATATATGTTAACCACTACTATCAATCTGCTTAATATATTACAGTGTGGCACTGGCCAAGGATAGACCTATATAGCACAATAACAAATAGAGGGTCCAAAGACAGACCGACACGTATATGGTTAATTAATTTTCAGCAAGGATGTCAAGGTGGTTCAATGGTAAAAGACTAGCCATTCAAGCAAATTGTGCTCACACAATTGGCCATTTTGGGCCAAAAAATTCTCAATCCCACCTTGCGCCATGCAAAAATTAACTTGCAATAGATTATAAACCGAAATATCAAACGTAAAGTTATAATACTTATGAAATAAAAACCAAGAAAAATGTTTGTGAGCTTGGGTCAAGAAAAATTTCTTATTTAGAACTGAAAAATTTTGAACCAATTTTTTAAATCAGTAAATGTCTTCCTCAAAAGTAAAAGGTTGCATTTCAAAGAACACTGCAAAGAAATAACAATATAACTCTTCAGACTAGAAAACAATATTTTCAAAATACTTTTCTGATAAAAGATTTGTATCTGGAATATATAAAGAGCTATTATAACTTAGTAAGAAAAAATAACCCAAACTATGTAAAAGATTTGAGCAGAAATTTTCCCAAAGATGTATAAATAGCCATTAAGAATGTGAAAACATGCTCATTATCATTAGTCATTAGTGAAATGCAAACTGAAACCACAATGAGATATCATTACACATTTACTAGATTGGCTAAAAAAACAACTGATAAGACCAAATACTAGTGAGAGTATGAAATATCTGGAACACTTATATATTAAGTGATGATGCGAAGCAGTACAGACATTTTAGAAATTAGTTTGTTCATTTTTTTACAAAGTAAAGCAGTTATCAATTGACCCACCTATCCCAATCCTAGGTGGAGAAATAAAATACATGTTCAAAAAAAATCTGTGTGGGAAAGTTTATTGCAGCTTTATTCATAATTGCTGAAAAGTAGAAACAACTCAAATGTCAATCAACAGTTAAATAGTTAACTGTGGAACACCACCCAACGGAATAATTTTCAGCAATAATATAGAAATAAGTAGTGATGCATGCATCGTCATGGATGAATCACAAATACATTATGCTAACTGAAAGAAGCCAGGTTCAAAAGGCTACACATGGTAGAATTGCCTTGATATGATGTTGGGAAAAGCCACAACTATAAGGTCATAAAAAGGAATAGTGTTAGCTAGATTGGCTGGATGTGAGGAAGGTGGATTCACTACAAAAGAGTATCTGGGAACTTTTTGGCGTAATGCAAATGCTCACTAAATGGTGGTTGCAAGACTGTGCATTTGTTTAAAAATGAGTGAAATGCAGAAAAATGTAATTTTATTGTTTGTAAATTATAATCCAATAATGTTGACTTAAATTTTTAAAATAATTTTAATATAGAGGCCTTACATTTATTTTATGGGAACATTACTCCTAAATATTTTGTGTTTTTGATACTATTTTAGATCTCACGTATAAGGCATGCCCTCAATAACTCATGGACTTACAAAGAAGAAAAAAAAAGCACATAACTTTTTATGTGCTTTTTAAAAATTCAGCCTTGAATTGTTTCTTAAAGCATAAAATTATGTTTAATTTTATTGTCTTGGTTAAGTTCCAAAAAAATCCGCTGAACTGTTACATTAATTCTAATTTGTAAAAAATGCTTTTGAATTTTTCCTTGTACACAATTATCTCACTAGTGGATTATAAATTTTTTTTATTCCGCAAAAAAGTAATTTAAAAAAATTAAGTTCATATATCTCATGTCATTTATTACAGTCTCCACAGCTTAAAAGTAGCAGACAAGGCCGGGTGAGGTGGCTCACGCCTGTAATCCCAGCACTTTGGGAGGCCGAGGCAGGTGGATCACCTGAGGTCAGGAGTTCGAGACCAGCCTGGCCAACATGGTGAAACCCCGTCCATACTAAAAATACAAAAATTAGCCAGGTGTGGTGGCGGGCGCTTGTAATCCCAGCCACTTGGGAGGCTGAGGCAGGAGTATTGCTTGAACCCGGGAGGCAGAGGTTGCAGTGAGCTGAGATTGCACCACTGCACTCCAGCCTGGGCTACAGAGCGAGACTCCAGCTCAAAATAAGGTAAAATAAAATAAAAAAATAAAAGTAGCAGACAATAACTTCCAATAATGCTCTTCTGAATGTAAATGCCATTTAATTATTTTTCTCACGTTTATAATTTAATTGCCCTAATTATTTAATGTAAGGTATCTGTGTTGGATGTGTTTTATTTATAAGACTCATTTATGCCGGCTCGGCTCTAACTTCCCATTTTTATTATTATTTCTTTTTAAGACAAACTCACTCTCTCTTGCCCAGGCTGGAGTTCAGTGGCGCAATCTAGGATCACTGCAACCTCTGCCTCCCAGTCTCAAGCCATCCTTCCCCCTCAGCTTCCCAACTGGAACTACAAAGGCGCACCACCATGCCCGGCTAATTTTTGTATTTTTCGTAGAGATAGAGTCTTACCATATTGCCCAGGTTGTTTACGAACTTCAGAGCTCCAGCAATCTGCCCCACTCTGCCTCCCAAAGTGCTGGGATCACAGGCGTGAGCCTAGGCGCCCGGCCTTATTTCCTATTTTTTAAATAATAGATTCTCAATTTCCCTCGAGAAGAAAATTCAGTGCCACATTCCATCTGTGAATTTAAGCTGAATGAATACACGCACAATCAGAACACCACATACCCTGCCCACAGTAAATGATTTAGGGATCAACAAATGGCTGATGACAGGTTTATCAATCTTCAGAATTTTACCGGATTTATTTAGAAGATGGAGCATTCTTTCCATGAAGCTTGTAGAGATGTAGAATGTCAGGGACTGCTGTCTGGTGAGAACCTCTTTGTTGATAAAGCCAGCACACAGGAAATCGGAACTGAGGGACAGAGACAGAATTCTGATAATATCTTTGATTCAATTTTCCCGGAAGCCAAATTGGTTTCTCTACTTTTCAGTTATGTGAAACAATAAATTAACCTTTTTTTTTTTCTGGAACCAGTTTGAATGTGAGTATCCTCTGATTTACTGAGGCACAAAATGGAACATTGGTCTGAAAACAAAGAGGTCTCACATATAAGGCATGTCCTCAATAACTCACAGACTTACAAAGAAGAAAAAAAAGCACATAATTTTTTTCTATGCTAAATTAATTGATTACCTCACTCAAAGGATTACCTCACTTTTGAGAATATTTATAAGAATAAATTGAATTAACGAAATGTGAGCCATTTCCTTATGCAAGCCAAGAGGCTAACAGTATTTTCAAAGTAAATAAAATCTTTATTTGAGTAAAAAGATGCGGTCCTACATAAAGTCAGATTCATGTTCTATTTAATGCTATTGGCAGCTTTTTGGACTTACTTTTTTCAAAGATCGAGATTCTTTAATCATTGTAAGTTTTCAAGATCAGATAAGGAATATGTGATTCCAAACATTTAAAAATAAATTGCTTTGCCATCTGTGGGGAAAAAAGCACATAGAGACGGCCTCAAGCACTGTTATCAGAAGCTGGAAATAAAACCAAAGACCCTGCCAGACTTCTTGGATCAAATACCTGTTCATTACTAGCCACTCTTTGCCATTTTTCTTAATTATACTATTGTTAAATAAAAACTGAAAAAATATGTAGTAATCTATAACATTGAAAATATTGCTAAATAACATTTTTAGAATGCAATAAATTAGAAACCAGTCAAACTCTGTGGCTACTTAGCTTCTAATAATGATTTATTAAAATTTTGAACTTAACAAAAAGTTAATTAAATAATTTGTAGGACATACTAGTGTGAATTGTGTAAAAAAATTAATAATATTACTAAGGTTAACTCAAGAAATTTTGTGCCTATAAATATACATAAAATGTCAATCTCTGTATGTAGGTACAGTACAGTGGGCCTCTATATCTGTGAGTTTTGCATCCTTCGATTTAACCAATCATGGATCCAAAATATTTAGAAAAAAAAGATAATTGTATCTGTACTAAATACGTACACATTTTTTTCTTGTCATCATTCCTGAAACAATACAGTATAACAGCTACTTACATAGCACTTACATTGTATTAGTTATTATAAGTAACCTAAAGACAATTTGAAGCATACAGGAGGTAAGATGTTTATAGGTTATATGCAAATAATATACACCATTTTACATAAAAGACTTGGGCATCAGCAGATTTTGGTATCACCTGGGCCAGGGGTGGGGAGCTGAAACCAATTCCCCATGGATCATAAGGGTGACTGTATATAAACTGCCTAGCATCAAGTATGTCTTTAACACACAATTTTTAATAGGATTGCATTAAACCTATATAATAATTTAGAGAGAACTGACATCTCTTTCACGTTGAGGTTTATAATCCGTGAGCATGATATGTCTTCTCATTTATCTAGGTCTTCTTTGATTTCTTCCATCAGCATTTCATAATTTTTTTGGATACATATGCTCTGAAGTAAGTTTAAGTAGTACCGTGTTTTAATTTTTGACAAAAAGGTAGTTGATATTTGTGCATTGTTCATAAATCTTGCAACCTTGTTGAATTCACTAAATAGGTCTAGGTTTTAAAAAAATAGAAGGATTTTTAGTGAAGACGATCACATCATATGCTAACAGGAACAATTTTATTTCTTCCTTTCCAATCTGTATGACTTTTTTTTTCTCCTTTTTGCACTGGCTAGAACTTCTGAGTGAATAGAGTAGTAAAACCAGACATCCTTACCTTGTTTCAATCTTGGAAGGAAAAAGAGTCCGTCTTTTAGTCTTAGGTGTGATGTTAGCTGAAAGTTTTGGTAGATGCTCTTAACTCCACTGTATTTCTAATGTGCTGAGAGTTTGTTTCTTTGTTTTAATCATAAATCAGTGCTGGATTTTTGTTAAATGCTTTTCTGTGTCAGCTGATACAATCACATGACTTTTCTTGTTCAGCCTGTTGATATGGTGAATTAAACTGATTGATTTTCAAATGTTGAACCAGTCTTACATACCTGGAAAATATTCCATATGTAATGATGTTAATTATTTTTATACATTGCTGGATTTAATTTGCTAATGCTAAGGGCTTTTATGTCTAAGCTCATGAGAAATATTTGTCTATATTTTCTCCTTTTTACTTTGTGCTGTTTTTATGGATTTGTATGGTAGATCTAGATAGTATCTAGACGATGGAAATTTGAAAAGCTCTTGGAACCATTTTCTCACAGCTTTTTTGTCTTTTTTCCCCCAACTTTGCAGAGATTCACCCTACACATGCACATCTTAGTAAGACTCAAGAAAAACCTGATCAGATTTCTAGATTTCTGTATAGATCCCTCTTTTTCACAACTCTGCTCTGTAGCTTCCAGTTAATTTAGACTTTCTAATCTGTGTCTTCTCAAATCAGTGATACTTCTGTGTTTTTTGGGGGTGAGGGAGAATTCGTCTCTATAATGGTTAATTTTGTATGTCAACCTGGCTGGGCCATAAGGCCCAGATATGTGGTTATATTTATAGGTGTTCCTTTGAGGGTGCTTTTTTTTTTCTTAAAATTAACTTTCAAATCTGTGGACCTTGAATAAAGCAGATTCTCCTTCGTAATGTGGGTGGGCCTCACCTAATCAGTTAAAGGCATGAATTAAACAAAAGACTGATCTCCCCCAGCATGAGAAAATTCTGAAGCAAATGAATTTCAGTCTTCAACAGCAACACTAGCTTTTCCCTAAGTCTCCTACCTAATGGGCTTTGGACTTGAACTGGAGCACCGGCTCGGCCCTGAGTCATCTCTAGCCTGCTGGCCCACCTTGTAGATTTTGGACTTACCAGTCTTAATAATGCATGAGTCAATTTTTCAAAATAGTATATTTTTTTTCTGTAAATACATATCCTGTTGGTTCTATTTCTCTGGAAAGCCCCAACTAATGCACTTTCTGTGCTCTGTGATCTGAAATATATCTCCAGGAAGAAAAATTGTAAGACATAGTACTCACTTTTATTTGCTTCATTTCTCTCAGAGACAACAGTTCTGTGCTGCTTGTAGTTCAATGTTTAAAAATTTATCTCATGTATTTTTCTGTATTTCATATAGTTTTCTGTTTTCTAGTTACTTTTTAGGGTGTAAGGTTAAATCCAGTTCCTATTACTTCATTATGGCTACAAATGAAAGTCTAACTTAATTTAAAGTCTAAGAAAACAACTCAGTTTCCACGTCCCCTATAATGTTTTGTTTCTGTTCTCCAAATACGTGTTAGTCCTTTTATTAATTTGTGTGTAAATGGAAATGTGAATGCTTTTTATTTAACAGAAAGAAGACATAACATTTGTCTATAGTCAAATACGAGTTTACATACTAGCTCCACCACACACTAAGTGCTATGAGCAGTTTATGTGCCTTCTCAGGTCTATTATTTCCTCACTTAACAATTGTGAGTAATAATTGCTTAATATAATTATTGGATATAAAGCACCTGGGACACACTGTACCTTCAGTAATTGCTAGTGTACTGAGAACAATTTCCTGGGAAATTCTCCACCCTTTTCCTCCATGTCAATGTAAAGTAAAGCCATAATGCCGTTTTGTGTATTAAGTCTATGTTTTCCAAGCTGCATTTAGTATAGGTGTAGACACCTGGTAGTTGTAAGATTTAAAGCTCAAGTATTGTATGCAGCAGCCATGTTTCCTATCATCATGAATAACAGAGACAAGAAGGATGAAGACAACGAGGAGGACAAGCAGGAGGTAAAAGAGGAAGACGAGAAGCAGAAAGTGAGAGAGAGAGAAAGAAAGGATTTCTAGGTGACGAAATATTTTTCTGGTAATATTCAATTCTTTGGATTAATTTTTTTCTTAAGGTCCAGAGACCAGCTGCATTCCATTCTGTGAGTTCCGTGAAACACCTCAGTATCCTTACAATAAAGTTTCACCTTGGTTTAAGTTAGGCTAAATTTAAATTTTGAGTTTTGCAATTCAACAATTTTCCACTAATAGTGTTTATCTGTTCTTCAACCTTGATATTCTTTGTTACCTTGGACATTTTAATTCATATATTTTTCCTTCTGTAGCAACTCAGATAATGATTTGCTCTTTCACTCTCTAATACTTTGTAAGATTTAAAGAGAGTTTTTAAACAATATATATTGAGTTTATTAATGATGTGCAGTACAGAAGTCAGCATAAAGTGAGTAGCAAAACTACTCATCCTATGAATACATTTTATTAGCCTTTAAATGTCCCCACTTGCACTGCTTCTCATAATCCTAAATCTTTAATTATAAATAACTTTAATTACAGTCCTTCTTTTGCATGGCGAAAGTAATGAAATATGGAACTTGTTGGCCAAACTTATATGAATTCATAACTTAACAATTGGAGTGAAATCTGCAAATATTCAAACACGTCTCCAGTGTAACAAAAAAAAATGTAACAGTGAGTCACAGAATAGGTTCACCTCAGTTCCACCTAAATAAACACTGCATAAAGCATTATTCAACATTAATTTACTTCTTCAATAACTCACTGCAGTGACAGAAAGTCCCAGGCAACAGTTTCGAAATAACATGAACTATCTTCAAGAGAGACCCAAACTGGATCTAGCAATCAGAAATCTTGACTTAGAAATCTAGAATGGACATAAAGAGAATATCTGTCCCAGACTCCTGCTTTCAAGTAGTTGATATCATCAAACTTTATTTTACGTACAGGTAACTGTGACCTACAAATATATAATGCTTTGGCTAAGGTCTCCTTCTTTTTTTGAAAATGAAATCACGGCAAGAATCTAGTGTTCATCTATTAATTCAATTATTTATATAGCAAATAACTATGTAATGAATACTTATTACACGCCAGTCACTGTGTTAGTTGGTATGGATAAATGGCAGATGAGCCGAGCAGAAGATTGGGTCTTATAAATTTTATTTAAAAAATTACATTTCTTCTACATATATTATTGAAAAAGAAGCTTTCTAATATTCTTCCTTTTTTCTATGCTTAATGAACTTATCAATTATTTAATCAATAGGTTACAACTCACTCTTATTAGTTCTCATTCTAATGCTCAAATTCTCACAGATCTGTCCAGTGGCAATGCATTACATTTGGATATTATGTCCTTTTGGCTTGTAATCATTATTGTTTAACAGCTTCCTTATTTTCTGGAATAGCAAGTTGTTTCAGGATGATTCTGGATATTCCAGTTTCAACTCTGAAATTAGGCATTTCTCAAGGCAGCCCTTTGTTATTTTTAATGAGAATAGTTTCTAGGATCCCATATCTGGATAATGGTAGTCATTGCTAGATGTCTCTCGATACAATGCACTAGAAGGACTCAACGCCATATCTGTGGTATATCTCCTGAATGCGTAACATAAATCTAATCTTCAGTAGACCTCAGACAAGCCAAATTGAGAGGGAGTCTACAAAATAAATGGCTCACACTCTTTAAAAATACTAAGGTAATGAAAGAAAAATACATTCTGAGGAAATCTACTATACTAAAGGCAACTAAAGAAATATGACAACACAATGGAACATGTGATCCTGAATTGGATCCTACCACAGAAAAATTATAGTACACAACAAACTATTTTAAGTGTAATTGTGATTAGTGCTACCATGGAAAAGTGGAAGATGCAGTGTTCTCATGAGACCAATATGGAAAAGAAGATAAAGGAAATGCAAGTTATTTACTATATGGAATTTCCTGATAGTTTGGTATGATATAATGAATATCAGTTTTGGATGAAGAGGACACAAGTTCAATTCCCAGCCTTATTCAAGTACTAGTTCCTCAACTATGAGTTAAGTCACTTACTTATACTGACTCTCATTTATTGTGAGATAATTATGTGAAAATGTTTTTAAAACTCCAAAGCATTTTATAAATAATAATCATTGTTAAATATAGATTAGCGTAGTCTTCTTAATCTATTTCTTTGACTTTAGTCTGTTATCCTGGGTCCATAGTTCACAATGTTACAGTTTCATCTCCCTCACCCAAAGTTACTGGAAAATATTTTCTTCATGACTGCTACTCCATAAAGCATATATTTTTTCTGTATGCCATGATGTAGACTGAAAGCAACCTGATGGCAAGGAGTGCTTCTTCATTGTCTTCATATCTTGCCAGAACAAAAAAACAAAATGCCTGGAGAAAAAAGGATAAATTCAGTGATGTTTGATGAGTGAACAAATGATTATGGGTAGCTGGTAAAAGCCAGTGGATCCGGTATCCAAATACCTCACTATACTATCTTAGGAAAGTCAACACGCTGCTCTCATTTTTGCTTTTTTACTTGTAAAATCAAGAAAATAATATCTGCCTTAAATGGCCCTTGTGAGTCAATGAAAATAATGCCCTTGCATGTGCTTAACACATGTGATATGTCATGTGTATTAGTTTTCTAGGGTTCTTTTAACAAAGCACCACAAACTTGGGGTGGCTTAAAACAATATAATATTTTTTTCATAGTTCCACAGTCCAGAAGTCCAAAATGGAGGGGTTAACAGGGTTGGTTCCTTCTAGAGGCATTGAGAGAGAAACTATTCCATCCTTCCCTCCTAACTCCTGGTGACGTCAACAATCTTTTATGTTCCTTGCCTTGCAGATGCATCACTTCAATCTCTATCTTCATTTTTGCATAGCTTTCCTTTTGTGTCTGGGTGTGTCTGTCTCTTCTTTTCTGTCTCTTTATAAGGATACTTGTCATTTTGTTCAGAGTACTCAAAAAAGGGGGAAGGGAAGAGAGGATTTTCTCCTTTCCCGAATGGAATTTGATGTTGCTTCTATGCATTAGTGCTTTGCTAATGATGACAGTGTCTCAGCATTTTGATGGGGTTGATATGGTGCACAGCACCTCTGGTGGTACCCCATCCAAGGTTGTATAGATGATAATAGCTGATAGCCCACTCTGTGTAGTAGCAAAAGCTGGTGCAATTGGTAAAACTAGATGATAGCAGTTTGGGAATTTCTGCAAATATTGTCCACCAGGAATACTGGTAGTGATGCCCCTGTACAATTTTATGGGCCCAGGCAATATTAACAATAGCCCAATGGATTGCGGATAATAAAATCATAGAAGAAGATGGAAGAAATCAGACAGATGAAACATAACTTAGAGAGTCTTCAGAAATAAGTGAGACTATCTGGAGTATCAAAGGTCTAGCAATTTCTGATATATGTGAGTTAGGAAAATATAGCTATGTTTTTTTGTTTCAGGCCTGTGAGTTTGTAAAACTTAGAAGCTTCCCACAAGTTATTTAGGCATAACATTCCCTTTTAAGTATTAAGATATCTAAATTTAATGGGTCTGGATAATTTAATTCAATAATTATTTATTGAATACGTATGTCGTAGGCAGAATGTTCCCCCAAAGATGTCCATACACTAATCATTGGATTTTAAGAATAGATTACCTCAGTTGGCAGAAGAGACTTTGCAGATATAATTAGAAGTAGAGAGTTTAAAATGGGGAAATTATTCTGGATGGTCTGGGTGGGTTCAATTTAATCACACAAACCATTGAAAGCAGATATTTATTAGAAGTAGAGAGTTTAAAATAGGGAGATTATTCTGGATAGTCTGGATGGGCTGAATTTAATCACACAAACCGTTGAAAGCAGTGAAGTTATTTGGTGGGGAGCAAAGGAAGTGTGCAAGAGGGCAAGTTAGAGAAAATCAAATCATGAGAAGGGCTTGGCTTGCCCTTTCTGGTTTGAAGATGGTGGGAGAAACACCATGAGAATGCAGGTGGCCTTATGGAGCTGTGACAGGCTCTCTGCTGACAGTCAACATATATAGAAGGACCTCAGCTATACAGTCACAAGGAAATGAATTCTGTTAAGAACTTACATGAGCTTGGAAGTAGATTCTCCTGTAGAGCCTCCATAAATAAACTTGGCCCTGTTGGTACCTTGACTTTGGTCTTGTGACACTTAAAAAACAAACAAACAATCAAAACAGATAAGCCACGCTGTATCAGGATTCTGACCACAGAACTGGGAAAAGTCATATTGCTTCACCCACTAAGTTTATGAGAATTTGTTACCACAGCAACAGAAACCTAATTCTACAAATAATATAGAAACATTTTTCTAGGTGCTAGAGACATATAGAAATTAATAAAATGTGATGGAGCCATTTCCATTCTTTAGAGTTACAAATAAGTCAAGAAAAGGCAAGAAAGTAGAGGGATGTCTTTTGATTCAAAATATTAAGAGGGACTGCCTAGAAAAATTGAAATATGAGTTGAGCTAAGAAGAATTTTCAAGATAAAGTGAATTTTGCTAAAATGAATATTTATGTCAATTTATGAACAACATCCTCTGTTCCTTCCATAAGATTGAGTGATCATTCCAATCTAGCTTTCTTTGAATGTCCATAGAGTCTGGTCAAAAGTTAATTATCCCTACCTTTTCTGATGGATGGATAGATCAGTAGCTAGCAGGATAATATATGCGTAACCATTCAAGAATGGATTGTCCTAAGTATAATGCACATGAATTTATATGAAATACACTTGATTTCCCTTTTTTCTTTTCCTTAACCTTTTTGTAGATTGTAAAATTAATGTTTATGTAAAAAGTTAAATATACCAGGACTTCAAAGAAAATCAAAGTCACCTGAAGTCATATCAAGTGATAAATACATTACATATTAGAATGTATTTTTCTAGTCTTTATTCTAAACAATATATTACACAAATATAGTTATTTGTTTGACATCAAATTGGAATCACATAACATTAAATACTTTTGTAAAGTCCGTTTTCACAATATATTATTATATTATATAAAATATTACATGTCATTGTTAATGCTGGCGTAGCAGCAACACCCTATGTGTCACCAATTACTTGGAAAAGTAGATTGTTTTCTAAATTTTTACTATTTTAAGATATGCTGTAGTAAAAACTATTATAGAATACTCTTTCTATAAATAAATTATTACTTCTGTAGAGTAAGCATTCCATCTTCAATAAAATGTACTGTCTGAAATTGTCCCATAAGCGGTATATCATGGAACCAGTGCCTAAAGGGGACACAAAGAATCAAACTAAAAA
The DNA here is from genome assembly GCF_000001405.40 of Homo sapiens. Classification (NCBI taxonomy): domain Eukaryota; kingdom Metazoa; phylum Chordata; class Mammalia; order Primates; family Hominidae; genus Homo; species Homo sapiens. The sequence continues at coordinate 190,791,687 of NC_000003.12, forward strand.
ACAACAAAACAACCATAGTTTGAGATATGGAGTCAGGGTGTCAGAGTTATGAAAAGGGAGCTATAGTTCCTATAAATTAGTTTTGAGCAAAAACCTGGGAAGATATCCAACTGTAGAAGTATGAAATTGCTTTAATTTTTTTAAAACAGGGCAGCTATTAAGTTGCTTTTAGCTAATGAGTCTTTTTAGTATTGTATTCCTATACCAAGGATCAGTCAGTAATTATTTTGATCAGGATTTTAAAATTTCCCTTGCACAACAAGTAAGAGATCTCTTTTGGCCTTAAAGCTAATGGATTGTATAGATTTCCAAACCCAATTCTCCTTGCTAAAGGAAAAGAAAAACAACAAAAAACTGACAGCAACAGAATGCCTTTTATGAGTGGGCCACTAGTCTGGCACTTTATAGATCTTATTTAATCCTCATCCCAAACCCTGTGAAATAGATAAATATTTACTCCATTTTGTAGATGAGGAAATTGAAAGTCTGTGCACTTAAACAATATTAATATAACCGAAGTAGCATTATTAATAAATTGAAAAACCGTAATTCAAAAACCACATCTGCACAGTCTTAAAACTCAGATTTTCCTCAAATAATGCCGTTCCCACGAGATGAAGGAGTGGAATAAGGATGCAGTGAAGAAGAGAAGAGAAAAGTATAAAAAGAAATGAGAAAAGAACAGAGGGAGAGAGAGGAGAGAAGCAGGAGAGAGAGGAAGGAAGGGATGGAAAAAAAGAGTGACAATGTGATGTCGACATTTTTTCCTTATGCCATTAAGTGTATTAGCTTGAATGACATAAATAGAAAAATTGTACGATTTGCCTTAGACAACACCCAAAGAAGAAATAATCAGCTTTTGTTTTCAGTAGTTTTTCTTTAAAATATTTTTATAAAAGTATGAAACTATAATAGAATTAGTTTTCCTCATCTCTTAGAGGCTTTTATTATTTCCATCTTCATGGTTGGAAGGAAAATCAATGGTATTGCTGAGAGAACTTCATGGCATTAAGGACCTAAACTCTAAAATCTTCATATTCCATTTGTTTTGAGGTATTTATGTATCTCAAGCTATGAAGCTTGAGTTACTTTTGCTTTTGAGTTGGCTGATTATTTCAGCTAGTTCTCAGAAATCTATATATCCCATCTCTTCATAAGAGAACATTCTAAAACCTCCTGTCACTTGGAGGTAAGACATTGTATCCGGCTACTTCCTTCTGTGGACTGACTCTCTTGTTTCAAGGTCTGGAATAGCCCCTTCAAAGCCAAACTGTATTGTCCCTCTCCAGACTGCATCCATGTCTTCTGTGTTAAATGCCTAGCTATACCTACATATATATGTAAAAACTGATATGGAGATTAAACCTCAATGGATAGCTCAAAATAAAACAAAACAACAATTATCTATTAGAAAAAAGCAGACGATTCTAAAACTTCTATTGAATGCAATACTTACTCAATACATCTAAAATTTTTTGCCATAGAAGGAAAAGAAGTTGCTCACCATGGATCATTATTGGTGTTTTCTCTAGGTGAAAAGCATATCCAGAATAGTTACTTTTTTTCTAAAAGGGACTTTTAACAGAAATATAGTACGTGAGTCCTTAAATGCATAAAAACATTTATTCAATAATATTTTCAACCATATTTTCATATGATTTTTTTCACACTCCCTTTAATTTTACTTTACCATTATTTCATATCTAAACTCCAAATTATTAGTACTGTGGATAAGTTGATCCAACAGAATAAGTAAACAATCATCAGCCAAAGTTTTCACCTCTGCCTTTACAAAGACAATACTTCTGAAAAGAAAGACCTATCACCAAGGAAACACCAAATCACTAAGGCTTCTATTTCCCAGAACAGACTTGTAAACCAGTACCCACCTTTCAGGTTCGGTTACCAAATACACTATTGAAATTTACTCATGCAGTTTTCTCTTTCAGACACTAGCTGTGTCAATATGCATTCTTTTTATATCTCATTTTTCAGTTTCCTTCAAGAAAAAAAATAAGATAACATAGAGTAAAGGAATGATGTCTTTTTGGGCTGTATATTTATAGAAACGCAATTAAAAATGTTTTTATTAAGATGCATATTACTGTATATTGTGTAATGCCAATTTTAATGTAAATATAAGGTTGCTTATGCTGTATGTGGAATTGCCAAAATCACGCTATTTGTATTTTGTAGTTTGTGCATACACAAGTGTTTCATTCTTGCCAGAGCAAGGAAACTGAGTAAAACCAAAACAACTGCTTTTACTTTACTTCTTGATACCTGCACATTATAGCAACATTTTCTACTTTTATCTTAGTAATAAGTAAAGAAGGATTGAAAGGCAAAGGAATGAGGTTTTGTTTTATTTTTCCCTTTCCTTCTATGTTGTTATTTTCAGTGCAAGTGGTTGGCTAATACAGAAAAGTAACACGAATGAGAAAGGATATGACAAGGTTCTTTGGTCATTCATGTTTCTTAGAACACAACTGCCTTCTTTCTGCATACAAAGCAAGTTTTGGTTCAATTAGAAAGCATGTTAGTGCCACTAAATTAGTTGCAGGCATAGCACACTTGTCAGGCACACACTCTGAGTCTCTCTGCATCTCAAGTCTACCAGAATTCTGTGCCCATTGTACACTATTACTGTGTGTCAGTGGAAAACGGGACATACATATTGCACACAATCCACTGTTCTATCTGGACATCACTTACAAAGCATAAGCTCAGAGTTCCTAGATCAAACTATTAAGACTTTCGAGATAATGACAGCAGAGCAGTAAATCAAGTATTTACCCCTTCTGAGCTTGAGGCCCTATGTGAATGCACAGTTTGCATGTTCATAAAGCCATTCTTGTAATTACCACTCATTGACTGCCTGCATATTCCCAGTGCTTTACATGCATTTTATTTTTCAGTCATGACAAGATTGTTATCTTGATTTCACAGAGAATAAAATAAATTTTTGAGAGTAATTAATCATTTACAAATCAACATATTCAATTGAAGATTGAGTCAGAGATCAAACTACAACAAAATCTGGACTTGGATAATTTTAACTAGCCCTTTAATATTGCCAGAATGTATAATCAAAATTGATGGAATTGTTTTTATCACATGGCTTATAGAAATAAGTATTACAAGTTTATAGATATACTACAGGCAGTCCTCACTTGCATGGTATTATGTTATCTGAAACTTACGCATGTTAGTGTAATGTAATCACTCTCCATTACCATGAAATGGTGCAGAGCAAGTACTACTTACGTAATTCATTATGTTTGTATAGTGGTTTACCATTTGCCATTTTTATTGTTGTTGTTCATTAGGTATTATTGACCGTGCTATGAGGGTTAATTCCAGCAGACCCAGAATTAGCCTGAGTTGTCTTGCTAAAGTATCTGCGTAATACTGACCCTTGGGCAAGGCATGAAATGTACTTAATATTGTTGCTTTGTAATCATGTGTCCCAGGACTTTTATACTAGTTCGTTAGTACTGTTTAATCAATCAAGTAATACTAGAAATTTATACCTGGCTTCAGGGCGAACCCCAGAGCGTTCTGCCATTGGGGCTAGTACCATAGTAGGAAAATGCTTACATGGCCTACAGAGTATTAGGTATTCCCTGGTTCCAAGGTGAGTTGTGCACAAATTGGTAGTATCTGATCTGAGAGAAAAAACACATCCACACAGCCCTTACACACAGCTGGGAGTCATGCCTTGCCTCTCAGGACCTCTTGTTGTAAGGCCTTTGGCTGTGATACATGTCCTTGCTTTAATGTTATTTCTCTATTGCATTCATTTGTGAACTATAAATTTATATGCATTGTCGTTTGGAATCCTAATCACCTTTAGCAAGCAATCCTGTCTACCACCATTAGTAAATTTACATATGATATTTTCCAGCAATTTTATGTGAAAAATATTTTGAATTTTGTTACTTTTAAAAATGTATATAACCAATCCCATAATCAGGATATAGGTAAATTCTCTTACCCTGAGATATCTCTTGTGCCCCATTCCACTTGATCACTCCTGCCCTACACCATGCAACCAGGCTTAAAATGTTCGTTACAGGAGGAGAGGTGGAGCAAGATGGCAGAATAGAAAGGTTCACTGATCATCCCTCCCCACAAGGACACCAACTTAATAACTACACAGAAAAAACACCTGCATAGGAACCAAAAATCAGGTGAGTACTTATAATCACTGGTTTTAACTTCATATTGCTGAATGAGGCACTGAAGAGAATAAAAATACAGTCCTGAATCTCTTACCCCACTCCTCCCTCATCTCCAACAGCAGTGTCCTGGTGTGTAGACGTTCTCTGGGTACTGGGGGCGGGAGAACAAAACAATTGTGTGTGAGGAATTGAACTCAGTACTGTTCTGTTAGACCAGGAAGGAAAACCAGAGAAAACTCAGGTAAAGTCTTCCCACAAAGGAACATTTAAACCAGTCTTAGCAAAAGGGGAATCTCTCATCTCAGAAGTTCAAACACGAGTGCCTGCATACCTCTCCACTGAGGGCCAAAGTGCTCTGATTCCCTAAGTAAACTGGAAAGGCAGTCTAGGCCATAAGGACTGCAAGACCTAGGCGAGTCTTAGGGCTGACCTAGTCCTGGAGATAGTAGACTAGGGGTGACAGGGGTCACACCATATACTGAGACACCAGCTAGGGAAGTCAAGCGAGTGCTGGCATTACCCCTCCCCTAATCCCAGGCTGCACAGCTCATGGCTCCAGAAGAGATCCCTTCCTTCTGTTTGAAGAGAGGAGAGGAAAGGGTGGGGAGAACTTCATCTTGCATCATGGATCCCAGCTCAGCCACAGCAGGATAGGGCATTGGTCAGAGTCATGATGCCCTTGTTCCAGGCCCTAGCTCCCAGATGACATTTCTAGACACACTATGGGCCAGAAGGAAACCTGCTGCCTTGAAGGAAAAGCAGCCTTTCCAGCCACACCAGTATTAATCACCTGCTAACTGAAGAACCCCTGGGCCCTGAATAACCTGCAGCGATACTCAGGTACTACATCAAGGGCCTTGGTGAGCCTCTGAGACTTGCTGGCTTCAGGTGAGACTCAGCATATTACCAGCTGTGGTGGCTATAGGGAAAAACTCTTTCTGCTTGAGAAAAGCAGAGGGAAAAGTAAAGGAGACTTTATCCTGCACCTTAGATACCAACACCACCATAGGGGTAGAACACCAATTGAGCTCTTGGGGTCTCTGATTCTAGGACTTGACTCTTGGATGGCATTTCAGGACCTTCCCTGGGCCAGAGGGGATCTTATTACTCTGAAGGGTGAAACCCAGGCCAAGCAGCATTTACCACAACCTGACTTAAGAGACCTTCGGCCTTAAGGAAACGTGTAGTAGTCTGGTAGCACTGCTCATGGCCAGGGTTGGAGGTAGCTCTGTGGTGAGGCTCCTCTGCCTGGAGTGGAAAGGGCAAGGAAGAATGGGAAAGACTGTGTCTTGTGGTTTGAGTGCCAGCGCAGCTGCAATACAATATAATACCAGGTCACCTTCTAAGGTTTTTGATTCTAGTCCTTGACTCCCAGACAGCACTTCAGGATCCACCTGGTGAATAAGGAACAACATTGCCTGCCCTGAAGGGAAGGACACAGGCTTGGATGGTTTTGCCACCTGCTGATTGTACAGCCCCACAGCCTTGAGTGAACATAGACAGTAGCCAGAGAGAGATTACAGCAGGCCTTGGGCGAGACCCAGTGCTGTGCTGGTTTCAGGTCTGACCCAGTGCAGTCATAGTGGTGGTGGCCACAGGAATGCTTGTGTCACTTCATTCCCAGCTTTAGGTGGCTCAGAGCAGAGAGAGAAACTGTATGTTTGGAAGAAAGTAAGAGAAGAGAAGAGCTTCTGCCTAGTAATCCAGAGAATTCTCCTTGATATTCTCCAAGACCATCAAGGTAGTACCTGTATGAGTCTGCAAGAACCACAGCATGCTGGGCTTGAGGTGCCTCCTAAGGCACAAACCACTTACATTACAACACCCAAGTTCATTCAAATATGTGGAAAGCTTTCCCAAGAAGGAGAGATACAAATAAGCCCAGACAGTAAATACTGCAATAAATACCTTACTCTTCAATGCCCAGGCACTGAAAAATATCTGCTAGCATCAACATCATCCAGGAAAACAGGACCTCATCAAATGAACTGATAAGGCATCAGGGACGAGTCCTGGAGAAACAGAGATATGGAACCTTTCAGACAGGTAATTCAAAATAGCTGTCTTGAGGTAACCCAAAAGAAATTCAAGATAACACAGAGAAGGAATTCAGAATTCTATCAGATAAATTTAATAAAGAGAATGAAGCAATTACAAAAGAATCGAACAGAAATTCTGGAGATGAAAAATATAACTGGCATACTAAAGAATACATCAGAGTCCTTTACTAGCAGAATGAATCAAGAAGAAGTAAGAATTAATGAATTAATGAGCTCGAAGATAGACTGTTTGAAAATAGAGGAGACAAAAGAGAAAAAAATGAAGCACACTTACAGGACATAGAAAATAGCTTCAAAAGGGAAAATCTAAGAATTTATTGACCTTAAAGAGGAAATAGAGAAAGAGATAGGGGCAAAAGTTTATTCAAAGAGACAATAACAAATAATTTCCCAAACCTAAAGAAAGATATCTATATCCAAGTACAAGAAGGTTACAGAATAGCAAGAAGACTTAACCCAAAGAAGACTACCTCAAGACATAATAATCATACTCCCAAATGTCAAGGATAAAGAAAAAATCCTAAAAGCAGCAAGAGAAAAGAAACAACCTACAAAGGACTTCCAATATGTCTGGCAGCAGTCTTTTCAGCGAAAGCCTTACAGGGCAGGAGAGAATGGCATGACATATTTAAAGAGCTGAAGGAAAGAAAACTTTTAGCCTAGAATAGTATATCTGGTGAAAATATCCTTCAGACATGAAGGAGGAATACTTTCTCAGACAAACAAAAGCTGAGGGATTTCATTAATATCAGACACACCCTACAAGAAATGCTAAAGGAAGTAGTTCAATCAGAAAGAAAAGGACATTAATTAAAAATAAATAATCAACTGAAGGTAAAAATCTTACTGGTAACAGTAAGTGCAGAGAAAAACACAGAATGTTATAACACTGCAGCTGTGGTGTATAAACTACTGTTATCCTAAGTAGAAAGACTAAATGATGAGCCAATCAAAAATAATAACTACAACAACTTTTCAAGACATAGTACAATATAATAGAAATAGAAAAACACAAAGTTAAACAGCATGGGGAAAAAGTTAAGGCAAGTTTTTATTTTCTTTTTGCTTGTTTGTTTATGCAAATTGTGTAAATTTGTTATGTCCAAATAATGGGTTATAAGATAGTATTTGCAAGCCTCACAGTAACCTCAGAACAAAAACACAATAAATACAAAAAAATAAAAATAAAAAGCAAGATACTAAAATCATATCACCAGAGAAAATCGTCTTTGCTAGAGGAGTGAAAGAAAGAAGGAAGAGAAGAACACAAAATGACCAGAAAACAAATAACAAATGGCAGAATTAAGTCTTTACTTATCAATAATAACATTAAATGTAAATGGACTAAAGGCTCCAACAAAAAGACATAGACTAGTTCAGTGAATGAAAGAACACAACTAATTGATCCATTGCCTACAAGAAACATACTTCACCTATACAGACACACATAGACTGAAAATAAAGGGATGGAAAGAGATATTCCATGCCAATGGAAACCAAAAAAGAGCTAAAATTGCTATACTTATGTCAGCCGAAATAGATTTCAACACAAAAACAATAAGAAGAGACAAAGGTCACTGATATGGTTTGGATTTGTGTCTCCGTCCAAATCTCATGTTGAATTGGAAGAAGGCCTGGTGGGAGGTGATTGGATCATGGAGGTGGATATCCCCCTTGCTGTTCACATGATAGTGAGTTAGTTCTCTTGAGGTCTGATGGTTTAAAAGTGTTTGGCACTTCCCCCTTTGCTGGCTGTCTCTCACGCCACCATGTGAAGAAGGTACTTGTTTCCCCTTCCCCTTCTGCCATGATTTTAAGTTTCCTGAGGTCTCCCAGTCATGCTTCCTGCTAAGCCTGTGGAAGTGTGAGTTAATTAAGCCTCTTTTCTTCATAATTTTTCCAATCTCAGGTAGTTCCTTATAGCAGTGTGCAAATGGCCTAATACAGTCCTATATAATGATAAAAGGGTCAATGCAGCAAAAGGATGTAACAATTTTGAGTATATATGAACCCAACACTAGAGCACTCACAGAAATAAAACAAATATTTTTAGAGCTAGAGAAAGAGAGGCTCCAATACAATAACAGCTGAAGACTTCAACACCTCACTTTCAGCATTGGACATATCTTCCTGACGAAAATCAACAAAGAAACATTAGACTTAATCTGCAATATAGACCAATTGGATCAAATAGATATTTACAGAACATTTCATTCAACGGCTTCAGAAAACACATTCTTCTCCTCAGCATCTTAATCATTTTCAAGTGATATGGTTTGGCTCTGTCCCCACCCAAATCTCAACTTGAATTATATCTCCCAGAATTCCCATGTGTTGTGGGAGGGACCCAGGGGGAGGTAATTGAATCATGGGGGCTGGTCTTTCCCGTGCTATTCTCATGATAGTGAATAAGTCTCATGAGATCCGACAGGTTTATCAGGGGTTTCCTCATTTTTCTCTTGCAGCCTTCGTGTAAGAAGTGTTTTTTGCCTCCCGCCGTGATTCTGAGGCTTCCCTAGCCGTGTGGAACTGTAAGTCCAGTTAAACCTCTTTTTCTTCCCAGTCTCAGGTATGTCTTTATCAGCAGTGTGAAAATGGACTCATACAGTAAATTGGTACCAGTAGAGTGGGGCATTGCTGAAAAGATACTTGAAAATGTGGAAGCGACTTTGGAACTGGGTAACAGGCAGAAGTTGGAAAAATGAGGAAACCCCTGATAAATCTGTCGGATCTCATGAGACTTATTCACTATCATGAGAATAGCACGGGAAAGACCAGCCCCCATGATTCAATTACCACCCCCTGGGTCCCAGTCAAAAGTTTGCTGCAGGCGCAGGGCCCTGATGGAGAACCTCTGCTAGGGCAGTTTGGAAAGGAAATGTGGGATTGTAGCTCCCACACAGAGTGTCTACTGGAGCACTGCCTAGTGGAGCTGTGAGAAGAGGGCCACTATTCTCCAGACCCCAAAATGGTAGATCCACCTACAGCTTGCACCGTGCACTTGGAAAAGCTGCAGACACTCAATGCCAGCCCATGAAAGCAGCTGGGAGGGAGGCTGTACCCTGCAAGGCCACAGAGGCGGAGCTTCCCAAGGCCATGGGAACCTACCTCTTGCATCAGCATGACCTGGATGTGAGACATGGAGTCAAAGGAGATCATTTTGGAGCTTTAAGATTTGACTGCCCTGATGGGTTTCAGACTTGCATGGGCCCTGGAACCCCTTTCTTTTGCTCAATTTCTCCCATTTCAAATGAATGTATTTACCCAATACCTGTACACCCATTGTATCTAGGAAGTAACTAACTAACCTGCTTTTGATTTTACAGGCTCATAGGTGGAAGGGACTTGCCTTGTCTCAGATGAGACTTTGGACTGTGGACTTTTGAGTTAATGCTGAAATGAGTTAATACTTTGGGGGACTGTTGGAAAGGCATGATTGGTTTTGAAATGTGAGGATACGAGTTTGGAGGGGCCAGCGGCAGAATGATATGGTTTGGCTGTGTCCTCACCCAAATCTCAACTTGAATTGTATCTCCCAGAATTCCCACGTGTTGTGGGAGGAGCCCAGGGAGAGGTAATTGAATCATGGTGGCCAGTCTTTCCCATGGTATCTTCATGATACTGGATAGGTGTCATGAGATCTGATGGGTTTATCAGGGATTTCTGCTTTTGCTTCTTCCTCATTTTTCTCTTGCTGCTGCTATGTAAGAAGCTCCATTTTGGCTGGGCACAGTGGCTCATGCCTGTAATCCCGGCACTTTGGGAGGCTGAGGAGGGTGGATCACCTGAGGTCAGGAGTTTGAGACCAGCTTGGTCAACATGGTGAAACCTCGTCTCTAATTTAAAAAATACAAAAATTTAGCCAGGCATGGTGGCATGTGCCTGTAATCCCAGCTACTCGGGAGGCTGAGACAGAAGAATAACTTGAACCCGGAAGGCATAGTTTGCAGTGAGCTGAGATCATGCCATTGCACTCCAGTCCAGGTAACAGAATAAGATTCTGTCTCAAAAAAAAACAAAAACAAAAAAAAGTGCCTTTTGCCTCACACCATGATTCTGAGGTCTCTCCAGCCATGTGGAACTCTAAGTCCAATTAAACCTCTTTTTCTTCCCAGTCTCAGGTACGTCTTTACCAGCATCATGCAAACAGACTAATACACAAAGGATAGACCAGATGTTAGGTCACAAAACAAGTCTTAAAACATTCAAAACAATTGAAATAATATCCAGCATCTTCTATGACCACAATGGAATAAAACTAGAAATTAATAACAAGAGGAATTTAGGAAACTATGCAAGTACATGGAAATTAAACATTACATTTCTGAATGACTAGTGGGTCAACAAAGAAATAAAAAAGGAAATTTAAAAAATGTAAACAAATGATAATGGAAACACAACATGCCAACATCTATGTGATACAGCAAAAGCAGTACTAAGAAGGAAGTTTATAGCTATAGGTCTACATCAAAAAAGAGGAAAAACTTCAAGTAAACAACCTAATAATACATCTTAAATAACTAGAAATGCAAGAGCAAACTGAACCCCAAATTAGAAGAAAAGAAATATTATAATAAAGATCAGAGCAGAGATAAATGAAATTGAAATAAAAAATACAAAAGATAAAACAAAAAGTTGATTTTTTGAAAAGTTAAACAAAATTGACAAAAGATTACCCAGACTAACTAGAAAAAAAGGAGAGTAGGGGAGAGAATATTCAAATAAAGTCAGAAATAAAAAAGGAGACATTACAACTGATACTGCAGAAATTCAAAGGATTACTAGTGGCTACTATGAGCAAATATATGCCAATAAATTGGAAAATCTAGAAGAAATGGACAAATTCTTAGATACCTACAATCTATGAAGATTGAACCGGGAAGAAATCCAAAATCAGAACTGACCAATAACAAGTAATGAGATCAAAGCCAATAATAAAATTATCTCAGTAAAGAAAAGCCCAGGACCTGATTTCTTCACTGCTGAATTACACCTAACATTTTAAAAAGCACAAATAGCAATCCTACTCAAACTATTTCAACAAATAGAGGAGAAGGAATACTTCCAAACTTCCACTTGAGCGGATGATACCCCATTCCCCATGATGTGATTATTTCACATTGCATACCTGTATCAAAACATCTCATGTGGCCCATAAATATATACACCTACTATGTACTCACAAAAATTTTAAAAATTTTTTTGAAAACTTTATTAAGTATTTAAATTCACATTTCTGCCATCAGATACTCTCTCTCTCTCTTTCTCTCTCTCTCCTTCCTCCCTCCTTTGGAAATTACAGGTCATTCACGCGGTGCAGTGCAATATTTTACATATTTTAAGGGAATATAGATACCACACAAATTACAAAAGTTAAATTGTTAAATTGGATCTAATGAATTCATAAATTGAACTGTTAGGTGTTTTTTTTAGCCTGGAGTGCTCTGAGGAAATCACTGGTATGTTAAGAGCTTTTGAACCTAGGAAGTTTGGAAACTTCTGATATATATCTCACTGTGAAGAGAAAGGCAGTTGGTACCGATGGCTGAATGGTGGGAAAGGTACATGCGTCATGATTATATTGGTGTAAACCACAAAAATTACAATAACTAATAATGGCTAAAACAAATAGGAGTTGTTTTTCTTAAGAATCAATAAGTTCAGGATAAGGAGTTCATGACTAAAATGTCATCAAGGACCTAGGCTGTCTTGATCTGCTATAAGTAGTGTGTGACTTTCAATGTCACGATCCCAGCCTGGTTACTGCACTCCCAGCATTGCATCAATTATCCAGGAAGGAAACAAAGCAGCTAGAGGTGAACTGACAAACACATTCTAACAGTGAAGTCTGAATTTAAAAAAAAACACTCCCTTAGAAACTAACCTAGAAACTCCTCTTGCATCGTATATGATCCAGAAGAGGTTATGTGGTAATGCTTAATTTCAAGGGAGGAAGAGAAATTAATTTTTGTTTTCTAGACATTCGAATAGAGGAAATTATTTGGGAAGCAGGCAATAAATTACTTTTGAGCACAAGTAACATAGGAAACATCAGTATTCTAATATTTCAATATTATTTCACAGAAGAGCATATTGTCTATAAATGCGCTAATATCCTGTTTGTAAGTTAGCTGCTTTAGTGTAGCACAGAAGGAAGTGATGAAATGTTAAACATTGCTTTTTGGGGGAAGAAAATATCTAGCTTGAGTGCTAAATGAAATAAATCTTTACCATTATGTAGAGGTTCTGTATTTTGTGGTTATATCTTATGCCATCCTATAAAATCCTAATGATTTCTCATAATTTATTGCGGTAAAAATTGTCTGTTTGCTGGACTTTCAATTTTTTGAGCCCTTACCTACACATTGCATGAATAATGTCATATTCAACCAGACAGCCTTCCCAATCCCACCTCATGTACCTTATTGTATAATAATCAAACATCCAGATACGGAAGATTAGAAGATGTTGATGGAAACCTCACTATGATGGACGTTTAATTCACAGGTGAGGTTGGCTTTGCCAGTTTTGAGATAACTGATAAATGTATGAATTTTTGACAGCTGTCAGAATTTTGTGGCTAAATTAATAGTGAATAACTAACATGTTATGAACATGCCACATTTTGTAAGTAGACATAGATATTTAATTCATTCTTTGGACATGAGACAATATCAAGAAGTGAATTTAAGTCAGGGTTTACATTTTATGTACTAAGCTTAATGTCCAGCATTTGACAGGGCATTTATTATTTTGCTAGCTGAATTTCCTTTTAAATAACTTAGAATAAAAAGTACATAGGATGTATTGTGTGCTAGCAGTCTATGTTTGAACAGCTCTGTTTTACATTTGTTTCTACTAGAAGAGTGTAAACAACATCTATCTTTTTATATTTTTATGGTTCGTTTTTGCTTAAAAAACATAAGTTCAAGTCTTACAGATAATTACAAACAAAAATGGAAGCCTTTTTGTGCTGATGTGGGTGAGTACTCTTCTACTCACATCTAGAAATTATTGATAATGTCTTACAAACCCTTTTTAATATAAAGTTGAGCTCAATCATAAAATGTAAAGTTTTCAGAATCAGGAACTAAAGACAAAACTCAAAATCATGAGCTTACACAGTAGTGACCCATGAGATACTCGACTTCAGCTGGCATTCCACTGCTTATGGTGGGAAGAAGGCAGGAGCTTGGAGTTTTTCGCAATGGAAGAGTTGAAACTGGACCCACTTCAAGTAATTTTTTAAAAGTGTTTAGCTATTTAAATCAGTAAACACAGTGTTTACTGTAAATCTAATAGTATTTAGCTAAACAGTTAACATAATTGTGACTATCTAAAATAGTAAATTTACTGTTCAGTTAGTTTTAAATATATGAAGAATTAAAATGATGGCATAGAAGAAATAGAAATAAAGGTTTCTGAAGTCCCTGTTACATTTGGAAAAAGTTAAAAACGTCTGTTAAAATTAGACTTTTAAAAATTAAGAATGTATGCTGTACTTGCTAGGAAAAAACCCTAAAATAAGAAGGCCACGAGATGTAATTTCTTGTCAAAAGGAGTGGAAAATCATTTTTAAATATTTAAAAGATTCAGAAAAGACAAAAAAATTAGATGAAATTGAGTACAGATAAGGTGGACGCTAGGGTAGTACTATATTTAAATAAAAATGTGTCAATAATTTTATTACATGCAAATGACTAATTTCCAAATTCTAACTGTGGTATACATAATTATTATTGAGCTTTAAAAAGCCATTACTACCACTTTTAGCTGTGCAAACATGGGGAGGTTATTTAAAGGTCAAAGAACTAAATATCAACTTTTTCATCTGATCTTGTCTTTAAAATGCATGATTGCTGTATTAAACAAAATTAATAATTAAACATAACTGCATATATTAAAGCTCCCATTACAGTGCTTTGCACATATAAACATTTAAAAATTGTCACTGAATAATAGAATCAAAGGCTGGAAAGTAGCATCCATATTTTGCCACTTGATCTATAGTTTCTCAGAGCTTTTTGCTGCCAAGTAGTGGCAGATTATCCTCTTAATCAGGGGTCAGAGTTGAGCATGTTAGAACATCTTTTATGTGATTTGGGGATTTGTACCTATATGTAGTGCTCTACCTCATTTTAATCATGGGCTTCCAAAGATGTTTCTTCTCCCTTTGTACCGTAATCATGGTACATATATTTTTGCACAGTACTGTTCATAAGGATGTTGTTACTTTTAAAAACTGTAATCTCTTTGTTAACAATAAGCCTAATTTGAGTGAGTGAGAATTACAGTTATAATTCTATATAAATAGAAGAAAAATATTAGACAGAACACAGGAAATGCAACTTCAGTCCTAAGCATTACTGCCTCACATTATCTGCACAACGGTCTTGAGCAAATAATTTTTTTTTACATTGTTAAATGGCTTGAATGGGGATCACTGACTAGGTTGATAGAAAGACATGGTTCGATTGGTTTGATCTTGACATTACATAGAATTTTCTGGTGACTCAAGCTGCGAGACAATAGAATGAGCTGTGTTAGTATTTAATAATTTCTTTGCCAGTGGACTCTTCTCAAGTATAATCTGGCACATTCTTTAAGACGAGATGGGAGGAAATATCAGCCAGCTAGGGTCACTGCTTTTTAGCCTGTGATATTCCGCAACATCATTCTCCCATCTCTTCATGGACAGTTTTGCTATATAGTTTTGGGTATTTAAAACAGAAAGAAATATTTCAAGTTGATTGGATTCTAATGAAGTTAACATTATTTCAGTGATTACTATCAGCCAGAAGCCACAATATAGGAGCTTTTACATTATTGTTACCCAGGCTGAAGTGCAGTGGCACCATCTCAGCTCACCGCAACCTCCACCTCCTGGGTTAAAGTGATTCTCTTCCTCAGCCTCCTGAGTAGCTGGGATTACAGGCGTGTGCCACCACGCCCAGTTAATGTGTATATTTTTAGTAGAGACGGGGTTTCATCATGTGGGCCAGGCTGGTCTCAAATGCCTCAACTCCATGACCTGCCTGCCTCAGCCTCCCAAATTGCTGGGATTACAGGCATGAGCCACTATGCCCGGCTAATTTCTGTATTTTTAGTAGAAATGGGGTTTCACCATATTGGCCAGGCTGGTCTCAAACTCCTGACCTCAGATGATCCACCTGCCTTGGCTTCCGAAAGTTCTGGGATTACAGGCATGAGCCACCATGACCATCCTTTTACATTTATTTATTGAACACTTGTAATAACTCAAAAGATATTATTTTCACAATTTTATGATAACTTAATGACTGCAAACATGTTCATGATGTAATGTTGAGTAAAACAGTAGGAGATATTATGTATGATATGTTTCCAATTATGGAAAACAGTGATTCATCACACCTACTCATCTGTGTGTCCACACTACACACACATACACAATCACCACACACAGAAAAATTGTCAAAATTGTACACACTAAAATGACCATTGTGGCTATCTCTAGTGTCCGAATTATGAAGACCTTTTAATTTCTTTCTTGGATTCTTCTGATTTTCTGCATCATCTACAATGACAAGAATTATTTTCATAATTAGAAAACAGCTACTAGGTTAATGTTTATATAACTATTTAGAAAAATATATACTCAAGATGACAGAGAAAGTAACTAGCAGAATTCAGCAATGTTTCTTAATGTAATAGAGTTGAAGGGAGGGAGTTCACTCTTACCTAAAGCCCAGAATTTTGAGTTGTTTTTTTGTCCCATTATTTTTTTTCTAGGCAAGTTTCACTGCCATTGCTAGAGAGCAGGAGAAAGAATGGCCCATTTGTTTAGTGATGACAAATAGCAGCTTTGGTCCTTACCTGGGAGGCTGTGTCAACCTGGGCCTGCCTTTTGTGTATGCCTATGGGCAGCAAGTAGGGATTCAGTGTGGTAGCTGGAACCTGGCTGGGCTCCAATTTGGCGTGTGTCTATCATTGTTTGGGGAACACTTTGTGCCTGCTGAGGCGCACTCCTCTCTCAGTGACTAGAGCTAAAAAAAACAAAAGCTCCTGGTGCCAAGGCTACCGGCCTTATCTATAAATCACTTATTCTTTCTTCCTGTCTCTTCAAGGGTAGTTTGACCTTAGCTCAGTGCCTGTATAGGCACAACTCATCAATTTTTCACTGACAAGTTAAAAGACCAAGTGCAAATGGCTTCTCTGATTCCTGAAACAGTGTCAGTCTTACATATGAGTACCTTTTTTGACCTATTGGTGACTAGTACCTCCAAGAATATGTGTGTGTGCATGTACATGCTTGTGTGTGTTTACCACTCTGTACACATTACCATTAATCTAAATGTATATAAGAATTCATTTTACTTTTTGTTTTTTTAAGAAATCAGAGTTTCAACAATAGCCAATTCATTCCTGTCTATATCTCCGAATACCAGGATGAAATTTTGAAACAAAGAGAAAGAAAGATAATAGGGCTTTTGTTTCTAATTTTGATTTTTAGTGGAGAAAGTCATTAGTGATTACATAGCTTTACTTATACACTTATAGAGGTAAAAATGAAGACCAGAGAACAAAAGAAGCACTCGAGGTCATAGAGCTAACTCACTGCAGAATACACTAACGTCTTAATCTCTTAGACTCTTTACACCAAATTTTTCAGGGATGGTTATCTTGGTATCATGAAGCACTTGCAAAATGTAATTATATAATCCATCATTATTATTATAATAACTTCCTTAGGAAAAATGACTGGAACCATTAACAGAGATTATCTTGTGGAATAAGATTGCAGGTGATTTTATTACTTTTGCTGTTATCCGAATTTTCTAAAATTTCTATATAAATACTTGTTACCTTAGTGATAATATACATTTTGGCATTTATATTAGCCCTCATTTTCTGAGTGTTCTGCTAGGCGCTTCACATGGATCAGTTTTGTTACTTAATTTTTATAAGCCATCTCAATAATAGGTTCTTGTAAACGTGTATTGAACATAACAGAATCCAAAGGTAACACGACCAAAAGGTTACTCTAAAAACGTACCCTTTCTACTCCTACAATTCTTCTTGAGATGCCTGCTTGACTTCAAGGGCAATGTTCTCCTAGTAACAACAGGTGATTCCAGAGAGGGCTCAAATTTTAATGCTTTTCTAAGAAGCCACATTAAAGTATGAAGAGGAAAGTTTCTATTCTAAATGGGTCTACATTGCTCTCAGGTCACTGACCAGGAACATTTACCCCACAGAGTCAGCAGAGAGGCAGCTGTTCTGGTTGTTTTTTAAATCTGTACAAATAAACAAAGACTTAAAGTGATCAATTATATTTGTACCCATTAAATACTAAACATGAAAGTCTTCAAAATGAATAGTGGAAGCGGAGGAATTTGGTGGTAGGTTTTATGTCTCCTTTTATTTACTAAGATGCCCCCACCCTTTTTGGCTTGCTGTCTAACACAGGACTCAAAGTTGCAAATTAAACAATAGACATCAATTATGCTTTGAGGGGCCCCCCAGCTTGCAACCAGTGTTAATAACTAACCATGAAGACTAAGTATCACTCACACAGACCTTTAGAAGTAATTGTCTCTGTTTCGTCTGGGACAAGAAGGAACACGACTCCCTGTGTTTGGTCCTGCTCCAGCTCATACTTTGCAGTGATGACTTTTGTGTCCAGCATTGGATGTGCCTTACATGTTTCTCATGAGTTAAAATCCCACAACTCATCTTGAATGCCTTTCTGGAGCAGAATAAGATTTAAGGAAACCTACAGGTAGGAGGCTTCTCTTGTAGAATTTGCAGCTCTGGGCTTCAGGATGCTCACCCCTGAATGCACATAGAAGTTGCCAGTGTGTCTTTTGGCCTGCTTCTTGTCTCCTGTAGCTTTTGGGTCTAGAAACAGATATGGCTGTAGTCATTCAGAAACCAAAAAAGCTGTCCAGAGACACATGAGATCATTCGCCAAGCACTACACTCTGACCCTGCGTCGCCTCACTTTGGAGCCAGGTCAGTGAGTGTTGTCTCTTGTACTCTTCTAGGAACTCAGAGTTATCCCCTGAGTGGGGAAGGCTGCTGACCATCACTAGCGTCTTCCCTGGACCTGCTCCCTGACAAATCCACATGCTCTCTGGATTTTGAGTGGCTTGCAAAACTCAATAAAATTCCACCTATGCCCCCAAAGAATTCAAGTGTAATATTAGAGTTAGTAGCCACTGCTATCATCACTGTCAGGAGTCAGAGGTGATAAAAGCTGTTTATGGTTCAGAACCAGATTTATGGATCCACAAACTCTCTGGTGTAGCCTAGAAAAGGTAAGAGAATACTTCTCACCTTTGATATGCAGTCGAAATCTCCAGTCCTTTATTTACGGAGGAGAGTGGCTATTTTTGAACACTAACACAATGACTCTGGCTTTGCTGCCTAACTACGAGGAGAGTTCCAATTTCTACCTGGGCCCAGACCCCTGATTACTGCTCGATGATCCCCTAGGTTATCTCTTCTTTGACCTCCATGACAACAAACCATTATGTGGGTGGTTAGCATTTGCCTGTCTCTGGACCCTGATGTTAGCCTACTACTCTTTTTCTATTACATGTAACTGGCTGATCTTTCATGTCTGCTTGTCTCCCATGGACATCCAAATAACCATCTCTCTGTTTCACCCCTGGTGGAAAAAACATGAAAATCCATGTTTGTGATCTGTATTTGTAAGTCAGAGAGCAGCTTTGTTACCATCAAATGCTATATTTTTATGATATTGACATCCTATAATCAGAATCATTCTTTGGAGCACAGATCAAAGAGAAAACAGAAAGCCACAACAGTTCCCAGTACTGTAATTACAAAACAAAATAAACAAGCAAAACATATGTTGGGCGTTTCATATATTGGGGTACCTGTTCAGTATCAATGTGATACCATGAGTAAATTTTTGTTGTTTCTATTTTGGTCATCAATTTTCTTATCTATAAAAAAAGACAGTTGCACTCACTGTTCTCCAGAGTCCTTCTGAGCACAACTCACCTAAAACCCCCTTTTTAAAACATCAAACTGTATATTAACAGCTAACCTTAAATGAGAAGATAGTCAGGAAAACCAAGTGTGTAATTGTGGCTTGGAGGATGGGATTAGGAGTTGCCCCAAACTGTCCTGTGCTTCCTGTCTGTATCAGCTTCGGTGAGTGCAGAAAAGACTGACCGTGTCTGTGAACACTCACATAGATGTTTTGACTACTTGGTGGTGAGCACACCTCTTTCAGGTAGGATAGGCTCTTTCTCTGAGTCACTGACCAGCCCTTGTTGACTGTAATCATCAGAGGAATGAGAATATTATCCACGGAAAAAGGGATTATTGTTTTTTTCCGAGGATCACAAAGAGACTTGTAAATAGTCCTTTAATTCCATTTTTCTCAACTCAAGAAGATACCACACTTGTAATTCCTGCCTGCAACACAGCTTGGATTGAATTGTCATGAAAAGTGCCATCTAATTTCAGTAGCTAACCATGACTACTAGTGACACTTGTATGTGTTTAGCCTTTCACTGATGTTTTTACATCTATTATCTCACTTTATCCACAGAATAGCACACCAAGGCAGGTGCAAGAGATATGATCATTTAACCGATAAGGAAACTGAGACTCACAGAAGTAAAAGCACTTGTCTGGGTCGCACAACTAAAATCTGGATTTTCTGACTCCAAATGGTGATTTTTCTTCACAATCTCAAATATGGAGATATTTTATATTCTTCCTGATGTCACAGTGCCATCTGTATTCAGTAGCTATTGACCATATATTGTAAGTTCAGATATTATAGTCTATTACATGCCTCTAATAGTACACGCAAAAGCAAGTATGTCATCATGGCGTTCCTCTTTATAATACAAAGTCACTCAGGTGCATCTCTAATAAACGGGATGGTTTCTTGCGGCGGCTTTTGCTAGAGTTGCCTAATACCACCCAGTCAGGGAAAAGGTACACTGGGCAAGGAGGGCTAACCCTGTGCTTCCACTGGAAACAAGCCTAAATCTTTGTACACGTCCGCTATTGATTCCTAATTATCACCAGGAGATGGCGCTGTGCATTAGTAAACATCCGGCTTACAAAAGTACAGGGTTTCAGGGAAAGAATCACTGGGGAGATGGTAAATGAGACAAATGTTTGTGAGGGAAAAAATATTGAACAGCTGATGCAGGACGAAGGCACATTTGTGGGATTTAGAAGATGGAGTATAAAATTGTGACTTTTTCATGAGGCATGTAAAACAATTATTTTGCTGTTACTTATTAGAATATTGCTGGAGAGTCAAATCAAACAGAAATTGTTCTATTCAACGCAATGGGTAGGTGCTCAGTAATACGGGCGAATGTTTGCACTCTGTTGACATCAACCTAGCTCTAGAAATGTTAAATGATTATCCAGTTATTTCCCAATCCGAGAGTTCTTTCTTCTTTGCCCAAACTGCTTACTCCAAGCTGTGTCAGCTATGAAAGTAACCTTTGTCTCTTACGATGATCCTCCTTGTGCTTATTTTTGTATGTAAAAAATTTTAGGCTCATAGCTTTTTAATGAATTTAAGAAAAAAAAATGTGTTCTTGTTTATGTTACTGTTTCAATGAGAGTGAAGTGTTTTCACATCTTGCAGACTTAGAGCCCCCTCGATTTCATCAAGGTCTTGCAGTCTGAGGGTCTAGCAGTGTTGTAGTTTCAGTTTCAGATATACGTCTAAGATTTTTTATTTTTGAGATCTCATAATCTTGCAGTATTTATTCGTAGGTTATTACTTAAAAGAAAGTCCCAAACAAGTGGCCAAGAAATTTAAAAGAAAGTTAAAATGAGTCTAATTAAAGCTGAAATTAACGAAAATTCTGATAACATCAAAATTTTAGCGTTTTGGTGGCCCAAAGTATTTGGGGGCTGAGCCAAAAAGAAAAGAAACAACTACTTTGATTCCTAGTGATTCCATTCTAAGCCCTGCCAGATGGATTAAAGCCACAACATCTCTACAGACATTTCAAATTCTGCTTGAAGCAACAAACTGATCAGTCCTTTACTCTAGCTAACAGAGGAAAACAGAGGAAAGTGGATCACTTCTTAGAGAAAAAGAAACAAATAAAACTATATATATAAATATATGCAGTATATATATTTTATGCATTATACATATTTTATATATATTCATATATTATATAGTATATATACTATACTACATATATACTGTATGTACTATATACTATTATATATAGCATATATGTAGTATAGTATATATACTACATATACTATATATAATATATAGTATATATAGTATATATACTATATGTGATATATATACTATGTATATATGCATTACTTCAGTATTTCCTTTTATACAATATATTAGCATAAAATGAAAATTATAAAACATGAATAAGTAGGAGAATATGACCTATGACAAGGAAATATTCAGTAAATAAAAAGACATTTAACAACCAAATGTTTGAATTATTAGACAAGAACTTTGAAACAATCATACAAATATATTAAAGAATTTACAGGAAAGGACAGATATGATGAGTGAGAAAATAGGACATTGCCGGATAAACCTGAAAGCAATTAAAAAATAGAAAATCTAGAACTAACAAATATAGTATCAGAAATAAAATTATTGAATGTGATTAAAAGCAGATTGAACATAACAGAAGAATGTATCGGTGAACTTTCTGTTTGTTGAGTCAATAGAAATCATCCAATATAAAGCACTCAGAGAAAGAAAATACAGAAGAAAATGGACAAAGTCTCAAGGACTTCCGAGAAACTATAAATTAGTCAAATATAGGTATAAATGGAGAGCTGTGAGGACAGAAGAGAGGACACTGAACAAAGCAGCATTTGAAGAAATAATGGATACAAGTTTTCAAATATGATTTCTGAAAACACAATTTATAGATCCCGGAAGCTCCAACGACAAATTCCAAAGACAGTGAGTGCAACAAACAGAAAAAACTATACTTAAGAATTTCCTAGGAAAGCTGCTGCAAACTAAACATTAAAAAATACAGTCATGCATCACTTAACCATGGAGATACATTCTGAGAGATGTGTTGTTGGTGATTTTGTTGTCATGCGGACCTCATAGTGTGTACTTACACAAACCTAGATGGTATGTTTACTATAAACCTAGGCTATATGGTATAGCGTGTTGTTCCTAGGCTGCAAACCTGTGCAGCATGTTACTGAACCGAATACTGTAGGCATTTGTAACATAATGGCAATTATTTGTGTCTCTAAACATATTTAAACATGTAAAAGGTACAGTAAAATACAGTGTAAAAGGTTAAAAAGTGGTACACTATATAGGGCACTTGCCATGAATGGAGCTTGTAGAAGAACTGGAAGTTGCTCTGGGTGAGTCAGTGAGTCAGTAGTAAGTAAATGTGAAAGCATAGGACATTACTGCACACAACTGTAGATTCATAAACGCTGTACACTTAAGCCACACTAAATTTATTAAAAATGGTTTTCTTTCTTCAATAATAAATTAACCTTAGCTGACTATAACTGCTTTACATTACAAACTTTTTAGTTTTTTTAACTCTTTTGTAATAACACTGAGTTTAAAAAACAAATACATTGTGTAGCTATATACAAATATTTTCTTTCTTTATATCCTCACTCTTTGTTTCTACTTTTAAATTTTCTTTTTTTAAACTTTTTTTTTGTTCAAAACAAAAAATAAACACATATATTAGTCTAGGCCCACACAGGGTCAGGATCATTATACCATTCTCGTCTGTCTCCACATCTTGTTACACCAGACCGTCTTTAAAGGCAGTAACATGCATGAAGCTGTCATCTATGATAACAGTGCCTTCTTCTGGAATACCACCTGAAGAACCTGCCTGAAACTGTCTCACAGGTAAATCTGTCTATATATCTCTATCTATCTATCTATCTATCTATCTATCTATCTATCTATCTATCTATAATCTAATTAGAAGGACTATACTCTGAAGTAAAGATAAAAAGTGTAGTATGGGCCAGGCGCTGTGGCTCATGCCTGTAATCCCAGCATTTTGGGAGGTAGAGGTGGGTGGATCACGAGGTCAGGAGATGGAGACTATCCTGGCTAACAAGGTGAAACCCCGTCACTACTAAAAATGCAAAACATTAGCCTGGCTTGGTGGCATGCACCTGTACTTCCAGCTACTTGGGAGGCTGAGGTAGGAGAATCACTTGAACCTGGGAGGTGGAGGTTGCAGCGAGCTGAGATCACGCCACCGCACTCCAGCCTGGGTGACAAAGCGAGACTCCGTTAAAAAAAAAAAGTGTAGTATGACAAATACATAAACTACTACATAGTCACTTATTATCATTTTCAAGTGTTATGTAGTATAGAAAATTGTGTATGCTGTATACCTGGAAGCAGAGTTGTCTTCTTTACCCTAGCATCACCACAAACACAGAAGCATAGTATTGTGCTATCATGTTACAATGGCTATGAGTTCGTCAATAAGTGATAAAAATTTTTCAGTTCTATTGTAACCTTATGAAACCATCATTTTACATGTGGTTTGTTCTTGACAAAAACATTGCTATATGGCACATGACTATATTTTAAAAGAAACTAGAGAAAAAGAGACATTTATATAGTAGAACAATAATAAGAATGACAAAATCTCATTAGAAACAGTGGAGGTTAGAAGACAATGACAAAAGTATTTAAAGTGCTGAAAGGAAAAAAGAACTGTCAAACTCAATCTCTATGTACAGAAAAAATAATTTTATAGGTAAAGTTGAGGCATTTCACACAAAACCTGAGAGAGGCCAGGTACTGAGGCTCACGCCTGTAATCCCAGCACTTTGGGAGGCTGAGGTGGGCGGATCACAAGGTCAAGGGATTAAGACCATCCTGGCCAACATGGTGAAACCCCGTCTCTACTAAAAATACAAAATGTAGCCAGGCATGGTGGCGGGTGCCTGTAGTCCCAGCTACTCGGGAGGCTAAGGCAGGAGAATTGCTTGAACCTGGGAGGTGGAGGTTGCAGTGAGCTGAGATCGTGACATTGCACTCCACTCCAGCCTGGTGACAGAAAGAGGCTTTGTCTCAAAAAAAAAAAAAAAGAAAAAAAGAAAAGGAAAGAAAAGAAAACCTGAGAGAATATACTGCAGTAAGACTAATACAGGAACATAAAAAGAAATTCTTCAAGCTAAGAAAAATTACATCAGATGAAAGTCCAGTTCTGTAGAAATATATGAAAATAACCAGAAAGTGTACATATGTAGATAAATATAAAATATCTTTTAACTCTGTCTAAACACACACTCACACACTTCTTATAACACCTGTGTTTATGCAGAAGTTATTTAGGAGTCTATAACATATGGAATTGAAATACATGTTAACAAAAGTACAAAAAATATGAGGGGCAATGAAATTATGTTACTGTAGGGTTTTTAAAGTGTTTATGAAATAGTCTGACATTATTTGAGGGTAGCGTGATCAGTTAAATTTTAGAAATGTATACCAAAACAAGTCATGATTGACCATAAAGAAGACTGGACATGAGGATCAGACATATTCAGAAAACAGGTGAAATACTTTTTTAAAATCCAAGATGGTTAAGATGGTACACTTAAAAAATATACTTACATATAATTAAACTGGTTTAAATATTCTGTGTGAGAGGCAAAGATGGTCAAACTGAATATGGAATCAAGAACAATGATATGCTGCTTACAGAAATTACCTTTTAAATACAAATGCAGAGACAGGTTAAAAGGAAAAGTATGAGAGATAATATACCGTACATATTCAAACATTTTAAAAGGTGGCATTTCCATATTAATATCAACCAAAATAAATTTTAGAACAAGAAGTATTACCAAAATTAAGGAAGGATATTTCAGAGTGATGAAAGAGTCAATTCCTCAAGAAGACGAAACTGGCAAAACTGAAGAGAAAAATAATCTATCATCATAATTGAAGATTTGAACACCATTTTTAGTAATTGATAGAATAAGTCTAGAATTAATAGAGCAATGATTTTAATCAACTTAATCCTGCTGAAATGTACACAGAGCTTCATCAAATAATAGTAAAACACACATTTATTTTACAGTTACTCTAGTTAAAGTCAATACTTGTGCGGTGTAGAGAGATAGCCTTCAAAGATGTACACATTCTAGAACTTTGAAACTGTGAATGTGTTATGTTACATGGCAAAGAGTTATTAATGTTGTTAATCATCAGAACTTAAAGTAGGGATATTATCCTGTATTATCTGATTGGGCTCAAATGTAACCACAAGTGTTCGTAAAAGCGAAAGAGGGAGACAGAAGATTCAGTGTCAGAAAAGGTGTGACAATAAAAGCAAGATTGAAGTGGTGTAGGGTAAGGACTTAACCTGCTATTTCTGCCTTTGAAGGGAGAAGGGAGACATGAGCCAAGAAATGTGGGAGCCTCAAGGAATAGGGAAAGACAAGGAAATGGATATTCCTCTAGAACCTGCAGAAGGAACTCAGCTCTTTTAGAGCTATGAAAAGTAAGGAAAAATACATTATGCATATCTTTTTATTTGTTTTATTTCTAGTACTCTGTTTTTGTGTCTACGTGAATATCCAGTTTTCAGATTCTATATTTCTTCTGTCTGAAGAATTTTCTTTAGCACTTCTTGACAGCATGTCAGGAATCTTAACAATCAATTTTCTCAGTTTTGGTTTCACTGAATAAGTCTTTATCCATTTTAAAAGAAATTTGCTTAAAGTATAGAATTCTGGGTTGTTAGTGATTTTCTTTCAGTGCTATTAAGATGAGACTCCATTGTCTTCTGATTTGCATAGCTTCTAATGGTAAGTCTACTGTAATTCTTGTCTTTGTTTCTCTCTATATAACGCGTCTTTCATTCTCTAGTTGTCTTAAAAATGTTGTTCTCTTTGGCTTTCAGAATTTTGTGTCTGGTCTGTTTAAGTTTATATGAGTTTGTTGGATAGTCCTACTGTTCTTGCAGCTCAATTACATATATAGTTTGTTGTTGTTGTTGGATTTTGTTTTGTTTTGTTTTTGAGACAGGGTCTTGGTCTGTTGCCCAGGCTGGAGTGAAATGGTGCAAACACAGCTTGCACTCTTGGGCTCAAGCAACACTCCTGCCTCATTCTTCCAGGTAGCTAGGACTACAGGTGCAGACCACCACACTTATTTCATTTTTAAAAACAATTTTTGTAGAGAGGGGGTTGAACTCCTGTCCTCAAACAATCCTTCAAGAAGCACATAGGCTTCTCAAAGTGCTGAGATGATAGGCACGAACCACCGTGCTCAGCTCAATTGCATACATGGTAAACCTTTAGATATTTTCCACAAATTCTGAGAGGCTGCATCTTGTTTTTTATTTAAACAAGTGAACGAAACCAAAAGGTTTTATTTTCCCTCTTTGCTTTTCAATTTGTGTTATTTCTGTTGACTTACCTTAAAGTTCATTGATTCTTTTTTTGACCATGTCAAGTTTACTGATAAGTCCATTGAAGAAATCCATTATGTCTGTTACTGTGTGTTTTACTTACAGCATTTCCATTTTATTCTTTCTTTTGTTTTCATCTATCTGCTGAAATTACACATCTGATTGTGCATAGTGCAAACCTTTCTATTACAGTCTTCAATAGATTAATTATAGTTATTTTAATTTTTCTGTCTGATAACAAAATCTGTGTAACATTTGAGTTTGGTTTTGTTGATTGCTTTGCTTTGTAACAGTGTGTTGCTCTTTCTTGTTTATTTGTACATCTCTTATTTTTGTTTTTAGGCTAGACATCTTTTGCAGAGCAGTAGAGACTGAATTAAATTGTTTTTGTGCTTGGAAATGGGCATGGCTCTCCACCTTTTCAGCTTTTGATTACTCAACCTAGTGAGAAGTAGATTTGCTTTTGGATTTTTCAG
Source organism: Homo sapiens (assembly GCF_000001405.40). Lineage (NCBI taxonomy): Eukaryota > Metazoa > Chordata > Mammalia > Primates > Hominidae > Homo > Homo sapiens. The sequence goes on from NC_000003.12 coordinate 190,818,827, forward strand.
TTGTTATGGCTACTCTTAGTGCAGTACAGGCTTTAAATTCCTCTAGTGTTACTTTTCATTTAGAATGGAGATGAGTTTTCCAGAGGGTTTTCTTAATATCTATTCTACTCTGAGCTTTGTCTTTTTTTTTTTTTTTGGTCCTGTACTTCAGAGAATGCCTTCATTCATGCTGTTTCCCTCCCTCAATAGTAGACAGCAGTTACTTGTTATCCAACTCTTATTAGCCTGGTTCAGAGGAGGTTTGAAAATATTCTCTGTTTTTAATTTCCCTTAGTTTTAGATAGGCACTGTGTTCCTGGGTCTTATTAGAGGTTCTATCTTCTCAGTGGTTGTACTGCATTATAAATCATAAGTTTGACCTCACTAAGTATTTATGACCTTCTCTGATTAAGAAATAGATTTATTTATTGTGCCGTTATCCAGCTACAACAAGTTTCCACCAATGTCTTAAGCTTAACAGAATATATTATCTTTCTATCAGTGGTGCAAGTATTTTGTTCTATAAGAGATTTAGAGGAGAAGAATCTACGTGGGCTTTGTGCTTTCCATGCAACAGCTGCAATCACCCTTCCCCATATCTGCATCCACCCTTCCCCATATCTGCATCGTATGGAATGATTGATTGCTCATATTCCTTGCCCTACTCCAATCTTTCTTGCTGAGCACCCACCTAGGTCTGTGAACAAGAGCCTGTGAGTCAGTATTAAATTTCTTCACAGGTTTTTTTTGTGTTTTGCTACCTCACACTCAGCCTTTGGCAAATTTATGTTAACGAATTTAGCCAAATTTTTCTCACTATGGCCAGGAAGATTCTGCCTCAGGTGATCTCTGTTGCTGCTTACCTTTTCTTATATTTTTGGTTAGTTGTTTGTCCCAACACATGAACTGTCTGATGCGTTTAAATAAAGTTGGGAATTTGAAAATTGGCCACTTTTTGCTGTTCTTGTGAGTGTAGGAGTAATACCCTTTTAAGCTCTTTACTTCCTTAGCAGAAGCTGGGATTTTTATATAGTTATTTAAAGTGCACATGCAGCATCTATCAACATTGATGATAAACTGGGTCATAAAACAAATCTTACTGAATTTGAAAAGATTGAAATCATATAGAATATGTTCTTTGATCAAAACAGAACTAAGTTATGAAGTAATAGTAACAAAATATCTATAAAAGCACCCAATACTTAGAAATTTAACAACAAAACAACTCACCACCACCAACAATAAAAACACACACAAATAAATGAAATAATAATTTAAACCAAACCATGATAAAAATTTAACACATCGATATTTATGAGGTGCACATAAAGAATGTCAAAGGAAAACTTATAGCATTAAATACTTAGAAAGTAAAAAGTATTAAGGTCATAAAATAAGGTTGCAACTTGGTTATATAAAAACAAGAGCAAACTTACCTGCTTGATCCTGCTGGTAACAAAATAAAATAATTTAAAAAAATAAAATTTAAAAAGAGTAAAAGAACACCAATCAATAAGGAAAAAGGCAGATTTTTTGAAAATATTAATAATATTGATAAATATCTAGAGGGACTGCTCAAGGGGAAAAAAGAAAAAATATTTACTACTAATAAAGAAATGAAAATAAGACATAACTACAGATCTTATAGACGTCGAAAATATAAAAATTTATGAACATGTTTACATGTATAAATTTTACAACTTGGAAACAATGAACAAATTTTCTGAAAAACACAATTTACCCAATCTGACATTATTAGTTTTCTAATTCTGCATTAAAAAATATCCACAAGTGCAGAGGCTTAGAATGAGATTGTCTAACATGTCTGTAGATCACCAGTCCAGGCATACCGCAGCTAGGTTCTCTGCTCATGGTATCACAAGGCGGAAACCAAGGTGTTATCTAGCCGGTGTTCTTATCTGATGCTCAGAGTCCTCTTCCAATTCTTCCAGTTCTGGTAGAATTGAGGATATTAGGTCCTTGAGGTCATTCGGTACTTCCTGAATCTCTACAACATGAAAATTTTCATTTTTTAAATCAACAGGAGAATCTCTCTTTTCAACAAGAGGCAGAATCCCTGTTTTAAGTGCTCTCTGATTAGGCCAGGTCTATCTGCAAGAATCCTGCTTTTGATGAACTCACAGTCATCTGCTTAATTACATAATCATATGATAAAATGCCATCATATGGGATTTTACAAGTCCTGGTATATTCTCTTTGAAAGTGGACTGGGCATAATAAGGTGTTATGAGTAGAAAAGAAAAAGGCAGCTCACGCTAATAATCCCAGCACTTTGAGAAGCCGAGGCTGGTGGATCAGTTGACGTCAGGAATTCAAGACCGTATGGCCAACATGGGGAAACCCCATCTCTACTAAAATAAATAAACAAATATATATTTTTTAATTTGACTACTCATAACACAAGTTCATCCCACATTGAAGGAGAATATACCAGGCATGCACATTAGAAGGAAGGAAACTTGAAGGCTATCTCAGAATTCTTCCTAGCATACTGACCAATAAAAGAATCAAATCTGAATATTTCTGTATTTATTAAATAAATTAAATGCAGAGTTTTTAAAAATTCTATTAATATATTTTAAGCTTAGCCTTACTGGTTGCTATACAAAATATTTAGGAAGAATTAAACTAGTCTTACCTAACTCATTCAGAAGATAAGAAAGAGGGAACAAGTCTAGACTTACTTTATGAAGTTGGAGTAATCTAGATCGAAACTCTACTAAGTACAAAACGAGAAAAAAATTAGACCAATCCTCCTCATGAACATAGACATAAAATTAATCAACAAATTATTAGCAGGTCAAATTCAACAATATCTGAAAGAGACAATACACAATGATCAAGTAGATTTTATCCGAGCAATACAAGTTTGACTTAACATTAAAAATTAGCCAATATAACACAACTTAATGAGCAGTAGAAAGTAACATAATTATCTCATGATGTGCAGAAAAATATTTCAACAAAATTCACATCTTTTCATGGCAGAAATGACCAAGAAATAAGAAATAGAAAGCAGTTTCCTCAATCTAATAAACAGCATCATAACAAAATGAAACTCACATCGTGCATGCATCATATGTAATGGTGAAATGTAGAAATGTTCCCCACTAAATTCAAGTAAAAGAAAAGGATGTCTTTTAAATAGAAGATGTCACAACCTCTGTTTAACTTTTTTCTAGGACTCCTAGGCAGTACAATGAGTCAATAAAAATAAATAAAAGTCATAAATAAATCAAAGTGAGATTTAGTTTAAACAAAACCACCCCAAGTCCTGTTATAGTCAAACTATCAAAAATTAGACAAAGAGTATTCTGAAAGCAGCAAGAGAATGAAGCAAATTTCATATAAGGGAATTCCAATATGACTAACAGCTGAATTCTCAGCAGAAATCTTACAAGCTAGGTGAAAGGGAGATAACACTCAAAATTCTGAAGGAAAAAACTCCCAACAAATAATACTGTACTTGGCAAAACTGTTCTTCAGCAATAAAAGAGAGAAAAAGTTCCAAGACAAAGATGTAGAGAGTATCAACAGCAGGCCTTTTTATAAGAAATGCTGAGGGGAGTTATTCAAGCTGAAAGAAAAGGACACTACAGGTATACCCACAAAATATTGTGGGTTCAGTTTCAGACCACCACAATAAAAGCAAATATTGTAATAAAGTGAGTCACACTGTTCTTTTTTTTTGTTTTTTCAGTGCATATAACAATACTTTTACACTATACTGTAGTCTATTAAGTGTGCAACAGCATTATGTCTATAAGAATAATATGCATATCTTAATTTAAACATAGTTGATCATTTGAGCCCAGGAGTTCTGGGCTGTATTATGCTATGCTGGTTGGGTGTCCACACTAAGTTTAGCATCAATATGGTGATTTCACAAAGCAGAGGACCACCAGGTTGCTTAAGGATGGTTGAGCCAACCCAGGTCAGAAATGCAACAGGATAAAACTTTCATGCTGATTAATATTAGGTCCAGAGATAGCCAGCCCAGAGATTCTGGACAGGCCATCTGATATGGTACTAAGCAGAATTCCTGCTGGAGTCTTTGGGCTGGCTGGCCTGGAGCCTGGGTTAGCAAGTAGGTGAGCCTGAAGCCTGGTTACACTTGGGTGAATGTGTTGATTTGGTCTGCTAGGGTAGGCCTGGAGTCTGTATTCCTAGATCCTCCAGAGCTTCCCTGGTTCTGGGGCAAGACTGAAGCCTGCTGCCACTACAGTTGGTCTAATTATGATCTGAACCTGAACCCCAAGGTTGCTAAGTTGAGTTGGTGAAGGGGCAATCCTGGAAATGCTATGGCAGGTCTAGCATTGTAGCGGGTCCACTAATAGCCTGTGAGTAGCCACTGCACTCTAGCTTGAGCACCACAGTGAAACCCCATCTCTTAAAAAAAAAGAGAAGGAACTATAAAGGATCATAAAGGTCTACAACTGCCTATTGAAAAACATAGGGAATAGGGGGCACCGATCCACTGCACAGTCAAAAATCTATATTTAACTTTTGGCATCCCAAAAACTTAACTACTGATAGCCTATAGCCTACTGTTGATGAGGCACCTTACCAATAGTGTAAACAGTTGATCAGCATGTATTTTATGTGCTATATGTATTATATATTGTATTCTTACAATAAAGTAAGCTATAGAAAAGAAAATATTATTAAGAAAATCATAAGGAGGGTAAAATATATTTACTATTCATTAAGAGGAAGTGTGTCATCATGGAGGTATTTTCCTCTTGTCTTCATGTTGAGTAGGCTGAGGAGGAGAAGGCAAAAAAGAGGTTAATCTTCCTGTCTCAGGGGTGGCAGAGGCAGAAGAGATGGATGAGGTGGAATGAAAGGCAGGCACACTTGGTGTAATATTTATTTTTTAAAGATCCATGTATAAGTGGATCCCCACAGTTCAAACCCATGTTGTTTGAGGGTCAACTGTATTATAAATAATTATATGCTAACAAATTGAATAACATAAAAGAAATGGATAAATCCCCAGATAAATGCAACCTGCCAAGATAAAATCACAAAGAGGTAGACAATCTGAACAGGCCAATAATAAGTAAGGAGATTGAATCAGTAATCAATAGTCTTCAATCAAAGAAAAGCCCAGTACCTGATTGCTTCACTTCTGAATTCCCGCCCCCACCAACTTAAAGAATAATGAATAATGAATACCGATTCTTCTCAAACTCAAAATGGAAGTGCAGAGGAAACTTCTGAACTCATTTTACAAGGCTAGCGTTATCCTGATAGGAGAACCAGTAAAGGACATGACAAAAAAAGAAAACTATTAAATAGTAGACAGTATGCCTAATTAGAGGAGCAAGACTCCTCAAGAAAATATTAGGAAACCAAATTCAACACTGTCCTTCGAACAGAAAAAGAAAAAATATACTTCTCCTTTGTTGCCTTTTTCCATGTTGCTCTCCCCTTTTCTTTATGGTTTTGTGACAACAAGTTATGTCTTAAGTTTCTGTGCATGTGGAATAAAAAGACGCTCACCTAGGATTTAGGAGACCTGTATTCTCTCATCCCCACTTCCTTTCTGCGTAATGATGGTCTTCCCTTTTTTAAAGAGGGAATCTGACCAGACAGAGATATATTCTCACATAATCCTTTTCTACTGTAATTGGTTTCCAATTCAGGCTGCGTTGTTAGTATATCAGGGTTTAGCATACAGGATGTCACCCACATACTGTGGGGTCATATATACTGCTTGAATATATATAAAATAAGCAAAAACAAAAATGAAATCAAATGGATGATTTCTGTGATGATAAATGTACCAGTTTAACTTTAGATGCCATCATGTCATTATATATTTCCCTATCATTCATGTGCAGGTAATATTTTTAATCTATGAGTAATCTATGAATCTATGTAATATTTTTAATCTATAGGTGTTTGACATATTCAATAAGCTTGGTAAAGCAAACAGACTTAGAAGTATATAATCCTAAGGCATGTTTCATATTAGCAGTAACAAAAAAACAGGGCCAAATGTGGTGGCTCATGCCTGTTAGTCTAGCATTTTGGGAGGCCGAAGCAGAAGGAGTGCTGTGCCCAGGTGTTCAAGACCAGTCTGGATAACATAGCGAGACTCTGCCTCTACAAAAAACTAAAAAATGTATATAGCAGAATGTGGTGGCACATGCCTGGAGTTTCAACTACTCAGGAAATCCCTTGAGCCAGAGAGGATGAGGCTGTACTGAACTGTGATTGTGCCACTGAAATCCAGCTTTTGTGACAGAGCAAGACCCTGTCAAAAACAAACAGACAAAACAAAACAAAACAGAAAAAGAGGCTTGGAGCGGTAGGCAACATTAAAAGTAAAAATTAGAAAGTGAATCAAATATGAATCAAATATGGCATTACAATAATGAGGGAAAAAATCGAAAAATCAATTTTCCACATCAAAGCAAGCATAGGGTGTAAAAATACTTTCAGTCCCAGCATTCTAAACTTAGCTGCTTCCTGAGGTCTACTACAGCTCTCCCCTTCTGTATTTCCAATCTTCTTTTCCGCATATTCACTTTCCTTTTCTATCAAGTCATGTTTGTGGGTTACTAGAAGAGTCTGGGTGATTCAGCCTATGGAGAGAAGTTAGAGTGCGGATCCTACAGTCAGATTTTCTGAATTCATATATTGAATCCACCCTTTCCTAACTGTGAACTCTTGGGCAATTCACTTGCCTCTCTGGGCCCTACTTTCTCATCTGTAAAAGGGCAGTATAGTAGTGATGACTTCATTGTGTGATTGTGCAATTACATTCATTAATATATGGTAAGCTTTTGGACCCATGACTCACCTATGGTAAAACAGTCAATCCAGAGTTGCTATTACTATTTTAGTTCAATTTGTAACTGCAAAAGATAGATATTTTATGTAGTTTTGTCTACTTCTCTTCCTTCCTTTCCTTTTTTCCCCTTTCCTTTTCTTTTTTCCACTTTCCCTTCCTTTCCTCTCCTCTTTCCTCTTTCTCCTTCCTTCCTTCCATCCTTCCTCCCTTCCTTCCTTCCTTCCTTCCTTCCTTCCTTCCTTCCTTCCTTCTCTTTTCCTTGTTTCTTCGTCACCTCTATCTGTACCACCTTATGGTCTTACGTGTGTCTTAGGAGACCTTCACTTAGTTACCACACGCTTTGGGTACATCCTTCTTGGTCAAGAAGGCCAGGTACCAGTCAGCTTGCTGAGCCTCTCTAGTGTCCAGGCTATGCTCATTGTAAGCTGCTTCAAGCTGCAGAGAGTGCCAGACACAGATTTCTTTAATCCTACCATCAGTAGGTCTAAATTCATTGCAACTAATACAATACTTGTTTCTCTAACCATGCCAACATTTTCTTGACATCGTGTATGACCTCCTGTTATTTCTCAACAAAAGCTGGCAAGCACAACCTGGCTGGGGAAGTAAAACAGCCCAGCGGGCCACAAACTGCTGCTGAGTGCATCCATGCTTAAATGAACAGCACATTCCAAAGAGATCCAGAGAAGCTCAACTCAGAAGAAAAAATAAAAAGAATGCAAAATCCCTTACAGGAGAGAGTAATCCTCTAGGCCACTAGACTTCCATATTTATATTTCCTACATTGAAAACCAGAGTGACGTCTACTAAAAAATCCTTGACCATTCCTATTGTACTACCATGCTTTGAAATGTCATTCTCACCTTTCCCCATCAGAATTTACCCTCACAAAAAGAATCACAAATGTCCTCTTGATGGAACAAGTCTCTAAAATCTTTGAAGTCTCTGCCAGCAACACCAAAAGAGGAAGCAGCCTGCCATATGTGTGAGTAAGTTTAGTTACAGCTCAGCTTGGGCTGAAATCGCACTGGGAAGACTGCTACATAGGATCAGGTTGGTGCAAAATTAATTGCGATTTTTGCAATTAAAAGTAATGTGTGAGGAAAGGTGGAGTTTGTTTAATTTCAAACACTTTAACTTTTCCTTTATGATTGCCGTGAAAACTTGGTATTTTAAACCCATTTTTCCATTCTATATCAAACTTTTCTATGAGCACAAGGTGAGGTTTTTGTTTGCTTCTAAAATATCAGATTTTCCTTGAATTCTTCTCTGACAGAATGGTGCAAGGAATATTAATGGAAAGAAAGTCCATTGACACGAACACGTTAGATGCCCCACAGTCTTTTAAGACATAGTTGTGGAACAGTACTCTTTCTAATCACTATCGTGAGACCGAGGGAGAAAGATGAATAATATCAAGAACTTCCCTGCTCTCAAGGAACTCACACTCTAGTGAAAGTGATAGACATTAAACAAATTGATCACTACATAATGTAGGAATTGCTGTTAAGAAAATGTGCAAGGTTTTGTGGGAGAGAAAAACATGAGAATCTAGTGTAATTTGAGTGTCATAAATAAAAAGACATAAGGAATTTTGGAGGAAAAGGTCGTGTCCAGTTGCAATCTATAAAAAAAGTAAGTCTAAAAACTAAAACTGCCATATGGCATTATTAATACATTTATGTATGAGTATAACATCCACATATTTCTGAATAAAACTAGCTTAGGAGAGGATCGGGAAAAATAACTAGTGGGTACTAGGCTTATTATCTGGGTGATGAAATAATTCGCACCACAAATCCCTATGACACACGTCTACCTTGGTAACAAACCTGCACATGTGCCCCTGAATGTAAAATTAAAGTTTTTTTTTAAAGACTATTGTTCAAAGAAAAGCTAGTTTAAAAGAGGATGTAGTTTAATGTGTTTAGATTTAGTGTTCTGAAGGATCAGAGGCTCTTCTTGCTGTTTACTGAGCTACCAAAGAATAACTACTGACAATTCTCCTCAAGTCTGCAGAGGCCAAGGTGTTATTTTAAATTTTAATCTCTCCTGGTATTCTTCACTGTATTTAGCACAGACTTCAACATAGAGTAGGTATTAACAAATATCTGAATGATAGTGAGGACCAGTTACAAATGCTTGCACAAAGCTAGGAAAATAAGTTTAAAAATCAGAAGTGACATAAGTTGGCTCAGATGAAAAAGGATTAATCTATGAACTGATGATAAGGCTTGAAAAGGAACTTTTCTTGAAAACTAATTCCTGGATCTGAGCATTCACATTTTCTTGCATTCTGTAGCCAGAGAAGGAAAACTTGGGTATCTGGCCCTTGTTCCTTTCGTGAATACAAAACACTCACAGAGGTCTGCAATGAGTATTAATATAGGGGAAGTTAAGGCTTTGAGTGAAATGTTAAAATATGATGTTTATAATAAAATGTTCTCACTAAAGGACAATGGATTTAAACATATAAAATACTATGAGTCATAAGGCATTCATAAGCATGATAAAATGATAAATGATATTATTGCAAGCTTCATCTGGAAAACTAGGTCTGTAGCTGTGCACTTTGGTCACATAACTTAATTTTCAAAGTTGAAGCTTGTTCATCTTGAATTGAAACTTCTAACATTTGAATTGTTTTCATACATCACTTTTTACATGCAGTTCTTCACTTAATTCTTGCAGCAATGCTTATGACAGATTTTTACTAACCTCATTTATGGATACAGAAAATGAAGACTCAGACTGTTTACTTGTTCAAGTTCATCTAAACAGAAAAAATGACAAAGACAGCACTCAAATTTTTGTCTTCTGATTCTAAATTTCATTCACATCCCAGTATATCATACATCTTCTGAATATCAGTTATATTGAATATATTTGAAAGTGTTTGCTAAATGGCGATATGTTGTATACATAAGAGGGACTATGTAATCACTGAAAATCCATTTCATAATTAATTAGTGTATTGATTTTTCCTTTAGCAGTCCTTTTCTAAATGCCAATAAATGTTTTCATCACTAACCAAGGTACTAGAGGAATATGAGGAACTGCTTACAAGTGCCTCCTTATTTCACTGTTACATTTGATTGCACCCATTTGAATAAAAGTAGATCACTGTACACCGGTGTGCACTGACCTGGTTAATATACATGTAAATGACAGCTTTTTCAATGGAGTCGTTTAAAGATAAGCAGCAAATATTTATATTCCTTTAAAGTATTGTTCCAAAAACGACAGCAGCAATTCACAGAAATAAGGCAGTTATTTGAGTTTAAAGCTTTGTTTTATTACCTGGACTGCATATAACTATAAGTTCACTCTTTGATGTATTTGCAATACTACAGAGTCTATTGAAGAACTCCGAGGGAAGGTGTTTGTTTGCATATGGGCAGTAAAACTTTTCTATCCAATAAAATCTGACACGGAACTTTTAAGTAACAAGCACACTGTTGATTAGGTTGGTTTGATTTTCTAATGATTACCAGCCCTATATTTGGACTAAACTCTAAAGTGTATTTAATGGTTAAAAATGATCTGAATTAGCCGTCTATGTTGAAATTAAACAGCATTATTTTACAATTGAGGTAGTCAGTCTCAGAAAAGAAATATTTAATTATTTAGTATCAAATGTAAAGTGGTTACTTCTAGCTCTTTGCTTATACACTTTGCTTGCCAGCCTAATTTATTAAGCACTTTCACAGATATTTTTCCATAAAAGTACATTACATGCCTATTTAGATAGATTAAATTATATAAAACTGAGAATATTAGACCATATTTGTCTTATATAAATTTTAAATGGTTCAACTTGATAGATAATCCTGCTAATGGGAGATCTGAAATGCACTCTTCCCTTTTCTACATTTAATCAAATCAATGTTCCCGTATTTTCAGGTGTCCTTATCAAACTGTTATACGACCTCATCCCTCTAACCAATTCATGCAACAAAAAATATTTTTTGAAGGGAGATTGTGCTGAGATGACAACATCAATTTCCAATAAATGTAGTAATGGATAATGATATAGAAGACTCTACCCTACAAGATTAAGTATAATAGATAAAAATTCCAAATTATAAAAGACAAAGATACATTCAAATAGTTACTTAGATTTCATTAAAATACAGTATTTTGGTCAGATTATCAGCAGTATTGTGAACCCCCAAAGACACTGACAGTCAAAAAAATAAGCTTAGAGATGCTTAGAAGATATTACTAATTAGTAGTATTGAGTTTAGTATTTGCCTTTTTAATGTCTTGTCATATTTAATTTTATTTATTTCATTTTCAAAAGCTATGTTGAAGTTGGCAATATTTCTCATCTCTGCAATGATTATTTTCCTCCTGTGACTATATTATTCATATTTTATGAGGCTCTAGCTTGGCCTAAGTAAGTTAGATCCCGAAGAATTCCAATCTTGATAGAGCAATTTTTCTGCCCTTTGCCGATCTTATTTCTGGCAGCATGGGGCTATTTCATCTTAGATAGATCAGTCTTAGTATAATGGGTAATGTTCATGAACTAAAATGGAAGTCACTGGACCAGGGCTGGAAAAGATGATCCATGACCAGACCGTTCTGACCTTCCGGAGTACTGTCTGCTGACCTACTTGGCAAGTTGAATTCACTCTTCTCATTCATGCATAGCTGCGGCCACTTAAACATTAAAGAGTTGGAACTCATTTCCTTCTCATTTTTTGACCTGAGTCAAAACTCTGTTGTTATTCCTTGATCCAGAATGAGGGAGGATATGTAGGTAAATGCTTCAATGTAAATTGGTGTGTGTATACATATGCATGCCTGAAGTTGTGTGCATTTTAAGTGATGATTTATTTTATTTATTATTATTTTTTAGACAAAGTCTCACTCTTGTCCCCCAGGCTGGAGTGCGATGGTGTGATCTCAGCTTACTGCAACCTCCGCCTCCTGGGTTCAAGCCATTCTCCTGCCTCAGCCTTCCATGTAGCTGGGATTACAGGTGCCTGCCACCATGCCTGGCTAATTTTTGTATTTTTAGTAGAGACAGTTTCGCCGTGTTGGTCAGGCTGGTTTCGAACTCCTGACCTCAGATGATCCACCTCCCTCGGCCTCCCCAAAGTGCTGGGATTACAGGCATGAGCCACCGTGCCCGGCCAAATGGTGATCTGTTTTTAAAAATGGGGCCCAGTTCCATGTTTCTTTTTTCCGCATTCTATAAGGACATGTGAACATGGGGAATATCAGCTTAACCTGCAGTCAATAAGCACACATGAAGTCTTAACAGACATTTAGCACTTGTATATCCTCTTTCTAAGCCTTGAATGCCTTGTGTCTACCCTTAAAATATTCATAAGGAGCTGGAGCAGGGAAGGCTGGTGAGAAAGAACGGAAAGAGGAAGGCTGGAGAGAGAGAGGTTAGAAAGGGAAAAGCTGGAGAGGGAGCGACTGGAACAAGAACAGCTGGAGAGCCAGAGAGAGAGACAAGAACAGGAACAGCAAACTCCTGAATCTGGAGAGGCAAGAAAGACAAGAAAGAGAGAGGCTAGAGAGACTGAAATGGGAGAGGCAAGAGAGGGAGCGACAAGAACAGTTAGAAAGGGAACAACTGGAATGGGAGAGAGAGCGCAGAATATCAAATGCTGCTGCCCCTGCCTCTGTTGAGACTCGTCTAAACTCTGTGCTGGGAGACTCTTCTGCTTCTGACCCAGGCTTGCAGGCAGCCTCTCAGCTGGCCGAGACTCCAGCCCAAAAGGGCATTGTCTTGGGACCTCTTGCACCTCCACCTCCTCCACCACTCCCACCAAGGCCCGCACAGGCTTCAGCAGCACTCCCTCCTCTTCCAGGGCCCCCTCCACCGCCTCCATTCCCCATCCACTGGGCCTCCACTGGCCCCTTCTTCCCCCTCCTTTCCCTAATCAAATACCTCCTCCTCCTCCACCGCCTCCTGTCCGGCCCCTCCCTGCATCTGGATTCTTTTGGGGATCCATGTCAGAAGACAATCGCCCTTTAACTGCACCTGCAGCTGCAATTGCAGGAGCAAAACTTAGGAAAGTGTCACGGATGGGGGATGCCTCTTTCCCAAGCAGAGGGAATGCTACTGGTGTGAACTCGGCCTCATCTAAAACAGATACAGGCCTACAGGCCATGGAAATGGACTCCTTCCTTTAGGTGGTAGTGGTTTAGTGAAATAAATGAGTGCCCTGCTGCCAGGAGGAAAAGAATTGCTGAAAAGGGATCAAAAATAGAAACAGAAGAAAAAGGACAAAGGTGAAGATTCAGAGCTTGTAACTTCTAAGGCCTCTTCAACAAGTACACCTGAACCAACAAGGAAACCTTGGGAAAGAACGAATACAATGAATGGCAGCAAGTCACATGTTATCTCCAAACCAAAATCCACACCCTTATTACAGCCCAGTGGCAATGGAGTCCAGATGGAAGGACTTAACTACCACAGGCTGAAGCAGGACATCTTAGATGAAATGAAAAAGGAATGAACAAAGCTAAAAGAAGAGCTCATTGATGCAATCAGGCAGACACTGAGCAAGTCAAATACTGCATGCAGAAACAGAGTAAGGTGAGATAGGACTTTAATCTGGAGGAAAAAAAAATCCTACTAACCGCAACTGTTCACAACAGCAAACCTCTACATTTTATGAGCTGTGAGAAGAAAATGGAGACAAACAGAAGGAGGGAAAAATCAACCTACTCTGAAAGTCTTCAGATATTATGACTCTGGCGATAAGCTCTTTCCCTCACAGTTGGCTGCTTTTTTCTGGCCTTTACAACAGAATGGAAGAGAATCATATAAGAATTCCTGTAACAGTTACGCAGAAAATACTAAAACCCATCAGGCAAGATCACTGTACATTGAAATATTTTCATGTCAAGATAAAATTGCACATTTTCCACAATTCAGTGCTAAAATAAAGAGGAGGAAAGCTTAGAAAGTTTTTTTTGCAGAGAGTGCTGATAAAGAATTGAGCAAGTTTGCTATTGTATTGTAATGTTTCTCTCAGGTTTGTTCTTCCTATCATGTGTGATATTCCATCAATAATTGAGATCAGCCCTATGTAAGTTAAGATCATAATATGTGGAACAAATAGAATTGTAAGTGCTTTGAAAGGGTAATATTTATAAGAAAGTGTCCTAAATTTGTTCAGCTTGACGGATTTTAGAATGATGGGAAGTCTCTTGTTAGCCTTCGTGCAATTTTGTAGATTAAAACATAAACTTTGTCCAGAATGTAAAGATTTAGACGCCTTCCTAAATGGTTACAATGCATTACCACATCTAAAGACTTCTACGTAACACAAACTGGTGATCAAATGTAAACACTATATTGTAGACTTACTGTAGGTTTTCCACCTTTTAGGCTTATGCATGTGAACATTTTTATAATGTAATTACAATCACCACGAAGTTAGCTTTTTAAATTGCTAATGCATGTGACCCTAATATGTAGTGGCCTTTTCAAGGCCTAGTTCCAGAGAAAACATTTTGTAGAGTATAGGGGGTGGGAGGAAGTGAAGAAATAATTTTTTATTTAAAGTTGATTTCTGCACTATCTTTTTCTCAATTAGCTGCATGAATAATAATGAAGAATATTTTGTGACTTTAATTGGTAAATATGTTACAAAACCAAGTACTTAATCTTTTACTTCATGTCTTCAGCTATTTGTATTTATTTATTTATTATTTATTTATTTATTTATTTATTTATTTTGAGACGGAGTCTCGCTCTGTTGCCCAGGCTGGAGTGCAGTGGCATGATCTCTGCTCACTGCAACCTCCACCTCCACCTCCCGGGTTCACGCCATTCTCCTGCCTCAATTTCAATGGTCTGAAACATGATTTTGAGCTTCACATAGTATCTTACTGTGGAACTCCAAAGTTTGATCACTGAATTTGGCAGTTATTACCTAGGTACCCCTGCTGTTACACAGGTGTTTAGACACAGGTTCCTGAATGAAGCTGCTTTTGAATTTTGTTATGTTGAAATAAAAAAAAAAACAATGATGGCAGCAATTAAGGCCACAGAAATCATTAGGTAAAGGAAAACCAATGGGGAGTTCTGCAATTTTCTTTTAATAAGTAAAGTGAGACTTGGGTTGTGGGAAGAAAGAATTAGACACTCTACCTGCCACCCTGCGTGTGTGTGCACTCGTGCACGTGCTGTCTATATGGAAGTCACTCCCTTTTCTTTTCTTTGAAATGGGTAAGATTAAAATAGAGGAGAAATCCTATATGTTGCAATGACACCTTTTTGGAAAATTTAAGAAATCAAACTCTCCGGCCAGGCACGGTGGCTCATGCCTGTAATCCCAGCACTTTGGGAGGCCGAGACGGGTGGATCACGAGGTCAGGAGAGCGATAACATCCTGGCTAACATGGTGAAACCCCGTCTCTACTAAAAATAGAAAAAAAAAAAAAAAGAAAAAAAAATTAGCCGGGTGTGGTGGTGGATGCCTGTACTCCCAGCTACCCGGGAGGCTGGAGAATGGCGTGAACCCGGGAAGTGGAGCTTGCAGTGAGCCGAGATCACGCCATTGCCCTCCAGCCTGGGCGACAGAGAGAGACTCGGTCTCAAAAAAAAAAAAAAAAAAAAAAAGAGAGAGAGAAAAGAAATCAAACTCTCCATGCTCTCTATCTTGATTTATGCTTGAGTTATGTGCCATATTTGCTTTGAACTCTGATTATCAAAAGTTTTACTAAAATTTTAAAGAAATAATTCACTTTCATCTGCTTTCTAGATTTGTACCTCTCAGTTCATAAAGTAAAGCTTGTTGACAGTGCAGTTTTCTAAATGCTACAAATTTGCAGCTATTACCACTACAAAGAAGTTTGGATAAGGGATTTTTTTCTCTGTTAAAATAGTTCCTGTTTCTGTAGAAATTTCATTTTTAGATCAAACTGTGATGCATGAGCTATCATAATTCAAGTAAACATTTCCTTTTTTCTATCAGATATTCATTGTCATGCAGTAGTAGTAAAAACATCAAAGATGCAGCAAGCTTATGAAGTACTACTTTCTAAAAGAAATAGGAGGCATTTTCATCTTTATTATTGTACTTTCGGTTATGCAAACATTTTGATAATATAAACAGTTATGTCCCCTATAAATCTGGTCTTTCGATTTTGTTGGGTAAGTTAAATAGTAGGTACAGCACTGGGTACAAGTGGTCCAAACTAAGATAAGAGACTAAAATAAAATTCTAAATCTTAAAAGAAACTAGGTTTATGCACTAAACATTTTGTGCCTTCATCTAATATTAACATGATGTCTGTGTAAAATGACAAAAAGAACCAGTGTTGAATCACGCTATATTTTCCATCATCCCAGATTGCTAAATGTATTCTTTCCAAGAAGTCTGAATGAATTATTATATACATTTGCTGTAATGTATACATGGCAGTTGTGTCATTGTTAGAGATTTCAGGAATTAAAATGGGAAACAGAAGCTTAAGTTATTTTCCTTATCAAAACTGTGTTCCTTGGAACCACATTATTATGATGATTTTTGTTCTCTTGTACATTGGATGTCTTAAACTGAGTACGGTTTAGGGGATCCTTTCTAATTACAGGAAGGTATGCTTTCCTCAACATTGTGATTTGACCTGTGACAAATCTGTACTATCCGTTCTGTACATGGCTCCCAAGTCAATTGCAAACAAACTGAATGGTGCTGGTGCTGAAATCTCTGCAGAATAGTCATCATGATTGAAAAGTTGGTTTAAAAACTTGAGGGACTGTTGAAGGGCATGACTGTGTTTTGAAATGTGAGGACATGAGATTTGGGAGGGGCCAGGGGCAGAATGATATGGTTTGGCTCTGTGTCCCCACTCAAATCTCGCCTTGAATTGTAATTCCCATAATCCCCATGTGTCAAGGGCAGGACCAGATGGAGGTAATTGAATCATTGGGATGGTTTCTCCCATCCTGTTCTCATCATAATGAGTGAGTTTCACAAGATCTGATGGTTTTATAAGGGTCTGTTCATTTCCCCTGCTGGTGCACTCATTCTCTCTCCTACTGCCCTGCGAAGAGGTGCCTTCTGCCATGATTGTAAGTCTCCTGAGGGCTCCTCAGCCATGCAGAACTGTGAGTTGATTAAACCTCTTTTCTTTATAAATTGCCAGTCTTGGGTATTTCTTTTAACAGTGTGAGAACAAACTGATACAAGTGGGGAAGGTAAAGTGAAAAGTTCTGGTTCTGTTCCTCATCCACATTCCTAGACAAGATAATACACCAAAACCTCCCTACAGGAGTGGACATGAAATGTGAAAGTTTGTGGGATTTTTTTTTTGTATTACAAGTTAACACTCATCAGAGGAAAACTACCATTGTCGCAGTCCCATCGACACTGCAGTGCAGCACAACGGGCTCATAAGTGGAGTAGGCCTGATGGAGGAGATGGAAACTTAAACTATCATAAACCCAGCAATATGGGCTTCAAATTTCTAGCTGTTGCTTAATATCAATCTGCTATCAACAGAGACCATATGACCCTGCCCCATTTCTTAAGCAGATCAATCCGTTATTTTCTTTTAAGATGTTTACATTGAACCCCTTACATCAGAAAGGAACAGCAACTCATTTTGACTGAAATAGACAAATATTGAAGAATAGGCCTGCCTTCTAGTTCTCAGGGTTTTGATCAGCACCACTATTTAAGAATTTATAGAGTTTTGATGTATCACTTATGATTCTGCATAATACCATCTCAGAACAAGGAAGCTACTTTATGCCAAAAAAAAAAAAAGGTATGGAAGTGGGCATATCACATGCCCTCCCATCCTAAATCTGCCAACTTGATAGAGTAGATGCAAATAAGGCACCAACTTGGAGTTGATAGCCTACAAAGATGATATGCTATCCTCCAGGATGGGGTTTACACCCTAAATCAATGACCATTTTATGGTACTATGCTTCCATTACATAGAATATGTGAGTCCCATATCAAAAATGGGAGATAAGAGTGGCCCCACTTACTCACTCCATTAACTCACTGGGAGGACTTGTGCCTTAGTCTCTGTTGGCCTAGCGGCCCTATTCCTGGGGAGAAACTCCTTTACCAGCACCACAGTAACAGTCCCATAGAACTTTAAGCTAAAGTTGCCACCAAGTCATTTGGGCTCTTTATGCTAACAGTGTAGCAGATAAGGGAAAGGATCATTACATTGGCATGAGTAGTTGATCCTGGTCATCAGGAGGAGGATTGGCTACTGTTACATAACAGTTATAAGGAGGAAATGCTTGGCATTTGTTTGGCCCACTGGAGCAATTCTTGGTGCCTTTTTGCACAATTTGATGCTAAATGGACAAGTACATAAGACACAGCCTGAAAAGATCATGGTGACCAGGGCCTCAGATTACAACAGGGTTATTACTTGTGTCACTACCACATAAGTTACCCAGACAAGCAGAGGTGTTAGTTGAAATTAAGTGTACCTAGAATGGATTATGAACAAAAATAATGACTATCACTTGCAGTCGTAAGATGAACTGCCACGTGGGCCCTGCTGTTTGTCACATTAAAATTATTCTTGCCAGGCGTGGTGGCTCACACCTGTAATCCCAGCACTTTGGGAGGCCGAGGTGGGTGGATCATGAGGTCAGGAGATCGAGACCATGCTGGCTAACACAGTGAAACCCCATCTCTACTAAAAATACAAAAATAAAAATTAGCTGGGCGTGGTGGTGGGCACCTGTAGTCCCAGCTACTTGGGAGGCTGAGGAGGAGAATGGCATGAACCCAGGAGGCAGAGGTTGCAGTGAGTGGAGATCGCGCCACTGCACTCCAGCCTAGGTGAGAGAGTGAGACTCTGTCTCTCTGTCTCAAAAAAATAAATAAAATAAAATAAAATAATTCTTACAGGTTTATCCAGAAAAAAAACAAAGATCAACCAAAATACTGCAAGAGTTGCTCCCAGGTGGGATGAACTTACCACTGAAGCAAGTAGAGCTGAGAAGCTCACAGAGTACATTACCAGGAATATTGTGTTACACCACCTAGAACCTGTTTCATGATGAAGGTACTTACTCCCTCAGATGCCAGGTGTATAGACTCCTGAGCTCTTCCTCAGGAACCGACTTCAGTTTAAGAGAGCTGCCCCCCTCAAGGTTAATCCCACTTCCAAAGTCAAGGTCCAAAGCCTGGCCCTTTGCCTTAATTCTGAAGAGCCATCTCAGTTTCAGAACTCTCCATGGAGTTGGCTGAGGGCTTTGTTTTGACGGTATCATTGATCAATTTTTCTCTTTTCTAAACTTGCCCATATTCCTTTAGATACGCTGTTCCTGAGAGCACGCCTCTGAAAATCTCTTGCATGTATATCTGTCTATCTGAATCATTTTTCCTAAAGAAGATAACTTAGGACACAAGGTCACACAGAATATAAGTGACAACCAGAATTAGAACTCGGACCTACACACTCTCACAACAAAATTCTTTTCTCTACATTATACTGCTAAATTCTCTCAATATGTTTCTCATTTATGCTACTATAGGATGAGATGTGAATTATCTGTTTGCATGTCGTGTCCCAAAGTAGAAATAAACTCCTTGAAGACGATGACATGTATTATGAACATATTTATTTCGTAAGCTGAAAATATTGAGTATCTCATATTAAGAACCCAATTAACATTATATTTAAATAACTACAATGATAGATAAATAATTTTAGCTTATTTGAAAATTATGATTATTATGAATTAATTTCTTTATGGAAATTAGAGGAGTTGTAGACAAGGCCATACTGCCTTTTCTGACTTCCTGCTTTATTACCTCGGCCAGTGCAGGGTATTCATGAAACCCCCTATTCCACTTCCTTCTCATTGCCGCCCTCCATTTATTACCATCTTTATCTTCCTGAAAAATAATTGCAAGTAGGTAAGTCTTGTTCATAAGTCTATATGCATTCCTGTTTTCTAAAGGTGAGTTTAAATGAAGTAATTTTTTTTTCTGGATGAATAGAAGTCTCTGTGTAATTTATTAACACCAAATTTTTCAATTTTATTTACTATTTATTTATTTAATCCACCCTAAATTTCTTCCGTATTATTTTGATCTCACTATTTTTCTTTCATCTCAAATGCTTTTCTAGGTCCCATTATTCAAAATTTTAAGAATCCTTCAGGGTCCAGATCAATTGCTACATTTTCAGTCTTCATATTTTTCTAATGACTACCTCTCCCATGCTAAAAGTAAGCCCTTTCTACGTTAAATCTTCATGCTTCTATTCTTAATTCTCTTCTGGTATGTATCATTTAAAAACGTGTATATTATGCACATTTGTAATTGTCTTATCCTCAATACTCATTTTTTTGTTCCTTTTCCCAGCAATGTGGCCTTGTACATGGTAATCACTAAGTAACTTTTACTGTGTGGATGAGATACAAGTGGATGTTGACAATATATTAGTTGAATGACCAGCCATGGAACTGATTTGTGTTCCTTAAGATATATGGGTCAAATACATTTAATTACAGATGGTAAGCCAAGTAAATATGAGGGGAGACATTAGGGATAGAAAATATTTCAATATTTTTGATTAGTATTGATGTAAAAATCCTCAATAAAATACTGGCAAACTGAATACAGCAGCACATCAAAAAGCTTAGCCACCATGATTAAGTAGGCTTTATCCCTGGGATGCAAGGTTAAACATACACATATCAATAAATGTGATTCACCAAACAGAACTGAAGACAAAAACTACATGATTATCTTAATAAAAAAAGAAAAGGCTTTTGATAAAATTCAACAAACATTCATGTTAATAACTCTCAATAAACTAGGTATTGAAGGATTATACCTCAAAATAATAAGAGCCATATATGACAAACCCACAGCCAATATCATTCCGAATTGGCAAAAGCTGGAAGCATTCCCCAGGAAAACTGACAAAGACAAGGTTGACCTTTCTTGCTACTCCTATTCAATGTAGTGTTGGAAGTTTTGGCCAGGGTAATCAGGCAAGAGAAAGAAATAAAGGACATCCAAATAGGTAGAGAGGAAGTCAAGCTATCCCTGTTTGCATAAAACATGATCCTATAGCTAGAACACCCCATAGACTCAGCCCAAATCTTCTAAATATGATAAATAACTTCAGTAAAGCCTCAGGATACAAAATAAATATGCAAAAATCACTAGCATTTCTATACACCAACGATAATCAAGCCAAGAGCTAAGTCAGAATGACCTCTCATTCACAATTGCTACAAGAAGAACAAAATACCTAGAAATACAGCTAACTAGGGAGGTGAAAGATCACTACAAGGAGAACTACAAACCACTGCTCAAATAAATCAGAGACAACACAAAAAAATGGAAAGAAAAACATTTCTTGCTCATGGATAGGGAAAATCAATATCATTAAAATGGCCGTGCTTCCCAAAGCAATTTAAAGATTCAGTGCTATGCCTATTAAACTACCATTGACATTCTTCAAAGAACTAGAAAAAACTATTTAAAAATTTGTATGAAACCAAAAAAGAGCCCTAGTATTTTTAAACAGGCTACAATGTCATTTTAATGATTAGTGCTAGCTGTAATTTTTGTTACAGATGCCTACTTTTTAGGGGTGTAGAAATCTTAAGACACATTTTTGGTATCATGATATGTATTTTATTTGAATGTAATTAAAAATACAATAGAAAACAATTAGTACTTACTTAAGTGATTTGATACTTGGAATGCAATTTTAGGGACTGATTTCAGCACCTTGGCCAGAGCAATGTGATGGAGGATGTTTTTGTTCACTTTGTGCACCTTGGGTTCAACAGGACAATTATTGCTTCCTCATACCAATAAATATATGTTCAAGAGTGAATCGCCAGAAGGCTGAGACAGAAGAATAGCTTGACCTCGACAGGCGGAGGTTGCAGTAAGCTCAGATGGCATCATTGCACTCCAGCCTGGGCGAAAAGAGCAAAACTTCATCTCAAAAAAAAAAAAAAAACAAACCGAGTGAGTGGCAAAAATATGTAAAACCCAACTATAATCATTTTGTAAATATCCACTAAAGTCTTCAGACAGTTGTTTTACTTTAATAACCATCCTTTTTAAATAACTAATCAACCATAGAGCCTTAGAGCTGAAGAGAACATTAAAAAATTACCTAATCCAAAACTCCTTTCTCCCGTTGCCCAGGGACAAATACCTGTGCTGAAGTAATTTTTTTCCAATTACAAATTTGTCCATAAATTAAAGTTCTTTTTATCATTGCAAATATGCTTATTAAACATGACATTTTCTTATACAATAGGTTATTTAGTAGAAATTTTCAGGAGACCAATGTTCTATTTCTAGGTTTTTCATGTGAATTGGACTAAGTAATACTAAAATTCTGGATCTAAGATTTTTGTATTTCATAAAACGAAACAAAGGGTTGTAATGATACTGATGGTGCTATAGTTGCATGTATATTATTCTTTTATGAAAGCAATGTGATCAAAGTGTGATTAGGACTCACAATCTGTTGAACTCCTTACAAAGGCATACCTTTCATAATTGAAATGACTTAGGATCCTTCCTGAAAAGTGACGTTATTCTCAATGATAATAAACCATAGAAGAAATGTGCCTCTTTGGACTGGATACTTTAATGCTTTCCAGTTTGCATATAAAACTAAGTTATTTTTAGTCTTACTTACATAAGAGTTAAAATGTTTAGGAGGGAATTTCTGAATGGTACATGTTAAAGTGGTACCATTCACGTAGAAATACAACATTAGTGCTAGGATTAAGTAATCTAGTCTATGAAAAAATAAAAGACAGTGGAGTGCCTTTCTTTTCTCTCACTATCATATCCTCCTTCTTTCCCTTATTTCTAGATTTATGTATTAATAATAAATTAAAATACAATATGCACTAGAAATATTGAAAAAAGACAACCACAGAAAGATAAGAAATATGTGTGCTGTAAGCCAAGTTATTTTACTCTTCTTTGTGTTTATTTTCTTTTCTTCTATCTTGGGATGGTCAACAACTTTAAGTTACAATGTATAATAAAATACCACACAATGCAATCATAAAATAATAATAGTTATATATGTTGATATGAAAACATGCATAATGAATTCACATATTCAAAAACTAGTCAGTTCTGTACAACAAATGGCCAGTTTATTTAACAAATCAATGCTGTATAGAAAAGTATTAGATAAGTTTGGCTGTTATAGAATAAAAGAGTGTTACAAAATAAAGGTTTTACTAAGAAGTAAAAAACTATATTAAGGAATTAATATTAATTTTGTTAGATGTGATAAGGGTCTAGTGGTTACTTATAATTGAACATGTATATTACAGTGATTTGGATGAAATGGCATGATATCTTATACCTGTTTTTAAGAACTCAAAATGGTGATCATAATATAGTAGTAGTTCTGAACAGATCAAACAAGATGTGAAAATGTTGATAATTGTTGAAGTACATGGGGCTCATAAAGGATTTTCCCTATTTTTACACGTTTGAAAATTTATACAACAAAAAGAAAAAATCAGCAGTTCCCAAAGTCACTATGCCCATTTCAGTATACTTCTCACCTTTTCTTCTACACATAAATGTGTATTTTAAAAAATACTTCTCATCTTTGCTTCTACACATAAATGTGTATTTTTGCTCTATGTGTATTGCTTTATGTGTTTAGTTTTGTTTTCTAATATGTATCATATAAGCATATGTGATTAAAAATATACCAATGTTTTGTAAAAATAAATGATTTTCTTTCTCCCACAATGCTAAAGGAACAAAAGTCTTATCAGAGATCATATATTGAAGTAAAGAAAATGTCTTATGGGTCCAATATATGTTGATGGTAACAATAATTACAGGGAAAGAGATCAATTCAAGAGCAAAATGATACCATGTTGGAGTCATCATAACTTGACTGGCCACAGATTTCCACTCTCAGAGTCTCTATCCCTTGCTGAACTACCTACTTTCTGATTGCACTTCTCGCAGGAGCTACACTCAATTGATCTATGTGGTTTAGAAAATCTTTTCCAGTTCTCATAATTTGCATTTCCAAGCTTTCTTATTCTACCTTGATGTGTTTCTTTATAGATGATTATAATAGTAGTGATTATAATAATTAACATTTCTGCATCTTACCTAGTATGTGTCAGGACTAGTTCTAAATATTTCAGTGTAACTCATTCAATCATTGTGTCAAAACTTGAGTTAAGCACTATAGTGTTGCCAATATTACAAATGAGGCAAAGTTCTAAAGAGGTTAAATAATCTGCATAAAGCCATGTAACTGTTAAGTAGAAAATTAGCATCTATTCTAATGAGTGTAGATATGAGCCTTTTGGGGGAACTTAACAACTGATTATCTTACATTTGGGTTGAGTCTAGGCATAATAGGAAGTCTGCTTTAACCAGCCTTTGTAAAGTTGAGGACTAAATGCTTCTAAAATCATTCAATATGTCAGCATTCCTCACAATGTTGGTTAAAACAGACTCCAAAGCCTATTGATTAAATTTAAAATCCATGGATAAAAAGATTGGAATAAATATTTTCTTAGTTCTCTCATATTTAATAAGATTAATATTATTTATATGGTAGAAATGCTTTTTTCTTTCATCTTTTATGTATATGCCTTTGTACCTAGACAAGCTGAGCCATCCATCTCTCATGTGGTAGTGGGGTTGAACGTGTTACAGTAGTCATACAATGGAAAAAAATGTTAAAAAAATTCAGCTGTGATGTTGAACACAGTATTACAGATATATAATAATAGTCACATTTCATAGAGATAAAATTATTTCCTAGATGGGGTTGTAGAACTCGACCATAAACAAGCTAGAAGAGAAAAGAGAAAGCAGGTTGTCATATATTTGCTATATTCTCCTCTCTATTTTAGTTAAAGCCTTGGACAGCAGGGGCACCTTAAAAAGAGTAAGATGAGTGGCAATGACATAATGGCACAAAGGTTTCTGCCCTGCTTTCCCTTTATAATTCTGGAAGGAAATTGTGTCCCAGGCTCCCTCCCACACAGCAAACTCCACTCCTTCTCCCTTCACAAAGTTGTATCCTACATTTTTTTATCCACACAAAATTCTTCTCATACGTACACACATAGGTATTCAACCATTGTGTATTATAGACACTGACTGCTTTTTTGCTTCAATCAATTAAGTGTACTTTATTGCATTTCCTACAGCAATGTATAAAAGGACATCTTTCTCCACATTTCTTGATAATGTTTCTCCACATTCCTGTACATTATCATCCTTAATTTTTGCCAATTTGAAAAGTAAGATTTAAAACTTAATAAATAAAAGTCTCAGAATTAATTTAAGTAGTGTATTGTTTTATTCAAAAATAATGAAGAATTAGTACTACATAACTAGGCAATTAATAGAAGGATTTGAATAAATAAGAATCCAGAATGGTTACTTCTTATAGTTTAAATATCATCATTCCATTTAGAAATAAAACGTCTTGAGTATTTGTTGCTTAAAAATGTCTAACACAGTCATATAACGTTTTTTCTCTTTCCACTGCACGTATTTGACAATTCTTTGCTTTAGGAGGATAGAAATTCATCACAGATTCACCACCATGACTTCTGGTAATTACCTTTGCTTATTATGTCTCTTTAGCTTTTCTCCAAATTGTTTTGATTTTGATATTAGCAAAAATATAAATGACAGGGAAAAAATGTCATCCCAAATTCTCTTTTTTTCTATTGCTCCCCACCCCAAACGCTTTTTGTTGTTTATCTAGTTTCTGTTTTTAGCTTTGTCTATATATACACATTTTAAAATTAAATCATTTTATACAATGAAGTTGCAATTGTGTTTTTAAATAATTTAATACATATTTAATAATTGATTCCTTATATATAAGAATATATAAAATTCCTAAATTTATATGCATATTTCAGAATACAATGTTATCAAGGAAAAATATGTTATTAGGGAATCCTTTATAAAACCATAATTTAAGAACGATTGATAGTATCAGAAAAAAGTATTTATCAATATTTTGCATAAAAGTAATTTTTTGACAGTCTCTATTTTGCCAAAATTATATAAAAAAATCTGCCCATGATGATGGAGTGAGCATCAGGAAAAATAGACATTGCATCAGATTTCTAGATGAGCAATAACTTTGTGATCTTATAAGCAAATAGAGAAAGCACAAAGAAATATTAAAGTATTCAAATATATAAAATAAATTTGAATACACTTAACAGAAATCACTGCTGTTTGGGTTTTTCAATTATTTGGAGGAATACAGAAGAAAAGGAGGGATTGATAAATTAGCTTACTTTGTTATCTGCAATATGTAGGAGATTCTCTTTTCCTTTGATAATAAATTACCCTATAAAATATGATCCGTGGATAAAATGAGTATAGATTATATCTGTAATGAGAAAATAATGTACATTATTTACAAAGTAAACCACTCAACTCAAAATTCAACACTCTCATCAATTCACAGAATTGACCAGAGAGCTTAGAAAAAATTAGGTGTTAGTCCTATTGATTGCAGTAATTTTATTAACTTAAACTTCCAAATCAACCCTGAAAATTCATATGTCCACCAGAATTTTCTTGAGTTTTATTTTCAGAATTTTCTTGGGTTTTATTTCAATACATGAGAGCTATACCAAATTTAGGTTGGCAGATGCGTTAATATCAATGTAAGATTTTGCAACATGAGGCAACAAATGATTTAAAAGCAGTGCATTAGTCCGTTCCCACACTGGTATAAAGAACTACCTGATACTAGGTAACTGCAGAACTGTGAGTCAATCAAACCTCTTCTGTTCATAAATTAGAAGTCTCAGGTAGTTCTTTATAGCAGTGTGGAAACAAATTCAGAAAGGAATGATAAGGTCTAGGGCTTTTTTTCCTTTTGCTATTTATTTTGAAACCTTTTTTTTTTTTTTTTTTTGAGACTGAGTCTCGCTCTATCCCCCAGACTGGAGTG
Source organism: Homo sapiens (assembly GCF_000001405.40). Classification (NCBI taxonomy): domain Eukaryota; kingdom Metazoa; phylum Chordata; class Mammalia; order Primates; family Hominidae; genus Homo; species Homo sapiens. The sequence goes on from NC_000003.12 coordinate 190,845,564, forward strand.
CAGTGGTATGCTCCCTGCTCACTGCAACCTCCGCTTCCCGGGTTCAAGCGATTCTCATGCCTCAGCCTCCCGAGTAGCTGGGATTACAGACATATGCCACCACGCCTGGCTAATTTTTGTATTTTTAGTAAGGACATGGTTTCACCAGGTTGACCAGGCTGGTCTGGAACTCCTGACAAGTGATCCGCCTGCCTTAGCCTCCCAAAGTGGTGGGATTACAGACGTGAGCCACCGCGCCGGGCCTCAAAACTCTTAAAAGTGTAAATACTTTTTTACAAAACAACTACAGTTTCAGGAAATAAGCAGTGAAAACGTGTAGCCACAAGAAGTTCCCACATTATACATATATATATAGTTACATTACATATAATAAAGAATGTTGGGGTGGGCACTGTGGCTCATGCCTGTAATCCCAGCACTTTGGGAGGTGAAGGCGGGTGAATTGCCTGAGCTCAGGAGAATGAGACAAGCCTGGGCAACACGGAGAAAACCAGCCCTTACCAAAAATACACAAATTTAGCCAGGTGTGATGGCATGCACGTGTGATCCCAGCTACTTGGGAGGCTGAGGTGGGAGGATTTCTTGAACCCAGGAGGTGGAAGTTGCAGTAGCCAAGATTGCATCACTGCACTCCAACCTGGGTGACAGAGTGAGACCACATCTCAACAAAAAAAGAGAAAGAAAGAAAAGAAAAAAGAAAATTGGAAGTAACCTTCATATGAAGAGGTAATTAGTTAAATATGTTATAGTACATTCACAAATAGCCATACCATGCATTAATTGAAAATCATATTGCAGAAAAATTTTAATAACCTGAAAATATGATAGTTTCTTTATGAAAAAGTAATTATAAACTTACTGTTTGATATTACATATATACAGATTCACATATACATATGTGTGTATATAAAATTTATTACACATTTTAACACTTTTACTAAAAATATATAAATTCATATGCAAATAACTGAAGTAATTTGTGGAAATTTAAAGTTGTAGGCTTTGACATATTTATTTGGTAATTTATGACTTGCTGATAAGCGCCTAATGATTGCTGAAGAGAAGTTCATGGAAACTCAAATTTGTTTTACTGTACATTTGCACTCCAGTTCATCTCAAAAAGCCTACTCTATTTATTTGTCCAACTAATATTTCACTCTCAACAGCCACTTGTGAGTCTGTTTATTGGGAGACCTCTATTCACTGGAATACTAAGGAAAATTATCTTTATTTTTCACTTTGGCTGATTTTAGCTTTGCTATATTGAATTACACTTTCTATTTTGAGGTAAACATCATAAATATTAGGTCGCTTTCGTCCATGAAACTGAGTCCATGTGTTTTAAACTTTAATCTTATAACTGGTGGACTGATAATATTATAACTGATCTCCCTCTTCCAATGTGGGTTAAACGTGTGGTCCAAGGCACTTAAGAATGGAGGAGATGGTCTTTTCTTGACATACTTTATTTTTGTCTCTTATAATTTGGATTCATATCTAGCAAATAAAATGAAGTTTAGTCTATTCTTACTCAAAGTTGCTGCTTCCCTGGATAACATGACTAGCTATTGGTGTCCTTTATCTGGCAGAAATAGAAGTGCTGTTTTTTCCTACATATTGTGGACCTATGTCTTGGTTTGGTGACAATAACCTAGGGTTGTATCTATTGCCCCAACATAGCTTCCAGTTCAGTATTTGTCACTCCAGAAACGTCATAGTTTGTACAATAAATTATATAGTTATGCTCCTGGTGTGATATATTCGTGGGGTCCTTCTAGGGACCTGAAAAACTTCTACATAGCTTTGCCTTGACCATTTCTCACAGCTCCTTCTCCTAACTTCAGCTCACACTATCAGTTGTCTAATCTACAGCCTCTTGCAGCTCAGATCATTGCCTGGGAGATGGGTGGGGAACATAAAGTTAAGATGTCTCAAGTTTATTGAACAGAAGCTTCTGCTGAACTTCTGCAGTGTTTCATCAACCACAGTAATTATTTTGTCTTGAAAAATGTTGGGAATCCAGGTTACTCTGCTGTCTCCTCTTTCATTGCCCTGGATCCAGGTCATGTTGCTGCAGCCAGTGACTATATAAGGAAAAAAGATTACATTCCCTTTCTTGCCATCATTCCTCATCTTCACATGACTCTCTTGCATACCTCCATTTGCCTGCAAAGGGGAAGTTTCCTCCCCCTCTTCCTCTAATGGGGGGAAGGGTTAGGAGGGTTAGGATAGGCTCTTTTCTCATTGTATGTTCCAGAAAGATGATGCCCACTACCATATACTCTCCCTAGTCCTCATGTTGTATGTGCAGTACATTTAAGATCTTTACAGAAATATAGGAATATCATGTTTAAAAAATGACCTATAATTTTGAAACAAAACTGGTGGATATGCATCAAGAACAGCTGGTAATTTTCACTACGTACATTCCCATAATTTTGTCTATAAAGGGTAGGCCTGCCTCAGTCTTGAAAAATTGAAAAGCTTTAAAAAGGACATCTACGAAAGTTGGATACCTTTAATAGTTACCATACTGATACCAATGTCAATCAACATGAAAAGTGATGCTTTGAGGTTACAAATAACATATCTAAGCAATTGTCTTGACTCTTTTGGATTTGATATACACTACTTCCCTTTTATTATTGATAAAACATTCATAGAAGCTGTGTGTTTCATTGTACAGAAGCGTCTGCTGCATTTCAAGAATATATACACCATTTTATAAAAACCTACCCTGCAGTCAACTGGAAAAGTTACCATTCTCTACATAGGCCCCACACTTGGTGCTGTTGAGCTTTTTGTTCTACCTCTATGTCTACTTGTTGTGATTCTAACTTTATATCCAAAGCATTTTTCTGATATCATGCCTTCAATGAATCCTTTCCTAGTTTCCCTCCACTTACTAACTGGTAAACTCTTTTAAGACATGAGCTATAGTGCCTAAAACATAAAATTTCACTTTGAAGACAATAGGAAAACAGTGGGCATTTGTTGAATTTCATCAGTAAAAATATCTCTAACTGATTTAATAGTGTTGCATTCTATCAAGTGTGAAGCTTTACATTTGCGAATTAAATTGAAATGGATTTTTACTCTATGTGAAGGTGAAGATCGAGGATGTATGATAGAAATTTAACATATACACGGTCCTTAAAAGTTATAAGATTATCTCACAAAACTGGTAAACATATAGGACAAACACTATTACCTCCATTTTAGATGTGGATACACTGAGACTGAGAAAAGTTAAATTAATTTCCAAGCTTGACAGTTATGAGTGGAGGAACTTACTTTTTATACTGCAGTCTTTCTTTGTTCATAATATCACTGCACTGTAGGAAAGGGAGTGGGAATCTCTGTATTCGGATCAACTGACATAAATAAATTCTAATAATTACTATACATATTAAATGGTCTTCCAGAAGCCCATTTCCAGGTCATTGAAAGGATATTTCCATTCATCATCTAGGGCTATGCTGAGTCACCAGCCATTTTTACTCTCGTCGTTAACAGGATGGCTCCCAAGAAACCTGATTCATCCCTTATCATTTCAAAAGGAAGCAGCCTGCTAATTACAACTATTGTGGAAATTTGGAGGGAGGACAACAGGATTGGCTAGGTGGGACTAGTCATGGTTCTGAAAAACAGTGGAAGAAAAGGCTAAGGTTCTGGCAATATGGTGCTCTAATTCCCCAAGGAGGCTGAGATTCCTGGGGTGCACACACGGCTCTATTCATGGGTGGGCCACCTGGCACTGTGCAGATGCCACTTCCAGGTTCCACCCAAGACTCCCTGTGGGCCAGGGGTGGAAGAAGAATAACTCTGTGGCTTCTGGAAGATGGCAAATCCTAGGAGAGCAAAATGAAAGGAAGGTGTGTTTTGCCTTTTGCCTGATTATAACAAGGGATTCTGAATTCTCAGCGCATACTCATTGCAGAGATTTCTTGCTGTCAACTTCACAGCAACTGGAGGACCCTGAGGGAATCTTTATAAAGCTCCTGAGATAGTTGGGCCTTATCCCTGAGGGGCTAGTCATTTGGTATTAAGGACTCTCTTGAAATGAGAAATTACCTAGAAATACCCTTTCTATGCCTTATTATTTCAGATTATAAACTTGGTGTAGAAATAAGAAGCAACAACAAAAACAGCAGTCATGTTCCTGAAAAGGTATCAATTAACCACTGATTTCCAAAGTGTGAGGATAGACTGACTCCAGTGTGTTAGAATGAGTCAGTTTATAAATATGACTATTCACTGTTTTACTTTCCCTTTGAGTTATACTGAAAAGGAATGACAGTAAAGGGAGTAATGCTATTACTTAAACAGGTATAAAATTTATTTTCCGTATTAAAGGAAGAAGAGGAAGACTTTCATAAGGATCATTTATACACTGCTACTTTAGGCTTTAATATTAGTAACAGTAATTGAGAAACAGATTTATTTCCCTTTATTTGAATTTTTTTGTTTAAGAAGCATATCAATACTTTGGACCATGATAGCCCGCTTTTCCATCCTACTCTACTCATCCGAATTTCTCTCTTTTGAAATGATAGAGGATGAATTAGGTCCCTTGTGAACAAGCCCTGTTAGCAATAATGAAATTCTTCAGCACCAGAATATCCTTCTGTTGAAAGTAAGGAAAGGTTTAAGAGTTCCTCCATACTTTACACTTCTATCTCTGAGATTTGTAATAGTCTCTGACAGCCTGTTGACTGTAAGCATATTTGCTAGTGCCAAATATTATCATTATGTGTGATAGTGATAGAGACAGGAGACAGCCAAGTGTCCCCAGTGAAACCCTGCCTTCAAGCCTAAAACAGCCCGGAGGCTGAAAAACCGGACTGCTGGTTCCGGATGAAGCCTGCCGTTTCCCGACTGAGTCTGTCCAAATAATGCCCACCTGTGCACTGGGAAGATGGGGAAGAGCCTGAAGAAATTCGTGTCCGTTTGCAGGAGTGAGGAGCCTGGCCTCTCCTGTTCCTATGGGGTGACCTGGGATTTCAATATGTAAGGCAGGAAACCTGCCTGCAGGACTCTTTGCTGAAAGTTATTTTTCCTTTTTCCTTTTTGCCTAATAAATTCCACTCCTCACCCTTCTGTGTGTCCGCGAGCCTAATCTTTCCTATTCGTGTGACAAAAAGCTGGTTTTAGCTGAACAAAGGAGAAAATTCCGCAACAATAGTAGAAAAGGTATTAGACCCAACATTAGCACCAGGGTTTATCTTGGGCCTCAACTATTGTAATGTGGCCCATATAACACTTAGAACCAGTTTTCTTATCTTTAAAATAGAAATAAAGACATGAAACACATTGTGATAATATGTTTGAAATAACTTACATCAATTACATTCCTATTCAAGGATTATTTAAAGTGAGTGAAGTTTATTCATAGTTTTCTCCAAGGAAAAAAAAATACCACTGTAAGAAAACTAAATAAAATCCAGGTTATCCATGACTGATAACAAGATAATCTCCATGTAGTGACAGGTTACTGCCCTGAGATGCAAGTCTCAAATCACTGTCTCTTGATATTAATCCTTCCCTGAGGAAAATATGGCTATATACCTATATAGTGGCCTCAAGATAATCCTGCTCAAAATTTTCATATGTGGATACCCTAGTCTTTTCATAATTCCTCATGGTATAACTAAAATCAATCTGGAACATTTAACTGAGGCTTTATTCATTTGAGGTGGAATGTCACAAAACTAGAGAATATTTTGTGAGATGTCAATTGCTCTTTAAGCTCACAGACCTTATCCCATGTTGGTTTCTGTCATGCTTTTGTAAGGTGAGTGTTATCTTAACAACATTCAATAATCTATTCCTAATCATAGCCTTCCTTGAAATCCCAAACCAGATTGCTGACATTTTTTGAGCACATAGATCCAACTATACTGGAAATATAAACATCAATGATGAGAGCCAATTATTCCCTTGCTTTGATTAAGCATATTTAAATTATGTTTCTCTCATTTATAGCCAAGTTAGTTTTAACACATATTTCATCCTTATATCCTCAGCTGAGCCTGAAACGGAGGCTATATCTCAGCTGAGGCTATAGCTGTTGAATAAATACCTCCATTATTAATCATACTACTATTTCATACATTTGAAAATTGACATGCTTTTTTTTCTGTGACAAAATTTACAGAATAAATGGGTACAGAAAACTTTTTCTTGGTTCGTTGCTCCATTCGCTAAAAAATGTTTCCAAAATAAGGGCCAAAAGTAGGATTAAGTTTTTGTGATTATTTATTAGCTATAAATTCATTACAAAATTGACTCTTACATATAATTAGAAATATTTCAAATTATATAGAAATCATATTATTTAAAATATTAAGTGTTAAATTATATTTAACAATTGCAGGATATTTGATACAAGAATTAAAACTGGATGTCTGGTTATGTTTATAGAACAAAAAACAGATAAAATATGAAAAATAAGTTGAAAAACATTATATATTTGTAGCTTGAAAACAAATTCTATTTGATTTAGTGAAATATAAAGAAAAATATCAGAATTTAATATTTAATCTTATGTGAATCTTTTGGTAAACTGAAACACAGGTAAAATTATATACCCTGACCTTACAAGCAAGATGTAATATTTATCAAAAACTTATCACTGGATATATTAACGCTATACTTTTCTCCACATCTATGCTACAGGTGGGTTGTTAAATCCATTTGTCATTCTTCCTTTAAAAAAGTCGTTTTCTTGAATTAAATCAAATAGATAATTTTTTCCATTAATTCATATTGCTCCTTTTCCTCAAATTTTTCAAACTTATAGTTTAGCATCACTGAAGTCTTAAATAATCTCATTTATTTAACATCACCTTCATAGCTGAAGCTTAGCAACAACCTTTTTTTCCAGATACGAGTGAGATACAAGTATGATTTATTTTTCAGATGATCAGAGGACATTGGAAAATTTAACAAATTGATACTGGATTCTAATTTTTATGTGTGGCTAGTTAAGAGAGTAGTGTACCCAGAAGGCACTGGACTCTAAGCCACTTAACATTCGAAAGCCTCATTAATATGCCCTAGAGAAGGGAAAGAACCATCAAGCCCTAAATGCTGAAGTCATTAGTCTGGCCATAGACATCATACAAAGAAGAGCAAATACACAGGATTATGGTTACAAACCAGGAGAAGAAAATCTGCTATTAGGGAATGTTAAGCATGGTATAAAAATAGTTACCGCAATCACAAAAGAGTTTTTATTTCCCACTATAGCTTAAAATATTAACTGTGGTTTACCAGAGAGACATGGTGAAGCCATACAAGTAAAACATATACTCAGGTGAAAGAAATGTTTAATTTCTAAAACATGAACAAAATAATTTTCTATACATAATTTAAATGGATATTAAATATTTATAGACATGATTTCAAAAACGTGGTAATTGTCTTCCATAACATCGTCCATGATAGAAGCCAGGAAACCATCACATTTTATCCCAAATGTTCGGTAATATCTTTAAACTGGGCCAAAATTAAGTTTCATTTAAAAGCTATCAAAAGCTATGACATTTTACATGGTTTTGTATACCAAATGCATTGTGCTAAGCCTGGGTGTACCCTCATGGTACTTAACACATGATAAGGCACACAAAGAATGCAAAATAAATATTTGTTAACTCATACATTTCCTTTTACAGCTTGATTATTAGACTTTCAAAATTAGTTATATTACTTTCTCAATTCCTAGTGTCATAAAGTACAATAATTCGAATCCTTAAATCTCTTATTCTAAAAAGCGACAAATTTCACCGACCAGGGGCCCAGATACCAGAATGTAAAAGGCACAGTTATTTATTTTATTTTATTTTTTAGAAAATGGAATGTGTTCTACTTCTTAAAGTACTCCAGAGAGTAATATTAATTACTATATTGGATTTTCTTCATAAATTATTTTTAAAAGTGGGTGGCAACAAAACTTTATAAAACAGACCCTTTGCTTACATCACCAAAATAAAGCAACAACCAAACAGAAACAACAATGAAAGGCATGTCTCTGTTACAAAGAATCCTAACCAACACAGTTGACCTACGAGATATTGATTGTGCAAGATGACTTATTGAGATGTGGAAAAGAGAAAAATGAGAACAGGTTTCAACATGAAAGATTTCATCATTAATTGAAGTTTGTCCAAAAAACATAGGTGCACATGCAGGATGTGCAAATTATTCTGGGAATGATAGGGGTCTTGAGAGATGGGAAAGAAGAAAACTAGCACAAGCACTGAAAATATATTGTTTCAAATTTAGAAATATGAAGTCCTTGATAGCAATATTTATATGCAATCTATCCGCACTTATTTAAAAATTAATATGTATCTATTTTTAGAGGCAAATTATTCTTACACAGTTACGCCGAGTTAACTGCAAAATGGGCTCTAGAAAAAGAGTACTGTGATCAGAGCAATGATTTCTAATGTTAACTTCAAATGACTTATGTTTTTGAATTTTATTAATTGTACATAAAGTTTACCCTACCTAATACTTGCAGTGCCTATCTAAAGACTTCTCTTTAGTTTCTTCAGTGACCTGAAACTGCCATGTTGGAGTAAATCTGATAGGACCCAGCCTCAATTCATAGAATATTAGTAATTATCTAGTCCAACTTCTGTATTCTACAGTTGGGAAACTGAACCTTCACAAAAGGGAAGTCGTTTTCGCAAAGTCATAGCAGATGAGTAGGTCTAAGTCTCATGATGGTGGCCACAGTGTCTAAATTGCTTGTATTTTATCACCATCACATAGCATAGTGCCTGGTACAAAGTAGGCATTAGGTATTCTACAGATTTCTTGGGTGGACTGATCAATGAAAAAATGAATACGCGAATGAATGAATGAATGAGACAATGGCTGAGCTAGGTTAGTCTATTTTCAGCAATAGGAGTTTGTCAGCATCTGGGTAGTTGCAGATGATGACTAGTTTTGTTACCACAGTCCCTCAAAATGTTCTTCTTGGAGTCATGTTGGTTAAAGAAATGATGCTGGGTACATATAGAAGCTGATACATCATGAGGCATTTAAAAATAATTTAAATTCTTTGTAATTTTAAAGTTTATCTGTGATATTGATTATTAGTGGAGTTACAGTTGTTTTAAGAGGCTTTGTCAATGCCACTATGGGGCACTGAACTTTTTGAACTGCCATGAACATAATGCTACACACATCCACATTATGTCTTCAGGAGTAGTGGTGATGGGCAAAGACACTTGTTTCAACCCCACCCTCAGCTATTTGAACATGCAGTAGCAAGTACTTGAAGCAAAAATAGGGCTCATTCTAAAGACAGTTTTCAGAAATGACAAAGGGAGAAAAGTAAAAGGGCTGTGAATATTTCAACTACTTAAAAGAGGAAAATCTGTTAAACTGGTTAAAATTGGAAAAATGTATCTAGGTCTTAAAGGAATATAGAAGTGAGTGGAAAATACCTTATCAAGTATAGGGCAAAGAGAGGATGTCAATAGCAGGTATTGGTGTGTAAACAAGTCAAATTTAGGTAAAAGAAGCGCGGACACGTTTCATTATGGATTCTTGGAAGCCATTCCCTGCAGATTTAAGTGGGTAATTGAGAGTGACATTTAAAGTGGCAGGAGACAGTCTAAGCAACAGCTTCTGTGTTCCACATAGTCAAATTCAAGTGCAAGAGAGGTCTTTGTAAACAGAGTTCGTGGCAGTGCTTTGTGATAAAAGAGGGGTCACTAAGACTGCTTAGGGACCCAGGTAAACTTCCAGCCTCCCTCCTCATCTCGACGCACAAAGGCTTGTCCCTGGTGGAAGGAATGAGTTTTCACATTACAATGAGGGCTCAGGGATGTGGAAAATGCCATCTCTGTCTTGTTGGGTGACACATGAGCAGTATAGTAAGGAAGAGTTTTCAGCCCCACTGGGGGATTTGAAAGTTGAGAAAGGATGTGGAAATCTTCTCCATGAGTGGCAGTGCTGTGCAAGGGGGTTGTTCTGTCACCTCTATAGTCAATTGGCATATCCTCTCTGGGGATATTTTTATAATCAACTGCATCATCCGGAAACTGGGAAAATGTGCTGGCGACTCTTCTGGGATGAGATGCGAGGGCACTGTAGTTAGCTGATGAGGTGTCATCGATAGTGTCAAGGTCTTTTAACCCAAGTGTTTGAAGGACCCAGGGATCCACAGGGGGCCCAGCTTGTTCTTCACAGTTAGCAAATTCACTAGAGAGGTTTCTTTTGGCATTTTTGGGATGGGGAATCTCAGCAGGAGAGTATCTTTGCTCTTTGGATTTTCTCTTCCCCTTCCTGAATTTTCCATATGCTTTGGAGAACTCATCAGATGAGAGCAATTTCTAGGGAAGTGATATTTGAAAGTTATACTTTTTTCATATATTTACTAGTTAACTAAATTATTTCGGAAAAAATGCTTAAATTTCTCTTCACACAAGTAAGATGGATTGGATTAGCTTGTTTGTAAAGTAAAATCTGTGATGACAAGTTACTGCCTAAAAACTCTAAATCACATTTTTTACTCAATTGTTTTAAATGTTGAAAGGACCAGATGATATTTTTAAGATTTCAGCACCGGCAAGTTATTATTATTATAACAATAATAGCACTATCATTTATTAAGTTACCATTTGTAAATAAACTATCATTTATTTATAAATAATACTTATATTTATTTATAAATATTTATAAATAATACTTATATTTATTTATAAATATTTATAAATAATACTTATATTTATTTATAAATATTTATAAATAAATAAAAATATTTATTAATATATATTTATAAATATTTAGAAATAGATATATTTATAAATATTTATATATTTATAAATATATTAATAAATATTAATTTATATAAGTAAATATTCATAAATTTATATGAATAAATATTTATAAATAAATATAAATATATTTATAAACAATATTATTTATACATAATATCTTTATCATTTATAAATGAACTATCATTTACTACAATTTATAAAGCACTGATTACATGTATTATCTCATTGGATATAGATGTTATTAAAATCTTCATTAATGAGGAAACTAAAGCACAGATATATTAATGACTTGCTGAGAATGATGTAGCTTGCACATAAACCTAAGCCACCCAAATCTACACAGATCCTCTGATTAAACACTATACAACACTGCTTCTTCTTATTTCATTAACTTTCAAAGCACTTCTGAGATATATTATTATATTATTCTAAATATTGGAAAATTATTAAGACTGACAGATAAAACTGCCTAGTTATTATCACTTAGTAATATAATAAGTGTCCTTTTATGGAATGGTGGCTGGAGTTAGGAGCCCAGGAAAATAGCCTGGCCTATTCTCTTAAAATATTCTCTTTTTAACAAAGGCAACTGAATTGTAAAGAAATCAAATCTAGTGTCTTCTATTCTCTGAACTGCTCTATTTAGTAAGAGTAGCAAGAAGCATCATCAATTTAGATCAAATAATTTCAAATAATGCAGCTTGTCTAGAAGTATGGAAAAGATTGATGATGAAAGCATTAATGATAACATAATGGCAACTAGATAATAAAAAATTGAAAGGCAAAGAATTGAGCATGAACAAAAGAAGACTACTGGCAAGTTATTTATCCTTGAGTTAGAAATAGCTCATTTTAAAAGTGGAGAAAAAATGTGAATTAAATGATAATGTAATTGTGTATGCCTAATTGCCTAATATAATTTGTAAATGCCAAATCAAGAGATTTGGGCTCAGGCAATATTCACAGCATTTTAGATCTAGCAGAATTTTTAAAAGATATTTTAGACCATCCATTACAGATGAAGTTAAGTGAGGATCTAAGTAAGAATGATTTGCCTAAAGTCAAACAGATCATTAAAAGAACTGAGTGTCTTTTAGATCTGCTTCCCGTACCAGCATTCCATCCATCTAATTCTGCCTTTTGATTAACACTGATTGTCTCAGCAACCCCCACCCTCGACTAGCATTTGATTTTTAAGCAACTTCTTTTGTAACATAAGACTGACATCTGCAATCTAGGTACTTCAGAGAAATGATAGATAAAAATTCTTGTGAAAGAGCCGTTATTTCCTTAAGAAAAACCATCCATCTTATAAATGCATATCAAGATACACTGTTTAATCAAGGAGTTTTACATAAATCATTTCCTTTCTCAAATCACTGCTTTGTTCTTATAAAGTAGATACATACATCATACATACCTTGGCCTTTTCTTCAAGACATTTAACCAAAGCAGAATTCAGGTATTGTCTGAGGTGATTATTCTCTTCGTGTAACCTGGCGAGTTCTTCTTCCTTCTGCACCAGGGTATCTTGCAGCTACAAAAAGCAGACAGTGGTGAAGGCTGCTCCACTATATTGACTTTGTAACCTTATAATAATGCCACTGCTCCTTAACTGCCTTAAACTTGATGATTGTTTGTTGTATGAACACAAGCACAGGGAGCCCTCATCCTGAGAGGCCTAAATTAAATCTACATCCCCCTAATGCCTAGTTGTTCAGCTTTGTGCTCTGAATGTTCATTCATTGCAAAGCATTTGGAGAGATTATAATAGACTTTTAAAATTGTAACCACAAGCGAATCAGGTAGATATGAAGGAAAATGAGCTGCATGCAACTGTTTAAATATAGAAAATGATGTTTAGGAAGATGTTGCTGGACTCCTTCCTTGCACTTCTAAATAAATAAATAAAAAATAGAGGTGGGTCGCCTTTTTTCAGCCTCAAATGGACCTGTCTGTATGTCCACTAGGTTAAATTAAATATAGAAAATGATGTTTAGGAAGATTTTGCTGGACTCCTCCCTTGCATGTTTAAATAAATAAATAAATAAAAATAGAGGTGGGTTGGCTTCTTTCAGCCTCAGATTGATCTGTCTGTATGTCCACTAGATTAAATTATCCTTCAGGGGCAAAACTGACACAACATGTAAAAAGCAATCTTAGGAAAATATTTTATAATCATTATGTCTTCTCCAAGTATTAGCTATGCTTATGGTTTAAAAATACTGTCACACTCATTATATCATTCGATCTTTTCAAACGCTCTCTGAGATAGGCAGTACAAGGTTTACAATTCCATAAATGAGGACAAGGAAAAGGATTCAAGGTCATACGGCTAAAATGTGTAAAGTGAGAGCTTGACTGCAGGCCTTTCTAGAGTGTCTTGCTTGTTTTTCTTTTCTCTGACATTGATCATCTAACTTTGATCTCTCTTTGGACACACCAGTCACTTTGGTTCTAAACTGAGTCAGCATGAATTTCAAAAGGGAAAAGAAGCAAGATATTAGCAGTGGGGAATGGACCACATAGAACATGACCAGTCTCAATGTTCTGACTTACACATACCTGCTTATTTCTGTAGAGCTGAGAGGAAAGCTGAGCCTCTTCCCATGAGCACAAGTCCGGAAGAGGAAAATTTGAGTCACTGAATGATTCTGTGAAAATACAAATAGATAACTGAGAAAATAATCTTGTAGTTTCTGTGTAATAAAGAAACTTATCAAATCAAATCAGAAAGTTTAATAGGTTCAATTATTTTTCTTAAACAGCTATTGCTGCCATACAGGAAAACAAGACATTTAAAGTTTTTTAGAAAAGGCAAGCAAGCTGTGAGAGACAAATATTTATATGCTGTATGACATAGCAGTTAAAAAGGTAAATTTTTTTAAGCAGTAAGGGGTCACATTCTTGCCTAATATATGTATTCCTGCTGGATAAATTAAAGACTGTCCAGTCTTTGTCATTAATTTATGCAAATACTTATTGATCTCCCCCAAACTCGGCATAACATTGTAATTCCATTATGTTTTTCTAGTTTTTATCTTATTTTCTAAGTTTTAGCACTTGATAATGTACTGTTTGGCTCTATAATTAAATTCTAGTCTGTAATGCTACTAGTTTCTCTGCCTGTCTGCCTGCCTGTTTTAATCTAACGGACTGTATTTATTTGGAATTTTATGTGGTAGCACTTTCTACTTTAAAACAATTTGGACCTTGCTTCTTTGAAGATCTTAATGAAAATCTCAAAACTGTGCCCAGACCTTATCTGTTTCAACTGTCCTAATCTGTATATTTTATAAATGTTTTTTCAAAGTGCCTTTTCCCCCCATATTTGACAGTCAGCTCTATCTATCAATAAAAAACTATGGTTGGGCATACTAACCAGGTCTACTTTTACTTTCTTTTCTTCATCTAGTACAGTTTAGACTCTTGTCCTTCTCTGGTTATATTGTTGATACTGAAATATTTTTGATTAAAGTGAAATGATGAGTAAGGAGATAGGAATAAAATGGCATAAGTAGTTTGGGTTCACATTCTTGGGCATTTTGTTTTTACTGTTGCTTGTAGTGGAAAGCTAATATTCAACAATGTCCTCCCTGACATTTAAGTGTGCTTTTAATATTTGGGGTTCCTTTGTTTGTGTCTTTTTAAAAAATAAAACAAATCATGTAGCAGAACCAACAGTATGGATATTTAATTCTGGGGTGTCTGAGAATTCTTTAAGAAACTTGAGTGTTTAACACAGACATTTCTTTAATATTTATAAATACTGCTGGTATGCCACAGATCAAGATTAATATGTCATTTTACATCAATGCTATAGTTCTCTCCAAAGTTGAAGCTTTTTGTGTGTGTAAAAGGGAATCCTTTTTCAACTTCTAACACACTATCCATGGAACTTCCTCTATGAAATAAAAATTAAGTTAGTATTTCTTGCTTTTCTCTCAAACTCAGGGAAACTTTCCTGAATTCCAAAAGAAGTGTTCCAACTGGTATCCTCATTCCAAAGACATTCTGCTGGTGTGTTGTTTATAAAACTTTGATCCAGACTCACACTCCCTCAGTGAGATAGGACTCTCCAAGAACTGTAAATTGTAGGGAGAAATACATGCTATCCAGTGGGCAAGGTAAAGAATCCCATTTTCACTATTTGGCAAGTGTAAAGCAGCAGGCTTTATGACTGTAAAAATCAGGAGTCCTTGGGTTTACTTAAATTTTCCATATCGTCCCTTATTCTAGAGTCCCAGCCCATGATGCTCCGCAGCCACGGGTATGGAAAAGAGCTCCAGATCTATCAGGGAAGCAGAAGAGCAGAACTTACCCTGTGCCTGTGGTGCTTGTTGGAGCTCTCTGTTGTCCAGGAGACCAGCAGCCCAGAAAGAGACCCAAGTCTCCGTGGAAACGTCAACACTAGATTCTGACGTTGTAGTGGAATACGGGCAATTATAGCTCTGGCCTCCTACAAAGTACTGGTCTTGGCAAGGCAGAATGGTGTTCTGTGAAATTCAGTATGGGGGGAGTGAGGGGTCCCAAAAGATGGGGTGATGGAGATTTAGAAGGGGGAAAGGGTGGGAGAAATACCGAAATTACATGCAGTGAAATATAAAGAAAAAAAATCAGAAAAGGTGTTAAGTATAGATCCATATTAATTTTGGGGTGGTCAAATTATAATTACTAAAAGGGAATGAGTTTCTTGGTTTACCCAGAATTTCCCTTAGGCCCTCTGAGCAAAAGAGCAGACTAGCATTGAATGGGTGAAATTTGTACATATCCAGGAGGATTGTCTGTTGCAACGACCAGCCCATCTAATAGTCTACCCAGATCTAAATAAAGGGAATTCTACTTAATGATTCAAAACCATAAGAACTATTTGGTTCTTTCTGCAAATACCTTAATTATATTTCTAAAACTCCTGAAGGACAAAGAACGCAGAATGCTAAAGCTGAAATGGATGTGACATAATATAGACTAACGTCTTCATTTTTGTTTCTGAATCATACTTGCCTTATTCCTTCCTTTTTCCTCCGTCTGACCTAACATACTGCTGGCTCATAGTCCATCAATCTATCTGTCTGTCTGTCTGTCTGCCTATCATCTATCTATCTATCTATCTATCTATCTATCTATCTATCTATCTATCTATCTATCTCTGTCCCAGAGATAATTAAAACATTTTGCTCCCAACACTAAGCACAGGACCACAAAGCTGCTCCAAGTAAACGTATAATCAAAGCTGAAAGAAGTTCGTTAGCAAAGACAGCAAGCTCTAGTTCTGTCCATCACTAGGGCTCAGTGCCCCTCCAAAGTTATCTTGCCATTAACTGGCATGTATTCTCCACTGTGTTCTGATCCAGTGAACACTCTCCTGCCTTCCACTTCTTGAACCTCAAACACACAGTCTTTCCATACGTCCAGGCAGGGGCAGGTATGCAGCCTTCCTGGGTTAATTTGTACAACACCAAATTTAAATTATTTGTCAATGTTTAATCAGGTAAAAGCCATTCATTTTAGCAGAGCCCAGCTTTGGAAAAACTCTTTTTGACTACTACAGGGCTTCTTTGGACATTAACATAAACAGAGAGAAAACAAATAAGAAGAAAAAAGAGAAAAAAAAGTTAAGTCAATTCAATCGCACTTTGTTAATGTTCTCGGTAAATTAAGTTTTGAAAAATTCCAGTTCTGAAGCAAGTCCAGCTTGGGCAGTGCAGACCAAAGAAATTCAGCCAAAAGTTTATCAAGTGCAATTTTCTTTTATTTTAAAAGCATGTTTGCAGACTCTTTCCCTGAGGTTTTTTATTTTTTATTTTATTTTTTGGAATCAGAGCTAAGCTATTATGCAATTGATACCTGAGAAGAAAACAAACTTCAAATATCCCTAGACAAGTTCATGTCCAAGTGTTTGCAAATATATGCATAATCTAGAGGAAGAGGTAGAATGAAAAGTGAGTGCAGGTGGAGGGGGAAGTTGGGGAGAAAGTAAGGAAAGTAGTAATAACAGAAAGAGAGAGAGAGGGCGAGAGAGAGAAAGGAGAGAAAGAAGAGGGAGAGAGGGAGAGAAAGAGAGAGAGAGAGAGAGAAAGCAGATAGAGGATACTAAAAGAGACACAGGGCAGCAGAGAGGATCTGTTTTAACTGGCGGGTAGCGGAGAAATCTTGCTCCGAAGGTGGAATAAATTCTAAATGCAAAGCTTATTAACTTTCAGAGACCCAAGTTTGCCAGCGGACTAGCTAACGCCAGTTCCTCACTTACCATCTTGCAGTGGAAGAAAGCGCTGCAGAAACTGAGCCCACTCAATTTTTCAGTAAAACCAGTGGGAGCTTTAAATGAGACTGAGGGGAGGAGCTAGGAGAGGCGAGTTCTAATCTGCGGGAGCTCCCGGTGACGCCCAGAGCTCCCGGCGAGCGCCGCTCTGTGATTTGGTGAGAGGCTGTCAAACCGGTGACGTGAGCCAGGAGTCACCCAGCAGAAGACAAAGTCACTCGCGCTCTGGGCGGCCACCGCGCCGGGACCAGGGACCTGCCGATCTGGCCACCGGCCGTGGGGCAGAGGCAGGACCTCCGGCCCTCTCGCTCCGGGTGCGCGGCGCTGCTTCACACCCGGCCCCAGTGTGGACTCGCCGCGGGCGGGGAGACGGGCGGGGAGACGGGCGGGGAGACGGGCGGCGACCCCGCAGCCGGGACCGAGGCGAGGGCCGGGCTCCCTCCCGCTCCACGCGCAGCGCGGGGCAGGGCCGAGCCGGGCCGGGCGAGAAGATGGTCCAGGTGCCTGGACGTGGGGTAAGAAAAGCCCAAACCGGCATCACAGGGGTCAAGGGACTCTTTAGGGAAGCCCATCTAACTGGCCCCAGAGTTAGTATGCTTCCTGTGTATTTTTTTCTGGCTACGCGATAACAATATTAACTTGCTGTATGACGTTGTCAATTGACTTTTTTTTTTTTCTATTGGGTGTGTCTTACTTTCCCCTATTTCTGAAATGAGTGTTAAATATGGAGGTGATATATATCCATCCTGGAATGTAAGCTTCACTGGAATAGCAATTCCTGTTTATTTTGTTCCCTGCTGTCTCCAAAATACCAGAAACGCTTTCTCACATGTAATAAGTGCTCAACAAAGATTTGTAAAAACAATTAATTAAGTTACAAATTTCGGAATCCAAGTATCTTTTTATATTGTACCTTTCTTCACATTATAATAAAATAAATGATTATAATTAAGAAAACTTGGTGTATGTTAATATCTTTCAATTAAAGCATTTGATTTCCTGTCTTTTCTCTTACCTTTTATTCTCACAGTTCCTATTATATCTAGAGGAGAAAGAGGAGTAACACCATCTTTAAAACCATTTAGCCACCACTAATAGCCAACTTTTATTTCAACTTACTAACGTAATAGATATAAAGCAATTTACATTAACCCTGGGAGGTAGGTACTCTTATTGTCTGGTATAACAGGTTGACTGATGAAGCACTAACATTAAGAAATTTCACCAATGATTATACAGTTAAGAAGTAGCAGACTTGGGATTTAAACCCAAGCTGGCTGAAGCATCCATGCTCCTAGCTCCATGTATGTGGTATCTGACCCACCTTGGCTTATGTCCACTGCACATTATAGACATTTATGTAATGGTTACTCTTATGGGTGGGTTGTGTTTCCCCAAATTCATATGTTGAACCCCTAACCCCAAAGTTACTGTATTTGGAGATAAGGCCTTTAAAGAGGTAATTAAGTCTAAATAAAGTCATATGTGAGACCCTAATCCAATAAAACTGGTGCCCTTATAAGGGACACCAGGGGTGGCACACACACAGTAAAGGCCATGTAGGGGCACAGTGAGAAGGCACCTGTCTCCAAGCCAAGAGCAGATGCCTCAGGGGAAGCCAACAACCCTGCCAACACCATGCTCTTGAAATTTCAGCCTCCAGAATTTTTGGGGGAAAAAAAAAATTCTGTTGTTCAATCTATCCTGTCTATGGTATTTTGTTATGGTAACCCTAGCAAACTAACACCAGACAGGGAGTAGGAATTGAGAAAACTTCTGAGCCTGTTCTGCACAGCTCTTTCTCTAAAATACTTTTGACTGTTATTTATTTTTCCTTGAACTATACTTATGACCCACAGCACTTAACAAGGTGACTAGCACACAGCAGATACGTATTAAGTGCTCTGTGTCCAAATTTAAGAAAAGAATAGATGATGAAGACGAAGAAGGTGCCAGACTTGTTGGGGCCCTTTCCTCCTGTTCCAATGCTGTTTATTTGCAAGCTTTCTTTTTTTTTTAGACGAAGTCTTGCTCTGTCCTCTCTCACCAGGCTGGAGTGCAGTGGCGCGATCTTGGCTCACTGCAACCTCTGCCTCCCAGGTTCAAGCGATTCTCCTATTTGTAAGCATTTTTAAGTGAACAGTACCAGGTTTGGGTGTCACTGCCTGGAAAATAGGTGAACTGGCTTATTCTACATGGACTCATTTCAGAGAGTGACATGAGTGGTCCCCTCTCCGTCCTCACTGCATATTGAGCAAGGATGCACTGGCAGTATCACCCTGACATCAGAAAAGGAAACCGATCAAAACCCATTTAAGTTGTAAGAATCAGTGATTTTGCTCAGGGCAAAGAACTCATGTTTGTAGTCCTCCCAACATAGAGTCTGTCTGGCAAAACCCCAGTTAGTTTTGTGATGAGCACCAGGAGCAGAAAAAAAAGGATCCAGTTGTTTTACTTTTTTGTAAGCTGTCACAAATGAGACATGAGCCTCTGAGAGATATAATTTCTTGGGCCTGAAAATGATACAAAATAGGCAATTGAGCAAACACAGTATGAAAACAGACCATAGGCTTTCAATCCAAATATACCTGGATTCCAATTTCTTCTCTACTCTCTGAAATTGAATCACCTGGAATTATATTATCAAAGACTCTAAATCCTCAGTTAACTCATCTGGCAAATTAGGAAAGCAATACATACCCAAAAGGTTTATTAAAAAGCTGACCACTAATGCTTACAAAATTACTATTTTACTGTCTATGTATTCATGATGTTAGCTCTTCTTACTATTAGATATAGGGAATTCTGCCTTTGATCATATGCATGCTGCTGTGCTTTTTTTTTTTTGGTAAAAGCAACTATAAATGAGAGGTACATTTGTAAAATAACGTGTTTTTTTTTTTTGAGGGCTAGACATATTTTTCAAGAGTCTTTGATGACCTTTAAACACACAAGTGTTTTACAAATCATTAACTACTTCAGCTTACTAGGAGTGGGAGTATAGATAGTGATTCAGAAACCCTGAAGTTAAACAGTGAAGAAGTATTAACAACTGAACATAAATCAGAAGATAAAGCTTTCTTAAAATCGTAACAGATGGAAAATATTTTAAATTCTTCAAATTTGATTTATGTACATCTTAAGTATAAGCCTAATTATTATTATTATTATTGGTTTGACAATTTTTTTTGAAAAGTGCATCAAGTAAACAATAATGTAAAATCTTTTGGCAGTTTTGTTTTCATATGTATGCATGAAGTGCATCTTTCTTAGTGTGTAGATGTAACCCATATAGATGATTTTCTTCTGTGAACAAGAAGATCAGTTGAATACTGCCTTTTGTATTGTGTCTAAAGGGATAGTGTTAAGCGGTAGGTGACTAATAACAACCTAGTTGTTGAGCCATCGTACCGCCCCCGCCAGGGCAAAAATATATTAAAAAAGATAGGAGGTAATTTGACCTGCACACAAACCAAATCTGCAGACAGGAAAGGTAGAGTGTGATCAGAGGTAGACCTAGGAGACAAATAGATTGGCACATGGACTGTTCATGCATTTCATCCCCGGAGAACGCTTTATTTGATTACCCCATTCGTGGATTCTGTAACATATATAATAAAGAACAATTTTTAATTTCTCTTTACAAACATAGCTTTTTCTCATAGCTTCAATAGCTGACCCTCCAGGCAAAACACAAAAACAAAAACACAAAAACAAACAAACAAAAAACCCACAGCATTTCTGCTTTCACTTGTAGGTGAAGAAAAATGTATCCTTAGAGAAAATTCAGTGCAGTAGATGGTTTTCATTGTAAGATTTAGCATTTGCATTGTTTAGAATATCTGGAGAACCATGACAGATTCAGTTTGTTGACCCGTAGTTACTAAATGTACCCCCACCAAAGTGATGTGCAGAAATCAATCATGTTGATATTGATAGAGACTTGTCTACTACCTACTACTACCTGCCAGTAACATAGCTTTCTGGTAGCCTTCATGTATGTACTTATTTATGCAGTGGTAAAAAACTGTTTCTACATGAACAAAAGGCATTGAAGAGCAAGTCAACTGTTAATTCTGGCATTAGAAAAAGTCAAGAAAACTATATCAGGCTATTGGCCAGGAAACAGAAAGAACTTAGGTAACCTAAAAAGTGAAATGTTCCATTTGGGCGTAATTCAGATGAGCTCTATATGGAAATGTGATGTGTGTATGTGGAGATTTATAATACTGTTTTATTGGATGTTTCAGTGAGAATGCATTTTAATAACTTTAAAACTATCTAGTCCTTTATTTATTGACTCATTAAGTGATTGCTTAATTTTTCAGTTATATTTTATTGCATTTTATTAAGGAAAATTACATACTAGAGTGATATTCACAACTTTCAAGATTCTCAGTCTAAGCGCATATATTTTAAATATCACCTATCTACTTTATATTTTTCTGGAAAATGGATACAGATCTATATTCATTGTGCAAAATGAAGCAAACCTTTACTGTAGTTGGTAGCATTGCTTTATGGCTTTTCTCGTAAGATAACACTTCAAAATAATATTTGCAGGCAAGCTGGAGTAAATAGTTGAGGATTTTCCTGCCTGTTGACAGCAATGTGAATCCCCTAAATCCTACCAGGCCAGCCCCAAGGACAGGAAGACTCAGTATATCAAAGGCCTGTAATCTATTGTGCCTTACTGCATTAGTTGGGAAGCTCTTCTCTGTATAACCTATCTGGCCAGATTGGAAGAAAATAATCTCAATACTACTATGAAAATACATACAAAACAGTAAAATTTAGTTTGTATTGCCACAAGGTTAGAGATGGAAACGGAAATAAAATAAAACAAATACAGTTCTACTTCCCTCACTTTATCCCAACTGCATTAGAAAATAATTACAATAAGGCCAAGCCTGGTGGCTCATGCCTGTAGTCCCAGCACTTTGGGAGGCCAAGGTGGGCAGACCACTTGAGACCAGGAGTTCAAGACCAGCCTGGACAGCATAGTGAAATCTTATCTCTACAAAAAAAAATTTAAATATTAGCCAAGTATGGTGAGGCACACCTGTAGTTCTGGCTACTTAGGAGGCTGAGGTGGGAGGATCACTTGAGCCCAGGAGTTTGAAGCTACAGTGAGTTATGATTGTGCCATTGCACTCCAGCCTGGGCAACAGAGCAAGACCCTTCCTCTAAATAATGATAATAATAGTTGTCATAATTAATATACATCAGAGGCATGCTAGTCCAATTATAATTTGAAATAAAATGAATTTCTGCTTCCGGAGCACCAGTATTTCCACAAAGTTGGTTTTTGTGCTTTCATTGCTCATGAAATGCGTCTTAGGGATTTTTGATGGACAGATGAATGGATAGATTACTGACAAAGCATTAAAGTTCTGAAAGGTACATTGGCACTGGACATGGCATCCAATTTTATTCTGAAGATAATAGAAATGAAAGGGTTACTGCCTAGTTTCTTTAAAAAAACTTAATTAAGAGTGTAATAGAAAAATAGGACAACTGGGACCTAATTCGTCTAGCCCTGAAATTATCAGACAAACTGAAATAATGTGACTTCTCTCATGAAAAGAAGACAAAGAAATACATTTAAATATAAAATGTTAAGCTATACCGAAGCTATAATTTCATGTTTTTTAATCTATAAAATCTGTGAAGTAGTAACTGAATTTTTATTAACCTAATAATTTGTGGCAAAATTATCTAATTTACCAACTAAAACAAATAAAAGAAATTTACTTAAAAATTGTATTAGATTGGTGAAACTTGATAATTTCTCTGTTTTCTACATTTAGTCTTCACAAAATGAAAGCATAATGCCAACCTGTAGCCAGTGGAAGTATTCGTATATTCTAAAACAATATTAGAAAAATACATAATTGCTATGAAATTCGTAATGCTAAATGTCATTAAGATGAATAAAAGTATCATAATAAAGTACTCTGTCAACAATAAAGTAAAACTCCAGAAACGTCTATGATGTTAGATAAAGAGGGCCATGTTGAAAACAGTGCAAATAATCTTTTTGTTTTCTTTATCCAACCAGAAGCTTTTCTGCTGCCACCTTTGGGATAGCGGTATTAGCACTGCATGACCAAATCACAGCCAGTAATGTTAAACTAACAAATGCATTTCAACAGCTTCATTTGTAGATAAGAGGACCCCCAAAGACAGGCAAGCAAATTGACTAAGGTCTTTAAAAAATCGTTTATTGTCCTAGAACACAATTGGGAAAAACTCAAATTGCATATTATAGAATTGCATATTTTAAAACATTTTTATTAGCAGTTATTTTTGTGTATTCTTTAGTAACAATTTATACATATCTCAATATGTATAAATATATGTGCTTATATATTTGCATGTATACATATGCATGTATATGGAGTAATCAGTGAAGTCCACTGCCTTGAAATATATACAGATGGAAATGTACAGATGCTGGGAAACGAAGACTACTCTCTGCACCTAATTTTTCTACAAAGGGGCAACAATTCCTAGGAGAACAGATTTATTTGATTGGTGAGATTGAAAGAAGAAAAGGAAGAACTTTTTTACCATTTTAATGTAATTGTCTACACGGCACATGCTCTCTCTGCTTCTCCTGAGGAAAGCTGACAGAGTAGGCTCTGACCCAACTGCAGTTGTGTGTGGCCACCCAGTGTCACCATGATAAAGTGAGTAAATCTATTTCTATTCAGAAGTGCATATTAGGTAGCCTACTAAAACTATGTGTGTGTATATATATACATACTATACATAAGTGTATATATATATACACACACATATATAGTATAGTATATATAGCAGATGTATAAAATATATGTTATAGTAACTGTGTGTGTGTGTGTGTATATCTTTAGTAGGCTATCTAATACGCATATGTGTGTGTATATAGTTTTAGTAGGCTACCTAATATGCATTTATAGATATGTTGTGTTTTACAGTCAAGCTTTTATTTAACGATAAAGATAACTCTTATTCCCAAGTATCTGTCTTTTGTGTCTATTGCTTTTTTCTTAGCTCAGGAGAGAAATAAGTGCTATAAGCGTGGGTTTTTGTGTGTGTGTGTATGTATATATCTTTCTTTATGTATGAAGAATCATATATTTTGTCATAAAACAAAATAATCAAGAGAAAAAACGTACCTATAACATTCATCCATCTGCAAATATATTTCAAAACTTTAAAATATCCATATCCTTTAAGCCAGTAAGCCCAAAATAATTTATAAAATTATAAAAATAATACATTTGAGCAAAAATAATGTACAACTTTGTTTATTGCACCATTATACTGAACATTTGTGAACGTTTTAAAATGTTCAGTAAGAAACTGTTTAAATAAATTACAATATATATCCATAGTACAGATTGCATATTTACAGAACATGTTTTTGAAAAAAAAATTAAAGACGTAGAAAAATGACATTATGTTACTTATATTAAAATGTATGCAAATATATTCATACATATTAAAAAGCAAAGGGAAAATATACAAGCATGTTAATAGTGTTTATTGTTTTGTAAGAGAAATGTTGTGACAAAATTATTGAAGAGGTTAAATAGAACTAGTTCCAATAGTTACAATTACCAAATTGCCGGATTTCAGTTTAAAAAATAAACGTTTGTAACTCTCAGTACTATGTAAACATAGAACCTGATACCCTGTAACTGGTGAGCTCTTTGTCACTAGAGGAATTCACTAAGAGGGTGGATTACTGCTAGTCTCATATGGTTTATATTATACTCATACACCAATAGTGCCAAAAAGATATGCTCCTTAAAATTATTTCTAATTCTCAGAACTCACAATTTAATACGATTTTGAGATTAGAAGTCTGTCTTTGTAATTAATTTCCATGCATATCTTTAAACAGACAGGAGAACTTCTGGCTCTTTTTTATATAGGGATAGCTTTGCTGAGATTTAATAGAACTTCCATGGCCATGAAGGGTGATCAGGAAGACAGGAAGAAGCAGCCGTGAGTGAGAAGGCTGATAGTAGAGTAGAATCATTGCTAATCTCCACTACTATAGCATTCTTTCTTTCCTCCATTCTGAGTCCCTAGGTTCTCAGAACTGGTCATGAAAAGCAGGGAAGCACATTGAGTGAGAGGATATATTGAGTCTATTCCAAATCTTAAGGGTTTAAGTTTTAGGAAAGCAAAAAAGAATTTTGAGTGCAGGACCTTCATGGGTCATGTTACACTAGGTCAGAACTTATCAGGGTTCAAGGGGAAGTTAAAAACCACCAAGTTGAATCTTCCT
Organism: Homo sapiens; assembly: GCF_000001405.40. Classification (NCBI taxonomy): domain Eukaryota; kingdom Metazoa; phylum Chordata; class Mammalia; order Primates; family Hominidae; genus Homo; species Homo sapiens. Next base: position 190,870,909 of record NC_000003.12, read on the forward strand.
CCCACACTGATGTTTTGATTATGCCTTTGGGAACTTCGGAGTGTGAGCAGACAGATTTGAAGAAAACTGAAAAATACAGTTTAAAGGGGCCTATAGGAGGGTGGAGAGTGGGAGGAGGGAAAGGATCAGGAAAAACAACTAAGGGGTACTAGGCTTAATACCTGGGTGATGAAATAATATGTACAACAAACCTCCATGACACAAGTTTACCTGCATAACAAACCTACACATGTACCCCTGAACCTAAAATAGAAGTCAAAAATATATATAATAAGTAAAAACAAAGAATATGAAAGAAAATGCATCAAAAGGTGAACAATCAGAAGAAGAAAAGAATGTGAAGACAGCTTTGGTTAAATCTTTGTTTTGCTGAGACTAGTAAACCACAAATAAAATATTATACTTTTGTTCTTTGTGGAACAATGTTTTGTTGTCTCATCTTTTGCCCTCCTTTAACTACCACTTCCCTGTAGGCATCAGCTTGCACTATTCCTTCTGCATTTGAAGTGTGACTATGCCCTAGATGAAAATGTATCTACTAAACAGAGAAAATGCTACATAGATGATGGAGCTCAAAAAGTACTTATTCTACATAAAATCAGAGTCTGAAACAAAAACTCAAGGCAAAAATTATAGGGCCACAGATTGATGGTCAATAGTTGTAGTTAATGGAATTGTCAAAAAATAAACAATTTTTCTTAAGTAGTAGGTTTTCCATTCCTGAAAGTGTTCCATCAAAGGCCAGATGGCAGACTTTAGTGAATACAAGCAGGAATTCATTCAAAGAGTAACTGAGCTCTTCTTCAATTTTATTCTACATTATATAATTACTGTGGATAAAGCACTGAACAGAAGAGACATGGCTGTCTTGATGGTGTTTATACTTAAGGGAAAATATTACACACTTATATATGTAAACTAAAATAGTGATAAGTGCAATGAACAAGGAATTGTAGGGTGCTGTGGATGTGTTGACCTGTGCTCCTACCCATTTGACCTGGAGGAAGGAAGCTGGGAGTAGACTGAGGTGTCAAGGTATATTTTTCTGACCAAATGACATCTTACCAAAACTTGAAGAAAGAGTAGGAATTAAACCGGTGGAGAGGGAGAGGGAGAGAGAAACATACAACAGAGAGGACAAAACACATACTCAATGGTCCTGATACGTATATCAGAAATGAAAGCCGTGGTGAATAATAGGGCTGGAGCGATAGGTTAAGACTAGGTCACGCAGGTGCCATGCTCTATCCTATGAGCAATGGAAAGTTATTGAAGGGTTTTAACTAGGTACGCGAAGGCAGATTTGTTTTCAAAGCATCAAATATTTGGTGAAATAATGGTCTTTCAAATAAATATGAGAGTCTACAAAATAGAGGCATTTTCTCCAATCAAGTACTTTGGACAATACAGGTTCCCAAATGCTTCTGCAAAACCAGCTCTCATTTAAAAACAAAAGAAAAAAGTCTTTTAAAATTGATGCTCTTTTATTCCCAAGGATTTAGAACTTTGAATTCATAATTTTTAGAACAGAAGGGGACTTTCGAGATGATCCCATCTGATATTCTCTCATCTCCTGAGACCCACCTGGGCGGTTAATGGAGTTGCTAAGGACCAATTTTTAAGTGAAGAGCTAAACCAGAAACTGGATCTTCGAACTCCCATCTAATCTTGCCATTAATCAATGTTGTTCTTTTGTGGATAGTTAGCAATTTTAATAATTCTTCAGTATTTATTAGGTATTGTCATTTTAAATATGAGATCTTGGGATATTGTGTTTTTATTTTATAATAATTTAGAACAATTAAAAAAGTCATTCTAATGTCTTTCTTTGGCTATTCTAAATATCATGGAAAACATTTATCTAGTATTCTGAAATTAAATTACAGTTGTAATAGCCCTATTGTTTCACCTGTTTAAGCACCATTATTCAGGATGTGATATTCATATTATAAAACATACCATATTTTAGGTGGAGAATAATACATAATAAAATAATAAATAAATGACTTAGGAAACTCTAAAAATTACAATTTAAAAATCTGCAATGGACATGAATGCTCATGAAGAAAATTAATAGTTGCCAATGTGTAAAATTGTTAACCTTACCATGAATTTTTAAATGTCTAGGTATAGTTATAGATAATTTTATAGAAATCATTTTTAAAATTTGTAGCTCACATTGTTGCATCTATAGCAGATTATATTTTTCAAAAATGGCTACAGCAGTATTTCCATTCCCATATGTTCTTTCACAACCTTGCCACTTCCATCAAGAGGCAGAATCTATTTCTCTTTCTCTTGAAACTACAGGAGACTTTATAACTGCTTCAACCTAAAAGAACAGGCAGAACTGTGTAATCTCAGAGGCTGGTTCTTACAGGCAATATGGCTTCTCTTTCCCCCAGTCCCACCCCTGCCTTCTTCCTCCACTGCCTCTCTCTCCCTCCCTCTCAAAGCTCAACCTTGGAACCCAGCCACACTGTTAAGGTAAAAACCAGGCCACATGGAGAGACTTCATTTAGATAGTTGATCCAGTTGACAATTTTAAAAACTCATCCATAATGGCACACATGCAAACACACACACACACACCTGAAAATACTTAGAACTTAGCAGAATGGAATTGGACCTATATGAAAGATATACACACACACACACAGACTCACATATATGTACATACACACATACTTATATAATCTGACATACATTATATATTATATGAATTATATATTATACATGGCATGTAATATATATGTGTATGTATAATCTTATGAGGAATATAAAATATTCTGAACAAATTTAAAAAGTTGTGTGCTACTAGCTGAAATGTGAGGTATTGAGGACAATCTAAAAATAAGCAATCTGGCAAATAACATCTATTAAAATTATAAAACTTTTAACTCAGCAAATATTCTCCTGGAAAAATATTTCTAAGGAATAAATCACCACTACATAAAGATATGAATAGAAATATTTTATTATTTAATGTTACAGAAACAAAAATAATGGATATAATTTGAACATCCATTAAGAGAAGGATATATTATGTAATATTATATAGCCAATATAAGATTTCAGCCAATGTATTATTTTATAACCAATAAGAGAAAATCTTTTAAAATCGTTCATTTATTTGATTTCTACAAGGTATTGAGTGAGAAAAGAAAGATTATATAGGCAAATCTACATATTATCTTTTCATACCTTTGTGAAGTGATGTTAAAAATAGTCCTATATGCTATGTATGCATGTGTTAAGTATAAATGTTGTGTAGATAGAATTACATGTGCTGGTTAAATTCCCTAAGTGGGGATGTTGGTGGGGATGATGTCCAGGGCAGGAAAAGACAAGCTATCACTGTAACTACATAACAGATAATGCCAGAACTTACTGGCTTAAAACAGTAATTCCCAATTGGGAGTGATTTCTGCCTACCAAGGTTATTTTTGATTGTCAATACATATGTGGGGTTACTACTGGCAGGAGGCCAGGAATGCTCTTGAACATCCTACAAATGCATAGGATAGCCATCTATAAAAAAGGATTGTCCTGTCCAAGAGGTCAGTAATACAATGCCAAGAAACCCTGGCTTAAATAAATGACAATATTTATTTTGCTTCCAAATCTGCAGTTTGGGCAGGGCAGGGGTGGTTGAGGACAGCTCAATTCTGCTCTGCTCAGTGTCAGGCTAGAAGGCTGGGCCTGAAATCGTGTGAAGGCTCTCGCAGGTTTTCCTTTTCATATTGGCAGTTTCTTATCATTCTTATTTTATTCGGTGTTATTAGCAATGGCTACTGAAATTTTTTTTTTGTAAAGGTTATTTATTTATTTATTTATTTATTTATTTATTTATTTATGGGACAGAGTCTCACTCTGTCACCCAGGCTGGAGTGCAGTGGTGTTATCTCGGCTCACTGCAACCTCCACCTCCCAGGCCCAAGTGGTTCTCCTGCCTTGGCCTCCCGAGTAGCTGGGACCACAGATGGGTGCCACCAGGCCCAGCTAATTTTTGTAATTTTAGTAGAGAGGGAGTTTCACCATGTTGGCCAGGCTGGTCTTGAACTTCTGACCTCAGGTGATCTGCCTGCCTTGGCCTCCCAAAGTGTTGGGATTACAGGCATGAGCCACCGCGCCCGGCCTATAAAGGTTGTTAAATGAGTATTGGGTGAACTCGTAGATGGCATCAAGCCTTGGTCAGCAGGGAGGAAGGAGCAGCAGCTGCTTGCAGGTGGACGCCAGAACTTCTAGTGCCCTCGGATCAAAGCCAGGCGAACAGACTTCTCTGAGCTTCCTTCTCGCTCTCTGGCTGTCACATGAGCTGCCTTGCCAGCCTCTCCTTCTTCCAGTCACCAGAGAGGTGCTGTTTGCTTACGTATGCCACGCCAGGCCCCGAGGTGGACATATGCTGTCACTTAATTCTCCATCTGCTGCCTGCCTGGGCTGCTGCATTAATTGGGATTCTTTTGGTTGTAAGTGAGAGAAATACAACTGAAACTATTGTAGGCAGAAAGGGGATCTTACCATTTTGTGCATTCGTGAGGTGGCATGTCTAACTTAGGAACAATCCAAGAATTTCTCCATCTGCTGTAGATGGGCCCATTTCCAAAAAAGGGACAAAGTCAAAGGTCACAGCAGTTCTGGGTTAATAAGATAGGCTTCCATCCTGGCCACAACCAGAGAGGATGCTGGGAATGCTCTTCCTGGCTCCAGTCTCATGGAAGGATTCTGATTGGTCCAGCTCAGGTCACGTGCCTCTCCTCCATGGTCAGAGTCTGGGGCAAGATGTGCTAGGCAGACAGATACAGAGACAGCAGCCCTCCTTGCCTGCCTCTGCACAGTGGATCTTGACATTGGGAATTTTATTTTATTTTATTTTATTTTTGAGATAGAATCTCACTCTGTGGCCGAGGCTGGAGTGCAGTGGTGCAATCTCGGCTCACTGCAACCTCCGCCTTCCAGGTTCAAGCAATTCTCCTGCCTCAGCCTCCCAAGTAGTTGAGATTACAGGCACTCGCCACCACACCCGGCTAATTTTTGTATTTTTAGTAGAGATGGGGTTTCACCATGTTGGCCAGGCTGGTCTCAAACTCCTGACCTCAAGTGATCCACCTGCTGCGGCCTCCCAAAGTGCTAGGATTACAGGCATGAGCCACTGTGCTTGGCTGACACTGGGAATTTGAGATGGAGTCTCGGTGTATTGCCAGGCTGGAGCGCAGTGCAGAGGCATGATCTCGGCTTACTGCGATCTCCACCTCCTGGGTTCAAGCGATTCTCCTGCCTCAGCCTCCCGAGTAGCTGGAATTACAGGCATGCACCACCACTAATTTTTGTATTTTTAGTAGAGACAGGGTTTCACCATGTTGGCCAGGATGGTCTTGGACTCCTGACCTCAAGTGATCCGCTTGCCTTGGCCTTTCAAAGTGCTGGGACCACAGGCGTGAGCCACCACGCCCGGCCAACACTAGGAATTTTAAAACGTCATGAATTTGTGATCTCTGAGCCCCGTGTGCTGCACGGTGGCTCTTGTGTTCCCCAATCTTGGGGGGTTTTGCTTCTCATTCTAGATGAAGAGCATGAGTGTGGGGGACCCCCGAACCTTCCCCTTCATCGAGCCCCCACCACCAGCCAGCCTGGAAACCGCCATCCTCTACCTCCGGGACCAGGGGGCCCTGGACAGCTCAGAGGCCCTCACACCCATTGGGTCCCTGCTGGCCCAGCTGCCTGTGGACGTTGTGACTGGTGAGTACCCACCCCACCTCGTGATCACTCAGGGCCCCAGGAGCGGGTATGGGCACAGCTCACTCTCTGAGTGGCCTGGGGGCAAGTCTGTTTCTTCCCTGGGTCCAGTTCATTTATTCACTCTTCACTGGGCCAGGCACTGTTCTAGGTGCTGGGCATATAGCAGTGGACAGAACAGACACAAATCTCTGGCCTCAGGGAGCTGTTCCGACTCTTTTTATTTTTTATCCTGAAGGGAAAGATAAAGGGTGGGAAAGGGCGTCAGGCGAGGCGAGGCGAGGCGAGAGGCTCGAGGTTCTAAGGCGATGGTCAGACTGACTGATGGACCTCAGGGTGGCCCCTCTGCCCCAGGACAGGCCTAGAAGAGCATGTGACCCCCTAGGAAACACCCAGAGACTGAGCGGAGGAAACAGCTCCCAGGGGCAGAGCTCCCAGCAGGCGCAAACCCAGAGGAGCAGAGGACGATTCGGAGAAGGAAGGAAAGACGCTGGGAAGGAGCCAGGGATGACAGGAAGAGAAGGAGACGGGGAAGGGCCCTGAGGCGAGGGAGGCAGGGCCTCCGACCAGGAGCGACCAGAGGGGATGTGACAGAGACGGAAGTGACAGAAAAAGACTCCACGGTCACAGGTGGAGCGGCCGACGGCACAGGGGACTGAGGCAGGGGATGGGGATGGCGACAGGACTGGGGGAAGACAGCAGCGAGGACAGTGCAGAAGTGGGATCAACAGCGACGAAGAGGATACAGTCCGAGGCAAAGGGGAGAGGACCAGAGAGAGAAGACAGTGAATCTGATGGGAGCGAACTAGAGAGGGGACGAAGACAAAGATCCCGGGGGCCAGGACAGAGATCAAGGAGTCTAAGAAAGACGGGAGAGACGGCCGAGCACGAGGGCACACCCCTGTAATCCTAGCACTTTGGGAGGCCAAGGGGCGAGATCTCTTGAGGCCAGCAGTTCGAGACCAGCCTCGCCAACATGGTGAAACTCCGTCTCCACTAAAAATACCAAAATTAGCCAGGCACGCGGCCTGGGCCTGTAATCCCAGCTACTCGGGAGGCTGAGACAGGAGACTCGCTTGAACCCAGGAGGCTGAGGTTGCAGTGAGCCAAGATCACACCACTGCACTCCAGCCTGGGCAACAGAGCAAGGCTCAGTCTCCCCCCTCCAAAAAAAAAAAAAAAAAAAAAAAGATACATTGAAGTAATTTAAAAACACTTAGGAAGATGTCATTTCTTCCTATCAAGGCGTCCTCCCTTTATGTTTTGTTGTTATATAGGGAACGATAAAAAAAATTTTTTTTCAACCAATGTGGACCAGGTGTTGGCCTCGAACTCGCACTCTCGAACCCTCGCCTCCCTGAAGGCCCGAGGGCAGGCGCAACCGGCCGGAGCCACAATGGCTCCGGGTGTCGCGGCTGTCCTTTCATCCCTTTGATCTTACGCAGGGTGATGCAGCCAATCACGAGAGGCTCACCCCTGACGTCACCCAGTCCCCAGGGCCAGGGAGGGCTCTGCGTTCCATGGCGCCCCCTGGAGGGAGGAAGGGGAACTGTATCTGAGAGAGAGCATGGCTACTGAATTTTATCAAATGCTTATCCAATATCACCATCCATACATTTTCTGATCATGAATATTCATCCCTTACTTTAATGCACCTGAAGTACATACTTTTAATATATTTAATAGAAATTACCTGTGAATATATCTGTTCCTTCAATACTTTTCTAAGTGATCATTTCAGATTTTCCATTTATTTTTCATTCAATTGTGGTAATTACATATTTTGCCAAAAATTCATTCATTTATTTTGGTTTTCAAATGGGCTGCCATAGAATTGCATATCATAACATATATTATTCTGTAAATACTCTCTGTAGTTAAATCTTATCTCTATTCTTTTATATTTTACTCCCTTTCTTTTGTCCTTAATCAAGCATATGAAGGATTTGTAATTCTTATTGGATATGTCAAAAAAAAAACCTGTTGACTTATTTATCATTTGTAGTTTTTCTCAATTGTACATACAGATTATAATTGTGTTCCGTTCACAGAGTTATTATTGTGAGGATTAAGTCAGTTAATTTTCATGACATGCTTAGATTTACTCAAATTTCAAAAGAAATATATTAAATGTTCTTATTCAAATTATATTTTCTTCAAGTTGCCAGTGTGATATGTAGTTCTTACTTTTTATATTGAGCTGCTGTAATGTGTCTTGCAAAGCTCTATGACTGCAAATCTGCTTCACAAAATGTGACTTTTATCAGTACATGTCGGCCTATTTTATATTCTGTTTAGTGCTTTCAACCCCGAAATCCACCTTCTAACATTAATATTGATATCCATCCTCTCTCTCCTCCAACCTCTCTCTCTCTTGCATTTACTTTTAGATTTTCATTACTTTCTTTTTATTCTGATTCTTGTAAATAGTATAAACTAGATTCTTTTATTTTTATTTACTTTTTAAATTTATGATTGACACATAATAATTGTATATATTTATGGGGCACAACGTGATGTTTCGGTGCATGTATACATAGTATAATGATCAAATTAGGGTAGTTACCATATCCATTACTTTAAACATTTATCATTTCTTTGTGGTAACAACATTAAAAATCTCATCTAGAATGGCGTGAACCCTGGAGGCAGAGCTTGCAGTGAGACGAGATGGCGCCACTGCACTCCAGACTGGGCGACAGAGCGAGACTCCGTCTCAAAAAAAAAAAAAGGAAAAAAAAAACTTCTCTTCTAACTACCTTGAAATATATACTACATTGTTACTGCTACAGTCACCCTACTGTGTAACAGAACATCAAAACATATTCTTCCTGTCTCTCTGTAACTGTGTGGATTTTTCAAAGTCCAGTTTAAGAACATAAACCTTTTCTTTCTCAGGAGAAATTGTAGTCCATACCCAATCTCTGTAATGATTGATAAAACATCTTATATCTTTCATTTTGCTTTATGTTTTCATTTATCTGGCCTTTTTTTTAGCACTTTTTACAGAATATATTTATTTTTTATTTTGATCGACATGAGTCTTTCCCAAAATCAAAAAATCAGAAGAATTAGTCTTTATGTTCACTCAGCAACTTGCTTGTTCCATGAAGTTAGACATTGCTTTTTCTGTAATCCTTAAAGCATAAATAATACCTGACTTTGATTACCTCTTAGAATTACTACAATGATGAAATAATCTATATGTACTTTCTAAACCATTTATCTGCAAGGTGTTGTAAATACTTCAAGGAAATATTAACATACAAGTAACTAAGGATAAAAGCTAGCAAATTTATTTTGTTATATAGCTGACAAAAATCTGTTGTTACTAAATTATATATATAATTAATATACAATTTCTAATATATATTAGAAATTTCGGCTGAGTTATCTCTTGCTCTTTCTCTGTGTGTGTGTGTGTGTGTATATATATACATATATATATAACTACACTATTTTTATAATTAATAGACTTTTTTTGGTACTTTTAGCTTTACAGAAAAGTTAAGTAGAAAGCACAAAATTCCTATAAACCCCCTTACCCTCACCCTAGGTTTCTGCTATTATTAACATGTTGCATTAGATGGCACATTTGTTACATTTCATAAACCAATGTTGATACATGCTTGTTAACTGAGTTCCATAGTTTACATTAGTGTTCATTTCCTGTGTTGTACTTTCTATGGGTTTGGACAATTGTCTGATGACCTGTAGCCACCATGACAGTGTCATACGAATAACTTCACTGTTCTAAAAACCCCTTGGTTCACATTTTATCTTTCATTTTTTATTTTCCATTTGTATTTTCTTAATTTTAATGTTTCTAGACCTTTTTTTCTATTCAATCTTTACTCTTATGTGCTTGATAAAGTTGGTATTCATTACATTTTTCACCTTGTTAATTTGGAAATCATTCCTTATTTTTATTATTAAGTGGCTGTCTTTCCTTCTGGATGTTCATACTGAGACACATTTCTCTCTATTGCTATGAATACCAAACTGTTATAATAATAATATTTATCAAGTATATACTGTGTGCCTTTTTGAAATGTTGGAAATCTATATTTTTTTTATTATAGTTAATAATCTATAATAATTTGTAGTATCTAATTCAGTTCTCACAACACTCCTATAAGAGCTAGGGATAATTATCATATCTAACTACTGAGGAATTGAAGCACTTACCTTATGTTACGCAGCTAGTAAGAAGTGGAACTAGTATATTTGAAAACAGGTGGATCAAGTTTGGTCAAAGCTTTGGTACTCTATTTTTGTATATTGACTCTGATAAACTCAATTAGTTATCTCAGGGAAACATTCTAGTTTTTCATTCTTTCCTTCCACTCCAATAAGATTATATTTAAAAACTATTTTTAGCTACCTCTCTCACTCTCATCTGCCCCTCCCAAGAGACCTTTAAAATGTTTTTATGCTCTATTTTATGCACTTATTTCTAGATTTTGCTGAAATAATTTAGAATTTTTACTTCTTACTGTTTTTCTTACCAATTATTTTTACATCACAAATTAAAATGAGATATTACTTTTCCTAGTAGAAAATAAAATTAAAGGTATAACTCAGTGTTGTCAAAACTATAGTCACACAAGCATACATTAGTAAAATGTTTATGTAAAACACTTTGGTAATAGATATAAAGAATATTTACTTAATACCTATTTATTATTTCTACTTTAGGACCGTAATGTAAGAAAATATTAAGAAATGAAGACGTAAATTCAAATGAAATTTTATTTCTCACAACATTTATAGCAAAACATAAAATTTGCCAAAAATTCAATCAAAAACTGAACAGCTTAAATTAATTAACTGGGGTCAGAGAGCAAGCACAGTAAGTGAAAAAAGTGATAGCTAATGGATTATTGCCAGATAATTGGATAAGGTGATATTGTGAAAGGTATCCCAAAGCTACTACAATGTATTTGGATCTCTTTCTCTAGAAAATAGTCTCCGATTCACTTTAGACAACCTTTTGGAGTAGTAATTTGTTGAATAATTTTCTGGACTTGAGGCTCTCACATGAGCAGTTGAATACTCCTGGGTATGAGAAGAAGAAACGGAAGTTGTGGTGAGGGGTGAAAACCATCAACTTGATTTAGTCTAATTAGTGCTTTAATAACATGCCTTAGAGATTTTATATATATGTATGTGTGTATATACATATATATGCGTATATATATATACACACATATATATGCGTATATATATATACACGCATATATATGCATATTTATATATACATATATGTAAAATTGCTATTGGAACTTAGATCTCTTTTTGCATCTAGTCTTCTACCATAGTTCCCTGTACTGAACTATTGTCCAATTTCATGAAGCCTCCAACTTCTTGTTCATTACTGGAACATTTTTACAGCACTTACGTCTTCCCCAACATTTTAGATTCAATGATATTTCCATCAGATTTATAAAACTTTCTTAAGTATAGCTCTCTAAGTTTACTTTAATGTTTCACATAAAAAACAAGGAATCATGTATTTTATATATTATTTTAGATACAGAAACTTGCCAAACGATGTGATGAAGATTTTTGTGGAATGTGCTGATGCTTTGGCTGTTTCTCTTATGTTATTGGTTATATAGTATTGCCTCAGAGTTAAAAGTTTTCTGCAAAAATAAAACGTGATTGACGTTGGTAAAAACACTAATTGTAGAACATTGCACAAGTTTGATTCTCAATATATTTTAGCTTATTAGGTATTTGTCTTTATTTATGATGATGATTGTGAAAATTGAAAATAAAAAAGAACTAAATTACTATGAAGTCCTCTCATTTTTCAAAGTGACTTAGCAGAAATTTATCGCCAAATCTCTACCATTTTTGTCTGGCAAGAAACAGCTCAATTAATGAGTAAACAAGCCAGCCTTGAGGAGTTTTGTTATTTCATTCCATAAAATGATGTAGCATAGAAACTCAGAAATTCTCATCTACTTACTTGCAATTCCCCAGCATACTCAACACTTTTTAAAATTCAGTGCTCACACTGCATTATTCCATGTGGAAGCTTCTTGTCTAACACGTTTTTATTTGTTAGAGTTCCACTGCAGCTATATCTTCCTTATTCACTCACCTCCTACACTGGTATTGTTGGTGAACAGTAGCTCATGTATCAAGTATCCTTAGTACCTGACAGTATGTATTTGGTAATAATATCTCCAGAGCATTCAGCATCACATTCCACAATTGCTAAGATGTAAAAAGTTCTGAGAATTGAAAGGTACTAGAAACAATATTTCCCACTTCTGTACCTTCCTGTTTTCCCCATCAGACTATGACCTGTTTGATGTACCTCTCTATACATACAGCGCGCTCTCACATTCAATACTCATTAAAAAGAAATAGTTGAATTTATTTTTTACAAACTAATTCCCAGAAACGGTATGAAGACAAAAGCCACATACCTAAGGATAAAGCTATGAGGCTGTTTGCAGTTTGTGTTTCTAAAGGTAGCTCATTCTTGGAGATTTCTCTAGAGAGGCATTGTCCTTTGTGCGCTCTGGGAGAAGGATGAGGAGAACAAAAGTTGCACACACTATTTAAGGATAATATATCATGGCTGTTTTAACTAACGACCCCGCTGCCAGTCCATTATCATGAACTAGGATAGGGCAGGAAATCAAGGTTTATTGTTTTGCTTTGGCATTTTCATGTTCTGCATTGTCAGCAATCTCTACTGAGACAGGTGACAAGAAGAGAATAATAGTTAAGTAATAGATTTTAATAAGTGGGGAATTAGTAGCTAAACTTCATTAGTGATCTTAAGACCCACAAATAAAATTCATAGTTTTGCAAATGTTCAATTTAAGAATATTTCCAATCATCTATCAATAAGCTCTCAAGTATGGTAAATTTTAACTCATCATCTTAATCACCCTGTCTCTGGGTTCTCTTTCTTTCTTTTTCTCTTTCTTTCTTTCTTTCTTTCTTTCCTTCTTTCTTTCTTTCTTTTTCTTTCTCTTTCTTTTTTGAGACGGAGTCTCACTTTGTCACCCAGACCGGAGTGCAATGGCGCGATCTCGGCTCACTGCAACCTCCGCCTCCCGCGTTCAAGCGAGTCTCCTGCCTCAGCCTCCCGAGCAGCTGGGACTACATGCACGCGCCAACACCCAGCTAATTTTTTATTTTATGTTTTATTTTATTTTATTTTATTTTATTTTATTTTGTCTTTTTACTAGAGACGGGGTTTCACCGTGTTAGCCAGGATGGTCTCGATCTCCTGACCTCGTGATCCGCCTGCCTCGGCCTCCCAAAGTGCTGGGATTACAGGCGTGAGCCACCGCGCCCGCCCTGGGTTCCTGTTCTTTAAACATATAACTATGATTCCCTAGCCCTTTTCATTAATGTTAACCTCGTTGTTTCCTCCTTTATCCCAATGACTGTTTCCTCATCCCTTACATTCTTCAATTAAAAAAAATCTCATTTTCTTAAAATTTTCTGCTTTTATTCTGCTCTGGGCCTGTTTATTCCAAATCCAAGTCTACAGAGTAGAATGGAATGCTCTGTGGACTAGAAGCCAGGAGACCTGACTTCTACTTGATCTACCACTAACAGCGTAAGCTTAGACAAAGCATTCTCTCTGGACCTTTAGTTTTCCCATTTGTAAGAAGAATGCGTGTTGGAGTTGATGATCTCCATGCTCTTTGAGCCATACATTTTAGACACTAAAATTCTCACATCTGTTTGTCTCACAAATCCTTTGCCAGTGAGCTGTTGCATCCTTCAGACGCTAGAGGGAGCTTCTGGGAGACTTTTCTAATACGTTTAGACTGAAGTAAGGAATAAATGTCCCTTTATCGCAATACACATTCTGATTGAAAAATGTAATTTCTCCTTTTAATTTAATGTAAAAGAAATAAATGTTGCAGTAATTCTAGAATTTTGTATTATTATGACTCTGTAGCATGAAGCTAACTTAATTCGCTTTAAATACCAACCAGGTCTTGAAGTTTTTGTCCTCTATCTTTAAATTTATGAAAATATAGGGAAGCACATTTAGAAACCAATGGAAAATAAGTACAATTATGAGAGTAGGATTCTTTTTAAAAGCCATCATTCTCAACTGAGATAATTCTCTGCTTGATGATATTGTAAAACAGAGTTATGATGCCCCTGTGTACTTTCTAAGAATATGTTTTAGAAAGTAGACAAATGCAATTTGACAACGACCTGTTTAACAATAAAGTTATTATAAACTTATTTATTAAATTTCAAGGAAATCAGGATTGGGAAGTTTGTGAAGAACAAATAAACATCTATTCATCATCCTAAGAATAATGTAGTTTGAGATGAGAAGTTAATTTGCATTTTTATTACTATTATTTGTTAAATTATGAAAACAGTGAATATATTCTTAGATTAAGAAGAGTTAACATGACTTTGATTCTTTGCTTCCTTTGTAGACTATTTGCTTATTCTTTGGGGATCTCTTAGATAATATCTTTAATACTTTTATATTTCAGTGTGTCTTTAGGTGCAGGAATGTTCGTCTCTTGAAGGATTGAAATCGTACATAACTTTTCAGTCTGAGCTTTTATGGCTTTAATTATAATGAATTCTGAGTTATTCTTTTCATTCATTGCCTCTTTTTTATTCTCTTTCTTTATTTCTGGTATTTCTATTATGGGAGTGTTACTAAGTCTCTTCCTAACCTCCATTTTTTTAATTAGGCTGTATCCATTCTTTTAGTCAGCTAATACTTTCAGGTTAGTTTTATTTATTTATTTGTTTATTTGTTTGTTTGTCTGTTTTTGAAACGGAGTATCACTCTGTCACCCAGGCTGGAGTGCAGTGGCACAATCTTGGCTCACTGCAACCTCCGCCTCTGGGTTCAAGCAATTCTTCCTGCCTCAGCCTCCTGAGTAGCTGGAATTCCAGGCGCCCACCACCACGCCCAGCTAATTTTTGTATTTTTTAGCAGAGACAGGGTTTCAACATGTTGGCCAGTTTGTTCTTGAACTCCTGACCTCAGATGATCCACTTGCCTCAGCCTCCTAAAGAGCTGGGATTACAGGCGTGAGCCACCGCGCCCAGCCAAGGTTCTTTCTTATTCCAGCCATATGTATTTGCGACAACCAGTGTCTCCAATTGATTCTTGCTTCTTGTTTTTCAACATGTTTAAATTTTTGAGAATATTTATATCTGCATTTTAAATACTTGTTTTCTCTATTATTTTATTAACTCTTTATTCTCTAGTATTAGATATTCCATTTGTTATCTCACAGTGTGTTCACTTTATTCAGAAGCCTCAAGGATTTTTACTGGAAACTCATCCTCTTTTACATGAGACTCTCAGCTGACTTTTAAGACTAAAAGATTTCAAGGTTGGGATAGGTATAGTTTTGATCCATTTACTGAGTGTTATTCTTTATTTGTTCTCTTTCTATGTCTTTTCTGACCTATCAAAGTTCTGATATGGGAACATAAGATGACAAGCCAACTGACTTAATTGGTAGTATCTCTTTTCCTATTCAGGTATGCTAATTATGTTTAAGCATTTAATTTCTTCTCCCTCTCTCTCTTGCTCTTACTCTTACTCTCAAAATGCTGTTTCTCTAATTTGGAGCACTATTTTTTCATGAAATTCACATAGTTCATATATTACTTGGTGTTAGTAAAACAAATAACATATTTTAGATTGAGTTATTAATGAATACAAATATGGCAAATATTCTATTGAAGGAAAAATGCTACATACATTTTGATTACTCAAATTTAACTAATTATATGCCTGTGTGAAAAATTATAGGGCAGGTGAAAGAATACTAAAAATAAACTGAGAAGATCTGTATTTAAATCCTAGATCTGCTTTTTACTAATAGTTTCATCTTGGTCAAATACCAAGACCTCTGGACTTGGGTTTTTTAATTCATAATATATAATTCATTTCTTCTGCTCTGAATGTACCTGTTAAGGGAGCGTATGCAGCATCCACAGACACACAAGAATACATCAGTGAGAAAAGTCTGTGTGTGTGCATGAGTATGTGTGTGTGAGTGTGTGTGTGTGAATTTGGGTGTTTATCTAATAATCCCCAATGCAGGGGATTATTTTCTGGTAAAATATGATAAAGGAATGCACTTGACTGGATATCTCAGTGAGATGTCTTTGATGTTAAAATGGCTACTTTTATGGAGCAAACTCCCAAGTCCATTTATTCAACTATTACATAAGCATGTATGGCTGCTCTATCTTACCTTGTAGTATGAATGGAACTGAGAGAATGAAGTAGTGGCTATATTGCAAGGGTACACACTGACAGCTGATGACTAGGTGAGCTTTATACACAGGAGCAGGTAGCACAAAAAAAAATTGCAGCACCTGAGAGTGCAGAAAGTAAAAGATAAAGCAGGGCGTTTGCCTGCTTTTTACGGAAAATAAACCTTGTCTAGCAGCAAAACCTGAGCAGATGACTCATGTTCAGAACAGGCAAATGATCAACTCCTCTTTCTGTGGGCAGAAACCAACAAGGGAGTGAAGAAAGGAGAGTAGGCGGAAATGTCCTTCTCTATGGGCTAAGGCAGATGTATAAAGAGAAGAGGAAGTAAGACATTTTTTTCGTCCACAACAGTGACAAATGAATAAAACAATGTGAAAAGTCTTGACAAATTATAAGTTGCAAAAAAAATAAGAAATGTCTTGACATACTGATTAAATGACGCATTTATCTGTTTAAACCACTTTATGCTTTAGATAGAAATTTTTTTTAGAGTGGCAATTTATACGATGCTTATCGCTCTTCTTGGAGCACGGTAGGCATTTAATACATGATGGTTTGTTGTTCGAATTTTTACCATACTTAATGTTCTGACAGCTTCATTCAATATTATCAACAGAAGAATGTATAATTCATAAAACTTCCTGAAATATTGAAATCTCAATTAGTATTACTGGTAATAATATTAATGGGAACTCCAATTTAGAAATCCCCATCAACTTCTAATTCAACTTCCTGTAATACATTAAGTATCAATATAATTTTCAGTTATTCTACTTAACTTCATTTTTAATGACATTTTCTTCTTGATTCTCTTTTTCTCAAAATACTCTATCCTGTTATCTTACCATAATATCACACACCTCTTTTCATCTTCACTTTCTATCCATAACTCCTCCTCCTCTAGCGGACCATTGAAATTGCTCAAGATTTTAATCTTGTCACTTTTCTAATTCTACACATTTTTTGCAGGCAAACCAATCCATTGCCATTGGTTTAATGACTTTTTATGCCTTGATAGCATCAAAATATATATAGTTAGTCTTAACTATTTTCTTGATCTTAAGAGAAGGACTTTAGATCCATGCATTATTGTTACCTTGTTCTAAATATCTCACAGGCAACACAGGCACGACTTGTCCCAAACTGACCCAGTCTCTGCCATCGTTCTCAATCTTCTTTGTGCCAGTAATGGCGATACCACCCATTCTGCCACACAGCCAGAATCACAGAAATCATACTTAATTCCTTCCTCATGTTAACCTTCTATAGTCAATCAGTCATGAAGTCTCAGTCCTAAAAACCTTTCCCAAGTCTCAAATTATTTCCTTCCCCACCCTACCACTATAGTCCAAATTCCTATCACTTTTCTGTCATAGTCTATTATGATACAGACAGTAAACATTATTCTAAAGTGTTGCTGAACTCAGGAATTGGTAAGTAATCTCTGGTAATTTACAGACTCTTTAATAAAGTTAGAAATCAACAATGTAAACCAAAGCCAGAACAACTTTAAAAATTAAAAATATATGTCTAAATCATTAATTGGTTATAGAACAAATAGGCTGGGCATGGTGGCTGACACCTGTAATCCTAGCACTTTGGGAGGCCAAGGCAGGCAGATTGAGCTCAGGAGTTCGAGAGCAGCCTGGCCAACATAGTGAAACCCTGTGTCTACTAATATACAAAAAATTACCCAGGCATGGCGGCGTGTGCCTGTAGTACCAGCTACTCAGGAGACTGAGGCAGGATAATTGCTTGAACCCGGGAGGTGGAGGTTGCAGTAAGCTGAGGTGGCACCACTGCACTCCAGCCTGGGCAACAGAGCGAGACTCTCTTCAAATAATAGTAATAATCAATATTATAAAATGTTTAGAATTATGGAAAATAAAAGAATTTGTATCAAAATTTGTGAAAAAGATTTAGAAGATGGTTTATACACTTTAAAATTACTTAGAAATGAAAAATCAAGTATTAACTAATTAATTTTTTAATCCACAAAACTGGGACAATGCAGAATAAATAAGTTGAAAAAGGAAAGCAACAACAAAAAATAAGAGTAATTGCAATAAAGAACTGAAAAAAGAGTTAATAAACAAATTTATTTAATTAGTTTTTAAAGAAATGAATTAAATAGACATACATATAGATCACTGACTATGAGAAAATTTTAAAATATTAGCAATAAAAAGGGAGCCATAATATTAGATACAGCCAATTTGTTTTTTTAAAAATTATAAAATGTTAGGAATTTATTAATGCAAATAAGTTTAGAGACATAGAAGAACTGATCAATCTTTTAGAAATATTAATAACATAATGACCCTAGAGAAAATAATAATACAAAATACTATGATAACTTTTAAAAAAACTAAATGTATAATCAAAATTCTCCCTTAAAATATATCCTGGGCTCAGGTGTTTTTATAAGTGAATTTTGAATCAAATTTTTAAAAAGCTGATCGTCTCAATTCATTACAAATAAGAATGGAAAATAAAAGAAAAAGAAAAAACCATACCCCAATTCAAAGTATGAAGCAATTATAACCCTCATATTAAAATCTAAACAAGGACAGCATAATAAAAAAGAATTATTCGCCAATCTCTTATAAGCACGCTTGCAAAGTATTACATAATACTTTAGAAAATGTTGCCTTTATTTTCTTTTGCCTTCATATTGTTTGAGCAGTTTGGCTCCCATCATTACCATGCTTAAGAAATGAATTTTGTAGGATGCTTGTGCTGTTTGATTGAGTTTACTTGGATTTTTAGCCATTTTCTTTACACTTGACTGCCAAACTCCACAAGATATTTTTACCTTTTCTAGTTTTCTATAATTTCATTGTCTTGTAGATTCTGTTATCTGACTCTTTGCTAACACTCTTTCTATGTTCTATGACTTCCCCTTCAGCCCCTTTATGCTGGGAGTTAAACATGTAGAGCCTGACCTATTGCTCTTCTTGATTTATATCCACTGCCTTGAAGAGTACACCCATTCCCACATGGCTAGTAATCCTCATTTGATTGGTAACTCTCAAATTGAAAAGTTCCCCATCTGATCAGCAGAGCTGTAGTTTTCTCAGATACTTAGCTCTGTTGTGCACATCACTGCTTTAATTGGATCTGACTAACACCAAACTCAGCATTTTTCTGACTTCTAATCTTTTTTACCTCACATCACCTTTTCTATGGTCACATTTTTTTTTCTTTTTTGTTTTCTTTTTTATTTTTATTTTTTATTTTTTTTTGGTTACGAAAACTTGTCAATATGGCAATGTCATTGAATTTTTTTCTTTTTCATTCGCTGTATCCATCAGATTCAATCTTTAATACAGCTCATATTTGTCTCTTTCTATCCAGTCTCATTTGTACATTGTTAGACAAGTGTTTATCACTAATCTGGAATACATCATCTTCAATAAGGCTCTTGTTTTCCTCCAAGCTGCACTGCTCACACTGCTCAGTTTTCTGTTAAGCAACCTGCTCATTATAGTAGAGCACCAAGGTGATCTGTTCTTCTGTTCTTCAGAAGTTCACTATTTCTTGTTGCAACAGGGCTACATGATTTTAAGATTCCTCAAAGTCAATACGAATTAACATTATTTTCCATTTCCATTCTGTATATCTTCACATTCCATAAATATAATACTCATGTATACGTTAAATTTCCTTATAAGTTCAACACATTGAAAGCTAAAATAAAGACTTCCTACTAGGAAATTGTAAATAAAACCCTTGGCTATGGAATCCAGATTGTATTTTTAGTTGAATTTTGCTTTGTTTATTTAAAATACATCAAAGTTGAACATATAAAGAGATTAAACTGAAAAAATGGTTTGTTAATGCATGGGCATTTTTGCCAGATTATTTTATTTTTCAAAAAGGTGTTATTGAATTGTAAAAATTATATTTTCAGGATGGCAAGTTATCTTTGAAAGCAAGCATTTGGCTCTGGTTAACTTTTTTTTTTTTTTTTTCCCCGTAGAGGATACAGAAGACGCTTGACATAGCTTGTCTGACATAGTAAAGGGAGTTATTAAGAAAATTGCCTGTAACTTGTACCAATCTGTGGTTTCTGCATTTTCCCTTTGGCTTCTGTTTTCTAATTCCCTGGTCCCAAGCCACATCAGTTGTTTCTTAATTCACTTTAAGCCACATATCATCATGACAATGTCTGTTACTCAAGATCCCTGAGTCCCTTGCCAACCTCAATGGTTATTTAATATAATAGAAGAGATTATGTGATTGACAATGAAATCAGATCTTAAGCTGATACTTAACTTGTAAGGAACAGTGACCTATGCTTGGTGGGTATTTAAATCTTGAGTTGTTCTGTTCCTGTTCTTTGCATTTTCCAAAATTCTTAGATTACTTCACAAGACCATTTCATCTGAGTGTAAACACCAACCATAGCAACAAAATCACAATATTATAATATTAGCATTGTTTAAAATAATAAGCTGGTTTCTCATTTATAATAATTTCTGACAAAAATTCTTTAATCTTATTTTTAATTTAAAATTTTTTTCTTGCATGTTAAGTTCACAGTTTTGGTCTCATGAGTGTTATGCATAAAAACATTTTTTTAACACAATTGCATTTTGTTATTCTTAATTATTAAAGAAGTTGTTGTTTTAAAAGTCTATATTAAGAATGTAGACTTAATTTTTGCTTAATTAGTATTCAAATCCAAAATTAATAATTAGATTAATTTATATTAATTTAAAACAAGTAGTTAGGAAAAATGAATAAGACCCAGTATTTGGTAGCACAATAGTAACTACAGTTAATAATAATTTAATTATACTTAAAAAAATAACTAAAAGATCATAATTGTTTGTAACAGAAAGCATAAGTGGTTGAGGGGATAGATATCCCATTTACCATGATATGATTATTACTCATGGCATTCCTGTGCCAAAGTATTTCATGTACCCCATATAGATATATACCTACTAAAAATTGAAAATTTAAAAAAGAACAGTTTATAATATTTAACTTACAGAAAATATATTCTTTTTTTGAAGTTTAGAGATTTATTTTCCATATTCTTGAAAGCTTCAAAACAAAAATGGCATTGGCAAATTGTGTCTACTGAAATTCAGGATCGTATACGCTTTTAATATTAAGTTTTACTCATTTAAGCATAGTTATATGAATGAATGTATTGGAGCATCTATATAAATAATTTTGTTCAGAGTAGAGTAATTCATCAGTGCCTCTCATTTAAATAAAATTAACATAGTTAATAAAAATTCATACCTTTTCAAGATATGAGATATTTCTTTCTTAGACAATGGGAACAAAAAATATTTTAGAGTTCTCACTGCCCTAGAACATTTTGAAAAACATTGTTTGCCAACTCTTTCTCTAAAGAAAACCATACACTCAAATATGTATAGGCTGAAAGATCAGATTTTAAATTTAATTTTATATGTAACACTCTTACCTTGAGATGAGATTTCTTAGCCAGCATCGTATACTGCTGTTTCTAACATTAATTTCTCATTGCCCAGTAACCTCACTACTACCTAAAAATGTGTTCTGCTGGCTCATAAACAATTATATCATCAATCCCCTCTGTGTGTAACAAGAGACCTTAACCACAGAACTGGGAAATAAAAGGAAGAATTATGCCAGAAGTAACAACGGTGCCAGAAACCTGCCTTGCAGTGATTGGCTAAATGAGGCCAACCAGTTGAGTTTCATTCAGCAGACTTGTTGAGTTAACCTACAAGCTTTTTTTTTTTTTTTTTTTCATTTTCTCTATTTTTCTTTACTTGCGCCTCCTTTGATTTCATGCTGGCTTTTTAAATTGAGGATAAAGTTAATTCATTTAACAATGCCACAGCTGGAATTAAGTATGCCTCTTCTCTGATCGCTGAGGGGAGGGGCTGTGCTGGTTGGTGGTGTCTTATTGGATGTCCAACACCCTTGAGGGCTGTTGCTGAATCAGTGGTGCCTCTAGCGACAGGCAAGAAGTTAACTAATTATGAACATATGGTTTGGCAGACACCTTGTTAGCTTGCTGCTGCGTAGGTGTTTGGAAGGAGGTGAAGGGGAAAGTTTGAGGTAGAAGGTGTGGCTAAAAGTCCCACTGATAAGCCTGGGGGAGATTTGATTGATCCTAATCTTTTTGTCAAGAATCAGCATGCTTCTGGCAGCAACAGCTTGGTAATAACAGAGATTTGTGGCCCTTAAGCTCTGGTGTGATAGACGGCACACATAACCAGATCAGTCAACTGGCTCCTTATAAGGCCCTCATTTAATTGGCCACAATAGTGGGAACAGAAATGAGATGTTAGGTCAAGGTACAACACATGGCCTACCTGAAATGGCTCAAAATGAAATAAGGCACAGATGTCATTCTTTATTGGCATGATTACCATCAGAGGAATAAGAGAAGGCTCGAGAAAAGGACTGCAGGGAAGCCTTTAGTAAGAGCCACACAAGTGCAGTATTTATACAGTACTTGAATTACTTAAAGAAAAATGCAGGCGTATAAAGGATTGAGAGGAGACATATTAGACTGGGTTGTGACTTGGTCTGAAGAAGAATAAAGTAGGCATTCTATGTTATAAAAAATGAAATTTCTTGGAAAATTAATAGTAGATAGTTTGAAACATTTTGTGAATTTTATGTATCTATGAAAAATTACACACACTCCTGGTATTCAACTGCATAGCTGTAAAAATCATATGTTTTCATCACCTATATTTTTGCATATAGTACTTATTGTATAATAATATATATTAATTATATATTATTATATATTATATAATAATATATATTAATTATATATTATTATATATTATATAATAATATATAATAATGTATAAGAATATTTTATATAAGACCCTTGGACTTATTGTATGAATTTTATATACCTACTCTAAAGCCTAAATTTTTTGAATACTAAAAAAAATTCCATGATATCTATGGAAAACTAGTTTATCTGATGGGAAACATTTGCTCTTAAAAGATCTGCTAGTTTCCAGTCTTTCTCCTATTCTTATGGATGCTCTTATGTTAATTACTCAGGGTGGTATAGACAATAGAGACATTTTGTATATCATTTA
Source organism: Homo sapiens (assembly GCF_000001405.40). Taxonomy (NCBI): domain Eukaryota; kingdom Metazoa; phylum Chordata; class Mammalia; order Primates; family Hominidae; genus Homo; species Homo sapiens. The sequence continues at coordinate 190,893,976 of NC_000003.12, forward strand.
AAACAGTATTGGAAATTATATAAAAGTAATTGTGCAGCCTGCCTGTATTAGTTCATTCTCACACTGCTATGAAAAAATACACGAGACCTGGGAATTTTTAAAGAAAAGAGGTTTAATTGACTCACAGATCCACATGGCTGGCAAGGCCTCAGGAAACTTAGAATCGTGGCAGAAGGCCCCTCTTCACATGGTAGCAGGAGAGAGAATGAGTGCCAAGCAAATAGGGAAGCCCATTATAAAACCATCAGATCCAGGATAACTCACTTACTATCAGGAGAACAGCATGGGGGAAACTGCCTCCATGATTCAATTATCTTCACCTGATCCCACCCTTGACACATGGGGATTATTACAATTCAAGGTGAGATTCGAGTGGGGACACAGAGCCAAACCATACCACTACCTTACTACTAAGTGATCAATAATTAGCATATTTCCAGATGGAAGGAACATTGTTCCAGATGTGACCCAGGAGACTCGCCTCTGTGTTCTGCAATTACACTGATAGCACGTGAACAGTGTTGTGTGAAAGTGAATATGTACATGTGCATATATCAATATGGTAATTGTTTGTTCTTCTGGAAATGGTTTGTACACATTTTCTTTTTAAAGAAGCTACAATTCATTTTTTAAATGTCCCAAACCTTATGTCTTGTTGAAAATACACCCACAGGGATCTTGGAATAAGAAAGACCAGAAGTGCAACAGTGTAGAGCACGGCTATAGCCAGATGTCTTTAGGCCAGGTTCTAACACTTAGTGGCAGTGTGACCTTGGGCAAATTGCTAACTCCTTAAATTTTTGATGTCCTCATTCATAAATAGCACCTGACCTACATGACCTACCACAGTGGGTTAGTGTAAGGATAAATTGAGTTAATGTATGACATGGTTTGGATCCATGTCCCCAACTAGATCTCATGTTGAAATGTATTCCCCAATGCTGGAGATGGGGCCTAGTGGGTGGTGATTGGATGATGGGGGTGATTTCTTATGGTTTAACACCATCCCCCTTGGTTCTGTCATTACAATAGTGAGTTCTTTTGAGATCTAGTTGTTTAAAAATATATGGCACCTCCCCATCTCTCTCTCTCTTGTTTGTGCTCTGGCCATGTAAGATAAGCCTGCTTCCTGTTTGCATTTCACAACAACTGTAACTTTCCTGAGGCCTCCCAAGTAGTCAGGTAGATAGGCAGCATCGCATATAGCCTGCAGAACCATGAACCAATTAAGCCTTTTAAAAAATATTTTATATTAAATAAACCAATATTAAATAAAACCAAGTCTCAGATATTTCTTTACAGCAATGTGAGAATGGATTAATACAGAAAATTGGTACCAAGGAGTAGGGCATTTCTATAAAGATACCTGAAAATGTGAAGGCAACTTTGGAACTGGGTAAAGGTGGAGATTAGAAGAGTATAGAGGGCTCAGAAGATAAGAAGATGAGAGAAAATTTGGAACTTCTGAGAGAATTGTTGAACAGTTGTGACCAATGTGATAGTGACATGGACAAAGATGGCCATGCTAATATGGTCTCAGATGGAGATGAAGAACTTATTGGGAACTGGAGCAAAGGTCACGTTTGTTATGTTTTAGCAAGGAGGCTGGCTGCATTGTGCCTCTGTTCTAGGGAATCTGTGGAATTTTGAACTTGAGAATGATAATTTAGAGTATCTACTGGAAGAAATTTCTAAGAAGCAAAGTGCTCAAGAATGGCCTGGCTGCTTGTAAAACCTATGCTCATATGTGTGAGCAAAGAAATGACCTGATACTGCTTATATTTAAAAGAGAAGTAGACCATAAAAGTTTGGAAAATTTGCAGCCTGGCAATGCAGTAGAAAAGAAAAACCCATTTCTGGGTACCAATTGAAGCGCAATGCAGATATTCAAATAACTAAAAGGAAGACAAGTGCTGATAGCTTCCAACACAATGGGCAAAAGGGCTTCAGTGCATTTCAGAGACCTCTGGGGCAGCCTCTCCCATCACAGGCCCAGAGGCCTTGGAGAGAAGAATGGTTTCATGGGCCAGGACCCTGGGGCCACCACAGCTAAGAACTCTCACAGAGTCCATTTAACCCCACCACCACCTACACTGGAACAGACGCTTATAACCAAGGCTGAGAGACCAATAGATGGTTCACATCGCAGGAATCTATGCAGACAACCACCAGTACCAGCCCAGAACCAGGTAGGTTTGCTGGTTGGCTAGATCCAGAAGAGGGACAACAATCACTGCAGTTTGGTTCACAGGAAGCCACATCCATAGGAAAAGGGGGAGAGTAGTACATCAAAGGAACACCCCATGGGACAAAAGAATCTGAAAAGCAGCCTTCAGCCCTAGACCTTCTCTCTGATAGAGGCTACCCAAATGAGAAGGAACCAGAAAACCAACCCCAATAATATAGCAAAAGAAGGCTCTTCAGTAACCCCTGAAAACCACACAAGTTCACCAAAAATGGATCCAAACCAAGAAGAAATCCCTAATTTACCTGAGAAAGAATTCAGGAGGTTAATTATTAAGCTAATCAGAAATGGAGGGACCAGAGAAAGGGGAAGCCCAATGTAAGGAAATCCAAAAAATGATACAAAAAGAAGGGAGAAAAAATCAAGGAAATAAATAGCTTAAAGTAAAAACAATAAGAAATTTAGGAAACTTTGGATACACTTTTAGAAATGTGAAATGCTCTGGAAAGTCTCAGCAATAAAATTGAACAAGTAGAAGAAAGAAACTCAGAGCTTGAAGACAAGGTTTTTGTATCAACCCAATCCAACAAAGACAAAGAAAAAAGAATAAGAAAATATGAACAAAACCTCTGAGAAGTCTGGGATAATGTTAAACGAGCAAACCTAACAATAATCAGTGTTCCTGAGGATGAAGATTATTCTAAAAGCCTGGAAAACATATTTGTGGAAATAATCAAGAAAAACTCCCCCAGCCTTGCTAGAGACCTAGACATCCACATACAAGAAGCACAAAGAACACCCAGGAAATTTATCACAAAAATATCTTCACCTAGGCACATTGTCATCAGGTTATCCAAAGTTAAGATGAAGGAAATAATCCTAAGAGCTGTGAGACAAAAACACAACGTAACTTATAAAAGAAAACCTATCATGTTAACAGCAGATTTATCAGAAGAAACCCTACAAGCTAGAAGGGATTGGGGTCCTATCTTCAGCCTCCTGATGCAAAACAATTATCAGCCAAGAATTTTGTATTCAGCAAAACTAAGCATCATATATGAAGGAAAGACACAATCTTTTTCAGACAAACAAAAGCTGAGAGAATTCGCGACTACGAAGCCACCACTACAAGAACAGTTAAAAGGAGCTCTAAATCTTGAGAAACAAATCCTGGAAACACAAAATAGAACCTCTTTAAAGCATAAATCACACAGGACCTGTAAAACAAAAATACAAGTTAAAAAGCAAAACCAAAAAAACCAAGAAAACAAAAATACACAGGCAACAAATATCATGGTGAATGCAACAGTACCTCATATTTCAATACTAACATTGAATGTAAATGTCTAAATGCTCCACTTAAAAGCTACAGAACCACAGAATTGATAAGAACTCACCAACCAACGATCTGCTGTCTTCAGAATACTCACCTAACACATAAAGCTCACATAAACTTAAGTAAAGGGGTGGAAAAAGGCATTTCATGTAAATAGACACCAAAAGCAACAGAGGTAGCTATTCTTATATCAGACATAACAAACTTTAAAGCAACAACAGTTAAAAGAGACAAGCAGGGCTATTATATAATGGTAAAAGGCCTTGTCCAACAGGAAAATATCACAATCCTAAACATATATGCCTCTAACACTGGAGCTCCCAAATTTATAAAACAATTACTAATAGACCTAAAAAATGAGATAGGCAGCAACACAGCAATAATGGGGGACTTGAGTACTCCACTGACAGCACTAGACAGATCATCAAGACAGAAAGTCAACAAAGAATGGAAAAATACAACCCTCCTAGCTTAAATCAAGAAGAATTAGATACCCTGAATAGACCAATAACAAGCAGCAAGATTGAAATGGTAATTTAAAAATTACTAAGAAAAACAAAAAAGTCCAGGACCAGATGGATTCACAGCAGAATTCTACCAGACATTCAAAGAAGAATTGGTACCAATGCTTTTGACACTATTCCACAAGATAGAGTAAGAAGGAACTCTCCCTAATTCATTCCATGAAGCCAGCATCACCCTAATACCAAAACCAGTAAAGGACATAACCAAAAAAGAAAACTATAGACCAATATCCTTGATGAACATAGATGCTAAAATCCTAAACAAAATGCTAGCTAACCGAATCCAACATCATATCAAAAGATCATCCACCATGATCAAGTGGGTTTCATACTAGGGATGCAGGGATGGTTTAACATATTCAAGTCATTAAATGTGATATGCAACATAAACAGAATTAAAAACAAAAATCACATGATCGCCTCAATAGATGCCAAAAGAAAAAGCATTTGACAAAATCCAACATCCCATTATAATTAAAACTCTCAGCAAAATCTGCATACAAGGTACATACCTTAAGGCAATAAAAGCCATCTATGACAAACTCACAGCCAGCATAATACTGAATGGGGAAATGTTGAAATCATTCTCTCTGAGAACTGGAACAAGACAAGGATGCCCACTCTCACCACTCCTCAACATAGTACTGGAAGTCCTAGCCAGAGCAATCAGACAAGAGAAAGAAATAAAAGACATCCAAATTGGTAAAAAAGAAGTCAAACTGTCACTGTTTGCTGACGATATAATCGTTTACCTTGAAAATGTACCTAAGGACTCCACCAGAAAGCTCCTAGAGCTGATAAAATAATTCAGCAGTCTCTGGATACAAGATTAATGTACACAAATTAGTAGCTTTTCACTACGCCAACAGCGACCAAGTGGAGAATCAAATCAAGAACTCAACTCCTTTTACAATAGCTGCAAATAAATAATAAATAAATAAATAAAATACTTAGGAATATACCTAATTAAGAAGTTGAAAGATCTCTACAAGGAAAACTACAAAACACTGCTGAAAGAAATCATAGATGGCACAAACAAATGGAAACACATTCCATGCTCATGGATGGGTAGAATCAATATTGTGAAAATGACCTTACTGCCAAAAGCAATCTCCAAATTCAATGCAATTCCAATCAAATTACCACCATCATTCTTAACAGAATTAGAAAAAAAAAATTCTAAAATTTATATGGAACTGAAAAAGAGCCCGCAGAGCCAAAATAAGACTAAGCAAAAAGAACAAATCTGGAGGCATCACATGACCTGATTTCATACTATATTATAAGGCCGTAGTCACAAAAACTGCATGGTACTGGTATAAAAATAGACACATAGACCAATGGAACAGAATAGAGAACCCAGAAATAAACCCAAATACTTATAGCCAACTGATCTTCAACAAAGCAAACAAAAACATAAAGTGGGGAAAGGACATCTTTTTCAACAAATGATGTTGGGATAATTGGCTAGCCACATATAGGAGAATGAAACTGGATCCTCATCTCTCACCTTATACAAAAATCATTGCAAGATGGATTAAAGACTTAAACCTAAGACCTGAAACTATAAAAATTCTAGAAGATAACATTGAAAAAACCCTTGTAGACATTGGCTTAGGCAAAAATTTTATGACCAAGAACGTGAAAGCAAATTCAATAAAAACAAAGATAAATAGCTGGGACCTAATTAAACTAAAGTGCTTTTGCATGGCAAAAGGAACAGTCAGCAGAGTAAACAAGCGACACATAAAGTGGGAGAAAATCTTCACAATCTATACACAAAGGACTAATATCCAGAATCTACAATAAGTTCAAACAAATCAGTAAGAAAAAAAAACAAGCAATCCCATCAAAAAGTGGGCTAAGGACATGAATAGACAATTCTCAAATGAAGATACACAAATGGCCAATAAACATATGAAAAAATGCTCAGCATCGCTAGTGATCAGGGAAATGCAAATCAAAACCATGCTGCAATACCACCTGACTCCTGCAAGAATGGCCATAAGAAATAATAAATAAACAGTAGATGATGGCATGGACGCAGTGAACAGGGAACATTTCTACTCTGCTGGTGGGAATGCAAACTAGTACAGTCACTATGGAAAACAACATGGAGATTGCTTAAATAACTAAAAGTATTACTACCATTTGAACCAGCAATTCCACTACTATGCATCTACCCAGAGGAAAAGAAATCATTATTCAAAAAAGATACTTGCTTATGCATGTTTATAGGAGCACAATTCACAATTGCAAAATTGTGGAACCAACCCAAATGCCCATCAATCAAAAAGTGGATAAAGAAACTGTGGTATATATATGCGATAGAATACTACGCAGCCATAAAAAGGAATGGATTAATGGCATTTGCAGTGATCTGGATGAGATTGGAGACTATTATTCTAAGTGAAGTGTCTCAGGAATGGAAAACCAAACATTGTATGTTCTCAATGATTTGTGGAATCTAAGCTATGAGGACATAAAGGCATAAGAATGACACAATGGGGACTTTGGAGGAAGAGTGGGAGGGGTGCGAGGGATAAAAGACTATAAATATGGTGCAGTATATACTGCTCGGGTGATGGGTGCACCAATATCTCACAAGTCAGCACTAAAGAACTTACTCATGTAACCAAAAACCACTTGTACCCCAATAACTTTTTGAAAAATAAATAAATAACAAAAAAGATTCAAGGAAAACAAATGCCAATAATATGCTTATTTTTGAGAGAGTAGTTTTTTTTATGTCCTTCAAAGAAAAACAATCTTTATAGCCTCTCCATCTCCCTAACCTTAACTCACTATGTGCAAAGACCTTTGGAATGGGTTGGGGTGTTTCCGGATTATGACGACACAGTTGAGAACTTTTATGTTTTTAAATCTTCCTTCATACATAGGTTTTTTCCCCTCTTTGTCTTTTTTTCTGATCCCTTTCTTTTGTCTTGGTTCCATGAAAGTCAGGTTTCATGATGATTTCTTGGTGAACTCCCCTTTTTGAAGAAACTTCAATCCCAATCATTCGCATGTTAGACAACAGGGCAATGTGTGACTGTCTTTGAGTTCACTGTAACTAGAGGAAACAAAATTGCTGTATGGATATGAAATGGGATAACCACATTGAGTAGATACATTTGTTTATAAATTTTTACATAAATAAACAGTTGTGCAACAATCATAAAAAAAGAAATTTACATAACTAAAAGGAAGGCAAGTGCTAGTGGCTTCCAACATAATGGACAAAAGGCCTTCAAGGTATTTCAGAGACCTTTGGGGCAGCCCCTCCCATTATAGGCCCAGAGGCCTTGGAGAGAAGAATGGTTTCATGGGCCAGGCCCCCAGGGCCCCGTTGCCCTGCACAGCCTTGGGACACAGCTCCCTGCATCCCAGCCACTCCTGTGCCAGTTGTGGCTCAAAGGGACCCAGGAACAGCTCAGGTAGCTGCTTCAGAGGGTGCAAGCCATAAGCCTTGGCAGTTTCCATGTGGTGTTAATCTTGCAGGTGCACAGAATGCAAGAATTGAGGATTAGGTGTCTCTGCCTAGATTTCAGAGGATGTATGAAAAGCCTAGATGTCCAGGCAGAAGTCTGCTTCAGGGACAGAGCCCTTATGGAGAAGCTCTACTAGGTCAGTGAGGAGGGGAAATATGGAGTTGGAGCTCCCATACAGAGTTCCCACTGGGTCACTGCCTGGTGCAGCTGTGAAAAGAGAGCCATCATCCTGTAGACCCTAGAATGGTAGATCCACTTGCAGCTTGCACCCTTGCACCTGAAAGGGCCATAGGCACTCAACAACAGTTCATTAGAGTGACTGTGGAGGCTGAGTCACAGAAGCGGAGCTGCCCAAAGCTTTGGGAGCCCACCCTTTGCACCAGTGTTCCTTGGATGTGGTACATGGAATAAAAGAAGATTATTTTGGAGCCTTCAGATTTAATGATTGCCCTTCTGGGTTTTGGAGTTGCATGGGGCCTGTAACCACTTTCTTTTATTCAATTTCTCCCTTTTGACAGAGTTGTGTTTACAAATGTCTATAGCCTCATTGTACCCTGTCAATAACTAACTTGTTTTTCATTTTACAGGCTCATAGGCAGGAGGGCCTAGCCTTGTCTCAGATAAGATTTCAGACTGTGGACTTTTGAGTTAATGCTGAAATGAGTCAACACTTTGGGGGAATGTTGGGAAGGCATGATTGTATTCTGCAATGTGAGAAGGACATGAGATTTGGGAGGGACCAGGGGCAAAATGATATGTTTTGGATCTGTGTCCCAAACCAAATCTTATTTTGAAGTGTAATCCTTAATGTTGGAGGTGGGGGAAGTGATTGGATCATGAGGGTAGTTGCTCATGGTTTAACACCATCCCCCTATGGTGCTGTTTTCATGATAGTGAGTTCTTGTGACACCTGGTTGTTTAAAAGTGTATGGCACCTCCCCTCTTTCTCTTACTCATGATCTGGTTATGTAAGAGGAGCCACTTCCCCTTTGTCTTTTGCCATGACTGTAAGATTCCCCAGCCTTCCCCAGTGGCCAATGGCCAGCATCATGCTTCCTGTACATCTTGTGGAACGATGAGCCAATGAAACCGCTATTCTTTATAAATTACTCAGTCTCAGATATTTCTTTATAGCAATGAAAGAACAGACTAATACAGTGTACATGAAGATTTCAGCATTAGGCTTGGCAGAATTTATATGCTAAATATATGTTTGCTAAAAATAAGACAGAGAGGCACCTACATGATTCTCATATAGTTCTATTTGTCTTTAGGTGGTCAGACACTTTAGGGTAAATTTTATAAAAGCAGTGAACCCAAAACAAGAAGTTGAGGATCTATCAAACCTAAAAATAGAACTTATTTAGGTGCGTAGGTAAAGAAACCACACACAGCAAAAAGGTTCAATAGGGTCCACTTGGTGATGAGAAGGTTGCTTCACCCATAATACTTGCTCACCCCACAATGGGAAGTAATGGTGACACTGGCTCATACTTCAGCACCTTCTCTCTTTAAAGCTCCTAGTTTTTAAAAAAATTCTCCCATGTGGACAAAATACAGCATGGGTTTCCATCAGAGACTACTTATGTTGCAAGTCTTACTAGCTGACTGCAGCCACTTGGTCATGATGCCTGAGCACAGTGGACATTATATATTTGCTTGTGTTAAAAGCCCCATTTTCTAGGCCCTTCATCCCAGCTGATGGGACTTCATTGAGCAGATCAATAATGGAACAGACCTGAAACAGTCCTAATTCCTTAGTATTGAACCACCACTAAATTCCACCTTTTTTTGTTTTATTGTGTTATGAATTATGAGATACAATTGCCTGCAATGCATTATTTTAATCCCTGGTGACGTAATATGTTTCTCTTTTTCTTATTTAAATAAACAAACATCACTCACCTGTCTTGTAGTAGCTTGCTTGCATGCTTGATTATTTGGATTAAGCCATTTCAATTATTCAGATAGTTTATTTTAAGGGGAACAATATTTCTGTGGACCTTGTATAAACATAGAGGTTTTTATGAATGTTACAAATATATATGTGTTTTCCACAGAATCACGTTTACCACTTGGATTATATCTTTTACAGGTAACAAGCAATTAAAAAATACCCTTTCCTGAGTATTAGCTCATGTATTTTTATTCACTTAAAACATGTATCTTTTATTTGTCACCTTTGAAATCAGAACAGCTTGTAGTATTAAGATTTTGCCAGGAATTCATTTAAAAATAAGTAGGAATAGTAGGACCAAAGAATTTTTTAACAGATGGCATTTAGACCATCTAATTTAGCAAAATATTTATTTTGTTTTTACAGAAAATTACCAGGCTAATGAGGGTGGTATAATTTTCCCAAGTTCACACGATAGATACCAAAATCCAGAATGTCTGACTCTGTCATGTTTCTTGTATTAAAAGTCCCATTTTACTTACATTTTTAAAAGAAACATAGAAATAGCTAATATTCCTGTTAAAATAAAAATCAAGTTGTTATCAATGCAATGTTATCTAAAAATATGAGAGCCTAATCTTGCCCAGGGAATGTTTTGTGGTTTCAAGGTTTAACATATGGAGCCATTCCTAAATCACACTTTCTACATTTCTCAATTGTCTCAGAATTCTAATTACTCATGGCTAGTACAATTATTACTAAACATAACTAGGTCTCTCACATTATATTTCCTAGAGTAGTTAAATGAAAGAAGTCTTTCTCAGTGAAACTTAACCAGAATTCACAAAATAATTACTATGTGCAGATAGTTGATGCATATAATATTTACTTGGAATGTTTTCTAAATTAATCATTATCTAGACAAAAAATGGTTTTAAACACCATTTTGAGGAAGACCTGGGATTTCTACAGTGAAACATTAAAGATGCAAGGGAAACAAGGAGATAACTGAATGATATGGCTTGGCTCTGTATCACCACCCACATCTCACCTTGAATTGTAATAATCCCCATGTGTTGTAGGAGGGACCCCATGGGAGGTAACTGAATTATGGGGGCAAGTTTTTCCTGTGATGTTCTCATGATATGGAATAAGTCTCATGATATGGAATAAGTCTCATGATATCTGATGGTTTATAAAGGGGAGATCCCCTGCACATGCTCTCTCTTGCCTGCCACCCTGTAAGATGTGCCTTTCTCCTTTTTCACCTTTTGCTGTGATTGTGAGGCTTCCTCATCCATGCAGAACTGCGAGTCCATTAAATCTCTTTTTCTTTAAAAATTACCCAGTCTCAAGTATGTCTTTATTAGCAGTGTAAGAAAAGTCTAATACAGTAAATTGGTACTGGGTAGTGGGGTGCTGCTGTAAAGATATCCGAAAATGTGGAAGCAACTGGAACTGGGTAACAGACAGAGGTTGGGACAGTTTGGAGGGCTCAGAAGATAGGAAAATGTGGAAAAGTTTGGAACTTCCTAGAGACTTGGAGGGCTCAAAAGACAGGAAGATGTGGGAAAGTCTGGAACTTCCTAGAGACTTGGAGGACTCAGAAGAGAGAAAGGTGAGGGAAAGTTTGAAACTTCCTAGAGACATGTTGAATGGCTTTAACCAAAATGCTGATAGTGATATGGACAGTAAAGTCCAGGCTGAGGTGGTCTCAGTTAGAGATAAGGAACTTGTTGGGAACTGGAGTAAAGATCACTCTTGCTATGTAAATAGACTGGTGGCATTTTGCCCCTGCCTTAGCGATCTGTGAAACTTTGAACTTGGGAGAGATGATTTAGGGTATCTGGGGGAAGAAATTTCTAAGCAGCAAAGTGTTCAAAAGGGAGCAGAACATAAAATTTTGAAAAATTTGCAGAGTGACAATGTAGTAGAAAGGAAAAGCTGATTTTCTGGGGAGAAATTCAAGTTGGCATCAGAAATTTGCATAAGTAATGGGGAGCCAAATGCTAATCCCCAAGACAATGGGGAAAATGTCTCCAGGGCATGTCAGTGATCTTCACAGGAATCCCTCCAATCATAGGCTCAGAGACCTAGGAGGAAAAAATGGTTTCCTGGGCCAGGCCCAAGGATCTCTGCTGTGTGCAGTCTTGGGACTTAGTATCCTGTGTCAGCTGCTCCAGCTCTAGCTAAAAGGGGCCAACATACAGCTCAGGCCATTGCTTCTGACAATGCAAGCCCCAAGCCTTGGCAGGTTCCACATGGTATTGGGTGTGCGGGTGCACAGAAGTCAAGAATTGATGTTCGGGAACCTCCAACCAAGTTTCAGAGAATGTATGGAAACACTTGGATGTCCAGACAGAAGTTTTCTGCAGAGGTGGGGCTCTTGTGGAGAACTTCTGCTAGGGTAAAGCAGAAGGAATATGTGGTGTCGGAGCCCCCACACAGAGTCCCCAGTGGGGCACTGTGTAGTGGAGTTGTGAGAAAAGGGCAACCATCCTCCAGATCCCAGAATAGTAGATCCATTGACAGCTCGCACTGTGCACCTGGAAAAACCATAGACACTCAATACCAGCCCATGAAAGCAGCCAGGAGGGAGGGTGAGCCCCACAAAGCCACAGGAGTGGAGTTTCCCAAGGCCATGGGAATGCACCTCTGGCATCAATGTGACCTGGATATGAGACATGATGTCAAAGGAGATTATACTGGAGCTTTAAGATTTGACTGCCCTGCTGGATTTCAGACTTGCATGAGGCCTGTAGCCCCTTCATTGTGGTCAATTTCTCCCATTTGAAATGGGCATAGTTACCCAATGCCTGTGCCTCCATTGTATCTGGGAAATAACTAACTTGCTTTTGATTTTACAGGCTCATAGGCAGAAGGGACTTGCCTTGTCTAAGATTAGACCTGGGACTTGGACTTTTGAGTAAATGCAGGAATGAGTTAAGATTTTGGGAGATTATTGGGAAGGCATGATTGGTTTTGAAATGTGAGGACATGAGATTTGGAAGGGGCCAGGAGCAGAATGATATGTTTTGGCTCTGTGTCCCCACCCAAATCCCAACTTGAATTGTAATAATCCCCATGTGTCATGGGAAGGACCCATTGGGAGGTAATTGAATCATTAGGGCAGGTTTTTTCTGTGCTGTTCCCATTATAACGAATAGGTCTCACAACATCTGATGGTTTTATAAAAGTGAGTTCCCCTGAACATGCTCTCTCTTGCCTGCCTCCATGTAAGATGTGCATTTCTCCTCTTTTGCCTTCCACAATGATTGTGAGGCTTCCCTAGTCATGTGAGACCACAAGTCCTTTAACCTCTTTTTCTGTATAAATTACCCAGTCTTGGGTATGTCTTCATTAGCAGTGTAAGAACAGACTGATATATCAAGTAAGCAAGTTGCTGAGCTTTCCTCTCTACTCTCAAAAGGCCAATAAAGAGTGGCTTTAAAATCTGTTCATGACTTCTCTGACATTCTTTCCTTTAAGAGATGGAGCTTAATATCTCTCCCCTGGAATGTGCGCTGGACTTAATGAGTCACTTGAAACAAATGGAATATGCCAGAAGTGACCATCTGGGTAATTTTTGAGACTAAGTCACAAAAAACATTGTGGCTTTTGCCTTTCTATCTCTTTGGGATCACTTACCATGGAAAAAGCCAGTCGTCAGGTCATGAGGACATTTAGGCAACCTTGTGGAGAGGTCCATGTGATGAAAAACTGAGACCTCCTTCCAACAGCCATGTGGAAAATGATCCTCCAGCCCTAGTCAAGTCTTCAGTTTCCTACAGCCCTAACCTGTATTATTAAACAAAGTAGAACCCTAGGTGTCATAGTTCCACTGACTATTAATAAATATTTCACGATAAAAATGGTTCAGTGGTCAAATAAGTGTGGGAAGGTCTGAATTAAACAAAGCTAAGAAAGCTTATTTCCCCTAAGATTTTAAAAATTCTTTAATATAATGTATACACTGTGGCTCTGGGTATTTTAGATCTAAGAGGGGTTAACAGAAAGTTTACTGCTTTCTTTACCCTAAATCTGTTTATTTGGTAGTATGCTTTTATATTCAATTATAACATTTATGAACCTATTTTGTAGGAAAGAGCTCTTTGTCACAAATTAAGTGGGAGGATATTACCTCAATGCTTAAATGTTAGAACCGGGTGAGTCTTCCAATACAGTATTGGGTTGTACATGTGTGAGTCATAGATATAAATAAAATTGCCATATAGCTCAGTGAAAGATGGACGTCCTAGTAATACATATTGAATTTTTCATGCTATACATTCTCCTATGTGCTTCTGAATAATTAAATATGTTTTATGGATTTAAAAAATAGTTTCAGAAGGGTGGTTAAGTGCTCAATACAGAAGACTGTCAAAGTGGCCTAGTGGGGAATCCAGTGTTTTTTCCATTGTACCATTCTGCCTCAAATATGATTCTGGCATATCCAATCAAATTTATCTGGATTTCTCAACTTCTATACTCATTCTAGTTACTCCTAGCATGGGACATATCCATACCTGTGTCTTATTTCCTGTTCTTCCTTTATCTTTCCTGAATGACTATCATCAATTTCTACCCTCTCAGAATCTTTGGCTAATCAATATTTATGGATCATTCATTATACTTTCATCACTGTCACTACTAAAGAATAAACTAAAAGGTAAATCATTTATTCAAGATCACACAAAGTTTGAGGTTATTAGGTTTATTAGTACTTAGACCCAACTCTAGTGCTCATGCTCTTCACCACTATGCATATTTCCATGACCTATTTCCTTCCAAGTGTCACTCCTACATATGAATTAGGCAGCTCTTATATATTTTCTGTACTATTCACAGATCCCCATCATATGAGACCATGTTTCATTTGATAATGTTATATATGTGTCAGTTTTTAAGTAGGTTACAGATGAATTAGAACATAGGAATCATATCTTGGCAATATTAAGTAAGTTGGCTGATGTGATGGTAGTAGAAAAGTTGTAAGCAAAAAGGACTACAGAAACTGCTTTTGATATTTACTAAACCTGCTATTGATATTTACTAAAGCTTCCATTAAGTTTGATAGTTAGTTCAGGAAAATGTGAAATCCTGATTTCTGTGTATAGTGTTCACGAATCTTTATAATGTAGTTCGAATCTCTTTTTCAAACCTCAGCTTTCACTTCCACCATTCAAAGGCCTTAGCAATTCTCTATCCACAATTTATATTCTCAAAGTCTAACCATTCTCTACATTTCTTTGCCTTTGCCTACATAATTTTTTTTTTGCTTCCCTGCCTGAAAATCTACTCATTCTTCAAAAACCAGGTCCATTATTCTCCTCTTAGCTAGATAGCAATTATTACTTCCTTTCTGATCTCTATTAGAACATTTATAGCATTGCTCAGGACTAGATACAAGTGCCTACGTATCTGTCTTCAAAGAAACTTCATCACTCAGGGTAGAAGAAAATCTGTAATTATTAAAAATGTGAGCCTTAAGCTTAGGTATATCTGGATTCAAACTCTGACTCTGTCACTTATTAGCTACTCTGTCACTTATTAGTTATTAGGAACTTGGCCAAGATATTTAACTTTTCAAAGTCTCAATCCCCTTCTGCATAAGTAAGGATATTAATAACCTTACAGAGTTCTTGCAAGGATGACACAATAAAATACACGTAGTTCCAAGCACATAAAAGCATCATGAATTTTGTGATATGATGATAATAATAATTGATAGATCTTTGTGTTTCAATCATTAACACTGACTGAAACCTTTTATACACTTAAATTTTTGCAGAAGGCATAATGAAAATATAAATGCTTGTATATTTACTTTTTCATTACCCACAAATAACATACACATTATGACCATAATGAATTCTTGCAGATTGAAATTAAAAAGAACAAGCCCAGCAGTATGTTGCCTGCCCTTCTGGAAACTGAAGAATATAATTAATAAACTTAGAGAAAATTAAAGACTCAAGTGACACAGGTAAGTATATCTAATTAGTGTCAAAACTTAGGCCTCCTGAATGTCTGGCGCACAGAATGCCTTTCAGATTAGCAAAATGTCCATGCAGGTATGACTGAAGATGAAGTATGGCAGAATATGGTAGCCATGCTTTATAACAAACTAAGAATGAATAAGATTTTGCCACTTATAATTCATATGGTTGCAGATTTTCCTTATTAAGATCTGAAGTTTGTTGCTTCCTCTTCCTTCTCAGCATTTTACTTCCAAAAGTCTTTTTCAACAAAGACACTAAGTCAGAGACAAAAAGCAAATGAACAAACAACAACAACAACAAGAAACCTCTTCTTTTTATTCATCTTCTATTCCAAGATAGAAGAATCTGAGTGGAACAGGGATCTGATGAGGGATCTTGTCTTAATCAAAGGATCATTGGATGGGTCTATCAGGGCTGCGACACTTCTTTTAGGGAGCTGTGTATGTGTTCTCAATTAATTAGCAGAAAGCATTTAGACTGATTTTTAGTTCACAGTACGCACTCAGTAGGCATTGTGGTTTTAATTGGAACTCGTAATTACTTTATCGTAAAATAAATTTTATCCCAATTTTGTATTGCTTTTGCTGTTTTCTCTGAGTTTCTAGAGAAGACAGTGAACTGAAAATGCCTTTCTGAAAAAGTGTGTGTGGGGGTGTGGGGTGGGGGTGTGTAAATGCCAATATACATGCAGTGAATGCGCCCCCGCACGCTTTGGAAGCCCTGTGTCCACTTTCCTTTAACCAGTGATTAACAGGCAAGCGCAATTTTTAATTTTATAGTTTGAAGCTTTTTCACTATTCCTATGCCTTTTTTATCTTCAGGCTTTGTTGAATTAGGATGAGAACTTTAAACGGGAAGTTTGGCACTGAGTAAGCATCATTGGGAGACGGCTGAATACAGGCGAACCTCTGCACTCTGTCAGTATCAGAATTTTTGAAAAGGAAACAGATTGCTTTGTCTTTATTTGCAATAATATCATGTTAACCTTCAAGTAAACCTTCTTTAGTAAAAACCTTCTTTAATAAAAAATATTATTTTTGCCCAATGAAAACAATATGCCTAATTATTTTTTTCTGCATTGTTTATCTCTATCTCCAAATAAATGTCTGTTGGATCCAAGCTCTAATACTCAGAAGTGGTACAGAGTAGGTAAATCATCATTATCTATATATGAGATTATGAGATCCTTGAGAAAATGGGCTGTAAGTTGTTCACCTTGTGATTGCCCATGACTAGCACCGTGTCTGGGATTGTGTGGCTCACTATTAAAGTGGGGGAAGATATGAAGTCCTAATTGTACAGAAAGAGAGATGATTTTAGTAAACAATAGGTTCCTTAGATATAAAATGAAGTAACAACTGCTACTCATAGGTATAGAACACAACTGTAGGTAGCCCATAGGCATAGAATTAGAAGCCGAAGTCAGCATCTACTATGTGTCGTGCACTATACTATGTCTAGATACTTTAGATCCTTCTCCTTTAGAGAAAGAGAATAATTAAAAGAGAGTGTAATGGATGCTACTGTAGAGGCTTTAAAAATTCTTATGAGGACCCTGTATAGAGTGTTACCCCTCCCTGAGAAATTCAAAAAAGACTTCACAAAAGAAATGATATTTTAGCTGGGGCCTGAGATTCATTAGGAGTTTGCCAAATGAAGAAAGGCAGATGGAATTTTAGGTGGAGGGAGGAAAACACAGATAGAGTCTGGATTTAACAACAATTTTCAGCTGAAAATGAAAGTTTGCAAACCTAAAATTTTATCTTACAGGTAAAAATTATCTACTGTTAGATAGTATTGAAAGTAACTTTGTAGTAAAATTTTTACCATTTGTATTATTTATAGTCCAAAAGCTGGGTCCATTGGTCCCTTTCCCGCCAAACAGGATATTGTCATTAGAGTGACTTGCATCCTGCTGAAAGCAGTATGTCTGATGTGTAAGGCACAAAGACATTGTTTAAAGAACCCTTATGATTTTGAACCAACTGGCCCAGCAGGGAAGTTTTAACCTGCCCACCCTAACACGCACAACAGCCTGTGTTTGTAAACAGAGCCTTATTGCACTAGTGAGAGCAGACTCAGAACAGTGTCAGCTCATTAATTGGGTGTCAGCTCCCTGCTGGGAAAAAAGCTTAATGAGTCATCTCATCATAAAGAACTGTGGCTCAAGGGAGGGGTGAATTTCCTAGAGAGAGGGGGAAAGATTTGTCCAGCAATAACTATGTGTATAGAAAAGCTTGAAGCCCACCTGCTGGGATAAAGAGAGAGCAGCATTTGGGAACGGATGGTTTCTCTGCATTCTGCTATTCAGAGCGAAACCTGAGTTTATGAGTTTATAAATGCAGCAATTACCAGTGCGTATATTCAGATTTATTGGTAGTTTAATAAATTGAAATCATTTAAAACACATTTTTGTATACAATTTAAGTTTTTCTTTCTTCTGCCCCCAATATAAATACTATTCTACATTTCCTCATAAAATTTCCTGTGACAAAGCACACGTTAATCAGTGCTCATATTGAAACTCAAATATATTCTTGACATCAACAGCAAACATTATTAAAGGCTATCAAATTTATGCTGTGTGTTTTGTAGAAAGTCATAAGACAATATTAAACTAATTAACAAAATACAGCCTTAAACATGAAAAAACCCACCTCTCTGAGTTATTATTTTAAAATCTATCCTAATATTCACATAAGAAAGTATTTTAGGTTTTCACGTAGTGCTCCAGATTTATACCTAATATTCATTATTAGGACACTGTGTTCTTACGTCTTGGGCCATTGGTCTTATTAATTTGTAACATCTCTTGATATTAAATTGTCAGCCCATTGTTATATATTTTCCATAGTTTGTGTTCGTATTTTAATTTTGCTTCCAGTATTTTTGCCATGAGTTTGATAAATGAATTATGGTAAGTGTTTTTCCTTATGTCTCTATTTTTCTCAATTCCCAAAGAATCTCAAAATCTCTACTCTTTGCTCACTGACTTCTCAACCTAAGTGGTCTTTCCGACCTTCTGATCCCTCTTATCAAATCGCTAGTTCTTTCTCTCATCCTCATTCCATGTCCCCTCCGCAAGAAATGTTTCAATAGTTAATGCGTAATGTATTTTGCTGAGAAAATTAGGGGGATTTATTTATCATTTCCATAAATCTGAGATTTTCTTCTCCCCTCTAGAATACATCTATTGTTGTGGTTTCTAAAATGTGTTAACTTCAAATGTGTCGACTCTCCTAGTGGGAGTCTCTATTTCTTCCCCTTAAACCTGGATAGGCTTGTGACTGCTTAGACAAATAGGTAGAAGTGACACTATGTAGAGGGTGGCTCGACAAAAGGCACGAAGCTTCTACTTCGTTTGCTAAAATACTCCCTTATGGAGACCTAAGCTGCAATATAAAAAATCCAACTAAACTGAGGCCACCAACCTGGAGAGCCATAAGAAGAGGCCACATGGAGAGGCTCTGCAGTTACATAGAGGGAGGAAGCTATTTGAGTCATCCCTGCCCATAAACTGGACGTGTGAGTGAAGAAGCCTCTAGAGGTGTCAGGCTTCCAGCTGTTCAAACAACTGAGACCCTAGACATTGTGGAACAAAGACAAACCACACTTGCTGAGCCGTGCCC
Source organism: Homo sapiens (assembly GCF_000001405.40). NCBI lineage: Eukaryota > Metazoa > Chordata > Mammalia > Primates > Hominidae > Homo > Homo sapiens. Next base: position 190,913,040 of record NC_000003.12, read on the forward strand.
TAATTCCTTACTCACAGAATCCATGAGTATAATCAAATAATTTTTTGGAAGGTGAGTCATTTTGCAGTAATAGATAATTGGAATATCTGCCTACCATTAAGCCTCCTTTCAGTAAGTAGAAAATCCTTTTAAACACACTTTCCAGCATTTAATATCTGTTTCTATCCATTACCTTCCTTTTGTCTTCTTTAAATAAGTTTAAGAGTACAATTTAATAGATATCCTTGACTCTTACTTTCTCAGATTTTTCTTCAATTTCATCTTACATTGCCAATTACCTTTTTAAAGTTCTGTCTCTAGGCATTGCATTCACTTTCTTCTTCTGATTCCCCTTCTATCTCCCAGAACCACCTAAATTGAAGTAAGATACCACCCCTTAAACTTTCATTATTCTCGAGAAAACCTTTGTGAACGCATTTGTTACCTTCATTAAATAATTTTGTTGTTCAAAGGCAGAGACCAGGTCTTTTTCAGAGTTGTATTTTCAGTGTCTACTAGTGTGCACTGAAAGTAAGACAGCATTCAAATAATATTTGGATAAGAGAACTCCACCTATTTCTGTACTGTCTACTCTTTTAAAAATTATTTGTATCAACATACAATAATTACACATATTTAATAGGTCCATGTGATATTTTGATACAGAGTGTGTAATGATCAAGTCAGGGTAATTAAACTACATATCATCTCACTCATTTATCATATATTTATCTTATCTAGCTGCTCTGACTAGGACTTCCAGTACTCTTTTGAATAAAAGGGCTGAAAGTGGGCATTTTTATCTTCTTCCAGAACTTAGAAGAAAGGCTTTCAATTTTTCCCCATTCAATATGGTGCTAGCTGTGAGTTTTATGTATACAGCCTTTGTTATTTTGAGGCATGTTTCTTCCATGCTCAGTTTGTTGATTTTTTTCATCATGAATTGATGTCGAATTTTATCCAATTCTTTTTGACATCTATTGAAATAACCATGTGGTGTTGTCCTTGGTTGTATTAATGTAACGTATCAAGTTTATTGATTTGCATATGTAATGTGATACTTCCAGCTTTATTCTTTTTGCTCAGGATTGTTTTGACTATTTAGGGTCTTTCGTGGTTCCATATGAATTTTAGGATTGTTTTTTCATTTCTGGAAAAATGTTATTTGTATTTATACAAAGAATGCATTGAATCTATAGATCGCGTTTGGTATTATGCACATTTTAACAGTGTTAATTCTTCCAATCCATGAACATAAGCTATCTTTTCATTTTTTGTGTGTCTTCATCAATTTTCCTTATTGGCATTTTATAGTGTTCATTGTAAAGATTTTAACTTCTTTAGTTAAATTAATTCCTAGTTAATTTATTTTTTGTAGCTAACGTAAATGAAATTGGATTTTTAAATTTCTTTTTCAGAATTTTACTGTTGGTGTATAGAAATGCTACTGATTTTTGTACGTTGATTTTGTATCCTAAAACTTTAATGAACTCATTTGTCATTTGTCAGTTCTAACAATTTTTGGTGGAGTCTAGATTTTTCATTTGGAAAAAGAATAACTTGACATATTATTTTCCAATTTGAATGTTCTTTATTTATTTGTGTTGGGGACATTCCAGATACTCTGTTCTAGCTACTTTGAAATATGCAATAAATTATTGTTAACTGTAGTCACCCTAGTGTGCTACAGAACACCAGAATTATTCCTTCTACCTAGGTAAGGAACTCCATGCATTCCCCAGGCAACTACTCATTTGCTACTATAGATTAATTTGCATTTTTCTAGAATTGTATATTAATGTAATAATAGAATATATATTGTTTGTTGGTCTGGCTTTTTTCTTCCATGTTGTCATATGTGCCATTTTTATTGCTAAATGATAGTCTACTAAGTACTGTTTCAAATGTATACACTGCAATGTGTTTATAAATTCATCTGCTGTTAGATAGGGGATGGTTTGTGCGTACGTTTTTATATGGAAATATAGTACAAGTGGAGCAGCAAAATCATGTAAGTGTATGTTTTAAGAATGTCCAAAAAACCATCAAACTATTTTACAATTGGTTATAGCATTTTATACTCCCACAAAAAATATATTACAGTTCCACTTACTAATATCCTTGCTATCATTTAGTCAGATATACAATTTTAGTTATTTTAGTAGGTGTGTAATGGTATCTCATTGTGGTTTAAATGTTTATTTTCTTACTAATAATGAATACATTTTTCTGTGCTGATCTGCCAGCTGTATATCCTATGCTAAAGTGTCAATTGAAGTTTATTGCCCACCTTTAATTGTGTGCTTGTTTCCTGAATATTGAATTTAGAGAATTCTTATATCATTTATGAACTGCAAACATTTTCTTACTGTCTGTAGATTTTTTTCCATTTTCCAAACCATGTTTTTCTTTCTTTCTAACTTTTATTTTAGTTTCAGGGGGTATATGTGCAGGCTTGTTACATGGGTAAATTGCATGTCATGGAAGCTTTTTGTACAGATTATTTTGTTACTCAGGTAAGGAACATTGCACCTCATAGGTGGTTTTTCAGTTCTCAACTGCTCCTACTCTCTACCCTTAAGTAGTCCCTGGTGTCTATTGTTCTCCTCTTTGTATCCACATGTACTCAATGTTTAGCTCCAACTTATAAGTGAGAATGTGTAGTTGGTTTTCTGTTTTTGCATTCATTTGCTTAGGATAATGGCCTCCAGCTCCATCTCTGTTGCTGAAAGAACATAATTTAATTCTTTTTATAGCTGTGTAGTGTTCCATGATGTGTATGTACCATATTTTCTCTATCTAGTTCATTAAAGGCATCTAGGTTGATTCAATGTCTTTGTCTTTGTAAATACTGCAATAATGAACCTATGTGTATATGTGTGCATGTGTCTTCATGTAGAACAATTTATATTTATTTGGGTATATACCTAGCAATGAGATTGCTGGGTAAAAAGGTGGTACTCATTTAAACTCTTTCAGAAATTTCCAAACTGTTTTCCACAGTGGCTGAACTAATTTACATTTCCATCAGCAGTGTATAAGCTTTCTCTTTTCTCCACATCTTCACCAGCATCTGTTATTTCTGGACTTTTAAAGAATAGCCATTCTGACTAGTATGAGATGGTATTATTGTGGTTTTGATTTCCACCCCTCTGATGATTAGTAATGTTAAATATTTTTTCATTTGTTTGTTTGCTGCATGTATATCTTGTTTTGAGAAGTGCCCATTCATGTCCTTTGCTCATTTTTTAATGGGGTGTTGGTTTTGCTTGTTATTTTGTTTAAGTTTCTTATAGATACTGGATATTAGACCTTTGTCAGAAGCATAGTTTGCAAATATTTCCCCTCATTCTGTATGTTGTCTGTTTACTCTCCTCCTAGTTTCCAATGCTGTGCAGAAGCTTTGTAGTTTAATAAGTCCTACTTGTCAATTACCGTTTTTGCTGCAATTGCTTTTGGAGTCTTTGTCATGAAATCTTTGCCAAAGGCTACGTTCAGAATAATATTTCATAGTTTTCTCTTCCAGGGGTTTTATAGGTTTGGGTTTCATATTTAAATCTTTAATCTATCTTAAGTTGATTTTTATATATGGTGAAATGGACGGGTCCAGTTTCAGTCTTCTGCATATGGCTAGCCAGCTCTCCCAGCATCATTTATTGAATAGGAATTCTTTACCCCACTGCTTGTTTTTGTCAACTTTGTCAAAGCTCAGATATTTTCCCTTGTGTGGGTTTATTTCTGGGTTCTCTAATCAGTTTCATTTGTCTATGTGTCTGTTTTTCTACCAGTACTATGTTGTTTTGGTTAGTGAGGCCTTGTAGTACATAGTTTGAAGTCATGTGGTGTGATGTTTCTGGTTTTGTTCTTTTTGCTTAGGATTGCTTTGGCTATTTGGGCTTTTTTTGTTCAATATGAATTTTAAAATTGCTTTCTCTAATTCTGTGAAAAATATCATTGGTAGTTTGGTAGAAATAGTATTGAATCTGTAAATTTCTTTGGGCAGTATGGTCATTTTAACAGTACTGAGTCTTCCTATCCATGAGCACGGAATGTGTCTTCACTTGTTTGTGTCTTTTCTGACCTCTTTCAGCAGTGTTTTGTAATTCTTATTGTAGATATTGTTGCCTTCCCTGGTTAGCTGTACTCTTAGGTATTTTATCATTTTATAGCTATTGTGAATTGGATTCCATTTTGGATTTGGCTCTTAGACTGAACATTATTGGTATATAAAAATGTACTAAATTACGCACATTGATTTTGTATTCTGAAACATTGCTGAAGTTGTTGATGAGATCTAGGAGTCCTTGGGCAGAAACTATGTGACTTTCTAGGTATAAAATCACATTGTTTGTATAAGTTTGAGTTTCTCTCTTCCTATTTGTACATGTTTTATATCTTTCTCTTGCCTGGTTGCTCTGGATAGGACTTTTAGTTCTATGTTGAATAGCAGTGCTAAGAGTGGACATGCCTGTTTTGTTCTGGTTCTCAAGGGGAATGCTTTCTACTTTTTCCCATTTGGCGTGATGTTGACTGTGGGTTTGTCATAGAAGTCTCTTATTTTTTTGAGGTACTTCCCTTTGATATGTAGTTTATTGAGAGATTTTAACATGAAAGGATGTAGAATTTTATCAAAAACCTCTTCATCATCTATTGAAATGATTATGTGGTTTCTGTTTTCAATTCTGCTTATGTGGTAAATTATATTTATTGATTTTCATGTGTTGAACCAGTCTTGCATCCCAGGAATAAAGCTTACTTGATTGCATTGGATCAGCTTTGCGATGTGTTACTGGTATCAGTTTCCTGATACTTTGTTGAAAATTTTTGAATCTGGGTTCATCAGGGATATTGGTCTGATGTTTTTGGTAGGAGTCCTTCCTCCCCATTTTTTTTTTTTTTTTTTGGAATAACTTCAGTAGCATTGGTACCAGCTCTTCTTTATAAGTCTGGTAAAATTTGGCTGTGAATCTGTCTTGTCCAGGGCTTTTTCTTGTTGGTAGGTTTTTTATTATTGATTCACCTTTGAAACTCCTTATAGTCTGTTAATGATTTTCATTTCTTCCTGGTTCACTCATGAGAGGTTATATGCTTCCAGGAATTTATCCATCTCTTCTAGGTTTTCTAGTTTGTCTCCAAAGTGGTGATCATTATAGCCTCTGAGGGTTTTTTGTATTTCTGTGGGGTTGGTGACAATGTCACCTTTGTCATTTTTAATTCTGTTTATTTGGATATTCTCACTTTTTAATTTATTAATCTAGCTAGCAGTCTATCAATGTTATTTATTCTTTCAAAGAACCAACTTTGGGTTCATCTATCCTTTTTATACATTTTTGTGTTCAATTTTGTTCAGTTCAGCTTTGATTTCTGGTTATTTATTTTCTTCTGCTATGTTTGGGGTTGGTTTCCTCTTGTTTTTGTAGTTTATCTGGATGCAATATAAATGTTATTTTGAGGTCTAACTTCTTCATATAGGCAATTAGTGCTATGAACTTTCCTCTTAACACTGCTTAGCTGTGTCCCAGAGATTCTATTGTATTGTATCCTTGTTTTCATTAGTTTCCAAGAATATTTTTTTAATTTCTGCATTAATTTCATTCTTTACCCCAAAGTCATTCAGGAATATGTTGTTTAATTTCCATGTAATTGTTTGATTTTGAGAGTTCTTCTTGGTATTGACTTCTCTTTTAATTATGCTGTAGTCTGAGAGTATGCTTGGTATGATTTTGGTTTCTTTAGAATTTTTGAGAATTGCTTTATTGCTGAGCATGTGTTTGATTTTCGAGTACGTGCCATGTGCAGATGAGAAGAATATATATTCTGCTGTTGCTGCATGGAGTCTTCTACAGATGTCTATTAGGTCCTTTTGATGAAGTGTCGAAGTTTAGATCCTAGATATGTTTGTTAGTTTTCTAATTCATTGATCCATCTAACACTGTCAGCGTGCTGTTGAAGTCTCCCACTATTATTGTGTAGTTATCTAGGTCTCTACATGTCTCTATAAGAACTTGTTTTACAAATCTGGGTGCTCCAGCATTGGGTGCATATATATTTAGGACCGTTAATTCTTCTTTTCGAATTGAACCCTTTATCATTATGTAACGCCCTTCTTGGCTTTTTAAAAATTTTTTGTTGGTTTAAAGTCTGTTTTTCTGAAATAGGAATAGGAACTCCTGCTCTTTTTGTTTTCAGTTGGCTTGGTAGATTTTTCTCCATCACTTTCCTTTGAGCCTATGAATGTCACTTCATGTGATGGGTCTCTCGAAGATAACATAGAGTTGGGTCTTGCTTCTTTATCCAACTTGCCAATCTGTGCCTTTTAAATGGGATGTTTAGCTCAACATTTAAAGTTAATATTGATATATGCGCATTTGATCTTGTCATCATGTTATTACCTGGTTGTTATGTAGACATGTTTTTGTCTTTGCTTTATAATGTTAATGGTGTATGTACTTAAGTGTGTTTTTATGATGGCTGGTAATAGTCTTTCATTTCCATATTTAGCACTAACTTAAGGACTTTTTTTAAAAGAGGTCTCATGGTTTCCTTAACATTTGCTTAACTGAAAAGATTTCATTGCTTCTTTGCTTATAAAACTTAGTTTGCCTGGTTATAAAATACTTGGTTAGAATTTCTTTTCTTTGTGGATGCTGAATATAGGCCTTCAGTCTCTTCTTGCTTGTAGGGTTTCTGCTGAAAAGTCTACTTTGAGCCTGATGAAGTTCCCATTGTAGGTAACCTGCCCTTCTCCCTTCTCTCTAGCTATTTTTAATATATTTTCTTTTTCTTTTCTTTTTTCTTTCTGAGACAGAGTCTCACTCTGCTGCCCAGGCTGGAGTGCAGTAGAGCTATCTCAGCTCACTGTAACATCCACCTCCCGGGACTGCAACCTCCGCCTCCTGGGTTCGAGCAATTCTAGTGTCTCAGCCTCCCGAGTAGCTGGGATTATAGGCATGTGCCACCACTCCCAGCTAATTTTTGTATCTTTAGTAGAGTCAGGGTTTCACCATCTTGGCCAGGCTGGTCTCCAACTTTTGACCTCATGTGACACACCTGTCCTTGCCTCCCAAATTCCTGGGATTACAGGTGTGAGCCACCGTGCCCAGCCTTTAATATGTTTTCTTTCACATGGCTTTGGAGAATCTGATTGTCAGGCCTCTGAGCCCAAGCCAAGCCATCGCATCCCCTGTGACCTGCACATATATGCCCAGATGGCCTGAAGTAACTGAAGAATCACAAAAGAAGTGACTATGCCCTGCCCCATCTTAACTGATGACATTCCACCACAAAAGTGTAAATGGCCGGTCCTTGCCTTAAGTGATGACATTACCTTGTGAAAGTCCTTTTCCTGGCTCATCCTGGCTCAAAAACACCCCCACTGAGCACCTTGCGACCCCTACTCCTGCCCACCAGAGAACAAACCCCCTTTGACTGTAATTTTCCTTTACCTACCCAAATCCTATAAAAGGGCCCCACCCTTATCTACCTTTGCTGACTCTCTTTTCGGACGCAGCCCGCCTGCACCGAGGTGAAATAAACAGCCACGTTGCTCACACAAAGCCTGTCTGGTGGTCTCTTCACATGGACACACATGAAATTTGGTGCCGTGACTCGGATTGGGGGACCTCCCTTGGGAGATCAATCCCCTGTCCTCCTGTTCTTTGCTCCATGAGAAAGATCCACCTACGACCTCAGGTCCTCAGACTGACCAGCCCAAGAGACATCTCACCAATTTCAAATCTGGTAAGCGGCCTCTTTTTACTCTCTTCTCCAACCTCCCTCACTATCCCTCAACCTCTTTCTCCTTTCAATCTTGGCGCCACACTTCAATCTCTCCCTTCTCTTAATTTCGATTCCTTTCATTTTCTGGTAGAGAAAAGGAGACACATTTTATCTGTGGACCCAAAACTCCGGCGCCGGTCACGGACTGGGAAGGCAGCCTTCCATTTGTGTTTAATCATTGCAGGGACGCCTCTCTGATTATACACCCACATTTCAAGGGTGTCAGACCACGCAGGGATGCCTGCCTTGGTCCTTCACCCTTAGCGTCAAGTCCCGCTTTTCGGGGAAGGGGCAAGTACCCCAACCCCTTCTCTCCGTGTCTCTACCCCTTCTCTGCCTTTCCTAGGGAAGGGGCAAGTACCCCTCAACCCCTTCTCCTTCACCCTTAGCGGCAAGTCCTGCTTTCCTAGGGGGCAAGGACCCCCCAATCGCTTATTTCCACACCCCAACCTCTCATCTCCACACCCCAATCCCTTATTTCTGTGCCCCAAACCCTTCTCTGCTTTTCTGGAGGGCAAGAACCCCCCATCCCTTCTCCGTGTCTCTACTGCTTTCTCTGGGCTTGCCTCCTTCACTATGGATAAGCTTCCACCTTCCATTCCTCCCTCTTCTCCCTTAGCCTGTGTTCTCAAAAACTCAAAACCTCTTCAACTCACACCTGACCTAAAACCTAAATGCCTTATTTTCTTCTGCAATGCTGCTTGACCCCAGTACAAACTCAACAGTAGTTCCAAATAGCCGGAAAATGGCACTTTCAATTTTTCCATCCTACAAGATCTAAATAATTCTTTTCTTAAAATGGTCAAAATGGTCTGAGGTGCCTGACATCCAGGCATTCTTTTACACATCAGTCCCTTCCTAGTCTCTGTGCCCAGTGCAACTCGTCCCAAATCTTCCTTCTTTCCCTCCCGCCTGTCCCCTCAGTCCCAACCCCAAGCGTCACTGAGTCTTTTTAATCTTCCTTTTCTACAGACCTATCTGACCTCTCCCCTCCTCGCCAGCCCAAGCTAGGTCCCAATTCTTCCTCAGCCTCCGCTCCTCCACCCTATAATCCTTTTATCACCTCCCCTCCTCACACCTGGTCCAGCTTACAGTTTCGTTCCGTGACTAGTCCTCCCCAACCTGCCCAGCAATTTACTCTTAAAAAGGTGGCTGGAGCTAAAGGCATAGTCAAGGTTAATGCTCCTTTTTCTTTATCCCAAATCAGAAGCGTTTAGGCTCTTTTTCATCAAATATAAAAATCCAGCCCAGTTCATGACTTGTTTGGCAGCAACCCTGAGACACTTTACAGCCCTAGACCCTAAAAGGTCAAGAGGCTGTCTTTTTCTCAATATACATTTTATTACCCAATCTGCTCCTGACATTAAATAAAACTCCAAAAATTAAATTCTGGCCCTCAAACCCCACAACAGGATTTAATTAACCTCGCCTTCAAGGTGTACAACAATAGAAAAAAGTTGCAATTCCTTGCCTCCACTGTGAGACAAACCCCAGCCACATCTCCAGCACACAAGAACTTCCAAACGCCTGAACCGCAGCAGTCAGGCATTCCTCCAGAACCTCCTCCCACAGGAGCTTGCTACACGTGCTGGAAATCTGGCCACTGGGCCAAAGAATGCCCACAGCCCGGGATTCCTCCTAAGCTGCATCCCATCTGTGTGGGACCCCACTGAAAATCAGACTGTTCAACTCACCTGGCAGCCACTCCCAGAGCCCCTGGAACTCTGGCCCAAGGCTCTCTGACTGACTCCTTCCCAGATTCTTCTTGGCGTAGCGGCTGAAGACTGACACTGCCCAATCACCTTGGAAGCCCCCTAGACCATCACGGACGCTGAGCTTCGGGTAACTCTCACAGTGGAGGGTAAGTCTGTCCCCTTCTTAATCAATACGGAGGCAACCCACTCCACATTACCTTCTTTTCAAGGGCCTGTTTCCTTTGCCCCCATAACTGTTGTGGGTATTGACGGCCAGGCTTCTAAACCTCTTAAAACTCCCCAACTCTGGTGCCAACTTAGACAATACTCTTTTAGGCACTCCTTTTTAGTTATCCCCACCTGCCCAGTTCCCTTATTAGGCTGAGACACTTTAACTAAATTATCTGCTTCCCTGCCTATTCCTGGACTACAGCCACATCTCATTGCTGCCCTTCTTCCCAATCCAAAGCCTCCTTTGCGTCCTCCTCTTGTATCCCCCACCTTAACCCACAAATATAAGCTACGTCTACTCCCTCCTTGGTGACCGATCATGCACCCCTTACCATCTCATTAAAACCTAATCACCCTTACCCCACTCAACACCAATATCCCATCCCGCAGCATGCTTTAAAAAGATTAAAGCCTGTTATCACTCGCCTGCTACAACATGGCCTTTTAAAGCCTATAAAAACTCCTTACAATTTCCCCATTTTACCTGTCCTAAAACCAGACAAGCCTTACAAGTTAGTTCAGAATCTGCGCCTTATCAACCAAATTGTTTTGCCTATCCACCCCGTGGTGCCAAACCCATATACTCTCCTATCCTCAATACCTGCCTCTACAACCCATTATTCTGTTCTGGATCTCAAACATGCTTTCTTTACTATTTCTTTGCACCCTTAATCACAGCCTCTCTTCACTTTCACTTGGACTGACCCTGACACCCATCAAGCTCAGCAAATTACCTGGGCTGTACTGCCACAAAGCTTCACAGACAGCTCCCATTACTTCAATCAAGCCCAAATTTCTTCCTCATCTGTTACCTATCTCGGCATAATTCTCATAAAAGCACATGTGCTCTCCCTGCCAATCGTGTCGGACTGATCTCTCAAACCCAAGCACCTTCTACAAAACAACAACTCCTTTCCTTCCTAGGCATGGTTAGCGCGGTCAGAGATCTTACACAAGAGCCGGGACCTCACCCTGTAGCCTTTCTGTCCAAACAACTTGACCTTACTGTTTTAGCCTAGCCCTCATGTCTGCGTGCAGCAGCTGCCGCTGCTTTAATACTTTTAGAGGCCCTCAAAATCACAAACTATGCTCAACTCACTCTCTACAGTTCTCATAACTTCCAAAATCTATTTTCTTCCTCATACCTGATGCATATACTTTCTGCTCCCCGGCTCCTTCAGCTGTACTCACTCTTTGTTAAGTCCCAAAATTACCGTTGTTCCTGGCCGGGACTTCAATCCGGCCTCCCACATTATTCCTGATACCACACCTGACCCCCATGACTGTATTTCTCTGATCCACCTGACATTCACCCCATTTCCCCAAATTTCCTTCTTTCCTGTTCCTCACCCTGATCATGCTTGATTTATTGATGGCGGTTCCACCAGGCCTAATCGCCACACACCAGCAAAGGCAGGTTATGCTATAGTACAAGCCACTAGCCCGCCTCTTAGAACCTCTCGTTTCCTTTCCATCGTGGAAATCTATCCTCAAGGTAATAACTTCTCAGTGTTCCATCTGCTATTCTACTACTCCTCAGGGATTATTCAGTCCCCCTCCCTTCCCTACACATCAAGCTCAAGGATTTGCCCCCACCCAGGACTGGCAAATTAGCTTTACTCAACATGCCCTGAGTCAGATAACTAAAATACCTCTTAGTCTAGGTAGACACTTTCACTGGATAGGTAGAGGCCTTTCCTACAGGGTCTGAGAAGGCCACCGCAGTCATTTCTTCCCTTCTGTCAGACATAATTCCTCAGTTTAGCCTTCCCACCTCAATACAGTCTGATAACAGATGACCCTTTATTAGTCAAATCAGCCAAGCAGTTTTTCAGGCTGTTAGTATTCGGTGAAACCTTTATATCCCTTACGGTCCTCCATCTTCAAGAAAAGTAGAATGGACTAAAGGTCTTTTAAAAACACACCTCACCAAGCTCAGCCACCAACTTAAAAAGGACTGGACAATACTTTTACCACTTTCCCTTCTCAGAAGTCAGACCTGTCCTCGGAATGCTACAAGGTACAGCCCATTTAAGCTCCTGTATAGACGCTCCTTTTTATTAGGCCCCAGTCTCATTCCAGCCACCAGACCAACTTAGACTGTGCCCCCAAAAAACTTGTCATCCCTACTATCTTCTCTCTAGTCATACTCCTATTCACCGTTCTCAACTACTCATACAGGCCCTGCTCTTGTTTACACTGCCTGTTTACACTGTTTCTCCAGGCCATCACAGCTGATATCTCCTGGTGCTATCCCCAAACTGCCACTCTTAACTCTTGAAGTAAATAAATAATCTTTGCTGGCAGGACTATGCTGAATCTCCTCAGGCACTCTCTAATCAGATATCCTGAGTCGTTCCAATTCTTAGACCTTTTATACCTGTTTTTCTCCTTCTGTTATTCCATTTAGTTTTCCAATTCATACAAAACCGTATCCAGGCCATCACCAATCATTCTATACGACAAATGTTTCTTCTAACATCCCCACAATATCACCCCTTACCACAAAATCTTCCTTCAGCTTAATCTCTCCCACTCTAGGTTCCCACGCCGCCCCTAATCCCGCTTGAAGCAGCCCTGACAAACATCGCCCATTCTCTCTCCATATCACCCCCCAAAAATTTTCGCCGCCCCAACACTTCAACACTATTTTGTTTTATTTTTCTTATTAATATAAGAAGGCAGGAATGTCAGGCCTCTGAGCCCAAGCCAAGCCATTGCATCCCCTGTGACCTGCACATATACGCCCAGATGGCCTAAAGTAACTGAAGAATCACGAAAGAAGTGAATATGCCCTGCCCCATCTTAACTGACGACATTCCACCACAAAAGAAGTGTAAATGGCCGGTCCTTGCCTTAACTGACGACATTACCTTGTGAAAGTCCTTTTCCTGGCTCATCCTGGCTCAAAAACACCCCCACTGAGCACCTTGCGACCCCCACTCCTGCCCGCCAGAGAACAAACCCCCTTTGACTGTAATTTTCCTTTACCTACCCAAATCCTATAAAAGGGCCCCATCCTTATCTCCCTTCGCTGACTCTCTTTTCGGACTCAGCCCACCTGCACCCAGGTGAAATAAACAGCCATGTTGCTCACACAAAGCCTGTTTGGTGGGCTCTTCACACGGACGCGCATGAAACTGATGACAATGTGTATTGAGGATGGTCTCCTTGTATGGCATCTTGCAGGGCTTCTCTGGTTTTCCTGAATTTGAATGTTGACTTCTTTAGTGAGGCTGGGAAAATTTTCAAGGACAATGTCCTCAAATATGTTTTCCAAGTTACTTGCTCTCTGTCCTTCTCCTTCAGTGAGGCCAATGAGTCATAGATTTGGCCTCTACCTAATCTTGTATTTCTTAGAGATTTTGTTCAATTTTTAAAATTCTTTTTTTTTTTTAAATTTTTGCATGAATGAGTTGATTAAAAGAACCAGTCTTCAAGCTCTGGAATCCTTTCCTCAGCTTGGTCAATTCTGCTATTAAATTTTCCAATTGTAATATCAGCTTCAACAGATTAGTTTTGTTTGTTTGTTTTGTTTTGTTTTCATAAAATGGTTATTTTATCTTTCAGCTCTGGTATCATTTTATTGGCTTCCTTAAGTTCCTTGGATTGGGTTTCACCTTTCTTCTGAATCTCAATGATTCTTGCTGCCACCCAGATTCTGAATTCTATGTCTGTCATTCCAGCCATTTCAGCCTCGTTATGAACCATTGCTGGGTAGCTAGGGTGTTTGTTTGGAGTTGAGAAGACACTCAGGCCTTTTGAGTTGCCAAAGTTCTTGTGCTTGTTCTTTCTCATCTGTGTGGGCTGATGTTCCTTTCATCTGTGAAGTTGCTGTCGATTGAATAGGGCTTTTTCCTTTATAGTCTTTAATTCCTTTGAAGGATTGGCTGTGGTATAGAACCTGGGGTCAGTTAACTGGCTTCATTTCTGTATGATTTCATGAGGCCAAGGCTCTACTCAGCACTCCTGGCCTGCCTGCTGTAATTCTGGGGTTCTGGGTCTAGGCCCACAGCTTTGTTCTCTGGTCCCTTGCGGTTAAACACCTGCTGTGCTGGAGGGGCTGAGGTGTTCTCAGGCCACTGGCAACAACGCTCCAATGGGTGTTCTGACCAAAGTGCTTCATCAGGGCAGTGTCAGTGTGGTCTATGCATATGGTTGTGCCAACAGTTACAGTTACAGGGTGGCAGGATCTGCATGTGTGCATGTGTTGGTGGGGACAGGGCAGTGGTAGTGAGATCTGCAAATGTGCTAGTTGTGGCAGAGTGGCCAGGTCCACACATGTGTGTCTGCGAAATGGTGGGCAGTGGTTGTGAGTGCAAACTGGTAAAGTACTGTATTTTATTGTATTTATTTAAAGACAGAGTCTCACTTTGTTGCCCAGGCTGAAACACAGTGGCATATGAAATGACCATCACTCACTTCAACCCCAGACTCCTGGGCTCAAGCAATCCTCCACTCCAGCCTCCTGAGTAGCTAAGACTATAGGCATGCACTGCCACACCTGGCTAATTTTTCAATTTTCTTATAGAGATGGGGTGTCACTGTGTTGCCCAAGCTTATGGTCTCAAAGTGCTAGGATTACAGGCATGAGCTACCAGCCTTGTCAAAAATTTTTGTGATAACATGTTATAAAAGCTGAAGAGGTATTTTTACTTCCCATTTTTGCTATATTTTAATGATTATTGTTAAACAGCTACTTCCTCATAAAAATTTATTATGGCTTTTTTTTTTTTTTGAAACGGAGTCTTACTCTGTTGCCCAGGCTGGAGTACAGTGGTGCAATCTCAGCTCACTGCAGTCTCTGCCTCCTGGGTTCAAGCAATTCTCCTTCCTCAGCCTCCCGAGTAGCTGGGACTACAGGTGCACACTGCCACACCTGGTTAATTTTTTATATTTTAGTAGAGACAGGGTTTCACTGTGTTGCCCAGGCTGGTCTGAACTCTTGAGCTCAGGCAATGTGCCCGCCTCGGCCTCCCAAAGTGTTGGGATTACAGGCATGAGCCACCGCGCCCAGCCAGAATTTATTAAGTTAACACTACATACTTTAAATAATAAAAGCTTTCCAGCATGTGATTTTACATAATCTATTTTCCTTCCTTACATCATGGTTTCCTACATAACTGTGTAAAGCTTGGGCTAACACTTTATAAATTTAAGAGCTATTTTATCATGATAAAGATGAGTTGAAACAGATAACTGGTCTTGGCCAAATAAAAATTCTTAATTTTTTATTACTTTACGCAGACTCCATTGTTGAATATTTCTAAATATTCTAAGAGCAAACACTTAAATATTCTATTTTTTCTCCCTGCCTTGTCTCTTGGCAAACAAGAATGTTGTCTAAACTTGGGTTGCCACAAAGGCTTTGTGGCTAATCCTGTAAAGACAAGATGCAGAAAAGACCCAGGTAAGACAGTTTTATGAAGCTAACAAATTGTATGCTCCAGGTCAAGCTGTTAGGGTATTCAGCTCTTTTGCAAACTGCTTTTAGAAAGAGAACCCG
Organism: Homo sapiens; assembly: GCF_000001405.40. NCBI lineage: Eukaryota > Metazoa > Chordata > Mammalia > Primates > Hominidae > Homo > Homo sapiens. The sequence goes on from NC_000003.12 coordinate 190,928,229, forward strand.
ACATGGCACATGTATACCTACGTAACAAACCTGCATATTGTGCACATGTACCTAGAACTTAAAATATAATAAAATAAGTAAATAAATAAATAAGTAACCATGCTCAAAAAAAAAAAAAAAAAGAAAAAGAAAAAAGAAAGAGAACCAGGGCCTGGCGTGGTGGCTCCTGTAATCCCAGCACTTTGGGAGATCAAGGAGGGCAGATTGCCTGAGCTCAGGAGTTCAAGACCAGCCCAGGCAACACGGTGAAATGCCATCTCTACTTAAAAAAAAAAAAATTAGTTCAGCATGGTGTCATGTGCCTCTGATCCCAGCTACTCTGGAGGCTGAGGCAGGGAAATCATTTGAGCCAGGAAGCAGAGGTTGCAGGGAGGCAGAGGTTGCAGTGAGCCAAGATCACTCCATTGCGTGCCATCCTGGGTGACAGAGCCAGACCCTGTCTAAAAAAAAAAAAGCACTTGATGACTGCTGCAGGAGAAATCTGGAACGCGACTCTCCTAAACCTTTGATCTGGGCTTCTGATTTAAAATAGAAAATACTACATTCTTTAACTTCAAGAATTAGTCAATGAACCAAAGTAAAAGGACCTTGAAAGCCAATAGATGATTGGCCAGTTTCAAGTGGTAGGTTAATACCAATTGTTAGAAAGTAAATAAAAACTGAATTCTTAATAAACCCACTCAGAATTGACATGTGGTTGTTTCATTCCAGCATCTGGGCAATTATGAGGCCAAAGAGTATAATGAAGAGAGATAGCCATGCTTGTTTTAGGTGCGTTTTCTCATGATAAGAATAAAAGTGCTTGCTTGGGAGGCAGCATATACAATAGTGTAATACGTGAACATTAGAATCAAACAGTGAAAATCCATGATTCTTCTATTTAATAGTTGTGTAGGTATGAGCAAGTGACTTAAACGCCTACTTTTTTAGCTGTAAAATGGAAATAAATATAAGTTCCCTCGTGGGACTATTGTTAAGATTAAGTGAACTAATCCAGGAAAACTATTTAATATTTTGTTTGGTTTAGAGTGACAATCATGTTAGCTATTTTATTCATTACTACAAATATGTGGCTCTAAATACTGAGAGAAAATGCAGCACAAAGGTCAAGAACATAGCTCTGGAGCTAGACTTCCTGAGTCCAAATCTCAGAATTTTTCCTATTTTTCCCATTTATTTGATATAGCTATTATTAGTAGCTATGCCATAAGTTTTGTATGAGGTTTAAATGACTAAGTATTTCTGAAGCATTCCAGACAGTGTCTGGCACATAGGGATCATCATATAAATATTTACTTGATAAAATAATAAATTGATTGCATATAGACTTGTTCATGTTGTTTCGGTATCGTAGAATTTTATTTGTAATTGTCCCAAACTGGAAACAATCCTTACTGAGGTATAACTGAACGAAGAAAATTGCACCAGATTATAATGTACAATGTGATTGATTTATAATGTACAATGCAATTGATAAATATATATCTCGTGAAATAATTACCACAATCAAGTTTGTTATACCATCTAAACAACCTACATTTTAATCAGTAATAGAATGAGTATATAAATTGTGGTTAATATTATGCAAAATAATTCTACTCAGCAATATAAAAGAACAGTTTATTGATACAAAAACAAGATGCATCATATTGAGTGACAGATCTCTGACAGAAAATGGTATCATTTACATACAGTTCAAGAATAAGCAAATCTGGTTTATACTAATAGATTTTAGGGAAATGGTTACCATCTGGAGGAGTACTGACAGGAGTGAATCATGAGGGAATATTCTTTGATTTTGCAAAAGTTCAATATATTAATCTGGGTGCTGACTACAAGGTAATACTACCATGCACATTTTAATAAAATTATACGTTTAAGATTTTTATACTTCATGTATATTATACTTTAATTTTTTAATTTAATATGTTTTATTATATATCATCTATTTTACTCCAGTATAACACTTTCATCTGTCAATCCATTGACCCATTCAGTTATTTGTAATATGTAAGAGCACATCTTTGAGATTCAGACTAACTTGAGGTGCAATCCAGGTGCTGCAATGGTATGTCCCTCACTGTTCTGAGTTTCCATCTCCTCACCTGTTGATTGTTATCATTGCTAACTTTCTGGGTTTTTTTGAGGATCAGTTGAAGTAATGTAAATAAACTGCTTAATGCAATACCTGGTAGAAAGTAAGTGCTCAAAAAATAACAGAATTATATTTTTTATAAATGTTATAATTTTGTATAAGAATATGTACCAGGTATGCTACCAGCCACTATGGAGTTGACCAGTGTAAATAGGAAAAGGTTACCTCCTTCAAAGAGAAGACTTAAATGGCACAAAAACATCCATGAAGGAAACATGAAACAATCTTACCCAAGATCTAAAAACCTAAGTCATACAACTGTAGAGAGATTCTAGGGTTGGGGATCAGAAATGGAATGTCAAGACCTGTTTTCAAGCTTTTCATTTCAGGTCATGTCACTAATACAGTATGCTCTCCATATGCATTCCAAAAGTCATGGTTTTTAGCTTATAAACTATATTTAAGTGTATATATTGTAAGTACTAAATGAAATTCTTCATATCACAATAGTTTCATAAATAAAGTACAATAGAAGTATAGTAGGTTATTTTCATTCTTATCATAATTAAGTCTACTGGTCAGAGAGGAAAGTAGATATAGGACACCCAGAGTATATTTATTTCTTAATGTTTATAAAATTCCATTACTCACTCACGCAAGACCTCCCCAACCACTGAAATTATGTAACAAATTCTCAATATCAAAATTGTAATATTCTTATAGTCATTGTCCAGTAATTTCTTTAAAAAATGTTTTATTTTTTAGATTAAGGGGGTACATGTGCATGTTTGTTACATGGGTATATTGAGTAACGCTGGGGTATGAGCTTCTAGTGAACCCATCACCCAGACAACAAACATAGTAATCAATAAGCAGTTTCTCAACCCTTGTTCCCTTCCCTCCCTCCCGCTTTATGGAGTCCCCAGTGTCTATTGTCCATCTTTATGACCATGTGTACAGGTTATTTTGCTCCCACTTATAAATGAGAACATGTGGTATTTGATTTTCTTTTTCTGCATTAATTCACTTGGGATAATGTCTTCCAGCTACAGCCGTGTTGCTGCAAAGGACATGATTTTATTTATTTTAATGACTGTATATTATTCCACGGTGTGTATGTGCCACATTTTCTTTATCCAATCCATTGTTGATGGAAACTAAGGTTGATTTTATGACTTTGCCACTGTGAATAGTGCTGTAATCAACATGCGAGTGCAGGTGTCTTTGTCTTTTTGGTAAAGCAATTTATTTTCTCTTGGGTAGATATCCAGTAGTAGGATTGATAGATGAAATAGTAATTCTATTTTTAGCTCTTTGAGAAACCGCCATACTTTTTTCATTAAGGGTTAAACTAATTCACATTCCTACCAACCGTGTCTTCCCTTTTCTCCACATCCTTGCCAACATCTGTTATTTTTTGTTTTTAATAAAATAGCCATTCTGACTGGTGTGAGATGGTATCTCGTTGTAATTTAATTTGCATTTATTTGATGATTTGTGATGTACAGCATTTTAAAATATGTTTGTTGGATATGTGTATGTCTTCTTTTGAGAAGTGTCTGTTTGTTAATATATCATTTGCCCAATTTTTAATGAGGTTATTTTTTTACTTGTTGATTTAAGTTCTTCATAGATTCTGGTTATTAGTCTTTTGTTGGATGCACCATTTGCAAATATTCTCTCCCATTCTGTAGGTTGTCTGTTTACTTTGTTGATTGTTTCTTTTGCTGTGCAGGAACTCTTTAGTTTAATTAAGTACCATTTGTCATTTTTGTTTTTGTTGCAATTGCTATTGAGGTCTTAGTCATAAATTCTTTGCACCAACCAATGTCCAGAAGAGTTTTTCCTAGGTTTTCTTCTAGGGTTTCTATTTGAGTTCTTACATTTAAGTATAATATTTAATCCATCTTGAGTTAATTTTTACGTATGGTAAGAGATGGGGTCCCATTTCATTCTTTTGCAAAATGTTAGCTAATTTTCCTAGCACCATTTATTGAATAAGAGTATGTGATTTCCCCATTGTTTATTCTTCTCAACTTTCTTGAAGAGCAGTTGGTTGTAGGTGTGGGACTTCATTTCTGGGTTCTCCGTTCTGTTCCATTGATCCATGTGTCTATTTTGGTACCAATACTATGCTGCTTTGGTTACTACAGCTTTGTAGTATTCAGGCTCTTTTTTGGTTCCATGTACATTTTAGACTTGTTTAAAAACTTTTAAAATTGACATATAAAAGTCTATATCTTTATGGTATGTAACATGATGTTTTGATATATTTATGCATTACAGAATGGCCAAACAAGCTAATTCCAATATTTTCAATTATTCTATGTTTAGTCTCATACTGCCACATTACCATGAAGCTAATATCAACTTAAGAAAGTACTTTTGCAAATGTGAGAATTTTTCATTGAAAATATTTCAATTTTAGATAATTTTAGGCCAGGCATGGTGGCTCACACCTGTAGTCCCAGCACTTTGGGAGGCCAAGGTCGGCGGATCACTTGAGGTCAGGAGCTCCAGACCAGCCTTGCAAACATGGTGAAACTCCATCTCTAGTAAAAGTACAAGAATTAGCTGAGCATTGCACATGTCTGTAGTCCCAGCTACTCGGAAGGAGGAACAAGAAATGCTTGAAGCCAGGAGGTGGAGGTTGCAGTGAGCCTGAGATCATACCTCTGCACTCCAGCCTGGGCAACAGAGTAAGACCCTGTCTTGGGGGGGAAAAAAAAAAAACAAAAGAAAGAAAAGAAAAAAGAAATATTATGTAGATAATTTTAGATGGACATGTCATTGTAGGAATAATACAGACAGATCATGTGCACTCTTCACTTTCCAAATGGTTCCTTTATGGAAAATTATTGTACAACTTTGCAACCAAGATATGGACATCAGTACAATCTACTGCTCTTACTCAGGTTTTCTATTTTACTTGTACTCATTAATGTGTGTTCCTTTTGTTCTGTGTAACTTTACCATATGTATAGTTTCATGTATCCAGCACCACAGTCAGGCTACTGAACAGTTCCATAACTATAAGGATTCCTTATGTTGCACTTTTATATCAGAGTCTACCTTCTCCTGCCTGTCTACCTCAGATGGAATAGAAACCAATAACTTGTTCTCCATTTCTAAAATCATGTAATTTAAAAATATGATAGAAATGGAATCATATCCTATGTAATCTTTTGGCATGTTTTTTTATTCAACACAATTCCTTGGAGATTCATTCAATATGTTATGTGTACAAATAATTTGTTTGATTTCATTGCTGTGTTATTATTTCACAATATGTATGCTGCAGTTTGTCCATTCACCTATTGAAGGATGTCGGGATTGTTTCTGGTGTTTGCTATTATGAACAAATAGCTCCAAATATTCAGGTGTACATTTTAAGTGAGCATAAGTTTCCATTTTTCTGCGATAAATGCCTAAGAATACAATGGCTGGGTCACATTATAATTTTGAATGGTTAGTATTTTTAAGAAATTGTCTATTGATACTTGCCTGTGCTTCATGAAGTTCTCATGCTGTGTTTTTCAGCTCCATCAGGTCATTTATATTCTTCTCTAAACTTATTCTAGTTAGCAATTCTTCTAACCTTTTTTTCAAGGTTTTTAGCTTCCTAGCATAGGGTTAGAACATGCTCCTTTAGCTCGGAGGAGTTTGTTATTGCCCACCATCTGAAGCCTACTTCTGTCAATTCGTCAAATTCATTCTTTGTCCAGTTTTGTTCCCTTGCTGGTGAGGAGTTGTGATCCTCTGGAGAAGAAGAGGCGTTCTGGTTTTGGGAATTTTCAGCTGTTTTGTGCTGTTTTTTCCTCATCTTCATGGATTTATCTACCTTTGGTCTTTGATGTTGGTGACCTTCGGATGGGGTTTCTGTATGGACGTCCTTTTTGTTGATGTTGATGCTATTCCTTTCTGTTTGTTAGTTGTCCTTCTAACAGGCCCCTCTGCTGCAGGTCTGCTGGAGTTTGCTGGAGGTCCACTCCAGACACTGTTGGCCTGGGTATCACCAGTGGAGGCTGCAGAACAGTAAAGATTGCAGCCTGTTACTTCCTCTGGAAGCTTTGTCCCAGAGGGTCACTTGCCAGATGCCAGCTGGAGCTCTCCTATATGAGGTATCTGTTGACTGCTGCTGGGAGGTGTCTCCCAGTCAGGAGGCACAGGGGTCAGGGACCCACTCGAGGAAGCAGTCTGTCCCTTAGCAGAGCTGAAGCGATATGCTGGGAGATCTCTTCAGAGCCGGCAGGCAGGAACATTTAAGTCTGCCCAAGCTGCGCCCACAGCCGCCCCTTCCCCCAGGTGCTCTGTCCCAGGGAGATGGGAGTTTTATCTATAAGCCCCTGCCTGGGTCTGGTGCTTTTCTTTCAGAGATGCCCTGCCCAGAGAGGAGGAATCTAGAGAGTCAGTCTGGCTACAGCAGCTTTGCTGAGTATCAGTAGGCTCCACCCAGTTCGAACTTCCAGGCAGCTTTGTTTACACTGTAAGGGGAAAACCACCTACTCAAGCCTCAGTAACGGTGCACGCCCTCCCCTCACCAAGCTCGAGCATCCCAGGTTGACTTCAGACTGCTGTGCTGGCGGCAAGTATTTCAAGCCAATGGATCTTAGCTTGCTGGGCTCTGCGGTCGTAGGATCCGTAGGATCCGCTGAGCTAGATCACTTGGCTCCCTGGCTTCAGCCCCCTTTCCAGGGGAGTGAACGGTTCTGTCTCGCTGGCATTCCAGGCACCACTGGGTTATGAAAAAAAGAAAACTCTTGCAGCTAGCTCAGTGTCCGCCCAAACGGCTGCCCAGTTTTGTGCTTGAAACTCAGGGCCCTGGTGGCATAGGCACCCAAGGGAATCTCCTGGCCTGCAAGTTGTGAAGACCATGGGAAAAGCATAGTATCTGGGCCAGAGTGTTCTGTGCCTCACTGCACAGTTCCTCAAGTATTCTCTTGGCTAGGGGAGGGAGATCCCCAACCCCTTGCACTTCCCAAGTGAGGTGACACCCCACCTGCTTCAGTTCATCCTCTTAGCCCTCTGATAAGTGTGTGGTAATATATTAATATCATTTGGCTTTAATTTGTATTTACCTAATGACTAATGATGTTGAATGCATTTCATGTGCTTATTTGTGCATATTTCATCTGATATCCAGTTCTTTATATATTTTAAATATTGGTCCTTTGTCAGATAAGTCAGATATGTGGCTTGAAATATTTTTTCTCAGCCTGTAGCTTCCTTTCCATCCTCTAAATAGGGACTTTCATAAAGCAAATGTTTTTAATTTTGATGAAGTGCAATTTATCAGATTTTCGTTCTATGGATCATGATTTTGGTATCAAGTCTAAGAACTCTACCTATGCTGAAGACTTATTTCGAATCTTTTCTAAAAGTTGTATAGTTTTACCTTTTATGTTAAGTGCATGATCCACTTGGTGTTATTTTCTGTATAAAGTGTGAGGCTTAGGTTGTAGTTCTTTTTTTAATTTCCTTATGTGTCCAATTTCTCCAGCACGGTTTGTTGAAAGGCTATCTGTGTTGCATTGAGCTACCTTTGGAACGTCTCAAAATTAAGTTGAGCATATTTTTATGTGTCTGTTTCTGGGTTCTGTGTTCTAGTCCGTTGATCAATGTGTCTATTTCTCTAAAAATACCACACAGTCATGATTTGTAGTTTAAGCAAGCTTTAATATTGAGTAGAGTGATATCATCACTTTATTCTTTGTTGTCAAGATTGGTTAAGCTATTCTAGGTCCTGTGCCTTTTCATATAAATATTAGGATTAATTTGTTTATATCTACAATACATCTTGCTCTGATTTTTATAGGAACTGCATGAAACCTGAAGATGAATGTAAGGATAATCGATGTCATTGTTTTACAGCATACAGATGCTGTATATGTTTTATTAAGTGCATACATAAGAATTTTATTTTTGAGGGAATGATTTTAAATGGCATTGTATTATTTGTTTCTATGTGCTCATTTTTATTTTCTTTTATTTCATTTTATTTTAGTTTTTGTAGGCAAAGCTTTACCTCTGTCACCCAGGGTAGGGTGCAGTGACACAACCATAGCTCGCTATAACCTCGAACTACTGGCTAAAGCGATCCTCCAACCTCAGCCACCCAAGTAGCTGGGACTATAGGCACATGCCAATGCCACCATGCCCAGCTAATGTATGTTTATTTTTAGTGTACAGAAAGTACACTGATATTTTTGTGTTGATTTTGTATAATGCTACCCTACCTCATTAAATTCACTTATTGATTATAGAAATTCCCCTTCCCCTAATTTTTTTGACATTTTGTACATACACAATTATGTCATGTGCAAATACAAAAAGTTTTGTTTTGTTCTGTCTCATCTGCATGCCTGTCTCTTTTTCTTCCTTCCTTTCCTCCCTTCCTATCTCTCTTTCTCCCTTCATTTCCTCCTCTCCCTGTTCCTCCCCACTCCTCCCTTTCCTTCATTCCTTCTTTCTTTCTTTCTCTCTTTATTTCCCTTTTCCTCTGTTGCTTTATTGCAGTGGCTAGAACTTCAGTATTATGTTAAATAAGAATGAAAAGAATAGACATCCTTACCATGTTCTTGATCTTAAGAGGAAAAAATGCCTTCCGTTTTTCACCATAAAGTATGAAATTATCTGTAGATCCCTGAGGGTTTCTATACTGAATAGGGTTTGGATTTTTGACAAATGTTTCTTTTGTATTAACTGGTATGTTCATAGGATTTTAGTGTTTAGCCTGTTGATGTGAGAAATTACATCAATTGATTTTATAATATTGAACCAGTCTTACATACTGCTTTGCAGAGTTACATAGTTCTTCCCATGCGTTGCTAAGTTCAGTTTGCCAATATTTTATTGGGGACTTGTGTGTCTGAGTTCATGAGAGACACCAGTCTTTTTTATTTTCTTTTAACTGTTTGTCTTCTTTTGGTGACAGAGAAATATTGGGAGAAAATACATAAAATTGGTATTGGATTTCAAAATGTTTGCCAGAATTCTTCAGTAAAACTATCGAATTGGGAATTTCTTTTTTGGGTGCTTTTTAATCACACATTTATTTTGTAGAAGGTGTTCAAATTATCTGTTTCATTTTTAGTGAGATTTGGTAGTTTGTGATTTTCAAAAAATTGGTCCATTTGTTGTAAGTTGTTGAGTTTATCAGCATAAAGTTGCTCAAAGTAATGCCTTATAATTGTTTCAATGACTACAGGGTGATAGTCCCTATTTTATTCTTGATATTAGTGATTTGTGTCCTTTCTCTTTTTACTTCCGTCAGTGTTACTAGAGATTTACCAACTTCGTTGACTCGTTTTGAAGAACTAGGGATTTGTTTCATTGATTTTTTTTTTCTATTTTTATAGTTTCAATTTCATTGATTTTTCTCTTTTCTCTGTTATTTTTATTGATAGAGGGCTGTGCTGAAATCCCCACTCGAATGGTGGAATTGCCTGTCTCTGTTCTGTCAGCTTGTGCTTCATATATTTTGATGTTCTCTAGTTTGGTACATACACATGTAGAATTGTTACGTCTTCCCAGTGAATTGGTCACTTTGCAAATATGTGATGTCCCTAGTAGTATCTCTAGTAATGTTTTCTTTTCTCTGAAATCTACTTTGTCTGATGTTAATTCAGCTACTCTGCTTTTTTTTAAAAAAAAAAATAATGTTTGTATGGTGTATCTTTTTCAAACTTTTACTTCCAATCTACATATGTTGTTGATTTTAAAGTGAGTTTCTTGTAAATAGAGTATAATTGGATTTTTTGTTTGTTTTGCTCACTTTAGCTGCCAACCTGTCTTTTGATTAATCTATTTAGACTCTACATTTAGGGTAATTATTAATATGTTAGAGCTTAAGTCTGTCAATTTATTATTTTTCTTTGCTTACTTGCTCTGGCTTTGTTTCTCGTTTTTGCCTTCCTGCGGGTTACATGAACACATTGTATGGCTCCATACATGCACTGATTTGTGATAATGTATTTGAGTATATCTCTTTCTACAATTTTTGTTTTGGTTGCACTAGGAACTATGATATACGTATGTAATTTATCACAGCCTACAGACATCAACATTTAACCACTTTAGGTGAAGTGTGGAAACCTCATATCAGGCTGCTTTCAACATTTTTTTCTTTGTCTTTAGTTTTCAGAAGATTAATTATGATTAGTGTTAGCATGAATTTCTTTGGATTTATCTTGTTTAGAATTTTATTCATCTTCATGAATCTGTAGGTTTGTGTGTTTTTGCCAAATTTGGGAAGTTGTCAGCTGTTATTTCTTTGAATAGGCTTTTAGGCCCACTCTATTTTTCCTCTTCTTCAGAAACTTTAATGTTACAAAGCTGTATCTTTTAATATTGTCACAAGTTTTTGAGGCCGTTATATTTATTTTTCATTCTATTTTCTCTCTTTTGTCCAAATTGGATAAATTCTATTGATCAATCAAGTTTAGTTATTTTATCCTCTATTGATCTATCAAGTTTAGTTATTTTATCAGCGGATAAACTAGCCATTGGCTCTCTATGGTAATGAGTCCATCGAGTGAGTTTTATAATGCTATTACTGTATTCTTTTAGGTCTGTGTTTTCCATTTTTTAAAATAACTTCTATTTATTTGCTGAAATTTTATATTTTTTGCTTCAAGATAATATGTAATTCATTGTTTAAGCATTGTTACCATCACTGATTAAAACTTCTTGCCCTAAAATTTCAACATCTAATTGATTTTGGTGCTGGTGCCAGTGATTGTCTTTTTCTCATCAAGATGTAATATTCTTGGTTCTTGGGCTAACTGGATGATTTTCAATTGTATACTTGATATTTTGTATTTTATATTAGGAGACTTCGGGTCTTCTAAAATCTCTTATTCTAGAAGACAGCCCCTCTGTTTAGGTTTAGCTAGATCCTGGCATACTTTTGTGGGTTGCTATTTCTCTGACAGTTTAACTTTCAGATCTTTGCAGTGTTATTTTGGTCTGCTCGATTTACACGGTACTGCTGGGGCCCCCATGGGTCCCTGCAGTTCTTGCCTGAAGAAGGCAGAAGAAGTTTCCACAACTGGTGCTATAAGGTGTTTCTCAATCAAGGAAAGAAGTCTCTAGCTCTCTGGGATCAGTTGACTTCCTTGGACAGGAGTTTCATTTTGGTGGGGTTTTCTTTTTGTGGGGGACGGAGAACACTGTTATGGTGAGATTTCCACCTACCCATCTACTTTCAGAACCTTAGGACCAAAATGTCTTCCTAGGTTTAACTCCTTAACCTAGCAGCAGTTGCTGCTGCCCAGCTGACCACGTAATAATTCTCATTGGGAGAGGTGGTCTTATGCCCACAGGGATATAATAATCTTCCCTGTTGTGCTGCTTATTGTGACAGCACCCCTTTTGCTGTTGCTGCCCAGCTGTCCCGTGTCTCTTGGTGGAAAAGGAGTCTCAGGCTTACATGGAAGAAGAATCTGCTTTCTCTGGCTGCTGATTGCAGTTGGGACTCCCAGCTGATTTACCTTGCTTGTGGTGCCGTGCTCTCCTGGTACTGTTAGTGAACTCTTGTTCAGTCAGGGGTAGGGGGAATGAGCCAACCTGGCTTCCCTTCTGTCGCTTCACTAGGGCTGGGAAACTCTAAGGTCGATGACTTCTGCTGAGTGTGGGGATCATAAGCTTTCTTGCCATTAAGTTTTTCTGCCAGTCCTTGGGTCCCAAATCATTTGGGCTTTCTTTTATCCCCTTTCAGCACTGTTTTTTGTTGTCTCTTGCATTATTGCCAGGGTTTATAGCTGTACTTATTGGGGAAGAGTAGGTGCATGCAATCTGCTCCAGACCAGAAGTTGTGGATTATTTTTGAAAACCAAGATTGATTAAAAATAATATATAGTCAACTTCAAATTTTAACCCAGAGTCTCCTGTTACCAATTTAATACAATGATCATATATAAATTACAATAAATACTGAGCTGAGTAAATTTTCACTGGGATCACTGTCCGTAATACTAGCCATGCTCTGTCCTTCATAAGTTTTAGCATTTTGTTTTTCCTCTCACTAATTTATTCATTTGTTCTGAATAACGGGCAAGTGTAATAACTCCTCATGTTATAATAGGAGGACACAAAAGTCTCCTCTATTCTTAGTTGCTCCCATTCAGTCATTCAATAATTAAATATTTATATTTTAATTAATACCAGATTATAGTAGACAGTGGTATAAAAAGCCAATTAAGATTCACTTCCTGTCTTTAAAAAAATTAAAAATAAAGACTAATACTAAAATAGCAGAATAATATAATACATTTTACATTTCACTAATAGCAGAATAGTATAATACATTTTCATTAGGCAGAATGCATGATTTATTTGAAATCCATTCCTATTTTTTTAAAATACTATGTACTTGGGCAAAAACCTACTTTTAAAGGCACACACACATACAAACATGTAGGCAAACAAATAAACATCATGCAACATATAGTATAGGCAAAACCATATATAATATAACAAATATAATGCTATTATAATATTGTTTTTACCAACAAAAATGAATGGCAAACTAACATTAATATTACTTACACAAAGCCTTAATAACCAGCAAATTCCAATTTAAGAAAAAACCTGAGAAAAATAAAGACTTTAACAGATCATATTTCCATGTGCAAAGTATTCAAGCTGATAAGATATTTTTATAATAGTCCAGAATTTTTATTCATTTTTAAAATTCAGGGGAGTCTAAATGTAAAGGAAATGAGAGATTTAATGAAGGCAAGATAACTATTAGAAATAATTAAATTACTTATTCCATTTCTAAATTATCTCCTTCATATAAACCACCAAAATGATTAAGTATTGTCTTAGTTTGTACAGGAGTATTATTTTGTCAACAGGTTGAAAAAGTTATGCCTCTTGCTGAGAAAAAAAACTAACAAAATTAAACATTTTTTGATTGCTTATTCATTCCAAAACCAGTTTCAATTATTCTATCTATAAAAATCAATGACAGAATATTTTTAGGGACAGAAATCAAGATGAATATTGATATATTTCTAAACATTGGGACTTGTTAACATGATGATATACTGATAATTTACTAATGAAAAATGATTGTTAGTATTTTATTTGGAATGAAGAATCCTTGATATCCTCTGCTTTTGAGTTTCAAAGAGCAATATCTAACAATGGTATTTTACAATTAACAATGATGTTTTAGGTTACTCTTTAGTGCAATTTACAATGTACTTTCTCAACAGGTATTTTAGAGGGAATTAAGGCACAACAAAGAACTTGCCCAAAGTCACAATGAACCCACACTAGAAAACTTACAGTCTGTGGTCTTCATTTTACATTTTTTTTTGACAGCATTTACTTTCTATATTTAAAAATAAATATAGGTGTTTAAATACATTTCAAAAAATATGTCAAAATAATTCACATTTCTTTTAATTCTAGAAATATTTTGAAACCTTAACAATGGATATATTCAGTAATTATTGTAAATAGAAATATGAGTTAGGAATTTAATCATTTGACTTTCTAATTGAGGCGAATGGCAGTGGCTAACAACACCGGAGTAGCACTGAATGCAGTAATTCATTCCCTTCACACAAATAGCTACTGAAAGGCAGATGGAGGTGCCAGTTGTGTCGGGTGCAGGTGATTACTGCCCAGCCTGGACGCCACCAGGTTGTTTTTCTCTCCACCAGAAAACTGTCCATTCACTTTCCTAAGTGCCAAAAGCAAAAGGAGAGGAATTTATGAAGTCCCTAGCCCATATGGCTGGTAGTGAATTAATCTGTGTCTGAGCAGCAGGTAGCACGAGCCAGTCTGTCTGTTGGGGCTGTTAGTAACCCAGGGGCAGATCAGAGAACAGCAGGAGAGAGGATCAACTCAGGCTGCAAATACAGTCAGGAATGTGGCAGGAAATTATTTCTGAAAACACACTTTGCAGCATAAGGGCAGCCATCAGATGCTACATGATAATCTATCTGCACTTTGTACACTCATAATTATATAGAGCTATATAAGTAGGTGTGAATTTAAAATGTAGTTGTAGATATATAGCTATCATGAGATTTTCCTTTATATAGCATCTTGCGTTAAAATAATTATTTCAAGAGTACCTCAAAAATAAAATACGCAGGCAGAGAGATTTTAAAATTATGAAAAAGAGAAATTAGAATATTAGAAAAAGGGTATGGATCTATTCGAAAGTAGAATAGCAAAGATGAGTGCTCCGATACATAAACAAGAGAAAATAGGGGCTATATAACAGTTCTTTGATGAAATAGCAAGATAGGAAGAAAACAATGGAAAATAATTTAATAATTGCTTGAATACATTAAGACAAAGCTGAGACATGGGACAATTAGGTACAGAACCTTAAATAAGAAATCATGCAAATGGTCAGATGATGATTGGACAATGGTTATTAATATCTTCCTTCCTTTTATTATCTCTTCCTCCCTCCTTCTTATTTCCCTTTTTCCTCCTTCCTATCTCTATCTTATCTGTCTATCTATAGTAATGTGAAGTCTAACATTAAGATTTCACATATTCTTGTGTTCACAGGGCTAAAACTAAGACATTTGCAAAACTGAACTAGACCAAGGAATCTGTGTACATGTAGTCTTTTTGTTTCTTAACCATAAAAATAAAGCCACTAATTTCCCTAAACGTATATGAAAAAATCCAGAACACTGTTGTCATTTTTTAATATTAAAAAGGAAGATCAAAGAGTTAAAAAACTCAAAAGGAAAGAGAAAGCTGAATTAAAGTGACCCTACTCCTTTTGAAAAGACCATCTCTCTGAATTAGACGATTAAAAATTCTTTATAGTAACTTCAAATTATCTTTACTAGCATTCCTGTTTTAATGGATGATTGTAGGAATTAGAGCCAGGTTTAGAAGGTAGGCCTCAAGAAACAGAAGAGGAATAGTTTCTTTTAGAGAAAGAATTAATTGAGCACCTAACACATAGAACATAATGTTTCCAAGCAAATATTGGAAGAGATACAGAGATATAGCCAATGCAATACAAGTCATTGTATAATTCATAGATGAAGTAAGTGCATCTTCCCGTGAACTGGATATGGTTATGAAGAAGACATACTTCCGGAAAACCCCAACAGCTATTTTTATATTAATACTTAACCTTCTTCATGCTATAAACATGTATTTAAGTTCAAAGATCTTTAAGAATATATTCCCTAGGGAGGAAAAAAATTGATCCGGAAAGGTAAAGCCTATGCCCAAGGTCACAATGCAGGTGAAACTCATTTTCCTCCTGAGACCCGTGGCCTTTAGTCTCAATGCATTGCACATCATCCTCCATTAGATCATAGTTAAATTTCTAAACCTTAAAGGTTTACTATTTTTATGGGTCTACAATGTGACCTTGGTAATAGGGTTTGACTGTTTCCATAGTGAAACATATTTTGTTTTCTTTCTAGAAGCATGGAAAGCAAAATATTGTTACTCCTGACAGAAGTAGTTGCTCTGAGATATTTATTTACAGACTCAACAAATGAAAGGTTTCTCACCACTCATAAAGGGTCAATACATGGTTGCCCACCTCATAATTACCCCCAAAAACCTATGTAATTGGAAGTGTCCTTGGGCATGGGTCTCAGTGGCCAAGTTGTGTTTTCTTTGCTCTGTTCCAAATTGCAAAAATACGCAAAAGAAATTTCTTAGTGATTAAGGAAGGCATTGTTAGCATAATGGCATCTGAACTGGGCCTCAGAGTCTTGAATAATGAGAAGCATAGGAGAAATAGATATTCCAGGCAGATGATATATCAGATGCAGATATGTAAAGGAAAAATATTCCATGATGCGCCCAGGGACACAATACAGAATGATATGATACCTCATTTTGTTTATATCATTTCTGAAATTGTAACACAGAAGTTCCACGGAATATTAAGTTCAAATTAATGGTAATGCTGGTTTGCCTTCCGTGTGTGAGGCAAACTCCTCCATGCAAGCTACCATTCCTTTCCAGTTTCCTTCAATATCTGAAACCACTCCTCCATCTGCTTTTTATCTTTTAGAAATTTGTTGAAATATCTCAAACTGCTGATGGATCTTTCCTTGCACATTTATGTTGGAAACATATATAATAGGATGTGTGTGTGTGTGTGTGAGAGAGAGAGAGAGAGAGAGAGAGAGAGAGAGAAACAAGTCTCAGGAAGGTGAAAAATAAATTTATGTTGCTAACTTAACATATCTTCTTGTGAATTTTTAAAAGGGAAAATTTTCAAACAATGACTACAAAGAATCATATTACCCAGGACCAAGGTGCTGAGGTTCAGGATTCAAAACAGTAGTTTTGATTTTTTAAAGTATTGATAACTTCAACAGGGAAAGCAATAAAATTTCAGATGCACTTTGAAAATATGAATAAATGAAAACAATCTCTAATTTTCTCATGAAGAAGTCTAAACTTAAAACTGATTCCGGATTCCAGGGACTGTGGTAATCTCATTTTGACACAAAAGGAAGAAAGCATAAATGATTAACAAAAATAAAATCATAAAATAAGCTAATTCAATAAAACTGATCCTTGTTACATATTTTTATTGGTGATTTGATGAAAAATCAGATTTTTTGAGTTCCCAGCTACATGGCTAAGTTGACTTACATGGGTAAATTATTGAAGGCTATTCAGGAAATTTTATTAAGAAGTAAAGCAGTTGCTTTTGACATCCCACTCATATTCTTCCATATTTACCACTTCAATGTATACTTGCACCACCTCTAATTGCCAGAACTTCCTTGTTTTTTGTTTGTTTGTTTTTTAATAAAAGGGCTTGCTCCGATTGCTAAAGCCTTTTTGTCTATCCATGTAACACCCCAGAAGTGCCAGGAAACTAATTTCCATGAGCAACTCTCAACTGCTGATTGATGGGAATTGGTAGAAACTTCAGTTCCTGTTAAGGACTTAATTGTGCCCCACCCCCACATTCATATGTTGAACCCCTAATGCTCAGTGTATCTGTAAAATACAAATATTTGGAGTATTTTTATTTGGGCCTGTGAGGTGGTGATAAAGGTTAAATGAAGTCAGAAGGGTGGAATTGAAAGCAGTTATCTTTAATTTAAAAATTATTGTCTGAATGAATAATATGCCTGCTACATTTGTTATTTGACCTTCACAGAGAAAGGCAGTCTTAGGGTAAAGAAATATACAATTATATTAATATTAGATATATTGAAAATCCTGGTTTTTTTGTATAGACAGAAGTTGGAGGCCAGGCACGGTGGCTCACGACTGTAATTCCAGCCCTTTGGAAGGCCAAGGCGGGTGGATCACCTGAGGTCAAGAGTTTGAGACCAACCTGGCCAACATGGTGAAACCCCGTCTCTACTAAAAATACAAAAAAAAAAAAAAAAAAGCCAGGCATGGTGGCACATGCCTGAAATTCCAGCTACTCGGGAGGCTGAGGCAGGAGAATCACTTGAACCTGGAAGGTGGAGATTGCAGTGAGCGGAGATCGTGCCATTGCACTCCAGCCTGGGCAGCAGAGTGAGACTCTGTCCCAAAACAACAACAAAAAACAGATCCTTAAGTGAATTTATATCAATGAATTGATTGGAGAAATTCTATCAAAAAAATAGGTCACTGAGTGAAACCACTGATAGCCCTTCAGTGTATCCATCAATTTATCCCTATGTTGATAAGAAATGGCCCAGGTAGGCAGAGTCACCAATGTACCATGCTTGCCTTTCTAACCAAAATCTCATCCTTATTTCTTGTTCTCTTAAAATCTCTGGTCCTATGTCTTCTAGTCTTCCTAAAAAAAGGCATCCTATCTCCATAATTATCCCGTCTTGCCTTTTCCAGTATCTTTTCTTTTATAGTATATACTTCAGAATCAATACTTGCATTTTTTATATTTGAGAGTTAAATGGAAACTTTCTTCTGCGGAATTCCATGTGCTTGCTTTCTTTATTTTTCCATTAAAATTATTCAAGTCTATCATAAGTATACAAGTTACAGGGTTTTATTTGATAAAATACCAGTATTCAAAAGCAGCAAATAGAAGGTTGGATGCTTTGCTAGTTATTGACAGCAAGAGCCTTTTGCCTGTGTTCAAGATTGGGTAATAATCTATTGTTATAGAGTTTATTAATTCCATTAAAGCCTTTAGTATAAGCTCATATTAATTGTATCTTTAAGCTTCATTCCTCAGCTTAGCAGTGCTGAAATTTCCTAATTGAAATCTGGACTGTAATTATAATTTACTTAGCTGGAATTTACAAAGTATATTGCCTATTGTAACTCTTAAAGTTGAATCCCAGATCAAAACTTTTGAAAGAGAGGCATGAGGGAGGCTGACCTGTTCTCGGAAAGCCTTGTCACTGTGTAGGCATATCACCTCCGGAAGTATGGCCAGTTATATTCCTGTGACGCTGCCTATGAGGGGAAATGTTCCTTTTCACCTTTTTTTTTTTTTTTTTTTTTAGAAAAAAAAGCTTATGAATTCAGTAACTAAAAGTTGGAAAGATCCTTAAAAATGTTCAAAATATAAAATCTTTTGGAAGACAGCTTCTTTCACTTACATGACACTTCTTTACAACCTTCTTAGGTGTTAACGTTTTCAGATGAGGAAAATGCAAGCAGAGACTCAGACTAAAATCTTTTGACCCGAGCTCAGGCTTCTGCTTCAACATCCATCCTGTCCAGAAGCTGAAGTTAATAGCACAAGCTGTTTCTAGACAATACAATTATTCCCGAAACAGTGATCACAGACACATCAGATACCAAAAATTCAGTGTCACATATTTGACCCCTATAAAAAGGTATGCTGGCTTCTGCCAAATCTTATTATCCAAAACATAGGCTAGTTAAGGTTAAGAAACTGACATTTTTTTTGTGGCAAAGAGGATCACAATAATTCAAAGTGTAAGCATTTCTGACATTAGTTTAAAAATTTTGTCCTCATCAAAGAAGGGCAGCAAGTTTAATAATTTAGATTATTCTAAGTGATATTTATTTAATCTCTTAGCTAAGTGGCAAAATACATGTAAATGATACTGTAGAAACATTCAGAGCTATACATTGAAAGATAACTAGCAAATTTGAATAGGATTGAGATGTTATTCTATGTTTTCTTTGTCTCTCTCTACCCCTCCCTTCCTTCTTCTATCAAAATATGAGATGGGGAGAAGAAGCAAAGCCTGACTACTGCATAAAAATGTATTGACAACTCAAGCTTGGTGTACTTATCTATTACTGTTGCCATTGAAAATAGTAACTACAATTTACTGAGCAAACTGTAGACCAAGCATTAAGCAAACTATGTTATATTATCTAATTCTAATGTTCTCTAGAAGCAAATTAAGGAAACAACTAAAATTTAGAAAGGCTAGGTAACTTTTTAAAAATTATGTGTTTTTTTCTTAGTTTGTTTTTTTTTTTGTTTGTTTGTGTGTTTGTTTCGCTTTTTTTTTTTTTTAGATGGAGTTTTGCTCTTGTCGCCCAGGAAGGAGTGCAACGGCGCAATCTCGGCTCACTGCAACCTCCCCATCCTGGGTTCAAGCGATTCTCCTGCCTCAGCCTCCCGAGTAGCTGGGATTACAGGGATTAAAGGTACCTGCAACCACACCATACCCGGTTAATTTTTGTATTTTTAGTAGAGACGGGGTTTCACCATTTTGGCCAGGCTGGTCTTGAACTCCTGACCTCAGATGATTCACCTGCCTCGGGCTCCCAAAGTGCAGGGATTAGAGGCATGAGCCATTGGGCCCAGCCCAAATTCTGAATTTTTTATAGCTTTAATTTTTAATTTATTTAGCTTTTATTTGAAGTTCAGGGGTACAAGTGCAGGTTTGCTGCATAAGAAAACTTGTGTCATGAGAGTTTGTTGTACAGATTATTGCATACCTCAGGTATTAAGCCTAGAATCCATTAGTTATTTTTTCTGATCCTCTCCCTTCTCCTGCCCTCCACCCTCCAAAACGTCCCAGTGTGTGTTGTCCCTCTCTATATGTGTATGTGTTCTCATTATTTAGCTCCCAGTTATAAGTGAGAACACGTGGTATTTGGTTTTCTGTTCCTGTGTTAGTTTGCTAAGGATAACTTTTCTAAGTATATACTTTTCTAGATAATGAGGTATTTGGGTTTGAAGGCAGACTTTTTGAATTACAAAGAATGTTGAATACAATTTTCAATTTCATGATAAAATTGCCACTTTGTACGTTTATTATAAGAATCAAATAAAAATAATGTTTGAGGAAGCTTTGTAAATTGGAAACCATGAAACAGCACTATTATTACTATTCTGCTTAAAGAAGACTAAGTGTGCACACTACTAGAAGAGACATGCACACAAATACAGGGTGATGTGCAAACGCCGTGAGAGAAGAACAGAGAATGTGTTGCTGCGACTGCATCCTGAAGAGGAAGAAGTCATGTCTAGATAGAATAAAGGAAAGTTGTTGAAGATGCTACTTTCTAAGGCAAATATGGATATTTGAAAATAAAGCTGAGTAAGGGCAGGTTTTGACAACAAAAGGGAAAATACTAAAGGAAAGTTTCTATTTTAATAGATCTGGCGTTTTATTTAGTATAAGAGACATAAAATAGTTTTAGGATATAGCCCCTAAGCTTACAATGGGGGTTTATCCTTTGAGGAATTGACTTATATTCATGAAATAATTGGGAAAAAATTCACATGCCAGTTGGATGTCTTAATGGTGACCTCTAACATAAGTTTCTGAAAAGAAATTTATTTTCTAATGAAATTTTAGATGTAATGATTTCTCTCCCAAAATCAAGCAGTATCATTCTACAAATCATTCTGAGCTGTGAGATTAAGTATTTTCTTTTCCTTTAATTAGACCTTATTTTAAACTGTGTGTGTGATTTCATGTATCATTTCATATATCCATTTTGTCATAAGCAATTAGGATAGTTAAGCTCTGGAAATTAATACTTACTCTTGCTAAATTAAAAAAAAGTGTGAGCCAAAAAGAATTCTGAAAAGGAACATTTTTTAGTGAGGAGAGAACTAAGAGTTTTTCTCAATTTTATCTTCTAGAATTTTTTCTTCATTTGTTGTTCTCACACTTGTAGTTTTGATTCTTGTTTTTACACTATCAGAATATAGGTATTTAATTATAGTTTTCATATGTCTCTTAAATTTTATTTTATAGTAATTTTCCAATATTCATTGATCATTTTTGTTGTGCTGAACACAATGGCTTGTTACTTTTAGAAATTATCTCATTAGATCCTCACAAAACACTATGAGATATCACATACTCTTATGTACTACTATAATCTCCATTTCTTAATCTGAGGAAAATTTATATTTCAAGAGGTTAAGCAATTTGCTGAAAATCACACAGTGAATAAGTACTCTTTCTGGGATTCAAATCAAGGGAACTCTCTGGGATCTAAATCAAGGGAGCCTCTTGTCTGCTATTGCACATTGATTTACTCAAGTTTATATGTGTTTAAGTTTTGTCTCAGACTCTCAGTTCCCAAGATAGCATGTGAGCTTTATTCGCTGTTGTATCTCTAGGGTCTAGCCTGGTGTTTTGTACATAGCAGACACACACACACACACACACACACACACATACACAAATGTAGAGCCTTGTTTCATCAAGATTAAGAGCATTGAGTAATAACATCTTTATTAGAGATGATTTAATGAGAAAAATAACTGGATAAAGGTCATTTTCAAAGGTCATAAACATGAGTAGGACATTCCACTTGCCAAATTCCCACTTCTGACTAAGATGGACTAAAAGCAGATAGACCCTCATGCCTAAAACACTAAAACGCTAGATAAAATGTAAGAAGAAAATGGTTCTAAAGATATTGAACACTGGGCAATAAAGGACAGAAATCACTAATATGAGAAACAAAAATCATGAGATCTATAATTGCTCTGGCTTGTCTGAAAGTTTCTAGGCATTGATGCGGAATGGAGGATCCAGCTGGAGTCAGGCAGCGTCTCTTCATGGAGAAAATGGGTCTTTGGTTCCAGGGAGGTAAAGGGGACCAGAGTTTACAGAGCTGAGCACAGGAGAAAAGGGAATTGTCCAGACTGAGAACTCTGGAGACAGAAAACAATCCACCTTGAGGATTCAGCTGAGTACTGGTTAGTACATTTGTTTGAAGAAACTATCCAAGGTAGCTGAAATAACTACCTGAAAGAATGAGGAGAAACAATCTCTGAAAGTCACACAGGGCAGTTCTGTTCCAAGAAGAGTAGAAAACTTCATAATTGAAGATTCTTGAGTAGGGTCCTCAGAGGGTTTTTTCCTAGTTATTGTGAATAATTAGTCCCAGGCTAAATAAGTAAAGGGTCAAATAGATTACAAGTAATTTAGCCCCATTACAAAAAAGCTGGAAGAAATTTATAAAAATAAAATCTTTGTACCTGCCTTTTTACTTATTTATTTTAAATATATTTAATTACAGAAAAGATTGTGTATATTCAAGGTGTACAATGTGGTGGCTTGATATACATATACCTTGTGGAATGATTATTTCAGTCAAATTAATCAACACATCAATCACAACAAATGCTTTACATTAGAACCCCAGAACTTGCATACCTTATAACTGAAAGTTTATACCCTTTGACCAACATGTCCCCATTTTATTCATCTCCATGACCTTGGCAACAACCATTCTATTTTCTGTTTTTATGAGTTTGAATTTTTTAGATGATCCTTGTAAGTAAGACCACACAATATTTGTTTACTTGTGTCAGGCTTATTTCACCTAGCATAATATACCCCTGGTTCATCCATGTAGTCACAAATGATAGGATTTCCTTGTTTTCATGCCTGAATAATATTCCATTATACACACACACACACACACACACACACACACACACACACACCCCACATTTTCTTTATTCATCTGTCAATGGACATTTTGGTTGATTCCATATCTTGGCTATTATTAATAATGCTACAATTAACATGGGAGTTCAGGTATCTTGGAGATACTGAATCTACATCGTTCAGGGGTTAAAGCAGTGATCTTATGAAAATAAAAATTTTAAATACAATCTCAAAAATGTAAAATTCACAATCTCTGACATCTAATTAAATATTGTCAGTTCTGTAAAGAATCAGGAAATGCAATCAATAAAAGGGAGAAAAATAAAATGAAACAGACTCAGAAATAAAACAGATGAGATAATTAGTTGACAAGGGCATAAAAGGACAAGTATTGCAAGTATATTCTATAGTCATAATAATATAGATAAAAACATACACTTTAAGCAGAAATATGAAAGATAGAATACACAAATTGAATTTCTAAATATGAAAACTATAATACCTGAGTAAAAACACACTGGATTGAATAAATGACAGATACCACAGAATAATATGTTAGTAATTATGCAGATTTAGTAATTGAAATTATCCAAAATAAAACACAGAGAATAATTTTTTTTAAGTAAACAGTGAACTGGTGACCTGGGGGAAAATTTCAAGTGGTCTAACATACATATTATTGGACTCCCTAAAAGGTGGGGCAGAAATGAGTATTTGCAAACACAATGGTAAATAATTGCCAAATTTGATGGAAACTGTAACCCCACAGAACCAAGATGCTCAGTGAACTTCGATCACAGAAAACATTAAGGAAATTACATCAAGACATTTAATAATCAACTCATTTAAAACCAGATAACGATGTTTTAAAAGTAGTTGAACTGCAGGAAATCACATTGTATAAAGAGTGTAGGCCGGGCGCGGTGGCTCACGCCTGTAATCCCAGCACTTTGGGAGGCCGAGGCGGGCGGATCACGAGGTCAGGAGATCGAGACCATCCTGGCTAACACGGTGAAACCCCGTCTCTACTAAAAATACAAAAAATTAGCCAGGCGTGGTAGCGGGCGCCTGTAGTCCCAGCTACTCGGGAGGCTGAGGCAGGAGAATGGCGTGAACCCGGGAGGCGGAGCTTGCAGTGAGCTGAGATCGCGCCACTGCACTCCAGCCTGGGCGACAGAGCGAGACTCCGTCTCAAAAAAAAAAAAAAAAAAAAAAAAAAAAAAAAAAAGAGTGTAAAGAGGAAGACAGGTGAGAATGTCAGCAACATAAAGTTGAAAACAATTTCAGAAGAAAGAGGAACAACATCTTTAAAATACTGAAAGGAAAATACTGTAAATTAAGAATTCTCTACCTAGCAAAAATACCTTTAAAAAATTAAAGTTACAGAAATTCTTTTTAGACATAAAAACCCAAAAGAAGATATCACTGGCAGAAATGCAGTACAAGAAATACAAGGAGACTACTTCAGGATATATATACACACACACACACACACACACACACACACACACACACACCAGTTGGGAATACAAAGAATCAAAATCAAAATGGTAACTCTTGGCTAAATGTAATATTTTTTATTTAAAATACGTTGGGGTGATCAGACCCAACACCAGGTCGTGGGGGAGATAAAGTCCAGCAGAGTCAAAGGAATGAGAAAAGACGGTTTGAGAGAGAAAGTGGGTCCAGGGGGCCATCGCTAAGTATGGAGGCTGCGAAGGCCCCAAGCTCTGGAAGCCCAGACTATTTATTGATGATCAAACAAAGAAACAAGTGGTGAGAATGTGGGGGTCGAAAGGGAGTGTTGCATTAAGCACATGATTTACAGCTGTGATGGTTTAGCAAATGCTCTGCTACTTGTGATAATGGAGAGCAGGTTCTTTTAACTCAAGATGCCATCGATCCCCGGAGAGCAAGGAGCAAGGAGCCAGCAAGTCTAGACACATTCCAGAGCCATGAGACCTGGATTCTATCCACGCCACGAGGGGTTTTATGCCCTGGGCTTAGATATGGTGCGTCAGGGTAGCCTTCCACCCTTCGTCACAGAGCTTGGTGTTCCAAAGGCCACGAGGGGTTTTAGAACCTGGACCCAGACATATTCCAAGACTCTTTTACATTATATCAGACATGCAAACCCTGCCTCAGCTTCTCTCCCAACACTCAGCTTTTCTCCCAACAAAATATTTTAAAATAATAATTGGCAAAAAAATAAAAAAAATGGTACAAATGCTTTAATAGGAGACAATTAAATATGCTGTTGTCAAGTTATTATACCATATATGAAGTTATTATCACCTGTTATATAGACTGTGATAAGTTAAATCTGTTTACTATAAACTCTAAAGAAAAAGTATGACAATAAAGTATAGGTAATAAGCCAACCAGGAAGAAAAAATGGAATAAAAATATACTTAGTTAATTCAAAAAAGACCGAAAATACAGAAAATGAAAAAAAGAAACAAATGAGAGAAATAGAAAATAACAAATAGGAGAGTGGTATATTTAAGCCCAATCATATTAATAATCACAATGAATGTAAGTGTCCTAAACATCACAATTGAAGGAAAGACGTAAGACTGGATAACAAAGTAAAAACAAACCATAAGATGCCTATAATAATCCAACTTTAAATATAAAGACATAAATAGGCTAAGAGCAAATGGAAGGAAGAAGAGATACTGTGACATCAATATAAAGTGAGCTCAGGTAGCTATATTAATATCAGGCAAAGTAAATTTTAGAGCAAATAATATTGCCAGGAATAAAGAGTTTCATTCCATAATTATAAAAAGATTAATCAATCAAATCTTCCATCATAGTGCAGTGAGAAGCTCAGCAATGTATCACCTCAAAAAGTAAGGATAAAACATAATAAAATTGTCAAGTCCAATTACTTAAGCTTTCTGGAGAAAATAAAAGGCATGCAACATATTAAAAATCAATAATTTGGCCAGGCGCGGTGGCTCGGGCCTGTAATCCCAGCGTTTTGGGAGGCCGAGGCAGGCGGATCTCAAGGTCAGGAGATCAAGACCATCCTGGCTAAAATGGTGAAACCCCGTCTCTACTAAAAATACAAAAAATTAGCTGGGTGTGGTGGCAGGCACCTATAGTCCCAGCTACTTGGGAGGCTGAGGCAGGAGAATGGTGTGAACCCGGGAGGCTGGGCTTGCAGCAAGCCAAGATCACGCCACCGCACTCCAGCTGGGGCGACAGAGTGAGACTCGGTCTCAAAAAAAAATATATCAATAATTTATTATTTTAAAAACTATGCCAGAGCTTAATCAACATAGTAGTGGAAAGGATAAAATGAGTCATTACATGAGGAGTAAAAATACTGGAAATAGCTGACTCTTCTGATTATCATTAGAAGTAATAAAAAAAGTAAAATAAAATATCCAAAGTGACAAAAAGAAAAAACAGAATGCCAAGAAAAATTAAGTTCCAGTTAAAAAAAAAAATCACTCAGAAAAAGATGAAATGAAAACATCCATGGTTAAACAAAGACAAAAAAATTGTTGCTTGCAGATTAACTTTTTTTTGAGATGGTCTTTTTTATAATCATGACCCATGGGTCAGTGCAGCCTTAACCCCCTGGGCTCAAGCGACCCTACACCTCAGCCTCCTGAGAAGCTGGGACCACAGGAGCAATCCCCCATATCTGGCTAATTTTTAAAATATTTTGTAGAAAAGTGGTCTCACTAAGTTCCCCAGCCTGGTCTCAAACTCCTAGACTTAAACATCACCCCTGCTTAAACCTTCCAAAGTCTGGGTACAAGCAGAGCCAATGCACCTGGCTGCGGACCAGCTTTAAAGGAAATCTTTAAGCGTGTCCTTCGAGCTGAAATAAATGACATCAAAGAATAGCTTTAAGCCAGACTTTTAGAAAATCGAGAGCACTGAAATAGGTAAATATGCGGGTAAATACAAAAATATATAAATGTATTTTTGGCCATTTCTTCTATGAACTTATTTAAAACATATACAATGTTATAAATTAAATTATAAAATTATATAATCAAATTAATAATATATAGAGTGTAATATAAACGAGAATAAGTACACAAAGGAGGTAGACAATAATGGATCTATATTTGAGTAGAGTTTCTACATTTCAACAGAATTTAATGTGAATCTGAAATAGATTGGAGGTAAGTTAAGATTCATACTGTAATGTCTAGAGCAACCAATAAGAAAACAAAAAATAGTAAAAATATCAACAAATACTAAAGAGCTTCTGCACAGCAAAAGAAACTACCATCAGAGTGAACAGGCAACCTACAAAATGGGAGAAAATTTTTGCAATCTACTCATCTGACAAAGGGCTAATATCCAGAATCTACAATGAACTTAAACAAATTTACAAGAAAAAAACAAACAACCCCATCAAAAAGTGGGCAAAGGATATGAACAGACACTTCTCAAAAGAAGACATTTATGCAGCCAAAAGACACGTGAAAAAATGCTCATCATCACTGGTCATCAGAGAAATGCAAATCAAAACCACAATGAGGTACCATCTCACACCAGTTAGAATGGCAATCATTAAAAAGTCAGGAAACAACAGGTACTGGAGAGGATGTGGAGAAATAGGAACACTTTTACACTGTTGGTGGGACTGTAAACTACTTCAACCATTGTGGAAGTCAGTGTGGTGATTCCTCAGGGATCTAGAACTAGAATTACCATTTGACCCAGCCATCCCATTACTGGGTATATACCCAAAGGATTATAAATCATGCTGCTATAAAGACACACGGACAAGTATGTTTATTGCGGCACTATTCACAATAGCAAAGACTTGGAACCAACCCAAATGTCCAACAATGATAGACTGGATTAAGAAAATGTGGCACATATACACCATGGAATACTATGCAGCCATAAAAAATGATGACTTCATGTCCTTTGTAGGGACATGGATGAAATTGGAAATCATCATTCTGAGCAAACTATCGCAAGGACAAAAACCAAACACTGCATGTTCTCACTCATAGGTGGGAATTGAACAATGAGAACACATGGACACAGGAAGGGGAACATCACACACCGGGGCCTGTTGTGGGGTTGGGGGAGGGGGGAGGGATAGCATTAGGAGACATACCTAATGTTAAATGACGAGTTAATGGGTGCAGCACACCAACATGGCACATGTATACATATGTAACAAACCTGCACATTGTGCACATGTACTCTAAAACTTAAAGTATAACAAAAACAAAAAAATAAAAATAAAAAATTACCTGTCAGGTACTATACTCCTTACGAGGGTGATGAAATAATCTGTATGTCAAACCCCTGTGGTAAACAATTTACCCATGTAACAAACCTGCCCATGTATCCCCCTAAACCTAAAATAAAAGATGGAAAAAAATTACTTTTATTTTTTGTCCAGAATCTAGAAAATTATTTTACAATTTTTAAGTGATAAACTGAAACATTCTAGGAAAAAATGATGACTAAATACAAAGTTACCATTAATGTAAGTGGTATAATATATAAATAATATGTAACAATATAATCCACTTAGCCATATCATAAACAATCTATACAGTATACTGTCTTGTAAAAGGTAAATATTTTTTGATGTGATACAACCAAAGAATTATATACTAACATTTCAATTATAAAGTATTTTTATGTGCTATTTGATCCTTGAAACAAGTATGAGAGGTTTTCAAGGCAAGTGTTTTTATGCCCATGTAAGAGTTGGGAAACTGATGCTTAGACATGAAAGGTGAGTTGGCAGTCACAAATAAGCAGTAGAAACAGGATTTGAAGTTGCCCAGATTCTGATAATTTTAGAGAAATAATAGAAAAGGCCAAATTATGCAAGAGTCTCTTTTGATGAATCAGAAAAAAAAAGTATGCCTGTCTCCCTTTACAGAATTGGCATGTACATGGATATTAGAAAAGGAAGAATAGAGGAGATAATGTCTTAAGCATTCTTCATTAACTTGAATACTCAAATAACCAAATAAATTGAATAATCAAAATATCCTAGAATTCTTTTCAAAATTAGATGTAATCAATCCAATAAAAGGCATGACTATCGGAACATGGCTTCTAAATTTAGACCATTGTGGGTTCCGAAACCTTATTTTTTGACTTGGTTACTTTGCTCTAGAAATGCATCTTCTCTCAGAAATAGAATAATTATTAAGTCTCATGTTAGCCCTCAACACTTGAATTTGCCTCTGTCATCTCCAAATTAACAAAAAATCTAGTTATTATTTATACCACTGTTTTAGGGGAAACTTAATCTGATATATATTTCTGGATGCCAGCAACACACTTTTCAATAATGTCCACGCTACTTGCACCCATTCTTCCAACTCCGGCTGTGCCTACAGCTTGAGAAAGGCAGAGGAGGGAAAGGAAAAAGGGCTCATTAGTATGTGGGATAAGAGATATACATGAAGGAAAGGGTTTTATTGTGCATGCCCAAGGAGTAAGGTGTATTCAACCCCCATAATCACCTGTACAGGGTATACATGTATCAGGCTTTCCTAAGGTAGAAAATACCTGAGCTTTGCATTCAAAGTAAAGCACTACAGGGTTAAAACTTTTAAAATCATGAAAAAATTTCAGATTATTTATTTAATGTGAACAATAGTGGGAGTAAGTCATCTTTTCTAAGAATTGCTTACTAGATTCCAAACTCTAGTTCTCTAACTTGTGCGTCAATAACTCAAAAATCAACTTCCTATTTAGGTAATAAGAGTCAAATATGGACCAATTTAGAGTAGGAGAGACAATAATTGGACTCAAGAACTGTGCTACTTTCTCTATCCATACTATTCAATCTGAATATATATTGTGTTTCTTATATTCTTTCATTAACAATATACATATATGCAATATATGTACAGTATACTAAATTCTTATTTTTTTCTGAGATCCTGACAACATATAGAATATGAAAGCTAAGTAGAATGATGGCAAATGAAAAAGACTGTATCCTCATTAAAAAAAATGGATGCCTTTTGAGTAGAGTGTGACATTAAGATCCCCTTCCACTTGTGGCACCCAGGTATCCTTGGCAGGATAAAGACACATCTTTCCCACCTTCTTAGGTTCCTAACCTTTTTCCTAGGCTATGCACCAAGGAGAGGGATTCTAGGATTATTCGTCATGTCAATGCAAAACTTTTAAGGAAAGAAAAAAGACGTAAAACAATGTATACATATTATACCCTTTGATGTGGTTTGGCTCTGTGTCCCCACCCAAATCTCACCTTGAACTGTAATAATCCCCAAGTGTCAAGGGTAGGGCCAGATGGAAATAATTGAATCATGGGAGCAGTTTTCCCATACTGTTCTCTTGGTAGTGAATAAATCTCTACAAAATCTGATGGTTTTATAAATGGGAGTTTCCCTGCATAAACTCTCTTGCCTGCCGCCGTGTAAGGTGTTACTTTCCTCCTCATTTGCCTTCTGCCACAATTGTGAGGTCTCTCCAGCCATGTGAAACAGTGAGGCCATTAAACTTCTTTCCTTTATAAATTACCCAGTCTCAGGTATGTCTTTATCAGCAGCATGAGAACAGACTAATACAATAAATTGGTACCAGGGGCAGTGGGGTGCTGCAGTAAAGATACTGAAAAATGTGGAAGCAACTTTGGAACTCGGTAACAGGCAGAGGTTGGAACACTTTAGAGGGCTCAGAAGAAGACAGGATAATTTGGGAAAGTTTGGAACTTACTAGGGACTTGGAGGGCTCAGAAGACAGGAAGATGTGGGAAAATTTGAAACTTCCTAAAGACTTGTTGAATGGCTTTGAGCAAAGAGCTGTTAGTAAAATGTACAACAAAGTCTATGCTAAGATGGTCTCAGGTGGAGATAAGGAATTTGTTAAGAACTGGAGTAAAGGTCACTCTTGCTATGCAAACAGACTGGCGGCGTTTCGCCCCTGCCCTAGAGATCTGTGGAACTTTGAACTGGAGAGAAGATTTAGGGTATCTGGTGGAAGAAATTTCTAAGTGGCAAAGTGTTCAAGAGGAAGCAGAGTGTAAAAGTTTGGAAAATTTGCAGCCTGATGATGCAATAGAAAAGAAAAACCCATTTTCTGGGGAGAAAGTCAGGCCTGCTGCAGAAACTTGCATAAGTAATGAGGAGCTCAATGTTAATGACCAAGACAATGGAGAAAATATCTCCATAGCATGTCAGAGACTGCAGCAGCCACTCCCATTGTAAGTCCAGAGGCCTAGGAGGGAAAAACGGTCTTATGGTCCAGGCCCAGGGCTCCCCTCTGCTCTTTGCAGCCTCAGACATGGTGCCCTGTGTCCCAGCTGCTTCAGCTCCATGCATGGCTAAAAGAGACCAAGGTACAGCTTGGGCCATGTCTTCAGTGGGTGCAAGCCTCAAGCCTTGGCAGCTTTCATGTGATGTTGAGCCTGCAGGTGCACAGAGGTCAAGATTTGAGGTTTGGGAACCTACACCTGGATTTCAGAGGATGTATGGAAATGCCTGGATGTCCAGGCAGAGGTCTGCTGTAGGGGCAGAGCCCTCATGAAGAACCTCTGCTAGGGCAGTGCAGAAGGGAAATGTGGAGTGAGAGCCCCCACACAGAGCTCCCACTGGAAAAGTGCCTAGTGGAACTGTGAGAAGAGGGCCACTGCCCTTGAGACCCCAGGATGATAGATCCACTGACAGCTTGCACTGTGTACCTGGAAAAGCTGCAGACACTCAACACCAACCCATGAAAGCAGCCAGGAGGAGAGCTGTACCCTGCAAAGCCACAGTGGTAGAGCTGCCCAGGACCTTGGATACCCATTATTTGTATCAGCATGATTTGGATGTGAGACATGGGGTCAAAGGAGATCATTTTAGAGCTTTAATATTTGACTGTCCTGCTGAATTTCAGACTTGCGTGGGGCCTGTAGCCTCTTTGTTTTTGCCAGTGTCTCCCATTTTGAATGGGTGTATTTACCCAATGCCTCTACCCCCACATTGTATCTAGGAAGTAATTAACTTGCTTTTGATTTTATAGGTTCATAGGCAGAATGGACTTGTTTTGTCTCAGATGAGACTTTGGACTGTGGACTTTTGAGTTAATGCTGAAATGAGTTAAGACTTTGGGGGACTGTCGGGAAGACATGATTGTGTTTTGAAATGTGAAAGAGACATGAGATTTGGGAGGGTCCAGGGGTAGAATGATATGGTTTGGCTCTGTGTCCCCACCAAAATCTCACCTTGAATTGTAATAATTCCCATGTGTCAAGGGTGGGGCCAGGTAGAGATAATTGAAATATGGGGGCAATTTTCCACATATCTATCTCATGGTGATGAATAAGTTTTGTGAGACCTTATAATTTTATAACTGAGAATTTTCCTGCACAAGCTCTCTTTCCTGTCACCATGTAAGACTTGACTTTGCTCCTCATTTGCTTTTCACCATGATTGTGAGATCTCCCCAGCCATATGAAGTTGTTAGTCAATTAAACCTCTTTCATTTATAAATTACCCAGTCTCAGGTATATATTTATCAGCAGCATGTGAACAGACTAATATACCATTTATATGAACAAGATAAAATTTATGAATGTGTGATGCATATTAATAAAAAAAGAAATTAGCCAGGTGTGGTGGCTCATGCCTCTAATCCCAGCACTTTGGGAGGCCAAGGTGGGAAGATCACCTGAAGCTAAGAGCTTGAAACCAGCCTGGGCAAAAAGGTGAGACCCTTATCTATGAAAAAAAAAAAAAAAAAAAAAAAAGCAAATTGGCCAAGTGCAGTGGCATGCATTTGTACTACTCAGGGGGATGAGGCAGGAGGATTGCTTGGGCCCAAGAGTTGGAGGCTGATGTGAGCTGCGATCATGTCACTGCACTCCAGCCTGGATGACAAATCAAAACCCTGTCTCTAAAATAAAATAATAAAAATTTAAAAATAAAGAAAATAAATTAACATTAAGAAAAGATTTTTTATGTTAGTTTCTTATCTCCATCTCTGAAAGGAGGTTATAAATGTCTTATTAGTGGATTACATATTGTTTTCTTTCCAGTGACTATTTCATTGGTTGACCTACAAGTCTGTTGGATTAGGCCAAGTTATGCTACAGTAGCTAATAACTCTCATTTAGAATAGCTTTTGCAGGTTTATATTGTACTTAAATTATGTACCCATGGATCAGGTGCAGATCTGCTTACTGTCACCTCCACCCTAACAAAATCCTGTGGGGCAGCCTCTGCACAGAATATTGCTGATATGTGGTAGAAAACAGAGGACCCTGTGGGTTGTGCATTAGGATTAATTGTTCCAGCCTAGAAGTGATACATGGTCATTTCATTTTACAACTCATAAGCCATATTAGGCACATGGACACTTACCCATAAGATAAATAAGAAAGTACAACCATTCATATTTCCAGCGAGATAAGAGGACCAGAGTATCTGATATACATTACTAACAACTAACCTGATTAATATGGTGTGGCTGTGTCCCCACCCAATCTTATCTTGAGTTGTAACTCCCACAGTTCCCACATGTCATGGAGGAACCTGGTGGGAGGTAATTGAATTATGGGGGTGGGTCTTTCCCATGCTGCTCCTGTGATAGTGAATAAGTCTCATGAGATCTGATGGTTTTAAAAACAGGAGTTTCCTTGCATAAGCTTTCTTCTTTTGTCTGCCGCCATGTGAGACGTGCCTTTCACCTTCTATCATGATTTTGAGGCCTCCCCAGCCACGTGGAACTGTGAGCCTATTAAAACCTCCTTTTCTTCACAGTCTTGTTTATGTCTTTTTAAGCAGCATGAAAATTAACTAATACAGTAAATTGGTATCAGTATAGTGGGGTGCTGCTGTAGATACCCAAAAATGTGGAAACAACTTTGGATCTGGATAACAGGCAGGGGTTGTAAGAGTTTGGAGAGCTCAGAAGAAGACAGGAAAATGTGGGAAAGTGTGGAACTTCCTAGAGACTTGTTGAATGACTTGGCCCAAAATGTTGATAGCAATATAGACAACAAAGTCCAAGCTGAGGTGGCCTCGATGGGAACTTCTTGGGAACTGGAGCAAAAATGACTCTTGTTATCTGTTAACAAAGAGACTGGTGTCATTCTGCATCTGCCCTAGAGATTTGTGAAATTTTGAACTTAAGAGAGATGCTTTAGGGTACGTGGTGAAAGAAATTTCTAAGCAGTAAAGCATTCAAAGGTGCTTTGGGTGTGTTAAAGCCATTCAGTTTTAAAAGGGAAGCAGAGTGTAAAAGTTCAGAAAATTCGCAGCCTGACAATGCCATAGAAAAGAAAACCCCATTTTCTGAGGAGAAATTCAAGCTGGCTGCAAAAAGTAATGAGGAGCCGAATGTTAATCCCGAAGACAATGGGGAAAATGTCTCCAGGGAATGTCAGAGGTCTTCATGGCAGCCCCTCCTATCACAGGCTCAGAGGCCTAGGAGTTAAAACTGATTTTTTTATGGGCTGGGCCAAAGGTCCCCATACTGTGTGCAGACTAGTGACTTGGTGCCCTGCATCCCAGTTGCTCCAGCTGTGGCTGAAAGGAGCCAATGTAGAGCTTGGGCTGTGGCTTCAGAATGCAAACCTCAAGTCTTGGCAGCTTCCACGTGGTGTTGGCCCTGCCAGTGCACAGAAGTCAAGAATTCTGGTTTGAGAACCTCTGCCTAGATTCCATAGGATGTATGGCAATGGCTGGATGGCCAGGCAGAAGTTTACCGCAGGGATGGAGCTCTCATGGAGAACCTATGCTAGGGCAGTGTGGAAGGGAAATGTGGGGTCAGAGCCCCCATACAGTGTTCCTACTTGGGCACCACCTAGTGGAGCTGTGAGAAGAGGGCCACCATCCTTCAGACCCCAGAATGGTAGATCCACTGACAACTTGCACCATGCACCCGTAAAAGCAGCAGACACCTAATGCCGGCCCATGAAAGAAGGCTGTCAGGAGGGAGGCTGTACCCTGCAAAGCCACAGGGGTGGAGCTGCCCAAGACCATGGGAACCCATCTCTTCAATCAACATGACCTGGATATGAGACAGGAAGTCAAGGGAGATCATTTTGGAGCTTTAATATTTAACTGCCCCACTGGATTTCAGACTTGCATGGGGCCTCTAGCCCCTTGTTTTGGCCAATGTCTCCCATTTGGAATGGGTGTATTTACCCAATCCCTGGACCCGCATTGTATCTAGGAAATAACTAACTTGCTTTTGATTTTACAGGCTTATAGGCAGAAGGGACTTGCCTTGTCTCAAATAAGACTTTGGACTGTGGATTTCTGAGATAATGCTGAAATGAGTTGAGACTTTGGGGAACTGTTAGGAGAGCATGATTCGTTTTGAAATGTGAGGACATGAGATTTTGGGGGAGACAGGGGTGGAAATTATATGGTTTGGCTGTGTCTCTACCCAAATCTCATCTTGTATTGTAACTCCCACAATTCTCACATGATGTGAGAGGAAGCTGGTGGGACGTAATTGAATCATGGGGGCGAGTTTTTCCCATGTTGTTCTCATGATAGTGAATAAGTATCATGAGATCTGATGGTTTTAAAAATGGGAGTTTCCTTGCACAGAGCTCTCATCTCTTGTCTGCCACCACGTGAGACATGCCTTTCAACTTTTGTCATGATTTTGAGGCCTCCTCAGCCACGTGGAACTGAGAGGCTATTAAAACCTCTTTTTCTTCCCAGTCTCAGGTATGTCTATATCAGCAGCATGAAAACGGACTATTACACTGATCCTGTTAAGGTGGTGGCCAAAATACTGTGCTCTGCTTTCTGTGGAAGCGTGATCTCTAAGAAGACCCCAAGACCAGAAGTTGTAATTTATTTATAAGTAATTACTTGTGTGAAGTATTATGGGCTCTTTTCTAAAGAGGAACTTTGAAAAATGAATAGTAAGTACCATAAGTGTTGCTTCCTTGCTACTGCTCTCCAGAGGGTACTGCTCTCCAGAGGGTACTGCTGAGCGTGTGAAGCAGGGAAGAGCATTGTTTGGATTGCAGATGCCCTCCTGTCACTGAATGTGGTAATTTCACAATCAAGAAAAAAGACTACAGTTCTTTACTGACTTAGGCTGGCATCTCAAGAGGTAGATAGAGGTATAAGGAGTGAGAGCAATATTTAGCTGTCTTTTTTTCTTGTTTCAGAAAGCACTCTTGTATAATTGTATAAACAAACATTTTACCCAGAACGTGATACTAAAATAAGTTACATTGGAAGATATCTTTAATTTCGTTGTAAAATTGAAATTAAAATTACTTTCAGCCATTTCTGGATGGGTTGCTAAGCATCACACAAGTTCCTTACTTTTATTTATTATCACAAAGTTCTTCAGTTTTTATCTAAACTTCTCCATATAATTATCCATTGAACAAATGCAGAATTCATATTCTTTTCAAGTGCACATAAAATATTCACCAAAAAAGACCAAAAGAGAATAAATTTAAAAAAATTAAAATCACATAGGATATATTTTCTGACCAAAATGTAGTCAAAGTTAAATTAATAGGAAAAACATTTTTAAAAATTATTCTCAAACTTTAAAAATTAGAAAATAAAATATTTAGAACTGAGTGAAAATGAAAACCACCTTTGGTGTTTGATGATGGTGATGTACAGATGGGTTTTTGGTGTGGATGTCCTTTCTGTTTGTTAGTTTTCCTTCTAACAGACAGGACCCTCAGCTGCAGGTCTGTTGGAGTACCCCGCCCTGTGAGGTGTCAGTGTGCCCCTACTCGGGGGTGCCTCCCAGTTAGGCTGCTCGGGGGTCAGGGGTCAGGGGTCAGGGACCCACTTGAGGCAGTCTGCCCGTTCTCAGATCTCCAGCTGCGTGCTGGGAGAACCACTGCTCTCTTCAAAGCTGTCAGGGACATTTAAGTCTGCAGAGGTTACTGCTGTCTTTTTGTTTGTCTGTGCCCCGCCCCCAGAGGTGGAGCCTACAGAGGCAGGCAGGCCTCCTTGAGCTGTGGTGGGCTCCACCCAGTTCGAGCTTCTGGGCTGCTTTGTTTACCTAATCAAGCCCCGGCAATGGCGGGCGCCCCTCCCCCAGCCTCGCTGCCGCCTTGCAGTTTGATCTCAGACCGCTGTGCTAGCAATCAGCGAGACTCCGTGGGGTAGGACCCTCCGAGCCAGGTGCCGGATATAATCTCCTGGTGTGGGTGCGCCGTTTTTGAAGCCCGTCGGAAAAGCGCAATATTCGGGTGGGAGTGACCCGATTTTCCAGGTGCGTCTGTCACCCCTGTCTTTGACTAGGAAAGGGAACTCCCTGACCCCTTGCGCTTCCCGAGTGAGGAAATGCCTCTCCCTGCTTCGGCTCGTGCACGGTGCGCGCACCCACTGACCTGCGCCCACTGTCTGGCACTCCCCAGTGAGATGAACCCGGTACCTCAGATGGAAATGCAGAAATCACCCGCCTTCTGCGTCGCTCATGCTGGGAGCTGTAGACCGGAGCTGTTCCTATTCGGCCAAACGTATGTTTATTGCGGCACTATTCACAATAGCAAAGACTTGGAACCAACCCAAATGTCCAACAATGATAGACTGGATTAAGAAAATGTGGCACATATACACCATGGAATACTATGCAGCCATAAAAAATGATGAGTTCATGTCCTTTGTAGGGACATGGATGAAATTGGAAATCATCATTCTCAGTAAACTATCACAAGAACAAAAAAACAAACACCGCATATTCTCACTCATAGGTGGGAACTGAACAATGAGAACACATGGACACAGGAAGGGGAACATCACACTCTGGGGACTGTTGTGGGGTGGGGGACGGGGGAGGGATAGCGTTGGGAGATATACCTAATGCTAGATGACGAGTTAGTGGGTGCAGCGCACCAGCATGGCACATGTATACATATGTAACTAACCTGCACATTGTGCACATGTACCCTAAAACTTAAAGTATAATAATAATAAATAAAAAAGAAAACCACCTAGCAGAGGAAAAATGTTAGAAAATCAATGATCTAAGCTTTCACCTTAAACAGTTAGATGAAAAGCTAATTAAATTTTGAAAAATTATTCTCAAACTTTAAAAATTAGAAAATATTTAGAACTGAGTGAAAATGAAAACCACCTAGCAGAGGAAAAATGTTAGAAAATCAATGATCTAAGCTTTCACCTTAAACAGTTAGATGAAAAGCTAATTAAAACCAAAGGTGAGGCCGGGCGCGGCGGCTCACGCCTGTAATCCCAGCACTTTGGGAGGTCGAGGTGGGCGGATCACAAGGTCAGGAGATCGAGATCATCCTGGCTAACACGGTGAAACCCTGTCTCTACTAAAAATACAAAAAATTAGCCGGGCGTGGTGGCGGGCGCCTGTAGTCCCAGCTACTCAGGAGGCTGAGGCAGGAGAATGGCATGAACCCGGGAGGTGGAGCTGGCAGTGAGCTGAGATTGCGCCACTGCACTCTAGCCTGGGCAACAGAGCGAGACTCCGTCTCAAAAAAAAAAAAAAAACCAAAGGTGAATAGAAGAAATGATAAAATAAGAGTATAAATTATTAAAATAGAATCTGAAGAAAATTTAATAAAACAAATGCTGATTTTTAAAGGTATCTACAATTGATATATTTTTAGGGAGACTGATTAAGAAAAATAGAGAAACTCAAATTACTAATATTAGGTCTGACATACCTAGTATCATAGGGATATTACTATGATTTTCAGACATTGAAAGGACAGCAAGATATTATGAACATTGTGCCAATAGATTTGACAGATTAAATGAAATGAATGAATACTTTGAAGAAACAGAAAGAATTACAAAAAACTATGCTGTCCAATATCAATTAAAGAAATTGAGGTCAAACTTGTTCTTCCTTGTTTGTGGGAGCTAAGGAAAACTGAGAAGTAGAATTGTGGTTATTAGAGGGTGGGAAGGATAGAAGGAGGGGATGATGGGAAGAGGTCAATTAACAGTTACACCTAGATGAGAGGAATAAGTTCTAGTGTTCTGTAGCACTATAGAGTGAATATGATTAACAACAATTTAGTGTATATGTGTTAAGCCATTCTCATGTTGCTATAAAGAAACACCTGATGCTGTGTCATTTATGAAGAAAAGAGATTAAATTGGCTCATGGTTCTGCAGGCTATTTAGGAAGCATGGCATTGGCATATGCTTGGCCTCTGGGGAGGCCTCAGGGAACTGTTGCTCATGGCAGAAGGCAAAGCAGGAATAGGCACATCATACGTCAAGATTGGGACCAAGAGATGTAGGGGAAGGTGCTGCACACTTTTCAAAACCAGATTTTGTGTGAACTCAGAGTGAGAGCTCACTTATCCCCAAGGGGATGATGTCAACCATTCATGAGGGATCTGCCCCTGTGATCCAAATACCTCTCAGCAGGCCCCACCTCCAATACTGGAGACCACATTTCAACATGAGATTTGGAGAGGATACATATTCAAACCATATTAATATATTTTCAAAAGCTAGAAGAGAGGATTTTGAATGCTCACAATACGAAGAAATAACAAATGTTCAAGGTGAGGGTTATGCCAATTACCCTGATTTGATTATTATACATTGTATACATGTATGGAAATATCACTCTGTATCTCATAAATAGGAATAATTTTTAAGTTTTAACTTAAAAAGGGGAGAAAAGATATTGTACTCATAATAAAAATACATTCAGGGCCCAAATGGCATCATTGATGAATCCTATTGACCTGCCAAGGTAGAAATGAGTGTCCTTTCAGAAAATAGAGAAGGAGTGGAAACCTCTCATCATTTTATCATCTCTTGCTATCAAAACAAGACAAAGATATCAATATAAAAGAAAACTACAAACTAATATTCCAAAGGAAATAAATAGGATAAGTGAGATTATCTACAAAAATGCAAGAGTTAACATTAAAGAAATAAATTAATGTAATTGAACATATTGATGGATTAAAGGGAAAAAACATAGTATTATCTCAGTATATGCAACTATTATCTCACATATTTCTAGTAGGAATGTAAAATTAACCACTTCGGAAAACAGTTTAGCAATTACTTTATAAAGTTAGAAATACATCTACATAGGACTCAGTGGTTACATTCCTAGATTTTTACCCAAGAAAAATGAAAATATATGTCTCCTCAAAGACTGATACACACATGTGCATAGCAGCTTGATTCATAATAGCCCCAACTGGAAACAATCAAAATGTCCAAAACCAAGGGAACAGCTAAACAAATTGTGTTATACACACAGTCAAATACTACTCAGCAGTAAAAATAAATGAAATACAAATACACAAAATCACATGAATATATCTCAAAGCATCCTGTTAAGAAAAATAGCAAGACATAAAGAGTATATCCTGAGCATTTTCATTCACATGTACTGTAGTTCTAGAATAGATGAAAGTAATTTAGCATCATCGTGGTTGTTTTGTGTTTAGACTATGGATGAAATGACTAAGGCAGCATAAAAAAACTTGTCAAAGTGATGGAAATATGGCATATCTTGTTTGTGATAGTGTTTATACCAAATATGCACATATTTGTCAAAACTCCTCAAAATGTACCCTTAAAATGGCTGTATTTTATTGTATGCAAATTTTATATGAATGAAGTTGATTTCAAAGGACAACAACTGCAAAATTTTGGGGGATTCTCAGTGACCAAAGTTGCATGGTCAAGGTTATACGTGGCTCCTCCCTTCACATAGTACAGCAAAGCTCTTCTTATTCAGGCACCAACCAGCCAAGCAAGTTCTCCACCCAGGGTGCTGAGCTCTTAATGAAACCAGAAGCCAAAAGGTGAGCCTAAGCTGCCCCACAACTGCTTACTCTGAAAAAAGGCACCAACACCCCTCCAGAGGTAATCTTCTTAAAGACATAAATTCACAGGAAACACTTTTTGTGGGGTTTCTTCCCTGTTCAGACATTCCTGTAGTGTCTGATTTTTTTTTTCTCGTTCTGAGGTTTTGTTTTGTTTTTAATCCTTCTCAGTATGATGATAGATTTATAGGCCGGTAGGGTGGGCAAGTAGCTAGATTAATAAATTAGTTCATTCAGTATGTAACAGACTTAATCAATCCTAGAACACTATGTGAGCAAAGGGTAATAAATGGACAAATGGGGAGCCTAAGAGATTTTATTAAAAATGCAAGTTGAAGGGAGCCCTAGTGTCCTATCTTAATGTCACCATTATTCAATCCTCTTTGAGTTCATTTTCAAAGTATAGTGGCCAGGGAAAGAAAAGCTTTATTTGTGAAACATCAGCACTCAAATGAGAATATTTGCACTAAGAAGTAGCAATCTGAGCAATATCAGAATTGGTGGAGCAGAAAGTCTAGGAGATTGTGGTTAGACAAACCTGGGTTTCATGCTCATCTCCACTTTTTACTTGTTTAAGGAATACCAATATTTTGCATGATTGGAAAATAAATGAAGTTGCTTCATGTCTTGTTTTGGAAATCTTATTAAATATAAAAGAAATTTACAAATCAACATTACTGGAATAGTTAAGTATAAGCAATATACTTTGAATATATTTGCTGCTTAATAATTTTTTATGAAATGAAATTAAAAACAATCCACAAAGAGTCAGAGATAAAGATTGTCGTCCAGATACCTCATAATAATTGAGATTTGTTGAGTAATTGCTCAACTTTCAATACTTTCTAAATGTGAAAAACACTTATCTTTGTTAAACTTGACCAGTTTGGTTCATTTACTTGGTCAAGTTTCTTAACTTCCTTAGAGCTCATTTTTCACATCCGTAAAAAAGGCAAAGATTACCTAAAATCCAGCAAAGTGCCCGGAACCATTTTAGTTGTTTGTATCAAGGTTTTTGAATGGAGATAAAGAAGTAAGAATTTATTCTGTTTCCTCAGCTTGACATTGACTAGAAGCATGTAGTTCTCTATCTGAACAGCTTCTTATAAGCATTCAAAGGCCAGCTGCTGTTACTATATTGTCTTGTGCTAGGACCTTGTCATTGTTACTATTGGGAAAGAGTTGGCCCTACAACTTAGATAACTTAATAGCTCAATGAGATGGTGTTTAATTTTCTTTTGCTTATTCTTCCTAGATTTCTTATAAAAAAAAAACAAAAACAAACCAACAAACAGCAACAACAACAAAAAACACTGGCTGGCCACCAAAATTTACCAAATTAAGTCAGCGAACTTAAGAGATGATTTGATCCATGCTTACCATTGAGTTTCATCTAGTTCCAAAGCTAGCAATTGACTGACCAAACTTGCTCAATTAATATCCAAATTGGACACTGGAGCACTGGATAATACAACATAGATAATTAGAAAATTTATCATTGAAATCTGTTTTTTAAAAATATATGTCTGTGTAGCTGTCCTCTTGGTTCAGAATTACCTCTCCTCTGTACTTTGGACTTTCAGAAAACTCATGATTTTTAAAAAGAAAAGAGTTATATTTCTACCTAGGATGTAGAAAATAGAGAGATGGAAGAAATGTTACTTCCACATTACAAAATTGTTTTGTTTAATCACAAACATATGTGTGTATATCTATATATTATATGTATTATACATGCATACATAATATATACCTAAGATATATATATACACATCATATAAATGCTGTGTTTATACACATCTCATGTACTTATGTATAGCCTCACAGATTCAAACAAGAATATCTTGTATGAATAGTCTTGTATGAAAGACTCTGAGAGAAAGTGAAAGACTCTATGTGAGAGTTTTGAAAGAGAGCATTCTGAGTACCCAACTCTGTGGGTTTTACACCTCCTCCTATAATACCTCAATAACTTACTAAGCAAGTAAGATGACTTTTAGTTAATGTTTCCTGGAAATAAACAAATAAGAACTGTGTAAAAGAAGTTCATTAAAGATTGCATTTAGGAATGATGCCTGGAAGTAAGGGAAAATAAAAAGTTGCACTGTGATTAAGTTATCACAGAGGTCTCAGCCAAATCACCGGGCAGCTCTGAAGCTGGAATGGCTTTCTGGTGTTTCAAGATGAGGCAAGTTTCCAGAGCCTTCATGGCCCTGTTAGGACTAGTTATTGTACCTCTTATGCCCGTAGTGAAGGAGTGTAACTTTTGTGGAAACACAAATCCATTAAGTCTAGGGCAAGCACCAGAGAGGGTAGCAGCTATCGGCCATCAAGCTAAGAATCCTAGATTTTTGATAGCTAAGAGAATGAGTGTCCTGAAAGAGAGATCTGGGTGATAAAAGTAATATCCACTACAAGTCATCCCTTGCATTGCTTCCTATAGTAACTTTACTTCTTCTGTGTACAGCTTCTGCACGATTCTTATTGATATCATTTATTAATAATGTGTAAGAGGAAGGTTGGTGACTTGAACTATATAGCCTTTGCTGGTCTTGAAGCTTTAACTGATCTTCATTAGCTTTCTTCTTTACTATCTTCATCTGCGGCTATTACCTCTGCTGGTCTAGGTTTCTCACCTGATGGATACGTCCTTCCTCTGGGAACCCAGATCTGCAGATTTACAGAGCCTAAAGTTTTGAAAAAAAGCAAAAATGTCCAGGGTCACTGATAATAAGGTCCAGCAGAGACATTCCTACTTCAAGTCTGGTTCCCATACCCAAGTATTCTACCTACAGGGAAGCTAACATTATGTAATGGTTGTATCAGAGTGTAAGTGCACCCTGGAGGATAGTGCACCATACTTGCAGAATGGCACCTAGTGGTACTTTCAAAAGGCTACTTCATCCAACTATAAAACTGGCAGCTTCTGGATGATATGAAGCAGTAGGACCAGTGAATCTCATTGTCCTGAGCCCATAGCAATATCTATACTGCTGTAAAGTCAACTGCAAGATCTAAGGCAATGTTTTATAGGATCTCATGTTGTGGGAAAACCCCTTTAAGTTCTCTAAAAAGGAGCTGGCTGGGGTCCTGAAGGTAGGAAAGGAAAATTTATATCCACAATAAATGTCAATCCTGTTCAAGGTCAAATCATTCTCTCTCAATGGTTAAAGGGGTCTGTTGTAATTAACTTTCCCCAATTGGATGGTTGATATCCTTAAGAAATGATGCCATATCAAGGAGCACAGTATTGGTCCCAGTTGCTGTCATGTCAGACATTCAGTAGTGGAAGTAGCGAAATAAACTTTGGTAATTTTGAATCTTTGCTGCTGGGCTCGTTTGTAGCCTTCATATCTGCCACTGTAGATACTCCCTTCAGGCCCTGAGTACCAGCCTTGGAATAGCCACACTGAAAGCCTAGCTGACGTCAACTGTTCCAGTCATTCTGACTCTTGATGGTTTAGTGCCTCCTCCATAGCAGATGCTCTCTGGTGGGAATTTCTATACAATTTGCTATGTGCCAGTGACTACCAGAGAGTACCAAAATGATTCCTTCGTGCCTCCCTTTCCCTTGCTTTCTGAACAGTAATGTCTACAGTGTT
Source organism: Homo sapiens (assembly GCF_000001405.40). Taxonomy (NCBI): domain Eukaryota; kingdom Metazoa; phylum Chordata; class Mammalia; order Primates; family Hominidae; genus Homo; species Homo sapiens. The sequence goes on from NC_000003.12 coordinate 190,972,452, forward strand.
TACACTATGCTTATCTTCCCATGATATCATGTGGAATAGGGAGGTTATATTGCCTGTTGATTTTACAGCTCTAAAACTTAACTCTACGAGCCAAAAATAAGAAGCTGCCCCCAAGGACCGCCGTCTGTACCTGGATGTGATTTAGACTTTAAGCAGATGCTGTACAAATATAGGACTTCGGAGAGTCTTCAAAAAGGAGAAGTATATTTTAAATATGATATAAATGTAAAATAAATTGCAGGCAGAGGGCAAATTGTGGAGTTTTAAAAACATATTTATAAGTTTTTTGACATTGCTCCTTTCAAAGAGTAAAGTTTAGTTTCCACCTCTTTTGAGTATGAACTGGATTTAATGACTCTTTCTTCATGAATGTCTTGCAGTAAAAGTGCTGGTGTGTAAGTCAGGTCATAAAAGACAATATGAAGTCAGCTTCTCTCTTGGATCACCCACACTGGGGGAGGTCAGCTATTACTTTGTGAGTACACTTGAACCCCCTTATGGAGCAGATCATGTGACAGAGAACTGAGGCTTCTGGCCAATGCCAGCAAGGAACTGAGACCTGCTGCCAACAGCCACATTAGTAATCATGGAAATGGATCCTGTTGCCCTAGTTAAGTCTCCAGATAATTGCAACGGAGACTGACATCCTGTTAGCAACTTTATGAGAGCCCTCTAGCCTATAGGCACTCCCAAATTCCTGAGTCACAGAAACTATGAGGTAATAGATATTTGTTGTTTTAAGCCATTAAGTTTAAGGGTAATTTGTTATGGACTGGTAGAACTACCATCATCACTGATAACTACAAGAGTGATATATTAGTTTAGTAGTATACAAAGTTTGAGGAATTTTATATTCAGCTACCAGTGTCAAATTTTCAGTGTCAAGTGAAAATGTGTCAGCAAACAAGAGACCATATTTTCCCAGCTAAAGTTATTACTGAATCTTAGTATCCATCTAGAAACTCAAAATTATTTGAACTTCTTAAATATAAGCATAACAAATCAAGGAGTTAAAGTCACATATAATATATCCAGTTCACAAATTAATAAAAATGCCACAAGGTTTTAAAGAAAATATGTTGTATATAATTTATCTTTAACATATTCAATGAAATCAAATGGAATATTTAAAATGTTTAATTAGGTTCTTACTATCTATCTCAAATAAGATATTTTTCTATTTTCAGGCTAATTTTTGAAGTTCCACAAATTGAAACAAAATGTTAAAATATTTGACTAACCTTAGAATTTATGTGCCACTAACATCCAAATAAACCTTACTCAATTAAGAAGTATGTAATATAAGATGATAGATTGTGAAACAGAAAAACAACATAGAAAAATATAAGAAAAACAATTCCTAAGCCTCCGTAATTGCATTTATATGAGCAATCTTTAAGCTAGTTACTCAGAGCACAAGAAAATAAAAGGAAAGCACTTATATATTATCTGTGTTAGGTGGCAGAAATGTAAGACATTTATCTTCAGAGCTATATTTTTCCTGGGAACAAACACAAACTAGAATGTACCTAAAGATTTTTTGTGCATGTGACAAAGTGAATAATGACTTCTTTGTACTATGTAATGTTGGGATCAAAAGAATCATTCTTGTAAAGATTATGTGCATAGGCTGAAAGAGCGATGCTACGTGATAAATCAGTGGAGGCATTTTTTCCAGAGATTGAGATAAAGAGGCCTAGGTAGTTCAATTTCAGTTTTAATCATCTTATAATATAGGAGTGGAACTCAGAGTCTACTGGAATATTAGCACAGTTTTTGCCCGAAAAATCAGGTTTCATGCGAACCTTTGAAAGTGCTATATTGGTAGTCAACTCACAGAATTATTCTTTCCATGACTGGTGTGCTGACATTCTGTGTGACTGGCTTCAGTGAATTAGAGAGAAACTAAATTATTACTTTTTTAATAGCCAGCTTTGTATTTTTACACAGATGTAAAATGTTCTCTTGGTTTTCATTACTCAGTGATGAAGACAGTGGTCTTTTTAAGTAGTTTAGACCATAGATATTATATTTAAAAATATATCGGCATATATTGACCACTGTGTATGTGCAAACATGTACATGGATGTGTGTCTATATTCCATATCCAGCTAACATGATCTTCCATCATCTAAAGCTAAAGCTCACAGCATAGCCTTTCCCTTGTGATTATTGAATCCAGAGTATAGACATGGGTAAAATCAAAATCTGTGAAGAAAGGGTAACAAACTAATAAGCAAATCAAAACATGTGGGAAAAAATGCTCACATTCCTTCCTCAGCATCCATGGCTTATAGCCCTAGGAAATGAGAAAATACATACAGCTGATCTTTGAACAACATGGATTTAAACTCTGTGTGTCCATTTATATATGGATCTTTTTCCAATAAATATATTAGAAAAAAATTGGAGATTTGTAAACAATTAGAAAAAAACAATTAGAAAAAAGTATACAACCTGGAAATACTGAAAAAATTTAGAAAATATATGTCATGAATATATAAAATATATGTGGATACTCATTCATTACCATAAAAAATATACATACATTTATTATAAAACATTAAAATTTATAAAATTTATGCACACACCTACAGATTGCATATAATACTATTCACAGTTGACAGAAATGTAAACAAGCATAAAGAGGTAGTATTAAATTATAACTGTATAAAGTTAAGTGTAGCACATACAGTACTACTGTAATAATTTTGTAGCCATCTCTTGTATGAGCTCAAGTGTTGCAAACTGGTTAAAATGCCATGTGACACCAATCATTTCCATGTAAGCAACTGTTTCTCCAGCAAATTGTGTATCACAGTAAAAAGTGATCTCTCATGGTTCTTGCATATTTGATTAGAGCAATACCATAAAACTTGAATAACATCATGGGACCTATACAAAGTACACTAGTGATGCTGAAAGTGCTCCCAAGAAGCAGAGAAAAGTTGTAACGTTACAAGAAAAAGTTGAATTGCTTGATATGTGTACCATAAATTGAGATCTGCAACTGTGGTTGACCACCATTTCGAGATAAATGAATATAGCATAAGAACTACTTCAAAAAAGAAGAAAAGGTAATTCATGAAGGTGTTACTGCAGCTATGCCAGCAGATGTGAAAACCTTGCATGTTTTGTGAAATATCTTTTTATCTCATATTGAAAATGCAGCTTTTGCTTTTTGCGGGTGCAGGGTTTCTATAAGAAAGGTATATGTATACATTTTAATATGATTCAAGATAAAGCAAAGTCATCATATGACAACTTAAAAGGGAGGTAAAGAATCTAAAGCTGGAGAATTTGATGCCAACAAAGGATGGCTTCATAATTTTAGAAGAGGTTCAGTTTTAAAAATGTCAAGATAACAGGAAAAGCTGCTTCTGCCCACCAAGAATCAGCTGACCAGTTCTCAGATGTCATGAAAGAAATAATCGTGGAGAAGGGACATCTGCCTGAACTGATTTTTAATGCAGATGAAAGTGCCATATTTCAGAACACAAAACAAAACAAAACATGCCACATGGGTCATTTATCAGTGAGGAAGAGAAGTGAGCACCAGGATTTAAGGCAGAAAGAGATAGGCTAACTCTACTATTTTGTGCAAATGCAGTCAGGTTTGTGATCAGGACTGGCGTTATCTATAAAACTTCTGACTCTGAGTCTTGAATGGAAAAGATGAATACCAGTTGCCAGGCTTTTGGTTGTACAAGAAGAAGGCCTGGCCAGTGAGAACACTTTTCTGGATTGATTTCCCTGATACTTTGTTCCTGCAGTCAGGAAGTGACTTGCCAGGAAGGGGCTGCCTTTTACATTTTTTGATATTGGACAATGCCTCTGGCCATCCAGAACGCGAGGAGTTCAACACCAAAGTCACTGAAGTGGCCTACTTGCCCCCAAACACGACATTTCTAATTCAGTCTCTAGATCAGGAGATCATAAGGAACTTTAAGGCTCATTACACACGGTACCCTATGGAAAGATTTGTCAATGCTTTGAAAGAGAGTACTGATAGATAGAACATCATGTAAGTCTGGAAGTGTTACACCATTGAAGATGCCATCATTATTATAGAAAAACCTGTGAAGACCTTCAGATCTAAAACAATAAATTCCTGCTGGAGAAACTGCCCTGATGTTGTGCAAAACTTCATAGGACTTAGGACAGCCATTCAAGAAAATCATGAAAGAGTTTGTGGATATGGCAAAAAAAGGGTGAGGGGTGAAGAGTTTCAAGACATACAATCTTCCAAGAAATTCAAGAGCTAATAACAGACGACTTAACAGGAGACAACTTGATAAAGATGAGTGCCTGCTAACGAGTGCCAGGAGATCAGAAAGAAGTACAAGAAGCAATGCCAGGAAACAAATTGACATTAGACAATCTGGCAGAAGGGCTATGATTATTCAAGACTGTTTTTTATTTCTTATATGATATGGACCCTTCTATAATATGGGCACTGAAACTAAAGCAAATGATGGAAGGATTGGCACTATATAGAAACATTTTAGAGAAATGAAACACAAAAAGTCAGACAGAAATTATGATGTATTTCTGCAAAGTTCCAACCAAATGTGCCTGCCTCTCCTGCCTCCCCTTCCACCTCCTCTACATCTTTTGCCTCTGCCAGCACTGAGTCAGCAAGACCAACCCCTCTACTTCCTCTTCCTTCTAACCCTTCTTAAGGTGAAGATAATGAGAATGAAGATCTTTATGTTAATCTACTTCCAATTAATAAATAGTAAATATATCTTCTTTCTTATAATTTTCTTAGTAACATTTTCCTAGCTTTATTGTAAGAATACAGTATATAATGCATATACAAAATATGCATTAATTGGCTGTTATGTTATCAATAAGGTGTCCAGTCAACAGTAGTCTATTAGTAGTTTAATTTGGGGGCACTCAAAAGCTATATGTGGATTTTCAGCTATGGGGAGGGGTTGATAGCCCTAACCCCATGATCAAGGTTCTACTGTACTCTAGTGATAATTCAGAAGAGTTGCCCCCTATTTATCATTTTCTCTACCATCTTTTTAAAAAATATTTTTTCTTCTTATTTTTCTGTGTATCTCTTTACAATGTCTTTCACTTTTCCACCCATGATTCTTTCACGCTGTACTCCTGATCTTCCCCAAATACTCAACTTCTCTTCTTAACTGGACCCATATAAACAACACATTAATAGACATAATAGTCAATAGCTACCAGTTATTAAGTGCTTTTTATATGCCATAGTCCTAATAATTTTGCATTAATTTGTTCATTTTATTCTTATAATATTTCTATAAAAAAGGCATTATTATTATCTCCATTTTACTGATAAGGAAACAGAAGCATAGGAAGTTTAAGTAGTTCATCCAAGGTCACACAGCTAGTGAGTGACAGAGCCAGGCTTTCTGCCTCTATAACCCCTACTTTTATCCTTGACATCATTTTGCATACTTGTTGTCATATATGTTGTACCCTCACTGTAATGACATTGTATGTTCTTTGTTTATAAATTTAAAAGTAGATGACTAGAGAAATAGTCACATTAGGCTACTAAAAACTCATGTCCAGTTTCAGTCCATTTTTAAAAAACACAAATACATATATAATTTTTATGTCTTATAAATATTTTATGCAAATTCATTATTATTTTTCTATAATTATATTATATAGTAAATAAATCCTGGCCCTCAGACTTGAGTTTAATTATAAACATATACTTTTGACCTGTGTTTTAAAGGATCAAATGTTATGATAGCAAATTAGCACATGAAGTCTGTTGGAAAAGTAAAATATACTCAATCAAATACTTGGCTTTGGGTTTGTGCCTTGGACCCCGTGACTGAATAAATGGATAGTTGTGGGTTGAGAATGGAAAGAGGCTGATCCACACTGTTTTTATCACTCTTTATCTTGTACTTGTACCTCTACTTTCTAAGTATTTGTAATAAATTTAATATATTATATTGAAAAAGGCAGATTAATTTACTGCCTTAGTATCACAGAAAGGCACTGTCCTTCACAGTATCACAGTAGGTAAGGTAGCAGGGTGCAATGAATAAAATCTGTATCTTTACATTTTTTAAATTTAATTTTTGTGGGTACATAGTAGGTGTATATACTGATACAATTTAGCTCTATGTCCCCACCCAAATCTCACCTTGAATTGTAATAATTCCCATTCTAGGGCTGGACAATGTGGAGATAATTAAACCATGGGGGAAGTTTCCCCAGTGCTGTTCTTGTGATAGTGAGTGAGTTCTTGCAAGATTCGATGGTTTTATGAGGGGCCCCCCCTTCGCTTGGCACCCAACCTCTCTCCTGTTGCCCTGTGAAGAGGTGCCTTCCACCGTGATTATGTTTCCTGAGGCCCCCCCAGTCATGCAGAACTGTGAGTCAATTAAAACTTTTTAATATAAATTACCCGGCCGAGGCGGGCGGATCACGAGGTCAGGAGATCGAGACCATCCCGGCTAAAACGGTGAAACCCCGTCTCTACTAAAAATACAAAAAATAGCCGGGCGTAGTGGCGGGCGCCTGTAGTCCCAGCTACTTGGGAGGCTGAGGCAGGAGAATGGCGTGAACCCGGGAGGCGGAGCTTGCAGTGAGCCGAGATCCCGCCACTGCACTCCAGCCTGGGCGACAGAGCGAGACTCCATCTCAAAAAAAAAAAAAAAAAAAAAATATATATATATATATATATATATATATATAAATTACCCAATCTCCAGTATTTCTTCATAGCAGCATGAGAATGGAGTAATATAGTAAATTGGTACCAGGTAGTAGGGCACTGCCATAAAGATATCTGAAAATGTGGAAGCAACTTTGGAACAGGCAGAGGTTGGAACACTTTGGAGGCCTCAGAAGAAGACAGGAAGATGTGGAAAACTTTGGAACTTTCTAGAGATTTGTTGAATGGCTTTGACCAAAATGCTGCTAGTGATATGGAGAATGAAGTCAACACCAAGGTGGTCTCAGATAGAGATGAGAAACTTCTTAAGAACTAAAGCAATGGTGACTCTTGCTATGCATTAGCAAAGAGACTGGTGGCACATTGCCTGTGCCCTAGAGATGTGTGGAATTTTGAACTTGGGAAAGATGATTTAGGATATCTGGTGGAAGAAATTTCTAAGTGGCAAAGTGTTCAATAGGAAGCAGAGCATAAATGTTTGGAAAATTTGCAGCCTGACCATGTGATAGAAAAGAAAAACCTATTTTCTAAGGAGAAATTCAAGCCCTCTGCAGAATTTTGCATAAGTAACAAGACGCTGAATGTTAGTCACCAAGACAATGGGGAAAATGTCTCCAGGACATATCAGAGAACTTCACAGCAGCCTCTCCCATCACAGGTCCAGAGACCTAGGAGGGAAAAAATGGTTTTGTGAGCCTGTCCCAGGGTCCCCCTTACTCTATGCTGCCTCGGGACATAGGGCCCAGTATCCCAGCTGCTTCAGCTCCAGCCATGGCTAAAAGGGGTCAATGTACAGCTCAGACCATTACTTCAGAGGGTGCAAGCCCCCTTGCTTGGCAGCTTCCACGTGGTGCTGTGCCTGTGGGTACACAGAAGACAAGAATTGAGGTTTGGGAACCTCTGCCCAGATTTCAGAGGATGTATAGAAATGCCTGGATATCCAGGCAGAGGTTTGCTGCAGGGACAGAGCCCTCATGGAGAACTCCTGCTGGGGCATTGCAGAAGGGAAATGTGGTGTTGGAGCCCCCACACAGAGTCCCTACTGGGCCACTGCCTAGTAGAGCTGTGAGGAGAGAGCCACCATCCTCCAGACTCCAGAATGGTAGATCCATCAACAGCTTGCACAGTGTGCCTGGAAGAGTCACAGGCACTCAATGTCAGCCCATGAAAGCAGCTGACAGGGGGACTGTACCCTTCAAAGCCACAGGAGTGGAGCTGCCTGAGGTTGTGGGAGCCCACCTCTTGCATCAATGTGACCTGGGTGTGAGGCATGGAGTCAAAGGGGATCATTTTGGAACTTTAAGGTTTAATGACTCCCCAGTTAGATTTTTGGACTTGCATGGGGCCTGTAGCCCTTTTGTCTTGGCCAATTTCTCCCATTCAGAATGGGTGTATTTAACCAATGCCTATACCCTCATTGTATCTAGGAAGTAACTAACTTTCTTTTGATTTTACAGGCTCATAGGCAGAAGGAACTTGTCTTGTCTCATCTGAGACTTTGAACTTGGACTTTTGGGCAAATTCTGGAATAAGTTAAGACTATGGGGGACTGTTTGGAAGGCATGATTGTGTTTTGAAATGTGAGAATATGAGATTTGGGAGGGGCCAAGGGTGGAATGATATGGTTTTGCTCTGTGTGCTCACCCAAATCTCACCTTGAATTGTAGTAATTCTTACATGTTAATGGTGAGACCAGGTGGAGATAATTGAATCGTGGGGGTGGTTTCCTTCATGCTGTCCTCCTGATAGTAACTTCTCATGAGATATTATGGTTTTATAAGGGGCTCTCCATCACTTGGCACTCATTCTCTCTCCTGCCACCTTGTGAAGAGTTGTCTTCTACCATGATTGTAAGTTTCCTGAGGCCTCCTCAGCCATGTGGAGCTGTGAGTCAATTAAACCTCTTTTTAAAATAAATTACCCAGTCTCAAATACTTCTTCATAGTAGCATGAGAACAGACGCTTATGGAGTACATGAGGTATTTTGATACAGGCATGCAATGAATAATTAGCACATCAGGGTAAATGAGGTATCCATCATCTCAGGCATTTATACTTTATGCTACAGACAATCCAAGTATGTTCTTTTAGTTATTTTTCAATGTACAATAAATTATTGTTGACTGTAGTCACTCTGTTGTACTGTCAAATACTAGATCCTATTCATTCTATCTGTCTATCCATATTTTCATACCCATTAACTATCCCTTTTTCTTCCCTGCGTACTACCCTTTTCAGCCTCTGGTAACCACCCCAAAAGCAAAATACTACTACTACTACTACTAATAATAATAATAATAATAATAAATTTTATAGGAATGTACAATAAACATTTAATCATTTTTCTTGTGTTGCAAATGTTTGTTTTTTCTTCTTTTGGTACAATTATAAATAGAGTTGTAATAAACATAATCAGTAAGTAAATAAAAGGGAAAAAAACCGCATCTTCATCCCACTAGGCTGGGATTTGTTTATTAATTTTTTTATTTTTAGTGACAGAATCTGTCACTCAGACTAGAGTGCAGTGTTGCAACCATAGCTCGCTCTAACCTTGAACTCCTGAGCATAAGTGATCCTCTTCCCTCAGCCTCCTGACTGGCTAGGACTGCAGGTGTGCATCACTGTGCCTGTCTATTTTTTTTAATTTTTTGTAGAAACAGTGCCTTGATATGATGCCCAGGTTGATTTTGAACTCTTGGCCTCAAGTGATCCTCCTGTCTTGGCATCCCAAAGTGCTGGGATAACAGGCACATGCCACCATGTCCAGCTTAGACCTGGAATTAAATTATCACCTTCCCTTTTACAAATCATGCATATTGGACCAAGTCTTATCAATAATTTTGTCTTTGTTTCCACATCCACGTGTGAATCAAAACTTCTGATGATATCTTGTATAAATAGCTTTGAAAAGTATAAGTGCTAAATGTGCAATATAAAATTTAGTTTTATCTTCAAACATAGAATAGCAATTTACTTACTGATTTCTCTTTCACAAAATTTGAGGACACTAAATTTAATTTTCTTGAATTTAATTTTTATTCATCATTATATTATTAGGCAACTATCTTGGGTGAAACCATTATTCTCAATAGAAGTAATAGGAAAAACCTCTATAGCTGTCCAAATGCCTCCAATTGCCTTGGTGGCTAAGTTTTTTCTTTGGGCCAGAGGAAATTCTTTACTAAAATATGAAGTCAGCAGATTTCAGTAATATATTGTGAATCCAAAAAAAAAAGATTGGATTAGAAGGGTTTAAGACAATTTTAATTACATGGAGTGGGGACGCCTTCATAAACCCAAAGTCAAGGTTATGTTCCCCTTTGGTTTCCTCATTTCCTCTTCATCTGATAGAATCTTAATTTTAAGAAGATAAAATAAGCTCAGAGATATAAAACATCAGAAGCATCACATCTAGGGAGCCCCCTTCAGGATTGCAGAACTTGCAATCTTAGAAATCAATGGAATCCACAGAGCAAAATATTAAAATAAATAATAGAGGACAGTGAGCTTGCTCAAAACAGTATCAACTTACACAAATTAATAATCTGCTGGAAAATGCAATTTTTCAAAGGTGGCATGTAATTAAAAAGAACTTCTCAAATGGTAATAAAATTACAAACTTTTTATGAATAAATATTACTGAAAGATATTCAAGGTGCTTATGGATAAAATCTAATTCAATAGAAATAGATAAAATAATACAACAATGACATATCTACATAATGTTCACGGAGGGATAGGAAAACACTCTATACAAATATGTTAATTCTTTTAAAATTAATTTATAAACAATAAATCACAAATCAGAATACTGATGAGATTTATATGGAAAGGGAAAAAGTCAATATGAGCTAAGAAAACTTTGAGTAATGCATATAATGTGGGGATGTTTTACTTATGTAAATATCAATATTTATTGAAAATTTAAGTAATAAAATTGGGTGCTCTTCATACAAATATAGAAAATAAACAATGAAAGATAATAGATAATAAAAAACATCTATATATGCTACATATGTGTGTATAACATATAGATGTAATGGCATATGACAGGAATGGCATTTAAAATCAAGCAGAAAAGGATATATCAGTTTGGAAATAATTTTAAATAGCTACATGTATGAAAAGAATTAGATGTATAACTTACCCCCAGGCCCACACAAAGACACACAATTCCAGACGGATTAAGCAGCCACATATTATAAACAAAAATTTAAGCATTTAAAAGGAAATAAAAATATACTTATTAGTTAGTTGTTCCAGGAAAGTTTTCTTACCCTAGACTTAAAACCACTAATAACAGTATGATAAAACGTCGATGTTTGAATTAATCAAAATCAATAACTTTACATAACAAAGCACTCCATAGAAAAACTTGGAAAGAAGTTCAGACTGGAAGTTATTTTCATCAGTATCTCCAATAGCTTTTTTTATAATTCCAGGAAATAAACTAGAGAAAGAAAAATAATCCAATGTAAAGTTGAGTGAAGATAGAAGCAAACAGATCTCTGATGTGGCTGTTTAAAAAGCTGTATTTTTGCATAAGAAGTTGTCCCAAAACAAATTGCTTAAAATCATAAGCAATTATTTATTAAGTCAATCTTTTCCTTGGTCTGGAATTTGTAAGGGTCTTAGCTGAGTGGTTCTGGCTCAGTGTCTTTCATGAGGTTTCAGGCAAGACACCAACCAGGCCTAGAGTCGTCTGAACTTTGACCAGGAATGGAAGATCTACTTCCAAGATGGCTCATCCATGTGGCTATTGGAAGAAAGCCTCAGTTTCTTGCTAGTTCTTGGCAAGAGGTGTCCATTGTTTGCTGTTTACTGTCAAAAAGTCTCAGTTTTTATCCACATAGACTTCACATGCTGCTTGAGTGTACTCAGTATGTGGCAGCTGCTTCTGTCCCCCTTTCCTTGCCACCGGGGGAATCAAGATAGCACACAAGCAGGAAACCACAGTGACAGATAGGACCTATTCTATGAAGGAGCAGAACTTCCTCTATTTTTCTATTAATAAAGAGTGAGTCACAAAATCTAGCACACCCTCAAGGGGAGAAAAATTATTCTCTATCTTTTAAAAGGTGTGCAAAAAACTTTGTAGACACATTTTAAACCCACTCTGATAAAGATGCCATAAAGCCCAATAGACTTAATGAAATATGCACCACCTTATGCAGAGATATCTCTGCATTTTTTGATTAATAGTAATCAAAAAATAAAAATTAGTGACACAAGAAAATACCACTTCATATTTACCAGGTTAGCAAAAGTTTAAATCTCCGAAAACAGTAATTGATGAGAGGAGTGCAGAATATCTTACTATTGTAGAGATACAAATTTTAGACAACAAGCAACATGCTTTATGACCAAGTGATTGCTGTTCTAGATATATACCTAAAAGATTCTAGCATAAATAATCAAAAGTAATAGGTGTAAGAATGCTTATTGTGGCATTGTTTATAATAGCAAAAATGAAATAATCTAAATGGCCAATAATAGAACAAATAAATTAATACTAATATATCTACATATGTTATTATAATACGAGTATAAGAATCAATGAGTCAGCTTATTTTTATCATTTTTTTCTTTTTCAGCTTTTATTTGAGGTTCAGGGGGTGCATGTGCAGGTGTGTTACATGGGTAAATTGCGTGTTGCTGGGGTTCGGAGTATAAATGATTTCATTACGCAGGTGTTGAGCATAATATTCAGTAGATATTTTTAACCCTTGCCCTCATTCCACCACCCACCATCAGGTAGGTGCTGTGTCTGTTGTTGTCCTGTTTATGTACATGTGTACTCAATATATAGCTCCCACTTGTAAGTGAGGACATCTGATATTTGGTTTTCTGTTTCTGCATTAACTCAGGATCATTTTGTCCATGTCCATCCATGTTGCTGCAAAGGACATGATTTCATTTTTTAAGGCTGCATACTATTCCATAGTGTATATGTAGTACATTTTCTTTATGCATTCCACCAATGATGATAATCTAGATTGATACCATGCATTTGCAAATGCAAATAGGGCTACAATGAACATACACATGCATGTGTCTTTTTGGTTGAACATTCTATATACCTTTGAGTATATACCCAGTAATGGGATTGGTGGGTGAAATGGTAGTTATGTTTTAAGTTCTTTGAGTAATCTCCAAACTGCTTTCCACAGTGGTTGAACTAATTTATAATTCTGCCAGCAATGTATAAATGTTCCCTTTTCTCTGCAACCTTGACAACATTTGTTATTTTCTGACTTTTAATACTAACCATTCTGACTTGTGTGAGGTGATATTTTGTTGTGGTTTTGATTTGCATTTCTCTAATGATTAGTGATGGTTGGCTTTTTTTTTCTTTTTTTGAGATGTAGCCTTGCTCTGTCACCCAGGTTGGAGTGCAGTGGTGTGATCTCGACTCACTGCAACCTCCGCCTCCCAGGTTTAAGTGATTCTCCTGCCTCAGCCTCCTGAAAAGCTGGGACCACAGGCACGCACCACCATGCCCAGCTAATTTTTGTATTTGTAGTTGACACAGGGTTCCACCATATTGGCCAGGCTTGTCACAAACTCCTGACCTCCTGATCCACCTGCCTCAGCCTCCCAAAGTGCTGGGATTACAGGTGTGAGCCACTGTACCTGGCCCATTTTTTTATATGATGTTGTCCCTGCATATGTCTTTCTTTGAGAAGTGTCTGTTTATGTCCCTTGCCCATTTTTTAATGGGGTGGTTTGTTTTGTTGCTTGTTGATTTAAGTTCCTTATAAATTATGGATGTTAGACCTTGCTGGATGCACAGCTGCAAATATTTTCTCTAATTCTGTAGGTTGTCTGTTTACTCTGTTGATAGTTTCTTTGGCCATGCAAAGCCTGTTAGTTTAATTAGAGCTCAGTTGTCAATTTTTATTTTTGTTGAAATTGCTTCTGGAGACTGTTGTGGGAAGTCAGGGACCCCAAATGGAGGGACCAGCTGAAGCCATGGCAGAAGAATGTGGATTGTGAAGATTTCATGGACATTTATTAGTTCCCCAAATTAATACTTTCATAATTTCTTATGCCTGTCTTTGCTGCAATCTCTAAACATAAATTGTAAAGATTTCATGGACACTTATCAGTACCCCAATCAAAACCCTTGTGATTTCCTATGCCTGTCTTTAATCTCTTAATCCTGTCAGCTGAGGAGGATGTATATCATCTCAGGACCCTGTAATAATTGCATTAACTGCACAAATTGTACAGCATGTGTGTTTGAGCAATATGAAATCTGGGCACCTTGAAAAAAGAACAGGATAACAGCAATGTTTAGGAAACAAGAGAGGTAACCTTAAACTCTGACTGCCGGTGAGCCGGGCAGAACAGAGCCATATTTCTTTTCTTTCAAAAGCAAATGGGAGAAATATTGCTGAATTCTTTTTCTCAGCAAGGAACATCCCTGAGAAAGAGAATGCGCACCTGGGGGTGGGTCTCTGAACTGGCCCCCCTGGGCGTGGTCGCGTCTTATGGTTGAGGCTGCAGGGGTGAAATAGACCCCAGTCTCCCATAGTGCTCCCAGGCTTGTTAGGAAGGGGAAATTCCCGCCTAGTAAATTTTGGTCAGACCGGTTGATCTCAAAAACCCTGTCTCCTGGTAAGATGTTATCAATGACAATGGTGCCCGAAACTTCATTAGAAATTTTAATTTCGCCTCGGTCCTGTGGTCCTGTGGTCCTGTGATCTCGCCCTGCCTCCACTTGCCTTGTGATATTCTATTACCTTGTAAAGTACTTGATGTCTGTGACCCACACCTATTCGCACACTCCCTCCCCTTTTGAAACTCCCTAATAAAAACTTGCTGGTTTTTGCGGCTTGTGGAGCATCACGGAACCTACCGACATCTGATGTCTCCCCTGGACACCCAGCTTTAGAATTTCTCTCTTTTGTACTATGTCCCTTTATTTCTCAAGCTGTCAAATGCTTAAGGAAAATAGAAAAGAACCTACGTGAATATCGGGGCAGGTTCCCTGATAAGACTTCATCATGAAATTTTTGCCAAGGCCTATGATATGGTTTGGCTCTGTTCCCCCACCCAAATCTCATGTTGAATTGTAATTCCCAATGTTGGGGGAGGAACCTGGTGGGAGGTAATTGGATCATAGGGGAAGATTCCCCCTTTGCTGTTCTCGTGATAATGAGTGAGTTCTCATGAGATCTGATGGCTTAAAAGTGTGTGGCACTTCCCCCTTCTCTCTGTTTCTCTCCTCCTCCACCATGGTAAGATGTGCTTGCTTCCCCTTTGCCCTCCACCATGATTGCAAGTTTCCTGATGCCTCTCAGCCATGCCTCCTGTACAGCCTCCAGAACTGTGAGTAAATTAAACCTTTTGCTCCATAAATAATCCAATCTCAAGTATGTCTCTATAGCAGTGTGAGAATGGACTAATACAGTAAATTGGTACCAGAGAAGTGGGGCATTGTTATAAAGCTACCTAAAAATGTGAAAGCAGTTTTGGAACGGGATAATGGGCAGAGATGGAACAGTTTGGAGGGCTCAGAAAAAGACAGCAAGGTAAGGGAAAGTTTGGAACTTCCAAGAGACTTACTGGATGGTTTTGACCAAAATGCTGATAGTGATATGGACAATGAAGGCCAGTCTGAGGGGCTCTCGGATGGAGATAGGGAACTTATTGAGAATTGGAGTAAAGGTCATTTTTGCTGTGCTTTAGAAAAGAGACTGGCAGCATTGTTCCCCTGCTCTAGGGATCTGTGGAACCTTGAACTTGAGAGAGATGATTTAGAATACCTGGAGGAAAAAATTTCTAAGCAGCAAAGCATTCAAGATGTGGCCTGGCTGCTTCTAAATGCCTATGCTCATTTGCATAAACAAATAAATGACCTGAAACTGAAACTTATAATTAAAAGAAAAGCAGACCATAAAAGTTTGAAAAATTTTCAGCCCAACCATGTGGTAGGAAAAACAAACAAACAAACAACAACAACAACAACAATAACAAAAAGACGTTTTTTCTGGGGAAGAATTCAGGAAGGCTGCAGAAATCTGCATAAGTAAATAGGAGTCCAACATTAATAGCCCAGACAATGGGGAAAATGCCTCTAAGAAATTTCAGAGACCTTCATGGCAGCCCCTCCCATGATAGGCCTGGAGGTCTAGGAGGGAAAAATGGTTTCATCCACTAAGCCCAGGGCCCTGCTTCTCTATGCAGCCTTGGGACATGGCATTCTATAACCTGGTCACTTCAGCTCCAGCTGTGGCTAACGAGGCCAATGTACAGCTCAGGGAATTGCTTCAGAGGATGCAAGCCCCAAACCTTGGCAGCTTCCACACTGTGTTGGGCCTGCAGGTGCACAGAAGGCAAGAGTTGAGGTTTGGGAACCTCTGCCTAGATTTTAGAGGATATATGGAAATGCCAGGATGTTCAGGCAGAAGTCTGCTACAGGGACAGAGCCCTTATGGAAAACCTCTACTAGGACAGTGTGGAGGGAAAATGTAGGGCTGCAACCCCCACCCCCACAGAGTCCCCACTGAGGAATTACTTAGTGGAGCTGTGAGAAGAGGGCCACCATCCTGCAGACCCCAGAATGGTAGATCCACTGACAGTTTGCATTGTGTGCCTGGAAAAGCTGCAGGCGCTCAAAACAAGCATGTGAAAGCAGCCATCAGGGGTGTACTCTACAGAGCCACAGAGGCAGATCTTCCCAAGGCCTTGGGAGCCCACCCTTTGCATCAGCATGCCCTGGATGTGAGATGTGATACATGGAGACAAAGGAGATTATTTTGGAGCTTTAAGTTTTAATGACTGGCCTGCTAGGTTTTGGACTTGCATGGGCCTGTAGTCCCTTTGCTTTGGCCAGTTTACCCATTTGGAATGAGAGCATTTACCCAATGCCTGTACCACCAGTGTATCTTGGAAGTAACTAACTTGGTTTTTTTAATAGGCTCATAGGTAGAAGAGACTTGCTTTGTCTCGGATGAGACTTTGGAGTTGGACATTTGAGTTAATGCTGGAATGAGTTAAGACTTTGGGACTGTTAAGAAGGCATGATTGTGTTTTGAAATGTGAGAAGTACATGAGGTTTGGAGGGAGCCAGGGGTGGAATGATATAGTTTGGCTCTGTGTTCCCACCCAAATATCATATTGAATTATAATTCCCAATGTTGGGGGAGAGACCTGGTGGGGATAATTGGATCATAAGAGTGGATTTCCCCCTTGCTGTTCTCATGACAGTGAGTGAATTCTCACAAGATCTGATGGTTTAAAAGTGTATGGCACTTCCCCTTTCTTTCTCTTTCCTGCTCTGCCATGATAAGACATGTTTGTTTCCCCTCTGCCTTCCGCCATGATTGTAAGCTTCCTGATGCCTCCCAGCCATGTTTCCTATTAAGCCTGCAGAACCGTGAGTCAATTAAACCTCTTTTATCTACAGATTGCCCAGTCTCCAGGTATGTCTTTATAGCAGTGTGAGAATGTACTAATATGGCCTATATCCACAATGCATTCCTTAGGTTTTATTCTAGGGTTTTTGTAGTTTTAGGACTTACATTTAAGTCTTTAATCTATCCTGAGTTAATTTTTGTATTTGTCGTTATAAAGGATTCCAGTTTCCATCTTCTGCATATGGCTATCTAGTTATTGCAGTACCATTTATTGAATGAGGAGTCCATTCCTATTGCTCATGTTTGCCAACTTTGTTGAAGATATTTTAGTTGTAGGTGTGCAGATTTTTTTCACAGGTCTCTATTCTGTCCCATTGGTCTCTGTGTCTATTTTTGTACCAGTACCATGCTTTTTTGATTACTGTAGCCTTCTAGTGTAGTTTGAAGTCAGGTATTGTGGTGCCTCCAGTTTTGAACTTTTTGCTTTGGATTGTTTTGGCTATTTAGACTCTTTTGTGGGGCCACATGAACATTAGAATAGTTTTTTTTTTTTCTAATTCCATGAAGAATGTTGTTGGTGGTTTCATAGAAATAACATTATATTTCTAAACAGCTTTGTATACTATGGCCATTTTAATAATATTGATTTTTTGCATCCATGAGCATGAAATATTTTTCATTTGTTAGTGTGATCTCTGATTTCTTTCAGCAGTGTTTTCTAATTCTCATTGAAGAGATATTGCAGCTTCCTGGTTAGTTGTATTCCTAGATATTTTATTCTTTTCACGGCTATTTTCAGTTGTGTCTCTGCCATTTCTTGGTATCAGAATGATGCTGGCCTCATAGAATGAGTTAGGGCAGAGTCCCTCCTCCTCAATTATTTGGAATAATTTTAGTAACATTGGTATCAGCTCTTCTTTATACATCTGGTAGAAGTTTGCTGTGAGTTCATCTGGTCTAGGGCTTTTCCTTATTGGTAGGTTTTTTATTACTGATTCAATTTCAGAACTTGTTATGGTCTATTCAAGGTTTCAATTTCTTCCTGGTTCAATCTTGGGAGATTTTATGTTTGCAGGAATTTATGTATTCAAGATTTTCTAGTTTCTATGTGTAAAGGTGTTCATAATAGTTTCTGATGATTTTTTGTATGTTTGTGAGGCCAGTGGTAATGCCCTCTTTGTCATTTCTAATTGCATTTATTTGGATCTTGTCTCTTTTTTGTTTATTAATCTAGTTAATGGTACAGCTGATGTAGAGAGGCAAGCCCAAAAGTGTATCTTAGCCCACAAGGTTCTTGGCTTTGCCCAGGAAAGAATTCAAGGGCAAACCAGAGATTGAAGAAAACAGCTTTATTGAATAGGCAGTGTTACACCTGTGGCAGTGTTACAGCTCCTTGACTGCTCCTGCAGAGCAGGACTACTCCATAGGCAGAGAGTAACAGCTTTCAGGGAAGTTTTGCAGTCATATTTACACCTACCTTTAATTGCAAGCATATTAAGGTGTGGTTTATGCAGAAATTTCTAGGGAAGTGGCAGTAATCATTGGGTTATTGCCATGAAAAGGAGTGGTAACTCCCAGGTGTTGCCATGGCAGTGGTAAGTTGACATGATACACTGGTGGGTGTGTCTAGTTGAGAATGGTTTTCACCCCAGTCCATTTTTAGCTAGTCCTAAATCTGGTCTGGTGTCTGAGTCCTGCCTCTAGAGTCAAGTCCTGTTTTCTACCCCATTTCTCCCTCAGAGATTAGATACTCTTCATTAATTGTATGGGGGGCTTCAGAAGGGCAGAGATCCATCTTCTGTAACTGCTTTCTGTTGAGTTTATGGGGATATACCCTGCCTAGCACTGGGGGAGTCAAAATCTCTGAATACCTGATCAAAGGGACTCAGAGACAGGATGTTTTGATCCTCCTTGTCAACAGGCAGGGTGGGTTGGAAGCCTTGTGCCAGCATTGTTTTTATGGGGAACTATTGTAACCTGGAAGACACAAACTTTACTAGGAGGTTAAACAAGCAAGTGCAAAGAATATTAGTATGACAAGGTAGCTATTAAATGTCCTCCGAGAGGTGAAAACCAGGTGCAGGAAGAAGATAAAAATTCAAGGTTCTATTCCCACCCAGAGCATCACGTTACCACTTCTGGCTGAGTGATGATTCTTTTAAATAAGTAGTGGAGGTCCTTCAAAGGCTCACAGATGTAGGTCATGGTGTCCTCCTTTTGTGCCTGCAACTCATACAAAACAGGTTTAATATTGGACAGGTGTATGCAACTAGTTAATCCCTGAAGTTTAACAGTAGTGGGGGTACTCAACAACACCTGACAGGGGCCCTTCCATTTTGGTTGTAATTGATCTTCAGGGTATTCTTCTTTCCAACATTTTAGCAAGATTAAATCTCCTGGTTGAATAGAGGGTTACTTCTTTCCCTTGTGTGAGGGGGCAATATTTTGTTTCCATATGCATGGAGGGCCTTTTGAACCTGGTCTAAGTTGATAATATGGGTGAGCATTCTCTGTGTCTCTTCATCAAGCAGGAGGTCTGAAGTTAAATAGGGCCTCCCGTAAATCATCTCAAATGGACTAAGTTTTAGAGTTACCTTTGGGGCAATCCTTATGCATAAAAGGGGTATGAGTAGGAGAGAAACCCAGGCTGCTGAAATCTCCTGACAGAGTTTTCCTAATGTCCTTTTGAAAACATCATTAGCTTTTTCTACCTTACCTGAGGATTGAGGTCTCCAGGAGAAGTGAAGCTGAAAGGTGATGACTTAGGCTGAAAAAACCTGCTGGGTCACTTTAGCTGTGAAGGAGGTCTGTTATCACTCTGCTGACATTTAGGTAATCCAAACTTTGGGATGATCTCTTGAGTAAAAATTTGGACACTTGTAATGCCTTCTCTGACCTTGTGGGGAAAGCCTCAATCCACTCAGTGAAAGTATCTATAAATACTAGCAAATATTTTAGTCCCCTGTAAGGTGGCATCTGAGTAAAATCTATTTGCTAATCTTTCCCAAGGTATGTCTCCTGATGTTGTACAGGTTAGAGTAGAAGTGGGGTATGGGGTGGCTTCCTGGATTATTATGGGCACAAAGTTCACATGCCCTGGTTATCCTCTTTACAGTCTGGGATAGTCTTTTTCCTAAAAATATTTGAGAAACCAATTTGAATAGGAAGTCCCATCCCAAATGTGAGGAGTAATGGAAATACATAACTATATTCCATCACTCAGGCTTGGGAAGAAAACGTTTATTGCTTCCTCATAACCATCCCGAGGGATTCTTTTGTAAGGCTTTCTATTCTGCTCATTTAATTTCCTGAGGGGTATAGTATGGTACTGCTAATGTGGTTGGAGTGCCTGGCATTAGTACAGTGGCCTGTAATACTGGTGTTTCTTTAGCTGTGGCCTTATCTGCTCTGTCTGCCAGAGCATTTCCGTGGATATATTAGGCGTCTCACTTTTGATGTCCCTTGCAGTGAATAACTGCTACCTCCTTTGGGAGCTGGACAACATCTACAATTTTCAAGATCTCAGAGTGATGTTTTATGGGGACTCCCTTAGTTGTTAGTAGTCCCCTTTCTCTCCATAGAGCAGCATGAGCATTGAGCATGAGGAACTCATACTGAGAATCAGTATATATATTGACTCTTAAGTCTTTTACCAATTGGAGGGCCCTGATTAAAGCAATTAGTTCCACCTCTTGAGTGGAATGCTGAGAAGGCAAAGCTTTTGCCTTAATGATCACTTGCTGGCTAACTACTGCATACTCTGCCTTTCTTAGTCTCTTATTCACAAAGCTACTCCCATCTGTAAACCCCTCCACATTTACAGGGGCTAGGCAGGGGATCATCTCTGGGGTCAGGCTTACTAGAGTAGTTCTGTTCTATGGTTTTCACACAGGAGTGAGTACGTTGAGAATCTGCTTCCTAGGACATAAACTCTGGTAACAGGTTAGCAGGGTTTAAAACTCAACATAATTTAAAAGTTACCTCTTGGGTGTCAAGGAGAAGGGCCTGATGTTTAAGGAAGTGACCTCCTGTTAGCCACTGGTGTCCTTTTAGTTCTAAGATTCCCTTTACTTCGTGGGTGGTCATGACATCGAATTGTTGTCCCAAAGTAAACTTACTGGCTTCTTCTACCATTAGAGCAGTGGCTGCCATAGTTTGCAAGCCTCCTGGCCACCCAGCTGCCACTGGTCTAGCTGTTTAGAAAATTAAGCCACTGATCTGGGGCTATGTTTTTCAGTCATTTAGAGGGTAAAAAGCTTTTTTTTTAAGGTAGGGAGTCGCAAAGCAGGGGCTGTTCCGAGCTTTTCTTTCAGGGTCAAGAATGCCTGTTGGTAGGCTCCATCCCAATTCAAAGGCTCATGATCACTCCCATTTAAAGCTTCATAGAGTGGCTTTGCTATAAGACCAAATCTAGGTATCCAGATCCAGCAGAATCCAGCCATTCCCCAAAATGCTCTTAACTGTCTCTTAGTCTGAGGGGGTTGGAGTGACAAGATGGTCTCTTTTCACTCTTGGGCAAAAGTACTTTTCCCAGGAGTGAGAATATATCCCAAATATTTAACCTTCTGCTCAGAGATCTGGGCCTTGTGTGAAGATACCCAATACCATTGCTTTCTGAGAAAATTAAGGAGCTGGATTGTTTCTGCCAGTCTTCCCCAGTAGGGCTAGAAACTAATAAGTCATCTATGTATTGCAAGAGGGACCCATTAGTTAACTGTAGTTCCCTTAACTTTTTGGCCAATGCATTTCCATAGAGATGGGGACTAACCCTAAAACCTTGAAGAAGGACTGTCCAGGTAAGCTGAGATGCACCATAAGTGTCTGGATCAGTCCATTCAAAAGCAAAGATATACTAGGAGTTTGAGTGTAAAGGTTTAAAAGACAAAGCATCCTTTAAGTTTAACACTGTGAATTAATGATTATCTTCTGAGACTTCGGTCAATATTGTATAAGGATTAGAAACTATAAAGTGAACTGGGACTGCTGCCTCACTAACTTCCCTTAGATCCTGAACAAATCTGTATTCCCCATTTGTCTTATTTACAGGAAAAATGGAGATATTACATGGAGACTGAGTTTTATAGATATCTCTAGTTACTATCCTGATTTCCTATCCACGGACATTTACCTGTTGGAAAGAACTGCTCACAAAACTTTTAATTTCCACTCTATAAATCTCCATCTTTTTAAGTAAGAATATTAGAATTCATTTTCCTCTAGAATCTATTTTCCTTTTTTGGAAGTCTTGCTTATTCGTTAAAGAACATACTCAATGGGTGTCACCAAGAAAGTCCATGGTGGTCTTTGGCATTCCTAGACTCACAGTATAGTACAGAGTTGTGAGGTTGTTTAGATACCCTAAAACCTGAAGAGCATTCCAGAGCAGGCATAAACAAGCCAAGTCCATTCTTTTGGAAATAGTGAACTGCACACAATTTTGGTTTTTGTCTTGTCCAGCAGGAAATTGATTCTGTGTCTTATAAACATATACAAACTTACACATGTGCACACAAACCTTTAGGAGACATTTATTGGTATAGCACCTAACATGAAACATTTTCCTAAAAGCCTCCAAAATATGTAAGAACATCTGCCTCACAATAAAGTTGGCATTACATATTATGATATAGAAGATTATTAGCATTGTGTTTTGCCCTCACTCCTGCCACCATTATCAAATTGCACACCCATGCCAGAATTAAGAAATAAACCTTTTATTGAACGAAATGCTACCTAGTGATTATGACTTTAGCTGTATAAATACCAAAATGAAGATTTCAAAATGCCACTTATAAGAGCTTAAGTTTTTAGACAAGACATTCATTCTCCCCAGCTTCTGTGGGGGTGGTGGAGACAGGAATGTCTGGGGAGGAAAATGCATTTTCTTCAGATTGGGAAGGGTGAAGTATGTTCTTCAGTTATTTGCTTTTATTGTTGTTGTTGTCATGGCTACTATTTATTATAACATCAGTATAGCTTCCATTGGTCTTTATGAAAGGAATATTTACCATAAATTCTTAGGTAAGGGTTTATATTTAGGTGAATACTTTATCCTTATGTTTTTGCTCCTTTATTTTAGATCTTTCATAATTCAAGTTAATTTAAAAATATGTACATATATACCTAGAGATCTGTATATGGTCGTAACTGACTGGGATTCAAGAGGTTTACATTCTAATTACTTGGCTTGGTAGTCAAAGAAGCAAAAAAGAGATTATTATCATGCATTCAGAGAGCAAATATAGTTGACAAACACACACGAGAGAGAGAGAGAGACAGAGAGAGAGAGAGAGAGAGAGAGAGAGAGAATTAAATGTGAAGATTTGATGGAAAACAAAGAAGCATTCATTCTTAATCAAGCCAAGATCTGGTGTCAGTTTTAAAGCGAATCGCTATCATCAAAGAAAATTTGTTCACCAAAAGGCAAACCAATGAAAATCAAATGGATTAGATCAGATGAATGTCATCTTCATTTAGACACTTCAGGTAAGATTATTCAGCCTTTTCCATTTCAGGTACAATACTAAAATATTTTGGATTGATGAGCAACAGCTCTAAAATTAGATTCTGCTTCTAGAAACCTTGGCAACTAGGCATTCCTTCTTTTAAAAAAGTAAAGTTTTCTCCTACATAAAATGTGTATTTTTGCAATTTTTAAACAGTCATTCCTTTAAATTAAATGATTGTTTACCAGGAGAAAGTTAATTGAAAAACATGTTTTTCTAACTAAATGGAAGCCTGCATCATGCAGGCAATAAACATTCTTGCTTGAAAGGAATTCTTGCTCCTTCTTTTAAGACTGCCATGGGAATAAAATAGAAAAAGAAAAAAGAAAAAAAAAAGCCCCACAGAGTTGTGAACTTGTGTCTGGCTTAGGAGCCAAATGGGATTTTGAAGCCTACAAGTTTTCTATTCACTTCTAAATTTAGCACTCACAAATTTCCCGTTTGGCAAATCATGTTCCTCAAACCAAATGTAAGCCATTTTTTAGGAATGTTAGTATCTGATTCCATTTGTTAACAACCGTGGCTAATCTGCTGCACTGGACATTTGGCAAAAGTTTATTTTATAGTTCCTGGATGCCCATACAGTGAAAGATGAAAGTGAAAGAAACCAGTTGGTCTGTAATACCAGTTCATGAAATGTGGAAGGGAGATCTTTTCAAACACAAACCATCTATGGGTCTAGACTCAGGAGCAGGTAGACTTTACAACATAGGACTACCCCTAAATAGGACACTGTTTTCGGATTCTTTGCTTCTTTTCTTTTTGATGGGGACATGTAAATGGAATTACGCACAACTTCCTACGTGCTCTCACAGCATTTTTCTTGAACCCTTCTTACAATAAATTATCAAGCCCTGGCTTGTAAGATTCATTGGTTTTTATGTCTGGCTATCCACTTTTCGATGAACCCTTGGTTTTATTCATTCCTAAAATCCACACAAAGTCTAGCATAGGGTCTTTCCTATAGTATATGTTCTGATCATATTTGAAAAGGAATGAAAATGACTGCTTCCCTCTTCCTCTTATTTATCAATCACTTACAACCTCCAAAGATTTGGTGTTTATAGTAGAGAAAGTGGTTTACAAGTAATACCATTCACAAATTTATATGCAGCGCAATCTTTGCACTTGGAGTGAAACATAACAGCAAGAAAGGTGAACGAATTCACTTTTATTAACGTCTCCTTTGTGCCAGGCACTTTATCTCACTTAATCTTCCCCAAATCGTATAAATATATAATATCACCTCCATTGTTTTAAATAAAGGAAATAAATTTCAAAAATACAAAATCACTTGCCCTAAACATGCAACTATTTTATGCTAGAGATAGGACTCAAACCCAGATTCCAAAGCATGCATTTTATTTGCTAAACATGCAATGGAAATAGAAAAAGACGTACATCATTGACATAAACAGAAGGCTCAAAATTAGTCTATTCTAAGAGAAAAACATACAGAAATAAATTTGTACTGGGTGAAATCTTCCCTTAATCCTTCCTGTATCAGTGGAACATGTTATTTTATTTGAATACAGAAATTGCATTAGGGTGGGGGTCAAATTTTGCACATTTAATTGCTTAAAGTTTAATTGAGTAAAATCTGCTATACTTCTTTTAATGAAGCAATTCTTTTTAACGTTTACTTTACACAATAACTACCTGATAATACCTGATTAAATAAGATGCATTAATTAAAAGAGGTATTTTTGAACATGAAAAAAATAATCAGATTGGAGGTTTTTTAAAAAACCTTGCTGTATAAGGACACTCCCTAATAACTTCTTTTTTTTTTAATTGAATGACATTTTATTTTTTGTTGTTGTTATACTTTAAGTTCTAGGGTACATGTGTACAACATGCAGGTTTGTTACATATGTATACCTGTGCCATGTTGGTGTGCTGTACCCATTAACTCGTCATTTACATTAGGTATATCTCCTAATGCTTTCCCTGTCCCCTCCCCCCACCCCACAACAGGCCCTGGTGTGTGATGTTCTCCTTTCTGTGTCCAAGTGTTCTCATTGTTCAGTTCCCACCTATGAGTGAGAACATGCGGTGTTTGGTTTTTTGTTCTTGCAATAGTTTGCTGAGAGTGATGGTTTCCAGCTTCATCCATGTCCCTACAAAGGACATGAACTCATCCTTTTTTATGGCTGCATAGTATTTTGTGGTGTATATGTGCCACATTTTCTTAATCTAGTCTATCATTGATGGACATTTGGGTTGGTTCCAAGTCTTTGCTATTATGAATAGTGCTGCAATAAACATAAGTGTGCATGGGCCTTTATAGCAGCATGATTTATAATCCTTTGGGTATATGCCCAGTAATGGGATGGCTGTGTCAAAAGGTATTTCTAGTTCTAGATCTTTGAGGAATCACCACACTGTCTTCCACAATGGTTGAACTAGTTTACAGTCCCACCAATGGTGTAAAAGTGTTCCTATTTCTCCACATCCTCTCCAGCACCTGTTGTTTCCTGACTTTTTAATGATCACC
The DNA here is from genome assembly GCF_000001405.40 of Homo sapiens. Lineage (NCBI taxonomy): Eukaryota > Metazoa > Chordata > Mammalia > Primates > Hominidae > Homo > Homo sapiens. The sequence goes on from NC_000003.12 coordinate 190,998,501, forward strand.
ATTCTAACTGGTGTGAGATGGTACCTCATTGTGGTTTTGATTTGCATTTCTCTGATGACCAGTGATGATGAGCATTTTTTCATGTGTCTTTTGGCTGCATAAATGTCTTCTTTTGAGAAGTGTCTGTTCATATCCTTTGCCCACTTTTTGATGGGGTTGTTTGTTTTTTTCTTGTAAATTTGTTTGAGTTCTTTGTAGATTCTGGATATTAGTCCTTTGTCAGATGAGTAGATTGCAAAAATTTTCTCCCATTCTGTAGGTTGACTGTTCACTCTGATGGTAGTTTCTTTTGCTGTGCAGAAGCTCTTTAGTTTACAGAGAATACTATAAACACCTCTGGGCAAATAAACTAGAAAATCTAGAAGAAATGGATAAATTCCTGGACACATACACCCTCCCAAGACTAAACCAGGAAGAAGTTGAATCCCTGAATAGGCCAATAACAGGCTCTGAAACTGAGGCAATAATTAATAGCCTACCAACTAAATAAAGTCCAGGACCAGACAGATTCACAGCCGAATTCTACCAGAGGTACAAGGAGGAGCTGGTACCATTCCTTCTGAAACTATTCCAATGAATAGAAAAAGAGGGCATCCTCCCTAACTCATTTTATGAGGCCAGCATCATCCTGATACCAAAGTCTGGCAGAGACACAACAAAAAAAGAGAATTTTAGACCAATATCCCTGATGAACATCGATGCAAAAATCTTCAATAAAATGCTGGCCAACGATTTCTTTACTCACATAAAATTGAAAAGGAGCTCTTTTCTTATCAGTTCTAGATCTTCCACACAAAGAGATTATGCTTCTCAGGCGTTTAATTATATACACATATACAGTCCCTCTATAAAAGACTGTTAGGGAACGTGCAGACTATTCAGAGAAAGTCATAAACAAAATGCCAGAAGCATAGAGCATCCAAGATGGCAGCCAAAACTTCTATTCATTTCAACAAAGTCTTCTTTGAAGTTTGATCTGTATAATAACTATTTTTAAAACACCTGTAGAAGTCATAATATCTATAACATTCCTATGAATTAGTAAGTTTCACTTTTCATAAAGTTGATCACTAAAGTTCATAGAAGTTTAGTGATTTCTTTTCTTTTGGAAAAAAGAAGTAGATGTATACATAGATGGAAGGATAGCCAGGTAGTGGATAATAAATACATACATATATACTCATATGATTGAAATAGAGAGTGAAGGGAGGGAGGGAGGAAGGAAGGAAGGAAGGAAGGAAGGAAGGAAAGAAGGAAGGAAGGAAGGAAGGGGAGGGAGGAGGGAAGGGAGGGAGGGAGGGATAAGAAATACAAAAATGGAAGAAAGAAAAGAGATTAGGCATTCTCATCTAGTCAATATTACTCCCGGGGAGTCAAAATTGATTCTTCAGGGGGTAAATAAAATCTTATTCTTTAATATGTAAACTCAGAGACATTCTATGAACAGATGCACAGTGTATCTGTGGTATTAAAGTTTAATGGTAGAAGGATTAGAAAAAAATATTTAGAAGTCTTCTTAAAGAGGAAACAAACTTTATGAAGTTTGAGAAACACTGAGAGGTTGGGGCAGGATGTGACATACACATTCAGCTATGTTACTATTTACATTTAATTATTTTTCTATTCTTCCCTTCTTTGGGATGCAAGAAGTTTTTCTCAGCCCCTGAAGAAAAGCTGAGAATTAAACCGACCTTTTGCTTGAAAATAAGAAAATAAGTTTCCAGTTGCTGTGTATTCATGCTCTCATTCTAATGTACAACCCAGTCTATTGTGAGAGAGAAAGAGGGTATTGGGTTTGAGAAGAGAGGTACTTCTGAGGGAAGTAGGGAGGCAAAAGGAGGTCAGTGGATGAAATGGAGAATTAAATGAAAGGCATTACTGAAAGGGAGCCTCAGAAACTCAAGAAATGAACCGAGAACTTCTGCTAAAAATGGGAGCTTTATAGTCCATTAAGAGCCAAATAAGTTTGTCTAGTAAAGGAACACCATAAGAGACGACATTCAGAAGGTCAGGAGCCAAATAAAATTGCTTTTCCTATTCAAAACTCATTATGTTTTATTTGCTTGACATTCTCTTCCTCCCTTCTTTAGCTGGTGAACACTTCAAAAAGTATCTCAAATGTTCCTCCATGAAACATTCCCAGATTCCCGCAATGGACTTTAGTCTCTGACCAATCTGCGAGCACCTTGTAATTTTTACTTAAGATTGCATTTATCACATCAGTTATCATTGTTTATCCCCATAGAGAGTAACCTTCTTAATTTGTGAACTGGATGATTTTTATATCAGATTGTTTGTTGACAACTATAGAGCTCGCACATAATAATGAAGAGAACATTCCCCACTTAGTACCTGAGCAAGAAAAGGTTATTTTGGACAGGGATAATTTTGCCCAGGCTTCCCGAACCTACCCATATTCATCAGTAGAATTGAGAACTCATAGCTCCAAAGGTTTTTAAAAAGGGAAAAAAAGCCTATATTTTTATGGATGGTGCAGAAAGCGGAGCAAATAAGGGCCACCTACCCCTTCAGGCAGGAACTTTCACTATCTGAGAATTCCCTTGCAGAATGAATGTAGCTGGTGATGGATGCAGTATCAAGGTTTTCTCCTAGTCTGTGTGCTACTGGGCCCCTATTTTCAGAAGCATATTAAAATGGAGATGTTGGAAATTGAATTTGGTTTCAAAGCATCCTTCTTATGGCAGTGTCCTATATATTGGAACTAGAGTTTGTCTCTTTCTTGCTCCTGTTATTATCATAGCTGATGGGACATGATTTCACTGAAATATTTCTTCAAAATCATTTGATCAGAAGTGGTGGACTATTTAGTACTGGCTTGTTTACTTAAAATATCATTTCTTGTGATATGTGGTCCTGTATATTCATTGAATAACTCATTTGCTTAAATGAGCTTGGTGAAGCAAAATTTAGGACCACATTTTTATGGTCAGTGATTCTTAGTAATATAATATTGTTAATTGTTTTCTTTTCATAAACATGATATTTGTTCTATTTTTGTTTTCTTTTCACAAACTTTATACTTGTTCTATTTTCTTTCCCCAAGAATGAAAATCAAAATGGATTTTTTAGAGTTTTTTTAATATACAACAATATATAGCACAAATGTAAAATTAAGCAGGAAAAGGTAAAGAAGGAATTCAAGTGGATGGCCATGGCTGAGGAAGATGAAAAGGGAATATAATCAATGTTGGGTACAGAGATACTCACAAATATATTTGTAATTTTCTTACTTTAATAAACATCTGAGCCCAAGTTAATACTTAAAACTGAGCAATTCAGTACACAGGTGTTCACTATATTCCTATCAACTCTTGTGCATATAAGTGAAATATGTAACCGTAAAAATATAACATTTTCTATAAAAGATATAGGCAGTACATTATGGCTGATAGTGATACTTGCCTTTGCAATAGCTATTGCTCATCTTTTTTCTAGCTAACAGATGCCTACTTTTGTTTGTTTGTTTGTTTGTTGTTTTTGAGACAGGGCTTTACTCTGTCATCCAGGATGAAGTGCAGTGGCACAATCTTGGCTCACTGCAGCCTCAACCTCCCAGGCTCAAGCAGTCCTCCCACTTCAGCCATCTGAGTAGCTGGGACTACAGCCGTGTATCACCACAGCCTGATAATTTTTGTTTTCTTTGGTTGGTTGGTTGGTTGGTTTATTGTTTGCTCGTTTTTGTAGGGATGAGGTCTTTCTATGTTGCTCAGGCTGGTCTCAAACTCCTGAGTTCAAGTGATCCTCCTGCCTCAGCCTACCAAAGTGCTGGGATTACAGGCATGAAGAAAATGTTTGCTTTCTTGCTTCTGGACATTGCTGTGTGCATGTGATTTATAGAACTGCTGCAGTTGTTCTGATACTTGGGGAGCCCAGCCTTGAGTGATAAATGAATACACAAAAAAAAAGGAACAGCAAAAAAAGGGGGGGACAAGCTAATTATTGAATTAACTAACCATGTAACTCTTGTCTTTACACTTCCTATTATGCATGATGACAAATCCTTAATCTATTTTTAAATTGACAGCTAAATGCTAATTGACAGATACTTGTTTGTTAACTTATCATATTGTACTATTTATTTAGAATAAATTCCCAGTAGCAGGGTTATTACTCTTGCTTGTTCTTTTTTGTTTGTTTTTTGTTTTTGTTTGAGACAGGGTCTTGCTCTGGCACAAAGCCTGGAGAGCAATGGTGTGATCATAATTCACTGCAACCTTGAACTTCTGGGCACAAGTGATCCTCCCATCTCAGCCTCTCAAATAGCTGGAATCACAAGCATGTACAACCACACCCTTCTTTTTAAAAATTTTTTAATTTTTTAAGAGGTGGAGTCTCTTTATGTTCTTTTATTATTATTATTCTGTAAGTACTGGGGTACATGTGCAGAGCATGCAGTTTTTTTACGTAGGTATACACGTGCCATGGTGGTTTGCTGCACCCATCAACCTGTCACCTACATTAGGTATTTCTCCTAATGCTATCTCTCCCCTAGCCTCCCACACCCCAGTAGGCCCTGGTGTGTGATGTTCCCGTCCCTGTGTCCATGTGTTCTCATTATTAACTCCCACTTACGATTGAGAACATGGGGTGTTTGGTTTTCTGCATCATTCTTTATGTTCTTTAGGCTGATTTCAAACTCCTGGCCTCAGGCAGTCCTCCCACCCCAGCCTCCTGAGTTGCTGGGATTATAGGCAAAAGCCATTATGCCCAGCTCAGCTTTTGAAATATGTTTTAAAATTACTCTCCAATGTAATAACCTTAAAATTCAACCACCTGGTAAAATGCAAAGACTGAATAACAAAAACCATGATAATAATATTTTTATAGATAACAAGCCATGTTAAAATCTGTTAAAAGCTATTGATCTCTAATCCAGAAAAAGTACCAAAGATGGGCCCAAACTCACAAAATTGCCTGAACTTCAGGAGTATATATGCCTTCAAGACCCCATTCATTATCTAGTTCAGAAATCCTTGCTACATAGCTTTATATAATATAAAATACTTCCACATCAGTTAATTTTTCTAGTGGCTGGTTATGCTGATCTTTAAACAATTCCATGACAACTTTTATATATAAATATCTTTTCTCTCCCAGCCACAGGTTGGAGGCCTTTGAATTTAATGTGTTATTACCTCTCACCCAGAATTAAGGCCATTTTATCCTTCTGCACTACTTTTCTTTTAAACTTCTTTGACTGCCCAGTCAAAATTGTTTATGTGAATACTGTTCTTAGACTTCTCCCTACTCTTATCTTTTTTGTGTTGAAGAAGGTGGCTTTGGAATCTTTGGCAAACACCAGGCATTTTTAATTACCATTAGCAAATCGTTGCAAACAGAGAATATAAAGGAGCCTCTGGTTGTCAGAGCCATTAATGCTGATTAAAACAGGGTGTGTGGGCCCGTGGTTTAAGTTTGTTTGTTTTGAAGCATTCACTCTAAGGAATCCAGGCCAGCCTTCCCTATTACCACGGCAATGTGCAGGTTTTCGTGTGCATATGATGGGTAGAGTCTCTAACAACTGAAACCTGGTCCAAAATTGTACTTGCGTAAACAAAAGGGGAAAAAATTAAAAGGTTTTTGTATTTGTGGAAATTTAATAGTCTTTTTGTGGACATTAAAACAAACATCCCTCCCTCCACATATTTATTTACATGCACTAATATTGATAAAATGTTCAGTGTGTGTGTGAACAATCTCTTTAGTCTTTGTCATTGAATGGTGAAGCCACTTTATGTTTTTCATTGAATAATTTTATTATTAATGGATGGGTTATTAAGTAGTAGACAACCAAAAGTCAGAGAACTAAGCTGTTGGTATCAAAAAGCAGTTGAATATTGACCACATGTATGGTGCAGTACTAAGTCCTTTATGTATGTGATATCATTTGATTTAATCATTTAAAGAACCCTCTGAGATAGGAATTATTATATTTATTTTATTTAGAAAAAGATTGTAACTTAGGGATACTAATTAAATACTTCAAGTTCAATAAAACCAAGATTCAAATCCATATCCACAATATACTGAAATATATTTTTATATTTAAAATGCATATTATATGTGTATTCTGCATCTTATGCCTATTAAATGTATATGTACAGTTGTTTGTGTGTATATTTCTCTCACACCCTCTCTTTTTCACATTTTTTACATAAAAACCTATTTTTATTGATCTAACTGAATCTTTAATATGTACATCTGTGGTTAACTCAGTCTCTAACTTCATAGAATGGTTTATCTCATAGACCATAAAGATATAAAGAAAAAATTGTTCTTACAAGCCATTGATAATGTAAACCAAAGTCTACTGAAGTTTAAAGAGACTAATTTTTCCTTTTAATTTAGAATCTAACAGCCATAACACACATAAACATAGTGTTTTAAAACTAATACTGAAATTTTAGCATACTAAGTTCACATATACCGTATAAATATCTAAAATTGCCCTTTTCTGTGTTTTTTTTTTTTTCCATTGGGGTTAAAATGAATGTGTTTGCCTTTCTCTGTCATCACCTCATTACAGCATGTTGAGAAACGAGTTTCTTCTCAACAAACAAATATCACCTTTCAACTTTTTGTTCTACTTCAAAAATTCTAATTATTGAAGGGGATTCTTTAACAGATTGCTTTGATTCAGGTTATTGAAAGAGATTCAGGTTCGAATAAAATATCAAAATTCTGACACTAACTGATCCAAAGTGCCAGCAGCTTCCACCAGCTGCTCGAATGAGCCAGGACTGCAAACATGCAACAGGGGTGGATCCCCTGCTTGAGGACTTTCTTGCTTTTCACCATACCTTCTGCACAATGTAGGGTGGATGTTTGACATAGCAAGTGAATATATATATACATATATACACCCACACACATATATCTTTCCACTTTTCATTAATTTGGTATTTTTGAAAATGTCTTCAACAAATTTACCTTACTTTAGGGAAAAGAAAAAGCCCCCAGTACCTCTCCTTCACTTTCCTGCACGTTTCTTATCTCTTTCATATATTCAGGTTACAGAGGAGGAATTGTCATCTCTTTTCTCTAATTTGCACTACACAAAGCCAGAAATAATGATGTTTTCTGCTTGAACGCAAACCAATCGTTTATCTGGACGCCCCTGAAAAGACTTAATTTGCTCAACTAGTCAGTATTATGCTTCTGTTAAAGGATCCCAGACGCACACTTGGACTTCTCTTTTAACTCACGTTTTTCCCCTGTTCACCCCCACATACCACCTCCTCAAGCTTTCCCAAATGAGAACTGGCTGCCAACCCGACTTCACTCCCCTTCACCTCTTTTAGCCTATTATTCTGTGTTCTAGTTACCACCAGCACTGTGTCTCAAACCCAAGGACTCGCACTTGCCTAAAATAAATAATAAGCAGAAGAAACAGACAACCAGCCTGTTTTTGCCACCTTTTCTGAGAGCATGAGGTAATGCTGGCCTATTCAGCAAGTGCTGCAAATGGCTGACAGACATTTCGAGAATCTCAGTGGTGAGAGATGAGGAATGTCCCAGCTCAGTCTGGCAGCAGAGTCCAACCTCACACACAAGAGGCTTTTAAAAGGCACAGTGGGAAGAACTTTTAATGTTTCCATTCAGAGGGGAATTTAACTGCTCTTTGACAAACCACCTAGACATTTTGTTATGCTTGGAGCAAGAATGTTTCTTTTCTTTTCTTGGATCCTTAAACTATTCTGCAAAATTCTGAACAGGATCAATACTATTAAACCTCAGCATGTTCTATTGGCATTTCTTATTTTCAAGCCTGATGAGAGACAGAGAGGGAGAGAGAGAATGAGAATTAAGAAATTGAAGGAGTACATTTAAATTAGTATTTTGCTAACAAGAATGATTTGCAAATGCTATCTATTAATAGTTTGGGAGTCTCTATATAATTACTTTGTAAAATTCTCCAAATTTATTCAATATATTTGGTAAGTAAAGAAAATTGTATATTTAGAACCAAAGGAGATAAGAAAAATTTCAAGAAAGTGACCAACTAAGAGAGTGTATTATATACGTGTATGTTATGTATATATAAATATGTATTAGTGTATATGTATAGATGTAACTCAAACATGTATGTATGTTAAATGAACATATTTAATAACATACACAACATAAAATCACATGTTATTCCCATTTATCTCATTCTCCATGTCTCAGAATCCCTTAAATTGTTAAATAAGATTGTCTACCTATCAGTCTTCCAAGTTTCTTTCTGCCTTTCACTATAATGAATCAGTAAGCTTTAAAAAAATTAAATTTCACAGATATTGAAAGAAGCTGTTATGAGAGGGGATGGTTATAAAAAATGGGCGTGGAGGAAGAACTTAAGCAGTGTATTGAAGGGTAAATAGAATGTGCTGAAAACTGCATAATAGGTGATATCTGATAGTGACAAATATTCTAAAATATAAACGTAAAAATGCGAAGGGTCAAAATAACTAAAAAATATTGATTTGAAGCAAAATTGAAGGAGCAACAGACTGAAAACAACACATCTATACATATATAAATACTTGGTGTGTGAATTACTGTAAAACAAGAGATATGGGCTTTTCACATGGTGCTGGTTTAATTGAATATCCATATTTTTAAAGATATGAAATGGAACTCTACCGCACACCATACCCAAAATTCAACACCAGAAGAATTGCAGATCTAAAAGAAAACAGTATAACAACAAGAAGAAAAAAACCTTCTAGAATAACAGAAGAAAATCTCATGTTCTTGTAGTATTCAAAGATTTCTTAAGCAGATTTCTTAAACATTAACCATATAATATTTAATACAAGCTTTATTAAAATTGAAAATTGTGGTTCATTAAAAGACATTAAAGGTGAGAAAAATTTATTGAAATGCTGGGAAAATATCTGCAATACACATGTCCTATTTCTACTGAAACACATAAAAAACTCTTATGAATGAATAATAAAAGGATATAAAACCCACTTATCCCAGCAATTTGGGAGGCCAAGGCAGGTGGATCACCTGAGGTCAGGAGTTCAAAACCAGCCTGGCCAACATGGTGAAACCCTGTCTCAAATAAAAATACAAAAATTAGTTAGGCGTGGTGGTGAGCGCCTGTAATCCCAGTGACTAGGGAGGCTGAGACAGGAGAATCGCTGAAACCCAGGAGGTGGAGTTTGCAGTGAGCCGAGATCACTCCATTGCACTCCAGCCTGGGCAACAAGAGCAAAACTTCATGAAAGAAAGAAAGAAAGGAAGAAAGGAAAAAGAAAGAAAGAAAGAAAGAAAGAAAGAAAGAAAGAAAGAAAGAAAGAAAGAAAGAAAGAAAGAAGGAAAGAAAGAAAGAAAGAAAGAAAGAAAGAAAGAAAGAAAGAAAGAAAGAAAGAAAGAGAAAGAAAGAAAGAAAGAAAGAAAGAAAGGAAAAAGAAAGAAAGGAAGGAAGGAAGGAAGGAAGGAAGGAAGGAAGGAAAGAAGGAAAGAAAGAAGGAAGGAAGGAGAGAAAGAAAGAGAGAGAGAAAGAAAGAAAGAAAAAGAAAGAAAGAAAGAGAAAGAAAGTTAATGGGTACAGCACACCAGCATGGCACATGCATACATATGTAACTAACCTGCACATTGTGCACATGTACCCTAAAACTTAAAGTATAATAATAATAAAAAAAGGGAGGGAGGGAGGGAAGGAAGGAAGGAAGGAAGGGGCAAAATAATAAACAGTCACTTCTGAAAACAGGATATACAAATGCCCAATCAGCCTGTCAAAATGGCTTAAGTCTAGTTATCAGGAAAGTGAAAGTTAAAACCACAATAAGCCACCACTACCCTCCCACTAGCATGTCTAAGATTAAAAAAAAAAAATCACATCAAGTGTTATGGTGGATGTGGAGTAACTAGAACTCTCGTATACTTCCAATGAAACTTTGAATAGATACAACAACCTTGATAAAGATTTAGCAGTATTTACTAACCTGGATATATAATACTATATGACTTGTTCATTCTATTTCTATGTATAAACTCAATAGAAATGAGTGACATATGCACTAAAGGTATGAGAATATGGATAGCAACTTCATTCATGATACCCAAACTTGGAGACCAAACTGTGGCAAATTCATACAATGGAATACTATTCATAAATGTAAAATACAGATTAGCTGCCATTCAACGGCAGCCATAACATTGGATGAATTAATGCAGACACATGAGAGTGCACCTTGTACAGATATACATATGATTTTTGTCTACAAAGTTCAAGTACCATCCAATCTAATCTACGATGATAGAGGTCAGAAGAGTGCTTATTTTAGGGGTGGTGTTAACAGTAATTAATAAGAATTGTCCCTTTTATTATATGCATGTTATACTTAAATGTAAGAAAACTAAGAAATAGATTTCATTTCAAAACATAAGAAAATTGGGTCCATTTTTATATAGAAAGGTAAGAAAATAATCAGGTGGAGTTTGTTTTTCAGTACAAGGTTGGTTTAATTTTCAAAAATCAATGTTATTTAACACATTAACAGAAAAAAGCAGAAAATATTATCTCAGTATGTATAGAATAATGATTTGATAAAATTCAATCCCACCCATGTCTTAAAAAGAAAAGAGACATATGAAGCTAGGACTACGTGATAACTTCCCTAACTGCTTAACTAACCAAGTATTCATTTAAAAAAAAGGTTACAGAAAAAAACCATACTTAATCATAAAACATTGAAAGTTTTTTCCCTGATTTAAAAAAAAGGCAAAGATGCTTGCTATCAGTACATCTCTTCAACAGTGTATAGAATATTATGGCCAATAAAAAAAAACACACACAAGAAAAAATACAAATATGTTTGGAAGGAAAAAATAAAACTAGATAGTATTATTAGACAACAGACTGTACACATTAAAAATTCAAAATGATCTACAGAAAAAATTAGAATCAGTAATTTTAACATTTTAATGGATAGAAATTGACATATAAAATCAATGATATTTTTTCTATAGCAGCAACCAGAAGAAAAAAAACTTTAAAATACCACCTGAAATAGAAAAAAACCCTCAAATACCTATGAATAATTATTTTTAAAAATATGTAAAAGTTCTTCACAAGAAAAACTACAAAAAATATTGCAAGAAGTTTTTCAAAAAGTTAATAAAGGAAGAGTCCACATTCAGAACTACAAAGACATCATTTCTCCCAAAATGTTTTACAGGTTCATTTCTAAGTCAATATTCTAGCAGAGGATGTTTTTTTAAGTTGGCAAACTGAGTCAAAATTTATATAAAGGCTGGGCATGGTGGCTTATATCTGTTATCCCAGCATTTTGGGAGGCCGAGGTGGGCAAATCACTAGGACAGGAGTTTGAGACCAGCCTGGCCAATACAGTGAAACTCCGTCTCTACTAAAAATACAAAAATTAGTCTGGCGTGGTGGTGCACGCCTGTAGTCCCAGCTACTCGGGAGGCTGAGGCAGGAGAATCACTTGAACCCAGGAGGCGCAGGTTGCAGTGAGCCAAAATTGTGCCACTGCACTCCAGCCTGGGCAACAGGGCAAGAATCTGTATCAAAAAAAAATTATATAGCAATTTCAAGGGGAAAGATGATCTCCAAGAAGAACAAAGTTGAACTGTTTACATTCGCATACATCAAAGCTTATTGCAAAACTAATAATAACTTAGACTATGTAGTATTTATGGAAGAATAGACAAAAATGTGATGGAACAAGAGTTCCAAAAGAGGCCCACTCATGGAGACTTGATTTATAATGTTAGAAAATGACACTGAAGAGCAATGAGATGAAGGTAACCTTTTTCATATATGATGCTGTCAATTGTATACCCACATAAAGACAAAAATAAATCTAATCCTGCTTTATATCTCATCCTTAAATGCATTCACACTAGACTGTAGATTTAAAAAAAAACGAGAGAATATATTTATGCCCTTACAATAGATAGATTTCTTAATTTGGACACAAAAAAAAACACTAAGCATAATGGAAAACAATGGTAATTCAGACATGTCAAAATAAAGACAGTTAATTCATCAAAAGACTCTCTTTTTTATTTTTTATTCTACTTTAAGTTCTAGGGTACATGTGAACAACGTGCAGGTTTGTTACATATGTATACATGTGCCATGTTGGTGTGCTGCACCCATCAACTCATCATTTACATTAGGTATATCTCCTAATGCTATCCCTCCCCCCTCCCCCAACCCCATGACAGGCCCCAGTGTGTGATGTTCGCCACCCTGTGTCCAAGGATTCTCATTGTTCAATTCCCACCTATAAGTGAGAACATGCGGTGTTTGGTTTTCTGTCCTTGCGATAGTTTGCTCCGAATGATGGCTTCTAGCTTCGTCCATGTCCCTACAAAGGACATGAACTCATCCTTTTTTATGGCTGTATAGTATTCCATGGTGTATATGTGCCACATTTTCTTAATCCAGTCTATCATTGATGGACATTTGGGTTGGTTCCAAGTCTTTGCTATTATGAATAGTGCTGCAATAAACGTACCTGTGCATGTGCCTTTATAGCAGCATGATTTATAATCCTTTGGGTGTATGCCCAGTAATGGGATGGCTGGGTCAAAAGGTATTTCTAGTTCTAGATCCTTGAGGAATCACCACACTGTCTTCCACAATGGTTGAACTAGTTTACAGTCCCACCAACAGTGTAAAAGCATTCCTATTTCTCCACATCCTCTCTAGCACCCATTGTTTCCTGACTTTTTAATGATGGCCATTCTAACTGGTGTGAGATGGTATCTCATTGTGGTTTTGATTTGCATTTCTCTGATGGCCAGTGATGATGAGCATTTTTTCATGTCTTTTGGCTGCATAAATGTCTTCTTTTGAGAAGTGTCTGTTCATATCCTTTGCCCACTTTTTGATGGGATTGTTTGATTCTTTTTTTGTAAATTTGCTTAAGTTCTTTGTAGATTATGGATATTATCCCTTTGTCAGATGAGTAGATTGTAAAAATTTTCTCCCATTCTGTAGGTGGCCTGTTCACTCTGATGGTAGTTTCTTTTGCACTGCAGAAGCTCTTTAGTTTAATTAGATCCCATTTGTCAATTTTGGCTTTTGTTGCCATTGCTTTTGGTGTTTTAGTCATGAAGTCTTTGCCCATGCCTGTGTCCTGAATTGTATTGCCTAGGTTTTCTTCTAGGGTTTTTATGGTTTTAGGTCTAACATTTAAGTCTTTAATCCATCTTGAATTAATTTTTGTATAAGGTGTAAGGAAGGAATCCAGTTTCAGCTTTCTACATATGGCTAGCCAGTTTTCCCAGCACCATTTATTAAATAGGGAATCCTTTCCCCATTTCTTGTTTTTGTCAGGTTTGTCAAAGATCAGATGGTTGTAGATGTGTGGTATTATTTCCGAAGGCTCTATTCTGTTCCATTTTTCTATATCTCTGTTTTGGTACCAGTACCATGCTGTTTTGGTTACTGTAGCCTTGTAGTATAGTTTGAAGTCAGGTAGTGTGATGCCTCCAGCTTTGTTCTTTTGGCTTAGGATTGTCTTGGCAATGCAGGCTCTTTTTTGGTTCCATATGAACTTTAAGGTAGTTTTTTCCAATTCTGTGAAGAAAGTCATTGGTAGCTTGATGGGGATGGCATTGAATCTATAAATTACCTTGGGCAGTATGGCCATTTTAACAATATCGATTCTTCCTATCCATGAGCATGGAATGTTCTTCCATATGTTTGTGTCCTCTTTTATTTCGTTGAGAGGTGGTTTGTAATTCTTCCTGAAAAGATTCTTTACATCCCTTGTAAATTCGATTGCTAGGTATTTTATTCTCTTTGAAGCAATTGTGAATGGGAGTTCACTCATGCTTTGGCTCTCTGTTTGTCTTTTATTTGTGTATAGGAATGCTTGTGATTTTTGCACATTGATTTTGTATCCTGAGACTTCGCTGAAGTTGCTTATCCAGTTTAAGGAGATTTTGTGCTGAGACGATGGGGTTTTCTAAATATACAATCATGTCATCTGCAAACAGGGACAATTTGACTTCCTCTTTTCCTAATTGAATACCCTTTATTTCTTTCTCTTACCTGATTGCCCCAGCCAGAACTTCCAACACTGTGTTGAATAGGAGTGGTGAGAAAGGGCATTCCTGTCTTGTGCCAGTTTTCAAAGGGAATGCTTCCAATTTTTGCCCATTCAGTATGATATTGGCTGTGGGTTTGTCATAAATAGCTCTTTTTATTTTGAGATACGTCCCATTCAATACCTAGTTTATTGAGAGTTTTTAGCATGAAGGGCTGTTGAATTTTGTCAAAGGCCTTTTCTGCATCTATTGAGATAATCATGCAGTTTTTGTCTTTGGTTCTGTTTATATGATGGATTATGCTTACTGATTTGCATATGTTGAACCAGCCTTGTATCCCAGGGATGAAGCCAACTTGATTGTGGTGGATGTTTTTTGATGTGCTGCTGGATTTGGTTTGCCAGTATTTTATTGAGGATTTTTGCATCAATGTTCATCAGGGATATTGGTCTAAAATTCTCTCTTTTTCTTGTGTCTCTGCTAGGCTTTGGTATCAGGATGATGTTGGCTTCATAAAATGAATCAGGGAGGATTCCCTCTTTTTCTATTGATTGAAATAGTTTCGGAAGGAATGGTACCAGCTCCTCTTTGTATCTCTGGTAGAATTCGGCTGTGAATCCATCTGGTCCTGGACTTTTTTTGGTTGGTAGGCTATTAATTATTGCCTCAATTTCAGAACCTGTTATCGCTCTATTCAAGGATTCAAATTCTTCCTGGTTTAGTCTTGGGAGGGTGTCTGTGTCCAGGAATTTATCCATTTCTTCTAGATTTTCTAGTTTATTTGTGTAGAGGTGTTTATAGTATTCTCTGATGGTAGTTTATATTTCTGTGGGATCGGTGGTGATATCCCCTTTATCGTTTTTTATTGCATCTATTTGATTCTTCTCTCTTTTCTTCTTTATTAGTCTTGCTAGTGGTCTATCAATTTTGTTGATCTTTTCAAAAACCAGCTCCTGTATTCATTGATTTTTTGAAGGGTTTTTTGTGTCTCTATCTCCTTTAGTTCCGCTCTGATCTTAGTTATTTCTTGCCTTCTGCTAGCTTTTGAAAATGTTTTTTCTTTCTTCTCTAGTTCTTTTAATTGTGATGTTAGGGTGTCAATTTTAGATCTTTCCTGCTTTCTCTTGTGGGCATTTAGTGCTATAAATTTCCCTCTACACACTGCTTTAAATGTGTTCCAGAGATTCTGGTATGTTGTGTCTTTGTTCTCATTGGTTTCAAAGAACATCTTTATTTCTGCCTTCATTTCATTTTGTACCCAGTAGTCATTCAGGAGCAGGTTGTTCAGCTTCCATGTAGTTGAGCAGTTTTGAGTTAGTTTCTTAATCCTGAGTTCTAGTTTGATTGCACTGTGGTATGAGAGACAGTTTGTTATAATTTCTGTTCTTTTACATTTGCCGAGGCGTGCTTTACTTCCAACTATGTGGTCAATTTTGGAATAAGTGTGATGTGGTGCTGAGAAGAATGTACATTCTGTTGATTTGGGGTGGAGAGTTCTGTAGATGTCTATTAGGTCCACTTGGTGCAGAGCTAAGTTCAATTCCTGGATATCCTTGTTAACTTTCTGTCTTGTTGATCTGTCTAATGTCGACAGTGGGGTGTTAAAGTCTCCCATTATTATTGTCTGGGCATCCAAGTCTCTTTGTAGGTCTCTAAGTACTTGCTTTATGAATCTGGGTGCTCCTGTATTGGGTGCATATATATTTAGGATAGTTATCTCTTCTTGTTGAATTGATCCCTTTACCATTATGTAATGGCCATCTTTGTCTCTTTTGATCTTTTTTGGTTTAAAGTCTGTTTTATCAGAGACTAGGATTGCAACCCCTGATTTTTTTTGTTTTCCATTTGCTTGGTAGATCTTCCTCCATCCATTTATTGTGAGCCTATGTGTGCCTCTGCATGTGAGATGGGTCTCCTGAATACAGCACACTGATGGGTCTTGACTCTATCCAATTTGCCAGTCTGTGTCTTTTAATTGGAGCATTTAGTCCATTTACATTTAAGGTTAATATTGTTAAGTGTGAATTCGATCCTGTCATTATGATGTTAGCTGGTTATTTTTCTCATTAGTCGATGCAGTTTCTTCCTAGTCTTGATGGTCTTTATAATTTGGCATGTTTTTGCAGCGGCTGGTACCAGTTGTTCCTTTCCATGTTTAGTGCTTCCTTCAGGAGCTCTTGTAAGGCAGGCCTGGTGGTGACAAAATCTCTCAGCATTTGCTTGTCTGTAAAGGATTTTATTTCTTCTTCACTTATGAGGCTTAGTTTGGCTGGATATGAAATTCTTAGTTGAAAATTCTTTTCTTTAAGAATGTTGAATATTGGCCCCTACTCTCTTCCAGCTTGTAGAGTTTCTGCCGAGAGATCAGCTGTTAGTCTGATGGGCTTCCCTTTGTGGATAACCTGACCTTTCTCTCTGGCTGCCCTTACCATTTTTTCCTTCATTTCAACTTGGGTGAATCTAACAATTATGTGTCTTGGAGTTGCTCTTCTCAAGGAGTATCTTTGTGGCATTCTCTGTATTTCCTGAATTTAAATGTTGGCCTGCCTCACTAGGTTGGGGAAGTTCTGGATGATATCCTGAAGAGTGTTTTCCAATTTGGTTCCATTCTCCTCATCACTTTCAGGTACACCAATCACATGTAGATTTGGTCTTTTCACATAGTCCCATATTTCTTGGAGGCTTTGTTCATTTCTTTTTACTCTTTTTTTCTCTAAACCTCTCTTCTCGCTTCATTTCATTCAGCTCCATCAGGTCATTTAAGGACTTCTCTACACTGTTTATTCTAGTTAGCCATTCGTCTAATCTTTTTTCAAGGTTTTAACTTTTTTGCGATGGGTTCGAACATCCTCCTTTAGCTTGGAGAAGTTTGTTATTACTAATAGTCTGAAGCCTTCTTCTCTCAACTTGTCATTCTCCATCCAGCTTTTTTCTGTTGCTGGCGAGGAGCTGCGTTCCTTTGGAGGAGAAGAGGCACTCTGATTTTTATAATTTTCAGCTTTTCTGCTCTGGTTTCTCCCCATCTTTATGGTTTTATCTACCTTTGGTCTTTGATGATGGTGACATATAGATGGGGTTTTGGTGTGGACGTCCTTTCTGTTTGGTAGTTTTCCTTCTAACAATCAGGACCCTCAGCTGCAGGTCTGTTGGAGTTTGCTGGAGGTCCACTTCAGATCCCGTTTGCCTGGGTATCACCAGCGGAAGCTGCAGAACAGCAAATATTGCAGAATGGCAGAAGTTGCTGCCTGATCCTTCTTCTGGAAGCTTCATCTCAGAGGGGCACCCGGCTGTATGAGGTGTCAGTCGGCCCCTACTGGGAGGTGTCTCCCAGTTAGACTACTTGGGGGTCAGGAACTCACTTGAGGAGGCAGTCTATCTGTTCTCAGATCTCAAACTCTGTGCTGGGAGAAGCACTATTCTCTTCAAAGCTGTCAGACAGGGACGTTTAGGTCTGCAGAAGTTTCTGCTGCCTTTTGTTCAGCTATGCCCTGCCCGCAGAGGTGGAGTCTACAGAGGCAGGCAGGCCTCCTTGAGCTGCGGTGGGAACCACCCAGTATGAGCTTCCAGGCTGCTTTGTTTACCTACTCAAGCCTCAGCAATGGGGGCCGCCCCTCCCCCAGCCTCACTGCCACCTTGCAGTTCAATCTCAGACTGCTGTGCTGACAGTGAGCGAGGCTCCATGGGTGTAGGACCCTCCAAGCCAGGCACGGGATGTAATCTCCTGGTGTGCCATTTGCTAAGGCCATTGGAAAAGTGCAGTATTAGGGTGGGAGTGTCCTGATTTTCCAGGTACTATCTGTCATAGCTTACCTTTGCTAGGAAAGGGTATTTCTCAATCCTTTGCGCTTCCTGGGTGAGGCAATGCCCCACCCTGCTCCATGGGCTGCACCCACTATCTGACAAACCCCCATGAGATGAACCTGGTACCTCAGTTGGAAATGCAGAAATCACCCGTCTTCTGCGTCACTCACGCTGGGAGCTGCAGACTGGAGCTGTTCCTATTCGGCCATCTTGGAACCTCCCAAACAGATCAAAAGACACCCTTAAGGTAAAATAATAGATTATAATACAAACAAGCACGAAAGACTCCCCTATATACTATGTAAATATCTTCATCAAATCAGTATAAAAATGTGGACAACTCAATAGAAAAATGAAAAAAAGATTTTAAAGGTACTTCACAAAAGAGAATACCCAAATGCCCAATAAATATATAAGACTTTAAACATTACAAATGATTAAGAAAATGTAAGTTAAAACAAAATGTGACACACACACAAACACAGACACACACTCTCTTTCTCACCAAAAATGTTAAAATTAAAAAGACAGATGATACTTTTTTTGCCCAAAATGTATTTAAATGGTAATTTCCAGACACTGATGGTAAGAGTCTTAATTGTTACACTTTGCAAAACTATTTTGTAGTATTTATAATCCTTTGGATTCAGTTTCCCATTGCTTCACAGGTGGCTCAGGTATGCTAAGTCGCTCTTAATTCCAGGTCTGTAGACATGCAGGGGCAGAGCTTCAGGGCGCTCAGGAGGTGACAGCTGAGACTCACTGGGGCAAAAATGGGGCAAAATAAATTAACTCAAGCTATTATATCCATCAGCTCACTTAATTATTTTTCATGGTGACAACTTGAAATTTACCCTTAGCTATTTTGAAATACACAATGCATTATTGTTGACTCTAATCACCCTGGTGTGCAATAGATCTCAAAAACATATTTCTCTTAACTGAAATTTTGTACCCTTTCATCAACAATGCCCCATTCCCTTCTCCTCTGCACCTTCTCAACCCCTATCTCTGGTAACTACCTTTCTACTCTGTACTTTTTTAGTTCAACTTTTTTTAGATGCCACATATAAATAAAATCATGTGATACATGTCTTTCTGTTCTTGGCTTATTTCACTTAGAATAATATCTTCCAGGTTCATCCATGTCATTGCAAATGACAGAATTCCCTTTTATTATGGCTGAAGAGTATCCCGTATTCATTCTTTCCAGAACATCCTGCCAAGCCACTGCCAAATATCATTGCATATTTTTACCTCAGGCCTCTTCCCACTTAAATGTAAATAATCAAGTTCATAACTCATAACTTTGTCTACTGAGTTTTAATTTTGTTTTTCTTCAAAGGCCCATGGTATAAAAGCAATCAATCTATAAAACCGGCAGAAATACTTTCTTTCCATGAGTCTGATATAGGGAATATTCAATGGGGCCACAGAGGTAAGTTGAGGGAGTGGCATCAGGCAACACAAGTAAGTGACTTGGGAATATGGCCTCTCCGTACATACTCAGGCCTAATTTCCATGCGTTATTTCCCTTCTACAACAGGTTGTTGATGCACTCACCTGACCTTATAACATGATGCATCTTAAAGTAGATTACTCACGATTAGCAATTCTGTTTCCAGAATCTGTGGCTTAGTTTGGAAGGGGCTTGTCAACATGTCAAAAGAGAGTCTTCAAATGACAAGTAGTTCTCTGCTTTAGAAGGTATGGCTTGTTTCAGAAACTCAGAGTTTGTACTACAATTTCCTATAGGGCCTTTTTAGAGCTTCAGTATATAACTTTAAAAACAATTTCTATTTCAATAGTTTTTGGGGTACAGATGGTTTTTGGCTACATGGATAACTTATTTAGTGGTGACTTCTGAAATTTTTGTGCACCCATCACACCAGCAGTATACACTGTACCCAATATGTAGTCTTTTATCACTCACCCCCAACCCATCCTTGCCCCCAAGTCCTCAGGGTACATTCTGTCATTCTTATGCCTTTGCATCCTCATAGCTAGCTCCCACTTATAAGCAAGAACATATGATATTTGGTTCCATTCCTGAGTTATTTCACTTAGAATAATGGCCTCTAACTCTATCCAAGTTGCTGCAAAGGCCATTATTTCATTGTGTTTTATGGATGAGTAGTATTCCATGGTGTAAATATACCACATTTTTTTAATCCCCGGATTGGTTGATGGGCATTTAGGTTGGTTCCATATTTTTGCAGTTGTGAATTCTGCTTCTATAAACATGTGTGTGCATGTGTCTTTGTCATATAATGACTTCTTTATTTAGTATGATGGGGTATGCTGAGGCACATGGCCCAATTGAAGGAGCAGTTTGAATTATGGCCCAGTACCTTCTAATACCATCACCTTGGAGATAAGGATTTCAACACATGAATTTGGGGTGGACATAAACATTCATACCATAGCATGCTGCCTCCAGAATCCAAATAAATTTGTCCCAAATGGATATTCCAGCTGACTCCAGGCCACTGGACCCCTAAATACTTCCTGATGTAGTTGACCTTTGAATATTTATGCAGTTATCTCTTACCTCTTACCATATGTATATGTCATATATTTTATATATATATATATATATATATATATATATATATGTCATATATGGACTACTTTGAAGTGAATTTGAGTCTCAAAAGCTGAGGTAGGCAGATGCAGTTATTGCCAGTGGCTGTGTAGGGGGTATATATATCATATATATACCATATTAAGACATCTAGGATATTTGCCAAAAGTTTGATTAAGCTATCAGCTATCATTAATATAGTGGTACAGCATATATTCTGTAGAAAGTCAAGATAACCAAAGTCTTGCAGACTATAGCATGACAAAGAACAGGAATTAATTTAGACATTGGAGGAAACAATGAATGTATAATCTTTTCTTCCCATATAAACATGATCTGATGGGCCTTAATAAAAATGCTTTCTCCAGATCATTAGTCACATATAAATTGCCAGATATTTTGTTGATCTATTTCAGTAAACACACTG
Organism: Homo sapiens; assembly: GCF_000001405.40. NCBI lineage: Eukaryota > Metazoa > Chordata > Mammalia > Primates > Hominidae > Homo > Homo sapiens. The sequence continues at coordinate 191,019,356 of NC_000003.12, forward strand.
TATTTACCAGAGGAACCACATTTGAGGCTGCCAGTTGTTTGAGTTTTTGTTAGTCTACCATGATTTGCCAAATGCAACCGTTTTTTGTAGGAGCCAAACAAAAGCAACTGAAGTGGGTATATGACGAGGACTCTCATGTCTATATCTTTTAGGTTTTTGTTGGTGGCACTAATCTCTTCAGTTATTCCCGGGATACAATATTGTTCCTGTTTCACTGTCTTGGCTTCGGATATATGGGGTTGGGGGAACAAGTTTTAGAGACTTTCACCTGACCATTTTTACTATAATGGTTCTTACTACACAGGTCAATGAACATGAAGGAAGCAAGGGAGTAGGCTATGCAGAATCTCTTAGTGTATTTTATTTGTAGATTCTAATCGTCATTCTACACCCCCACCTTTCCCTCCCATTTGTGCATTGCTCCCAGGGCTTGGAGGCACTCCAGGCACAATGAAATCATGAAGAGACCACCACCACCCATCCCAGTTTAACTCTCTTATTCACCACCACGCCTGCCATCTCCTTCTCTTCCTGCCTCCCTTCTTCGCACTATTCAAATTTAGTTCTAACACAAAATAAAGTTTGGCATTGGTCATCGGCAACCTTTCTTCCTCATCCCTGCCCTCCCCATTTTACCAGTGCTTCTCCTTCACGCCAACCTCTCCCAGTGCTTAGAGGCTTGTGAGAGGAGATTAAACTAATCCCATCCACCGACAAGCTCACTAAGCAGTTCCTGAGTAAAGTCCAAAATTCCTGCCAAGCAATAGAGCTGGGGGTGGGGAGAGAATTAATGTAACAATCAGCACATTATAGCAATAACTTTTCCATGAAAATTCTTTCCCTTTCAATAATCCCAAAGTCAGGAGAAAGTATGAAGCATGGAGTGTATGCGGGGAGTGGGAATATAAAGACAATTTGTTTTACTTTTCTTTTTCTTATTAAACATAAATTAAACAACTAAGTATGTTGGCACCACCACACTGTTTTTTGAAAAGTAATTTAACATACCCCCTTTCTTCATAAAAAGGGAATGAGTATGTAAATAGCCAAAATTTAAGTGGTTTTGGATTAGTTCATTTGCTAAGTAATACTTAAGAAAGTAGCATTAGAACTACTGGACAGGCGTAAAGCAATTTGGGAGCATTTTGCCAGCAGCATATTGATGCCCACGTCTGTAGCTCCAGTTCTGAGATAAGTCATCACTCCATCTGCGGAGAGTATAACAGCAGGTTTCTCACTGTTCTTACTCCACTACCTTGGTTCATTCATCCAGTGTACATGAGTCTCTCCAGAATAGAAGCTGAGAAAAATAATCTGATAGGCAACATTTAAATCAGTATCTTGAATCCCTTCAGCTTTCCCCACATTAGGACTCTAGTTTTATTTTTATATTTTTTCAAGGAACTACTGTGAAATGAATTTGAGTCTCAAAAGCTGAGGTAGGCCAAGGCAGTCACTGCCAGTGGCTGTGTAGGGGGTAAGAAATTTCTATTCAAATAATGGTGAATGCAACTGATGGTGTTAAAAAAAAAAAGTGTGAGGGCTTCAGAGCAAAGTTTAGCCTCAAGGGTAAAATCCATGGTTCTTGGCATTCATTATGCCAAAGAATTCCATGTTAAAACAAAATGGAAGAGTTAAAAATAAACAAACAAAAAGAGCTCCAAAGACACAGCTGAAAGGCTGAAGCCATATTGAGGGTAAAACCAATAGAAGTATCAGATGGTACTTTCTAGAACAAGTAAGAGAAGGTCTTAACCCACTCTGCTAGCCTTTATGAAAAAGTCCTTCTAACAGTCCCGCTCTCTCCACCCCTGAAAAACAGAGAATTGTATTTAGAAAGGCATTTAGACCACAGTTATGCAATGTCAGCCTGCCCAAAGCTGGCAATGAATCGTTTCCAAATACTCTCATGGTTTCCTGAGAAACTTTAGAAAGAAAATATCCAAACACTTCATTTGATTTTCACTTTATTATATATATGTTTCTGGTCAGCCAGCCTTGAAAAAAGTCAGGCCCTGGTGAATCCTTGTTGTATCTTGGTTATGCACAGGAAAAAAAAATAAAAACCATTACAATTTTGACAAATGTTTACTGGACACCTGTCTTTGGGAAATCACTATCTTTGGGAAAAGATCTCTGAACCCAGGAAGTACAGCTATGCAAATACTCTTGTATTATAATTGTTTTTATAGTTAAATTTTTAAACATCAAATGTATACACATTATTCTACTTTGAACAGAGGTAGTATGAGGATAAATGATATACTATATGGATTATTTCAGGCATATTTCATATAGTCAATGGGAAGAATAATTTGATATTTTTGTACAATATTCTTATATTTCAGTTGTGAAATTCTAAGTATTATAAGCCATACAAATTTGCCTGGAACAATGCAATTCATGATGTACTTTGATATGTACTGTCTTTATTGATTTTTACAATTTCTGGAATACAAAGAACATGAAATAACTATTGATGAGAACGCCAGAGACTATAACAGAGCATTTTTTTTCTAGGTCCTGTGATCTTATTACAACCTACTGAGTGATAACTAAGTGAGGACTCATTAGCTGGCTCTAATCCAACTGATATGTGCCTCCTAGCAGACAGCATCTTCAGCTTAACTTTGGGTGTTCTGCAGGGAGGATAAAGAGAAGCCTCAGGGAAATACACTCCTTAGGTATATTCTTTATTTCAAATAAAGCTGCTAGTTTAATCACCTCTCTAAGTCTCTCTCTCCCTTGTTACCTTCCTTTCTTTCAGAAATATTTATTTTTAACTCATATGATGAACCAGCCTGAGGATATAGCATTGAACATAACAAAGTTCCTACCTGATAGAATGTATAAACTCATACAATAAGCCAATAAAGTGATAAAAGCATAATGTAATAGGTAGTGACAATATTGTGGAGAGAAATAAATTAATATAAGGGAGCAAGGAAGGGATAGGATTATAACATTTTAGAGTGGTCAGGAGAGGCTCCTCTAATGAGGTGACATCTGAGCAGAAACCCAGTAGAACCAAGGGAACAAATTATGCTGATGTCTAAACAAGAAATTTCAGACAGATGGAGCAGGTGCATGCCAAGAACTAAAAGCATGTTTCCTGTTTTTGAGGAACAGGAGGGAGCCACTGTGGCTGGAGGGGAACAGGTCAGGGGCATGGGGACATGTGGGTGTAAAGGCACAAGTGCAAAGAGCTTGGGTCACAGAAGGCCTTGTATGGCTTTGTAAAGACTTTGGCTTTCACTCTGAATGAGATGGTGAACCACTGGAAGATTTTGCACAAAGGAGAGATGTGATCTTATTTATTCTTTTCAAGGATCTCTAGGCCTGCTGGTTGAAAACGATCTGTAGGGGGCAAGAATGGAAGCACCCCGCCAAGTGGCTACTGTAACTCCAGATGGGAGATCATGGTGACTTCAACAAGGAGCGTAGTGGTAGAGATGGTTAGAAAGTGTTTAGATTTTGGATATATATTAAGTTGAACCATTTGAAATGAATGTTTTTATAGGTTAAAGATGGTGAAAGATTGACAATTTCATATGGTTCCACATAATACTTGAAGGTTATGCCAAAATGCCAGAAATATCTTGTGATGGATTGGACTTACTGTGTGAGAAACAGAAACACATCAAGGTTAACTGCAAGGTTTTTGAACTGAGCTCAAATGGAAGAATCTCTAAGATGAAAAGGGATGGTGGAGAATGGGTTTATAAAGGATAATCAGCAAGTTATCTTTAACATATCATGTGAAAATATCAAGTGGGCAGCTAGATAAATGATTCCAGAGCTTGGAGATTTGTCCGAGTTGGGTATATAAATTTAAGAGTATACTATATAGTCATTTCAAAGCCATGAGATAGATCAGCAGAGAGACAGCATGAGATTACTTATCTCATGAGTGTACATAAAGAATATTATCAGACTAATCTCTAAGATTCTGGTTTCAAACCCATCTATGCCACTTACTATTTGTGCTTAAGAAGCTCCTTAAGTGTTTGTGTAGCTTAGTTTCCACATCTGTAAAATAGATATAAGGATATTAGCCCTCACATCACAGGGTCAGTGTAAGAATTGAATGAGTTAATGTGTTTAAAGTACTGTTATTATTTGAATGTATGTGTCCTTCTAAAATTCATATGTTGAAATTTAAACCCAATATGAAAGTATTAAGAAGTGGGGGCCTTTAAGAGGTGACTAAATCTTGAGGGCAGAATCTTCATGAATGGGATTATCAATTTTATAAAATGAAGCAGGCTAGTCCCTTTTGCCCTTATTCTCTTTTTCCTTTGTGCCATGCGAGGACATGGTATTCATCCCTTCTGTCATGAGAGGACGCAGCAAGAAGACTCTCACAAGACATCAAATTCCCCTACACGTTGATCTTGGACTTCCAGCCTTTAGAATTATTAAAATAAATTTCTCTTCTTTGCAATTTACCCAGTCTCAGGTGTTTTGTTATGGCAGCAAGAATGGACTAAGGCAATTATTTAGAATAGTGCCTGATGTATAAGTGCTATGTAGTTATTAATTTTTACATATCCTTAGCATCTAAGAGATGGACAAAATTATGTCAGATGATTCAAAACTAATGCTATATTAAAATAAAAAGCTACAAGGCACTTCACCTTTAGCCATAACATATTAGCATTTTTATAAGGGGTAAATCACAATTCTCGATTCATTTCCATAGTTCTTGCAGTTAGAAGAATCAATAGCAATATGATGGTTTTCCATCCAAGCTTTGAGGGCTGTGAGTCTCTGTCTGTTTCTATGCCTCCATGGTGTTATTTTGCAGTAAAGCCAGGAGAGAATCTACCATATCATACTCACCAGATGCCAATATAAACTGAAAACTTATGTGATATTGTGAAGATCAAAAAATTATCATTTATTAAGCTTCTGCTCTCTGTAGGAAACTGTGATAAATAGGTAGTATGAAGAAGATAAACATCAGTCGCAGTGTAGTATGGTGATATTCAGAAAATACTTTTTAGTCAAACAGAACTGTAACTGAGTCGTGGCTTCCCCTTGCCATGGGGAAATACATTTAACATGCCTGAGCCTCAGATTTCTCATCTGTAAAATAGCAATAATAATTTTAGTTCATAATGCAGTTGTCATATTACATTAAATAATGCATGTGAAACTTTCGATATGGTGGCTAGCACATTATAGTTACTCAATATAAGTTTGCTTTAACAGGATAAAAAAGAAAGTGCCACAAAAGCAAAATACTGTTCAGACTTTCTTACAAGTTAAGTAATTAATGAAAAAATTATATATAGATATAGGTATAGTTACAGATATAGATGTAGAAAGATATACATACCACAGGAGTATAGGAGAGAAAGACATGTTTTTTTCCCCAGGAGTTTTCAAAGAGAAAGGGGGCTCCAAGTAAAGATAGAACTACATAGTTTATTGTAAGAGAGAGAGCATCAGCAATGAGAAAGAATTCTCGTGGTGTTTAACGGGGAAATATACATATTTTGGCCAAAGTGAAAAAGTTTGAGGGTGAGAATATAGAGAATAGAACACTCCCCTGCTTGTAAGCCCTCAATGACTTTCAAATAACAAAGATACTGTGATGATTAAGGTTATACATCAATTTGTCCAGCCCATGGCATGCCCAGATATTTTGTCAACCATCATTCTGAATGTTTCTGTGAGGGTGATTTTGGATGAGCTTTATATTTAAATCAATAGACTAATTAAAGCAGATTGCCCTCCCTAATATGAGTAGGCCTCATCCAGTCAGTTGGAGCCCTGAATAGAACAAATGGACTGACCCTTCACTAAGTAAGAGAAAATTCCCCTTGCTTGAGTGCCTTTGAACTGCGACATTGGGTTTTTCCTGCCTTTGGACTCTAACCAATACATTGATTTTTCCTGGGTGTTAATCCTGCTGGCATTTGGACTAGAACTACATTATAGGGTCTTCTGATTCTCAGGCCTTAAAACTTGAACTAGAATACATCATCAGTTCTGAATGCTTAGCTTCCTGTCTCATTGCAGATCTTGGGACTTGTCAGTCTCCATAATTGATTAAGCCAATTCCTTATAATAAATCTCTAACATGTACATCTTATTGTTCTGTTTCTTTGGCAAACCCTAATACAGATATAAAATCCAAAATCTTTATTAGAACTAAAAATACCCATTAAATTTGTTTCTAATCAATCATTTTCCAGTGTTATCTCTCACTGCATTTATTAAATATTTTTGAGTGACTACAAGAAATGTTCTCGTATCCGGAGTACAGATCAAGATCTACATGGAAATTAAACCCCTCTCCAGCCCCATGGGGATAATTTTAACAAGTCTAAGTCAGTTCTGGTGATTTCATTCCCTTAGCCATTTAATGGTTTAAAAATGGACACAAAATACAATTTTTGCCAATGAGATCTAATTAACCTGCAATTAGGTAGCTGACTAAATACCACAGGGAATGGTGTGACATCAGGAACCCAGTGTTCTCTGTTGCTGGCAGTTTGCCTACTCAGCAGTGGCTGTAGCCACTGCAAATACATGTTTTAGGGCCCACGCATAACCTTCATCTCTTCAACCATGGACATGTTGTTTATGAGCTGATTGGGGAATTACAAGAGTGGCTAAGGAAAGAGGCTATCTAGTATTCACGGAACTAGTCTTCCTAGTCACTTGATTAAGGTCTTCCTCTTCGGAGGTCACTCTTTGGTGAGCATTCAAATGAAATACGAATATTATCATTATTTTCACCTAATAACACATGCAATCCCCAGATCTCTTTGTCATCAATTTTCTTCCAGCTCCCTGACTAACAAGTTAAATCATCGACCACAGACCATGGATCAGTATACAATCACACACCTGGCTGTTTCTCCTTCCAAGCAAGATAAACAACCAGATGCTCTGAGTTCCGCCTACTTTGAGGATTTTCCTTCACCATTGTCCTTCAGGGATGTCCCTGAAAAGGGCTATAGTGCTGTAGCTGTTCACTTCTGGGTGGTGATGATATATCACTCAGAGCTACCTGTATACCAGGCCCAAGTTTTCTCTTCTTTTATCAACTGATACGGGAAACTCCCCATGAGGCCATAGATACAGGCCAGAAGAAAAAAGGTAATAAAGCAGGAGTAGGGATAATGTTTATTAGTTCATTCTCACACTGCTGTAAAGACATACCTGAGACTGGGTAACGTATAAAGAAAAGAATTTTAATCAGCTCATCATTCTGCAGACTGTGCACATAGCATGGCTGGGAGGCCTCAGGAAACTTACAATCATGGCAGAAGGTGAAGGGGAAGCAGGCACGTCCTACAACCAGATCTCATGAGAACTCTCACTATCACAAGAACAGCAAGAGGAAAATCCACCCCTATGATCCAATCGCCTTTCACTAATTCACTCTCCCAACATTGAGGATTACAATTCAATGTGAGATTTGGTTGGGAACACAGAGCCAAAACATATCAGTTACTTAGGCCACTTTTTAGTGTAATTTACTTGTGCCTTCGAGGCTTGTTTGAGTCCAGTTTCACATATACCACTTCCATTACATCATGGATTGCTGCCATGCATGCCCAACTTTATGGCTTGTTGTGTCAGACAACATTCAGTTCAAATAGGCAGCTCAGGTCACATAGTAACTCTGTGGTTAAGTGTTTAGCATCTACTAAGGCCTAGTAGCAGGCCAAAAGCAGTTTCTTAAAAGGAGAGTAAGAATCCACAGAGTAGTAGGCCTTTGGTGTAAAATGTTTAGAGTCTACACTGTGATTCACATCTAGGGACATGCCTAAGCCTCTGAAGTGGCCCTGTCTGCTACTGCCACTTCAGGCACTATTAGATCTGCTGGATGGATCATATGATCCAAGTGACAGAGTGGCTTGCAAGGAAGGCTAGACCTATTGCAGAGCCTTTTCTTGTTCTGTGTTGCACTAAAAACAAGCACCTTTTTAGATCACTTGGTAAATGGGCCACAGTAGCATATCTAAGTATGTTGCCTCCAAAATTCAAAGAATTCCACTGGACATTGTATTTCCTTTTAGCTTGTAGGAGAGGCTTAATGAAACAATTTATCCTTCACCTTAGAAAAGACATTTTGACAGGTGCCACACCACTGGACTCAGGGATTTTACTGAGGTAAAAGTTCCCTGAATTTATGTCAGATTTATTTATTTATCAGCGTATGACATGTAACTGTCTTACCAATAAGTCTAGAGTAGTTGCTACTTCTTACTTTCTGGGGCCAATCAGCATAACATAATCATTGTTATAAACCAGTGCAATATCTTGTGGAAGGGTAAGACAGACAAGATCCCTACAAATTAAATTATGACATAGGGCTGGAGAGTTGATATACCTCTGAGGCAGGACAGGGAGGGGGTATTGCTGAACTTGCCAATGGAAATCACACTGTTTCTGATGTCTTTTTGCTAACAGGTAGGGAAAAAATGCATTTGCCTTATGAATAGCTGCAAACCAGGTACCAGAACATGTGTTAATTTGCTCAGCAGTGCAACAGCAATTTTAGTTGGATTCACTACCTGGTTAAGTTTGTGAAAACCCACTGTCATTCTCCAAAATACACATTTTCTGCATAAACCCAACAGGTCAGTTGAATGGGATGTGGTGGGAATCAGCATCTCTACATCCTTAAAATCTGATGGTGGCACTAATATTTGTAATTCCTTCTGGAATGCTGTATTGTTTTGGGGTAATTATTTTTTAGAGGTAGAGGTAGTTCTAGGGGCTTCCACTTGGTCTTCCCACCATAATAGTTGCCATTCCATGGGTCAAGGAACCAATGTGGAGATTCTGCCAGTGGCTGGATATGTCTATTCCACTTATGAATTCCAACATTGAGGAAATAACCACAGAACCTGGGAACCCACTGAATACTTTGTGAGATACATCTAGGCTAAAACTCCATTGATCATCTAACCTTCATAAGCCACTACTCTGACTTGTAGGTCACAGTAACATTTTTGAATCTCCTTAATTTAGTGTCAGTTTGGAGCCATTGTCTGGTAGTCTCAGAAAAATTTAAGATTTCCTTTACCCCAATGTTCAGTTACCCTTGTCAAAAGCCATAGGCCCCTTTTAGGAAGACTGAGGTAAAGGTCAATGATAGAAATTTTGGGCAGTACAGCAAAGTTCATCCTCCAGAGGATCTGGTCTCCCCTTTATTCAAAGGGTCCTGGGTCTGTAAACTGACTTAAGTTTGGCAATTTATTGGCCGTGGATCTGTTTTATGATACATGTTAGACTTTAGTTCAGTTGATCTAGAACTTTTCTGCTATATAGACCAAGGAACAATTCAATAGATTATTCCTCTACTTCACTTCTTGGAATACAATGATCAACTAACCTGTGCCATGAGTCTCTAGGAGTCAGCCTCTTCCAATTGGTACTTTGACTCTACTGTAACCACACCTTTGGTGACCAAGTGCTGCTACTAGGCCTCTGCTACTCTGGGATAAGATTATCTCTATTGCATTTCTATTTCCCAAGTCAGTGGCAGCAGTTCTCAATTTAATTTCTGACCTACAGAAAAGCTCTTCAAGGATGCTGGTGCTCCTCTCACAAATTTATTTCTCAGCCATGGTGAAAGATGTGAAATCAGGACACTCGAGGAGGAAGTGAGCAGCCTTGCGTGATCAATCCTCTCTAACTTTCCAATGTCCCTAAGCCTGTGGATTCATTCTCTGAACACTAAGCTAGCTCTGGCATTTCAGTTTCATTTCGTGTAGGCCACCTTTTGATACACGTTTCAGCCAGCCAATCACACAAAATGTTAGAGATGTTTCTAATCATCCAAGCTACAACATTATATCCAGAATATTTGCTTAGTATACCCATATCAATAAACTTACCTGATCTAACTTTATGTTCCTTTCTCCACTGTCCCACACCTTCAATATTCATTCCCACAAATATTCCCTGGATATCTATCTACATAAATTAGAAAAGCCCTTTCAGGGCCTGCTGGGACTTGAGTCTAGTTATAGGCCTAAAAAGGAAGGAGGGATATTAGGGATGGGTCTTGAGGAGACTCAGCAGTGTTTTGCAAGGCAACTGCCTAAGAGGAAACCATCTACATTTCTCGGGAATGCCAGAGTTAATCTCCTGAGACAGGGGTAGAATGGCAGCTTCTACTGACACATAAAACACATCCAAATTTAGGAGTTTAATGTCTCTGGTCTTATCAGAAACTTCACATCTGTCCCTATTCCCATTTTCAGGACCCCATCCTAAGCCAATCAAATACCCTTGCTTTAACAGCAAAAACCTGAGACGTTGAGAATCCAATTTGTGTTATAATTCAGCCACTTGCAGAATGAGGCTATGGGTTTGTTTTTCAACAATCTCAGCTCTGCTGCTATAGGATATATGGATTTCTTTCAGGGAGGAAGTAAAAATTTTCAGGTCATTTATGTAAGTGCTTGAGCTAGCAATTTGAATTCCTGAGCTTACTGTTTTCTTTCTTCACTTTGTCTAGCACAATTAGGAGTAACTTTTCAATCTCATTACACTTACTAGTTTGACAAAAATGTTCTGTTATCAAATACTCTGTGTTTATACATTTCTGTGCACACACATATACACTCCCCCTTTCTTTCTGTTATATATGTTATGAAATTTCAAAAAAATGTTTTCAGTTCATTTTCTAAGGACATAATGTCATCTCTTTTAGCTCTTGTGAGTTGTGTGATAAGTAGATTTTTTTTATTTTTTATTTTTTGAGACGGAGTTTCACTCTTGTCGCTCAGGCTGGAGTGCAATAGTACGAACTCGGCTCACTGCAACCTCCACCTCCCGGGTTCAAGCAATTCTCCTGTCTCAGCCTCCTGAGTAGCTGGGATTACAGGTGCCTGCCACCATGCCCAGTTGATTTTTGTATTTTTAGGTAGAGACAGGGTTTCACCATGTTGGCTAGGCTGGTCCTGAACTCCTGACATCAGGTAATCTACCCTCCTCAGCCTCCCAAAGTGCTGGGATTACAGGTGTGAGCAAATGTGCCCAGCCAAGATGATAGTTTTTTTAACTTCTGCAGCCATCTTGTAACTAAGAGGGGATGAGACTTTATAATTAGAAAGAACCTGAGCCCCTGATGATTTCATTGATTTACTGACTCAACCAATCATCACCCACCCTAATACTGAATTTTCTGTTATAGGAAATGCCAAAACCCTATTGTTTAAGCTAGTTTGAGTTGAGTATTCTGTTACTTGCATGAGATTATTTTTAACTGTTACAAATATTTTAGAGAGTTGGCAAGAATATTTGAGTCAATACATTCTAGCGTAGGAGAAAACCTTTGGCATCATGTGCTGTCATATGATATGTTGTTGTGGAGCAAGCTTGTGACCGTGCCAGTGCTAAAATCCAGATAATCCTCATTCCGATTTCATTGTTCTTTCCTCTGCATTAGGCAGTGCATAATTTTTTAATATCCTTTTTTTTCTAATATAAAGGGTTTATTATCCATATTTGCTTGCCTTCAGTCCTTACCTGAAAGATTACCTGAAATCATTTGAGAAATATTTTTTCTGATTAGTAACTAGTGAGTTATATATATCATATCGCCTTATTGTACCAAAGAGGTTAATTCTTTTTCCCTGTGTTCTGACATTATACAAAATAAAAGCTCTCTTAGTGAACTCACACTGTTTCTCAGCTATCCGCCTCACAAATGGGTTGTCCAAAACTCTCATCTGTTTCACATAGAACACATCTATCTTGTTCTTTGAAAGTTGCCAAGAATAACCCAAGCTGAACTGAAATGAGTTCTTTGTCACAGCTTTCAAACCTGTCAAATGAGGAAGATGAAAGATGATTGGCAAATAGTGTGGCTTGTCAACTCCTCAATCATGCACAAGAAAATCTAAAATGATAGATGTTGTCATGGCCAACATTTTTATATACTGTATTTCACTTATAAAAAACACAGGAAAGTTTACAAGGTCATAAACATTCAGCATAGTTATGCTACTTTTCTTAGAAATTTTATGAAATTTGTCTCTGTCTGTTCTGTTAGTTTTAGGATCACACACACGCACACAAAAAAAAGGAGTTAAAAAATATTAGACACAACTTCAGTGTTGGAGATCACTGGGTCTAAGCCCAGCCTTTGAAAATGGAAGAAACTGAGATCTGACAAGGTAAATTCGTTCTTCACAGTAACAGGTCTGGTCAGATGTAGAATCATAATTTGACTCAGTTTTTGAAGAAACAGCAGGTAAATATAGAGATACTATCTAATTTTCCCAAGTTCTTTCAGCCAAAACATAGGGAATCCAGAACTGAAATGCAGTTGTCTCTCACTCACAAGTTGCCATTACCAGCCATAATGCTTTCCAACATAAAACTGAAATGTTATCATTTGTGCTGCAGCAATGAGTTCATTTAGGAAATAACTGAGTCCAGTTTATGTTACAAATACCTGACTAAACACTGGGTATATAATGGTGAATAAACAATCGTAGTCTCTAGCTAATTTAAATATACAAAGTATGAAGATAGCGGGAAAAACATGGAAACAGAAAACAACAGAGTTGTCTGAAAAGACCAACGTAAACTGAGGTTTTCTGACACCAGAGGAATAAGCAAGGACAGTCTTGTTCTGGACAGGAGGAAGGATGAAAGGAGAAACAATAGTGGAAACCAGCATGTCAGAAATAATTAATGGTATGCATGAAATGCTGTGAGTTAAGAAAAAGTTATATGTGTTGATAGGACTGTAGCTGATGCCATAGTGAGCAATGGAAGAAGTGGCACAGAATGAAGTTGGACAGATAAGAAAGGAAAACATGATGTGTAAACTCGTAGCCAGGGTCTTTAGCTAACAAAGGTTTGAGAGAGATAATATGAAAGATTTGAGGAAGAGGAGATGTGTAGTCATCTTGGGAAGTCAGTAGATACCATAAAAGTTTTAGGCGATGTTGAGAACCTACTGGAATTTTGAGATTATGAATTTAAAGTGAAACTACTTGTGGTAGGTTGGCAAATGGTCTCTTAAACGCATCAGGATATAATCCCTGGAAACTGAATGTTAACTCACATGCTAAATTTTCTGCAGATGTGATCACCTTAGGAATCTTTTTTTTTTTTTTTTTTGCCCTCGATGTGTCAGGCATGGTGTTTAATACTGGAGATTGAAAGAAAAAAATGCCACTAGATGGAGCGTCTTCTTTTTTTTTTTTTATTATACTTTAAGTTTTAGGGTACATGTGCACAACGTGCAGGTTAGTTACATATGTATACATGTGCCATGTTGGTGTGCTGCACCCATTAACTTGTCATTTAACATTATTTATATCTCCTAACGCTATCCCTCCCCCCTGCCCCCACCCTACAACAGGCCCCGGTGTGTGATGTTCCCCTTAATGTGTCCATGTGTTCTCATTGTTCAATTCCCACCTATAAGTGAGAACATGCGGTGTTTGGTTTTTTGTCCTTGTGATAGTTTGCTGAGAACGATGGTTTCCAGCTTCATCCATGTCCCTACAAAGGACATGAACTCATCATTGGAATCTTAAAATGAGATTATCTTGGGTTTATCCACGTGCTTTAATTGTCATCACTAGTATCTTCATGGTGGCATCAGAGTGATGCAAAGATTGTTTAGACACACAAAACAGCAGGAGGCAATGTGACCCCAGAGGCAAAAATTGGAGTGATACAGTCACCTGATAAGAAATGGCAGCAGTCATCAGAAGCTGGAAGAGTCCGCAACATCTTCTATCCAAGAGCCTCTGGAGGGAGAATGGCTCTGACAACAACTAGATTTCAGTCTAATGATAATGATTTCAGGTTTCAGACCTCTAGGTCTATGAGAGGGAAATTTTCTGTTGTATTAAGCCACCAAATTTATGGTAATTGTTACAGTAGCCTTAGGAACCGAATACACTATTCTATCCAGCTGTATAATGTTTTCCAGGTGTAGGCACAGAGATGATAGATAGTTGCGTTCTTTTTGAAATGATGATGGAGAGAGAAAAAGGAATGGAATACTGTGTGTCTTCAAATAAATGACTACAATAGTAAAATATGGAATCTAAGCTGGCCAAGAGGGAAAATGAAGATAAAATGGGGCTGATGGATAACGAAAATATAAAAGTATCAAAGTTTAGAAGCCATGACTTGCTTGAAGAAACATTATGAATGCACAATACCTGTAAGAAGTCATTACATGTTGAATGAAATTAAATAACAAGGTCAGGGTTTGTTTGTATAGACAACCTCAAAATTTAGTGGTGAATAATAATCCAGAGAGATTTAAAAATTGGAGGTGTTGTAAACTGGAGACATAATGAAGGAAAGCACTTCCCAGATGTATATCAGAAACTTCACCCTATACAGTGAAAACTGAATTATTAAATTACCAGCATATATATTCATGAAACACTGGGTTCAATTACTCATTGAGATACTACCAGAAGAATGAAACACTTCAACAAATATTTTGATTTTGTCAACACTCCTTTTCCTTTATTTACATAAGGAAAGTCCTTTAAATTTTAATGTTCCCTATTTTAAGTATGAATTAATATATGCCTCTGGGATTCACTTCATATACAATTTCCAGATAATATTTTCATAAAGATGTTAGAGATCATCAAATTACTTTTGGTTATAAGCATGTATTCTAAGCACATTCTATGATACTTGAGTCATTTTTTGTGTAAAGTACTGGACATAGGCTTTAATTCTATGCCAGATAGATTCATTTGATTCAATTTGATACAAAATCTACATGCAATATTTACTGAGCACCTCTTCTGCCTAAGGCTTATCCTGGACTTATACAGCAGTTCCCTCTTCTCTGCAGGGGATCCATTCTAAGACCCCCAATGGATGCCTGAAACCACGAATAGTACCAAATCCCATATACAGTGTGTTTTTTCTTATATATATGCACCTATGACATTTAATTTAATTAATATGAAGCTAATCTGGCACATGTTGCCACCAATGATGATTTCTGTTTGTGTCTCATCCACAAATTTAATGTCTTTCCCATTGGACGTATGCACTTATCACACACTGCGGCCATAACTTTTGCAGTTTAAGGCGCAGCAGCAAAACTAGCATGAATTTCTTTTTTCTTCTTCACAATTTCACAAATAGAAGATTAACTTTTATGTAGATGTTAGCCACCTCAGCATACAACATTTTTTTCTTTCCTTATTAAGTCAAAAACTTTCACCTTTTTCCCTAAAGAAGGCAGTTTCCTGCTTCTGCACAGCATCTCTGACTTGCTAGCAAAACTAATCTTGTGCTTAGGGGCTATTACTACATAAAATAAGGGTTCTTTGAACAAAAGTATTGTAATATTGTGACAGTTCATCTAATAACTGAGGGGCCACTAATTGACTAAAAAGTGGTTCGTGTTTAGTGTGGATATGCTGGACAAATGAATGATTCACTACCTGGGTGGGACAAAGCAGGATGACATGAGATTTCATCCTGCTACTTAGAATAGCATGGAATTTAAAACTTAAGAGTTGCTTGTTTCTGAAATTTTCTATTTAATATTTTCTCCGCAGTTGACTATGGGTAACTGACACTGAAGGAAGCAAAGCCATGAATAAGGGGCAACTACTGTATACAATTCTCAAGTAGGGGTGATCCCCTGTCTATAATTATCTTCCACTTAAATGAAGGTGAAGCTTAAAGGAATATGATGTAAACTGGACCACCGATATCATAAATGTGTTTTTCATTTGGGCCAGCTATTTTTACTCTCTCCGTTGCTTCACAGGGTCAGAAAAAATGATATTACTCCCTGGCCTATATAGTGGCTAATATCCTTCAGAGTAATGAAGAGCAGTCCTCACCAAATGTGTTAAGAAGTTCTCATTCCAAAAGAAAGAAGTGGATGGCTTAGGCTAGGGTTTGGAGTCAGAGTGCTATGCCAGATCCATATCTGAATGCATTGCCTTATTCTCTGAATGTTTTCCGTCATTCAGAGATACATATATACAATGATACTGTCATTGTATCATTCAAAGTTCATATCTATAAAGAGCCAACTCTTGCCACTTTGTCATTGAATAGAGTGCCTTGAAATCTAAAATTTCTCCCTGCAACTAGTGATGGCCTGATAGATATTTAACAATTTATTCTGTGATGCTGACCTGAGCCCCTGTTAGTAATAGTAGCTAATTTCCGTGGCTTAAATACAATCACTATTTCAATTTGTCACACTGGAGTCACTGAATGCAAAGTTGTAAAGAGATGTGCAGTAGTTCACTGTTATATAGTATGAATTATTTCTAACATAAAGATACAAAAGAGGTAAATAATTTCAAAAGCATTGATAGGAATAAAATGTATTAAAATAACTAAGACACATTTTGAGTACTCATTGCCTCTGTTTCTAAATGTAATTTATTTGATTGTAAATTTATGTAATTTTATTTTCTATACATATATTTTTAAATACAGGGTCTCACTTTGTTGCCCAGGCTAGAGTGTAATGACACAATATAGCTCACTGCCACCTTGAATTCCTAGGCTCAAGTGATCCTTCCTCCTAGACCTGCCAAGTAGCTGGGGCTACAGGCACTGGCTACTACATCTGGCTAGTTTTTTATTTTTTGTATGTGTGGAGATAGATTCTCACCATCTTGCCCAGGCTGGTCTCAAACTCCTGGGCTAAAGCTATCCTTCTGTCTCAGCCTCCCAAAGTGCTGGGATTACATGCCACTGTGCCCAGCCAATACTGTATTTAACAACTGATCTGCAAAATTCTTGAAATGTTATCAGCTCTCATGATCTTGTATGAACTGACACCAGTCTACTGACTACGATCCTATTAAAATGGTTCTCCTGGTATATAGCTCCTCTTTTATATCATGACTCCCACTTTCTTAGTTTTTTGCCATGTTTTATGAAAGTTGACTTGCTTTGAAAAGGCAAGAGGAGAATGAACTTTCTGAGGCTTATCATGGTGTCTACTATGGTAGGAAGAATTCCAAGATAACCTTCAAATAAGTGAAACTCTTAAATAATCCTCTCTGCTTATTGTGGATGGAAACTAAGTAACTTCTAGCAAAGGTGATGCAATGGTCAATCTTGTGACTCTCAGATGCCATCTTAGAAGACTGGAGAGATTCTCCTGCTGGCTTTGAAGAGGTAAGCTGTCATGCTGTAAGAGGGCCTGTGAGAGGGTCACATGGCAAGAAAATGAATTCTACCAATAACTATGTCAATTTAGGAAATGACCCAGAGCTCCAGAGAGAAATACAGGCACAACTGGTCTTATTGTGCTTTGCTTTATTGTGCTCAAGATGTATTGCTTTTTTTTTTTTTTAATTGAAAGTCTGTGGCAACCCTGTGTCCAGTATGTTTATCAATGCCAGGTTTTCAGCAATGTATGTCCACTTTGGGTCTCTGTGTTACATTTTGGTGATTCTTCCAATATTCAGACTTCTTCATTATTACATCTGTTATAGTGATCTGTAATCACTGATTTTTGGTGTTACTATGGTAATTGTTTTGGGGTGCCAAGAACCATGCTCATATAAGACAGTGAACTTAATAAATGTGTGTGTTTGTTGTTTAAATTTTTTTAATTTTAATTTTTGTGGGTAAATGGTAGGTATATGTATATTTATGGGGTACATGAGGTATTTGGATACAGGCATGCAATGTGAAATAATCACATCACGGAGAATGAGGTATCCATCTCCTCAACCAATTATCCTTTGTGTTACAGACAATCCAAATACACTCCTGTAGTTATTTTAAAATATACAATTACGTTATTATTGACTATAATCACCCTGTTGTGCTATCACATAGCAGGACTTATTCCTTCTAACTATCTACTAAACATCCCACATCTAGCCTACCACCCTCCACCCCTTCCCAGCCTCTGGTAACCATCCTTCTACTCTCTATGTTCATGAATTCAATTGCCTTGATTTTTAGGTCCTACAAACAAGTGAGAATATGCAACGTTCGTCCTTCTGTGCCCCGGCTGATTTCATTTAACACAATGATCTCTAGTTCTTTTTTTTTTTTTTTTTTTTTTGAGACGGAGTCTCGCTGTGTCACCCAGGCTGGAGTGCAGTGGCGCGATCTCGGCTCACTGCAAACTCCGCCTCCCGGGTTCACGCCATTCTCCTGCCTCAGCCTCCCGAGTAGTTGGGACTACAGGCGCCCTCCACCATGTCTGGCTAATTTTTTGTATTTTTAGTAGAGAAGGGGTTTCACCGTGTTAGCCAGGATGGTCTCGATCTCCTGACCTCGTGATCCACCCTCCTCGGCCTCCCAAAGTGCTGGGATTGCAGGCGTGAGCCACCCGCCCGGCCATGATCTCTAGTTCTATCCGTGTTGTTGCAAGTGACAGGACGTCATTCTCTTTAATGTCTGAATGGTACTCCATTGTGTATATATATCACATTTGCTTTATCCATTCATCTGTTGATGGACACGTAGGTTGCCTCCAATCTTAACTATTGTAAACGGTGCTACAAACCTGAGAGTGCAGATATCTCTTCAATATACTGCTTTCCTTTCTTTTGGGTATATATCCAGCAGTAGGATTACTGGATTATATGGTAGCTATATTGTTAGTATTTTGAGGAACCTCCAAACTGTTCCCAATAGGGGTTGTACTAATTTACTTTACCAACATCAGTATACAAGGGTTCCCTTTTCTCCACATTCTCACCTGACTTTTGCCTGAC
Organism: Homo sapiens; assembly: GCF_000001405.40. Classification (NCBI taxonomy): domain Eukaryota; kingdom Metazoa; phylum Chordata; class Mammalia; order Primates; family Hominidae; genus Homo; species Homo sapiens. The sequence continues at coordinate 191,038,048 of NC_000003.12, forward strand.
TTTTGGATATAAACCATTTTAACCAGGGCGAGATGCTATCTCTAGTTTTGTTTTGCATTTTTCTGATGATCAATGATGTTGAGCACCTTTTTCATATGACTGTTTGTCATTTGTGTGTCTTTTTTGAGAAATGTCTATTCAAATCTTTTGCCCATTGTTTTGATCAGATTATTAAATTTTTCTCTATAGTGTTGTTTGAGCTCCTTATATATTCTGATTATTAATCACTTGTCAGATGGGTAGTTTTCAAATATTTTCTCCCATTCTGTGGGTTGTCTCTTCATTTTGTTGATTGTTTCATTTGCTGTGCAGAAGCTTTTTAACTTCGTGTGATGGAATATTGTTGAAGAAATTTTTGCCCAGACCAATGTTCTGGAGATTTTCTCCAACAACTTCTTGTAGTAGTTTTGTACTTTGAGGTCTTAGATTTAAGTATTCAATCCATTTTGATTTCATTTTTGTATATGGTGAGAGACAGGGGCCTAGTTTCATTCTTCTGCACATGGGTATCCAATTTTCTCAGCACCATTTATTGGAGAGATTGTCTTTTCCCCTGTGTGTGTTCATGGCAACTTTGTCAAAAATGAGTTTACTGTAGGTGTGTGCATTTGTTCCATTGGTCTATGTCTATTTTTATACCAGACCAATGCTATTTTGGTTACTCTAGCTCTGTAGCATAATTTAAAGTCAGGTAATGTGATTTCTCCATTTTTTTTTCTTTTTGCTCAGGATAGCTTCAGCTGTTCTGGTCTTTTGTGGTTCCACATAAATTTTAGGATTGTTTTTTCTATTTCTGTGAAGAATGTCATTGGAATTTTGATAGGAATGGTACTATCTATAGATTGCCTTGGGTAGCATGGAAATTTTACCAATATTAATTCTTCCAAATAATGAATATGGAATATATTTGCATTATTTCTGTCCTCTTCAATTTCTTTCATCAGTGATTTATAGTTTTCATTGTAGTAATCTTTCACTTCTTTGGTTAAATTAATTCCTAAGTATTTTATTTGTAGCTAGTGTAAATGGTATTATGGTTTTTTTTTTAGATTGTTCACTATTGGTATATACAAATGCTAGTGATTTTTGTACATTGACCTTGTATCCTGCAACGTTACTGAATGTAATAGATCTAATAATTTTTTTGTTGAGTCTACAGGTTTTTCCAAATATAAGATCATATCATCTGCAAACAAGAGTGTTTTGACTCCTTCCTTTCCAATTTGGATGCCCTTTATATCTTTCCTTTGTCTGATTGCTCTAGCTAGGACTTTCAGTACTATGCTGACTGACAGTGGTGAAAGTGGGCTATGTTTCAAATCTTAGAGGAAGGGCTTTCAGTTTTTCCTCATTCAGTATGATACTAGCTGTAGGTCTCTTGTATATGGCTTTGATTATGTTAAGGTACATTCCTTCTATGCCCAGGTTTTAAAATATTTTCCCAATAAGGGATGTAGAATTTTATCAAATGCTTTTTCAGCTTCAATTGAAATGATCATATGATGTTTATCCTTCATTTGGTTGATATAATGTATCATATTGATTGATTTGCATATGTTGAACCACCCTTCCATCCCAGGGATAAATCCCACTTGGTCATGATGAATGATCTTCCAAATATATTGTTGAATTCAATTTGCTAGTATTTAATTCAGGATTTTTGCATCAATTCTCAAGAGAAATATTGGCCCTGCAGTTTTCTTTTTGTAGTGTCTTTGTTTAATTTTGGTGTCAGGGAAATACTGACTTGTAGAATGAGTGTGAAACTATTCTCTCCTCTATTTTTTGGAGTAGTGTGAGTCGGGTTGGTATTAGCTCTTTGTTAAATGTTTGGTAGAATTCAGCAGTGAAGCCATCAGGTCCTGGACTTTCGCTACTGGGAGACTTTTTATTACAGCTTCAATCTCCTTACTTGTTATTGGTTCCTTCAAGTTTCGGATTTCTTCCTGGCTTAATCTTGATAGGTGGTATGTGTCTAGGAATTTGTACAATTCCTCTACATTTTCCAATTTATTGGCATAGAGTTGCTTATAGTAGTCACTAACAATCCTTTGAATTTCTGCAGTATCAGTTGTAATGTCTCTTTTTTCTTATTTCTGATTTTATTTACTTGAATCTTCTCTTTTTTTCTTAGTTACTCTCGCTAAAGGTTGTCAATCTTGTTTAACTTTTCAAAAAACAACCTTTTGTTTAACTGATCTATTGTATTGTTTTCTTCCTTTCAACTTTATTTGTTTCTGCTGTGACCTTTATTACTTCTTTTCTTCTACTAACTTGGGGTCTGATTTGCTTTTGCATATCTGCTTCTTTAAGATGCATCATTAGATTGCCTATTGGAATCTTTTCCTCAATTTTTATGTGGGCACTTATAGCCTAATCATTTCTGCTGTTACAGGACTCTGATGCTTTCTTCAGTATGCCAATTTCATCTTTCAGCTCCAGAATTTCTGCTTGATTCTTCTTAATTGTTTCAATCTCTTTGTTAATTTATCTGATAGAATTCTGAATTTCTTCTGTGTTATCTTGAACTCCTTTGAATTTTCTCAACACAGTTATTGTGAATTCTCTGTTTCAAAAGGCACACATCTCTGTTTCTCTAGGATTGGTTCTTAGTGGCTTATTTAGTTCAATTGGTGAGGTCATCTTTTCCTGGATGGCATTGATGCTAGATGTTCTTTGCCGCCTGAGCATTGAAGACTTAGTTATTTTTTGTAAACTTCACTGTCTGGGCTTGTTTGTAGTCATCCGTCTTGGGAAGGCTTTCCAGATATTTGAAAGGGCTTGGTGCTGTGATCTAAGCTGTATCTTTTCAGCTCTAATAGGACAGCACTGAGTTCAATGCCTCACAGTTGCTGTGTTCTCCCTCTCCAGAACCCAGCGATGCTTTCCGCACCAAGCTGCTGCTGCTGGAGGGTGTAGAAGGGGTGGTGTCAGCAATTCAAGACTTTTTAAAAAAATTTCTTCAGTGACTCTTTCAGTAATATAAAGATAAAACCAGGTACTATGCATGCTAACCTGATTTTTGATTCTTACAAAGGTGTTTTCCTGTGTTGATAGTTGTTAAATTGGTGTCCCTGTTGGGGGAACAATCTGTGGAGCCTTTCATTCCTCCATCATGCTCCATCTCTCTCCCTAAATGTGTGTGTTCTCACTACTCCACCGACCAACCACTCCCCTGTCTCTCTCTCCCTCTCTTTAGTAGTCCTCCCTATTCTCTGAAACACAATTATATTGAAATTAGGCCAATTACAGTAATAAACCTACAGTGGCCTCTCAGTGTTCATGTGAAACAAAGAGTAACACACCTTTTACTTTAAATCAAAAGCTAGAAATGATTTAGCTCAGTGAGGAATGCATGTCAAAAGCTAAGATAGGCTGAAACCGAGGCTTTTTGCAACAAACAGCCAACCTGTGACAGCAAAAGAAAAGTTCTTGAAGGAAAACTGTTACTCCAGGAAACATAATGATAAGAAGTAAAAAGTAAAAAATGTAATTGCTGATACGGAGTAAGTTTTAGTGTCTGGATGGAAGATCAAACAACAACATTCCATTAAGCCAAAACCTAATTCAGAGTAAAGCTCTTCAATTCCAAGGCTGAGAGAGTTGAGAACGCTACAAAAGAAAGGTTTCAATCTGGCAAAGGTTGGTTCATGATGTATAAGAAACAAAACATTCCCATAACATAAGAGTGCAAGGTAAAGCAACAACTACTGGTGTAGAAGCTACAGCAAGTTATTCAGAAAATCTGGCTAAGATAGCTAATGAAGGTGGCTACACTAAAAATAGAATTTCAATGTGGATGAAACAGCCTTCTACTGGAAGAAGATGCTATCTTGAACTTTCATAACTAGAGTGGAAAAATCAATACCCAGCTTCAAAGCTTCAAAGGACAGGCTGGCTATCTTGTTAGAGGCTAATGCAGCTGGTGACTTTAAGTTGAAGCCAATGCTCATTTACCATTCTGAAAATCCTAGGGCCCTTAAGAATTATGCTCAGTCTACTCAGCCAGTGCTCTATGAATGGAATGACAAAGCCCAAATGACAGTACATCTGTTTACAGTAAACTTGGTTTACTGAACATTTTTTTTGTTGTTGTTGTTGTTTTCTTTTTTTTTCTATTTTTTTTTATTATACTTTAAGTTTTAGGGTACATGTGCACATTGTGCAGGTGAGTTACATATGTATACATGTGCCATGCTGGTGTGCTGCACCCACTAACTCGTCATCTAGCATTAGGTATATCTCCCAATGCTATCCCTCCCCCCTCCCCCACCCCACCACAGTCCCCAGAGTGTGATATTCCCCTTCCTGTGTCCATGTGATCTCATTGTTCAGTTCCCACCTATGAGTGAGAATATGCGGTGTTTGGTTTTTTGTTCTCGCGATAGTTTACTGAGAATGATGATTTCCAATTTCATCCATGTCCCTACAAAGGACACGAACTCATCATTTTTATGGCTGCATAGTATTCCATGGTGTATATGTGCCACATTTTCTTAATCCAGTCTATCATTGTTGGACATTTGGGTTGGTTCCAAGTCTTTGCTATTGTGAATAATGCCGCAATAAACATACGTGTGCATGTGTCTTTATAGCAGCATGATTTATAGTCATTTGGGTATATACCCAGTAATGGGATGGCTGGGTCAAATGGTATTTCTAGTTCTAGATCCCTGAGGAATCGCCACACTGACTTCCACAATGGTTGAACTAGTTTACAGTCCCACCAACAGTGTAAAAGTGTTCCTATTTCTCCACATCCTCTCCAGCACCTGTTGTTTCCTGACTTTAATGATCGCCATTCTAACTGGTGTGAGATGGTATCTCATTGTGGTTTTGATTTGCATTTCTCTGATGGCCAGTGATGATGAGCATTTTTTCATGTGTTTTTTGGCTGCATAAATGTCTTCTTTTGAGAAGTGTCTGTTCATGTCCTTCGCCCACTTTTTGATGGGGTTGTTTGTTTTTTTCTTGTAAATTTGTTTGAGTTCATTGTAGATTCTGGATATTAGCCCTTTGTGAGATGAGTAGGTTGCGAAAATTTTCTCCCATTTTGTAGGCTGCCTGTTCACTCTGATGGTAGTTTCTTTTGCTGTGCAGAAGCTCTTTATTTTAATTAGATCCCATTTGTCAATTTTGGCTTTTGTTGCCATTGCTTTTGGTGTTTTGGACATGAAGTCCTTGCCCATGCCTATGTCCTGAATGGTAATGCCTAGGTTTTCTTCTAGGGTTTTTATGGTTTTAGGTCTAACGTTTAAATCTTTAATCCATCTTGAATTGATTTTTGTATAAGGTGTAAGGAAGGGATCCAGTTTCAGCTTTCTACATATGGCTAGCCAGTTTTCCCAGCACCATTTATTAAATAGGGAATCCTTTCCCCATTGCTTGTTTTTCTCAGGTTTGTCAAAGATCAGATAGTTGTAGATATGCGGCGTTATTTCTGAGGGCTCTGTTCTGTTCCATTGATCTATATCTCTGTTTTGGTACCAGTACCATGCTGTTTTGGTTACTGTAGCCTTGTAGTATAGTTTGAAGTCAGGTAGTGTGATGCCTCCAGCTTTGTTCTTTTGGCTTAGGATTGACTTGGCGATGCGGGCTCTTTTTTGGTTCCATATGAACTTTAAAGTAGTTTTTTCCAATTCTGTGAAGAAAGGCATTGGTAGCTTGATGGGGATGGCATTGAAACTGTAAATTACCTTGGGCAGTATGGCCATTTTCACGATATTGATTCTTCCTACCCATGAGCATGGAATGTTCTTCCATTTCTTTGTATCCTCTTTTATTTCCTTGAGCAGTGGTTTGTAGTTCTCCTTGAAGAGGTCCTTCACATCCCTTGTAAGTTGGATTCCTAGGTATTTTATTCTCTTTGAAGCAATTGTGAATGGGAGTTCACTCATGATTTGGCTCTCTGTTTGTCTGTTGTTGGTGTATAAGAATGCTTGTGATTTTTGTACATTGATTTTGTATCCTGAGACTTTGCTGAAGTTGCTTATCAGCTTAAGGAGATTTTGGGCTGAGACAATGGGGTTTTCTAGATATACAATCATGTCATCTGCAAACAGGGACAATTTGACTTCCTCTTTTCCTAATTGAATACCCTTTATTTCCTTCTCCTGCCTAATTGCCCTGGCCAGAACTTCCAACACTATGTTGAATAGGAGCGGTGAGAGAGGGCATCCCTGTCTTGTGCCAGTTTTCAAAGGGAATGCTTCCAGTTTTTGCCCATTCAGTATGATATTGGCTGTGCGTTTGTCATAGATAGCTCTTATTATTTTGAAATACGTCCCATCAATACCTAATTTATTGAGAGTTTTTAGCATGAAGGGTTGTTGAATTTTGTCAAAGGCTTTTTCTGCATCTATTGAGATAATCATGTGGTTTTTGTCTTTGGCTCTGTTTATATGCTGGATTACATTTATTGATTTGCATATATTGAACCAGCCTTGCATCCCAGGGATGAAGCCCACTTGATCATGGTGGATAAGCTTTTTGATGTGCTGCTGGATTCGTTTTGCCAGTTCAGTTCGGTTTACTGAACATTTTAAGCCTGCTGTTGAGACCCACTTATCAGAAAAAAAAAAGTTCCTTTCAAAATATTATTTCTCATTGACAATACACCTGGTCACCCAAGAGCTCCAATAGAGATGTACAAAGAGATAAATGTTATTTTCATGCCTGCTAACACAACGTCCATTCTGGAGCCTTTAGATAAAGGAGTAATTTTGACTTTCAAGTCTTATTATCTAAGAAATGTATTTCATGAGGCTATAGCTGCCATAGATAGTTATTTATCTGATGGATATGGGAAAAATAAACTAAAACTCTTCTAGAAAGGATTCATTATTCTAGATTCTCTTAAGAATATTCATGATTCATCAGAGGAGGTCAAAATACAAACATTAACAAGTGTTTGGAAGAAGTTGATTCCAATGTTCATGGATGACTTTGTGAGGTTTGAAAGTTTAGTGAAAAAGTAACTGCACATATGATGGAAATAACAAGACAATTAGAAAGAGGAGTGGAGCTTGAATATGTGACTGAATTGCTGAAATCTCATGAGAAAACTTGAATGAATGAGGAGTTGCTTCTATTGGATGAGCAAAGAAAGTAATTTCTTCAGATGGAATCTACTCCTGGTGAATATTGTTGGAAGAAAGTGATTTCTTGAGATGGAATCTACTCCTACTATGAATATTGTTGAAATGACAACAAGTGATTTAGAATATGACATAAGTTTAGCATCTAAGCAGCAGCAGAATTTGAAAGGACTGACTCCAGTTTTGAAAGAAGTTCCACCCTGGGTAAAATGCTGTAAGACAGTATTGCATTCTATAAAGAAATATTTCCTGAGAGGAAGCATTCATTGATGCAGCAAACTTCATCGTTGTCTTATTTTAAAAAATTGCCACAGCCACCCCGATCTTCAGCACCCACCCTTCTTATCAATCAGCACCTATCAACGTGCAGGCAAGGCTCTCCATTAGAAAAAGATTACAACTAGCTTACGGCTCAGATGATTATTAGCATTTTCAGCAATAAAGTATTTTTAAATTACGGTATGTAGACATAATGCTGTTGCACACTTAATAGACTGCAGTACAGTTAAACATAACTTTTCTATGCAAGAAACAAAAAAAGTTGTGTGACTCCCATTTTATTGTTATTCACTTTATTGCAGTGGTCTGAAATTGAATTCACAATATGTCTGTGGTATGCTTGTATAATATATAGCCTAGCCAGCCAAGACCTAGATAGCAGCTATCTATCCATATTTAATCTATCCATATTTAATCTTTTAAAGAATTGGATGACTGCTTTCTAAAGAGGCTCAAACTTTTTATATTCCCCCAAGCAGTGTAAGATGATTCCAATTTCTCCACATCCGCACCTTGTTTCTATGTGTCTTTTTCATGGTGGGCATCATAGTTGGTGTGATGTGGGTTTGCCATTGTGGTTTTGATTTGCATTTTCCTGATCATTAGTGATGTTGAGCATCTTTTAATTTACATAGTAACCATTTGTATATCTCCTTTGGAGAAATGTCTATTCATCCTTTACCCAATTTTAGTTATTTCAATTTTATTATTAAATTATAAGAGTTTTTTAACGATATATTTTAGGTATAAGTTCATTATAAACATTTATGATGTGGAAATGTTTTCTCCCATTTGGCATGTTGTCTTTTCACTATTTGATGATCTTTTGGGGCACAAAATTTCTTATATATTGAAGATGCCCAATGTATTTTTGTGTTGTTCTTTGTGCTCTCGTTATCATGTATAATAAACCATTGCATAATTCAAGGTCAAACATATTTATGCCTGCATTTTCTTCTAAGGGTTTTATAGTATTAGCTTTGAAATTTAGATCTTTGGTTCATTTTGGGTTAATTTTATGGTATAAGCCAGGGGTCTAAATTAATTCTTTTGCACGCAGCTATTTAATTGTTACAGCTTCATTTGTTGAAAAGAGTACTCTTTCCTCATTGAATTGTCTTACTATTCTTGTCAAAAGTCAGTTGACAATAGCAAAGACATGAAATCAACCCAAATACCCATCAGTGATAGACTGGATAAAGAAAATGTGGCACATAAACATTATGGAATACTATGCAGCCATAAAAAGGAATGAGATCATGTCCTTTGCAGGGACATGGATGGAGCTGGAAGCCATTATCCTCAGCAAACTAACACAGGAACGGAAAATCAAACACCACATTTCTCACTCATAAGTGTGAGCTGAACAATGAATGAGAATACACGGACACAGGGAGGGGAACAACACACACTGGGGCCTGTCGGGAGGCAGGGTGAGGGAGAGCATCAGGATACACAGCCAATGCATGCAGGGCTTAATACCTAGGGAGTGGGTTGAAAGGTAAAGCAAACCACCATGGCACACATTTACCTAAGTAACAAACCTGCCCATCCTGCACATATATCCCAGACCTTAAAATAAAATTAATTTTTTTTAAAAAAAGTCAGTTGACTATAAACATAAGAATTTGTTTCTGAATAATCAATTCTACTCCATTGATCTATATGTCTATCCTTATTCCAGTAACACAATATCATGTCACATCACTAAAATCAGACATATAGATCAATGGAGTACAATTGGGAATCCAGAAACAAACCCTAACATTATGGTCAATTGACTTTTAAAGAGCGTGCTATGATAATACAATGGGAGAGGCTTCTGGGTCTATGCTTTTCTTATGGGCTGTTTAATATTACTAATTTAATAGCTTTATTTATTATATACCTGTTCAGAATTTTGTTCTTTTTGAGCCGGTTTTAACAATTTGTGTCTTTTTAGAAATTTGTCCATCTCATGTAATTTGTTGGCATCCACTTTTTTATACCATTTCATTTTGTGTTATCGTTATGCATGATGCATCTACATTTGTAACAAGCTCAATAACACATCACTATAATTGCTAATTTATATAGTTTTATGTCTATTAGAGAAGCTGATGAGAAGAAGTAAATATATATTTATAGTGTCTGCTATATTCGCCTTTATTATTCCTTTGAATTTCATTTGCCGTCTGGTGTCATTTTCTTGTTCCAATACTACTTTGCCCCCAAATACCTCCTTTGTGTTGTTTTTGCCAAATGTATTATATTTTTGTATATGTTATAGGTTCAACATTGCATTATATGCTCCTCATTTTATACAATTGTTTTTTGAAATCATTTAAGAAATAAAGGAGAAGAAATACGCTATTTAAATATTTATGATATTTTTGCCAATACATGATAATCTATACTATTACTCTATTTTTTGATGTGACTTGGAATTAATGTGTGGAGTCATCTGCTTTCAGCCTGAAGAACTTCTTTTAGTTTTTCTAGTTGGTTCTTTAATCAAAGAATTCTGTCAATTTTTGTTTTTCTGGGAATGTCTTTATTCACCTCTATTTTTGAAACATGGTTTTCCTAGATATAAGATTCTTGGTAGATGTTTTTGTTTCAGTACTTTTCGAATGTTACCTCACTGCTTTCTAGCTTCCACTGTTTCTAATGAAAAGCCAGCTAATTCTTCTGTTAGGGTTTCCTTGTATGTAGTGAGTCATTTTTCTCTTGCTGCTTTAAAAATTCCCTCTTAGTCTGTGGTGTTTAGAACTTCTATTATGATGTGTGTGTAAGTGCATTTATCCTTCTTGGTATTTGCTGACTTTCTTTACTGTGTAGATTAATGTTTCTCATCAGATTTGGAAATTTTCAGCTAATATTTTCTAATATTATTCAGCTAATAATTTTCTAATATTATTTTCTGTTGCCTCCTTCCTCTGCTCTCCTTCCGATACACTCATTGTGCTTATGTGAGTGTGATTATGGTGCTCTACATTTCTCTGAATCTCTTTGTTTTTATCATTTATTCTCACTGTTCTTCAGATAACATAATCCATATCAATCCACTTAATACTTCACTGATTTTTTCTTCTTCCAGTTTAAATCTACTCTAGTAAATATTTCACTTTTGTTATTAAACTTTTCAATTTTGAAATTTCCAATAGATTGTTTTATAATTCCTGTCTCTTTATTAGATTCACTATTTGATGAGATATTATCATCTTAGCTTTCCTTACTTTTAAGGAAAAGTTTATTGTCCTGTTTATTTCTATGTCTCATAATTCTTTGTTGAAAGTATGATATTTTAAGTACTATACTGTGCTAATTCTGGATGCTGATTCTCCTCACTCTCTTCTGGAGTTGCTTTGCTATTGTTTGTTAATTGGTGAATTGGCTGGATTATTTTAGGAAAGTCTATTTCTCCATCAGTGTATACCTTCTAATATTGCCCCTCCCGGGGGGGTACAGCCTTAGGCATATGCACAGTCACCCAGAGATGACAGTAGGTTTTTTTTTTTTTTTTTTGAGACGAAGTCTCACTCGAGATGACAGTAGTTTTAGCAGGATTCCCTTTGACTTTCTCTAATCTTTTTGTTAAACTGTCTTCTTTGATATTACACTCATCTGTTAGGCTTCTCTAATTGCTGGCTGATTGCTCTATTGTTTTCAACAGAGCACCAGGCCTAAAAAGGATGCAATTAATCCTGGTCCAATTAAATCTAGATAGAGGTAGTTTTTGAGACTAATCTTTGGTATTTGTCCTGACCCCACAAAGGCTCTTCTTAGCTTTCTCTTTCCACAGTTCTCTTTGGTAAGCTAGCTGGCCTGTACTTTGGCTTTTTACCTGCTGTTCATTAAAAAAAAAAAAAAAAAAAAAAAAAGTTGGACCAGGAGTGGTGGCTGACACCTGTAATCCCAACACTTTGGGAGGCCAAGGCAGGTGGGTCACCTGAGGTCGATTTTGAGACCAGCCTGGCTAGCATGGTGAAATTCTGTCTTTACTAAAAATACAAAAATTAGCAGGGTGTTGTGACGGGAGACTGTAATCCCAGCTACTTGGGAGGCTGAGGCAGGAGAATCGCTTGAACCCGGGAGGCAGAGGTTGCAGTGAGCTGAGATCATGCCGTTGCACTTCAGTCTGGGCAACAGAGACTCTGTCTCAAAAAAATAAAATAAAAAGAAAAAAAAAGTTGCAGGTCTCAGCTCCAGATGACCCATTCATATTCTTTTGTAAAACATTTAAAGAGGAAGATAAATTTATTTAAATCATGCCAACTTTCACAGGCACATGAACACATATTCACAAAAACTTCCCCATCAGCCTCAAATTCTCCTTAAAATGAAATTTGTTGAGTTGGCAAACCCCTGAAAATGTCAATGGGGTTTCACTGACAAGATGGATATTCTCACATAATACTTGTGAAGCATTGAGAAAATGGCATTTATACATGGTTGGGTAAAAAAAACTGGATTTTGAACCATTATTACTAGATTGATGTAGCAGGATTTTGGCATGTTTATCTTAGTGTTTGGAATGAAAAGAAGTTTGCATTAAAATTGTGAGAGTTTGGGAAATGAAAAAATTAAAAGAGTTTTTTTTTAAAGTATGACAAGGGGCTTAGAACAGGCTTTTGAGAAAATCTTCAAAGAAAATCTTCAAAATTGAGTCTATGACAGCTACGCTCTATTCTCTGTCCTAGGGCTGTCTTTATGTTTCTTTTCCTTAGTGTGACAAGGATATTTTATAGGAGAAAAATCGTCCCACTATCTATCCCAGTTCAAGATCTATCTGTCTAGGGAAGTTTCAGAAAGATAGTCTGTCAGGTTACTTAACTGTGAGGAAAAGAAAATAGCTTAAATTCAGTTACATAAAGATGTGCATAGAAAGTGGTGTTTTAATAGTTGGTCACATATCATCCTGTCACCTAGGGCACGATGCAGAGGATGAGGCTGGTGGCCACAGCTGGAGCCTTGAGTATTTATGAGTTCGTATATGCATGTGTGTATATAAGAGGAAGGGTATGTGTGTATTGAAAATAGGAATAGAATGAGTGCAGAGAATCTAGAGGCATTAGACGACAACCGGAATGCCAACTCTGAAATGGTGTGGAGTAGAGAGGGTGAATTTCACTAGTTCCCTTTCCCCCGTTATTGAATGGGAAAGCTAAACTAAATGAATCATCCACTGTTAGTAGACTTCATTAACCATCCTCCCCCTAGCTTTATAACCAAATCTCACTTACAAAACGCTATGTCCTACCTCTCTTAATCCCCAGTTCTTTATTTACCTTCATCTGGAGAAGCACAAGTTGTTATTTTTTCTCCGTCAGAGACATTTGCAGCACACATATCAGCACTTTTAGACATCAGGTAGCATCTCTATCTTGGTTCAGCTGTCCTGTGTGCTTTTGTTATTCCCAAAGGTGCTGAGTGACCAAAAGCATGCTTTAGTGTGGTGCCTAACAGCCACCAAGCAAATGTCCTTTGGATTAGGACAATCCCCACACAACACCAGTATAGGAAAAAGCTGCATATGTGCTGCATTTCCACCTTTTATCCACAGTTCGAGTCCTGTATCCAATTTACTTTCCGTATAGGTTTCTAAGTAAGAGATAAGCCAGATAAATTATCTAAATATTTTATTTCATCCTCTGGATTTAAATCACTTTCTCAGAAGAAAGATGCAGTGGCTTTTATGGCCTTCTCTTCAGCTCTACTTTTCGAGTAACTGTTAAATGGCTCCACCATGTGGTTGAAAAATATATTTTATTTACAGAAACCTAACACTACAACAATAAAATTAATCAAATTAGTGTCATTTTATTTATTCATCCAGCAAATGTTAACCTAGCCTATTACGTGTCAGGCTATGTTCTCTGCACTGAGAACACTGTCAACGAAACTAATACAATCCCCGGCTCCTTGGATCTCATGATCACTGTTTATCTTTCCCATGGCTGAGTAGCAGACTATACCTAACATTAAAATAATCATAAAAACACATCTTTTAAGTTGTTTTTATTAGATACAATAAAGCAAGATAAAATAGGCTTTAGTTATGGCTCTGTAAGTAACTGTAAAAATACTTACTTTTCCTCTCTGGGACTCTGTTTATTATAGGTTGTCCTAGATAAATGGCCCCTAACCCTGATAATATGATAAAACAATGATGTATTATTTCTCACAGAAAAAAAAAAGCACATTCCAAAGTTTGTCTGCAAGGTTGGGGTGGGGGTGTTATAACCTCCTGAAATATTACTTACGCTCTGTATGTGTTCACATACAGGTAAAGTATATTATATATACCTATTGGAATAGATACTCTCTATATCCCTTCTACCTATAACAATCTTTGCTTCCCATGATCAGGAATAATTGATAAAAGAATCAATTCCAGAAGAGAACTAGAGCTTATATTCAAGGCTCCTGTCTTCCAAACCTTCCCAACACATCAACTGAGTACTGTAGTTGCTGCACTATAGCCGTTTCACCTTACTGCTTCCTGCTACCTTTACTCAGGAAAAAAGTGCCACGTGAATGGGTGATCATAAAATGTATTGTGCAAACCAGGACAGTTTTGAGAGTGAAGTGGAAACCTGCACAAGTACCTATTTATCTTACAATTTTATTATAAAAAGTAAATTAGTTAAGGTGCTAAATGAGCACAGAATAGTGGTTGGCATATAATAAGCACACTACACATGTCAGTCTTTTATCATGGACAACTAGCTATAGATCTCTCTACTTGTTTTCCTACTATTCCCTCTCTCAAACTCACCCTCCACTCTGCTTCCGAAGGTATTTTTGTAAAGTGCAAATATTCAGGTCCTTTCCCTCCTGAGAAGCCTGTCAATGGATTTTCCACTGCAAATGGAACACACGAATTCTCTTCTATTTGTTTCTCACTATATTCTCCCAACACTCCGCCTTTGATTCAGCCATAGCTCCTGCAAGCCCAGTCTCCTCCCTTCTACCTGCATGTATTTGAATCCAACCTTTGCTATTCTTCCTCCTAAATTTTACCCATCAAAATTCTCCTCATATTTTAAGTCCCTTTGTTCAGGCTCTTCTAGGTAATGTCAGACAGAAATTCGTCTTTCTCTATTTTAATAATTATATTAATTTTAGCTATCATTTATTAAACGTTTTTGTCAGGCACTATTCTAAGCTCTTTACATACCATTACCTTTTTTTTGTTGGAAAGAGAGATCTAGACACATTTAACCATTGTTCAGTGCACAGAGTAGTAAGACTTATGACGGAAGTTAGAACTCTGTTCAATGCAAGGTAGAACACTATGGAAATTGAGCCTGTAGGCGCTGAAATAAGACTGCCAGGTTTCTAATTCTGACTCTATAATTTACTAGTTGTATGACTTTGGGCATGTCTTTTTTTGTTGTTCAATTGAAACTGAGTAAACTCAGTTTCTTTATATGTACAGTTCATAGTGACAGTTGACTCAGGCCTGTAATCCCAGCACTTTGGGAGGCCGAGGTGGGCAAATCACCTGAGGTCAGGAGTTTGAGACCAGCCTGACTAACATGGTGAAACCCCGTCTCTACTAAAAACACAAAAATTAGCCAGGCGTAGTGGCGGGCGCCTTTAATCCCAGCTACTCGGGAGGCTGAGGCAGGAGAATTCGGTTGAATTCAGGTGGCGGAGGTTGCAGTGAGCTGAGATTGCACCACTGCACACCAGCCTGGGCGACAACGCGAGACTCCATCTCTAAATAAATAAATAAATAAATAGGATTGCTCTGGCACTTAAATTGTGAAAATCTGAAACAAAAGATTGGAATTATTTTTTGTTATGTTTCCCACAATGTATTCTCACTGTCAATATACATTGCCTACTCAAGAGAGGCACTTTTCAACTGTCATACAAATATTTCAAATATCACCATGGGGTTACATTGAATACTCACGAAAGGATTCATGGATGTTTCCTGGGTAAGAACATGAAAATAGCTAAAAACAAAATTCTGTCTTCAAAACGAAAACTTCTAAATTTAGATGCAGTCAGATATGGGACGCAGAGTTATGCTGACTTGATTGCCCCGAGTTGTGATTTCTTTAGATGACTCTTTGTCTTGCTTACAGTGTGTCCAATGTAACAACTGCATCCATTAAAAAAAAAAAAGATATAAAACAAGACTCTGAATTGATTTTCAAAGGTTACTAAGTCCTTCACAAACTCATTAAGAAGATGCTGAACAAACAGAAATGCAGTTGCTTAACAAATGTTTACGAAACTGCCTCATGGAAACAGCGTACTATGAAATGTCTTGCTATTTAGGCTGCAATAGGGCTTAAATATGGGAGGGCAGTTGGAGGAGGAGGGTGTGGGTGAAATCATCTCTACTATGGAGGGTAAGTCTTATGGTATAAAAATAAAGACAGAGTTCCGTGATTTTTTTTTCTCCTGATTTTTCCAAATGTTGGACCTTTCCTGACTCCATGCATATATACAGGTGGCAACATCAGGAATAATTCCCAGTATGTTGTGAAGGATGAAAGCAGCACCTTCCAAGTGGTTTACATCCAGCTTTCTATAAACTCTCTTTTCTACAATGCCAGGGTAAACTTTTGCATAAAACCCTTGATCATGTTACACAACTCCTCAAAAATGCCGTTGCCTTTCAGTTAGGATAAAACTCTTCAGCCTGGCTCTCAAGGCTTTTCTCAGAATGACTACAGCATTTCTCCTACATTCCTTCTCAGTAGCTTCCCTAATCACATCTCCATATTCTTCTCCTCCAACTTTAAGCCTTTGATTTTGCTCTTTTTAAAATCTGAAGTATACTTGTTGCTGTTTCCCAGCTTTTCCTGTGCTGGGTGGGTCAACTTCAGTAATAAAAAACGAATATCTAAATATCAATTTGAGGACCAAATATGGTGGTTCATGCCTGTAATCCCAACACTTTGGGAGGCCAAGGTGAGAGGATCGCTTGAGGCCAGGAGTTTGAGACTAGCCTGGGCAATAGTGAGGCTCTGTCTCTACAATAAATAAATCAATAAATATCAAGTTGAACTTTGTGAAATCACAATATTAGAAACAACAATTCAAATATTGGCAATTTATTAAGTTTCAGCATATTATTTTATAGCTCACAAAGCATTTCCAGAAACATTATTTCATCTTATTTTCATGATGACCGAGAAAAATGGGTAAAATTCAGTAATATTCATGTGCATATTCAGTATCATTCAGATGAGAAGGAAAATTTGAAATCTTCTCTCCTGAAACCATATATTCCCATTTCAAAACTATGTGCTTTCCATAAAGAAACACTGTTACCTCTTCTGGGAAAACTTTTTCAATTTTTATAATTTGTATAATTTATTCTTTATATTTCTCCTTTATAGGTAATATCTATATCATATCCTTAAAATATATAAATGAAGAAACCCAGCTAAATATTAATAAATAATGCTGATTCCCACCACCTTAAATAATTAAATGCACCTTTATTTTCAAATTTTAATTTTGCCTAAATATTTCAGATACTACATAGTGCAATATATTTTGCATAGATAAATATTTCACCTACTCCTAAGGAAATTCAACTAGATAATATAATTAGGTAGCACATTTAGATCATGGAAGTAAATTAAAAAGATACCCGCAGAAGGCATCACCATCTATACTCTCTATAATATAGAGAGATTTTCTCAAGTCACACACTTCACCTTTGCTTTACAAACAGCAGTCTACAACACCAATGGCAAGTTACATTGAAAAATACTCACTGTGACTATATTTTCCACTTCTCAGAATCCTAGAAGACTTTTACTGAAAGTGAAGATCTAAAACAGGCTCACAGATTTTTATTTTTTCTGGGATTGATTTTTATAATTTTAAATTAGTTTATTGGGGTATAATTTTTACTTACAATAAAATTCAACAATTTTAAATGTTCAACTCAATAAGTTTTCATAAATGTTTGCACTCTTGTAACCATCAACAAAATAATTGTATAGCATCTATCCCTTCAAAAGATTCTTTGTAATTTTTTCAACCAATCATCTGGCTTCTGGCAGCCACTGATACATGCTTTCAGTCACTAGAGTTTTTAGTGTTCTGGAATTTCATATAAATGGAATCATATAATATGTAATATTTTGTATCTGGGGTCTTTCACTTAGCATAATGCTTTTAAAATTCGCTTTTTTTTTTTTTGAGACAGAGTCTCGCTCTGTCGCCCAGGCTGGAGTGCAGCGTCGTGATCTCGGCTCACTGCAAGCTCCGCCTGCCGGTTCACGCCATTCTCCTGCCTCAGCCTCCCGAGTAGCTGGGACTACAGGCGCCCGCTAATTTTTTGCATTTTGTATTCTGTTCTTGTTCAAACTCTTTCTGCCTATTCTACAAAAAAATCTGAGATTTTGATAGGAATTCTGTTGAATATATAGATCAACCAGGAAGAACTGATATCATAACTGTGTCAAGTGTTCTGATCCATGAACTTTTTATATATCTACATTTATTTTGTCTTTAAATTCTCTCGGCAATGTTTTTTAGCTTTAAGTGTACAGACCTTTAACATAATTTCTCAAATTAATCATAAATATTCGTATTTCTTGGTGCTACTGTGCATTTTTCATTGCAGTTTCCAATTATTTCTTTCTAGCACAATGGATTTTTGTGTATCCGTCTATACCCTGCCACCAGCTAAATTCACTTATTAGTTCTGGTAGCTATTTTGTAGCCTTCTTAGGCTATGCCTCTTAGGCAACAAGGTTGTCTTTGGTAAAAGATGGTTCAAATTTAACTTTGCTCTCTGAATGTTTTTTAGTTCTTTTACTTTTCATACTGCACTGTATCTACCTCCACTGTAATGTTAAATACAAGTGATGAGCAGGCATCCTTCGCTTGTTCCTGATCTTATGGGAAAATCAATCTTTCTATTGCTGTTAAGTATGATGTTAAAAGTAGGTTTGTCATGGATATTCTTCATGAGATTGAAGAAACCTCCTCTCTTCTCAGTCTTGAACTGACATTAAACTTAGTCCAATATTGTTATGTGTCTCTTGAGATGATTGTGTTTTTGCTTTCTTTAGTCAGTATAAATGACAATCTACATTGATTTTTTTAAGTTAAAAATCCTTCTTAATTCCTAAAATGAGTTCAACTTGATCATAATCCTTTTCATAAATTGTCGAATTTGATTTGCTAAAATTTTCTTAAGGATTCCTTCATCTATATGCATCTGGAATAGTGGTCTCTAGGTTTCCTTTAATGTCTTTCTCTTTTCAGTATTAGATTTATCTTGGCCTGTTAAAAGTTCACTGAAGCTTTTTTTTTGTGCTATTCTCTGGAAGTTTGGGCTGACTGATATTGCTCCTTAAGTATTTGAAACAAACTGAAGTCATTTCGAACTGAAGTAAAAAGCCTCAGAAAGTTTTTAACTATGAATTTTATTTTGATTTTTTAACTGTAAGCTCAAAATGTTTCTAGATAAAAATTCAATTTTTAGTAGAGATAAGATATTCATGTTTTGTATTTTTGTTGAGTGAGTCTTGGTAGTTTGTGTCTTTCACAAAATTTGTTCATTTAATCTCAATCTTTGAATTCATTGTCACAAATTTGTTTATAAAATTCCTTTATTTTCTTTCTAATGTCCATAGTATTGCCAGTGATATTAAATCCTTTATTCCTGATATCTGTGTTTTCTTCTCTTCATTTCTTGTTGGCTAAAAGTGTATTGATTTTATTGCTATTTGTATCAGCTCTTGTTTTCATACATTATATTAGTATTTTTGTTTTCCAGTTAATTGATTTCTTCTTTGATGATTATTATATTCTTTATTTTGCTTACTTCATACATAATTTTAATCTTTCTAGTTTCTTGTGGTGGAAGCTTGTGCCATTTATTTTGGAACTTTTTCTTTACTAACACAAGTATTTTAATGCTGTAAGTCTTCCTCTACTTACTGCTTTGTTTTACAAATTTTTATGTTGTGTTTTTATTCTAATCCCATTTAGTATCATATTAAATGATATCTGTGATTTCTTCCTTGATTCATGAGTTATATATAAAGGTATTGTTTGACTTCCAAATATTTAAGAACATGTCAGATATCTTCCAAAGAGATTTCTACTTTCATTTCATTATGGCCAGAGAATATATTTTTGTATGACTTAAAGACTCTTAAGTTTATTGAAGTTTGTTTTATGGCCAAAAATAGGTCGTGGTGAATGTTCCATGTGCACATGAAAAGCTTGGTATTCTTTATTGTGGGACAGAGTGACCTATAAAGGAGATTTTGGTCAAGTTGGTAAAGTTGTTCAATGTCTCACAATATTAAAATTTTCTGTTTCTATGTCATGTTCATTAGTTACAGAAAAGTCTGTAAACTTCAACTATCATTTTGGATTTACTTCTCAGATTCTCTTGCCAGCAGAATTCATCAAGCAGAAGAAAGAATGAATGAGCTTGAAGACAGGCTATTCGAAAATACGCAGAGGAGACAAAATAAAAAGGAAAAAGAAAGAATAAAGCATACCTACAAGATCTAGAAAATATCTTCAAAGGGGCAAATCTAAGAATCAATGGCCTTAAAGAGAAGGCAGAAAGAGAGATAGGGGTAGAACATTTATTCAAAGTAACAGAACACTTCCCAACCTAGAGAAAGTTATCAATATTCAAGTAAAAGAAGGTTCTAGAACACCACGCATATTTAACCCAAAGAAGATTACCTCAAGATAGTTAATAATCAAACCCCCAATAATCAACGATTTTTAAAAAGGACCCTAAAGGCAGCAAGAAAAGAAATACAAAGGAGTTCCAATACATCTGGCAGAAGACTTCAGTGGAATGCTTACAGGCCTGGAGAGAGGAGAAAGTGGCATGACATATTTAAAGTGCTATTTTTTTAAAAAAAAAAACCTTTTACCCTAGGATAGTATATCTAGCAAAAATATCCTTCAAACATGAAGCTGAAATAAAGACTTTCCCAGACAAACAAAAGCTAAATGATTTCAAGAACAGCAGAACTGTCCTACAAGAAATGATGAAGAGAGTTCTTCAATCTGAAAGAAAAGAAAGTTAATGAGCAATAACAAATCATCTAAAGATGCAACACTCATGGGTAATACTAAGTATACAGACAAACAGAGATATCATAACACTATAATTCTAGTGTGTAAACTACATATACCTTTAATAGAAAGACAAAAAGAACCGATTAAAAATAATAACCACAACAGCTATTCAAAACACAGGCAATACAATAAAGTAGAAATATAAACAATAAAAAGTGTAAAAGCAGGAGGACAAAGTAAAAGCTAGAGTTTTTAGTAGTTTTTTCTTCTTAGTTTGTTTATGGTATTTGTGCTAAGTTGTCATCAATTTTAAATAATGGATAATAAGATAGTACTTCCAAGACTCATGGGAACATTAAATTGAAAAACTTACCGTGGATACACAAAACATAAAAAGCAATACATTAAATTATACCACCAAAGAAAATTACCATCCTAAAAGGAAGAGAGGAAGGAAGAAAGAGAAGACCAGAAAAGAAACAGAAAACAAGTAACAAAATGGCAGAAGTCAGTCCCTACTTATCAATAGTAATACTGAATGTAAACAAATAAAACATTCCAATTAAAATAAATAGTGTAGCTGGATGGGTAAAAAACAAGGCACAGTGATCTGTTGCCTACAGGAAGCACACTTCACCTGTAAAGACACATGCAGACTGATAATAAAGGGGTGGAAAAAGACATTCCATGCCAATGAAAACCAAAAAAAAAGCAGGAGTTACCATACTTATATCAGACCAAATAGATCTCAAGACAAAAATCGTAAGAGACAAAACTTTCTTATATAATGATAAAGGGGGTCAATTCAGCATGAGGACATAACAGTTATAAATATATATGCACCCAACACTGGATCATCCAAATGCATAAAACAAATATTATAGATAGGGACATAGATTCCAATGCAATAATAGCTGGATACTTCAACACTCCACTTTCAATATTGGATATATCTTCCAAACAGAAAAATCAACAAATACCAGTTTTAATCTGCACTATATAACAAATGGACCTAATAGATATTTATGGAACGTTTCATCCAATGGCTACAGAATATAGATTCTTCTCCTCAGCACATCAATCATTTTCAAGGACAGAACTTACGTTAGGCCACAAAATAAGGCTTTTAAAATCCAAAAAATTCAGATTATATGAAGTATCTTCTCTGACCACAGTGGAGTAAAAACAGAATTCAATAGCACAAGGAATCTTGGAAACTATACAAACACATGGAAATTAAACAATATGTTTCTGAATAATCAGTGTGTCAATTAAAAAGGAAATTGAAAATTTTCTTGAAACAAATAATAATGGAAACACCACATACCAAAAGCTGGATACAGCAAAAGCAGTACTAAGAGTTGATGTCTTTAAGCACCTACATCAAAAAGCAGAAAAACTTCATTAAACAACAAGTAATGCATCTTAAAGAACTAGAAAAGCAGTAGCAAACCAAACACAAAATTGGCAGAAGAAAAGAAATAACAATCAGAGCAGAAATAAACAAAATTGAAATGAAAGCAATATGAAAGATGAATGAAGCAAAGTGTTGAAGTTTTGAAATAATGAACAAAATTGACAAAACTTTAGCCAGAATAACCAATAAATAAGGATGGAAGCCTTAAGTAAATAAAATCAGAGATGAAAAAGAAGACATTACAACTGATACCACAGAAATTCAAAGGATCATTAGTGACTACTATGACCAACTATATGCCAATAAATTGGAAAAGTTAGAAGAAATGGATAAATTCCTAGACACATACAGCCTACCAAGATTGAACCAGGAAAAAATCCAAAATCTGAACAGACCAATAATAAGTAATAAAATCAAAGCTGTAACAAAAAATCTCCCAGCAAAGCCCAGGACCCAACACCTCCACTGCTGAATTTTATCAAACATCTAAAGAAGAACTAATTACAATCCTACTCAAACTATTCCAAAAAAACAGAGGAGGAGGCACTACTTCCAAATTCCTTGTGTGAGGCCAGCATTATCATGACACCAAAACCAGACAAAGACACATCAAAAAGAGAAAACTACAACTCAATATCCCTGATTAACATTGATGCAAAAAAAACTCTCAACAAAATACCAGCAAACCAAATTCAACAGCATATTAAAAAGATTACTAATGATGACCAAGTGAAATTTATCCCTGGGATGCAAAGGTGTTTCATCATGTACAAATCAATCAACATGATACATCATATCAACAGAATAAAGGACGAAGAGCATATGATTGTTTCAATTAATGCTGAAAAACATTTGATAAAATTTGATATTTCTTCTTGGTAAAAACCTTCAAAAACTAGGTATAAAAGGAACATACATCAACATAATAAAAGCTGTATACAAAGGACCCACAGCTAATATCATACTGAATGGGGAAAAACTGAAAACCTTTCCTCTTTGGAACATAAAAATGCCCACTTTCACTGTTATTCAACATAGTACTGGAAGTCCTAGCTACAGCAATTAGACAAGAGAAAGTAATAAAGCGTCATCCAAATTGAAAAGGAAGAAGTAAAATTATCCTTGTTTGCAGAAGATATAATCTTGTATTTGGGAAAACCTAAAGACTCCACCAAAAAAATCTATTAGAATTAATAATAAACAAGTTCAGTAAAATTTTAGGATGCAAAATCAGCATACAAAAATCTGTAGCATTTCTATGTAAAGATGAACTATCTGAAAAATACATCAAGAATGTAATCCCATTTACATTAGATAGAAACAAACTAAGATAACTAGAAATTAACTAAAGAAGTAAAAGATTACTGTAATGAAAACTATTAATGAAAGAAATTGAAGAGGACATCAACAAATGGACAGATATTCAATGTTCATGGATTGGAAGAATCAATATTGTTAGCATGTTCATACTTCCTAAAGCAATCTACAGATTCAATGCAATCCCTATCAAAATACCCATGACATTCTTCACAGAAATAGAAAAAAAAATCCTAAAAATTATATGAAAGCTCAAAAGACCCAAAATAGCCAAAGCTATTCTTAGCAGAAAGAACAAAATTGGAAGAATCACATTACCTGACTTCAGATTACACCACAAAGCTATAGTAACCAAAACGATGTTGTAGTGGCATAAAAACAGACAGAAATATGGAACAGAATAGAGAACACAGAAATAAATTTATACATCCACAGTTAACTCTTTTTCAACAAAGTTACCAAGAATAAACACTGGAGAAACAACAGTCTCTTCAATAAATGGTGTCAGGAAAATTGGATGTCCATACACAGAAGAATGAAAGTAGACTTCTATCTCATGTCATATAAAAAATAAAATTAAAATAGATTAAAGACTTAAAAGTAAGACCTCATACTACGAAACTACTAAAAGGAAACATTGGAGAAACTCTGCAGGACATGGAATGGGGCAAAGATTTCTTGAGTAATATCCTATAAACATAGGCAACCAAAGCAAAAATGCACAAATAGGATTACATCAAGTTAAGAAGCTTCTGCACAGTGAATGAAAAAATCAACAAAGTAAAGATAACCCACAGAGTGGGAGAAAATATTTGCAAACTACCTGTCAAGGGATTAATAACCATAATATATAAGGAGCTCAAACAACTCTATAGGAAAAAGTCTAATAATTTAACTTAAAAATGTGTAAAATATATGAATAGATATTTCTCAAAAGAAGACATACAAATGGCAAACAGGCATACGAAGAGGTGCTCAACATAATTGATTATCAGAGGAAGGCAAATGAAAACTAGAATGAGACAGCATCTCACCCCAGTTAAAATGGCTTATATCCCAAAGACAGGCAATCACAAATGGTGGTAAGGATGTGAAGGAAAGGGAAACATCGTACACTGTTGGTGGTGACGTAACTTATTATAGCCACTATGAAGGACATTTTGGAAGTTCCTCAAAAAACTAAAAATAGAGCTACCATGTGATCTGGCAATCCCACTGCTGGGTATATACCCAAAAAGAATGGAAATCAGTATATCAAAGAGATATCTGGATTCCCATGTTTATGACAGCAGTGTCTACAATAGCCAATATTTGGAAGCAACGTAAGTGTCCATTAGCAGAGGAGTGCACAGAAAAAATGTAGTATACAAAATAATGAGATCCTGTCATTTGTAATAACATGGTTGGAGCTGGAGGTCACTATGTTAAGCGAAATAAGCCAGGCACAGAAAGTCATATTTCATATGTTCTCATTTATTTGTGAGAGCTGTTTTTTTTTTAATGGAACTCCTGGAGATAGAGAGTAGAACAATATTTACCAGAAGCTGGGAAGGGTTGTTGGGGGAAGGAGGAGAGTTAATGGGCACAAAAATGTAGTTAGAATAAATATGATCTAGTATTTGATAGCACAACAGGGTGACTATGGTCAACAATAATTTATTGAACATTTCAAAATAACAAAAAAGAGTACAGGGGCTTGTTTGTAACACAAAGAAAGGATAAATGCATGAATTGATGGATACCCCATTTATCCTGATGTGATTATTATGCATTGTATGCCTGTATCAAAATATCTCATATACCCGATAAATATATATATACCTACTATGTACCCACAAAAATTAAATACTAAAAAAAATTATATGTATATTCTGATTGATAAAGCTTGCTAAGATTTTCCAGGGTGAGAGATTTTGCTTTTACTTTTAAAAAAATTTTGACCAGATATTTTCTTTGTAAGAAAACTATTACTTAAATATCACACATATATTATTTTATTGTATATAATAAACTTTTTATTTTCTGCAATTACCTTAAAATAAAAAGTATGCCTTTTATTGCAAATAAGAGAGAATACAATGAAAATAAGTTTCATGGCAAATCGGTGAGATTTTCCCTACTTGATCTCTGCTTTCATGCTTTATAATTTGCACAGAATCCTAAGAACAATGATAGCTAAATGCTTATTCTTGTTCCATTTTTCTTCTTTATTCCTCTACTTGGAACTTTTAAATATACAGAATGACTTTTATAATCCTGTAGAGAAGATGGTTCACTATTTATAGCAATCTCAGTTATCACAAGGAAAGTACTATATGCTTTGCCCTGCAAATGTGCATAACAAATTTCCTATAATGTTAATATCATGGTCTTTGAGTGAAAAATTCATTCTTGCTTAGGGTTTATATTTTTCCACATAAGGAGGCACTCTTTCCTCTGCCAAGACAAAATGTGGCATGGAACGAATTCAAAGAAAATAACCTTTCCTAACACATTAATATTTTTGAATAAAAGGGATGAATAAAATGTAAAAATAGATATGGATCAAAAATAAGAATATGAAAAATAGTCATTTATTTCTATTCTCCAATTTGACTTTTCAAGCACTAGAGTTACCCTTTTTAAAGTTTTACTAACACTTTCAACCATGAATTCAACAATTTATTTACTTAAGATGAGGAATCATAAATATAGAAATCAAAATTTTGATCATAAACATTTAAATGTATATATTATCATCTCTTCCATTTATTCACTTGTTAATTTTTTATTTTATGTTTACTATCTGCAGGCATATGCTAGGTGTTTGCAACACATTGTTGAACAAAAGCCATGTGGTACCTGCCTGCTTTGAACTTCTATTTGCTCATAGGTTTTAAATCTTCATGAGGTCACAGATCTTTGGCCTACGCATTTTAGTTCCCCTCATGTCCAGCACAGGACTCTCAATTTATCTTATCTATTTCTTTCTTCACTCTTTTTTCAAAGAAATTTTCTTCTTTTTTTGAGGAGATCATTATCTACCTTGATGACGGAAACTTGTGTGTTTTGTGTGCCTCTGCAAAGTCAGTATTAGAATAATGTCAAGGACAATCAATCCAGGCATATACTGGGCACTCAATAAATGCTTATTAAATAAATAGATGGATAAATGTAGTTCTTATTTTAAAAATATTATTGCTCACCCCTGTAATCCCAGCACTTTGGGAGGCCAAGGCGGGTGGATCATGAGGTCAAGAGTTTAAGACCATCCAGGTCAACATGGTGAAACCTTGTCTCTATTAAAAATACAAAAATTAGCTGTGCATGGTGGCACGCGTCTGTTGTCCCAGCTACTCAAGAGGCTGAGGCAGGAGAATCGCTTGAACCCGGGAGGCGGAGTTTGTAGTGAGCTGAGATAGCACCACTGTACTCCAGCCTGTGACACAGCAAGAACAGTCAAAAAAATAAATTAATTAATTAAAAAAAAAAACACCTCAGAAGTATTTGGTATCAAAATGCAAAATATGATACCCCCATTCAAAATAAAAATAATTGTAAATAATCTGCAACACGGGTTAGATTGTTTTGAGTATGTATTAGTGGAAATTCTAAGAAAAAGACTCGTAGCAAAAATAAACCCAAAAAATCTTTTTGCCATCAGTTATTTTATAAATTTTAAAATGAAAGGAATAGGAACATTCTTTCAATCTAATCAGAGTCAGTGATTTTTAAAGTCCTGTATGATCTTCATACCATATCCTTAATGTTATGAAACTTTTTACTTTTGATTCATATTTATTAAGCACTTATGGTATACAGGCAATTATATATTCCATCATTAATATAATAATCCCATTATAACCTGTATCTCTATAAAGTCTATACCTCACTCTGCTTTGAATTGGAATCATGTGTCTATATCCCTCATTAGATTTTAATGACTTTTAAAGATTGCACCCATGTATTTTTCTTAAATGAGCCTACTTAAATATTTAAGAAATTTTAGAGAAAATTTTGGTCACTCTCTTTCTTTTGTATATCCAGAAAACTGAAAAAAAATGTAGCATCAAAAGTGGCAGACACTGCCTACAAAGATACCGTTTTACATTTCAGAACTCTGACTACCCCCGCCCTACTTATTGAACAACAATATGCTCAGGAATGATGAGTCCTCTACTGCCTCAAGAGGGTGATTTAAGTCTAAACCAATCAGTGTAACTCCATGTCTTTTGCTGGTGATTCATTTAGGCATATGCAAAAGTCATAGTCCTGGACAAATATATGAAACTGTTCTTTCTCAGATATGAAACCATTCTTTCTCTCTCTCCTTCCCTCTCTTGCTATCCCTCTCCTGCTCTCTGGCCTCACTGAGCTACTAAATTAACAAACAGCTTTATCTCTATGTGTGTTGTTACGTAAGAATATAAATTCATTTGTCTCATGCCAATGGAGTTGAGTTCTTTGTCATTCACAGACAAAAGCGTCCTGACTGAAATAGAATTTAGCTGATAGAGCAGAAGTGTATCGTTTGTTGCATAAGATATAGCTGCCTTATGATAGCTAGGGAAATAATTTTACTGTTTCCGAAGGTTATATGTTGAATTTGAACAATAAAGAAGATGTCTAGAGTAGACTATTTTCTACCCAAAATCACATCTTCTTTTCTATATCTAGGGAATCTTTCCCCTTATAAAGGGAAGCAAAAAGAAAAAATCCAAATACTGATTTCCTTGTCCTCCTTTCTTAAACGGATGAAAGTATAGGCACATAAACTTGTATATTGTTTCAAGTGTGGATTCAGGAACTAGCTATGTAGAAGAGAGAAGAAAATCATGCTGGCAAGGGAGGCTTTCAGGTAACAGTAAACCCAGTGTCCAGTATGGATGGCATTAATGGTACAATCCTAGTATTATCATGAGAATCATTCTGTGATATGGTTTCAGGCTTGTTTTGGCTTCATAGGCTCTAACATTAGATCTTGTGTCTTCTTGGAGATATAGAATATCCTTGTTTTCATATCCTTTCTCAGATTAAATTAGTCATATATAATTTTGTTGCTTGCAAAGAAAAGCTTTGACTAAAGTATTAATTTCTGAGAGCCTCATAGGAAATTATTCACAGAACTCAGATGCTCAGATGAGAACCTGGTTTCTGGTTTAATTTAATTGAATGTAGAGATCAAACAAAAAACAAAAAAGGAACAATGCAAGCATTTAAAAAACTGACTCTGTAAAAGAAAGACAAATCATGCACACTAGCACCCTACCAAAGCAATGCAATATTGTAAGTGTGTCAGAGGAGGAGTATGGGCAGTGGTAGGCCAAGGTTCTGAGTAGAAATCACATCTCTGAGACTATTTGAGATGGTTTTCAGACTGAATTGAAATGTTTCTTGGAACACGTTTTAAGATGTCTGATTTCACAGGTTTTAGTATGGTTAAGATAACCATTATGAAGTAATCAATTAAATCCAAGCAAAGGTAGATTTATAGTGGCTAGACTGAGAGATCAGAGTACTTTATAACCCCAAATTGTGAAAATTATAATTTTGCCTTTCTTTTTAGGTTATCCCATCTCCAACTCATACCTACAACTCCTGGAATACCAGGAGTTTAAACCTTGGAATTATTCACTAGAATGAATCATTATAGTGTTTACAAGGCACAGTGACTAATAAACTCAGCACAGTTTTCCTGTTAGTCATTTTAAAACTTTCTTAACAAGATGTTCTTTGAGGTACCTGTGTTAAAACATTGTAACGCCTGGGAAACCATGCACTCTCCCATGAAAGGGAACTCAAAACCAGAACATCACAGTAAAATTTGACATCTTAAAATGAACCCTGCCATAGGCTGATAGTTTAGAATCATACAATTTCAGAATTGGAAAGTAACTTGATCTTCTGGTCTGTTGGTTCTAATGACTTGCTATATATCTAAATCACTTTTGCAGCTTGAAAAATTCTAGACCTCAACTCAGTTAATGTCACCAGATTTAGGAAGCACTAACCCACCTAGATAGCTCCAACTACACAGCCTTCAGAATTACCAAGACACATTGTGGATAAAAAACCGATTTATTGATTATCTTAAAATATATGGGGGAATCATTTTTAATAATTACCTCTTCCCTATTTTGATGAGTTTATAAGAAATGACCCAAACAAAAGGAGGGCAAACAGCTGTAAAGTTGGAAAAACATAGAACATCCAAACGTTCTTTTGTTTTCAACGAAATAATAAGAACAGCCAACTCTAGCATTTAAATCTTTCTCATATGCAAAATACATTTACGATCCTGAGAAAACAAACTGTGAAAATTGAGAATAAGACATCTAAGCTACCTTCTGCTGTTCTGGAAAAAATAATGTCACATTACTGTATTGGGCAGAATTTGTTGTGAAAAACAACATAAGACTCCATGTGAATTACAAAATTTTTCTCAGCAAAAGAAAAATTAATCAAGATAGAAGGGAAAGAATATGGTAAAAATGCCAGTCACACCCTTGCTGTCTATATGAAGAGCCTTCTCTCTGTTATTATTAATTTAATTTGCTGTTTCATTTGTTAAATTGTATTCAGGCATTTTATATGGCACTGATTTCCAAGGCTTCATGTTAGATACCTGTCCAACTACTAGGGTAGAGCAGCACCTGATATACTCCTTAAATTTCAATGCATTTCTTTTCAGAAGGGAATTAGTGGCCAAATCCTAACCTGGTTTTTGCCCTACATATTCATTATTCAGGTTGAATTTCCCAAATATAAAATTTGGAGTAGGATGGTAAAAGATAAAATTGTCCAAAGACTCCCTAAAGTTTTTAAGTCCATTTACTATTCTAAATTCATTAATGTGAATGGATAGAAAAAATGATTCCTTTTGAACATACGTATACAATAGCTACTGAGTCTTCTGAGTGGACAGAACTAAGATGCCTTTACAAGACAGAGGCTTTTCCTAAAGACACAGAAAACATTATCAAGCAGTGTCCTCAGAAATTGTCTTTGCTGTCTGACCAACTCTGCTGCATCAATTCCAGTTCAGAAGAATGAGTTTTATCAGTTTTAAATGGAATTGAAAAGCATAGATGACATACAAATAGAATGGAACAACTATTCGTTGAGTCCTGCAATTTACCCAGAATACCCAGAGGCTCCTAGGAATTAGCTGGTAGGATACAGGCCAACATTTTTAACATGGCCTATGTAATCAGTCCCTGCCTGCCTGTCCTTTAGACATTATCTTGGATCCTACCCCCTTGCTCTCTCAACTTGGGCAACAGTGGCATGTTTATCCTTTCTCAGAGTCCTCTCAGCATAAACCTCTGCACATTATTATCTGTGTAGTATGGTCTTCTCCACTACTTCATGTCACCAGTTAATTTTTAATTTTCCATAAGATATCATCAGCTCAGGTTTTTTTCTTTTTATAACCAGGTTGGATTTATCTATTAGATGCTTTAATCATGCTTTAGCCTTTGCTTCACTTACCACGGTTGTAATTTTGCACGTGCTTTTGGCAGTTATTTCAGTAATATTTGTCTCCTTCATTAGATTTTAATCTTTGTGAGGGCAAGTCCATGTCTGCTTTGCTCTCCATTTTATCTCAAATATTGGGCACAGAATCTTACATAAGGTGACATGAGTTAAATATTTGTTAATGCCTGGATTAACCACATTAATAACTCGCCATATAATAATATTCCTTCAAATAGATTAAGAAACCAACAATTAGAGAAAACTAGTATTTTGCCAGAATGATCACAGCTATAAAAACTAAACAAACGATGTCCAGCCAAATTATCAGAATCTAATTTCAGTGGCTTTTCTCTCCTGCAAAAGTCCAGTCCTTTTAAGGGATCATATCAGTTAAGCTTTCAGCATCAGTGAGTGTAAGCAAACTGTCTATTGTCAATGTTTTCAGCCAGAAAAACACCAGAAGCATATCTATATTGAACAAACTAGTTTTATTACTCATTGCAATGGGAAATCATGACGTGTCTCATGGGGAATCATGGTGTGTCTCCATGAGACGGTGGTAGAAAGAACTTAATATAGGGTTTAGACTTTGTTTTGAAAGAGAGTTTAGGAGAAGGTGAAAGGAAGTGGGAATTTCAGAAAGCAGGGTAATTCTGTGATTGCGCATCTTAACAAATCTGATATATGTATAGAGAGAGAGAGAGAGACAGAGAGAGAAGACCAGAATGATGATAAAATTATCCTTGGTAAAAAATAGAGGTTATTTCTTTAGGACAAGAAAGGAGGAGTTGAGTTTTTGATAGATATTACAGTGATCTTGTTTTTGTCTGTGCTTAGACAAAATGATGACGTAAGTAGCCTTGCTTTTTCTCATCTTATCATGGCCTCAATGTACCCTTTCTCTGGAATTAGTATGTTGTAAAATTGTTTATGTTTAATAGGAGAATTATATCGCTAGCTGAGAGTGCCAAGTCAGCATTTCAATGTCAGGGGTTGTTTTTTCTTTGTTGCTGTTGTTGTTGTTGTTTTTTCTCTCTCTCCACCAGTATAATAAGATTCAGTGCAGTTAAATATGTGGGAAAGTATTTAAAGATGGAAATTTGAGATTGATCAGCACATAGAATTTTCAGATGATTCCACCTCCCTCCTGAAGAAGAAAAAGAAGAATGGATTTCATGCAATTATTAGATGACATACACATTTAAGGGAAGAAAAAGGAGATGAGGAAAGTAGGCAATGAATTGTCAGAGCATCATTAGAATTGCTATTATAATATTTTCATTTGCCTTTAAACAAATGTATAGGAAAAGATTGTAATTATTTACTAAAGTACCTAAGGCAATGAGGTAGATGCAGTAATTCACAGTCATATCTCCCTTCAAGATAATTAACTTACTTCAGCTCCTGGAAATACTGTCAGAAGAAATTTTCCAGCTTCCAGCACATTTAAAAAGTTGCCTAGGCTGAAGAGAGTCACCTCATACAAGGTCATGCAACTTTCTTCCTACAGCCTGTTTCCAATAACTAATTGATACACGAGTATAAAGATTCTTTCTGTCCTATCACCCCATCTCAGGACATCTATGAACTATTGTCTCCATTTCAGAACTTCATGTAGTTTGGTTGAGGCCTCTGTTGTAACTATATCAGAATTTCAGTTTCTTTCTCTGCATAATCCTGATTTCTTACTTTCCTTCTACAGGGTTGACCACAAGAACGTTCCTTAACAAATTTCCTTCACACTAATCTCTGAGTCAGAGTATGCTTCACAGTAAACTCAAGCTGCAACGGTTGGGCCAGAAGTGATTGGAGAGAGCAGACATAGATATGGGATCATCATGCTGGATGACCCAACCCCCAACAACTAACAATGACTCCATCACTGGTGGCAGGTAGAGCACAGAGAGCTCTGGCATAAAGTAGCAGTGTG
Source organism: Homo sapiens (assembly GCF_000001405.40). Lineage (NCBI taxonomy): Eukaryota > Metazoa > Chordata > Mammalia > Primates > Hominidae > Homo > Homo sapiens. The sequence continues at coordinate 191,070,569 of NC_000003.12, forward strand.
ATGGTTAAGTTGTTAAATTTAGATGGTTAAAACCGTTCCCAGTGGTGAACTGGCATACTAAGTCAGTAGAAGAGTTTGTATTAGAGCAAGGTTTCTCAATTTCAGCTCTGTCGGTATTTCCTGCCAGATAATTATTTGTTGTGAGGAGCTATGTTGTGAATTACAGGATGTTTAGCAGTATCCCTGGCCCCTACCCACTAGACATCAGTCACCCACTCCCCCAAACCACCCCCCACTCATCAGCTTTGACAATGAAAATTATTTCTAGACTTTGCCAAATGTGCTTTCTACCTCTCATCTCCCTGACTCTGCTTATTTAGCCTTCAACCACGTGTGTCCTCTTCATTTCTGCCTGTCAATTTCCTGCCCTTCCTCTGGACCTTTGGCTCAATGCCAAATCCACTTAAATTCTTCTGAGATATCAAAGTCACAAGACTTTTTCCTTGCCATTTCACATTTACCCTTCATTCTGTATAACCTGAATGAATCATGCTTCGCTAGTACTAATATGCATCCACTTGTATTAATGTCCATTTTATAACTGTGAGTTTCCACATGCTTTACTTGTAATTTCAGTATTCAGTAGATTTCTCCCTGGTGTTTGTTTCAGGAAACTCAGTGTTGATTCCATCAGTCTTAGTCATCTTTCAGTGTTAATGCTACCAGTTAATAAATTAGGAACTCGCTTCTGATGATGATCATGAGTTCAGCAGTTCAACACAGATCATTTAGTATCCATTCGTAATTCCAACAGCTCTAAGTATGCAATGCCTCTCATGCTGGCTTATGGTACTTGCTTTCACAGTGCAAATACTCACCAATTTGCTGAAGTTAAAGTTGCTCTAGTGACAGGAGGAGAATATTTTACCACTTTGTCTATCTGAATGTCTCCCAGCAAAACCCAAGCAAGTGGGCACTAATGTGTTACATCTCTCAATGGTATAGGTCTTTCCGGTTAAATACACACCATTATTCCTCAGGAAACACACATGCTGCAGGTATGTCTGAGTCAGGAATTATTTCTGTGTTTGCACTCCCCTAAACTCAAAACCAACACTCCTCCTTAACCTTTATTTCTAGGGCTACCCCCTGTTCCACCATTTCGCTTTGTATTTGTACTTTTTCAGGGATGTCCTTGTGTATCAGTGTGTCTGATTATTCTTGAAACTCAGTGGTGCTAGGTAAACCACAGAAAGTATTTAATATGTAGGTTTAGTCTGAGCATTCAGATTGTCAGTATTCAGGCTCTTTTTCTTCTCAGGAAATGCTTTTTTTTTCCCCCCGCCAAACAGATGGTGATGCAGATGGGTTTGTACAGGGAGGAGTTCCTCCTAATTCTTCTTGCCAGAAATATATGACCCTCAGTTTACATTGAATAATGGATATTTATCGTGATTTAACTTTTTATGACATTCTCTTACTCACTGAAGAAGTAAAAATATTATCTCTGTGTAAAACTTTCAGAATACTAAGCATGTTGACTTGTATTTGCTTGTTATAAACATTAAATTATATTGATTTAGAGTATCGGCCTATTAACATGGATATAATAACCTATAAGTTAGTTTATAGATGTAGAACTCAAGGCATCTTTCAAATAATCTTATAGAACTTTTTTATAGATTATAAACTACTACTGACCTCCCAGAGTTGGAGAGTTACTTGCCCAAGACTTACTTCTTGACAGATATGGAGTGAAATCCAAGTTTTCTGACTCTTAGCCCAGGACTCTTTTCTCTGCACTGGGTATTGTCCTTTTTTAGTGTAGCCAAGTTTAAAGTTTAAGTCTAGTTTCTAACTTCTCCTATACTATTTACTATTAGAAAAGTTAATGGTCAAAATATGATTTTGTCATTCAAATGATAAACCTTCTATTCAGATTTGGACTAAGTAAGTGGCTAATCCTGAAATTATCAGACATGAAACGTAATGAACAATATGGAAAATATCTTTCTATATATGACTTCACACTATAATTGGTAAACAGCTGCAGACTGTATCCATCTCTCCCTTGGGTTCTCATGGCATTCTGTTATTTCACTCCTGTAAGGTTTATTTTCCTTTTCCATACTATGTCGGCCTTTTGAGGTCAAGGGCAATGAATATTTATTAAAGGGAAATAATAAGGATGCTATATAATTATTTTTGAATGACATTAAATAAAGTTAATTTACAGAGAGTAATTGGTAGAGCTTGCTTCAATTCTTCTAGTTTAGTTACTACGGTACCTTCATATGTGCTTTTCAATAGTTCTTCACAACATCACGTTTCTAAGTCAGTGTCCCATAGAAACTTCCACCTGAAAAAGACTAATCGAATTGTGGCATTTTGCAATTGGGAATTCGTTTCAATAGGAGTATATGTATAATTACTGTCCAAGATTTCACAATGCAGTCATGCCTTTGACTTGAACCCAGATATTTGTATGGCCAGGAACATTTCTTACAATAGAGAGAATGTACGGCTGCCTCATTTTATTGGTACAGAAAAGGCCATATATTTAAAGTACTTGTTGATAACTACATAATTTATCAGCATTGGAGCCAGGCACAGGATGCTGTCTTCTTGTTACTTTTAAAATAACAGTAAAGTTCGTTTGCTTTAGTAATTGACCTCCTTACATGACCTTTAAGGTTGCTTGAACCTACTCAAGGTACAATGTATCCCCTGCTCTAGACCTAAAGGAGTTAAATGGTTATAAAAAGCAATGCTAAGAGACAACATCTGCTGTCAGAGCTTCTCCTCTGAATAAAGGGATACAGGCCTTTTTTTTTTTTTTTTTTCCTGTGGCACGGTCTCAGCTAGCTGCAACGTCTGCCTCTCGGGTTCAAGTGGTTCTCCTACCTCAGCCTTCCGAGTAGCTGGGATTACAGGTGCGCGTCACCAAGCCAGGCTAATTTTTGTATTTTCAGGAGAGACGGGGTTTTGCTATGTTGGTCTCGAACTCCTGACCTCAGGCGGTCTGCCCGCCTTGGCCTCCCAAAGTGATGGGATTACAGGCATGAGCCACCGCGCCCAACCAGGCTCTTCCTTAAAAATGCCCCTTTCCATAGTTAAGTAGCCTATTTAGTGGGTATAAAAAAGCATGCGTATGTCCTCTCTGACTCTCTCTGCACGTTTGCCATTCTTCACCAAGGCACTTTGCAAATGAAGTCATTTGTCAAGTTTGATTAGCTTCATTTGATGGATAGATAGCCCCCAAGCGGGGAAGGGATGTATTTGATTCTTCTGTGATGAATTTGACTCTGAACCTAAGTCCGATTATTACTCTTATCATCTCCCTCTTTCTTCTTCTCCCGCTACCACTGACGCTATTTGGAAGTAGCAAAATTATTTCAATACCCTCTAATGAGATTCTAAATGAACATGTTATTTATTATATAATTATGTTTGTGCTCTTTAGGAGAGGGACTGTATATTTCGGGCTGCCACCATTTTTGTAATCTATGCCAATTTGTGGCGATAGATAGGCTATGTGTCAGGGTGGTGATAGCAAGTCATTCATCTTAGAAACCGCTGGGTTCTCTGCAGCAGTTTGGGGTAGTGGAAAGCATGGTAGAATTAGAGACAGGAAATGTAGATTCTCTGCCACATAGGGAAACATCATTTAACCTCGGTGAAACAGGAATGATCATCTTTCTTGTCTTTCTCATAGTGCTATTATCAGTGGAATTTAATATAATAAGGGTAAAACTGATTTGTAAACTTACAACACTTTCTAAATGAACTATAAACAGTATTGTTATTTTCAAGGGTGTCAGAGATAAAATTAAGACAAGCCAAGGATGATATTTAAGCAACAAGTCCTGTATCAACCCAGTGTACAAGATAAACTGTTCCTTCTACTTGCCCAGTATTTTTTCTTCTTCAAGATATCCCTTCTTCCTGGAAAGCTTTATTCTAATATATTCTATGGTCTATCCAGTGCACAAGAAATATGTTTAAGGTAGAAAATACTGCTTTTTTAATTTTTAATTTCTCATCTTTATGGGTACATAAAGTGAAAAGTGATTGGCAGGATAAAATGAGGTAATCAGTGATCTGTGTGAACATACTTGGGTTTCATGGATTTTCATAGGATGCATGTTCAGAAAATGGCAGTGTTAGCATGATCTGAGTGAGGAGCTTTTGGCCCTATGACGTCATAAGGTCACCCTGTGGGCGTTTGTACAGGCTACCTGAAGGGTCAGTGGTCTCAACTGGTCTTCTGCTCGACAAGAACTGCCCCAAGTTCTTCAAAAACAACGTAAACAATTATTACTGTAGTGACATAGATGCCAGAGATGTTGTCTGTAAGGATGCTAGTGAAGGCTAAGTGATAGCGTTTAGCAGCCTGGCTTTTAGCAACGTGAGTTTTTTTTTAAAATCAACAAGAGGCAAGCAACTAAAAAAATTAGGCTTCTGTTTCAAGTGTATGGAATTGATCAGATTATTATTTCTCTTTCCAAAGCTCACATTTCCTCAACTAGGATAGAAAATCTAACCTCAAGACTTTTACACCATATTTTTTAAAGGTAACTTTATAGTCTTTCTTTGTATTCAGGCAAAAGAAATGGATCTAACTGACAGACTGAATCCTGGGTGAAACTTCCTTCCATCCTAATCTTTAAACACTAAAAGCCTATTTTGGGACTTTTGCTATTACATGTTGTGATTTCTTATGGGTTTACCACATTTGCTTCATCTATACTTAATTTTTTATCCCAAATTATTGTAAAACAAACCACAGACTTTATTTTGCCTTTATATCCATTAGTATACACACACACACACACACACACACACACACACACACAACTTAATTGAAAGTGAGCACTGAAAATTAATTATATTTCTTTAAATATAATAGATGACTTATAATTTAAATATAATAGATGACTTGAAATAGATGACTTATAATTTCTTTATACTTTGTTGGAAGTCACAGTTATCCTAAAAATATCCTCTAGTTACAGATGAATTTGACTTTTAACACCTGGGAGTTGTTGAGTTTAATCTTGGAAATCAGAAATGCAGAAATTTTTGAACTCTTAAGACATTCTGAGTACTTTATTTAACTCATTTCAGATGAAGTAGTTTTTTAATATATTTTGTTAATACACATAGAACCCATGCCAAATGCTCCTAACTAGTTAGACAGAAAACACACACTTCCAGCCTGTCTTATTCTATCTCAGGTCCTTTTTTTCAACAGTGACAAGAATACCTGTAGTTTCAATTTTCCTCTCTTTCTCTCTCCCTCTCTTGCTCAAGATGTGCTTTATTTTATTTCACAAATTACCAAAACTAAAACAAGAATAATCAGAACATGTGAGTAGAAATATATATGTTAAATAAATTTATAGTTATAAAATTTCTCACATAGAAAACTCTAGGCCCAGATGGCTTCAATGATGAATTCTATGAAACATTTAAAGAAGAAAAATATTCCACAGTGGGCCAATATGGCCAATTAAAAGCAGCTATGGTGTGTGGCTCTCATAGAGAGGAATAAAGGGGGAAAATGAATACTGCACCTTCAACTGAAATATCCAGGTAGTCCCATTGGAACTGATCAGGAAAACAAATTAACCCACAGAGAATGAAGAAAAGCAGAATGGGGAGAAGGCCCAGCTGGGAGCAACATGGAGCCAAGGGAATCCCAACCCCAGCCAAGGGAAGTAATGAGTGAATATGCAACCCTGGGGAACCACCCTTTTCCCATGGATCTTTGCAACCCTCAGATCAAGAGAGGCCCTCATGAGCCCATGCCACAAAGGTCTTGGGTCCGACACACAGAGCTGTGTGGACTCTCAGTGGCTCGCTGCACAAGGATGCACTGAGACCCAGGAGCTTTACATACTCTGGCCCTAGGATCCCTGGCAAGGTAGGAGGTCCATATATACTCCTAGAAAGGGGGCTACATCCAGAGGGATGAGCAGGTAGTGTGAGGGCCCCACTTCCACACTACCTCAAAAGATAAGACCCACTGGCTTGGAATTCCAGCCAGCCACTGGCAACAGGGTAGAGCCTGCCTGAGACAGGACTAAGCCTCCAGGAGGAGAAGCAGGCTGACACCTTTGCTATTTGGTCAACTCAGCCATTCCAGACTGTGGAATTTGGAGAGTCAAAATGACCCAGATGAGGAAGGATTCCCCCAGAGCAGCACAGCTGCTTTGCCAGAAAGTGGGACCCCAATCCATTCCTCATCACTGGGTGCAACCTCCTAGTGGGGGCCTTCAGCCACCCCCACTGGCTTGCATTTTATAAATGAAACTCTGATCTCTCCCTGGGACAGAGTGCCTAAGGGGAGGAGTGGGCTGCCACCTTGTTTGGATGAATCAGCTGTTCCAGCCTGTGGGCTTTGGAGAGTCCAAGCCCACCAGAGCAGAGGTGATTCCCCAGCATGGTATGGCTGTTTTGTGGAGGCATGGTCAGACTGCTTCTTTAAACAGACCCAGATTCATTCCTCCTCACTGACGGGGACCTCCCAGCTAGGGCTTCCAGCCACCCCCACCCATCTGTATTCTATGGACAGAGCTCTGATCTCTCCTGGGATGGAGTGCCTGGAGAGGGGAGGGCTGCCACCTTGGCTCTTTGGATGACTCAGCTGGTCCAGACTGTGGGCTTTGAAGAGTCCAAGCCAATGGGGGGCAGAGGCCGTTCCCTAACATAGCACAGCTGTTTTGTCAATGTGTGACCAGAATGTTTCTTTAAATGGGACCTTGATCTATCCCTCCTCACTGGGTGAGCCCTCCCAGTTGGGGCTCCAGCCACCCCCACCTGTATTCTATAGCCAGCAGTCTTCTAATTTCTCTCTGGGACAGAGTGCCTCAGGGGAAGGGCAGGCCACCACCTTAGTTGTTTGGGTGTATCTCAGCAGGTTCAGTCTACAGACCTTGGAGATCCCAAAACAACTGGGGACTGAAGGGATCCTCAACACAGCACAGCTGCTCTACCAAATGCATCCAGACTGCTCCTTTAAGTGGGTCCCTGATCCCATTCCTCCTGACTGGGTGAGATCTCCCAAGCAGGGTCTCTAGCCACCTGCTACAGATGCATTCAGGCTGGCAACAGGTCAGTATCCCCCTGGGATGGAGCTTCCAGAAGTGGCAGGCTGCCATCTTTGCTGTTTTGCAGCCTTTACTGGTGATACCACCAGGTGCTGGAAAAACTGAAGGGACTAGACTCTGCAGTGAACCCCCAGCAAATGGCAGCAGCCCTATGGAAGAGTGGCCAGACTGCTAAAAGAAAAATAAACAAACAACAATGAAAACAACAACAAAAACAACAACAAAACAGAAAAAAAAAACCCATCCAAAGGTTGGCGATCACAAAGATTGGAGGTAGATAAGCCCACAAAATGATAAAAAAATCAACACAAAAATGCTGAAAACTCAAAAAGGCAGAGTGCCCCCTTTCCTCCAAATGACCACAACACCTCTCAAGCAAGGGTTCAGAGCTGGTCTGAGGCTGAGATGGCTGAAATGATAGAAGTAGGCTTCAGAGTGTGAATAAAAACAAACTTCACTGAGCTAAAGAAGCACATTGTAACCCAGTGCAAAGAGGATAAGAAACATGATAAAACAATGCAGGAACTTACAGCCAAAATAGCCATTATAGAGAGAAACAAAACCAATGTAATAGAGCTGAAAAACACACTACAACAACTTCAAAATGCAATCATAAGTATTAATAGCAGAATAGACCAAGCAAAGGAAAGAAGCTCAGAGCTTGAAGACTGTTTTTCTGAAATAAGACAGGCAGACAAGAATAGAGAAAAAATAATGGAAAGGAATGAACAAAACATCCAAGAAATATGGAGTTATGTAAAAAACTCAAATATATGACTAATTGAGGTACCCAAAAGGGATGAGGAGAATGGAATCAATTTGGAAAACATATTTCAAGATATCATCCAGGAAACCTTCCCTAACCAAGCAAGAGAGGCCAACATTCAAATTCGAGAAATCCAGAGAACCCCAATAAGATACTCTATGAGGAGATCAACTCCAAGACACATACTTATCAGATTCTCCAAGGTTGAAATGAAGGGAAAAAAAATGTTAGAGGCAGTCAGAGAGAAAGGCCAGTTCGCCTACAAAGGGAAGCCCATCAGACTAACAGCCAAACTTTCAGCAACAACCCTACAAGACAGAAGAGATTGGGGACGAATATTCCACATTCTTAAAGAAAAGAATTTCCAACCCAGAATTTCATATCTGGCCAAATGAAGCTTCATAAGCGAAGGAGAAATAAAATCCTTCTCAGACAAGCAAATGTTGAGGGATTCCAACACCACCAGGCCTGCCTTGTGAGAACTCCTGAAGGAAGCACTAAACATAGAAAACAAAACCATTACCAGCCACTACAAAAACACACTGAAGTACAGAGACCTGTGAAACTATGAAGCAACTACATTAACAAGTCTGCAAAATTAGCCAGCCCACATCATGATGACAGGATCAAATTCACACGTAACAATACTAACCTTAAATGTAAATGCACTAAATGCCTCAGCTAAAAGACAGAATGGCAGGCTGGATAATGAACAAAGATCCATTGGTATGCTGTCTTCAAGAGACCCATCTCACATGCAAAGACACACGTAGGTTCAAAATAAAGGGATGGAGGAAAATTTACGAAGCAAATGGAAAACAGAAAAAAAGCAGGGGTTGCAATCCTAGTTTCTGACAAAACAGACTTTAAACCAACAAAGATCAAAAAAGTCAAGGGCATTACATAAAGGGTTCAATTCAACAACAAGAATTAAGCATCCTAAATATATACACACCCAACAAAGGAGCACCCAGATTCATAAAGCAAGTTCTTGGAGAACTTCAAGGAGACTTAGATACTCCCACAATAATAGTGGGAGACTTTAAAACTCCACCAATTATATGAGATAGATCAGTGAGACAGAAAATTAACAAAGATATTCAGGACGTATACTCAGCCCTAGATCAAGTGGACCTGACAGATTTCTACAGAACTCGCCACCCAAAAATAACAGAATATGCATTCTTCTGATTGCCACATGGTACTTGCTCTGAAAATGATCACATAATTGAAAGTAAAACATTCCTCATAAAATGGCAAAAAACTGGAATTATAGCAGTCTCTCAGACAACAGTGTAATCAAATTAGAGATAAAGTCTAAGAAATTCACTCAAAACCACACAACTACATGTAAATTGAACAACCTGCTCCTGAATAACCTTTGGGTAAATAATGAAATTAACGCAGAAATCAAGAAGTTCCTTGAAACTAATGAAAATGAAGATACAACATACCAGAATCTCTGGGACATAACTAACACAGTGTCAAGAGGAAAATTTATAACATTAAATGCCCACATCAAAAGGCTAGAAAGCTGTCAGGTTAGCAACCTAACATTATAACTAAAAGAACTAGAGAACTAAGTACAAAGAAACCCCAGAACTAGCAAAAGACAAAAAATAACCAAAATCAGAGCTGAACTGAAGGAGAATGAGACAAAACAAACAAACAAACAACAACAACAACCACCTTCAAAAAATCAATGCCAGGAACTGGTTTTTTGAAAAAAAATTAATAAATTAGATAGACCACCAGCAAGACTAATGAAGAAGAAAAGAGACATGATTCAAATAAACACCATCAGATATGATAAGGGTGATATTACTGCTGAATGCTTAGAAATACAAACACCAATTAGAGATTACTATAAACACCTCTGTGCACATAAGCTAGAAAATCTAGAAGAAATGGATAAATTCCTGGACACACACATTCTATTAAGATCAAACCAGGAAGAAACTGGATACCTGAATAGACCAATAATGAGACAGAAATTGAGGCACTAACAAATAACCTACCAACCAAAAAAAGCACAGGACCAGATGGATTCAGAGCAGAATTCTACCAGAGGTACAAAAGAAGTTGGTACCATTCCTACTGAAACTATTCCAAAAAATTGAGGAGGAGGGACTCCTCCCTAACTCATTCTATGAGGTTAGCACCATCCTGATACCGAAACCTGACAGAGATACCCCCCCAAAAACAAACAAACAAACAAACAAACAAACAATCAAACAAAAAACTTCAGGCCGACATTATGGACGAACAGCAATGCAAAAATCCTGAACAAACTACTGGCAAAACGAATCCAGCAGTACATCAAAAAGCTTATCCACCATGATCAACTAGGTTTCAATCCTTAGGATGCAAGACTGATTCAACGTATGCAAATCAGTACACATGATTCATCACATAAACAGAACTAAAGACAAAAATCAAATAATTATCTCAATAGACACAGAAAAGACCTTCGATAAAATTTAACATTCATGTTAAAACTCTATAAGCTAGGTATTGAAGGAACACAACTCAAAATAGTAAGAGTCGTGTATGACAAAGCCACAGCCAATATCATACTGAATGGGCAGATGCTGGAAGCACTCCGTTTGAAAAGCAACACAAGACAACTTTGTCCTCTCTCACCACTCCTATTCAACATAGCATTGAAAGTTCTGACCAGGGCAATCAGGCAAAAGAGAAAAATAAAGTGTATTCAAATAGGAAGAAAAGAAGTCAAATTATCTTTGTTTGCAGACGACATGATCCTATATCTAGGAAACCCCATGGTCTCATCCCAAAAACTTCTTATACTGATAAGCAACTTCATCAAAGTCTTAGGATACAAAATCAATGTGCAAAAATTAGTGGCATTCCTATACACCAAAAACAGGCAAGCCAAGAGCTAAATCATGAATGAACTCTCGTTTACAACTGCCACAAAAGGAATAAAATACCTAGAAATATGGCTAACAAGGAAAGTGAAGGACCTCTTCAAGATGAACTAAAAACCACTGCTCAAAAAAATTAGAGATGACACAAACAAATGGGAAAACATTCCATGCTCATGGATAGGAAGAATTGCTATTGCAAAAATGGCCATAGTACCCCCCCCAAAAAATTTATAGATTCTATTCTATTTTCATTAAACTATCGCTGACATTCTTCACATAACTAGAAAAAACTATTTTAAAATTCATATGGAACCAAAAAAGAGCCTGAATAGTCAAGGCAATCCTAAGCAAAAAGAACAAAGCTGGAAGCATCATGCTACTCAACTTCAAACTATACTAGAGGGGTACAGTAACCAAAACAGCACAGTTCCGGTACAAAAACAGACACATAGACCAATCAAACAGAAGAGAGAACCCAGAAATAAGACAACGCACCCCACAACCATCTCATCTTTAACAAACCTGACAAAAACAAGCAATGAGGAAAGGATTCCCTATATAAATGGTGCTGGGGAAACTGGCTAGCCATATGCAGAAAATTGAAACTGGACACCTTCCTTACAACATACACAAAAATCAAATCAAAATTGATTAAAGACTTAAATGTAAAACACAAAACTCTAAAACCTCTAACAGAAAACATAGGCAATGCCATTCAAGACATAGGCGTGAGCAAAGATTTTATGACAAAGACATCAAAAGCAATTGCAACAAAAGCAAAAATTGAAAAATTGAATATAATCAAACTAAAGAGCTTCTCTACAGCAAAAGAAACTATCAACAGAGTAAACAGACAACCTAGAGAATGGAAGAAAAATTTTTCAAGCTATGCTTCGGACAAGAGTCTAATATCCAGCATCTATAAGGAACTTAAATGTACAAAAGGAAAAAGAAACAACCTCATTAAAAAGGGGTCAAACGACATAAACAGACACTTTTCAAAATAAGACATGCATGCGGCCAATGAAAAAAAAACTCAGCATCACTGATCATTAGAGAAATGCAAACCAAAACCACAATGAGATATCATCTCACACCACTCAGAATGGCTAATATTAAAAAGTCAAAAAACAATAGATGCTAGTGAGGTTGTGGAGAGAAAGCAACACTTTTACAGTGTTGGTGGGAGTGTAAATGAGTTTAACCATTGTGGAAGACAGTGTGGCAATTCCTCAAGGATCTAGAACCAGAGATACCATTTGACCTACTAAACCCATTACTGAGTATGTAAAAGGAATATAAATCATTCTATTATAGTGACACATGCATGTGTAAGCTCATTGCAGCACTTTCAAAACAGCAAAGACATGGAATCAGCCTAAATGCCCATCAATGATGGACTGGATAGGGAAAATGTGGTACATATACAACATGGAATACTATGCAGCCATAAAAAGGAACAAGATCATGATTTTTGCAGGGTCATGGTTGGAGCTGGAGGCCATTTTCCTTAGCAAACCAATGCAGGAGCAGAAAACCAAATATCTTGTGCTCTTACTTATAAATGGAAGCTAAGTTATGAAAATGCATGGACACATATAGGGACACAACAGACACTCGGGCCTGTAAGAGAGCAGGGGGTGGGAGGAGGGAGAGGATCAGGAAGAATAGCTAACGAATGTTGGGCTTAATACCTGGGTGATGGGATGATCTGTGCGGCAAACCACCATGGCACACGTTTACCTACCTAACAAACCTGCACATCCTGTACATGTACGGCTGAACTTAAAGTTAGAAATTAAAAACAAATTCCAAGAAAGTGCAAACCTCTTTTAGAAAATAGAGAAATAGGCTGGATTCCCGTCTCTTTTTATGTGTCAGCATAACCCAGTTACCAAAACTAGTCAAGAACATTACTTGAAAAGAATATTACAAATGAGCACAGACATAAACTGATGAAGATAAAATTTTTAGCTTTATTATTAGTAAAGCTGTGTGACATACATTTCCCAGGTACTTTTCCTAGAAGTGTATCCATATTTACTTTAATTAAAACAAATTTGTATTGCACACATGGTTTTATACTATTTTTATTAAATTCAGTATCATGAAAATTTTTCCATGTCATTGAATATCCATCTCTAGTATAATTTTTAACTCTTCTCAGAGTAATACCTATTTAATCAGTCTTGATTGACTTTTATTGAAGTACTGCTTTTGAATATTTTACATATTTCTTGTACTGGGTAATAAAACACACACACACAATATGAAAAGTTTTTATTAAATTCCAGGATAGTAATTCTTTTAAAATTATTTTGATATATTTAAACTAGATTAAATATCCCTGAATCCTTTTTAATGAATTGTTAGCTTTAAAAAGTTATATAAAATGGCTTTTGTAATGCAGAATAAAAGCATGACATATAACTTTTAATAATAAGTAGGTCAAAAGTCTTGAAAAGGTGAATAAGGAGCAAAATGCCTCATTTAATTATAAATGTTATAAAAGGTATTAATATTTAAAAATTGTCAGATATTGGCCTGAGAATACACCATTTTTAACTAAATAGTATACAATTCAAGGAAACCTCTCTCTTTTTCTCTCTCTGTCCTGCTCTAAGAAGATATTCGTGTGGCTCTATGTATCATTTAGGGTTATGGTATGTCAAATATCCTGAGTTTTAGGTATGATTATCAAGTCATACGCAAAATTGTGGGATGGATTGGGAAAGAGGGGGCATCAACAGATATTTATTGAACATGATTGTTAAAACACAGAGAAAATTCAAAATGGTATAAAATTTGACACATATAAAATAAGGGAGATGTCATTGACCGTAATTGGAAACTGAGAAGTAACAGGTTTTTTGAGGCGAGGAAATTAAATTTTGTTACATTACATTTAGTGTGAAGTGACTATGGAATTCCAAGTAAAGATGTCCAGAAAGTTTAGATTTGAATGTTAGCTCAATGTTTGGTCAGCTTAGAAGTTAAAACATTTGAATAAACATTTGAATGTCTTTTTATTATTTAAGAAGAAAAATTTCAGTAAAAATTTTTTTTGGAAAAATAAATATTGGTTTATTACATTTTTGTATTTATATTTTAAAGGGAAAATATTTACTATTCATAATAAAACTTTGTAAATATCCATCATCAAATATTATGAGCACAATTGCTTATTAAAGGTATTTTGATTACCCAACTTTTAACCAAGACTTAAAATAATTGTTAACAGCTCTGTAGAACACCGCCATCTTATTTACAAGCATACGAGCAATTCAGAAAACATATTCAGAAAACATTTTACTTTTTCCTATTTAGTTGTGTCTCTTCTATCATCTAGGGAAATTAAAAATAACTACCTTGATGTACTTTATGAAATACGGATGATTTAGCATGAAGTAGAATTTATGTGTAACGAAAAAAAATCATTCCAATTGTAGACTTCTGATATTCTTTTTTTCTTAATATTGGTATAAACTGCTAATCAGAAAAAAATCAACATTGGATTTACTCATTTTAGTTCATATATTGATCACGAATTCCATGGAACATTTTTCCCTTTCTTTATTATTTACCATATGTGAATATTGTATATTCATGAAAATTTAATAAAACTTAACCTTAAAAATGTACCACAAAAGAGAAACAGCTGTAAATGCCAAGGTTTGCACTGACTAATGTAATGTTAGTCTATAATCAGAGACTCCAATCTGCCCCCAAACAAATTACACTGTGACAAAAACTGTCTGCAAAAGAAAAGTCAAAATGAATATAGTATCGGAATCAACTTCTGTACTGTGATCCAACAAAATAGTCACAAAAGTTTAAAATGGGATCTGACGACAAGGCAAGATACAACTCTTGGATCCAGAATGCAGAGGTTTATTGCAAATGCTGAGCTGGAATCCTGGCCTGGAAAGGAGGGATGTTCAGAAGGAAGCCACACTGGGGTTGGAAAGCAGGCTTTTGCCCATAAAAGTTAGTGATGTTGAAACCTCAAAAACCTCAGAGGTTCAGATTGGGTAAGTTCATATTTCAGAGTGGAAGGGTGGGGTGACCAGTGTGGTTCTGCTGAGTAGCCCAGAACTCAGCATACTGGAGCGAGGCACTTGAGGTTCTGTTCCCAGCCCTGGCTCTCACCGTTAGCCACTTAACTGTTTTCTGTCCCAGTTTTCTTCTAAGTATAATCAGATGAATACATTTATGGCATACTGAATTTAATAGGATGTCACCAGTTAGTGTTTTAAAATAGAAGAGAATAAAATAGAACAGAACAGAAATTATAGAGTTGTAAGAGATTTACAAATCCAGTAATCCAATTCTTTCAAAACTATAGCTACAAAATAAGGGACATATCCCAAATTACGCATCTATTAAGTGCTTCGGAAGCTTCTTTTTTTCAACTTGGGATTACAGACTAGAACATATCCCTCAGAGGTTTTATTGTATCTGGGGATAGGCATATATGTATTGCTTTGTGAAGAAGGAAAAATTATGTTGCAGATATATAAAGTGTCATAAAATGTTCTTAATACATAATTTAATAAAAATATTTAAATATGTACAATAAGAACCTGTTTGTATTAAAATTAACAGATAATATATATATGCCTCTGGGAGAAGGATCTGAGAGAAATATGTTAAATAGGTAACAGTACTTATTTCTACTTTTCATTTTCTTTTTTTGGTTTATCAGTGATTTCTATTCCCACTTAAAACCAAGAAAATAATTCTCTGAGAATTTATTTTCTCATTATCAAATCCTCAGTATTTAGTACAAAGTTCTGAAATAAACAAGTTAGTTTCTATTCCCTGTTTTCACAATACAATCTTATCTCCACTGTTCCAAATTCATTTAAAATAGTACATACACCTCAATAGAGAATATTATTAAAATCAAACAAATATTTCACATTAAGAACTATGTTCCCAGAAATTGAAAAAATTTATTTAAATAAAATAAAATTTAATTAAATAAAATATGAATTATGGTTTTTTAAAATGTCAAACACTAATAGGTGTGATAGTAATAACAATGATCATGGTAATAGTAGCCAAAATGTACTGAGTTCTTAATATAAATACTTTACATTCATCAATTCATTTATTCCCCATAAGAACTTAATGCAGCTTATTAACATTAGTATCCCCAATTGACAAATACTTGACTTGTGGCGGGGAGAAGCAAAGTTACAGAAGAAGTAGAGGAGCCAAGGTTTGAACCAGGCTAATTTCCATAGCTAAGGTATCCTAACACTTTTTGAGTGTATTAATATTATTTGTAATCTCAATATTTTTGAAAATTACTAAAGATAGGCAGTAGGATTCACAGGGCAGAAAAAAATCCAAGCCCTTTACTACTTGTTCTTGTCTCAGTTTTTCAGGTTGATCTTTGCCATATTGCCTCTCACTGACACTGTACAGACTTCAGGCGTAAGGCACCACTCACATATCCCTGAACGCCTCCTGCTTTTCCCAGCCTCTATGCACATATATATCATGTTGTTCTGATATATATGTTACTATATCATTTTTTCTTTATAACTTTAATTAGCCTCTAGACATAGATAGCAGACTACAAAGCAGCACTTAATTAGCCTCTAGACATAGATAGCAGACTATAAAGCAGCACTAAAGCGATGTGTATTGCATTGAATTGGTCCTCCAAAGATAAGAAAACACAACTTTTTTAAACTCATGTATTGGTGTCCTAAGTTAAGAGCTGAAAATCCGCATCAACACTTTAACACTTTAACTTTTGCCATAAAAGTAGATCTAAACAATGATCTATATCTGTATTGGTTGAAAAAAGCTAACAAAATATTAAATAAAAACTTGAGTGCTAGAAATTGATATGATATAGAAACGTTCAGAAAATATACAAAACTTTAATCATGGTTAACATATTTGCATGCAAAACTGATTTCTAAAATTCACACATAAAAATGAACCTTATGTCTTATAGTCACAATGGTCACACTACCCTTGCAGTAGAACAAGATTTGCTTGTATTTTTTCTTTTATTCAAAGATGCCAGTCAACAATATTCTTTCTTTCTTACATGTTATACATATGGCACAATTTTATTTTCTTGATACTTTTCCCATTTGGAATTTAGAAGGAAAGTAAGCTTACATTTGAGTATTCAACTAAATAACCAAATAATTCAACCAAATATCCAACCAAATAACACTTCCTTACTATAGAAGCCAGAAAGTTAGTCAGAACTTTGGAGTTCTGTGAAGGCTGACAACACATATTATGAATATGTAGTGAGGTAGTTGGTGGCAAGGGTGTGGTTGGAAGGGCGCTTGGCAAAGAATAAATATACTTGCCTTCTAAACTCAATCATTCGACACCTTAGGGAAAATATCTTCTCTATTGTGAAATGTGGAGTTTGTATATACGACTTCAAAGGTTTGTCCTTCCTGTCTTGGATTCTATGACTCTAGGTCAAGTGGGGAAAATTCTACAAAGCTGAATCCTTAAGCTCTAGTCTCTACCATTGTTTGACAGAAAATATAGGAAAATCAATAGATCTAAAATTCCAGTCTGAAAAGCCAAAATTAGTAAAGCTTTGATACTGGTTATTTCTTACGTGTAATTGTAGCTTGCATTTCAGTGCATCAGCAGCTTATCCGATATATGGAAGCACAGGGACATAGTAACAGCCTGCGTCATTAACATGGACATACATTCAAGCTATGAACATTGTTTTTTTAAGCTTTTATTTCTTTTTAGAACTATGAATAATCAAAAAGAGTGACCTGAATTTTTAAGAGTATCTCTGAGGAAGATAAATGGCTTTGTTCAAATCCCTTAAAAAGAAAAACAAATTTTACTTTCCCTCAGGTGTGACAGCCTAGTTCTGAAGATTGCTGCAGTCTGGAGTCTAGTATTTGCGAACCCAAGAGAGCCAAGAAAGGGTCCTTTACTCAAAGCTGCAAGAAGAAGGAAAATAAAAACCCCAAAGTTAAGTATCACCATCCAGCTGGCACATGTGCTTAGGCCACAACTGGCTTTGGCAAGTCCTCATCCTCGAGGCCTCCAGTGGCTCTGAAATTCTCACCACAAGAAAATCATGGGTTTTAAGACACAAGAATTAAAGAACACATTAATGTAATTTTGGTGCAGGAGCATTTAGAGAAATGTGTGTTTGTCTTTGAAGGTTGGCTAACTTTGGAAATTCTTCAGACCTGTAATGGGGCTATTTGCCTGGGAGTTGGTTCTACTGTTCCTGAAGAGACGGCAATATTAACCATCCCCAAAGTGCAGCATTGAGCCTTTCCCCTTCCCACTACCCCATACTCAGAAGGAGCAATCTATGCCCAAATTTCTTTTTAAAATTAGAAGTATCTCTCTGTATATAAACTGATCACCTAGAGTCTTAATCAGAAAATAAAACTAGTTCTTAAATTTTCTTGGAGGAATTTTGCTCAAGTGATTGTATTATTTCTGCTTGAATAACTCCTTACAAAGGAAATTCTTAAGCTATTTTTCCAGATAATAGAGTCAAAATTAGTTTCTTTCTAATTCTACACATTCATTCTTGTTCTTTCTCTGAGGGGCACAAATAATAATCCATCCTCTTGGTCATAGCCACCCTCATATTCCATCTTTTTCCTAGACTAAATATTCCAATTTTTTTCACCTGACAAGTACTTCACCATCCTAATCATTCTTTCCTGCATACGTCCAGCTTGATTCTCATCTTTTAGGGTACTTGCACTGCAATACTGCTGTAAAATAATGCAGAGTCTTCATGTCCTATAAAGTGGGTTTATTCATAAAGCTTTGGCTCATTTCTAGGTTTTACAACTAATTTGCAGACAAAGAGAATCAATCTTAATTACCTAGTAGCAATCATGAAAATCTTCTCTCCAGTTGCTATCATATGTAATTACATAAATTAGCTGCTAGAAATTTAAAAACTATATTGATTTCTATTTATTGTGTCATGGAATATGTTGAAGAGATAAACTACAGTAAGTGTTCAATTTAAAATGTATGCCTTAAACTGTAACTAAGTCCTGACTTGGTATACCTGATTAAATAGCAACTTAGATATCAACTAGTTTCTCCCCATCTGTTTAGAGATGAGGAGTCAGAGACCCAGAGGAGTAAGTGGCTTGCCCAAGCTATTTTCTCGCTGCCTCAAATTATGAGAAGCATCATTACAGTTCCAGGATCCTTTCCTACAATTCAAACTTCTTTCTCATAAACATGTCATGGTCAGCCTTGATAAATTGCAATTAGACTCAAATTCCACTTTAGTTTGTTAACTGATTTACCTTATATTCTGTACAAAGAATAAAACATCACAAGCCATAAAATACATTTCATTATGTTGTTATTAATAAACATGACAATACTATATAAGCAAAATGTTATAAAATAACATGTAAAACATTAGTTTCTGTGTAAAATCCTATTATTATAAGACATAGCATGTATAGAAAAAATATGTATAGAAAGTGGCAATTTATTTTCATGTCAAGAGATCTGCCTTTGAAAGGGTCTTAGTTGACTAGTCGTAATATTGAATTATGCTTCTAGATGCTAGTTACCTAGTTTAGTACTAGTTTACTAGGTACTAATTATGTTTCTCATGGCACACAAGGCACTCTTGTTTAAATTAATTGTGCCGCATATTTGGCAACTGAAAACTTTGTGGCTTATACAGACAATGGAATATTATTTAGACTTTATTTTAAAGAAGATAACTCTGGTATCTGTAATGTGGATGAAAATGGATGAAACTGGAGGACATTGTTCTAAGCAAAATAAGCCAGATGGAGAAAGAGAAATCCTGCATGATCTCGTGTATATATGTATATATCAAGCTAATGTTTTGTGTCATTTTATAACATTTTGCTTATATAGTATTGTCATGTTTTAATAACAACATAATGAAATGTATTTTATGGCTTGTGATGTTCTATTCTTTGTACAGAATATAAGGTAAATCAGTTAACAAACTAAAGTGGGATTTGAGTCTAACTGCAGTTTATCAAGGCTGACCATGACGTGTTTATGAGAAAGAGGTTTGAATTGCAGGAAAGGATCCCGGACTCGTAGTGATGCTTCTACTAATAATTTGAGGTGGTGGGAATATAGCTTGGGCAAGCCACTTACTTCTCTGGGTCCCTGACTCCTCGTCTCTAAACAGAGGGGGAGAGACCTGTTGATATCTAAGTTTCTATTTAATCAGGTATACCAAGTCTGGACTCCGTTAAAGTTTAAGGCATAAATTTTAAATTGAACACTTATTGTGTTCTTCTAAAGAAGTCGAACTCACAGATATGGAGACTGTAAGGGTGGTTGCCAGAAGTTGGGGCATGAGGACAATGGAGAAATATTTGTCAAGGGGTGCAAACTTTCAGTTATAAGACGAGTAAGTTCTGGAGACCTAATATACAACATGGTGACTATAGTTAATGATAACATATTGTATACTTGATATTCTCTAAGAAGTTAGATCTTAAGTATTCTCACCAACACACACTAAACAAGGGAACTATGCAAGTGGATAATAAGTTAATTACCTAGATTGTGGTAATGATTTCACAATACATATGTATATCAAAACATCACATTCTACACCTTAAATATATACAGATCTTGTCAACTATGCCTTAATAAATCTGAAAAAGCAGTGGCTTAAGATAACAATCATCTGTTTCCTCTGTAGGTCAGAAATTTGGCCAATCACTGAGGATAGCTTGTCACTCCTCATGTGCTGACAGTTCCTCTTTAGTTGTATTCTGCTCAGTTAGAATGTTCAAAATTGCCTCACTCACTTGAATGGCCCCTTAACTGAGATGACTTCAGTGGCTGGACGTGGCTGCGAGGAATGGGTCTGTTTCTGTGATGTCAGCAGGACTCCTGTATATATCTGGGGCCTCAGTTCTTTTCCACATGCCCTGTCTCTCAATGTGTAACCTAGGCATCTTATACTGTGTCTTCATCCCTTCTGAGCAAAGGAAATCCAACAACTCTTACGTACTGGGCTCAGAAGTCCCAAAGCATCAACTCTACAATATTGTACTGGTCAAATGAAGTGGAGAGTCCAACACAGATTCAAAGTGTGGGAAATAGCTCAATCACCTATATGGAAACTAATATAAGTACACACACATACACATACACACACATACACAAAAGTAGTAAACAAAAATTCAAGACTAGAGTATTGGGTATATAGATATCTACTCCTGAAAGAGTGGCTTTACATCAAATTGTCATTTGTCCACATTACTAAAAGTTGTACATTATCTCACTGATGGAAAAATGTAAAATTATAAATTACTATTATGAATTCAACTGCTTTTTAAAGTGAATTTGTGTTTTATTAATTTCAATAGGATCGAAGTACATTTATAACTGTAGAATATGTACATGCCATCATATTATTTATTCATTCTGTTGGCAATTCTTGGAGTGTATGAGTTCTGGACACCCTTACAATAAGAGTTCAGGTCACCAAGGTTGAAATCTATTAATTCCAGAGAAATGAAAGTACTAATATTTAATTGTCAATTTACCACATAAAAGCCAAAGGATACCCTATTCAGGACCTTCAGATCAGCAATTTTATTTTTATGAATATTTTAAATCTAATTTAATTTAATCATTGGCTTGAATCCATACTATGTGTTTAAGAGAATATTATGATCCTGGAATATCTTTACAAAGTATGGAAAGTTTTTCCATATAAAACTTCAGTTTTTCTCATTTTGACAAAATTGTATCTCAACCAAATAATATTAATGTTATAGAAGACTTGATGTAAATCTCTCCCTCTCTCTATCTGCACACACACACACATTCTCACACACATTTTAGAATTTGTAAAATTCGACATATTTTATGAGTATTTTACTACATGTTTAAATCATGTTCTACTTCATGACTGTCTATAACTGCATCTTATTACATCATGCAACTATATTATAATTTAATTCATATTGAGTATTACATTGTTTCAAATTATTTACTATTTGAAATACTATTTTAGTGAATATGCAATTCATAAAGCCTTGTGTGTATTTATGTCACTTCCTTTTTAAACATTTCTGATTGGAGTAAAACCTATCTCAAAAGCTTTTAACATACATAACTAGATTGCTCTACAAAATGTTAAGTCAATTACGCCTCTATCAACAATGTCTGTCCATATATCTTTAAACCTTGGCCAACACTGAATATTGTCATAAGCTGTCTGTCATTATTACTTTGCTAAATAAAAAAAAGTTTCCTATTTTTAAAAAATGTATTTCTTTGGTTACTAATGAGGTTTATTTTCTTGCTTTTCCAAGGCATAAAATAAAATATTTTCTAAAAGTTACAGTTTAATCTCATTTGTGTATATGCACACATATATGCATATACATGTGTATATAGATACACATATATGCATATACATGTGTATATAGATACACATATATGCATATACATGTGTATATAGGTACACATATGCATATACATGTGTATATAGGTACACATATATGCATATACATGTGTATATAGGTACACATATATGCATATACATGTGTATATAGGTACACATATATGCATATACATGTGTATATGGGTACACATATATGCATATACATGTGTATATGGGTACACATATATGCATATACATGTGTATATAGGTACACAAATATATGTATTTTATGTGTGTGTGTATTTACACACACATGTAAAATCAAAATATTAGCAGTAGTTATTTGCCTCCATATTGGTGAATTATGAGTGATATTATTTTTATTCTTTTCTATATATTTTCAAAAATTCTCTGTAATTAAGATAAACACATAAGATCATACAATACAATATAGCTGTCTTTAGAGTTTATCCTTTAAAACTATATTACAATAAAATTCTTACAGAACTTTATCAAAAAAAAATCAGTAGAACAGGACTCAAGTGGGATCTGCCTGTATTCATTATTTGTTGGATTTGATAGGCATTTTACAGTGTGATCTTTGTCAGATAGGAAATAGAAGAATAGGCTTTTGTGATCATCACTGAATGCTGCCTCCCTATTTCAATCATGCATACCTGGAATAGAGCATAGCAATAAGAAAGAGCCTGCCAGTCATTTCCAAATAAATATGATATGGACCAAGAAGTTCCTTCACCCTAACAATACTTCAGTTCAGATTCTCTTGAGTAATAGTTGTGGTGAACTGGTTCTTTTCCTTTTTCTTCTCTTAGTTTGGTTCTTTATCAACTTTCCTTCTCAACCAGGCTCTGGTATCTCCATTCTTTTTCATTTATTTATTTATTTTTTGACACAGAGTCTCGCTCTGTTGCCCAGGCTGGAGTGGTGGAGTGCAGTGGTGCGATCTCGGCTCACTGCAACCTCCAACTCCCAGGTTCAAATGATTCTCCTGCCTCAGTCTCCCGAGTAGCTGGGATTACAGGCACCCACCACCACACCCAGCTAATTTTTATATTTTTAGTAGAAATGTGGTTTCAGAATGTGGGCCAGGCTGGTCTCGAACTCCTGACTCAAATCTGCCCACCTTGGCCTCCCAAAGTGCTGGGATTACAGGCATGAACCACCACACCCGGCCAGTATCTACCTTCTATAATCACTTCTGCTACATCGTTTAGCTGCCAGCTTTCCTTGTGACTTGCCACCATTTCTGTTTCTTCCCAGGGATTTTTTTTTTAATCGCAGTCACGATTTAGTTTTTGAAGCTTTACTTGATTCCCATTCTCCATAGGATATCCTCTTTACTTCCTCTAATTACCTTTAAACTGATCCTCAAAGAATATGGCACTTTTTTGTATTAGAATAAATATCACATCTGGTATTGGTGTCTATTTCTTATCACCTCTATTACATGGTGAGATTTTAATAATAGTAAGAGTACTGAAGATGTTTTCATCATCTCTCTGTGATTCATCATTCCCAAATATGCTTTGCACATAGAGATTACTCAGCACATATTTGGCTGGATGAATAAATAAATGATGTGACTATGTATCAAAAGTTGACTGGATGATCCACACTAGACAGAATGAGCTTCTTGCTCAATAACAAGTTATTCTTAGTAAGCTTGGATGGCTAGAGGAAGATAATTGATAAAGTCGGTTTAGGAGCAGCAGTGACAGTGGGTGCTTCTTGATTCAAAAAAGAAAATCATCATTTTGTTTTTCTATGAGTCTTGAAAAAATTGCTTACCCTCTCCAGAACTCACGGTTTCTGTATCCATAAAAAGAAAGTGATCAACAAGCCAATCTCCATAGCCTCTTGTAGCTGAGAGCATTCTTGAATTTTATTATTAGATTTCATTCAGTTTTAACCTAAAATGAACCTGAACATCTGGATCATCCCTGGAGCCAACAAGCTTTAGAGTCAAGAGGTAGGAATTAAATTTAAACATGTCCCCATTGCTGTTTCCTGGATCGTACACTTCAGCCCATGTAAGAATGAAATGCTACTCTACAGCTGTTGAGCTCAAATTAACTTTTTTTGAAATGATCTTACATTGATTCTGCTAGTGGATTTCTTTTTTTTAATAATAACCTATTAAATCTAACATTTTATCAGTACTTCTGTTATTTTTTAAACCTATGCTCTAAAAAAGTGTGCAAAATAAATGTGCATGTTAAATTGATTTTTACTGGAACTCTATTGCCATTTCAAAGATTAAATAAGTGTTATTGCTGGTTAATTGTCAAGGCAAATGCTTTTGAGGTTAAATTTTTTTGATAACCAACCTCTCTATGAATTAGTTATATCTGTTGAAACAGAGAGATACATTAAATGTCTTCCCTTAGAGGGATACCTAAGAAAAAATATCTTTAGTTATTAGAATATAACTCCTAATTAATAAACTCTTTAAATTTGAGTGATAAAATTTCTGATCTTTTTAAAGTAGAGGAGCTTGAAACATCTGTTATAACTTTAACCTGATCTTTTCTATGGTACTAAAATAAAAACTTCCAGTTAAAGAGTTCAGGCACTGTCTACAGGATCCTTGCAACTCATTATTTTTGTGATTCTATTATGAGTAAATAAGAATAAGTTGAAAATGTTTATTAATTTTCTTCACATCTATGTCTTTACATTAGATTACCAAAGTCATTTTTTATAACCATTGCATATAATTTTGACTAATAGCACTAGTTTGGGAATAAAAGAGAACATAAAGTTAGGACTCATTTAATGGGCATATCTTACTTTATGGATTAAAATAATTATTTAGTGTTTAGAGTCTTCACATTTTGTACTTTAAATCTAATTAAACTGATACTGTTTCTAGGAAGAATATAATATGAATTCAATAGTGATTTGTCTTTGTCTCTGACAGCACTGTCTTAAGGAAGATATTTAGCCCTGCAATAGAAATTCTATTGGGTATTTTAAAAATCACTTTGTTTGCTTTTGCTGATCTCTTGTAACTATCCTCTAAACTTGGTCAGAAGTGGCCCCAATTTTAGCCTCATGCTTTAGACCTGTATCACTTCATGACTGGGTCCCTGACAAGGTAATGAACTTATATCAAAATATAAATTTATATTCGTTTCTTCAGCAAGTTATCCTAAGGAAAAAAGAAAAATATCAGGTGAAATAAACAAACAGCATGCTTAGTGATATACTTTGTTTACATTCTGGTGACACTCCTTATCTCATCATGAACTAGTAGTCAGTAGTTCATGAAGTCCATTGGAGGACCACACTTTGAGTAGCACTGTTTTAGAGGTTCTCCACTCTGGCTCTCCTCCAGCCATGTCCCCCGCCCTCCACAGGGATAAGAATCTGAAGGACTTAGGAAACATGCCTAACCAGAACCACACCCCAACTTCTAGACAATGATGCTGGCACTCAAGATCTTAGAATTTCTTGCCCAAATTACCTGAGCTTATTTGAGCCTTTTCCCCAGTCCTTCCTTCCAAAGGTGGACCACAGTACTGTGTGACTCTTTGTGGGCATAGAGAGATCTTGGATATGTGAGGCTGGCAAGTCCATATTGGTAAACAGTCTCTCATGGTCAATGGGAGTTGAGGCAGAAAAAGGAGTTTTCTATTGTTCAGGGGCCAGGGGCTCTTCTTCAGGCATTATCACCTTTCTAGCAATTCGATCATTCTAAGCTTGAACTTGGCATTCTAGGTAATTGTAGGAGAACATTTCCCTGTATAGGACATGGACCTTCATTGGTACTTTTGCCCAGGCCCTGCAAATGCTAAGAAAAGCCTTGTTTTAGTCTACAGGTATCACTTTGAAAAAAACTCAGAGGGCCGGGTGCAGTGGGTCATCCCTTTAATCCCAACACTTTGGGAGCCTTAGGTGGAAGGATTGCTTGAAGCCAGGAGTTTGAGACCAGCCTGGGCAACATAGCAAGACCTCATCTCTACAATAATTTATGAAAATTAGCTGGGCATGGTGGCACATGGCTGGGGTTTTAGCTACCCAGGAAGCTGAGGCGGGAGGATCCCATAAGCCTGGGAATTGGAGGCTGCGGCGAGCTATGATAGCTCAACTGCACTCCAGCCTGGGCAACAAAGTGAAACCTCGTCTCTAAAAAGAAAAATAATCAAAGGGATCCTTTTTAACCACGGTACTTTTTAGTATGTTCGACCCTTCTCTAATTAGTGTTTGCTTGCATTTTTTGAAGTTTTTTAAAATGCAAAGAATTGTATAGTAATGGATTTTTTCTCTGCCTTTACTCTCTGAAAGGAAATTATATTCTTTCCATGCTATTTTACTTATCAGAAATTTCTTTTTCTCTTTCATTCCCTAGTGAGCCAATCAAGTGTATCCTTCAAATAGTTTTCCACCAGTACTGGCCATCCCCTCACCCTCCTACACCTTTTACTGTTCCAATTTAGCAATAAGATCTCCTGATTCCACAGTCTGCCAGAATTCCCCAGAATGCTGGCTCTTTTTACAGTTTCTTTCTATGAGTTGAAGGGCACTGTTTAAAGTTATGTTTCTTAATAACTTTCCCAATTCACTATTTTCTTTTTTCCCCTTCATCTCCATCTTGAGTATGCATATCTTCATGTACTTACATGTGTATCCATTTAGATATCTATGTGTGTGTAATTTATCTTTATGTCTATTCCTTCCCCTTGGTTTTGAGTTTCTGGCAGGATAGCAACTGTTTCTATTTCTACACAGCACCTAATATAGTGATTGCCGCATGACAGATACTGAATATATGTTATTTAGGTAAATCAAGCAAAATAATGTTATAGATTATAAGAATATAATTGACAAAAAGAATTAGCTCCCTGAATATTTAAGATTTTAAACCACGTTTCAATGAAAAAGTGGAACATAAAAAATAAAAGAAGTAAAGCATTTCTTCTATACACCCTATGAAGTTGAATGTTAAAATAAAGATTCAAACAAAAAGCCAACAGAGAAGCAGGACCCTAAAATCCTGAAGAGGCATAGAATGGAGACATTATTTTTGATTGACTTTGTCATTGTTTTTGGAAAACTGGTGTCTTCATTTTTAAAGATATTATTTCAAGATCTGAAGATTTCCTGCCAGTGTTAAATTATCTTTTTTTATACTTACATTTGGCTTCCCATTGGAACCATTCATTTATTCAGTTTCCATAAAACCCCTAATAGCTACTTAAAATTTTTCTGTTCTTGGCTCTTCTCAAAATTATAAATACAGGTTTGAAAACTAAACTTGATTTCTGTGCAAGTAATTCCCTTCCCTGTTGCCATACCCTTTAATTGCTAAGGAGCTACAACTATGTCCATCAGTTTTATTTATGATAGTCTCATATCTTACTCACCCTAGGAAATGAAAGACCTAGTATATATCAGATTATATTGAACCATTACATTATAACTACCTTCTTTCCAAGTTAAGCTAATGCAAATGAGTGAAAGTAAGAGTGAAAAGAGCTTTTGCTCTTAAAATAGTGAATCACATGAAATTTGCAAATGGCTTTTTTATGCTCGCTGATTTTAGTCTCAGAAAGTTAAATATCCTGTAACTGGAGTGAAAGCAATTCATGAGAAAATTAAATTTTGTATTTGCCAATAATACCGTAATGCTTAGGTTGTTTTGTTTATTAAACATTATGTGGTCATTCTTGCCAAAGATGTGGGTGTATCTGTTAGGCATACAATGTTTTAAAAATGTTATATCCACGGTGTTACAATGTTACAATGTTATATCCACAGTATACTTATAATGTTTGTTTTCAAAATTTGACCTAAAAAGGATATTATATTATCTTTTGTCCTAGACAATGAATATTTGTTCTATTGTATTATATCAATTTAATTTCTAGCTACTACAGTCTAATATCTTGACAAAAATTGTTAGGAAAACATCTAAAAATCTTTATATATCAGAACAGAAAAAGCTCCCTAGAGGAGGAGAAATTTTTAACTAACTCAATTTTTTTCATACTTGTATTCTCAGTGTGTTTATAGTAATCAGTAAAAATCTATTGAAGTATGATATTAAGCTCATTGATTTATAATTTTGTTTGCAAAACCGGCCCAGTTATATGCATAATAAGGTGTCATTATGGTAATTAATAGAAGTATTTAAAATAACAATTATAAATAATTACAGCAAATTTAAAAGCTAACATTTACTTTATGCTTACCATATATCATGCCTAGCACACAATACTGTACAAATATTCTTATTTAATAATCAGAAATAACCTATAAGATAGTTATTGCCATTTTCAATATTTATTTAAGTTTTGTTTTTTGTTTTTCACTCTTATCGCCCAGGCTGGAGTGCAGTGGCGCAATATCGGCTCACTGCAACCTCTGCCTCCCCGGTTCAAGTGATTCTCCTGCCTCAGCCTCCTGAGTAGTTGGGATTACGGTTGCCCACCACCACGCCTGGCTACTTTTTGTATTTTCAGTAGAGACGGGATTTCACCATGCTAGCCAGGCTGATCTCAAACTTCTGACCTCTGATGATCTGCCCGCCTTGGCCTCCCAAATTGCTGGGATTACAGGTGTGAGCCACTGCTCCCGGCCAGGAAATTAAGGTTTAAAAAGACATAAATAGCCTGTCTTTATGATAATGCTTCTTTATAATATTTATCTATTGATTATCATCTATTTCACAAGGCTGGCAAACATTTTGCTAAATTTAGGGCTAGCAAACAATTCAATGTAATCACATTGTCAAGTACATATACCTATATTTCAAAATTAAACTAATCAGTAAGCTAACAACAAACACACTTACATTTGGGACAGTTCCAAAACCTAGAAACATATTTGTGTTAGCGCATGAAAATTATTTATAAAATTAGTTTTTATTAACTTGTATAAGGGACTGTGTACTATGTGATATAACATAGCATTGTAAACCAAAGAAACTCCAAAATTTCTATTTGCTAATTCCAATATAGAAAAAAAACAAAGCTTCAATTTCAAGCCTTCTCTATTGCAGCTATTTTACAAATATTTGTTGTTTGCTGTTTTCTTAAAAAGTCATCATGGAAGTTTTCACACCCATAACAAAAGTCTATCTCAGGGCTTACTTGCTTTAGGACTTTCTTATTTCTGACGTAAGTCTTTCCTTCTACCATTTCAGCATTGTTCTATCTGAGGCTCCAGAAATAAATATGTAGCTAGGTAGATAAATAGATAAATCTACTCGGTACCATCCTTACAATAATTTTTGCTTACTCAATTTTAAATTTCTCCAGAATCAATTACTTAAATCACAATTAGATTCAATGATAAGAAACAAATTTCACTGTTCACTGCATATCACTGAGGTGCCATAAAAATAAACTGTGACCCAGAGTGCCTTTAAAGGTGAGAGATTAAAACTGCTGTTAGACCATTTTTAATTTGAGCAACTAAGAGGTTATTTAAATCAGGATTATAATATATTGTTATAGTAAGTCATTTTTTACTATTATGGCTTTATTATATTGTTTATATCTAAAACTGATCATAGGGACTTTTTTGATCAGATTAATTAATAGTCAATTCATAAATATTGATTACACATCTATGATTAACAGGCATTTAACCCAACATCTAATTTACCTATTTTCCAATGTTCTCAGGCATTTCTTACTAATCAAGCTTAAATTAAATTTTTTTAAAATTATCTAATTTCTTTGGTGGCTTTCATTAAGTTTAGCTAGTAAAATTAATCAGAAACAAATTTAATTACTAATAATTATTTTGAATTTCCCATATGATATATTTAAAGGAAAAGGAGGAACATTCTTTATTCTTTATCTTAAGCCTATCACTCAGAAAAATACATATCAGTAACAGATTCAGCTTTCAAAATTGCATTTTTTTGTTCTAATCTGCTACACTTTTAATAGTGAATTGAAAACTTTGTTGGGTAAATCCACATGCTATGATGATTTCCTCTTTAAACACGTCCAAACTTGTTCTGGTGCTACTTGTTTGATCTAATATCATGTTCGGACGGAACATCTACATGGTTTTTTAAATACACATTTTGGTCAAATTGTAGGGTCTAACGTCAGCATAATATTTGTGTGGTTTTCCAACAGCAAAGTTCAAATAAGCTCCTTAGCCCTCTAACCTCTGGAAAGCAAGCTGCAGCATGATGCACATCAGACATTGTAAGATGTATTTCTATGTTACCCATTAAAATGTTGGCATATATCAGACAGTTCAGTGAAATTCAGACCAATGCAATCAGAATGAAACATGAACTTATGTTTAATGTCACCTAGGTTTGAATCACTTCCCCTGGATTCCCCTACAGTTTCTCTGAGGCTTTTCATTTGTATGTCTTTTAAAAATATATACATTGGTCATTATAGTTTATGATTTAAGAATATTGCTGTAAAAAGAGAGCTGCTAAATATACCACATATATACTACCACCAATTTCCAAAGCAAGGGGACAACATTCCAAGTACAAGAAAAGCCCAAAGATAAGAATGAACCTATCACCGCACATCTGGGAAGCATGAAACAATATGCTTAGATGGTGTGGTGAGTGGTTGTTAACAAACGGTAGGAAGAAAAGCCAGAAGAGCTCAGGTAAACTCAGATTATAAAGTCCTAAATATTACTTTGAGGTGTTAAATTAATTAATTGTAATGCTTCATCGAACAGTTAATTTGGCAGGCACAATGCTGTGTAATGACGGTTCAGATTTGAAAAAAGATAGGAGACCCGCTGTCAAGGAACTCACCGTCTCTTAGGGAGAGAGGCATGAAAACAGTGCCCCGTAGTATGACAAGAACTGTAATATACAACTGTTTCATTGCATGTTTAAATGCAATAAAAACTTGAGGAAAAGATTTATTCAATCTTCCTACGAAAAGGAGAGAATAAAGGCGTCACAAACAGATCTCAGTTAGCCCAGGTGTTGAAAATAAGTGATTGTTTTACTGTTCATATTTTTGCAGCGGGACTAAGTGATTACAAAAATCCAGAGGTAGATACTTAAGTTCAGACAGCACTCTGTCAAATCATGCTATGAATTACTCTCTTCTTTCTAAGGGTTGCAACGATAGATAAAATACACTTTCAAAAATAAAATTTGAGATAGTACCATGTTTGTATTTGACCAGAACAAAAATGTACAGGGGCAACTGTGGACTGCAGCCAATGTCTTCTAGACTAGTACCAGAAAGAGACTGAGGCAATTAATTTAATCTACTACAGGATATGTATGTGTGTATGTATGTCAGGTGACATAAGCCATGTTTATTACATTGAATCAGAAGCCAGGATGGGCTGCTCCAAACTGTGAAAGAAGTCTAAAAAGCTGCGACTATTGCTGTGGTGACTTCTTTGGTAAAATCATGCGTATGGGATGATGAGATAAAGGAAACAAGCCATACACCTTATGACATGAGCCAAGCCACCAGGGATTTGGTGAGGGAATAATCCTTTCCACAGTTTTGCTCACAGGAGAGTAGCACCTGGTTGTAAATATTAGATCTGGTTTTGGACTAAAGAATGAGGAGATAGGAATCCTGCAAAATAGCTACACTGGATCCAATTGGTACAGAGATTAAGAAAATAACAACAACAAAAGAAAATTCCTACTCAAAATGAGACCACAAGCAAAAGGTTTAAAGCCCAGAAGGACAATTAAAATTAAGAGGACCACACTTTCCCTACCATATAGTAGATTAGATAGAGTAACCGTCTTGACTAAAGCTATAATAATGCTGCATAAAATGTTGTAAGGGTCCACACATTCACAGACATGCACAAACAAACACATCTTCTAAGACTCACTAAAATAGAGACACAATGAGCAAAATACACAAATAAAACAGGTACCCTGAGAAATGGAGGATTGCACAGCCAGCCTTCATTCTGAGGGTGTCCACCAAACCTCCATCAAAGTGGAAAAAGTACTTTGATGACTACATGTGATATGACAGAAGAAGATAAAGTTTGGGAAATTCCTAAGTTGACATCCCTCAGCTAAACTGGGACCTCAAAGGACTCTACAGAGACTATAAGGGTAAATAAAAAGCAAATGAGTGACAGACAAAAGTAAGGAAAGAATTTGACCTTCTAAGCTGGGCGAAGTGGCTCACACCCATAATCCCAGCACTTTGGGAGGTAGAGGCCAGCAGGTCACTTGAGGTCAGGGGTTCAAGACCAGCCTGGCCAGAATGGTGAAACCCCATCACTACTAAAAATGCAAAAATTAGCCGGTGTGGTGAATCTGGACATGAGAATCTCTTGAACCCAGGAGGCGGAGGTTGCAGTGAGCAGAGATTGTACCCCTGCACTGCAGCCTGGGGAACACAGCAAGACTCCATCTCAGAAAAAAAAAAAAAAAAAGGAAGAAAAAAGAACAGAATTTGACCTCTCATTTCTGCCACAAAGTGGAAGAGGAAGAAAAAAAAGGTAATCTTCCCCTATAATTCTTTCATAAATTTTTAATTGAAGGTAACTTTCATATATTAAAATTCAAAAATTGAAAATATACAGATATTTGCATTTTGCATTTAAATAAAACAGGTAAGATGAAAGGATACAGAAATTTCTATCACCCCAGAAAATTTCCCCATGCATCTTTCCAGTCAATACGTCCTCTATCCCTGAGGTAACTATTATTCTGGCTTTTAGCATTACAGATTAGTTTTGCTTGTTCTTGAACTTCATGTACATAGAATCACATAGTATGTTCAGTGTTGTGTTTGAATTTCTTCACTCACTTTGATAGGCAAAATAATGGGCCCCCCAAACAATTGCTTCACCTACATTCAGAGGCAAATTTCTCATCATGATTTTCCACTGAATTTAAGGAATAAATTTATTTTTGAATTTATTATTAAATTTAAATTTATTTATTATTGAATTTATTCCTTAAATTCGTTAGTCTTGGAGGAACATATCAGGGCATCTTCCATCATGAGGAAGACTCCAGTGGTGAGTCATAAAGAAAAAAGAAAATTAATATACCTCTTTCTGCTGCACGTCTGGCGTACAGTGTTCCTTTTACAGATGCCTGGGTTATTATTCTACCTTCCCTGCCACAAAATTTGTGTGCCCCACTGCTCTATCTATAAAAATATTTTTTCAATAATCACCTGCTCATACCCAGACTTGTCAAGAAACATCAAATGCAAGAGGGACAAAGGCATTATAAAACTTACATAAACCCATAATGTCACCCATTGTGGCCTTTGTATGCTACTTAGTGGTATTCAGCAAGTAGCATATTTCAACCAAGTAATAATCATTCTTATCTTTTATGTCTACGTCAATCTAACTAAAGGATGCAAGTTTGAACGTGAAGTTAGTTTGAATCCCCTAAGCCCCATTTTGGCTGAGGGGCTATTTGGAGGGTGCACCAAACAGCCAAGACTGGGTTGCTGTTTGAGACGTTAAGGAAAAAATTAGACACTTTTCGAAATACAGTAAGGCAGATTTTACTCAGGACCTTCAGGATAGATATAGGGATTGCTGCAACAGGATTTTGCAGTGGGTAAAAGTTGGGTTCAACTTCAAATGCTGCATGGGCAAGTGGGAATTTATAGCAAAGGAACAGTGTAGAGGTCTGTATTTACTAGTTCTTGCATTGCTATAAGGAAATACCTGAGACTGGGTAATTTATCAAGAAAGGAGGCTTATTTGGCCCATGGTTCCACAAGCTCTACAAGAAGCATGATGCTGGTATCTGCTCAGCTTCTAGGGAGGCCTTAGAAAACTTTCAAACATGGTGGAAGATAAAGGGGTAGCAAAGAACTTCACATGGCCAGAGTAGGAGGAAGAGTCAGGGGAAAGGAGCTACATACTTTTACACAACAAGATCTCACAAGAATGCTGTCACAAGAATAGCACCAAAGGAGGAAATTCACCCCCACGACAGGCCCCACCTCCAGCATTGGTGATTACAATTTGACAATTCAACATGAGATTTGGGTGGGGACACAGATCCAAACCATATCAAGGTTGGTGGATGGAAAATTACTAAAAGAAAACAGGGTTAATGGAAATTATGGCTAACACAATTTAACAGGAGTCTTGCTGACAGCACGTCGAGGTGATTGGACAGCACCTGTGTAATGCCAAAGGTTCTTGCCTTAGTCAAAGAATTGGTGTGGCGGCTGCCCGCGGCGAGTGGTGGAGACAGGGACCAAGAGAAGAAAAAGCTGTAGGCTTTATCGAGCAGTGACAGTACAAAGCTTCCACAGCGTGGAAGGGGTCCCGAGTGGGTAGCCAGAGTTCAATTATGCAGTTGCCTTTTAAACTCTTTAAGGCGGGAAATATGTGCAGAGGGAAGATGTTACCAGAGCGAGAAACAAAGGCAGTAAATTATTTTGTGACATGTCTTAGATTTTGAGGAAAACCAGAATTATAACTTAGGTTTTATTTACTTTATGACCTTGCAGCAGCCTGGCAAAGGAGACAGGATCTTACAGGACTTTACAAAGTATGTTCACAAGGAATTGGAATTGGGAGCATAGATAAGGTCTGCTGGTCACAGAAAAATGTGCAGTTAACATTCCTTTTAGTTTTAGGGGAGGGCGAAGGGAGAGAGGGAGAGAGGACACAGGGAAACTTAGAGCAAAATTTTTACTGTTTATAGCTTTCTTGGGGAAGAAAACACATGCACAAATCCTGGTGTTAGGAATATTTTAAGTATATATCTTCAATATTATTCATCCAGGACCGAAGGAAGTCCTGATGCAAGAAATGAGTGAGTTTCACAGCTTTCTGAGCCCCTACTCGACCCAGGAAGCCCAGCTGGCTCCTTCTCTCACCTGGGGGATGGTACTTTCTCTCCTCTGAGGAGCCTGATGTTTCCTGAGGAACATCATCAGTTATCAAGGGTGATCACATCTTGTCCCTCATATGAAATGGCATAGCACAATCAGCCCTTCATATCTG
This sequence comes from Homo sapiens, assembly GCF_000001405.40. Taxonomy (NCBI): domain Eukaryota; kingdom Metazoa; phylum Chordata; class Mammalia; order Primates; family Hominidae; genus Homo; species Homo sapiens. The sequence continues at coordinate 191,105,618 of NC_000003.12, forward strand.
CAGGTTTCAACCCACAGTTGGTTGAATCTACTGATGCAAAACCCACAGACACAGACGGCTGACTGCAGATGTTCAGGTAAAGAGCATCATTAGAAATAAAGATAAACGACTGAATCATCAGGATTACACAGCAATGATCAGATTGACATAGCAATTTTAATGTAATATGCACCTAATAACAAAACCTCAAATTAAAGTAAAAATTGACAGGTCAACAAAGAGATGTGAACAACAATACCACCATTTTAGTAAGAAATTTTAGCATGATTCTTTCAGGGATAATCACACTAAATAGATGAAAATGAATAAGGATATGTAAGATGTGAATACTTCTATTAACAAATTTTTTTTGGTGAACACTTTTAAAACCTTGAGTCCTTTTATTGGAAAACACAAAGTCTACTAAAATGTCAGAAACTGTTAGGAAAATATGCCATGTACTTGGCCATAAAACTAGTTTCAACAAATGTCAAAAGACTGGCATCATGTAAACCACATCTTGTGACCACAATACAATAAATCAATGGAAGTTCATTTTAAAAGTTAGAAACTAATAAAAACAGTAATAACAATAAAAGTAATAACCTGCTTTACAGGTAAGTTTTGCCAAACATTTAAGAAATAGATAACTGCAATTTATAAAAATATTTACAGAACACAGAAAAAAAAAGAATAGCTTCCAAATTATTTTGTGAAAGTGTCATAACCTGATATTGTTTGGATGTTTTTCCCCTCAAGATATCATGTTGAAATATAATCTCTAATGTTGAAGGTGGGACTTAGTGGGAGGTGCTGGATCATGGGGCTGATCCCTCATGATTGGCTTAGTGCCACCCCCTTAGTAATGATTGAGTTCACACTCATTTCACACAAGATCTGGTTGTGTAAAAGAGCCTGGGGCCTCCCCTTTCTTTTTCTTCCTCCCTCTCTTACCCTGTGACAAAATGACTCCCCTTTTGTCTTCTGCCTTTATTGGAAGTGTCCTGAGGCCCTCACCAGGAGTCGATGCTGCTACTATGCTTCTTGCAGCCTGTCCCTGTGGTAGAAAAGGGAAGAGCATCTTCAGGAGAAGAGTGCCAGCAGGCTGCGTAGCAACCATTGCTAGAGAGATTAACATGAGTAAAAGGGAGCCAAGTCCTAGTAGCCAAGACAATGTGAATAAGTCCTTGAAGGCATTTCCAAGACCATGGAGACAGCCCCTCCCATCACAGGACCAGAGGTCTAGGAGGAACGCCTGAGTGCCCAGGTACATACAGAACTATAAGCCAAAATAAATCTCTTTGCTTTATAAATGACTGAGTCTCAGGTATTCCTTTATAGCAGTGCAAAACAAACTCATGCAGAAAATTAGTACCAAGGAGTGGGATATTGCTATAACAGTCCTTGAAGATGCGAAACGTCTTTGGAATAGGGTATTAGACAGAAGTTGGAAGAGTTTGGAAGGCTCAGAAGAAGATAGGAAAATGAGGGAAAGTTTGGAACATCTTAGAGACTGGTTAAGTGGTTATGACCAAAATGCTGATAGAAATATGGACAGTGAGGGCCAGACTGATGAGGGATCAGATGAAAATGAGGAAGTTATTAGGAACCAGAGCAAAGAACTTGGTTGCATCATGTCCATGTCCTTGGAATCTGAGGAAGTTTGACCTTGAGAGGGATGACTTGGGGTAACTGGCTGAAGAAATTTCTAACCAGCAAAGCTTTCAAGATGCTGTGTGGCTACCTCTAACAGCCAACAATCATATATTGGAGCAAAGAAATTACTTAATGTTGGAACTTATATTTAAAAGAGAAGCAGAGAATAGAAATTTGAAAAAACGTGAAGCCTGGCCCTGTGATAGAGAAGCAAAGAGTCTTTTCAGGAGAAGAATCTAAGCAGGCTGCAGAGCAACGGTTGCCAGAGAGATTGGCTTGAGTAAAAGGGAGCCAGGTGCTAATATCCAAAACAGTAGGAATAAGGCCTTGAAGGCATTTCCAAGATCTTGAAGACAGCCCATCCTATCACAAGCACAGAGATCTATGAGGAAAGAGTGGTTTCAGGGCCCAGGCCTGGGGCCCCATTGCCCTGCTCATACTTGAGACATTGCTCCCCACATTCTGGCTGCTCCAGCTCCAGCTGCTCCAGCTCCAGCTCCAGCTCCAGCTCCAGCTCCAGCTCAAAGGGCCCCAGAACAGCTCAGGCTGCCACTCCAGATGGCACAAGCCATAGGTTTGGTAGTTTCCACATGGTGTTAAGTCTGCAGACACACAAAATGTGAGTCTGAGAGAGGCTTGGCAACCTCCCCCTAGATTTCAGAAGACGTTTTGGAAAGCCCTGGTACCCAGGTAGAAGCCTCCTGCAGGGGCAGAGCCCCCACAGAGAGACTCTACTAGGGCTGTGCCAAGGAGAAATGTGGGGTCAGAGCTCCCACACAGTCTCCAGTGGGGCACTGCCTAGTGGAGCTGTGGGAAATGGGCTGCTACCCTTCAGGTCCCAGAATTGTAGAGCCATAGGCACCTTGCATCCTGAGACTGGAAAAGCTGAAGGCACTCAACTCCAATCCATTTGTTTGGGGAACAAACACCAGACATAGGGGCTGCACCCTGCAAAGCCACAGGGACCGAGCTGCCCAAGGCCTTGGAAGCCCAGTCCTTGTACCAGTGTGCACAGGCTGTGAGACACGGAGTCAAGGGAGATTATTTTGGACTTTAATGTTCAATATCTGCCCTGCTAATTTTCACACTTGCATGGGGCCTATTGCTCCTTTGTTTTGACCAATTTCTGTCTTTTGGAATGGGAATGTCTACTCAATGCCTGCACCACTATTGTGTCTTGGGATTAAATAATTCATATTCGTTTTACAGGATTATAGGTGGAAGTAACTTTGCTTGAGTCTCAGATGAGACTCAGGACTTTGAACTTAATGCTGGGATGAGTTAAGTCTTTGGAGGGTTGTTGGGAAAAGATTATTGTATTTTGCAATGTGAGAATTATATAAGATCTGGGGGACCAGGGATGGAATGTTATGGTTTGGATGTGTGTCCCCTCCAAATCTCATGTTAAAAATATAATCTCCAGTGTTGGAGGTGGTGCACAGTGGGAGGTATTGGATCATGCGGGCAGATCTCTCATGAATGACTTAACATCATCCTCTTGGTAATGAGTTCTTACTCATTAGCTCACACGAGATCTGGTTGTGTGAAGGAGACTGGGATCTCCCCCTTCTCTCTCTTTCTCCCCATCCTGCCATGTGACATGATTGCTCCTCCTTCAGCTTCTGCCATGATTGGAAGCTTCTGGTAGCCCTCAACTGGTGCAGGTACTGACACCATGCTTCTGGCACAGCCAGCAAAAGTGTAAGCCAAAATAAACTTGTTTTCTTTATAAATGACCTAGTGTTAAGTATTCCTTTATAGCAGTGTAAAACAGACTAACACATAATTTTTTATTGTACTTTAATTTCTCACATAACTTGTATTACTTTGAAAACTTTGTAACCATTGTAAACTTCATAACAAAACCAAACTGACAATATAGTAAAAGGCAATTACAGTCCATTCCCCCTCAAGAATGTACATGTAAAAATACCACCCGTAATTCTGGAAAATAGAATCCAACAATGTATGAAAAACAGAAGATAATAAATCGTGACAAAGTTTCACTAATCTCAGAAATGTTGTCTCAATGTCATTGAGCAAAATCATTGCAAATCTAGAATCACATACCCTTTTATTAGTCAAAAGATCATTGAGGTGAGATTTTTTACCTGTGGTAAAACTACTACAAATCTTTAATTTTGTCCCTGTTAAACGGTCAAGGATTAGTGACAAAAAATGGTACCTTTAGATATACAAAAGTAAGAATGATGATGATTATTAGATAATTGCTATAATAACTACTAAAAGATATATTCTAGAAGAAAGGAATAGTGAACATAGAGAAACGTTTTAAAATCCATAAAACAATCAGGAGCCAAAATGATTTTTAGTAAATCCTTGTTGAAGAATAATAACATTAACTATAACTATGTTTAAAAATATAGAAATAAAATGACAGAAAATAATAGAAATGAAGTCAGAGATGTTCAGTGTTAATATAGTTCTAAGGATATTGATGTTTTCTTAAGGAGTAAAATAATCTACATTTTGCCCTTTAAACTCATATATATTATATATATAGTTAATCTATATATGTTATGCGTACCATATATAAGTGTTATACCCTTATATAAGGGTCAGTGGAATTAATGGTTAGTTTGTTGTTTTTCTTTTATGTTGTATTTCACACTTTTCTGTATTTAAAGTTTTTTTCAGACACAGAAAGTAGGGACACGCATTTGCACGGAGGATTTGTCAAAGAACAGGTAGTTACATATTACTGGAGGATAGAATAAAGAAGGAAGAATAGACTAGCAATATAGATGGAAAGCAAATTATGGAATCTCTTGTGCAATCATGCAAAGGAGACAGCACTTTCATTAAAAGTTAATAGATTGCCATGTAACAGTTACAACAAGAGAAGTAATTTTAACAGATTTCTCAGTAAACTATCGCAAGAACAAAAAACCAAACACCGCATATTCTCACTCATAGGTGGGGACTGAACAATGAGAACACATGGACACAGGAAGGGGAACATCACACTCTGGGGACTGTTGTGGGGTGGGGGGAGGGGGGGAGGGATAGCATCGGGAGATATACCTAATGCTAGATGACGAGTTAGTGGGTGCAGCACACCAGCATGGCACATGTATACATATGTAACTAACCTGCACAATGTGCACATGTACCCTAAAACTTAAAGTATAATAAAAAAAAATGTAAAAAAAAAAAAAAGAAAGATAGCTAAAATAGCAAAGTGAGTGACTGATGATACCGCGAAGTTAGAGGCGGAAAGACAAATAGCATGATACTATAAAGTCCAAGTCAAAGATAATGTTGACCTAAATTAAAATGTTGAGAATGAGTGAAGCTAAAAGGACAATGTTGAAAGTTACTTTTGAGGCATCCCTACTTTCTAAAATTCTCCCTCACATGGCAGAATTTGCAGACTGCTTAATAGCTCAGGGGTCATCCTCTATATAACTGCTAGATTCTGATGTAGAGCATCAAATAATCCACAGTATTGCTAGATATATTAAACATACAATTGCCTTGCTGAAAAGGTGAGTCTTTTAGTTGGCAAAAAGATGGTCTGGACTTAAGCACTTTTCTAGCATTTTTTTCTATCCTTTAAAGAGGTGCGGTGTCTTTTTCTTTAAGAGCCCGAAACTTAACTTTTCTATTAACTCTATTATCAATCATTGTAAAATTTTCCATTTGGTATGCTTGATTCAATAACAATTGAATTGTGTTTCTGTGCAAAGAGGTAATTGGCTTGGCCAAAATCATCCCATTTCATTTTCCATCCAAATACATGTTTCAATCAACACCTGAAGATGTTACACAGTGAAATAAAGGAATTTCAAATCTGGTTAAAGGAAATTCATGTCAGAGGCACTGAGTGAAAACACAGGCTACATAGATAGGTCTGGAGCATTAATTTATCTTATAAAACAAAAGTAGCAAATGTTTCTTCTTCCTCTTTAATAGGAAGTCAGGCCAGTTGGGAATTGTCCTCAGTTATGCTTCTTCTCTATATAAATTTCCAGTAGAATGTACTGGAAAAAAAAATGCCTGTTAAGGAAAAGGAAACATGCTAGATTAATTAGAAATAAAAATGAGAAAGATTTATAAAATTACCTGGACTTTTCTCCCAACAACTGACTCCAGGGAGCTTTTAACCCCACATTTATTTGCACAACATTTATAAATTCTGTGCCATGTTCTATAAACACACTGTCTTCAGACTCACTGAAAAATATATTATATCTATATTTTGACTTCAAAAATTATACCACTCTTAGAGTTTGCTTTTTAGAGCTAAAATAGTAAAGAAAATATTGACCAAGAATATAGATACACGTGTTTAAAAAGCAGTCTCTGAGAGGACTGATAAATATATTGTTTATTTAGACTAGAATTAATAGGTCTTCAACTCTTACAAACTAAATGCACAAGGTTGGCCAACAGAATAATTTGTTAAGTTATGTAATTTTTGGTAGATGATTTTTTAAGTAGCTAGTTTCTATTTAGACTCAGGACTAGCTTATAGGCCATGATAAATTGATTTTAATATATTTTGCACACCTGCTGTCCTTGCAGTAAGGAAGATACTCAGCACCCACTGTCAGTGGATATGTGCATGAGCACACACACACACACATGCACACACACATGCACATGCACACGCACACACACACATGCACACAAACACATGCACGCACAAAAACACACACATGCACACACACGTACACACACATGCACACACACACACATACACCAGTCAAATCTGATTACATGTCTCTTTTTCTCTCCTCTTTTCTGCATGATGGTGCTGTCATAAAATTTGTTTCTCTAAATATTGTTCTGTTATGTTACCTCTGTGTCTTAGTGTATTATTACATTTGAGTTTTTAAGCCTAAAAAACATTCTGTCCTCATCCAGCAGATGCTGAATCTGTTAGTTTAAGCTAAAGAACTACTTTATTTCTCTTATCTCCAAATTCGTGGTGAAAGGAAGGCATTTGTCATGGTAGAAGTTTCTATTACATGATAATTAGAAAAAAGTGGGACCAAGAGTAACAATAAGTCAGAGTCACAGGAAATGAGCCATGGCAAATCTTTCCTTATTAGGTGTCAGCATTATTGAAGGCTTCTTTTAATATCATGTTCTCTGTGGTGGCTTTGTATTTATCAAGCAAAATTCTGACAATCAATTTCCAAAGTATGCTTCCTTATTAAAATATAATGTACTCACTGATTGATCCAGAAATACACATATATACAGTATATAACATTGTGTATATATACATACATATACACACATATATATACACATATATATACATATATACACACATATATACATATATACACACACACACACACACACACACACACACATATATATATATATATATATCAGTGTAGCTGAGTCATTGCATCTTGAAGTAATATGGTTTGAGAAGCAGTCTCTAGGATCTAGGATTTTTGTTCAAAACCAGCAATAATCTTTTTGTCCATGTCCCAAAGCCCAAAGCATTTGACCTTGCAGAGATGCTTAATAACTGATTGACTATTTGACAGAATTTTTAGAGATCTTTTTCAAATCTATATGCACTCTGAAATCCTAGAAACAGAGTCAGAATATTGTGATGCTTTTCATGGCTCTGCCACTATCTCACTATGAGGTTTTCCCCTCTCAGAGGCTTTAGAAATGATTGCTTTGGTTTCCTAAAGTTCACGTCACTGAAAAGATTAAGTGTATTTCCTCTCATAGCAAAAGCCTCTTCAGTGGCGGGCTGAGGTGGGAGGAATCCTGAGGTCAGGAGCTTGAAACCTGCCTGGGCAACATAGTGAGACCCTGTCTCTACAGAAAAGAAAAAAATAGCTAGGTGTGGTGACAAACGACTGTAGTCCGAGCTACTCGAGAGGCTGAGGTGAGAGGATCACTTAAGCTTAGGAGCTTGAGGCTACAGTGAGCTATGATCACACCAGTGCACTACAGCCTGAGCAACAGAATAAGACCCTATCTCTATAAAATAATGAACTAACTAAATAAATAAATAAGACTACTATATCTGGCAAAGACATGCTTCAAAAATGAAGAAGATATGCCTTGCTTCTCAGACAGACACAAGATAAGAGAGTTCGCTACCACTGTCTCACAAGGAACACTAAAGAAAATTCCTCAAGCAGTAATGAATGAAGGCTAATTACTAACATAAAAACATATGAAACTATTTAATTCGTTAATAAAGGGAAATATATAGTCAAATTTTGAATACTATAATACCGTAATGGTGGTGTACAAATTACACAACCCTAGTATAGTGGTAAAAAGATTAAATTATTTAAAATAAATGTAGCTATAATAATTTATTACTGGATACACTGTATAAAAAGATGTAAATGGTGACATTAAGAACATAAAATGTGGGAGAAAGCAAAAGTATAGTTTTTTGTATGCAATTGAAATTAAACCATCATCAGCCCAAAATAGTCAGGTATAGCTATAAGATATTTTATGTAGGCATAATGGTAACCACGAAGCAATAATCTATAATAGATACACAAAAGACAAAGGGAAAGGAATCAAAGCATGCCCACTGCAAAATATCTCTGAATCACAAAGGAAGACATCAAGAAAGGAACAGAGAATCTACAAAACAGTCAGAAAACAATGAACAAAATGGCAATATTAAGTTCTTATGTGAATAATTACCTCAAATGTAAATTGATTAAATTATTCAATAAAAATAAACATTAAAAAATTCTATAGTATCACGAAGTGGGATTTATCCCAGGGTATAAGGGTGGTTTCACATAGGTAAATCAAGCACTGTGATATACCACATTAACAGAACGAAAGATAAAACCAAATGATCACATCAATCGATGCAGAGAAAGCACTTGATACAAGTTTAGCAACATTATTGATAAAAACTATCAACAATTTCTGTATAGAAAGAAATTTACTCAAGATAATAAACGTCATTTATAAAAATCCCTAGCTAACATCATAATCAATAAGAAAAAACTGAAAGTTTTTCATATAATATCCAATATGAGGAAATGATGCCCATTCTCACCACAGCTATTTAATGTAGTATCGGAAGTACTAGCAAGAGCAATCAGACAATAAAAAGAAATAAAGGCATCAAAATTGAAAAGGAAGTAGTAAAATTATACCTGTTTGCTGATGACACTATATTATGGAGAAAAACCCTGAAAAGACATAGAGGAAAACTGTTAGCACTATTAAGTAAATTCAGTAAAGTTTCACGATACAGTATCAACATACAAAAATCAGTTGCATTTCCCTACAACAATAATGACCTATCTAAAAAAGAAATCAAGAAAAGCATCCCATTTATAATAGCACCAAAGAGAATAAAATACTTAGGAATATATTTAACCGAGGAGATAAAAGAACTACACACTTAAATCTATAAAATGTGAATGATAGAAATTAAATAAAACACACAAAAATGTAAAGATATCCCATGTTAATGCACTGGAAGAATTAATATTATTAAAATATCCATGCTACCCAAAGTAATATACAGATTCAATGCCATCTCTATCAAAATTCCAGTGGTGCTTTTCATGGAAATAGAAATATTTATTATAAGATTCATATGGAACCACAAAAGACCTCAAGAAGCCAAAGCAACTTTGAGCAAAAAGAACAAAACTGGAAACTTTACGCTTCCTGATTTCAAATTATATTGCAAATCTGTAGTAGTCGAAACAGCATGGTTACTGGTTAAAAACAGACATAGACCAATGGAGCAGAATGGAGCCCAGAAATAAACCTGAACATATATGGTCAACTTATTTATGATAAGGGCACCGAGGAGACGCAACAGGATAAGGATGATCTCTTCAACAAACCGTATTGGGTAAAATGGACATCCACATGCATATGAATGAAGTTAGACCTTAATCTTACACTACACACAAAAATGTACTCAAAACAGATTACAAACCTAAATGCAATACATGAAACCATAAAACTCCTGGAAGGAAACATAAGAGAAACACTCTTTGACATTGACCTGGGCAATGATTTATTTTTTTTTAATATATGTACACCAAAAGCTCAGGCAACAACAACAACAACAACAAACACGTGGGGATACATCGAACCGAAAAGCTTCTGCACAGCAAAGAAAACAATCAACAAAATTAAAAAGCAGCCTATTGATTGTGAAAAAATATTGGCAAACCATATACCTGACAAGGGATTACTATCCAAAATACATAAGTAACTCGCAGAACTCAATAGGAAAAAAAAAGTAATGTGGTTTAAACATGGGCAAAGGACCTCAATAGTCATTTCTCTAAAGCACATATAAAAATGAGCAACAGGTGAATGAAAAGGTGCTCAATATCACTAATCACCAGGGAATTGCAAATCAAATTCACGAAAAGATACCATCTCACACCCATTAGCATGGCTGCTATTAAAAAGACAAGAAATAGCAAGTGTTGGCAAGGATATGATGAAAAGTGAACACTTTTACACTGTGTTCATAAACACTTTTGTGAAAACTGTGTGTGTATATATATGTATATACATACACATATATACACATACATATATACACATACATATATGCACATACATATATACATATATACATATATACATATATACACTGTGTTCATAAACACTTATGAAAACTGTGTGTGTGTATATATGTGTATATGTGTATATATGTATATATGTATGTGTATATATGTATATATATATGTATGTATATACACACACACACACACACACACACACACACACAGTTTTCATAAAAGGATGTGTTATTCCAAATCCATTCTCTACTTTTCTTGGTCCTGCCATATGCCCTCAGAAGCTGACATCAACCAACTATATCTCCTGGGCTTCCTTGACCTCTGCTTCTTATTGAATTGACCAACGGAAATACAAGAAAGCAAGGTTCAGGAGGGTATGGAGTGCTGAGTATTTATGCTTCTACATCCCACAATTGTGTGCCAGGTGATGATTTAGCAGTGCCTAAATTCTTTACCAGCTCCTCTTAGGGAACTTTCTTTCACTGCTATCTTTCCAGATTCTGACAGCAACCGTTTCCACCCTTGACCCTTCAGGCCAAGAGATTACGAGATTTTCCCACTGTTGCTAGTATCTGGGTACTTTGTCATTCTTTATTGGCTCCCTTTTCCATGCACACATTTTTATAAATGTGTCCTTCATTAAGCTTTCCTCGGATTAACCTTTGGAATGTGCTTCCTTCTTGGACTCTGACTGATACAAATGAACATTTGATATCGATATATGACTTAATCATTATTTTAAAATGCATAAACCAGGACACTATCAGTGCCACTCTTATCATTCTCTGCCCTAGTCATTTTGTCTTCTTTATACAAGGCATACATTTTTCTGAACTAGATTTATCAATTTTTTGCGGGCAGGTACTATATTTTATAGATCTGTGTGCTTCTGCCCAGAGCATAAGCATAATTGGCATTCAAAGAATATTAAATTAAAATTATATTCATATAAATTATGCTAAAGTAAGATAGTGAATTGGTATGTAAGATACTTTAAAATTCATCCAAATATGTTGTTAATTTTAAATAGGCAGATTATGAAGGCAGTGACAGTGGCCTTTGGAGTAGAAAAGAGTCATGACTTTAAGCTGATATAGTTCAAATTAAGTTAACTATATCAGTTAATCTGATATCATTTCAATATTTAATTGAAAACAGAACATTTTTCCTTCTTAAAAGTTCCTTTTTAAGGTAATTTATGTAAATGTTATATAAATTTATCCCATTTATAACTTTAAAAATTTCAATGTCCTTTTCAAAGGTTTTGCAAAGTTGGCTTATTGCTTTCTGAATATCTGAAAGCAATTTTATGGATGAAAACTTTAGAATATATAGATTTTAAAAATCTAAAAGCATGTTTAAGTGGATTATAAATGCTTTCAATGTACAAGAAGGCCCACTTACAATTACTGACTTTAATTACCTCTAGATTCAAAGTTTTCAGAGTGCATTTACCAAAACATGTCTTTTTCTGGTAATCTTATCTAGTCGAATTCATGTGGTAGTCAGCAACTGCTAACTAAAAGTTTCAAGTCTCTTTGTAGAGCCATGAACTTTATATGTTAACCTGGCCTATTTTCCCACCAAAGCTCTTTATATTTGCAATCTAAATTAGACATTTCAATTAAAATGGTTTCCTGAAACTATTAACATAAAAAGACTTTGAAAATGTAATAATTTATATTGGATTCATCTAACTTTGGAAACCATTGCCTCTGGGAGCTTTTATTATTTCAACATTCATTCATGAACAAATATTTTATATGTGCTTGGAACTATGCTAGCCTCTAAGAATAGGGTGATGTTGAACAAGATAGGTACAATCTCCGACATTAAATATATTAGTCTGGGAAAACAGCCAACTAGATGAATAATTTTTATAAGGTGTAATCAGAAAAAGGATAGAGTAAAATGCTTTTGCAGCAGGGAAAAAATTTAGTTACTAGGTAAAGAAAAGTATCTCAGAATAACTGACCGTTATAATAATATCTGAATAGGAGTCAGAAGATTAAAACAAATAGGAAGGTATTATGAAAGATAGATTAGTCTAGAATGACAGAACAGCAAACACAAAGGCTCATATTCTGGAAAAGGTTACTGAAGACATTTTTTAAATGATCTTTATTCTTATAAAACAAAATCATGCAGATAAAGTTGAGATTGCAGAGGCACATCAGATCATGAAGTGCCTTATAATTAACATTACAGAAATTGGACTTTGTCCCACAAATGATAAAAAGAACGATGCTTAAAAAAAGGGAAACGATGTGATAGATTTACATTTTGAGAAAATCATCATGATTAAATACAGTGTTTATATCTAAACAGGAAAACTGAAGACAATGAAAAGCGTTAAAACCAATGATCATTCAAGTAGTAACTTTATCATTTGTGCAGGTGTCTGTATATACATTATCCTCCAATAAAGAGTTTACTTAAAGATTTTTAAAGAGCTATTGAGTACTACTTTGTGCTAGTCACTAATGGATAATGGGGATACATAAGAAACAATAACTTGATTTAATAAAAAAGAAAAAATGAAAGTAAAAATAAGCATATGAAACAAGTAGAAAAAAATAGTAAGATAAGCATCAAGTCTAAATATACCAGTACTTACTGATGTATTATTATCATTAATAAAAATATATTTTTTATTAAATTTATTTTTAAAAGACAGCTCTGTGCTGCTCATAAATGACATACTTGATATATGAGAACATAAAAATCTGAAAGAATATGTAGAATATAAATCCAATTGTGAAATAGCTATTGGAGCCATCCCTACTCCATTTTCTGAGAGCTTTACCTTGAGGCCAAGTTTTTCTCTTACCTGATTTATTACCATAACTACTTTCCTGATCTCACAGCTCCCCATCCTGCCCCTCACTCTCTATGTATATATGGTTCAATCACTTCTTTACGCTTCTAAGAGAGTTACCTTTCTAAAATTCAAGGCTGATGCAAGACCTCAATTCTGTTCCCTACTCTCACCTCTGGGATAAAGAACCTTGTCTTATTCAACTTCATTTATAGACCCCAGTGTAGTGTTTCTCACATACTACATGCTCAATTACTGTTTGGTTAATAAAGTAAATGACTCTAAAATGGTTATGTTTAAAAAGGACTGAGTTGGACGTGTGAGTGTGTGTGCTTGTGTGCATGCATGTGCATTTGAGTGGATGAGAGACAGAGAGAGGAAGGTCATTAAGATCATAGAATAAAGTGCTTATGAAAAGAGATCATCTGGTATTTGAGTAAAACTCTAATGATGGAAAATAAGAATGAGCAAGATTAAACACCACGCCCATAATTCTGTCTTAACTGAAAAATCATAATATAGGAAAGATGAAGCAAGGGAAAACTAGAAAATGTTTTAGGGGTACTTGCTGATCACACTCAGAAGGAAGCATAAATTCAATTCAATCTAACTTACGTCAACTGGCTCTCAGTGCTCTATCTAGCCATGAAAGGAAGACAGTTTTTCAGTTCCCAATGCTACGTCAAGTATAAAAAATTCAAATAGGTAAGTAACAGTCCTGACATCAAGACATTCTAGATCTTCTGGCCAGAATGAAAGGAGGTTATTCTTCCTAGGTTATACCTAATGTAACCTGAAATGGTCCAAGAAGCACATCTTCAAGTAGGAGAGACCTCAATTCATATTTAAAGCATAAATAGAAGCTGATTTTCAGAATAGGCTAATACATTGGATACTCCTTCAAGATAACATTGTTTAAATTTTTGACAACATTTACAGTCAACTTCCTGAGTGGTTAAGAGCTCAGACTCTGGACCCAGATTGCTCAGGTTCAAATTCAGACTTTGCCTTCACTAGCCATGTTGACTTTGAGCAAGTTATTTAAACTCTGTGGGCTTCAGTTTTCTCATTTTTAAAATGGGAATGATAACAATAACCCCTACCTCACAGATTATTTTTTGTGAGGATTGAAAGGGTAAATACATGTAAAACATTAGAACAGTTTCTGCTACTTAGTTAATGCTAGTCAGAGATACCTATTGCCATTTATTTTCAGAAGTTGGCTGAGTTCTCTCTGTGGGATGCTCACAGAAGCATGTAGCCACTCTATTGTTCTGAGCAATCTAGCTCTGTCCCCAAATTTTTATATCCCACACACCAAATCAAGACTCATTTTCCTTCGAAGGTAGTTTACAGAATTCTACTACTTAACTTTGCCTCTTGGGAACCTCACCCTGACACAGGGTTCAGTGTTCCTTCCAATTATCAATATTACTGTCTCTGGTAAACTCAATAGTTTCTCTGGTGTGTGACAGTTTCAGTGATGTGTGACAGTTTCAGTGATGTGTCTCCTTTCTTCTAGGTCAGGAGCCCAGTAACAATGTCACAAGCCCGCTCACCAGGGATTAAGAAAATTGCAAGGCGTGTGTCTGTGAATGAGGGCTTGAAAGGGGAAAGAGAAAGATCTTAGCATTCTAAGAAGAGGGGCTTGATTGTTTTTTTATTTTATTTTACTTTATAGTGAATTACTTAAGTTTGGACTCCATAATCTCTTTATGTTTCTTTACAGTCCCGAGACACTGATAAATTTCTACCTGGTCACAAGTAGGCAGCCCAGCTTAAATGTGGGGTAATTGACCCCCAAACACATAATTGCCTGATCACAGTTCCCTGTTCAATTTTTGCACCAAATTGAAATCTCAGGTTTTTGTCTGACCAAAGAGGTTATGCATTTGGATATATCTTAGCTAGATTATATGAGAGAATTTTTAAAATCTCCTTTGCTAAAATAATTTTTTTGGGAGGAAAGCCTTCATAATATGTATCCAATCCGGCAACCCCTGTACCCAAGAGAAGTTCTGAGCAGACATTCAAAACATGCTTGCTGAAAGACTGACCAAACAAATGAGTTAATCATTTCCCTCACCCAAAAAATGAGACAATTTCCCATTTTTTATTTTGTATGGTGACCAAATAAATGAGTTAATCATTTCCCTCACCCAGAAAGTGAGCCAGTTTCCCATTTTTTATTTCATATGGTGAATTTATCTTTTTCCAAAGCCTCCAGCTCAGACTGTGTTTAACACTCCATTAAACAAGGGAAAGCCTTGCTGTTGCCAGATGGTTTTTGCAAACTTACTCTTCCTGCAAAAGAGCAAACTGGAAAGGCTTCCTGCAAAAGAGCAAAATGGAAAGCAATCAAAAACAGCAATAGGTGGGAAATGTAGATAACTATTTGTCTCATGTAGGTCACTTGGCTCCATTATGGAGAAAGCAGCATGTCCTCTAAACACACAGTTTTTAGAACCAGTATCTTGATGCAAATGCTTCCCCATCAATTAGTAACCTTTGGTTGAGATATGCACGTACCTTCCAGACCTCACTGTTAATAAGAAGCCACAAGGAGCATAAAGAAAAAGAAAGCCCAGTATATAAGATTATTTTTTAAAAAGTTAAGCACAAGTATATAACCAGTACTCTTGCCATGGAACAAGTATCATTGAAGTGTTCATAGGAAGCATTGTGACTTCTCTAGAGATGCCAAGGAAAAAATCAGCAATTAAAATAGCAATACAAAGTGTTTAACTATGTGCCACATAATGTCCTAATAGTTTTACGAACATTAAATCATTTACTCTTCACAACATGTGGAGTGCTATTGTTATAACTGCTCCTTTACAAATGATAAAACCTAAGCAAAAAAAGTTTAGAAATGTTTCTAAGAGTCTCGCAGATAGTAAGTGGCAGAGTCTGGATGCAAACCAGCTATTTTAACTCCATGTTCTGTGCCTTAACTACTATGCTATATAGGAAATAATGATAATAAACAACAAGTTTTAAAAAACGGATCATACCTCTAAAGCCTCTGAACTAAACCAGTTGATAATGTATTTTTAATTTGAGCTTCTAGCAAATCAATATAATAAATGTATGTGCTAATCACCGTGTTTCACTCTGTGGAATCACAAAATGATTTACAAAGAACAATTTCTCTGTCAGAAAATTTACAGTGAAATTTGAGGCAGATGTGTACAACCAATGATAACGAGTCAAATGAATTAAGTGCCACAATAGAGAGACACTTTGTGACGTGAGAGGTCACTATTAGAAACAATTGGTAATGGAATTTTTTAAATTTATTTCAAATAGTTAAACTAAGAGTCCAGGATACAGGGGCTTAAAATCACAAACAGAAGGTTATAATCATATAAGTGGTAAGGTATAAATAGCAAAGTTTAGAAATCAAAAGATGTTTTATCTATGACTGGTTCTTTCACTAACTAGCAGAGTTTCAGTTACCTTATCTTTTATGTAGAGATATGGAAATGTTTCATTCACATTTATTTACATTTTTGGTTGGTTTCAGTGGATCATGCATTTAGGTGAGATTCAGGTAACAAAATGTGGAAAAATGGGCACAGCAATCTGTGTGGGTATTGTTAGTGTAGTCATCATGAACTTTTGATGCTTTTCATTTGCTGCCATACAACAAAATTCACTATAGCCACCTCGTATGTACGCTGTTCACAACTTCAAGGTAGAGCACATAGGGTCAAAGAAAAGGAGGAAGAGATTCTTTTCTTCTTTTTTTTTTTTAGATGGAGTCTCAATCTGTTGCCCAGGCTGGAGTGCAATGGCACTATCTCAGCTTCCTGCAACCTCTGCCACCTGGATTCAAGCAATTCTCCTGCCTCAGCCTCAGGAGTAGCTGGGATTACAGGCACCCACCACCATGCCTGACTAATTTTTGTATTATTCGTAGAGACAGGGTTTCGCCATGTTGGCCGGGCTGGTCTTGAACTCCTGACCTCAGGTGATTCGCCCCCCTCGGCCTCCCAAAGTGCTGGGATTACAGGCATAAGCGACTTTGCCCAGCCAGGAAGAGATTTTTATATCTTGTCAGCATCCCTAGGCATTTTATTTTATTTTATTTTATTATTTATTTATTTTTTGAGACAGAGTCTCGCCGTGTTGCCCAGGTTGAAGTGCAGAAGCACAGTCTCGGCTCACTGCAACTCCCACCTCCCAGGTTCAAGCGATTCTCCTGCCTCAGCCTCCCGAGTAGCTGGGATTACAGGCATGCACCACCGTGCCTGGCTGATTTTTGTATTTATAGTAGAGATGAGGTTTCACCATATTAGCCAGGGTGGTCTCGAACCCCTGACCTCAGGTGATCTGCCTGCCTTGGCCTTCCAAAATGTTGGAATTAACAGATGTGAGCCACTGCACTTGGCCAGCATTTTATATTTAAGCCTCTTCCTATATTAGATTTTGTTTATTTCAATGATTTCATCACTTAATCACCTACTTCCTTGCAATGATACTCAATGGTTTTCTGTTGTTGTTGTTGTCATTGTTGTTATTTTATGAAATTTGGGAAACTACCAACAAGATGATGGCCACACCACACCTATGGCAAACTGCATTTTCCAAAAATGGCTTCAGTGATAAATCCCAAAATCCTCTTTTTATAATGTGACTTTGAAACTTCTTCCCTTGTAGGGGAGCCTGTAGGACAGCTCTACAGCTACAGCAGAAATAACTCTACATGACTTCCAAGGCTAAGTCATAAAAGGCAATACTGCTTCTGCCTGATTCTCTTGGGATTTCATGCCCAAGAAAGGTTAATCAGCACACAGAAATAACTACATGGAGTGTAACCAAGCTCCAAGCCCATTCCTGGATGGCCTCTAGGCTGACAATCTGTACCAAGTTGCCAGACATATGAGTGAGCCATCTTGAAAGTAGCCAAACCAGCTGATGTTATATAAAGCAGAAACAGCTAGCCCCAGATATCTTTCCAAATTGCATATCTCTCAGTCTTTTAAGTGTTACAATAATGGTTTGCCTAATACTCAAAGGGAACTTTGAGGGAGATTCTAATTATATACTTTATTGAATAAGTGATGAGATTTCATAATAGGTAATATTTTCTGAGTATCCGGTACATGCAGGCACTGTTTAAAACATTTTAATGTATCAACAATTTAACCTTCACATGACAACTCCCTGAGTTATATTCTATTTTAATTCCCATTTTACAGTTGAGGAAACTTAAATAATCATCTATAAATACACAGAGAGGTGTGGTAATTTTCCCAAGCTCAAAGAACTAAGAAGTATTAAGATTAGAACCCAAGCAGTATGGTTTAATCACCAAGAATCTGAGAGGCATGTGTTTTCATGCAGAAAAAAATATATAAAGAGTCACTGAGGTGACTTTGTATGTCTGGGGGTGAGGGTGTTGAAGTGCACTTGAGAGTAGTCAATAGACATGGAGATGTGCCATGCATATCCTCCTTTAAGATGCTGGTATTTACAGCCACCAGCCATTTGTTCCTTCAGGGTCCACCTCAGCTTTTTAGCTGAGGTCATGCTCTTTTCGACTTGGACCCTGGCCAATAAATCAGCAAAGCAGTGGTATAAAAGCAGAGTCACTTCTGCCAAACCCAGGGCTCGTCTAACTCCTGTTGTTGAGTTGGCAGAGATGTAGGGTCTTCATCATGCCCAATCCTGTTTCTTCCCTCTACCTTTCACAAGTGTTACTTCCCAATAAACCTTTTCCTCACTGGTTCTATCTTAGTACCTGCATTTAGGAGAACCTAACCATGGCAGAGAAAAGCACAGAAAGTCAGGCAGAGGCTAAGTCAAAAAAAGATCTTTAATCCCTATTAATGAGCTTTGATTTTTTTTTTTTTTTTTTAAGTATTTATTGATCATTCTTGGGTGTTTCTCGGAGAGGGGGATTTTGGCAGGGTCATAGGACAATAGTGGAGGGAAGGTCAGCAGATAAACATGTGAACAAAGGTCTCTGGTTTTCCTAGGCAGAGGGCCCTGCCGCCTTCCGCAGTGTTTGTGTCCCTGGGTACTTGAGATTAGGGAGTGGTGATGACTCTTAACGAGCAAGCTGCCTTCAAGCATCTGTTTAACAAAGCACATCTTGCACTGCCCTTAATCCATTTAACCCTGAATGGACACAGCACATGTTTCAGAGAGCAAGGGGTTGGGGGTAAGGCCATAGATTAACAGCATCCAAGGCAGAAGAATTTTTCTTAGTACAGAACAAAATGGAGTCTCCCACGTCTACTTCTTTCTACACAGACACAGCAACAATCTGATTTCTCTTTCCTTTCCCCACACTTCCCCCCCTTCCACTCGACAAAACCGCCATCGTCATCATGGCCCGTTCTCAATGAGCTGCTGGGTACACCTCCCAGACGGGGTGGCGGCCAGGCAGAGGGGCTCTCACTTCCCGGACAGGGCGGCTGGCCGGGCGGGGGCTGTCCCCCACCTCCCGGAGGGGGCGGTTGCAGGGCGGAGGGGCTCCTCACTTCTCAGACGGGGCAGCCGGTCAGAGACGCTCCTCACCTCCCAGACGGGGTCGCGGCCGGGCAGGGGCATTCCTCACATCCCAGACGGGGCGGCGGGGCAGAGGCGCTCCCCACATTTCAGACGATGGGCGGCCAGGCAGAGACGCTCCTCACTTCCTAGATGGGATGGCGGCCGAGCAGAGACGCTCCTCACTTCCCAGACTGGGTGGCTGGGCAGAGGGGCTCCTCACGTCCCAGACGATGGGTGGCCAGGCAGAGACGCTCCTCACCTCCCAGACGGGGTGGCGGCCGGGCAGAGGCTGCAATCTCGGCACTTTGGGAGGCCAAGGCAGGCGGCTGGGAGGTGGAGGTTGTAGCGAGCCGAGATCACGCCACTGCACTCCAGCCTGGGCAGCATTGAGCACTGAGTGACTGAGACTCCGTCTGCAATCCTGGCACCTCGGGAGGCCGAGGCTGGCGGATCATTCCAGGTCAGGAGCTGGAGACCAGCCCGGCCAACATGGCGAAACCGCGTCTCCACCAAAAAATACGAAAACCAGTCAGGCGTGGCGGCGTGCGTCTGCAATCCCAGGCACTTGGCAGGCTGAGGCAGGAGAATCAGGCAGGGAGGTTGCAGTGAGCCGAGATGGTGGCATTACAGTCCAGCCTCCGCTGGGCATCAGAGGGAGACCGTGGAGAGAGAGGGAGAGGGAGGGGGAGGGGGAGGGGGAGGGGGAGGATTTTTTTTTTCTTGTAAGTCAGTGATCCTCAAATTATTTTGATTGGGAACATTTATTAGTAAAGTGTGTGATGTATAACAATATATGTTTATATGCATTTATTTGTAGAACATATAGGCAGAGTAGTAATTTTATATTATATGTCTTAATTATACACAAAAATATAAATTTTTAAAAGTCAAAAATATAATATTTAATAAAAATAAATTTTCACATTTTTATTGGTATCTAATGAATCTGTCTTACATATTCTCTGGAGAATATGCATCTCCTTTTGGAAACTATTACTTTTGGCAATGAAAATCTCTAGGTGTTTTACATGAGTCTAAACTACTGAGATTTGTATTTTACAAAGGTCATTCTGGTAAGACTGGAGGGTGAAGAAATTAGGGTCAAAACCAGGAGCAAGTGAAAAGTATCATAATTGGCTTTAACATGGCTCATATTATTCAAATGTCACAGAGGATTATGTGAGAAAAGTCTGACAGATTTGAACAAGGAAACTAAAGTTTTCTTTGCTAAGTTTAGGGAGCATGTCTGCTATGCGATCTTATATCACTATTTCTCTACCCAGTCTTTCATTCATCCCGCTACTAAGCAGGAGAAGGGACTAGAGACGGTCAGTATGGACATGATTATTTTGATATTTTATTGAATTCGTTAAGGAATATTCTTATTGATGCCAGTGTACACCTCCCCTAAAAATACTTCTAATAGCTCTCTGTGGAACAACCCTCCCTCCAGATCCCTTTGATCGTGCTGTTCATTATGACAATTATTCCACCATGCTCCTGATGGTTAAGACCTATGGTTTTTGGATCTTGTAATTTACATTTTCCAGGTCTCTAAGAATATTCTCTACTATCAACCCTTGCCTACAAAGGACTGCCACCACTAAATAGTATATTTTTGCTAATAGCCCTTTACCAGAATGGATAGCATGTCCTCCAGATTTTCTATCTTCCTATGAAACATAGTTGGCTATGTATATGGGATATAGATGGAATATATACATAGCCAACTAGATATATATATGAAAAATATTTATGTACATTATACATATATTAATTTACTCTAATATGTAAACCTCTCTGAGCCTTTTAATAACTTCCTCTCCCATCTGCCATAGTAGTTCTGACATTTTCATTTAATTTAGTGTGAGCTATCACTTTTTGCAAGCTTGCGAGTATCATCCAAGTGGTACATAGCATTATCCCCTGAATTTTTGGCCAAAGTGTTTAATTCTCTATTTCAGCAAAATAGTCCCATATTTATATGTTGTCCTTATATAAATATATGTTTTTGCAGCCCCCCTTTACCCAGCACCCTCAGTATCTAATTCCATACACATTCTTCTTTTCCTTGCCAGTTCAGGTTGCCAGTAACTCCTTTAATACACAGTCCTGTTGCTCCCTTAGCAGCCTAAAACTTGCTTAACTTGGTTATTTTGTTACCCTACCCTAGTTATCTGGCGACCAAGAGGGGAGGTGTGACTAAAGCCTTAGGGTAATGGCACATGGTACCTTATCAATCAGCAGCCTCTGTATCAACTTCAAATAAGTAGTGAGCCTTTAGGATGAATAAGAAGGCAAATTTTACGTGTCCCAAAAATCCACAGATATTGCATTTCAAAAATTTTTAATGCATCAATCCAGATGTCACCATTCCAGGTGACATTACCAGGGTCTCATTCCTTCTCGAATGGGATTGGGACTCAGATGTTGGTAAGTCTTCCCTGATTCTACAATGGCTAAGTCTCTTTATTAACCTCCGTGGAGGTACTTTGATTTTTGCACATAACCTTAAATTGATAATGAATTACCCTCAGTTTTTCATTGTGTTTATTTAATGCATTGATAGCGCCTAGCAACAGCCATTCGATTTCAGTCAATATTTACTGATTCCAATGTAACTCTGAAAGTCTGAGATTTACACTAACTAATGCATTCTCTTCCACCAATATTCCATCCCAGTTCACCACCAGGAAAGTTTTAACAAATGCGTCATTACTATATCTGGGGGCTATACACACTTGAGTTACCAACAGTGATGTGGTCCTCAATGACACCATGCCAGTAGGGGACATGGCTCCAAAATCTCATTTAGATTTTTTTTTTCTAGGACAGTTGCCCTATTCTAGGTTTCCTAAATATAGACACTGAAACAGATTTGTATGCAGAAAGTTTTATTGGGATATTTTCTTTGGTAAAACACTTACAAGGACCATGTAGGATTAACAAATATACCTAATCCAATGTGGTGGTCAGAAGGAAGGAAAAGATTCAGACCAAGGCCTAACCAAGAAGTGAATAGCAATTGCTTACTGACAATGAAGAAATGGAGACAGGAAAAGTATCTTGAGAAAAGTCAACATCATAAAAAAGATATAAAAGTATATATGAGAATCCCAACATTTAATATTGCTAAAGTGTAAAGTGTGAGCCAAAAAGTAATGAAAGATGAGGTTGAGTTGGGGTACAGAAGCCTAAACAATGATCTTAAAACCTTGCATTTCATTATTGTGAATAATGAATGAGGGACTGAAATGATCAAAATTGCACGTTGGCTTATTCTGGCCACTTTAGGAAGAAGCGATTTGAGAGGAACTATATTGGGTGTAAGAAAATTATTTAAGGGTCGTAAATGCATTCTGCCTCTCATTGCTACACATGCACTTTCAGCAACCAATTTGATCATCTTTTGAGTTCTGTGATTTCATACTATCCAAATGTATTGGGAACAGTTGTTTGTTTTTGTTTTTATAAACTTCTAGTACTATTTCTTTGACCTGTTTTATTTCAATTTAATTATAACTCTACAAACAATTATGGTCATTTCTTTTATACTCAGCATGATGGTACTGTGCCGGGTACTGGATAAAGACAGTATGAATACAGACTTTTCTTTTTTTTTTTTAAATCAGTTTAACTTTTATAATACTGCTTGACTGAACTATCGACTTGAGAGTTACTAACGCCAAAACTTATAACTAATTCACCTCAAACTCTATGAAGAATTCTATGCTTCTTGCCTTCTGATTTTTTAAAAAATATTTTAAAGTATACTGATAAATTAGAAATATATTCTATAATTTCAAGAGTAACTACTAAAAGGATAATATAAAAAGCTAAAAAATCATAAAAAGTAACAGTAAAAAATAATAAAAAGAACAGCTAAAGCTAATCAATGATGCTAGAGGCCAATGGTCACCTCAAGAGTGAGAACTCTATTGACTGGGATTGAACACGAGGTGATCTTGAGTAATGTGTCTTTATCTCTGTGCTGGATAGATGGGTGTAAAAATATGCAAAATTTATGTATCTGGGCTAGTAAGATTTGTGCACTTTACTGCTAGCTTAGTCTCAAATTAAAAAAAAACAACTTTTGTAAAGAATTTCTAGAAGAAACCAAATTTTTTTCTTCTCTTCCATCTAGTGCCAGACTTAGGCAGGCAAGTTTCTTTAATTTTCCTATCTGTGTTAAGCTATTAAACTTTTATTGACTCTTTGGGACCCTGTTTTATCTGGGAGATCACCATGGTTATTCCTGAGTTTGATTTTCTGCCCCCATATCAACTGCTCATCTAAATGCACTCCCCAAGATTTGGCATTCAAATGCCCTTCATCCTTAGGTGAAAGCCAGCTGGTCCATCATGTATCTTCCATGATTCCTGGTTGATTAGTTTGTATATTGTTTGTCATACCACCATTTTTATGCCACCTTAAAGTGAGTTTTTAAAATGTGTGTGTTTCAAATATATATTTTCTCCAGCATTTTAGTTGTTTTAGTCATGAGAGTCAGGTACCTAATCTGCTATCTGATAAGAAATAGAAGTGTCTCTGTTTCCAGTATTAATCTTCCATCTGCACTTTAGACCCTTTTTTGTAGAAGCAGCCAGAGTAGGAGGATTTCGTTTGTTTGGTTTCTTGATTTCCAGGATCACAGGATCTAGTCTAATTATTTTTCAGATGCCTCCACTTAGGCTTCTGTCCCTCATCCTTCCACCCTTTGCATCAACCGTGAGTCCAGGTCCTAACCTAATACTTATAAGAGCTGTTGGAAGAGAGGCAGGGAGGTGAAAGGAAAGAGTAAGAGCAAGAGTAAGAGCAAGAGAAAGAGAGAGAAAGAAAGAGAAAGGGGCTTATATTAGCTGAAGAGTGACTGTATGTTTTTCAAATCATGGTTTTCTATTTTTTTCCATTAGTACTTTGTCTTCTAGTAAATTTTTTTATTAGATTTAAAACTGGTTTGTGCAAAATGAAAGTTTTTCTTACTGAAATTTTATTGAATAGTAAGGCTTTTATCTATTTTATTAGCTCTTAACCAACGAGTTTTCCCCCTGCCCCGAGGTCCTAGTAATTTTGTATAGCAGCAGTCTGTTTTGCCATTTTCAAAAACACCTATTAATCATTTACAGTGTGAAATTCCTTGGAAAATAATCTAAAAATAACTCTAAGATCTACATGGTATAGAAGTTTAAATTTTTGTTTTGTTAGTAATATCAGATCAGATGATGTTCTACCGTCATACTTAGCTCAGAATTCACTATAAGAATGTAACTGACTTTGGTTAATAGCTAAATCAGTAGGAACAATCAAGGACTAGAGTAAAAGAGGTATTTGACCTCAAAATCTGGAGGCTATTTGTGACTTATGATAGTTCAGTAATAAGTTATTAAGGGTGTTAGTGAGCTCAGTGAAAACCCAAAGACATAGGTCCAGGAGAAGCACTAAACGAACAAGGCTCAGCTAGCCAGCTATTGAGGAGCTGGGTGGAAGACAATCCAAAGGAACGCCGGTTATCTAAAAACATGGGACAGACAAAGCATCATTTGGGAACTTCCTGGAGCTGTCATCAAAACTGGTGATAAAAGCTGCAGTGCTCCTACTTGGAAACTTCTTTTGCTGAAGAACACAGCTCATAAACCAATGAAAGCCAATGAGAATATTGCAAGTAAAGCTATTGCCAACACATGCCACTTCCATAACTACTGGGGCAGAAAAATCAAAGCTGTAATGAGATACCACTTCATATTCACTAGAATGGCAGTCAAAAATAAATATATATATATATATATATATGTACATGTATGTATGTGTGTGTGTGTGTGTGTGTATATATATATATATATATATAACAAGTGTTAGGGAGGATGTGGGAGAAATTAGGACCCTTTACATTGCTGATGGGAATATAAAATAGTATAACTGCTGTGGAAAATGTATGGTGCTTCCTTAAGAAATTAAACATTAAATTTCCGTATATTTTTGCAATTCCATTTCTGGGTATATACCAAAAAAAAATTAAAAGCAGAGATTTGACAAATGTTTTTGAACTCATGTTCACAGCAGCATTATTCACAATGGCCAAAAGGTGGAAGGGACCCAACTGTCCGTTAGTGGATGAATGGATAAACAAAAAATAGTATATACAGACAATAGAATAGTATTTGGCCTTAAGAAGAGAGGAATTTCTGACATATGCCACAACATGGCTAAACCTTGAGTATATTATGTTAAGTGAAATAAGTCAGTCACAAGAGGACAAATGCTGTGTGATTCCACTTATATGCAGCACCTAGAGTAGTTAAAGTAGGATGGTGGTTACCAGGAGCTGAGAGGAGGGGAAATAGGGAGTTAGCATTTAAATGGATACAAAGTTCAGTTAGAGAAGAAGAAAAAGTTCCGGAGATGAGCATTGCTGATGGTTGGTTACACAACAGTGTGAATATACTTAATGCTACTGAACTGTACACTTAAAAATGATTAAATGTTTGTTTTTCTTTGTTTTTTTTGTTTTTTGTTTTTTTAGTTGGAGTCTCGCTCTGTGGCTGAGGCTGGAGTATAGTGGCACGATCTCGGCTCACTGCAACCTCTGCCTCCCAGATTCAAGTGATTCTCCTGCCTCAGCCTCCTGAGTAGCTGGGACTGTGCCACCACGTCTGGCTAATTTTTGTATTTTTAGTAGAGACGGGGTTTCACCGTGTTGGCCAGGATGATCTCGATCTCCTGACCTCATGATCCACCTGCCTTGGCCTCCCAAAGTGCTGGGATTACAGGCATGAGCCACCACGCCCATCCTTAAATGGTAAATTTTATATTATATATATTTTACTATAAATAAAAATATTTAATAAATTTAAAGTCAGGATTAGAGGACTAAGGACAATCTACATGCCCTGCATGCCCTCACAATGATTGATATATACATTGATGGGGCAAAAAAAAGCAATTTAATGTAGTAAGCCTAACAAGAAAGCTATCACTTATCCCCTAGTCCCTGTTACATTCTTATTAGTAAGATTTCTATTGCACTTTATGCCCAACAAGAGATTAGAATATACTAGTGATTCAATAAGGGTTTAATGTGCCAGGATCTCTGTCCTGTGCTGTGGGGGATTCAAAATAACTAAAATCAACCATATTTAATGTGTACAAAACCTTCATGAGAGAACATTTAAATATTACCATCCTGTATGAGAAAGTTGACAATTCAAGGTGAGCTAAATCTTCTTGCCTGCCACCTGCCATCTTCTTGCCTGTTTTCTTTCAACTTTTCCCCCAAGTCATGTGAAAATCCTTTATTCTGAGGGTGGACATCACATTTGACATGCTAAGCTAAATTATTCTAAATCAATTGCTATTAGTACGTCTCTAATGGAAGTTCCCTTAAGAAAATCAAATGAAATTTAAAATTGATTTTGTGACCAGAGCTCTGAAGCATATGATATAATTAAACAAAACATTCCTGTGTTTATATCTGGAATCTGAAAGACCAAACTGACACACTGTCAAGTGCTTTAGTTTATAAATCTAAATAGTCAATGACATGTCTGAGAAATATACGTATAATGTACATATATACGTACATAAATACATAGAGAAGATTGAATATATATGTTCCATTCATTCTCTGATCTATTTTCCCCTAAGGTGTCAAGAAGCAGTACAATTTTAGTTTATGTATTTTCCTATAGAGAAAACTTACCTAGAAAAAGTCTCTAATAAAAAGGTTGATTCCTCCTCAGTTATCTCTAGCCAACCTGTCAAGCATGTACTTTCTAATTATTCTTTCTAAAGCACACCTTTGACCATGCTACTGGCCACACAGAAACTGTCAAGAGTTCCTACTGACTTCCAAAAAAAGTTCAAACACCTCACTCAAATAGTCCAGGACCCATCTCAATCTACAATTTCTTTCTCTGAATTGTTTTTAAATTTACTGTCATCTCTATATAAAACAAAAAACTTGCCACTTCTAAACAAACCCTAAAATTTCCAATCTTTAGGCCTATTTTTATACCATTTTTCCTTACTATAATGCAACTCCATACAAATTTCATTCTTCAACATATAAATGTACTATAACCATCTTACTTAGCATTGTACTAGATATAGGAAAAAGATGTACACACTTTGGTGGACTTCCTAGTATTTATTTATAGATTAATACTAAATACCTCAAGGTATTTTTTAAGAGCTTACAAATAGAGAGGTAGGCCATCATTTCAGCTTCCTAGGAATCTAGAAATATCTGCATGATTCTATTTAAGTTTTCTTTTTTTTTCTGAAAATAAGTTTACTGAAAAAAAAAATCATTGTCATTTTATTTCTTCTTAGTTTTCTTTTTCTTTTTTGAGACAATCTCAAAAAAGAGATTGTGCCCTAGGCTGGAGTGCAGTGGTTTGACCACAGCTCACTGTAGCCTTGACCTCCCGGGCTCAACCAACCTTCCCACCTCAGCCTCCCAAGTAGCTGAGATCGCAGGTGCATGAAACAACGCCAAGCTGATTCTTCTTATTTTTAGTAGAGACGAGGTTTTGCTATGGTGCTTTGGCTGGTCTTGAACTCCTGAGCTCAAGTGATCCTCCCACCTCGGCCTCCCAAACTGCTGGGATTACAGACATGAGCCACTGTGCCCAGCCTCTTCTAGGAATTTTTACTCTGAAAGTGTAAGAAAAAACAGTATACACAAATGTTGCTATTAAATATCCCATGAACATTTATTGTATAACTTCCATGTACTTCAAAGTATAGGAGGCATTTGAAAGTGATGGAAAAATACAGAGGTTAGTTATAGAGGTTAGTAAGAATTTTCATTCTTTAAGAGTAATGAAGCATAACTATAATACAAGGTAGAAAGTGACATTGTAAAAAAAAAAAAGATTTGGCTTTGGAATTAAAAGGAAGAGATTTCTCCTGCTTGGGAAGATCCCAGAAAGCTTCACGTTAAAACAAGATTTTTCCATTTGTCTTCAGCAAGTGTCAACCACAATGAGAATGCCTTAAGACAACTAAGGACAAAATTCTTCAACATGGATCTGTTTCCATGGTGTCAATTCTATATGTTTATATAGATTTTTTCCTTGATCTTATGAAGATTTCAATAACTCTACACACACAACAGCACTGAAAACCACATTTACCACAAAATATCAAAGTTCTTAAATATTAATGATTTGGAATTACCATGTATATTCCCAGCATGGACTAGCTCTTTGTTTTTAGAGATTTGGGAAATTATTTTCAGACTATTTTCTCCTTAGAAACAATTGATGCTGTATGACTTAATCAACAGTAAATAGTTTCATGAGTAGTAAGAGAAGTGCTTATTTTCGGAACTCTGTTCTGTCTTTCACAAACTTAAAGTGCTATGGAAACTTTATGAATTAATGCCTGTTCATTTCAGGACTGCTCTTGCCCTTAGTGTATCTCTGGAAAGACATACTCCAGAAAGTGTGCTTTCCTTTTTAAATGTATATGTGGATTCCTTTGAGAAGGGGAGAAGCAATGAACAAATCCTTTTCAATTAATTAACTCCGGAATTTTGCTATTAATGAAGGATACATGAAACAAAATAGTAATTATTTGAAAAGCCAAACAAAACGATGGATTTTTAATATAGTTTAACAAATGTTTATTTAGTTTCTACAAGGTGCTACAGTTTTAGGCAAGGTAGATAAAGAAATGAAAGTGGCAAACAAGGTCCGCATTCTCTGCATATCTCATGTTCTGGATGTATGTGATATGGATTATAGGGAGAGAGGAGGCAAAAGGTAGGAGAAAAGAGGAAATAAAATACATGTAATTAACAAGGAAACACATTTTAAAACAATTTCAAATAGTGATAAGTGCTATGAAGACAATAACTTAGGGTGAGCTGATAAAGATGAAATTGGTAGAGATCTTATACTAGGTGGGTGCTATAGCCCAAAAGTTTGCGCCCCCACCCCCAGTAAATTTGTATGTTGAAATCCCAACCCCCAACACAATGGTATTAGGAGGTGAGGGCTTTTGGGAAGTGATTTGGCCTCTGCCCTCCTGAGTGGGATTAGTGCGCATATAAAATAGGCCCAAGAGAGCTTGTTCACCCTTCTACCACGTGAAGACACGGCTAGAAAGCTATGAACCAGGAAAAAGGTGGGCACCTTGAGCTGAGACTTCTCAGCCTCCAGAACTATGAGAAATAAGTTTCTATTGATTATAACCTACCTAGTCTATGGTACTTCATTATAGCAGACTGAGCTGACCAAGAATGAGCACAGAAGAGAGATAAAATAAGGAAGTGATATTTGGCCTGATTCCTAAATTATCAACTTACAAACAGCAAGACATATAAAAATTCAAGCAGTAAAGTAGCAAAGACAAAGACCTCAAGGTGGAAACCAGCTTGGAGGATTCTAGAAAAAGCAAGAAGATCTGTATAACAGAGGCATGGTGACCAAAATGGGGGTGTTGCAAGATAAAATTGTAAGAATTGGTAAGATCACGTAAGGAAGATAATTTAAGTTTGCACAGTGTACATAAACAGTTTGGATTCTAGAAAGACTGATTTGAAGCCATGATAAGGATTTTTTTTTTTTTTTTTTTTTTTTTGAGACGGAGTCTGGCTCTGTCGCCCAGGCTGGAGTGCAGTGGCGTGATCTCGCCTGACTGCAACCTCCGCCTCCCGGGTTCACTCATTCTCCTGCCTTAGCCTCCCCAGCAGCTGGGACTACAGGCGCCGCCACCATGCCAGGCTAATTTTTTGTATTTTTAGTAGAGATGGGGTTTCACCGCATTAGCCAGGATGGTCTCGATCCCCTGACCTCGTGATCCCCCGCCTCGGCCTCCCAAAGTGCTGAGATTGCAGGCGTGAGCCACCTCGCCCGGCCTATGATAAGGATTTCTGTATACCCTCACCATACGTTAGTGAAACAAAACTTTATTTTTATATTGATTCAAGAAGCAATGATTAAGGAACTCCTACATGCCAGAGTCTGAAGTTGAGGGAGAAGGTAGAGAGGAACAGACTTGGTGTTTGTCCTCTAAGAATTTATAGAGTGAGAGAAAAGGAAGTGCTAAATTCCCTAAGTACATACATTTATTCAGTATTATGGATATTCTAAGAAGGGATATAACTTCCATTGTGTAAAATCTTTGTATATGATATATCATGTAATTTTAGCTTTGAAATATAGGTATTATTTGAGCATGTTGAAATGGAAAGTGTAGGGTACTAAAAATAAAGACAGAAGGAAAAATGTAAGGCCTTTTATGGAATACAGGGAGTTTCATTTATCCATGTGTTGATAATACAGTCCGTATATGTGAGGTAGTGACAGAAAATGTATTCATTCCCTCAGTGAATATTTATTGAGCAAGTACTATGGGAAGAACCATCCTAGCTGCTCGTGAACTGTATTGAATGAAATTAAAATCTGTCTTCTTAATGGAGCAGTCCAGCAGGGGGAGACAGATAATAAACAAATGAGTATAGAATACAAGGGCGTGATATTGTAGGTGGTTAAACTTTTACGAAGGGTGGTCAATAAAGGTCTCTCTAATAAGTGGCATTAGAGAAGAGACCTGAAGGACATAACAGAGGGACTCGTGTGAACATCCGGGGAAAGGTCATCAAAGCAGAGGAAACAGTAGGTGGGCATGCCCTAAAGTGGGAAAACACCGGAAATGTTCAACAAAAAGTGTTGGCCGGGCGCGGTGGCTCACGCCTGTAATCCCAGCACTTTGGAGGCCGAGGCGGGTGGATCACCTGAGGTCGGGAGTTCGAGACCAGCCTGACCAACATGGAGAAACCCCGTCTCTACTAAAAATACAAAATCAGCCGGGCGTGGTGACACACGCCTGTAATTCCAGCTACTCGGGAGGCTGAGGCAGAACAATCGCTTGAACCTGGGAGGCGGAGGTTGCGATGAGCCGAGATCGCGCCATTGCACTCCAGCCTGGGCAACAAGAGAGAAACTCCGTCTCAAAAAAAAAAAAAAAAAAAAAAAAGCGTAAAGAGAATGTTACGGCCGGGCACAGTGGCTCACACCCGTAATCCCAGCACTTTGGGAGGCCGGAGCGGGCGGATCACCAGGTGAGGAATTCGAGACTATCCTGGCTAACATGGTGAAACCCCATACAAAAAATTAGCCGGGCGTGGTGGTGCACGTCTGTAGTCCCAGCTACTCGGGAGGCAGAGGTTGCAGTGAGCCGAGATCGCGCCACAGCACTCCAGCCTGGCAACAGAGCGAGACTCCATCTCAAAAACAAAAAAAAAGTGTAAAGAGACTTTTATAACTTAAATATTAGAAGGGAGCAGACAAGTAACAGGAGATGAGGTCAGAGAGGTGGAGTGGGAGGAGGAGATATAGACACTCAGTACCGTGTAGGTAAAAAGCAAAATGGGAAGCCATTGGACGATAATGAACAAAACAGTAGAAATAGCTGACTTTTATTTTCAAGGGACACTATGACTATGGTGTCGAGAAGAGTCAAAGAAATCGGGGCCAGGACAAAAGCAGAAAGACCAAATAGTGGGCTACTGAAGTTTTCCAGGTATGAGGTAATGGTGACTTGGAGCTGGGAGTTTATGGAGGAAGTGATGAGAATGGTTAAAATCCTGGATGTACTTTAAACTGATTGGATTTCATAATGAATCAAATAATGCACAAGAGAGGAATAAGATTGACACCAAGTTTTGTAGCCAAAGTAACTCGAAGAATAGACTTGCTATTCTTTTGGATGAGGGAGAACAAGTATTTGTTAGGCAAACTAGATGTCAGTTTTAGACATTGTCTTAGTCAGTTTGGACACCTAAAATAAGTTAACCACAGATGGCTTGAACAACAAACATTTGCATTTCACAGTTCTACAAGCTGGGAAGTCCAAGATCAAGGAACTATTGGCTTTAGTTTCTGGTTAGGCCACTCTTCCTGGTTTGTAGATGGCAATATTTTTATTGTATTCTCATGTGGCTGAAAGCAGAGAAAAAGGTAACTTTGTCTGATCTTTTAATAAGGGCATTAATCCTATCATGACAGCCTTATTCTCATGACCTAATCCAACCCTACTTACCTACAAAAGGCCCAATCTCCAAACACCAGGAAATTGGGGATTAGAATTTCAACATATAAATTTTGAAGGGACATCAACATTCAGTTCATAAAAGACATAGTAAGTTTGTGATGCCTATTTATAACTAAGTGGAGATTTTGAATAGGCAGCTGGATTATATGAGTGATATGTGAGGCTAGAGCTCAAGAAAAATGGCCGGGCTAAAAATAAAAATTGGAAAATCATCAGGAGATACATGCTATTTAATGCCTTGTCATTGGATGATATGAACAATGGGGAAAGTCTATGTAGAGAACAGAAGGCGGCCTAAAATTGAGCCCTGTGTCACTGCAAAATTTAGAGTTCAGAAAGAAAGACAGAATGAGCAAAGGAGAAAAGAAATGCCAGTAAAGAGTGAAGTAATAGGAGAGTCAAAAGAATTAGAATCCCAAACACTAAGTGAAGCAAAGAGAAAGTGGTCATCTATAACAAATACTCTTAAGTAATTTGAGAACTGAAAAGTGATCATTAAATTTAGCAGTGGAGAAGTAACTAGTGACCTTAACAAGAGGAGTCTGAATAGACTGGTAAAAGTTAAAAGTTCAGGAAAGTAGGGCCAAGAAAGAAAAATTGGAGAAGAATTAGTGAAGATTAACTCCTTCGGGGTCATAACAAGTGGCAAAGAAATGGGAGAGTAGCTGGAAAAGAAGAAATGGACAATAAAAGATTTGTCTGAGACAGGAGATAGGTTAATATAATTGTAGGCTGTTGGCAATGGCCCAGTTGAGAGAAATGAGACAAGGAGAATTGCAGAAGTGATGTATTGAGTGCAAAGCTTATGTATAAAAGTTGGTATCTAATGCATTAATGGTTTATTCATACTTATAAGATGGAAAGCAGAATGTATTTGTATTAACATTCACAGGTAAGTAGATATGGTAATGGAAACTTGCAGAAATTCTTTTCCATTTCCTTTTTTCTTCTCAGTGAAAGAGAAAGCAATTTTATTAGCTGAGAGTTAGCCTGGGAAGGAAGTGATTGTGGTAGTTTGAGGAGAGAGAAGTTTTAAGAGTCCTCTAAAGGAGAAAGATAAAGAACGAAGTACTTTTCCCTAAATGGATCCTGGTTCAGAACAAAATGTCTACTTGAGATTAGTAGGCATGCATTTTAAGGGGTATCATTAAGTAATGTGTGTATGTTTTCCTCCAGCATGACTTTAGGTCAACATAGGAGGAGCCCTGAGTTTAATCAACTTCAGTTTTGTAAGATTAGTAGGATGAGAAGGCCAGTATGATGCATGGATGGACTCTAAGCTTGAGAGGGACAAGATGGGACATAAATTTAGTGAGCCAGAGGTGGTGAAGATGTTAAAGTGATTGATATTAATAAAGTCTAGCTATGAATACACACATATCCAAAACTAAAGTGGCTATTCCTCTTGTTTCCAACTCAGGAATAAA
Organism: Homo sapiens; assembly: GCF_000001405.40. NCBI lineage: Eukaryota > Metazoa > Chordata > Mammalia > Primates > Hominidae > Homo > Homo sapiens. Next base: position 191,139,595 of record NC_000003.12, read on the forward strand.
AGGTAAAATCTAGTTTTTCAAAAGAGAAAGTGGTGAAACCACTAGTATGTTAACATCTCTGAAGTAAACAATCATATTGAATGCTAGTACATATAAACAGATTTTTAATGGCAGCATGGAACATTGCTGGCTGGTCTGATTAGCATAATTTTGTTCGTGTTCAGTTCTTACTGAATATATTTCATTTGAATTCAGAGGAATAAGTCAAAACTTTAAAACAAAGCCAGCATGCTATTTCCCTGTTTATATGTTTATACAATTTTTGTGACAAAGTGTTGTGACAAAACCACAGCTTTCAGTGGGTGCATGGAGGTTTAAGTGGTTTCATCTCAAACTGGAACCAGATGTGAGAAGTGGTGAAGTTACCAAATGTCATATTACAAAACCAAAACAAAACCGCTGTTCAATGTCTTCGTCTTTGCAAAGCACCAAAATGATGTGTTTCAAGGATCAGCAAAGATCTGAATGAAATTTGTCTTCAGTGGGAATTAGGATTTAATCCAAGACCAGTAAAGGATTAAATTGTCAAGGGATTTGGGTGAAATATGTGTAGATTTCAGAGGAAACTGTGTCAACTGTTGACCAAACTCATGGAACCTGATGATTAATCATGTTGAAGTCTTTTCACTGTTCTACAAACACCGTGCTTATATCCACTTTGACATTCTGCTTCTTTTATATCCCCTAGTGAAACTACTTTTTCCTTTCATCGGTTTCATTACTCCTCATCATTAATGATGCAACTCAAATTCAGTTCTCGTATAACACTTTGCATGCATACTACGCTCCTTTCTGTAGATGATCTAATGATCAACTAATCCCCATTTTTTTATAAAAAGGCAAAATATGTCACTCTTTTCTGTAGATTATCTAATGATCATCTAATCTCCTCATTTTATAAATGGGCAAAATATGTGTCAGAGATTCAAAGACTTGGAAAAGTCACATAGCTTACTTGAGGTTTATGATTTCTTTAAATTCCTAAAACTTTATCTGTAACACAATCTTTATCTTAACTACCTGTTTATAAACATCCAATGTGTGAACAATGTAATCCTGTGTTGAATATTAGGGGCACTACCCATTAAAAATCCTAAAATGTGAGCAATATTTCTTGAGTGCCACAATCTGTTCTCTACATTGGTACTTTTATCATAGGCCCGGAAATATGGGAAGAAATAGCACTACTTCCCATGTTTTTTAAACTGGAATTAGATCTGAAATGAGCACTTTGGTTTGACAGGTTCTCTAATATTGCCCTATAAACTATTTGTATTATTGTGGTGTTTTAGTTCATTTTGACTGCTTTAACAAAAATGCCAAAAATTGTGTGGCTTATCAACAATTAAGACATATTTCTCACAGTTCTGGAGGCTGAAATGTCCAATATCCAGAAACCAGCATATTGGTGTCTGGTGAGGGCCCATTCCTCATAAAGGATGTCCTCTTGCTGCATCTTTACATGGTGAAAGGGACTAGCTAGCTCCCTGGAGTCTCTTTTTTAAGGGCACAAATCCCATTCATGACGATTCTGCCCTCATGATCTATTCACCCGCCAAAGCCCTATCTTCTAGTATTATCTCATTGGGGACTGGGTTTTATCACATGAATTTGAAGAAGATACAAACATTTAGACTATGACATGTGGTATTAAAAACCCCGAATTTTCTATTGTCTCTTATCACCTATTCAACCAGGAAAGAATAATAAGATAAATTTTACTATCCCCTGGACATAAGATTTCAAAATAATGTCTAGTCACTTGGAATCTAGTAGTGACATAGAAAACAAAATAATCTGGGAATCTAAAATGTCTTAATAATGAATATATATACACACATACATATATATTCATATATATTCATTATTAAGAAACTAAGAAAATAAATATACATGCATTACATATATATTCTTATAGACACATATACATATATATCATGTATCACATAAACCTATAATAACTAAAACTCAAAAAAGCAAAATAATTTGCGTACAATCACCCTGCGTATAACTAAAGTCAGAAACCCAGCTGTAAGACCAATGTTAGCGTCATTGCCATTTGTTTTAGTTTCCCAGGCCAAGATTCTACCACCGTCTGATCAGTCTCTTCTCTATAATAGTGATAAATTCCTTTTAGGGTTGTTATTTGTAAAGGATTCTAAAATAAGGGGAAATAATTATTTTTTTCTCTTGAAAAATTTAAGTGCCTCACAGGACATGGCATGAAATAAGAAAATGTAAGTGGCACCCAAATATGACTAAATGAGTCAGCCTTCTTACTCATATCCTGGAAGTCATGTTGCGATGTATTCAGGATATCATTCGGCTCAAACACTTATAAATAGCTCCTAAGTGACTGTTTGATTTCCCGACTTCCCCTAAGGATGACTGGCTTCAGTATGTAATCCTTATACAAATTAGCAGATTTAAGTTAACTCCAAGGTTAGCAATAGTCAAGGGTATAAGGATTTAAGGTAACAATACCACCAACATTGAGAAGTCACGTATGAGGCCTTCAAGATCAAAGATTACTACTTCACCAAATTCATTTCTCATCTCTCTTCTTTCCATTCTCTAAATTTATAATTTTCTTAGATACCATTACCATTAGTTATATTCACTAGTATTCTCTAAATAAGAAATCAGATCTGGATCCTATACTTCAACAGTTCATAGAATAAACAGTAATATATACTGATTACCTAATATGAGCTATGTACCATGCTCAGTTCTGAAGATATAAAAATGATAAAATGATTTTCTTTGAGAGTTTTGCATTATGGCAATTCTGTAACACTTAGAAAAGAATAAAATATGTAATCATCTTAAAATCTCTAAGCAAATATCTCATGAGCATCTCAGATTTAAATGTCCTCGTCAAATATAATCCCCAGCACCATCAATCAAGTTTTCTAAAATATATCCATTCACCAACAGATCCTGTTGATTTTACCTCCACTGGTTTTAAATATGTAAAATATACACTATTCTTCATCTCTTGTGCTGTCACCTTAATCTGAGCCACTATTCTTTTTCACTAGGATTCCTACAATAATCTCTTTAGATCTTTTTCCTCTTCTACTGTTTCATCCTCCTCATCAATTTTCCATTACATTAGGGATATTTATTAAAATTATAAATGATCTATCTGTATCCATGAAGCCATCAATATTCTTTTCATTTCATTTAGGCTAAAAAAAAGTAAATCATTACCCTATTCTACAGCACCATGAATGCCAATCCTTATACTGTTCCTCCAATCCTATTTCCTTCCAACTTTCTTCTCACTTTTTATGTTCCAGACATTACAGATTTCTTTCTCCTTCTCATCTACTCAACTCTTTTTCTATCTTACAGTCTTTACAGGTATTATGTCCTGTGCCTGGAAATCCCTTTCCTGTTCTTTATTGCTGCTAATTTCTTCTTAATTTCTTCTCAACAATATATTTCAGCTCCATCTTACACTAAAAAGGAGGAGCTCAAGAAACAAAATACTTTCCTTTTCTCCATAGAAAAAATACAAGCTGTTGTGTTTCTAAGGACCAAGGCCTTATTAATTCAGAATAAAGGCAAATCATTTCTAGGAAATGTTAACAGTTGAACCCTCTCTTGATGGCAGAAAATAAGCTAAAATCTCTCTCTTTTTTCTGTAATAAACTAAATGAGAAGGGGTGAACCTGGAGGAGATTTAAAGAAGGACAAAGAGTACTGGATCTCAAATTTGGATTTAAGGAGTGATTCAGAGATCAGCCAGTGACCTGTAAGCACCAAGACAATGGACTGGAAGGAATAACAGCCCATTGTCTTGACGTTTGCAGGGCCACTGGCTGAGGACAGCATGCATTTGCTCAGACCTGTGCAAGTCTTGGGCAATAATTTCAGTCTAAGTGTCCAAGAATATTTGACCAAGGCAAGATAAAATTGTAGTTACACCTCTGATGATTAAACTTAGTGTTTGACCTTAAGTACATCACTTTATCCTTACATAGGTCATCATTTAAAGTGATAATCTCAAAGATTCTTTAACTGTCTAGAGGTTCTAAAAGCTTAAATTCCTGTTAAAACTTTTTTTCAGTCTATGGTGTCTTTGTTTATCATATAGGGCAACATGAACTGGAAATTCCTTTGGAAAAAAGCCAGTAATTCGGCTACATTAGGTTTATTTTACCTTACTATCATTTTATCCCATATTTGAGAAGCCAGAAAAGTACCTGGTGTAGTATTCACTCTGTCCTGTTCCCATCAGGTGACTTCAAAATGATTGCACCAGACACAGGTTACAGATCATGCATATGTTTTCAAACAATAAAGATGTAATTTTAGAAACAGCTGAGAAGTTACCCTGTCCTTGTTCTTCAATTAGCTATAACGTTGCTGGGCTGGAGATCTACTTGGAGCAGTCCCTCATGCCTAGTTAGTTTTGCTTGTCAGTCTATATGATAGGTCTCTGGATGCCAGGAGAACATGTCAACCCCAAAAAGTGATTTTATGAGGAAGCCCAATTTAACTTTTATGTTTTCACTCAGGCAGTCATTATTTATACTAATAAAAGATTTCAAAATTGACTTACAATGTCAAGTGTATAAGGATGCCAGTGTTTTGGTGGTCTGAACAGTGAATCAAAGGGGTTAATAAGAATCCAGTGCATGCCACTGTTCATTGAGCTGCCTGGTTTGACAGCACAGCATACTTTTGAATGTCAACTCAACTTTTAAAAATAACTTGGACTCTTAAACCCTTACGTCTGTATAATAATTTATAGACATCAGATTAGAATCCCATAGAGTGCTTTGGAAATTTATTTAGGTGGCCTTTATTCCAGGAAAATCTCATCATGTAAGTTTGATAGCTAAAACTGTGTTAAATGTTCCAGGCAATTGCCTGCTAACTTGAAATCGTGTACACTCAATATAAAAATGATAGCCACTAAATTTTCAAGGAAAATATGACAGTTTTTATTTTCTTATTGAAGTCAGTGTTTATACCCTAAGCTCAAGGATCCAAAGAATTAAAAGCAGAATAGGATCAGACACAATCTGACCCACTCTATATTTTTTGTATAAGAAAACTGAGACTAGGAAGGGGAAAGTGGTGAATATGATTACACAGTCATTTATTACAGACCTAAGAATAAAACACGACTTCCTTTACCCAGTGCTCTTTTTTTTTTTTTTTTTTTTTTTTTGAGACAGAGTCTCGCTCTGTCGCCCAGGCTGGAGTGTGCAGTGGCGCGATCTCGGCTCACTGTAAGCTCCGCCTCCCGGGTTCAAGCCATTCTCCTGCCTCAGCCTCCGAGTAGCTGGGACTACAGGCTCGCCACCACGCCCGGCAAATTTTTGTTTGTTTGTTTGTTTGTTTTGTATTTTTAGTAGAGACAGGGTTTCACCATGTTAACCAGGATGGTCTCGATCTCCTGACCTCATGATCCGCCTGCCTTGGCCTCCCACCCAGTGCTCTTTTAATTGCACCTCAGCTCACACCAAGTCTAACTATACATAAAAGTGTTTATGTCACAGGATGTGAAGTTTCGACCTCCAGTTCTGGCATATCAAATACTAAAGTGAGACAAATTATTTTTTCACTCACATAAAGGTAAAACAAAGAAAGTTTTGATGGAAAACAATTCCCAAAATATATACTGAATCATTAATAATCTATATATCCATAAATATATATTGAATCATAAAATCATTAATAATCTCTTACTGAAATCAATTTATCACTGAAGTGCTAATAAAATTGCCATCTTTAAATGATGGATTTCAAGTAAAAAGGAAAATAACCTGAAAGGAAAGGAACTCAGTCGTTCTCTAAGGATATTTAATGAAATCTAACCAGGTACCATTTTTAAATGGTAACTATGTTAATATTTTAACATTTAACATTTTAACATCTGTCAAGATAAAACAAGAAGTGATAGCAAAAACACTTGAAAGAAAATGGCCTCCTTATTGAGTTTTTCAATTTATTAGCTCATACTATCTTGCATTATAGTTTATAATTTTTTTAACTTTTATTTTAGTTCAGGGGAACCTGTGCAGGTTTGTTACATAGGTAAACTTGTGTCATCGGGGTTTGTTGTACAGATTATTTCCTAACCCAGGTATTATGCCTAGTACCTATCAGTTACTTTTCCTAACCCTCTTCCTCCTTCTACCCACTCGGCTCCCATAGACCCCAGTGTGTGTTATCCCCTCTTTGTGTCCATGTGTTCTCATCATTTAGCTCTCACTTATAAGTAAGAACACGGGGTATTTGGTTTCCTGTTTCTGCTTTAGTTTGCTAAGGATCATGGCCTCTAGCTCCCTCCTGTCCCTGCAAAGGACATGATCCCATTCTTTTCTATGGCTGCATAGTATTCCATGGTATATATGCACCATCTTTTCTTTATCCAGTCTATCGTTGATGGGCATTTAGGTCAATTCCTTGTCTTTGTGATGCATGCAGTGAACATACATGTGCATGTGTCTTTATAACAGAATGATTTATATTCCCCTGGGTGTAGACCCAGTAATAGGATTACTAGGTCAAATGGTATTTTTGTCTCTAGATCTTTGAGGAATTGCCGCACTGTCTTTCACAATGGTTGAATCAATTTACAGTGCCATCAACAGTGTATAGCATTCCCTTTTCTCCACAACCTCAATAGCATCTGTTGTTTTTTGACTTTTAATAATAGCAACTCTGACTGGTGTGAGATGGTATTTCATTATGGTTTTGATTTGCATTTCTCTAATGATCTCTGAAGCTGAGTTTTTAAATTAGATCCCATTTGTCAATTTTTGCTTTCATTGCAATTGCTTTTGAAGTCTTCTTCATGAAATGTTTGCCCATGCCTATTTCCTGAATGGTATTGTCTAGGTTGTCCTCCAGAGTTTTTATAGTTTTGGTTTTTACATTTAAGTCTTTAATCCATGTTGAGTTAATTTTTGTATATGATGTAAGGAAGGGGCCAGTTTTTATCTTCTGCATATGGCTAAATTCTGCCAGCAACGTTTATTGAATAGGGAATCCTTTCCCCATTGATTGTTTTTGCCAGGTTTGTTAAAGATCACAAAGCTATAGGTGTGCAGTCTAATTTCTGGGTTCTCTATTCTTTTCCATTGATCTATGTGTCTGTTTTTGTACCTGGACCATGCTTTTTGGTTACATTAGCCCTGTAGTATAGTTTGAAGGAGGTTAGCATGATGCCTCCAGCTTTGTTTTGTTCTGTTTTTGGTATAGGATTGTCTTGGCTATTCAGGCTCTTTTTTGGTTCCACATGATTTTTTTAAATCATTTTTTCTAGTTCTGTGAAATGTTTAATAGGAATAACATTGGGGGCGAGAGCGGTGGCTCACACCTGTAATCCCAGCACTTTGGGAGGCTGAGGAGGGTGGATCACCTGAGGTCAGGAGTTTGAGACCAGCCTGGCCCACATGGTGAAACCCCGTCTCTACTGAAAACACAAAAATTAGCCGGGCGTGGTGGCAGGCACCTATCGTACCAGCTACTTGGAAGGCTGAGGCAGGAGAATCGCTTGAACCCGAGAGGCGGAGCTTGCAGTGAGCCAAGATCGGGCCATTGCACTCCAACCTGAGTGACAAGAGCAGCGAAACTCTATCTCAAAGAAAAACAACAAGCAAACAAAAAACAGAAACAAACAAACAAACAAAAACCAGAATACTATAAATTGCTTTGGGTCATATGGCCATTTTCACAATATTGATTCTTTCCATGCATGAGCATAGAACGTTTTTCCGTTTGTTTCTATCATCTTTGATTTCTTTAAGCAATGTTTTGTAATCCTTCACATAGAGATTCTTCACCTCCCTAGTTAGCTGTATTCCTAGGTATTTTATTCTTTTTGTGGCAACTGTTAATAGGAATTCATTCCTGATTTGGCTGTCAACTTGATTGTTGCTGGTGTATAAGAATGCTAGTGGGCAACAGAGCGAGACTCCGTCTCAAAAAAAAAAAAAAAAAAAAAGAATGCTAGTGATTTTTGCACATTGATTTTGTAAACTGAGACTGCTGAAGTTGTGTATCAGCTTAAGATTTGAGGCTAGGACTATTAGGGTTTTTTGGTTTGTTTTGTTTTTGAGACAGGTTCTCACACTGTCGCCCAGGCTGGAGTGCAGTGGCACAATCGTGGCTCACTGCAACCTCCGCCTTATTGGGGTTTTTTAAAAATAGAATCATTTCATCTGCAAACAGAGATAGTTACACTTTCTCTCTTCCTATTTGGATGCCCTTGATCTCTTTCTCTTGCCTGATTGTCCTGGCCAGGACTTCCAAAACTACATGGCGAGAGAGGGCATCTTTGTCTTGTGCTGGTTTCTAGGGGAATGCTTTCAGCTTTTGTTCATTTAATATGATGTTGACTGTGGGTTTGTTATACATAGCTCATTATTTTCAGGTATGTTTCTTCAGTACATAGTTTATTGAGAGTTTTCATGATGAATGGATGTTGAATTTTATCAAAAGCCATTTCTGCATCTATTGACAAAATCATGTGATTTTTGCCTTTAGTTCTGTTATGTGATGAATCACATTTATTGATATTTGTGTGTTGAACCAATTGCATCCCAGGGATAAAGTCTACTTGTTCATGGTGGAGAAGATTTTTGATGCGCTGCTGGATTCTGTTTGCTAGTATGTGACTGAGAGCTCTGCATCCATGTCCACCAAGTATACTGGCCTGAAGTGTTTCTTGGTTTGTTTTTGTTGTTGTTGTATCTCTGCCAAGTTTTGGTGTCAGGCTGATGTTGGCCTCACAGAATGAGTTAGGAAGAAGTCTTTCCTCCTCAATTTTTTGGAATAGTTTCAGTATGAATGGTACCAGCTCTTCTGTCTACATATGGTACAATTCCACTATGAATCCATCTGGTCCTGGGCTTTTTTTTTTTTTTTTTTTGATGGACTATTTATTACTGCCTCAGGTCTGTTTGGGGATTCAATTTCTTCCTGGTTCACTCTTGGGAGGGAGTATGTGTCCAAGAATTTATCTGTTTCTTTGAGAGATTCTAGTATATGTGCACAGAGGTATTCATCGTATTGTCTGATGGTTGTTCGTATTTCTGTGGGGTCAGTGGTAATGTTCCTCTTGTTTCTGATTGTGTTTATTTGAAACTTCTCTCTTTTCTTCTTTATCAGTTTAGCTAGTTGTCTATTTTAATTTTTTCAAAAATTCAGCTCCTGAATTTGTTGATCTTTTGAGTGGTCTTTCATGTCTCAGTATCCTTCAGTTCAGCTTTTATTTTGGTTATTTATTGTCTTCCAGCTTTAGGGTTTGTTTTCTCTTGGTTCTCTAGTTCTTTTAGTTGTGATGTTAGGTTGTTAAATTCAGATCTTTCTAGCTTTTTGATGTAGGCATTTAGTGCTATAAATTTCCCTTTTAACACTGCCTTGGCTATGTCCCAGGGATTCTGGTATGTTGTATCTTTGTTCTCATTAGTTTCAAAGAAGTTCTTGATTTCTATCTTAATTTCATTATTTACCTAAAAGTCATTCAGGAGCAGGTTATTCCATTTCCATTTAATTGCATGGTTTTGAGTGAATTTCTTCATCTTGATTTTTAATTTGATGGCATTAGGTTCCAAGAGACTGATGATTATAATTTCAGTTACTTTGCATTTGCTGAGGAGTATTTTCCTTTTGATTATGTGATCCATTTTAGAGTATTTCTCATGAGGTATTGAGAAGAATGTATACTTTGTTGTTTTTGGGTGGAGAGTTCTATAGATAGCTACCAGATCTATTTGATCCCATGCTGAGTTTAGGTCCTGAATATCTTTGTTAATTTTCTGTCTCACTTATCTGTCTCATATAGTCAGTGGAGTTTTAAAGTCTCCCACTATTATTGTGGGAGTATCTAAGTCTCCTTGAAGTTCTCTAAGAACTTGCTTTATGAATCTGGGTGCTCCTTTGTTGGGTGCGTATATATTTAGGATAGTTAGCTCATCTTGTTGAATTGAGCCCTTTACCATTATGTAATGCCCTTCTTTGCATTCTTTAATCTTTGTTGGTTTGAGGTCTATTTTGTCTGCAACTAGGTTTGCAACATCTACTTTGTTGTTTTCCATTTGTTTGGTAGATTTGTCTCCATCCTTTTATTTTGAGCCTGTGTGTGTCACTGCACGTGAAATGGGTTTCTTGAAGATAACATACCAATGGATCTTGGGTCTTTATCCAGCTTGTCAGTCTGTGTATTTTAATTGTGGCTTTTATCCCATTTACATTTAAGGAAATTCTCCAACCTAGATAAAGAGCACAACATTCAAATTCAGGAAATACAGAGAACCCCAGTAAGATACTTCACAAGAAGATTATCCCCAAGGCATATAATCATCAGATTCTAAAAAGAAAATATCCAAACCCAAACAATTTTATGATCAATTATACTAAACTTTCCTTAAACACAGTTATAAAAATAAAAATAAAAAGAGAAATAGCTATGTAATTCATTTTACTAAACCATATGATTCTAAGCCCCAAAGCAGAATAAGGGGGATTATTCAATAGATACAAAAAAAAAGGTATTTTACAGGTGAGAAAATTGAGACATACAAAGATGAAGCCACCCCTCAATGTCACACAATGAGTTAAGTAGAGGATCTGGGTGGTAATACTTGTTAATCACAAAGGAGTCTTGTGATTGGCATTTATAGTTATAGTTTATGAAATTAGTAGAGTTATATTTTAACTTTTGATATTTCAGAGTTCTAGATATAAATTTTTCCAAAGCATAATCTATTTCTAGAACAATAAAAATGAGCCTTGAGGACTATCAGGTTCAGTTCTGTTATTTCACAAAGGAGGGAATCAAGACAGAGGACCCTGCATTGGTGACTGAGTCATGTATTCTTATTCCATTTGTGCTGGTTAGAATAAATATTAAGTACTATGTTTAGAAAAAAAGCATATAAAGCTAGAAATACACTAGAACTTTCTTAATTTAGCCAAAACCTTTTTAGGAAACCTCAGGATTTATTTTTAAAATATTTACTTAGATATATTTTTCTTTTTTTTTTTTCTTTTTTTTTTTTTTTGAGTCCATGTCTCGCTCTGTTGCTGAGGCTGGAGTGCAGTGGCACGATCTCAGCTCACTGCAGCCTCTGCCTCCCGGGTTCAAGCGATTCCCCTGCCTCAGCCTCCCTAGTAGCTGGGATTACAGGCACATGCCACAAAGCCCGGCTAATTTTTCTATTTTAGTAGGAACAGAGTTTCACCATGTTTGCCAGACTGGCCTTGAACTCCTGACCTCAGGTGATCTGCCCACCTTGGCCGCCCAAAGTGCTGAGATTACAGGCGTGAGCCACCACACCCAGCCTATATTTTCTTTAAGGTCAAGAATAAGATAAAAAGGTCCAGTTAACACAGGAGTATAACAGGGGAAGAAATTAACAGGTGGTATAGAGATACCAAGGGAAGAGACACAACTGGCATTATCTGCAGACGATAGAACTGACTACACTGAAATTGCAATAGAACTAAAAAAAAATAGAATTATGGAATTTATCTGGGATTCTAAATTCAAGATGAATTTACAAAATGCAAAACATTTTTAGATTTTTTTAAAAAAATTTACATTAATAATATCCTACTAGGTTATATCTTAGATACCTTTTGTGATAGAAAAAAATGGGAATTCACTTGACAAAAATTTACCTTGCACTAGGAATTTATACAGAAAAAAGTAATATTAAAGATTATAAAGAATATAAAACATGAACTAATAAAGAAATTCATTTCATGTTTATGGATGGATTAACATTATAAACGTGCCAATGCTCCCCCAAATTAGTCTATAAATTCAAATCAAATTTGAGTCAAAATCCAACAGGTTTTTTTTCTGGAACCCAGTAAAATTATTTAAAATTTTACCTTGAAGTATAAAAATACACAATGGTTAATTTGTAGAAAGAACAAATATTCATCCTTCCCAATATTGGGATATATCAAAAAGCACAGGAGTTTTAAAAATATTATGAAACTAGTTCAATAACTAGACCAATAAAACCTGAGTGAGAACTTAGAAAAACATTAATGCACATGTGAAATAAAGTGGAGTAGAATGCTGGGGTTAAGGGCATAGATAACAGAGCTAGACTGCTTATATCCCAAAACATGGTTCTAGTACTTATTTATGTGACCTTGGCCTAGTACTCACCATTCTGTGCTTCAGTTTTCTGTTCTCTAAAATAAGAATTAAAAACAGTATCTTCTTTATTTGGTTGTTGTAAGAACCAGTTGAGTATAGTACTCAGAACAGTAGTTGGCATAGGGTAGGTTCTCCATAAAGATTAGTCATTATCAGAGACCTGTGTTGAGAGGCTGTGTCTCAAAGGATGTTAAATTCCGTCAAGTGCTTTTTTTGAATCTGTTGAGATAATAATATGCTTGTTATCCTTCATTTTGTTAATGTGCTATATCTCATTAATTAATTTGCATTTGTTGAATCATCCTTGTATCCCAGGGAGAAACACTGCTTGATTATGGCATGTGAGCCTTTTATGTGATGTTTAATTTTGTTTGCTAGTATTCTCTTGAGGATTTTTGCATCTATATTTATCAAAGATATTAGCCTATAATTTTCTTTTCTTGTACTGCCCTTGTCTAGTTTTGGTATCAGGATACTGATGGCCTTGTAAAATGAGTTTAGAAATATTTACTCTTCTTTAATATTTTGGAAGAGCTTGAGAAGAATTGGTACTATGTCTTCTTAAATTGTTTGGTAGAATTTACCAGTGAAGTAATCTGGTCCTGGGCTTTTATTTACTGAGAGATTCTTGATTAAATCTTCTTCCTTATTATTGGTCTGTTCAGATTTTCTATTTCTTTATGATTCAGCTTTAGTAGGTTGTATTTTTCTAGGAATGTGTCTTTATTTTCTATGTTATGCAATTTGTTGGCGTATAATTGTTAATAGTATTCTCTTACTATTTTTTTCCAGTAATATCATTTGTAACGTCTTCTCTCTCTCCCTTTTTCTTTTCACTCTTTTTTCTTTTCTTTTCTTTTCTTTTTTGGAGAAGGAGTCTTGATCTGTGGCCCAGGCTGGAGTGCAGTGGCGTGATCAGGGCTCACTGCAACCACCACCTCCCAGGTTCAAGCAATTCTCCTGCCTCAGCCTCCTGAGGAGCCTTTTTTCTTAATCTAGCTAAAAGTTAGTAAATTTTGCTTACCTTTCCAAAGATAAACTCTTAATTTGGTTTACCATTTTTATTGGTCTCTGGTGTTTATTACATTTATTTCAGCCATAGTATTTGTTTTCCTTACAGTAATGTTCTTAATTTGGTTTACTATTTTTATTGGTCTCTGGTCTTTATTACATTTATTTCAGCCATAATATTTGTTTCTTTTTTTCCTCTACTAACCTTGGACTTGGTTCCTTAAAAGTTATGAGTTAGTTTGTTTATTATTTGTTTATTTATTTTGAGACGGAGTCTTGCTCTTGTTGCCCAGACTAGAGTGCAATGGCGCAATCTCGGCTCACTGCAACCTCCACCTCCTGGGTTCAAGCAATTCTCCTGCCTCAGCCTCCCAAGTAGCTGGGATTACAGACATATGCCACCACACCTGGCTAATTTTTGTATTTTTAGTATAGACAGAGTTTCCCCATGTTGGCCAGACTGGTCTCAAACTCCTGACCTCAGGTGATCCACCCTCCTCAGCCTCCTAGAGTTCTGGGTATACAAGCGTGAGCCACCGCACACGGCCATTAGAGTTTTTTCTTAATGTGTGATAAGTATCTATCACTATAAAATTCCTTGTAGAACTGTTTTTGCTGCATGTCCTAAGTTTGGTATATTGTGTTTCTATTTTTGTTTTTCTCAAGGTATTTTTAAATTTCCCTTTTGATTTCTTCTTTGACCCATTAGTTGAGGAGTATGTTGTTTACTTTCCACATATGTGTGAATTTTTAAGTTTTCCTCCTATTATTGATTTCTAGCTTCCTACCATTGTGGTTGAAAAATATAAGCTTGATATGATTTCAGTCTTCTTAAATTTGCTAAGACTTGTTTTGTGGTTTAACAAATGAACTATCCTGGAGAATATTCTGTGCACACTAGAGAAGATGTGTATTGTCCTGCTGCTGGATAGAATGTTCTGTATATGTCTGACAGGGTCATTTGGTTTAAAGTGTAGTTCAAGTCCATTGTTTCTTTTTTTTATTTTCTGTCTAGATAATCTATCCATTGTTAAAAATAGGGTATTTACTTTTCCTACATTACTGTATTGCTGTTTATTTTTCCCTTCAGTTATGTTAGTATTTGATTTTTATAGTTGGTTGTTCTGATGTTAAGTTCATATATGTATTTATAATTCCACATTCTTTTGATGAAATGCCTACTTTATTATTATGTAATGACCCTCTTTGTCTCTTATTATAGTTTTTTATTTAAAGTTTATTTTGTCTTGTGTAATATATCCACCCCTTCTCTATTTCTATTTCCATTGACATGGCATCTCTTTTTTCTTCACTTCACTTTCATCCTATGTGTGTCCTTAAAGCTGAAGTGAGTTTCCTGTAGTCGACATATAGTTGGGCCTTGTTTTCTTTTATTCGTTCAGTTACTCCATGTCACTTTCTGAGAGAATTTAATTAAAGTAATCAAAAATAGGCAAGAACTTACTACTAACAAAATCAATTTTGTTAATTTTGTTCTGGCTGTTTTTAGTTCCTTTGTTTCTTTCTCCCTCTCTTGCTGTCATCCTTTTTTTATTTAGTGATTGTCTCCAATGGTATGCTTTGTTTCCTTTCTGCTTATCTTTTTGTATCTACTACAGATTTTTGCCTTTTTGTATCTACTATAGATTTTTTTATCTACTATAGATTTTTGCGTTCTGTATCTACTGTAGATTTTTCATCTATAGTAGATTTTACCATGAGGCTAACATAAAACATCTTATAGCTATAACAGTGTATTTGAAGCTGTTAACAACTTAATTTTGATTGCATACAAAATTCTACACTTTTACACCCCTCTCCACATTTTGTTTCTGATGTCACAATTTACATTTTTTATACTGTGTATCTATTAACAAGCTATTGTAGTTACTGTTATTTTTAATACTTTGTATTTTAACTTTTATACCAGAGTTAAAAGTGATTTACACACCACCATTACAGTATTAGAGTATTCTGAATTTGGAAATATTTGTATTTACTTTTACCAATGAGTTTTATACTTTGATATGTTGCAATGATACACATTCCTCTTTTTGGCATGAAGAATGCCTTTTAGCATTTTTTTCATGGCAGATCTAATGGTGATAAACTCTCTCAGCTTTTTTTTTTTTTTTTTTTTTTTTGGTCTGGAAAACTATATCTTCTTCATTTCTGAAAAACAGATTTTCTGCATAAAATATTTTTGGTTGGTTGGTTGTTCTTTCAGCACTTTGAATATAGCATCACTCTCTCCTTGCCTGTTAAGTGCCTCCTGAGAAATCTTCAGATAGTCTTATTAAGTTTCCCTTGTATGTGATGAATCTTTTTTTCTCTTGCTGTTTTAAATATTCTTTGTCTTTGATTTTTGACACTTTTCTTATGATATTTCTTGGTAAACTCATCTTTGGATTGATCTTGTGTGGAAACTTTTGAGCTTCATGTGCTTGAATGTCTACATTTTTTCTCTTATTTGGAAAGTTTTCAGCCATTTTTCAAAAATAAGATTTCTTTCCCATTCTGTCTCTTTTCTCCAGATTCTTTCTTCTTCTTAGTAACATCTGCTCTTGATCATCTCTATTGCATTTTTATTCTATTCATTGTGTTCTTCAGGTCCAAAATTTCTGGGTTCTTTAAATGATAAACTTCTCATTTGTTCATGTATTGTTTTCCTGATGTTATTGAACCTGTGTTCTCTTGTAGCTCACTGAACTTCCTTAAAGCAATTATTTTGAATTGTCAGGTACTTCATAGATCTCCATTTCTTCAAGCTCAGTTACTGAAAAATTATTGCATTTGTCTAGTAGTGTCATGTTTCCTTGATGTTTCATGTTCCTTGTAGAATTGGGATACTTTTGCATTTGAAGAAATCATATCCTCTAGTTTTTAATTACTGGCTTTGGGAGAAAAACACCTTCACAGTCAACCCTACTAGGAATTCTGGGGTTCCCTAAGACCTTTCCTATAAATGTATTCCCTACACAACTCTTCTTCCCTCTTGGAGTTGGAGGTGGGGGCAATTCTTATGATTATATGACTTCTCTTGATCCTGAAAAGTCATTCTGGGTGCTGATAGCCACCTATTTGTTTTTCCTAGAGTGGCCTCCTAAAATGTCCAAGTTTGTGTGCCTCCTCACAATTCTGCAGAGTTGAACCAGGTGTCTTCCCATGTCTATGAGCCATCTGCAGAGGCTTGCACTAACATTTTAGGGGAGCTTACATAGGAAGCTTGCCACAGTGTAGCATGGGTAAGACACATGAAGCATTAGGGTGTTCTTGGGCCATTTGAGTCCATCTACAGGTGAAGAATTCCAAGTGGCTCATCCCAAAAGGCTGTTTGGGTGTCTGAAGTAGTTAGTAGAATCCAAAATCCATTTTTGGGTTCTGAGTCCTCATTTTTATAATTGCCTATCTCTCGTCCCTGAACCCAGTCTCTCCTCACCACTCCACTGTGCCAGTCACCCCAGTGTTCTGCGTACGGTGAGAAAAAAGTGGGCCTTTTGGGCAGCGCTCCACTTATCTGTGGAAGCTAAGTGCTTTTTCACTATTCTCTCACTTTCCCATATGGGTGAAATCATGGGCTGAAAAGTCTTTTATTTGTATCACATTGTCCTGTTTTAGGGAGGGGTTAATGCAAATGAAGTGAAACTGTTTTTCTTACTCTTTTTCAATATGTCTATTCCTGGATTTTTTGTTCCAGCTCTGTGCTGAACTTTTCTGCTGGATTCCTGGACTCTTACAAAGGTATTCTCATCTGTAGGTGGTTGTCAAAATTTATGCTTCTGTTGGAGATTGCAGTAGAAAATTTTTATTCTGCCACTTTGCTTTTGTCATTCAAATAATTATGGTTAGTGAAGAAGATATAAAGGGATATATCTTTATGATAAATAACTACCTCTCATTAAGAATTAAGATGATGAAAGCAAGCATAGAATGTAGGAAGGCGTATGTGTACACATCCTCATTCTTTCAAATGGAGAGATAATAAATTTCAAAGCTTATAAATTAGGAAATAGTTTTATAAATGCAATCAGAACACAGCTATCTAAATTGCAAAAAAAAGAAACATGAAAACCAAAGCATGCTAAAGAAAGCAAATGCAATCTATAAAGGAGATCAAAAGAAGCCCTGAAAACAAAGTCAAATATAAAATTATTAGTTCTAAATATAGAAAATGTGCTGAATTTCCAAAGCCCACCATTCATATTTTTAATACACTTTCCAGCTCACATTTTCTGTCTGTGACATACTATTGTTTCCTATTCCCAAGAGCTGGTTTAATATTTGATTCACCTTTGTGTCCAGTTCCATGCATACAGTAGGCATTACAAAATTTAAAAATGCTCAATTTATAATGAATATATGAGAGAACTTACAAAAAGATCATGGAAAATGTAATTAATAGATACAAATTAAAAAAACTAAACTTTACTTCTCAACATAAACTCCATCTAAGTCAACACACTTTTGTAAGTGATCATCCCAGTGACTTAGTTCACCCCTAAAGAACTGAGGGCCCTGGGAAGGTCACCATGTCAATACAGTCTATTTTACATTATTAACATAATTTACATAATTATAAATGGGTGCCCTCTAAAGATTCTTTTAAAAGATTTTTAAGATTAGGAAACAAAAAGAAGTCAGAAGGAGCTGAATCAGGCCAGGGATAATTGTGTAAGCTGAACCACTTGAGATGTCTATGGTGTTGGCTATTGTTTTTGCTGTTAATCATCAATCCTCTTCAATTAGGACATGAAGATTAATTTTTTCTTGCAAATTGATGTGGATGGTCTGCTGCTGTGAGCTTCATCTTCAACATCATCTCATCCCTTCTTAAAATGAATTATCTGTCTGTTAACTGCTGATTTCTTTGGGACATTGTCCCCATAAACTTTTTGTAAAGAACTAATGATTTCACCATTCCTCCACTCAAACTTATGCAAACCTTTGATGTTTGTTCTTGCTTCAATTTTAGCAGAATTTGTGTTGCTGTCTGACAGGGGCTCTTTTTAAGTTGGTGTCTTATCCTTAGTGCCACAAATGAGATCCTGTTCAGACATGTTAAGACAAGTTAGTACAAGTTTATTTTGTTGCCAAAAAAAAAAATGAAATACATGCATAGTGTTTTTATACTATGCATTTTTAATGAACTTTGAAGACACCTCATATGTATTTAGAAGCCTAGGTAAAGGAAAGTGAAAGATTTTTTAAATACCATTCAAAGTTCATTGATTCTACCTTTTATGACAATATGATTTTGAGGAGGTTTGAAGAACGGTTAAGAATAATGCATTAAGCTTTACCTGCTTGGCCTGAGGAATTCAGTTTAGAGGCTTAGAAAAAAACACACACACACACAAAATGGCACACTCAAACTGGAAATTAGAAGAGGGTTTTATAAAGCCTTTCTTTTGGCAATACTATGTTTTCTGTGTAGGAAAACTGTAACAAACTGCTCACTACCCTAGGACTACTAACAATGAAGCACTGCTACCATCCGGAGCCTACTGAGAGTGAAGTGAAGAAATAGTTTTCCAAAGAGAGAGAGAGAGAGAAGTCTACCTGACAGAAATTGTGACCTTCCATCCAGAAAGTCAGCATTTAACAATCCTTGTGAAAGACTGAATAGGAGAATAACACTCTGACTTCACTCCCCTCACACTCACCAAACTCGTGGAAGTGTCTTGTATTGGTTAAACAACTGAATGCTAGAAGACAAAGGAGCCAATTGATTCAGCTTACAAGGTGAGCCTCCCTGAGCAAAGTGCAGATAGAAAAAGCTGGGTAGAGATTCTGGAAGGACAAACAGATTTCAGCACAAAGACTTTACTTCTTATAACTGGGAGGATAAGGTTTATGTCAATTTTTTCCATGGTATTCAGATAAAGATGTATTGTATTAATAAATGCAATGTGTTGATTCTGAGCTTCTGTTTGATCCATAATTATAGCCTCTGCCTTCTTTATATCAAATATCTTTTCAAATAAAAATGAAAAATGACATTCTCCACTCTCAGATAAAGGATTCTCAGTCACAGATCTTATTTTGTTTTCCCTGAGTTAGAAAATTGGGTTTATAATCTAGTTTCTGGTCAATACAAAATAAGTCATGAATAACTGAGTTTTCTATTCTGCAACAATTTTCTGACCATGCAATTCTCAGTGTAGCAAAGATGAATTTATTTCTCTGCAAAGCAGAGCCAAAGAAATAGCTGAAGAGTGTCTTCTCTCTTGGCTTCTAGAGAAGCCAGTCCTTTGGTGCCAAATATTACATGACCCTTTTTACCACATCATTAATAAGGACAGATGTTTTGAATTGAGGATCAAACAAAAGCCAAAATATGCTCTTGACCTTAAAGGACAGGATGAAACTCCACTGTACTATAATGCTTTTTTTTTCATCCGAAGACATTATTTTGGTGTGCATTCTTTCTGTTACAAATCTGTCAAGCAAATTAAAATGCTTTCTTAGTCTCTCTTAACTAGTTAAATTTGAGCTCTGTAGAACTATTATCAACTGCTCTTAAGACAGTATAACATAGATGAGATTCTCATCAATGAATTGAACTTTAGGTCTCGGGTTAAAAGGAGGTAGAATGCCGTGATATATTTTCATAACCTCTTTTATTTTTATAAAATTCACATAAAACATGCCAGATAATGGTTCTTCATGGTAAAGTTTGGGGTTTATAATATGTTTTTATATTCTAGTCAATTTATTTTCCCACTTACACAATCATGATTTCAAACATTCAGTTCTCTACTCCCATACCTACCTTCTTATTCTCAGAAGAGTTAAGAGATGCCTGAAGAGCTCCACTTAGATGTCACATTGGTACCTAAAATTTTTTATTTCTTCTTTAAATATTCCTTTCCTCTGAGATTTTCTGTTTCATCAAATGGCATACCTATCATCCAGTTTCCAAAGCAGAAATCTGGGAGTTTATTGAATTACCACTATTCATTACACATCCCACCACATCTGCAATTGCCATAGATTGGGTTCCCTAAGAAGCAAACTCTGAAGCACAAATTAGTATACACAAGTTTACTAGGAAGTACCCTTGGGATCAACAGCTGTGGAAGGGGGAAAATATGCAGTATTGGGTAAAGGGAAAAGTTGAGTTGAGATGCAGTCTCAATGGAAGTCTCAGCTAACCCCACGTTTATTCCTGAAAAGACAGCTATAACTTCATGATGAATTGTCATTCAATATGTGCCACTCCAGGAAGGTGTGCAATCTCAGGAAAGAGATTTTTCCAGCTAAAGGTGAGGCTTTTTAGCAGCAACATTCCCTGAAGTGTGAATTTCACTGATATGGCATCCACTGTACCAATAAATCACCTTATCCTATCATTTCATTTCTTAAATTGCCCTCAAGTCAATCCACTACTTTGTGTCTCTACTTCCACTATCCTAGTTCAAGTCATTAACATCTTCCCCATAATGTCAACTTTATAAAGGGTGTCATTGTATCCAGTATATTTCCCTTGTAATTTATTTTCTGCCCAGCTGTGTAATCTTTATAAATCACTTATTGAACCATCTCTCTCTGCTTAAAACTCCCATTGCTGTTACCATAAAACATCAGTTCCTTATTATGACCAGTAAGGCTCTAAAAATCTTTTCTCTGCATGCCTCTTCTTTAACATCCTGAAACCACTTACCTCCTCTCAAGCTATCCTCTGGCAATAACTGCCTCCCGTGAGCCTCTAAATGTTGGTTGTATACATCACTTATCTTTTATGTTTATTTCCTCTATCATCAAACTTTCCTAAAAAAGAAAAGAACTTTCCTGTTATAAAAATGTTTTACAATTTTCTACCACTATTATTTTAATTTGTACAAATTGCTTGCTAAATAGCCTCTTAAAGACAGAATCAACATGGCCCAGTATATGGCACATGTTAATAAATGTTAATAAATTTGTTGATTGAATGTATGAGTGTTATCTAAAGTAATTGCCTAAGTTGATATAGGAGAATATGCCAACATTTCTGAATCATTGATAAGTGTAATGCAATAATATTTCCATCCTAATTTGATAATATAATTTTTTAAGCTTTTCATTTTTCTGCAAGAAAATTAAGCCAATTTATAATAATTGCTTATAACAGTGTGTTCTCAGGTAGACTTCTGTTTGTATATCAATATATTATCTACTGTACCAGGTTGACTGAATGGTATTTTTACATTGTAAAGACATAATCTTATACCTTCTTCAATAACCATAATTAAAAGATCACACTGGAATAATATGCAGAAATACTGCTATGAAGGAAAGTAGAAACAGTGAACTCATTTTGAGAATGTATCAGTTTTCTACTACTGCCCTGTGAAACTTAATGGCTTAAAACAATACGAATTCATCATTCTTTAGTTCGATAGGTCAGGAGTCAGACATAAATCCCACTGAGCTAAAATTAAGGTATTTGGCATGGCTGTATTTATTTCTCGAAGCTCTTGGATGTTTTCTTTCCATTTCCAATTTCCATGGGCCTCATACAGTCTTTGGCTCACAGGCTCTTCTTCTACCCTCAAAGCCAGCAACGCCAGGTTAATTCATTCTTACATTGTATCTCTCTGACTAGCCACATCTGGGAAAAATTCTCTGTTTTTAACAGCTTACAATTAATTTAGACCCTCCCAGATAATCCAGGGTAATCTCTTATTATAGTCTGTGCCCCTACTCAAGTTTGCAAAATACTTTTTGACATGTAAAATAAATATTTACAAGTTTCATAAGATTATGGTATCAGCATCTTTCAGTAGTCATTACTCTACCTAATACTACCTGAGGTGGTTCTTAGAAAGATAGTCTAGTAATATTAATTTAGTAATATTTTAATAATCAAAGAATTTTTAATTTAGACTTTTTTAGTCAAATATTTAAATTAAAATTTAAACAAGTAACATTTGAACAAATAAGTATATATAAATATGTTTATATTTACTGTAAATAAATACATATATTTACTGTATATGTAAATTTTATGCTAACATATACTGTTGACTTCAAATTATAGGAGATCCTTATTATCCAAAGTACTTAAAACGAATCCTTTTAAGTGGGAAACATACACTAATAAATAATAAAAATCAAGTTTAATAATTTATCTTTTTAAAAAATCTAAAATTCATTTGAATTTATTTCATTTCCAATTTAACAATGTAAACTATACTTGTAATTAGATGGTTGTTCTTAGAAATAAAAAATGAAGCAAGCATCATTTTTTTTTTTTTTTTTTAGGCAGAGTCTCACTCTGTCAGCCAGGTTGTAGTGCAGTGGTGTGGTCGCGGCTCACCTCAACCTCTGCCTCCCAGGTTCAAGCAATTCTCCTGCCTCAGCCTCCTGAGTAGCTGGGATTACAGGCATGCATCACCACACTCGGCTAATTTTTGTATTTTTAGGAGAGATGGGGTTTCACCCTGTTGGCCAGGCTGGTCTCGAACTCCTGACCTCAACTGATCTGCCCATCTTGGCCTCTCAAAGTGCTGGGATTACAAGCATGAGCCACCGCACCCAGCCACATCATGCTTTTTAAAAGTAATTTTTCAGCTAAACTGTACTATAGCATGATACAACATCCTGTACATTGACTGCTCAAAGTAGTATGAGAAAGAACAGCATCTTGCTAATTAATAGCCCATTTCTCATTAAGGCGTATTAGTTAATTTAGATAAAGCTTTCTACTAAAAATAACTAGAGAAGCTAGAATAGGTAGAGAGGTAGACATGTAGATAGACAGATAGATGATAGATAGATAGATAGATAGATAGATAGATAGATAGATAGACAGACAGGCAGACAGATCTATTGGAGAGTTTTTGGCAAGCTAACAAAATAATGAAAAAATGCCTGTTTGATGTAAGAAAAAGGAAAATGAGGCTGTGGACAGTGATCCCAACATTTGAAACACTGCCTATGGGGCTATCTGCCAAAAGCTCCTAAGAGAAAGATAATCTGAGTCACACTTATGACAATCTTATAAGGCTGAATGGATAAAAATTAGAATTGAGGATCTGCTAACATGTCAGGTTGCTGGTAAGCCTCTGCATATTTTTGGTTCAAATTTGGAAACAATATATCCCAGGAGAAAGTGTGAACTGGATGAATATAGACTGGTACTTTCAGGGACTACAGATCAACTTCAAATAATCTTCAAATGATCTAAAAATGTTTTAAATAAACATAAGCCAAAACAGCCAGGAACACATAAAGACAAGACTACATGAAGGAAATGTAGCAGAAACAAAATAAAATAGAAGCTTACTGACAGGAGCTGTAAGTATTAGAGTTGCCAGATCTCCTCTGTATAACAGAGAAAAAAGTCTGTAACTGAAAGATATAAAAACTGAAATTGATAATTTAATGATAAGATTTAATGTAAGTTTATGTCTCTAAGTTTAGACATATGTCTGTAGGTTTAGACATAGCTGAAGAAACAATCAATGATGTTGAAGATGAGTCAGAGGAAACATACTAATTAGTCATGGAGGAAAAAGAATGGAAAAGGCAAAATAATTGAGTAAAACATAAGATATAGTGAGACAGTCTTACATAGGTACAATTGGAATCTCAGAAAAAGAAAAAAGAGAAAAAGAAGCAGCACCAATATGTAAAGAGATAAAGGATGAAAATTATCCAATGATGAAAGACAAAAGCATTCAAGAAATACTTTGAGATAAACAGCAAACTGTTTTATATTCATATCTTACTAATAATCCTGTAAATACCAGACAATAACAGTATGTAAAGGAAGCTAAAAACACACAAAAAAATTGAAAGGGCAACGATTTGACACAAAGCTAAATGCTCAAAAGAAATAATACATTTTTAAGTGTTATCTTTATAATACTGAAATAAAATAAATATGAATCAAGAATTCCATACTAAGAAAAATAATAAAATAAGGATCTCAAGTAATGTATGTGAAATAAATTTATCTTCGTATTAATAAAAATTGAGAATTTTTCCCAACAGACAAAATGAATTACAAGGAGTATTTTTCAAGAAGGAAAAGAATCTCAGATGAAAGATCAGAGATGTATGAGAAATGAAGAGCAATAAAAGCAATCAATATCAGGGTGAATATAAATAAACATTGACTATGCAAAATAATTACACTGTCTTAGGAATAATATATAATATATAATACATAGTCATATATAATATATGTAAAAAGAATTAAAATATATTACAACAATAAAAACAATAGCTAGAAATGTAGGGGTAAAAAGATTTAAAGTGTTATAAATTCCTTGTATTTTTTAAGCATAATGTAAAAACACCAATTAATATTGCATTAGTCAATAATATTGTATTCCCAAAGTAATACAAAGAGAATAATAAAAAAATAACTTTTACTTATGAGGTGAGAAAATAGAACCAAATAAACATAAATCTACACAAAAGATTATGAATATGAGGAATAAGAAAAGAGAGAGGATGGATAAATAGAAATCAAAATAGAAACATAATACATTTAAATACAAATATATCAATAATCATATTACCTACAACTAGACTGATTAAAGGAAATATATAACTGAATTTTAAAAGTGATACATGACTTACCAAAATGTCTAAACTATAAGAATACAATGAAGTTGAGGTTAAAGACTGGAAAAAGTGGTAGAATATGAACAATAACTGAAAAAAGTTTTTAAGTCTACCAGTATTGAAGTAAACTTTAATATAAAACACTATTATCAGAAATAAAGACAGACACATCAAATGGTAAAACATTAATCCATTAGGCTTGTATAGTATAAAGATATAAAAGACACATTTGTATATACCTAATGCCATTGTCTCAAAATGTATGAGAAAAAATAGGTAAATCCATATAGAGGGATATCTCAATACAGCTTAATCATGTACTAATAGAATAAGCGGAAAAAAATCAGTAAGGATGGGGAAAATTTGAACTATGACTAATAAACTTGACCTAATTGAAATATGTGGAACGCTGTGCCCTACACCTGCACAATACACATTCTTTCAATAAACACATGGAATATTCATAGACAATGACTAGCCAAAATAATTTAGTGTACATGTCTTGGCACGTTCTACTAAAGTTGAAGACATAAATACCTTACAACAAAGCAATTCCACTCAGTATGTATCAAAAAACGTATATACATATATGCACCAAAAGATATGCAAAATTGTTCGTAACAGCAATATTCACAATGGCCAAGAACTGGGAAAATCCCAACTGTTCATCAACAGAAGAGTGAATATTTATACAATGGAATACTACATGGTAATGAAAATAAATCACAGCTAAACATACCAACATATTAGAATATCACTCACCTAATGCTAATCAAAAGAACTCAGTCAAATACATACTGTATGTTTCCATGTTTAAGAAATTTTAAAAAATAAAGAGTAATGAAGGTAAAAGTAAAGAGTAATATTACAGATTAATATTATTGTTATGTTTGTTGAAAGGGAAGGGATAGTGAGGGGACATGAAATAGATGTTGGCAGCATTCCGTTTCTGGAACTGAGTGATGATTACATAGGTGTTCTTTGTGATCGTCGACCTCTGCAAATATGTTTTCTTTATGTTCTTTTCCATATGTGGGCTATAAATTAGAATTATATGTGGGAATGTATAATTATATATATACACATACATATACATATGTATATGTATACATTGTGTGTATAGTTGATCCTCAACACATGATGAAGTGACATCCCAGTAAAGTGATGAGTTGAAAATATTCTAAGTCAAAAATGGACTTAATACACTTAAACTACCAATAATCATGTCTTGAACTAACCTACCTTTAGTGTGCTCTTACATTAGCCTACAGTTGGGCAAAATCATCTAACACAAAGCCTATTTTATAATAAAATGTTCACTACCTCATGTACTTTATTGAATACTATACTGAAAGTGAAAAATAGAATGGTTGCATGGATATTCAAAGTATGGTTTCACTGAACATGTATTGCTTTTGCACCATTGTAAAGTTGAAAAATCATTAAGTTGAACTATTGCAAGTCAAGGCTCATCTGTGTGTGTGTGTGTGTGTGTGTGTGTGTGTGTGTGTGGTCAGAAATTAGAGTATGAAAAATATATACAGATTGAGAATCTCTAATCCAAAAAATCCAAAATTCTAAATACTCCCAAATTCTACACTTTTTGAGCACCAAGATGAAGCTACAGTGAGAAACTCCATACTTGGCCTTGGCCTCATGTGACCCGTCACAGCCAAAATGCAAATGCACAACACACAGTTTATTCAGTGTCTCCAAGGGAAAAAAATTAGCTTCAGGCTATGTGTGTGAGGTATACATAAAACATACATGAATTTTGTTTAGATTTGGATCCCATCCCCAAGATATACAGATATTCCAAAATCCAAAAAATAATCTGAAACACTTCTGGCTGCAAACATTTCAGAAAAGGGATACTCAACTTGTATCTAGTCAGATATTGAAGTATGAAAAATTTTAACTTTATTTCTGTAGTTGAATGCAATGTACTATCAAGTCCCTCTGACGACTGATAATAGACCACACTTGACCTTCACAAATAAAGGTATTTCATTCTCTTCTTTTTTAAAATAGTCTATTTTGGGTAGTTAGACTGGATATAGCACCAGCTGTCCTTCTTTGGCTCGGATGCCTCCTCTACAGAGCATTCAGAATCGCCTCTAAATTAACATTGAACAAAAATTTCAAGGATATAATACTGAACTGAACTAGTGTTAAAATAGTAAGCTCGATAACACACCTACATAACTGAGTTGTTCCTTATGTCAACTATTCATATGTAACTGTTCTATTTCCCCAAATCAGCATTTTTTTCCTTAAAAGCAAGATTCATACCTAACTCTTAGTTTTTGTTGTTTCTACTCTCTAAAATAATATACTCCATAAACCAGGCATTCACTAAATTTTTATGGATACTAACCATAGTCATAGGCTATTAAGGCAAAATAAGTTGGTGCAAAAGTAATTGCAGTTTTTGCCATTAGTTTTAAATGGCAAAACCATTACTTTTAAATGGCAAAAACTTCAATTACTTTTGTACCAACCTGATAATATCTTCATTTTGCATGAAAAGAAAATAAAATTAAATAAATTAAACTACTCATAGGAACACAGAGAGGAAATGAGAGTCAGTATTTAAATAAAGTGTGATTCCAAAACTAAGACTCTACCTACCAAGCTCTGTACATTCCCTAAATAAAAACATTATTTTAGATTAACCTGAAGGTCCATTAGATTCTATGCATTTTTTGTATAATTTCGTAGCTTTATAAAAAGAACAATGTATTTTAAAATTATATTTAAAATATGATAATTTTATTGTGAATACGTGTACTGAGATTATCTAAAGCAGAGATCGGCAAACTACAGCCTTAAGGCCAAATCTAGCCAGATTTCCATTTTTGTAAATGAAGTTTGACTGGGGCCTAGCCACTCCTGTTCATTCGTCTGTGGCTGCTTTAACAGAGTTGTGTACTTGCAACAGAGACTGCATGTCCCACAAAACCTAACCAATTACTCTCTGGCTCTTTATACGAAAAGTTGAGCGAGCCTATATAAGGATTCCAATATTTTTCAATAATGTTTATTGTGTACTCAGAATTTCCTAGACACCAAAATAAAAAATAAAACGGTGAATTTTATGATCAAGGTAAAAATAAATTATTTTTTATTCATGATGCTAAATTTGTCATTTGGATATTTATATATTATTTTGAATACCATAAAATAAAGAGGGATATATCCATCAGAGTCCAATCAGAAAATTAAAATCACAACAGACATTTGAACAAAAAAATTTAACATAAAGAATGGTTAAGTACTAGAAGTAAATGAGAATTCTTGTGAGGTGCAGAAGTGATAGCTGCAAAAAAAAGTAGTTACCACCTCTAGCCTGAGGAGCACACACAATAAAAGAACAAAGGATTAGAAGAAGGGCTCTGGCCCCAATGCTGAAATTCAGACCTCAGTATCATGGCACGGCTCCCACATGAACACACAAGTCTGCCCATGGCAAAGAAACCTGACAGAGAGTTCAGCCTAGAACTGGTCTGTGGAAACGGACTGCCAATGCAAAGAGGGGATAGGCCTGAGCTGATGTGTTTAATCACTGACTGAGCTGCTTGGAAGTGGTTTCTTCTAGGGAAATATGGTCTGAGGATAAAAGTGATGTTCCCTTGCTGAATAATAATAATGGATGATAAACCAGGAGGAAAGAGCCTTCCTTCCTCCATCACCTTGCAGCTTCACTCTTGCACTCTTTATTGATGAAGACTTAATTCCACTAGCTGTCAAGAACCACAATATTCAACTTCAGTACCATTAAGTGGGGCAAAGATGGGTGGATATGAATGTGAGCAACGATCGATTGGTATCTGGCATATTTGTGGAACAACAAGTTAATACAGCATACATGAATGTCTTCTATAACTTTTTTTAATGGACTCAATTAACATTTAGGTCATAAGTTTAGACTAGATTCAGGGAAGGCATTTTTCTGGCAGAAGGCTAAATTTTTGAGGAGCAGGCTATCTGCTTTTTCCTAATCTAAGTTGAAAATAAGATAGTGTTTAGAAATATAGAAGAGGGAGATGTATGTTGTTTAGAATAAAAAAATTTTAATTATAGTTTATTTTTCTCTAGAAAAAAATCATCTGAAAGAACAAATTAATCCCCTGAAAGGGACAGATGGTGTTATGATAGCATTATCAAATAATGCTCTCTGTTCTGCTTTTTTACAGGGTTGCGAATATTTCCAGGCCTCTTCAAACTCTACCAACCTAGTGTTTAGCATTTGCAAAGGGTGTCACGCATGTGCTCACAATAATATAATTTTTCTCAGTGATCACATATTATCTGACATTTTTATCCTCTATTGATCCAGACGAATGGAAAAAAGATTACTTCTGAGAATGCCAAAATCACCACGGAATGCCAAAACAGCCACTGCTCCCAGTGCCCAGGCCAAAATTGCTTGTGCCCATGAAGAAGATGACATGATGCCCATGTGTTGACAGAGTTGTCCATAAGTGCTAAAGCGTGACGTATTTCTCTTCTTTTATCTTGGCCCATTTGCTGGACGTTGTTGTCCACTTGGGCTACTGTGTTTACCACAATCATGAATTGCATATACACTGTGCGCCACATGTCTTTAACAGAGATTTAAGACTCAGATCTTTCTTTCTTCTTTTTTTTCTCTCCTTAGGACCTAAGTACATGTCTGCAAAAGGAGGGCCAAATAAAAGTTCTCTCTTCCAGTGAGATATGGACTTCTTATTTATACATGTCAACCTACTCTACTACTTGGAATTATTTCCCATAAAGCTCTTTGGTGTCTCATACACAGAAAGTCCAGGTAATTCTCCAATGTGGAGCCTCTAGGCATGTCCAAACATCTAAATCCTCTAGGGAGAATTAATGCCAAAATCTGTGAGCCCCTAATATATAAAAATCAAGTTTGTGTTTCCACCAGAAAAAAAAATGGAAATTTAACATTGCATCATGTGAATTCTTCCAGTCGCCTTACAAAAATCATGATTTATGTGTCTCTTTCTCTAACTGGTAGATTTCTGAAGAGTAGAATTTTCATTCTGAGTTTTCTAATCACTTTCTAAGCCCTTAACACAGTGTCTAGTACAAATAAGCATTTAGTTACCGTTTGTTTTTCAAATTTGCATAAAAATGACGTGGAGTAACAAGTCAAAAGATGTAAAGGAAAATCTAATGTTGTGTTCATATTATTAAGGCTAATCATTGTGCTCTAGTTTCTTCAAAATAACCAAGATAATTTACTTGATTCTAATCTGCCTTTCATGTATTAAAATGTAAAAAAAGAACCCTAAAGATCACCCCCTGTAATATGTGTGGAAATATTTCCTTAAACTATTATATTTGCAAGGTTTTCCACTTCTACACTAACATTTGGTAGCTGATGGAACACACAGGGCCAGTAATAGCAGTTGCTAATGGTAACATATCTTGAGGACAAACAGGAGGAAGATCCTGGGAAGCAGCATGGAGAAAATTGTAGAGTTACAGGGAGGATATCAAAGTAAAAATAGAATAATTTAGAAATCACCATCTTTCTTTGAATGGATATCCTGGCAGTCAAAGTCCCCAAACAGAAGCTGCTTGAGCCAAGACTTCCTTTGAAACCACTTCTATTTCATGGAAACTAATTTTTAAAATGCTCAGTGGTTTGGGAACATGAAGAGTCAGTTTACAAATCATCATCTACTTTGTGAAAAGAAAAGGAAAAAGAAATCATCAAGGACTTAGATTTTAAAACCATATAACGAAGCTAAACATTAAGTCATGTGACAAATTAGAGGGACACCAGAGTAATTTCAACACAGTTAAATCATCAGCCTTCAGTCCTCATAGTGATTATACTCTCAGCTTACATACATCTCTGCATTACTGTGGTGTCTTAATAATATCTGTTAAAAATCCTGACATGTTAGTAATGTGCGGAGAGGACATCCTTCAGTGTACTTATGCCAATAAGCAAATGTCTGTTCTAGTTACTGAGGTTTCAGTCTTTTGGACTATATATAGCTCACTTCTCTAATCTCTGTACTTCAGAATGGGGTATATTTAATAGCTCAAAGAGAATAAGCAAGCTGTGATTATTAACTCTATTTGGTTAATGTGTTGGTGTAAAAGCCTGTGTCTATTATAAAATGTTCTAATAATAGGCGTGAAGTGAGTGTGAGTGAAATCTGAACATGATAGGGGAACTGCATTATTTTAATCTTAAATATACTACATCTTGTTACTTTTTGAGATAGTATTTTTTAAATTTTTCTAATTTCAAGATTGAAAGATTATGTCCCCAATTATTTCATATTCTGCTTAAATATAACACTTACTTCTAGAACATGCAATTTTATCCAGGAATACCTTTGCACATAGTGTTTACTCATCCCTTAATATTTTTACACACTCTTCGAGTCTTAACTGAAATACTCCTTCTTTATGAAACCTTTCTCCACTCTCCCAGATAGAGGCAGTTAGACTGCTTTCTTCATGTGCTCACGAAATTGACAGCAGCCTTTGTGCTTGCTATAACATGCTTATTTTTCTTCCTCTTGTCTCCGAATGCATTTCTTGGGAGCAAGAGTAACATGTCTTGCTCTTTTTAGGGCTCTAATGTTTAGCACAATTCTGGAACATAGCTGAGAAAAATAGTGATTTGTTAAATGAGCCAACCTGCCTTCTACATCTTACCGCCTATAATCCCTCACTCCAGGACCATATATGCATTTTATTATGCATCAGACATAGAGAACTATTCGCTATTTAAAAAAAAAAACTTTCACATTTTTAATTACAGTAGTTTTGTTCAAAGATGTGTATCAGCCTGCATTGCTCATCTCCTGGATGAGACAGAAGATATTCATAGCATATAAGGTGGAAGAGTTGTTCCCTGTTGTATTTTGAAAACTCCTCAGAACTGCCTCAGCTGCCAGAACATCTACCAGAGTATCTTCATTGACATCACAACCCAGTCCTATTTTAACTTTCAAATCTGGAGAAACTAAACATTTGTTTCTCTTTGTATTCTTGTGTCTGATATTTTCCAATGCGCAAATTATCTGAGAATAAGAGAATAATTTATTCAAACTTCAATACAATCTCTATACTTTATTGGAGATGTGATTCGAACCCAGTCACTTCACTTTGTCTGAAGCCCTCAAATACAAAAGTATGATAATGATAATAACCACCTAAAAACATAGCTATCTATAGAGTTCAACCGGATGTGGAACTGTGATGATAGTCACCACCTTATGCATTTACTTTTGCGTTCCATACAATATTAATATTAATCATCCCTGTAGCCTTACAGAATATATAATGGTATCTACCTTGTACAGAAAATTTACCCAAAGTCATGGTCGTGTGTGTGTATTGGGGCAGAGGATTAGGGAAAACATGACTAGTACAGTAATCTGGCCAATTAGTTGAAATATGGTAAGTGAACAAGTGGAATGCAATAGGGAGATAGGACCATTCTGTTATTTGAAAATTTTTTTTTTTTTTTTTTTTTTTTTTGACGGAGTCTCGCTCTGTCGCCCAGGCTGGAGTGCAGTGGCCCGTTCTCGGCTCACTGCAAGCTCCGACTCCCGGGTTCGCGTCACTCTCCTGCCTCAGCCTCCCGAGTAGCTGGGACTACAGGTGCCCGCCACTACGCCCGGCTAATTCTTTTGTATTTTTAGTAGAGACGGGGTTTCACCGTGTTAGCCAGGATGGTCTCGATCTCCTGACCTCGTGATTCGCCCACCTCGGCCTCCCAAAGTGCTGGGATTACAGGCGTGAGCCACCCCCGTGCCCGGCCCCGTTGTTTGGATTTTAATCAAGCTTAATACTAAGGTTGTTAAAGGAATAAGCCAGCAATCAACTTTTATAGGAGCTTGTATATTTAACAAAATAATTACAAAGCTAATTTTAGCAAATAACTAAAAAGGACCCATGAGATGGAACCTCAAAACAGGCCGTGTAATCCTGGTGAAGCTAAAACAAATCATTTGTTCAATGGAGGGAAAACTTACCATTACCTTAATACAAGTCAGGTATGGAGCTACACTGCGGAAACGAAAGTAAAGATGGTTTGATGCTGCTATTGCTGTGAAGTATGGAATAATAGATGAATCAGAAATACAGTGGAATGTAAAATTAATAAATGGAATGAAACAAAAATACTTGTAATATGGGATGACAGAATAGGAAATAACTAATTCCAATGGGAATGATTGGGAAAAGACTCACAGAAGCAGTAACATTTATGTGATCTTTGGAAAATGAGTAATAGTTGACAGAGGGGGAATAGGGAGCATTAAACATAATGTTGTCATGTACTTTAAAAATAACACCTTAAGGATCGAGTCTATTTGAAAAATATTGAGATACTATATTCTAGCTAATGGGTATCCAAAAGACATGTGTCCCAAAAATGGGATCTAAATTCTAGACAAACTTTAAGTGCTGTCATTATATGATCAAAACATTTTAATCATCAGAATTTTAGCAGTGAGATATGTTATTTCATAATTAATTTTAAAAGTATATCCCCAGGCAGCACCAAAACTATAAAGAGAAAGATTTAGATGGTGTTTTGCATTTCCTCCTGAAATTCAGCCAAATTTGGAATATAAATTAACTATAATTAGTTTCCTTTTTCTTTTTTAATTTCTTTTTTCTTTTTTTTAACTTTTATTTTAGGTGTAGAGGTACAAGTGTAGGTTTATTACAAAGGTAAATTGCTTTTCACGGGAGGTTGGTGTACAGATTATTTCATCACCCAGGTAATAAGCATAGTAACCTATAGGTAGTTTTTCAATCCTCACCCTCCTCCTACCTTCCACCCTGGAGGCTCTGGCATTTGTTGTTCCCTTCTTTATGTCCATGTGTACTCAATGTTTAGCTCCCACTTATAAGTAAGAACATGTGTGGTTGGTTTTTTGTTCTTGTGTTAGTTTGCTTAGAATAATGGCCTCCAGCTCCATCCATGTCTCTGCAAAGGACATGATCTCATTCTTTTTATGGCTACATAGTAGTCCATGGTGTATATGTACCACATTTTCTTTATTCAGCCTACCATTGATGGACATCTAGATTGATTCTATGTCTTGCTTCTTGTGAATGGTACTGTGATTAACATACACATGTATGTGTCTTTATGGTAGAACGATGTATGGTCCTTTGGATATACACCAAATAATGGGATTACTGGTTGAGTATAGTTCTGTTTCAAGTTCTTTGAGAAATTGCCAAACTGTTTTCCACAATGGCTAAACTAATAGCATTCCCACCAGCAGTGGATAAGCATTCCCTTTTCACCATAAAACATAAGAAATGAAAATAGTGTCTTTGAAAATAAATTAGTTATGAAATTAAGTGAAATTCCATAATTCTAATTTAATATTTAACTAAATTTCAGGATTCTAATTTAATATTTAATGAATACATTAAGTTTTCACATGGATTCCATAGATACTTCTCTCTCCAACCACCATTCCCTGCATCCTCCACTCATCCTACTCCATCTTGGTAAAGGAAAATAATAATTTCTCTTTCTTTGTAAGGTGGAGTGTGCATGAGAGGCAATGCCATTTAGGACATATTTCATAGGGCTGAAATTGAGCTCAGAGTAGGAACCTTTTATCTCGATAACTTGATAACAGAGAACAAATGCCAGAATTCATGCACCAAAAATTTAAATCCAATGGCAATTATATATATAAAAAGTCAAACCAAGTAGTAAAGTGCCAGTGGGAGTCAGCAACAAACTAGTGATTTAAGAAAGCAGAAAAATTAAGAGTAAAACAGTGTAGTGAACAAAAAGAAAGTGATCTGGAATTTCCTGAAGTGGCATAAGGATGCCTCTAGAAGCGAAACCCAAGCCATGTGTGGATTATGTAGGTCACGGACACCTGACAGACCCTGAGCAAAACAGAAAGAGAGAAAGAGAGAAAGAGCACTCGTCCCTTTCTGCCAGAAAATACAAACAATATATGCCAGAAATGAAGCCACACATTTTTGAATTTCAGTTTCCACATATTAGTTTAAATCTACCTATTCTGTCTTCAGAACAGAAGCAAATCTCTTCTTGTAGTAGATACAAACCTATCTGAAGAGAAACATTTGATAAACTAACATTTTCTCTCTCATATAGAAGAGAAGATAATGCTTTTGAGAAAGTGTAAGATAATTTTTGAAAGTGACCTAATCAAGGTGCTAACAAAAGAATTGTATGGCTTTTCATATTTAAAACTACTTTTAATGTTCATTAACGTAAGCATATAATTTTATATTTTATACCCAGAATCAATATTTTAAGTCATATAAAAGTACTGAATTAAAGAAATCAATTTTGGCTTGCTTTTAGAAATGGATGAAGCTTTAATTTTAAGACATTTGATATAGAAAAGCATTTCCAACAGACAGCTGTTTCAGGATAGTCCAATAAGTCAATAACTCCTGCACTTTAAATCCCCAATTCTGTAAAGAGCTATCTCCCTGGGATTTTGAATTCTTTGTATTAAAGCAATAGATACTGGGCCAGATTCTATAGCTTTACTCTTCCTCCTTAATCTGGCCAGCCTTGCTCCCAAAGAGAGATTTTTACACATGTATGTGCCAGCATATTCTCTTCTGTGTATTTTCTCTGAATTTTTCCAAATATTTTTTCATTCCAGCAGATGGTTTCTGGAAAAAAATAAAGAATGAAAGAAAAACATAGGTGTGAAGTTCTAGGTAAGTTCTTCTAATTAAAAAAGGATGAATAGAAATTAATTCTATTGAGAAGGCATGTGATATCTAATTAGAAATGGTTAGAAATGGTCAGAAATGTGGGCTTTTAAGACATCAAGCTTAAGCCCATCTCGGCCACTTTCCAGCTGGGTAACCTCTATTAAATCACTCAAGCACTTTATGCCACAGTTACCTTGCTTTAAACTTATAATTAATAGTAATACTCAGCTCATAGAATGACTGTGAGGGTTAAAGAAGATAATGAATGAACAGTGAAAGCTGAGTGTTGGCTCTGAGTAAGCACTGAATAAATGTTGGTAACTACTGTTATTGTTACTCGACTTCATGTTTTGGTAATATGGAAGTAAATGTATCATTCCGTGTTTCAGTTTCTTTCACCTTAACCCAAATATCACTCTCCAGTTCACAGGAATGAAGGCTTATGAAGTTGTTTAGATCAGATAATCATAACCAAAGAAATAAATAGACACGTTTTTTTCAATGAGACAAGGTTCAATAAACCATAATTATTTAATAGTGTGTCAAAGGATGCATGAATACAATAATTCATGGAAACATTTTCTTGGGAGTTTGGTTATTTAATGAACTCAGAATCTTTGAGAGCATTTGAAAAGTTTTAATAAATGAAGAACTAGCTGGATCTATCCTTTTTAATTTGTAATTAAGCAATTAAGTAATTTATACACATATTTACACTTCAATGGGTATTGTTCTGAGTACTTTCTTTACTTCATTCTGTTTGTTTTATGTCTATAATGAAATTAATTTTTCTTCCAATAATTTAATACTTAATATTTTTGTTATTTCATGTTTGAATTTAGGTATGTGTAAGAAATATAAGCAAAACTTGAATAAGTTTTGATAGCACTACAGTGCTGCTCAGAAAGGATGGATAAAATAAGAAAGTATTGTAGGAGGAAAAGAGAAGAGGATGGCTTTTCTTACACCCATATATCTTTCCATGTGGCAAATATGTACAAGGTTAAGCTCTAGCTTACGTTTAATTTTATGCTACCATATCCACATTTATAATTAGGTTTAAGGCTAAAAGTTACATTTTAATTGAGGTATATTGTTATTCTTCACTTTGGCAGGTCAATGAATTCTAGTAACTTGGCAGATGTATGAGTGAGAGTTTATTTCAGGTTATGAGCAAGATCAGTACAAATGCTGAAACAAAGGCTCAATGTGAAGAGTAGGAAACAGAAGTCTTTTATATTCTAAGAAATATAGAGAAACAGGCTAAGCATGTGTGATTTCTATTCAAGGAAATAGTTCATGGTGATAATTGTAGGCAAGATCTTTTTAAGCCTGGACTTTGATTTATAGCTTCAATTATTTTTTTAACATTCATGGAAGCTGAAAGAGAATGTGAGCCTTGGATGTAAAACAAAATGTTACTTTTGTCCATTTATAATTTTAATGTTGTGGGCCTTAAAGCCTTCTTCTAGTTTTGGCTTGTAAATGGTAAGATGCATCCTTATTCAAAAAACATGTGTGCACATACTTAATGTTAGCGTGAGATCTGTCAGCCACTCTTCACGCACCCTGGCAACTAAAATAATATGACAGAAGGTAAATCTTTCAAATCAAGTTTAAAATATGCTTCCGTAAAAAAAATTCATACCATTTGTATAGCACCAATCACATCAAAGTGCCATTATTTTTAAAATTAACACTCTTCTCTGTGAAACCTTGAGTTACTTAAATATACAGCTAAAAATTCCTTACAAACTCTTTATTGTACACAATGACTTTCTCAAAACCAGGTACACAAAAGACTCTGGGGAAGTATTTGTGGAAGTGAAACACACAATAATGTAGTCATGTGGACACATTCTCAAATGGCAGTTGTCTGACAGGAAATCAGAGACTTGAAAAGTGGAAAAATGTTTATGGATCATATGGATAAGTTTTTTATTTCACAGATGAGGAACCTAGGGAAGCCTAGAAAATATAAGATTTTTCCAAGACCAGCACAGGACAACAGAGTTCCATTCTTACTTCCTGATCCAAATTACAGCAGTCTTTGTCCATGGAGACTCAAAGGGCGCCAGAGAGTCATTGCTCTAGTGAACATCTTACTTGTAATCTGCAAAGGGAAGACCTGTGGGTTGCTCTTAATTTAATTCACGGCTGGCAGCCAAAGGTCCAGTTCTGCAGAAGGCTATGAGATGTAAAAATTCTGCATGAAGAAAAAGGCGACTTGGTGCCACTACTAAATATATATGCACCTTTAGGGCACAAAATCATAAAATGTGCACAAAACCAAAAAAAGTTAGTGTGTATATATGCGTGTAAGAGAAAGGGAAACAAAGAGATTTGGATAAGAAAATATTCTCAAGGAAATTACATTAATAATTATATGAAAATCTAAAAATAAATATAAGAACATTTAGATATAAATATGGACTTAAAAAGGAAACTTATCTTCACTAATTCTTGACTATTTTTTATGAATAAAACCTACTGCTAGTCCAGCTAAGATTGTCACTTGTCCTTCCTTGACTAATTCTTGACTATTTTTATGAATAAAACCTACTGCTATTCTACCTAAGATTGATACTTGTCCCAGCTTTACCCAATGCACTTTATCAGTAAAGGGCAATGGCCAGGCATCTGGCCTTGCTACCAAATAGAATCTGATAACTAACCTCTGTACAGCCATGTACCCATTTCAAAACGAACATAACAAAAGAACTCTCCTTATAGAATTATTTTCATGATTAAATAAACTGGTATATGTAAAATGCCCTTGAGCAGCATGTAGTTCATACTATGTGCTCAATAAATTTTACATATACATACATACACACACACACACACACACACACATATATATATATACTTGAGACAGGCTAATTTATAAAGGAAAGAGGCTTAATAGACTTACTGTTCAGCATGACTGGGGAGGCCTCAGGAAACTTACAATCATGGTGGTGGAAGGGGAAGCAAACACGTCCTTCTTCACATGGCAGCGGCAAAAAGATGTGCAGAGCAAAGGGGGAAAAGCCCCTTATAAAACCATCAGATCTCATGAAAATGCACTCACTATCATGAAAACAGCAGCATGGGAGTAACTGCCTCCACGATTCAATTACCTCCCACTCAGTCCCTCCCACCACATGTGGGGATTATGGGAACTACAATTTACGATGAGATTTGGGTGGGGACATAGCCAAATCATATCAATCCTACTATGAGAAAGAGATACAGACAAACAAGTGTGTCCCAAAATGGGAACACAGCATAAGGTGGGAATTAGAAGCAAGTTAACCTAAGGACCATTTAGAAGTATGGGTATATTTAGTTTGAAGAAAAATAATTATCGTGGGATATAAATTGTAGGAACACAAATTTGAATTCATCAGAAACAAGATTATTTATCAATTATATTTTTACTTAATACTCTTTGGTAATGAAACTCTTCTTCTCAAAGAAGAATGAGGCCCTACATCTAAAAGCATTTATGCAAAAATGGATATGTCAGGAATGCTGAAGAAAGGATTGTCATGTCAAGTGGGAGGGGAGATTAAGAAACTAATAGGCTGGGCACAGTGGCTCACGCCTGTAATCCCAGCCCTTTGGGAGGCCGAGGCGGGCGGATCACGAGGTCAGGAGATCGAGACCATCCTGGCTAACACGGTGAAACCCCATCTCTACTAAAAAAGTACAAAAAATTAGCCGAGTGTGGTGGCAGGCGCCTGTAGTCCCAGATACTCGGGAGGCTGAGGCAGGAGAATGGCATGAACCCGGGAGGCAGAGCTTGCAGTGAGCCAAGATCACACCACTGCACTCCAGCCTGGGCGACAGAGCGAGACTCTGTCTCAAAAAAAAAAAAAAAAAAAAAAAAAAAGGAACTAATAAAGTCATTCCATGCTTTGTAACCTATAAACAAAAATAAAAATTAGATACCTACTTACATTCAAATTGATAAAGAGTGGCTTATTTAGATAATCTGTCATGCATTGATCAAAGTTATTAGCACATGGAGGTTTTAACTATAAATCATATACCCTAGTGTGGTCGCCAGACATGTTGGGCCAATCAAAATAAGTTTTTATTCAGTGCCCATCAAGATACAGCTCCAGTCATTGCTTCAAAGGGTGGAAGCCCCAAGCTTTGGTAGATTCCACATGGTGTTGGGCCTGCATGTGTGCAGAAAACAAGAACTGAGGTTTGGAAACCAGTGCCTAGATTTCAGATGATGTATGGAAATGTATGGATATCCAGACAAAAGCTTGCTGCAGGGTTGGGACCCTCATGGAGAACCCCTGCCAGGGCAGTGTGGAAGGGAAATTTGGGGTTGGAGCCCCCACACAGAGCCTCAACTGGGGCACTGCCTACTGGATCTGTGAGAAGAGGGCCACCATCTTCCAGACCCTAAAATGATAAATCCACCAACAGCTTGCACCATGTGCCTGGAAAAGCCACAGGCACTCCACGCCAGCCCATGAAGGCAGCCAGTGGGGGAACTTACCTGCAAAGCCACAGGGGTGGAGCTGCCCAAGGTCATGGGAGCCCACCTCTTGCATCAGTGTGACTTGGATGTGAGATATGGAGTCAAAAGAGATTGTTTTAGAACTTTAAGGCTTAATGACTGCCCCATTGAATTTCAGACCTCCATGGGGCTTGTGGTCCCTTTGTTTTGACCAATTTCTCCCATTTGGAGTGGGTTTATTTCCCCAATGCCTGTACTCACATTGTATCTAGGAAGTAACTAACTTGCTTTTGATTTTTCAGGCTCATAGGTAGAAGGGAATAGCCTTGTCTCAGATGAGACCTTGGGCTTGGATATTTGGGTTAATGCTGAAAGGAGTCAAGACTTTGGAGGACTGTTGGAAAGGCATGATTGTGTTTTGAAATGTGAGGACATGAGATTTGGGAGGGGTCAGGGGCAAAATAATATGGTTTGGCTGTGACCCTACCCAAATCTCATCTTGAATTGTAATTCCCATAATACACACATGTCATGAGAGGGACCTGGTAGGAGGTAATTGAATCATGGGGATGGTTTCTCCCATGCTATTCTTGTGATAGTGGGTAAGTTCTCATGAGATCTGATGGTTTTATAATGGGTTTCCCCCTTCAATAAGTTCTCATTCTTCTGTCTCCTGCTGCCATGTGAAGAAGGATGTGTTTGCTTCCCCTTCCACCATGACTGTAAGTTTCCTGAGGCCTCCCAGTCATGCTGAACTGTGAGTCAATTAAACCTCTTTCCCCTGTAAATTACCCAGTCTCATGTATTACTGTCTTATGTATTACTGTCTCATGTCTGTATTAGCAGTGTGAGGACGGACTAATACAAGGATATAATCTGACCAGCACAGAGTAGACTAGGACTATTACTTCCAGTGTTTGGATATTACACAGACCTCCAGTCAGTGTTTAATAGTTATATTAACATTTTTAGGCATCCATATAGTGGTGTTGATTTGCACTGGGTCCATAAACTTCACCAGATATTTAGGGAATTTAGCGACTTTGTTAGTAGTATTTTGTACTTACTTCAGTGTATCCAGTTATCCTATCTTAGTAAGCATGATATATTGAGCAAAATTTATTTATTTTGTGGAGCCTGAAGATCCTCCCCAGAGAGAAATCAGAAATTTGAGTTTAAAGAATATGTAACTTAGAGAGACACTATTCCTTCACCATGATGAAAGTTGATAGCCTAAATAGCTGCACACCAGGAATGTCAAGGATATCCAGAGCTGTTGAGTTGACTTCTCAGTGCCATTGATGTAGTAGGGTGGATAGAGATGTTGAGTAGGTTTTAGTGAAAAGGTTTTGTAGTAGTCTTTCATGAAAACAAATCTCATATCTGACATTTATAACTGCATGACTTTGAACATGTTCCAAACCTAGTTTCCCCAGAATTTAATTTTGGATGATACCTATACAGTAAGATGGTTTCTAGGATTAGCGGGAGAGACAATATAGTGTAGTTGATAAAAATGTAGACTTTCAGGTCAAAAATTTTTTATTTAAATCCTGGCTTTACCACTAGCTGTCATATTAACTTTAGTAAAGCTTCAATTTTTTTCTTCTGTGAATGATGATCATAATTTCTCATTTACTGTATAGAAATGAGGACTTAACAACATATAGCTGGCATGTGGTAAGTTCTCAATAAATTATGTTGATTATTATAATGACTGTAAAAAAATACAATACTGTCTCAAACAGGTAATTGATAAATGGTTATTATTTCCTAGTGCCCACCCCTACAATTTCTTATAACTTTAACTTAAGACAATAATTCCTGTCTCAACCTGAGAGAAACCATTGTAAAAATAATTCCTATAAGAGCTCAAATAGGACAGTAGAATTTCACACAGAATAATATAGCGGCCTTTCTGGCATTATTTGCATTTCAATTTTGCCTTCTCCATTAGAATATAGGCATCTAGAGAGCAGGGTCACTATTTTTATACACCCAACAAAATTTCTGGCACATCAAATAGGAAAAATAAATATTTTTTAAACTTTACTTTCTTCATTTGTATAATAATCTTAATAATAGCTGCTCCATTAAAAAATAAATAAGAGAATTGTATCTCAAGCAAACAGGTACTATGGCAGTGATATAAATTGTAAAAAGATTTATAAATTTTGATTGTTGTATGGTAATAGGTTATCATTATTATATTAGTGCCTCATTGTAGGAAAATGCTTTTCTTTGGGAGGACCCAATGTCTACATTTGTTACATCACTCTATGTTTAGGCATAGAATATGTGTGTATGTGTATGTCTATGTGATAAATTGGGGATATATGACCATTGATCTTCTAGTGTGGCTTCTTGTGTCCTGAGGATTTCCATGCCCTTAAACTTAAGGTAAGTTATGACCTACTAGAATTTATCTATTAGAATTCTGTAGTTATTGTAACTAGTAGGGATGATCTTAATAGGAAAAGTGTGTAAAGGGTGGAGGATCAAATAGGAAGGCCATTTCACTGGGATTAGCAAAAAGTGTGGCTGTGAAAATAGTTCTTGAAAAAAGGCCAACAAGAATAATTGCAGCTCCAGCCCTATAAAAATAAAGGTCAAAGCTAATGTGATTTGGCTCAAAGCTAATCTGTAAACTGCTAGTGGCTCAAAGGTAATATGTAAATCTCTAGTCTATTGAAAAAGCCCACAACATAGCAGCTACATAGGCAGAATGAGCCCATATGTGGAATACATCAAAAATCAGTACAAAGTCAGAGTAACATGAGCAATCCTAAAGTCATCTGGAGGTTTCTGAAATCAGCCCCTTTACCTGGCAGATCAAGATGAATAGAAATGTGGCTTTCTCGTGTTCACTTCAGGATAAATACAGGGGAAAAC
Source organism: Homo sapiens (assembly GCF_000001405.40). Lineage (NCBI taxonomy): Eukaryota > Metazoa > Chordata > Mammalia > Primates > Hominidae > Homo > Homo sapiens. The sequence continues at coordinate 191,182,371 of NC_000003.12, forward strand.
ATGAGAAGACTTGTGAATGCAGTTCTCAAACTTCTGAACTCCATCATTGGAGGGATGATTTATAGAGACGAAAATGCAGTGGGAAAGACTGGACTTAGCTGAATGACATACTTTACATTTATTTCTATAATGTGAGATCTTTCAACCCTTTTTATATTTACAAAATTAAGATGATAACAAAAACTATATTGTTAGAAAAAAGTAGAAAGGAATTATCAAAATATTTTTATGCTGCAAAACAAGCATAAAAATCTTAGAATTTTTATGAGAATTGTGTTTCCATTTAGTACATAGACAGCTGTGCAACAATATCAATTTCACAAAATTATGCAAAACTAACTTTTCTTTGAACCCATCTGAGAGGTCACTAAACAACCAGGGGTACTAAACTTAAAATAGTTACAATGCACCATGAGGGAAGGAAGCATACAAACTGTTTCACCTTTGGTAGAGCATTTAAGGAAGTGATTTATGGTGGTGTTCTAGCTAAATTAAAGAGGTTAATTTTTTTTTAAGTTGAAACTTTAACAAATTTTTTAAGTAAGTGTGCAGTCAGCATGAGAATTTAGAATTCCTGGGAGCCCCAGACATAAGTAAAATGCACATTTATATGTCAGAACTCTAATAGGCTAAAAATAAAGATACACACCTGCACAGTATCAGAGGCTAGATTCAGAATAGGAAACACTAAATTCAGTTGAAACTAAATCAATAGAAATAATTTAAACTGAAATATAGAGAGGAAAAAGGAATGCAGAGAAAATTAGACCACCCAAGAGGTGTGGGAAATATCAGCTGAGCTAACATATAAGTAATTGGAGTAACAGAAAAGGAAAAGAGAGAGAATGGGACCAAAAAAAAAATTTGGAAAGGTAATGGCTGTTTTCTCCCAAAATTCATGAAAGAAAACAACCAAGAATCTTAGAGAATCCCAAACAAGATAAATACAAAGTAAAGTATAGTTAAGCACATCATAGATAGATGATAGCTGACTTCCCATCACACACTAGGCAATTCAAAATCAAATATATAATTAATTTTAAAATATTAAAAGAAGAAAAGTTGTCACCTCAGAATTCTATAATGAACAAAATTTACATTCAAAAATACAGATGAAGTAAACACTTATTAGAGAAAATACTACAAAAAAAAGGAGTTTCTTCAGGCAAAATGATAAGGTACTACATGTAAATGTGAATCTAAACACCCACAAAAAGCAGCATCAGCCATGATAAATGTAGGTAAACATGAAAAATTTTAAAAATCCTTTATATTGCTAAAATAGTTAACTATAGAAAGCAAAAATGAAAAAATGTGGGATTATGACAGGTAAACTTAAAATATATGACAATAATACTGCAGAGGATAAAGAGAAAATAGATATTTGCTATTGAAAGATTGTTGCATTAAGTGGAAAATTATGATTTGAAGGAAGATTGTAGCAACATAATGGTGCATATTGTAAACCTATAGCAGCAACTTAAAAATAAAACAGAGGTAAAAGTAACAATCCAAAGTAAGACAGAATGACAGGAAAGAAAGAACAAAGAACAGATGGGGAAAAAAAAGCTTATAAAATAACAGTTTTAAGTCTAAGTATACCAATAATTGCATTAAATGCAAATAATCAAAATATACAGTTAAAATTTAGAGATTGTCAGTTTGGGGAAATGAAAGCATAATCCAGTTCTGTGCTTTTTATGGGAACTAAGTTTTGAAAAATCCATAGGTTAACTAAAAGTAAAAAGATAGGGGAGAATGAATATCATGTCAATAATAATAAAAAGAAAGCTGTAGTGAACAAATTAATATAAAAATAATAATTTTAGTAGGGATAAAATGATAAATTACATAATGATGAAGGGATATACACCTAATCAATAGCTTAAAATTCATACAGCAAAAGCTGATACAACTAAAAACAAATAGAGAAATTTACAATTGTACTTAGAGACATAAGCAATCCTTCCTCAGTAATTGGGAGAGCAAGTAGATAAAGGTCATTAAAATATGGATTTGAACATTTGAACCAATGGAACGGTTAAGATCTATAGAACAATCATCTCAATAATAAAAATTCTTTTTAAAGTCCACATAAAACTTCACCAATCTATGGTATATTTTGACCATAAAACAAATGTTGACAAATTTAAAAGAATTGGCAAAATACAAAGTATGTTTACTGATAATAAAACAATTAAACTAAAAGATAATAACAGGAAAAAATATGGAAAATAGTCAATTATTTTGAAAATAAATTACTTATGTTTAAATGACCAATAGTAAATTTTTTAATTAGAAAATATTTCAAATTTAGCTAGACGTGTTGGCTCACGCCTGTAATAACCCAGTTTGGGAGGCCAAGGTAGGTGGATCACCTGAGGTCAGGAGTTCGAAACCAGCCTGGTCAACATGGCGAAACCTCATCTCTACTGAAAATAAAAAATTAGCCAGGCGTGGTGGCAAGCACCTGTAATCCCAGCTACTCCGGGGGCTGAGGGAGGAGAATCACTTGAACCCAGGAGTCAGAGGATGCAGTGAGTTGAGATCATGCCACTGCACTCCAGCCTTGGCAACAGAGCAAGATTCTGCCTCAAAACAAAACAAAACAAAAAAGAAACTATTTCAAATTCAATAAAAACGAAACAGAAAATATAAAAACATATTGGATATAGCCAGGGTGGTGCCTAGAAAAAAAGTTTATAGTATGTATAAATCTGTTTTTGCATTGCTATAAAGAACTACATGAGACTGCATAATTTATAAAGAAAAGAAGATTAATTGGCTCACAGTTACATCGGCTGTATAGGAAGCATGGCTGTGGAGACCTCAAGAGATTTATAATCATGGCAGAAGCCAAAGGGGAAGCAGGCATATTTTCATATGCCCAGAGCAGGAGGAAAAAGAGAGAGGGGAGGTGCCACATACGTTTAAACAACCAGATCTCCTGAGAACGCATTCACTATAACAATAACAGCAAGGGGGAAACCCATCCCCAAGATCCAATTGAGAGGTGAAGAAGCTGGCTGGGCTTCTGGGTTGGATGGGGACTTTGAGAACTTTTCTGTCTAGCTAAAGGATTGTAAATGCACCAATCAGCGCTCTGTGTCTAGCTAATGGTTTGTAAATGCACTAATCAGCACTCTGTAAAAACGGACCAATCAGCTCTCTGTAAAATGGACGAATCAGCTCTCTGTAAAATGGACCAATCAGCTCTCTGTAAAATGGACCAATCAGCAGGATGTGGGCGGGGCCAAATAAGGGAATAAAAGCTGGCCACCCTAACCAGCAGGGGCAACCAACTCAGGTCCCCTTCCACACTGCGGGAGCTTTGTTCTTTCGCTCTTCGCAATAAATCTTGCTGCTACGCACTCTTTGGGTCCGCACTACCATTTATGAGCTACAACACTCACTGCAAAGGTCTGCAGCTTCACTCCTGAAGCCAGTGAGACCACGAACCCACCAAAAGGAAGAAACTCTGGACACATCTGAACACCTGAAGGAACAAACTCTGGACACTCCATCTTTAAGAACTGTAACACTCACAGTGAGGGTCCACAGCTTCATTCTTGAAGTCAGTGAGACCAAGAGCCCACTGGAAGGAACCAATTCCAGACACATTTTGGCAACTCAGATGGGACTATCGACTATCGCCAAGCAGTGAGTACCATCGGACCCATTTCACTTGCTATTCTGTCCTTAGAATTCAGGGGCTAAACACCAGGCACCTGTTGGCCATTTAAAAGCTACTAGCACGTCCACAGGACTAAAGACACGGGTGTCAGGCTTTCTAGGAAAGGACTCTCTAACAACTCCCAACTCTTTGGAGTTGGGAGCGTTGGTTTGCCTGGAACCAGCTTCCACTTTTCCTGTACTTTTGGGCTGAGCTGAGGATCTACAGAGAGGAGAGCCGTTCAGCTCCGGGGTCCTGACAACAAGTTGGTTGACCCTGTGGCCATGAGCGGAACTCTCAAAGACATGTCACCCAAGCGAGACTCGCCCATCTATCCTATCTATCCTAACCCTTGCCCCCTGGATCCTAACACCTGCCAGACAAAATTCCTCTCGCCTCTCCTCTCCAAGGCTAGTGCTGCTTCTAAAAACCACTCCCTGTCTCTGGTGCTTTTCTAGTTTCTCCTATAAGAATGATTTCTAGTATAAATTTCAGGACTCTGTTACCTTCTTTAGGCAACTGGGCTCACCAATCAGAAAGACATAATTTTTGCCCAAAGCCCCATCATAGGGGGGAATATCTGGAAATTTAGGATCCCTCCTCAGACAAGTAGGCATAACAAAAGCTATTCCTGAAGCTAGGATATGAGGAGCCTCAGAAATTGTATCCTTCCTATTCATATAAGTGAGGGCAAAAAGACATCACTCTTCCAACTCTGGAGATCCCTCCCCTCCCTCAGGGTATGGCCCTCCACTTCATTTTTGGGGCATAACATCTTTATAGGAAATGGGTAAAGTCCCAATACTAACAGGAGAATGCTTAGGACTCTAACAGGTTTTCGAGAATGCGTCAGTAAGGGCCACTAAATCCAATTTTTCTCAGTCCTCTTTGTGGTCTAAGAGGACAGGCAAGGGTGCAGGTTTTTGAGAATGCATCGGTAAGGGCTACTAAATCCAACCTTCCTTGGTCATCTTTGTCGTCTAGGAGGAAAACTAGGGTTTCTGCTGCTGCGTCAGTGCACACAACTATTCCGATCAGCAGGATCCAGGGACCGTTGTGGGTTCTTGGGCAGGAGGAGAAACAAAACAAACCAAAACTGCGAGACGTTTTGTCTTTCAGATGGGAAACACTCAGGCATCAATAGGCCCACCCTTGAAATGTATTCTAAGCCATTGGGACCAATTTGACCTGCAAACTCTGAAAAGGAGGTGGCTCATTTTTTTCTGCACTATGGCCTGTCCCCAGTATTCTCTCTCTGATGGGGAAAAATGGTCACCTGAGGGAAGTATAAATTACAATACTATCCTGCAGCTTGACCTTTTCTGTAAGAGAGAAGGCAAATAGAGTGAAATACCTTATGTCCAAGCTTTCTTTTCATTGAAGGAGAATACACAAATTGCAAAGCTTGCAATTTACATCCCACAGGAGGACCTTTCAGCTTACCCCCATATCCTAGCCTCCCTATAGCTCCCCTTCCTATTAATGATGAGCCTCCTCTAATCTCCCCTGCCCAGAAGGAAATAAGCAAAGAAACCTCCAAAGGACCACAAAAACCCCGAGGCTATCGGCTATGTCCCCTTCAAGCTGTAGGGGGAGGGGAATTTGGCCCAACCCGGGTACATGTCCCCTTCTGTCTCTCTGATTTAAAGCAGATCAAGGCAGACCTGGGGAAATTTTCGGATGATCCTGATAGGTACATAGATGTCCTGCAGGTCTAGGGCAAACCTTCGATCTCACTTGGAGAGATGTCATGCCATTGTTAGATCAAACCCTGGCCTTTAATGAAAAGAATGCGGCTTTAGCTGCAGCCCAAGAGTTTGGAGATACTTGGTATCTTAGTCAAGTAAATAATAGAATGACAGCCAAACCAAAGGACAAATTCCCTACTGGTCAGCAAGCTGTCCCCAGTATGGATCCCCACTGGGACCTCGACTCAAATCATGCAGACTGGAGTCATAAACATCTGCTCACCTGTGTTCTAGAAGGACTAAGGATAATTAGGAAAAAGCCCATGAATTATTCAGTGATGTCCGCCATAACTCAGAGAAAGGAAGAAAATCCTTCTGTCTTCCTTGAGTGACTATGGAAGGCCTTAAGAAAATATACTCCCCTGTCACCTGAATCACTTGAGGCTCAATTGATTCTAAAAGATAAGTTTATTACCCAATCAGCTGCAGATATCAGGAGAAAGCTCCAAAAGCAAGCCCTAGGCCCTGAACAAAATTTGGAGGCATTATTAAACCTGACAACCTTGGTGTTCTATAATAGGGACCAAGAGGAACAGGCCCAAAAAGAAAAGCGAGATCAGAGAAAGGCCACAGCCTTAGTCATGGCCCTCAGACAAACAAACGTTGGTGATTCAGAGAGGACAGAAAATGAAGCAGGCCAAACACCTGGTAGGGCTTGTTATTAGTGTGGTTTACAAGGACATTTTTTTTTTTATTTTTTATTTGTATTTTTTTCTTTGAGATGGAGTCTCGCTCTGTCACCTGGGCTGGAGTGCAGTGGTGTGATCTCGGCTAACTGCAAGCTCTGCCTCCCGGGTTCATGCCATTCTCCCACCTCAGCCTCCTGAGTAGCTGGGACTACAGGTGCCTGCCACCACGCCTGGCTAATTTTTTGTATTTTTAGTAGAGATGGGGTTTCACCATGTTAGCCAGGATGGTCTCGATCTCCTGACCTCATGATCCACCTGCCTTGGTCTCCCAAAGTGCTGGGATTACAGGAGTGAGCCACTGCGCCCAGCCAAGGACACTTTAAAAAGATTGTCCAATGAGAAACAAGCCGCCCCCTCATCCATGTCCACTATGGCGAGGCAATCACTGGAAGGCACACTGCCGCAGAGGACAAAGGTTCTCTGGGCCAGAAGCCCCCAACCAGATGATCCAAAACAACACGACTGAGGGTGCCCAGGGCAAGTGCCAGCTCATGTATCACCCTCACTGAGCCCCGGGTACATTTAACCATTGAGGGCCAGGAAATTGACTTCCTCCTGGACACTGGCGTGGTCTTCTCAGTGTTAATCTCCTGTCCTGGACGACTGTCCTCAAGGTCCATTACCATCCGAGGAATCCTGGGACAGCCTGTAACCAGGTATTTCTCCCACCTCCTCAGTTGCAATTGGGAGACTTTGCTCTTTCCACATGCCTTTCTTGTTATGCCTGAAAGTCCCACACCCTTATTAGGGAGGGATATATTAGCCAAAGCTGGAGCTATTATCTACATGAATATGGGGAACAAGTTACCATTTGTTGTCCCCTACTTGAGGAGGGAATGAACCCTGAAGTCTGGGCATTGGAAGGACAATTTGGAAGGGCAAAAAAATGCCCACCCAGTCCAAATCAGGCTAAAAGATGCCACCACTTTTCCTTATCAAAGGCAATATCCCTTAAGGCCTGAAGCTCATAAAGGATTACCGGATATTGTTAAACATTTAAAAGCTCAAGGCTTAGTAAGGAAATACAGCAGTCCCTGCAACACCCCAATTCTAGGAGGACAATAACTGAACAGTCAGTGGAGACTAGTGCAAGATCTTAGACTTATCAATGAGGCACTAATTCCTCCATATCCAGTTGTAACCCACCCCTATACCCTGCTCTCTCAAATACCAGAGGAAGCAGAATGGTTCACTGTTCTGGACCTCAAGGATGCCTTCTTCTGTATTCCCCTGCACTCTTACCTCCAGTTTCTCTTTGCCTTTGAGGATCCCACAGACCACACGTCCCAACTTACATGGATGGTCTTGCCCAATGGGTTTAGGGATAGCCCTCATCTGTTTGGTCAGGCACTGGCCCAAGATCTAGGCCACTTCTCAAGTCCAGGCACTCTGGTCCTTCAGTATGTGGATGATTTACTTTGGCTACCAGTGCAGAAGCCTCATGCCAGCAGGCTACTCTAGATCTCTTGAACTTTCCAGCTAATCAAGTGTACAAGGTGTCTAGGTCGAAGGCCCAGTTTTGCCTACAGCAGGTCAAATATCTAGGCCTAATCTTAGCCAGAGGAACGAGGGCCCTCAGCAAGGAACGAATACAGCCTATGCTGGCTTATCCTCACCCTAAGACATTAAAACAGTTGTGGGGGTTCCTTGTAATCACTGCCTTTTGCCAACTATGGGTCCCCAGATACAGCGAGATAGCCAGGCCCCTCTATACTCTAATCACGGAGACCCAGAGGGCAAATACTCATCTAGCAGAATGGGAACCAGGGGCAGAAACAGCCTTCAAAACCTTAAAGCAGGCCCTAGTACAAGCGCCAGCTTTAAGCCTTCCCACAGGACAAAACTTCTCTTTATACGTCACAGAGAGAGCAGGGATAGCTCTTGGAGTCCTTACTCAGATTCATGGGACAACCCCACAACAAGTGGCATACCTAAGTAAGGAAATTGATGTAGTAGCAAAAGGCTAGCCTCACTGTTTAAGGGTATTTGTGGTGGTGGCCATCTTAGTGTCAGAGGCTATCAAAATAATACAAAGAAAGGATCTCACTGTCCAGACTACTCATGATGTAAATGGCATACTATCAGACAACTGCCTACTTAGATACCAGGCACTACTCCTTGAGGGACCAGTGCTTCAAATACGTACGTGCATGGCCCTCAACCCTGCCAATTTTCTCCCAGAGGATGGGGAACCAATCGAGCATGACTGCCAACAAATTATAATCCAGACTTATGCCGCCCAAAATGATCTCTTAGAAGTCCCCTTAGCTAATCCTGACCTTAACCTATATACCGATGGAAGTTCATTTGTGGAGAATGGGATACAAAGGGCAGGTTATGCCATAGTTAGTGATGTAACCAAACTTGAAAGTAAGCCTCTTCCCCCAGGGATCAGCACCCAATTAGCAGAACTAGTGGCACTTACCTGAGCCTTAGAACTGGGAAAAAGAAAAAGAATAAATGTGTATACAGTAGAAAGTATGCTTATCTAATCCTACATGTCCATGCTGCAATATGGAAAGAAAGGGAGTTCCTAACCTCTGGGGGAACCCCATTAAATACCACAAGGAAACCATGGAGTTATTGCATGCAGTGCAAAAACCCAAGGAGGTGGCAGTCTTACACTGTCAAAGCCATCAAAAAGGGGAAGGAGAGGGGAGAACAGCAGCATAAGTGGCTGGCAGAGGCAGGGAAAGACCAGCAGAAAGGAAAGAGAGAAAGAGAAAGTCAGAGAGAGAGACAGAGGAAGAGAGAGAAAAAGAGGGAATCGGAGAGAAAGAAAGAGACAAAGACAAAGAGATAGAGGAAGAGACAGAAAGAGGGAGTGAGAGAGAGAGAAAGAGAGAGACACAGAAAGTCAAAGAGAGAAGGAAAGAGAGGAAGAGACAAAGGAGTCAAAGAGAGAGAAAGAGATAGAAGTGGTAAAGAAAAAAACAGTGTACCCTATTCCTTTAAAACAGAGTAAATTTAAAACCTATAATTGATAATTGAAGGTCTTCTCTGTAACACTCCAATACCACCTTGTTGTCAGTACAAACAAGGGCATAGCCCAAAAGCACTGAGGCCACTGACAACCCATAGCCTTCCTATCCAAAATCCTTAACCCAGCAGGTTTCCTAACAGGAGATCTAAATCTCATTACCATACAAAAGTCCAACCAGACATAGGAGGAACTCCCTTCAGGACAGGACAATAGATGGGTCCTCCCGGGTGATTAAGGAAAAAGCAGCAGTGGCTCTCCAAAACTGCGGAGGTCTAGGCCTCCTCATTGCTGAGAAAGGAGGATTCTGCACCTTCTTAGGGGAAGAGTGTTGTTTTTACACTAACAAGTCAGGGATAGTACAAGATGCCACCCAGTGTTAACAGGAAAAGGCTTCTGAAATCAGACAACGCCTTTCACAACTCTTATACTAACCTCTGGAGTTGGGCAACATGGCTTCTCCCCCTTCTAGGGCCCATGGCAGCCATCTTGCTATTACTCACCTTCGGGCCCTGTATTTTTAACCTCCTTGTCAAATTTGTTTCCTCTAGAATCAAGTCCATCAAGCTACAGATGGTCTTACAAAAAGAACCCCAAATGAGCTCAACTAACAACTTCTACCGAGGACCCCTGGACTGACCTGCTGGCCCTTTCACTGGCCTAAAGAGTTCCCTTTTGGAGGACACTACAACTGCAGGGCCCCTTCTTCGCCCCTATCCAGCAGGAAGTAGCTAGAACAGTCATTGCCCAATTCCCAACAGCAGTTGGGGTGTCCTGTTTAGAGGGGGCATTGAGAGGTGAAGCTGGCTGGGCTTCTGGGTCAGATGGGGACTTGGAGAACTTTTCTGTCTAGCTAGAGGATTGTAAATGCACCAATCAGTGCTCTGTGTCTAGCTAAAGGTTTGTAAACGCACCAGTCAGCACTCTGTAAAAATGGACCAATCATCTCTCTGTAAAATGGACCACTCAGCTCTCTGTAAAATGGACCAATCAGCTCTCTGTAAAATGGATGAGTCAGCAGGATGTGGGTGGGGCCAAACAAAGAAATAAAAGCTGGCTGCCCGAGCCAGCAGCGGCAACCCGCTGGGGTCCCCTTCCACAGTGTGGAAGCTTTGTTCTTTTGCTTTTCACAATAAATCTTGCTGCTTCTCACTCTTTGGTTCTGCACTACCTTTATGAGCTGTAACACTCACTGCAAAGGTCTGCAGCTTCACTCCTAAAGCCAGCAAGACCACAGACCCACCGGGAGTAACGAACAACTCCAGACACGCCACCTTTAAGAGCTATAACACACTGCGAAGGTCTGCAGTTTCACTCCTGAAGTCAGCAAGACCACAAACCCACCAGAAGGGAGAAACCCTGGACACATCTGAACATCTGAAGGAACAAACTCCGGACACACTATCTTTAAGAACTGTAACACTCATCGCAAGGGTCGGCGGCTTCATTCTTGAAGTCAGCGAGACCAAGAACCCACCGGAAGGAACCAATTCCAGACACACTATCATCTCCTACCAGGCCCCTCCTCCAACACTGGGGATTACAATTCAACATGAGATTTGGGTGGGGACACAAAACTAAACCATATCATAGCAATAAATCCCTATATTAGAATACAAGAAATGTCTATAATCAGCAATTTAAGAATCTACCTTAAGAAAATAAAAACATATGAGAAAACTAAACCCAGATGAAACAAAAGGAAAGAAATAATACAAAGTAAAATCAACAAAATAAAATGTTAAAAATAATATAGAAAATTAATTAAAGCAAATATTGATTTCTTGAATAAATAAATTTGATAAAATACTAGAATGGTCAAGAAAAAAGCTTAAAGAAGAATACTGTATGTATGACTATCATGTACTCATAATAATTAAAAGTAAATTTTAAAAAATACTGAATTAAGAATGAAATAGGGACATCACTTACAGATCCTATAGCTATCAGAAGGACAAAATAAAAATAGTATGAATACACTCTAATAATTAATGAAGTGGACATATTTAAAAGATACAAGCTATAAGAGTGCATTCAGAAAAAAAAATAGCTAAAGTGATTAGCCCTATATCTATTAAATCATTTAAAGTTTTAGCTAGAAACCTTTCTACAAAGACAACTAACGGCATAGATGGCTTCACTAGTGAATTCTCCAAATATTTAAGAAAGAAATAATGCAAACGCCACAAAAACTCTTCCAAAAAATAGATGAAGGTATAATTCTCTTCAATCATTTTACAAGATAAGCATAACCCTGATACTATACATGAGAGATGAACTTTCTAAAAACAAAAGGTCTATATCTCTTATGAATAAAGATTGTTAAAAAAATATCAGCACTTAAATTCAGCAATAAAGAAAACAGATAATATGTCATAATCAAGTGGAGTTTATCTTGGCAAAAAAGTTATAATTCATTATATTAATATACAAAAAGCAAAACAATCTCAATAATTGAAAACAACTTTTTTAATTGACAAAATTGAATCTTCATTTATGACTCTCCTTCAAAAAAAAAAAAAAAAAAACACCAACAACTTTCAGGAAACTAATAATAGGAGGAACCATCATCAACCTGAAAAAAGACATCTACAAAAACCCTATTGTTATTATTATTAATGGTGAAAGAATTAATTTCTCCCCTCAACACCACCAATTGATAAGGAGCAAGGCAAGGATGTTCATTCATTCCACATCTATTCCATATTGCACTGGAGGAACTGGCTGAGGCAATAGAGAATAAAAACCAGTAAGAGACATACAGATTCAAAAGGGAGATATAAACACTTTCTATTTCCAAACAAGATGATTTTTTACACATGTATAATCTAAAGAAACTTACTAAAATAAAAAGTAAGTTTACCAAGATCACAGAATAAAAGATCAATATATAATAATCAGTCATATTTTATATACTAGGAGTGTCCACTCCAAAATTGAAATTTTAAAAATTATAATTTACAAGAGTATCAAAGCATGAAATAATTAATAATTAGGGAAAAGTTTAACAAAATATGTACAATTTTGTATGCTAAAAACAAAAACATTAAGGGAAATTAAATATTTAAATAAAAGAGCAATATATTGGTCAGGTGTGGTGGCTCACACCTGTAATCCCAGCACTTTGGGAGGCTGAGGGCAGGCAGATCACTTGCGGTCAAGAGTTCAAGATCAGCCTGGCCAACATGGCAAAACCCCATCTCCATTTAAAGTATAAAAATTAGCTGGGCGTAGTGGCATGGGCCTGTCGTCCCAGCTACTTGGGAGGCTGAGGCAGGAGAATTTCTTGAACCTGCGAGGCAGAGCTGCACTCCAGCCTGGCAGACAGAGTGAGACTCCATCTCAAAAAAAAAAAAAAAGCAATATATTATGTTTATGAATAGGATGACTGAATACTGATAAGACGTCAATTCTCCCCAAGTTTATCTATAAGTTCAATGAGATCCCAATCAAAATCCTAGCAGATTCTTTTTTTTCAAATTGATAGGCTGATCATAAACTTTATATGGAAATGAAAGGGCTTAAAATAGCCAAATGAATTTTGAAAATATTCTAGAAGAAAATGTAAGAGAAATTTTTTTGCAAACTTGAGTGAGGGAATTATTTCTTAAGGCACAAAAACACGACCCATTAAAAAGGGGCTAATAAATAGAATTTCATTAAAGTTAAAAATGCCTGCTCTGTGAAATAAACTGTCATAAAAATGAAAAAAAAATCTAGAGTAAGAAACAAATCACAAAACACAAACCTTATAAAAATCTTGTATCCAGAATATATAAAGAAATCTCCCAACTCAATATTTAAAAACATTTGAACAGAGGCTACCAAAGAAGATATATAAGTACATGGCAAGATTCTCAACATCATTACTTATTAGGGAAATACAAATTAAAATACAATGACATGTTTTACCCCTATACAATTTTTTGAATGACTTAATTTTTTTAATGGCAATATCAAATGCTCACCTGCATGCTGAGCAAATAGAACGCTCCTACATTGCTGGTGGGAAGGCAAAATGTTAGAACCATTTGGAAATCAGCTTAACTATTTCCTATTAAGTTAAATATATGCTTACCACATGATATAGGAATCCCATGTCTATGTATATGCTCAGGTGAAATGAAAACATGTATTCACTCAAAGAACTCTACATTAATGTTCATGGTTGCTTTATTCATATTTGTTCAAAACAGGAAACAACCCACATTTTCACCAACTGGTGAATGAATAAGCAAATTATAGTACATTCATCCAATAGAACAGTCATCCTTTTAAATATGCTTATACATGGCCAGGCATGGTGGCTCACACCTTTAATCCCAGCACTTTGGGACGCCGAGGCAGATGGATCACTTGAGGTCCGGGGTTCAAGACCAGTCTGGCCAACAGGGTGAAATCTCATCTCTACCACAAATACAAAAAAAAAAAAAAAAAAAAAAAAAAACAGCAGGGTTGTGGTGGTGCACGCCTCAGACCCAGCTACTCAGGAGGCTGAGGCAGGAGAATCTCTTGAACCCGGGAGCTGAACTGAGGTCACGGCACTGTACTTCAGCCTGGGTGACAGAGGAAGACTCTGTCTCAAAACAAAAACAAAAACAAACAAAACAAACAAAAAACAATACTCATACCTTTAACAACATGGATAAGACTCAAAAACATGCTGGGCGTGGTGGCTCACACGTGTAATCCCAGCACTTTGGGAGGCTGAAGCGGGTGGATTGCCTGAGCTCGAGAGTTCGAGACCAGCCTGGCCAACATGGCAAAACCCCGTCTCTACTAAAAATACAAAAAATTAGCTTGGCGTGGTGGCGGGCGCCTGTAGTCCCAGCTACTTGGGAGGCTGAGGCAGGAGAATCACTTAAACTCGGGAGGCGGAGGTTGCAATGAGCCGATATCATGCCACTGCACTCCAGCCTGGGTGACAGAGTGAGACTCCGTCTCAAAAAAAAAAAAAAAAGAAAGAAAAAAAAAAGACTCAAAAACATTATTCTAAGGGAAATAGATCCCAAATGCTACATACTATATGTTTTATTCCTACAGCTTCTAGGAAAGACACAAAAAGGGACAGAAATCAAATCAGTGATTGCCAGGACCTAGGGGTGGGGTGAGGGATTGACTGCAAAGAGGCATTTAGGAAATTTGGGGAATAATAGAAATGTTTGTATCTTGATTGTAGTTGAAGATACATAGCATCTGCATTTGTCAAAACTCGTCAAACTCTACAGTTTAAAAGAGTAAATGTTGTGTATGTAAATTTTACCTCAACAAACCTGACTTGAAAAAAACAGCAGGAAATATTAGACAACAATGTGAATAACAGTGGCATTTGCAGTCATGTTGGTCTTTACAAAGGACCCAATTTGTGTTTCTCGGAGCACAGTTTTGAGGTTAAATGATGTACTGGGTCCCTTTTATCTCCCCTCTTTCAATCTCTTTTCCAGTTTGGTTTCAGCAAAGGGAAACACCACAGGAGACTGAAGAAAAGAAGTAGAGTGAAATCTGGTGCTTATTTCATAGGTTCCATGCCCTCTGGTTTGCTCTTGACTTGCCATGTCCTTTTGTGAAATGTCACACTTCTGCCAGACAACTTTCTCTACTCAGGATCCCTTTGTCTCTGCGTCCCTGTAACTATCCTTGACTCTTCAGGACTAGGGTTTACTATACCACATGATCCCTTCTGGTTCTTCTACACGATGTTCACATCTCATTCTCTTCAAATTACTCAATTTGAATGTGCCATCTCTTTTCTGCCAGATTCTGACAGATACAGATAATAAGGTTCAACCCTTTGTCTTGTCACTTCTAAGCTAAGAAGATTTGGGCCACCCATTTTACAGATTTGAGCTTTAGTTTTCTATTCATTATATTTGAAAAAGTATACTTCCTTGGCAAGGTTGTTATGGGAATTAAATCATGACACGCTAGCTGAAAAAGTTTTCATTAATATTTTCTCCCTTTCTCATCTTAGACTCTCCCCATCCAACACTGAATATTTATTCTCTTTATCTTTTTATTTCTTTGCATGTTCCCATTTTTCCTCTCTCTTTTGAAGGTAATGGAATTTTTCTATCATGTGTAAATGCATAAGTAAATCATATAGAGGTGTATAATATACAGAAGGCTGTAAAAATGGCTTAAATGTACCATGGATGTTCCTGGAATAAACTGTTGCTATTTCAACTGCTGCAGAACAGTTAAGTCAAACTTTTGAATTAGGTCAACAAAATCCACAAATAGGGAGGAATCTTTGGACTGTCTAAGCAGGGACAGATCTGGAATAAATCAGCCACAGATATCACTTGTCGGCATGCTAAGAGCGGCATTTCAAATAAGGGTAGAAGGTATGCCAATAATATTGGCTTCTGGTAGCATTATGATGCATCCATTAATTCTATATTGAGAGTTTTCCATCATGTGGATTCAAGCTAACATAATTGTTTTATGGCAGTAATGTCTAAACAAGGGTCCACAATTAGGCTGTATTTTTATCTTGATTTGTGAACTGTCTCTGCCAACTACTCAAATTTCAAGCTTGTTGAGACATATGTTATCCCTGGAAACCCATCATAAAAATGAAGCATTTTACTGTCCCACTAATTCTGTGTGCTCTGGTCAGTTTCCCCATCTAGATCCAAATTAACCATGTAATTGTCCTTATACTAGTGACTAGTATTTTAAATGGCCTTTTTAGGGAAACCAAAAAGAATAAATTTATTGCTTTTTGTGCAAAAATATAATCTGGTTTGGATTCTCTTTTCTAGCTTTTAAAGCAGTGAGATAGAATGCAGTCGTGGGAAAAGAACTGGATATGGAATTAGGAAGATCTGCATTTGAAATCCAGCTCTGCGACTACTTCTTACGTGTGTGATCTCATAAAGTCACTTAATTTATCTGAGCCTTGGCCTCTTTACCTGTCAGATGGGGACCCTCTGGTGAATCAAATGAGCCATTAACGATCTAATAACATAACATGTTACCTTTATAACTTAATAATTCATTTAAAAAATAATTTGTGTATGTAAGGATGCAAATATAATTAGTAGGAGATAAGAATGAAAGAAAACCTTCAGCCAAAGGCAGAAATATTTTGGTTAAAAAGAAATCAAAGTACTGAAGAACAAGAGCAAGACAAAAATGATTACAACGTCTTCATTTATAGCTCACATGTCACAGCTCAGTATTTATAGGTTTGTTAGTGACAGCCTTCCCAGTATAGCAATGTTAATTACGAAGTAGCTGTCATTGTGTTTCACTGACACAGCACTGTGCACCTGACGGAGGCTGAAAGTACTCATTATTTCCATAGCTGATCATTTAAAGGTCCAAAAATTACACCAATAAATCCGTTTGTGTCTGATTACAATCTCTCTATATCGTACATTGAAATTCCCTGGTGACTTTTTAACAAATCTTAGTGCATTTTATTTCCCAAATATGATTTGTAATAATCAGAGCTTGACTAAAACCTCAGGAAGAGGTGATGGGTGTGAAGCTGAACACAATACTAAATCTATATTCAAATTTTCCAGAGCCTATACTTCCATCGTTATTTAAATGCCATGATCAAAGCAATAGATAGACTAAATATGGAGGGAAAGGAGGGAGGGAGAAACTGAAGAAGGAAGGGAGAGGGAGGGAGAGAAAGAGATCGAAGAGAGGCTTGGGAAAATGTTCAGTGGAAAATCTGTAGAAATGATGTAAGAGAAAGCAAAGGCAGGGATTGGAGTAAGGGGTGTATAACTGAGACTATAAAAACTCAGAGAGAAAACTCACCACCAGGGCTGAGTTTTGGAGAAACTGCAGAGACAGTACTCTAAAGTTAGAATCTCCTGATCTTTCACGAGGTAAGTTATATGTAAAAATTGATAAAGATTTAATGCTTCTTTTAACTATTATTTTTACTTTCACAGACTCTTTAAATGTTTTGATTATATCTTGATTTTGTTAAAATTAGAGTGGTAATATTTCCCTCTCTAAAATGAGTAGAAAATCAAAGATATTTTTGTAATGCAAACTTAAGGTAGAACTAATTGCTTATTCAGATATTTCATATTTATAAGATTGCTTTTCTCTTCCATTTCAAAACAAACAGAAAGTGAATGCAAAATAATAATTCTATACATATATATGTTATTAGCGTTATTTTGCTTTCCTCAAAATTGTGTAATATTAGAAAAATGTTTAATATAAAAGAGTGGTCTAAACAACCTAGGTAAAAAAGAAAGGTTTTTTCCTCATTATTTCTATCAAAACTGGAGCTTAAGAAACATCCCTAAACTAATGAAATTCTATCTCTTATGTTCTTAAAACCTAATGCATCTTCTGTTTTTCTCCTTATATGTCAAATATGCAAATATGATATTAATAACATAGTTGGAGTAGACTTAGAGTATGCCTGTTCTTCAGTATTTGTAGTGCTCTTGCTATTCAATGATTGAATTGAGAGTTAATCTGAAACATACATTTGAGCTCTGTTGGAGAAGAAATTTAAAATTTTATTTCAGGTTTAGTGTGCACTCAGTGAATTCAGTTCTAACAATTCAAATGTTGTTTCTTTGAATAACAGACTCTATAGGTTTAGGAATGTGATTATTATTTGTTTATGAGTTTTCCTTCTAAAAATTTAACATTTTTGAGAATGAATTATGGTAATTTTAATGCCTATATAAGTTATAGAATTGATAGTGTTATACCAAAAACACCAGGGACATTCTGTGTTTTCTCTTACTTTGGTACTACTCTTCAGCACGCTTACAGAACTTTTCTAAGGAGCACTTTCTGTAGATAACAGTTCAGGTCTCCTTCATGTCAGTGAATTTTACTATGGCTTCATTCAAAAATTATTCAGAGTGTTTAAGGTTGACATTTGCTTTCTCCCCCTTATTTCTCAGGATTTTTAACTGATTCTTATATACTGAATAATGAGCAGTAGAGAAGCAGATATCTTCAGTTGACTGGGCACGGGAACCTCAGGGCTATAATTTTAACTTCTTTTACAAATACTCTCAATGATTTGAACATTTGATTAATAAAATTAGATTAATTGAACTTGTCTCAAAAATAAAGAACTCGAAGTAAGAAATCCTAATATATCATTCTAGCTCTGCTATAATCCACCTATACAACTGCAGGCAAGCCTTAAGCACGAATTAAGGCTTGATAATATTGTATTTTGTCCTTGTGAAAAGGACAAAAAAAAATAGAAGTGCTAGGGATACTGAGTATAAAAATATTTGAGGAAGCCCCCATGTCAGTCAATTTTCCCTATATTAGAGAATAAAACCTCAGTATCACAGAAGTTTAGGACTAATCTTTAGAGCTAATTTAACTGCTTTGCCAATATTTCATTTACTATGACTGTTACCTACCAGACAACTTTTGCTTAGATTCAATAGTTCAGTCAGAGAAATACAAGCTTTGGAGGCAGAAAACTAGACTTCTAATTCTAGTTCTGACTTCGACAGCTTTATGGACAAACCATTCAGCTTCCCTGAAGCTTTATTCTCCTCCCCTCAGGAGCTTGTGGGGATACAACAAGTAAGCTACAACAAGGTGCTAACTCTGGGTATCTCTCTTAAATGAACCAACTCTCCAAATGGCTTAAGATCTCTCAGATTAAAGGCTTCATTTTTTATTTATTTATTTATTTTTTTTAGCTAGCTCTTTCTCTTCTTTCTTCAGATAAGTGTCACGGTACATCCCTGGAGCAGTGATGCCTTCTTCCTTATTGCCACTCCATCAGCTCAGACCTTAATACAAACCATCTCCTCCCTCCAGTAACAATGCCTCTGCCACCACCTTCTGCTCTCTCTTCCTCTTCAACAATTTCTATATTATTATCTTCTTTCCCCTCCTTTGAGCAGGTTCATTCTCTCTGAGCCTCACTTTCTCCATCTATTAATTGTGGATATTAAATTTGACAATTTTTAATGATTGCTTCCTCTGTTTCTAAAATTCTATATTCCCAGGGTACCTAAGGCTATAAATATGTGAAAATTCCACTTTTAAAATATTATATAAAATGGTATTAAAAGTTCACTTTAGGTGGCACAATTAGAGCTAGAAGAATAATGATGCCTTCAGTACAGCTGAGCTTTCTTTTGTTTCTTTCCCAGGATTACATTTTTTATAGTTGGAAGCAATTTTTATAGAAATATTATGACTCAAAATAATGATAATGCACCAAATGTTAGAGTGATTTCTATTTATAACTCTCTAGAGTGAAATTTTCTTCCCCCATTCAATATTATTTTTCTTACTATATTTTCTATCACTCTGCCTTAATTCTAGATTTTGAGGAATAATTTTGTTCGTTAAAATGAAGGATAAAAATATTTTTTCATAAAAATTAAAAAGTAGTAAAAACATTTTGAAAAGTTGCCATATTTCAAAGGCAATATCAGGATAATGATAACTGTTATTTATTGAGTAACTAATTTATGCCTGCTGATTTACCCAGATTACTTCTGATCTTCATACTAAGCCTACAAATTAGGTCTTTGCCCTATTTTTCTGAAGGAGAAGTTAAAACAAAAAGGCTAAATGACATGCCTAATCAGGATTCAGATCCAGGTCTATGTAACTTAAGAGTCAACCTGTTTCTACTAATTCACTTTGTTGTATTACAAAGTATACATACAATACTAGGAGTTAGGAGACCAGATTTCTAAAGTAACTCAGCTTGTCTCAGTTCACAGATGTTTAAAAAATAGAATTATAATGTTTTCTGTATAGGTCTAACATGACTTGTAAGGATGACAGGAGATTAATTTCAAGATAGTAAAACACTATGCAAATGTTATTTTTTCAAAAGTTTATGTATGACAATTCTATTTGAAGAAAGTGGAAGCATTCCAGAAAGGATCTGCTCTTGCAGAAGGAAATCCCTAGACAGGACAAGCGGTTGAGGAGTTTCCACCTGAACCAGGCTGTGAGCAACAGGAAGACAGAGAAAGTATCTTCTTTACTTTTATATCCCCAGTATCTGACATGCAGTGTATGCCTAATAAATGCATCCTGTTTTTGAGTAGTATAAAATTTATATTTTTGCCCCTTTGTTTAATGTTAGAGATACTTTTCCATTTATTATGTTGGCTAGCTTAATGTAATTATGATGTAAGATTTTGATCAAATATTTTATATAAGTACAAAGTGGAGTAAACAGTGAAGGGGGTCGTGAAATTCCACATTAACTTCAGATTTAAATATGCTATATTTAACTTAATTTATCCAATTTTACCCTCTGCAAGCCTTTTAATGCTGCGTAAAAAGTTGCCTATGTATGGAACGGCCAGCCGATATGTGCAACTCTATTAGCTTTTCCCTATGTACAGTTTTAAAGCTATTTTCCCTTTAGTGAGCATTAGAATTAAACAACAAATTTCATTAACAGAATTGCCTACAATTATATACTAATGTTATTTTCTATTTTTAGGTAACATAGTTTTATATCAAGAAATATTTAGTTATTTGGGGATTTAGGTACAGATTAATGTATGAAAAGGAGAAATCCTAAAGTTTAGAGGAATGATTATTTGAGGTTAGTGATGCATGTAACTTTCATTAGAATGAGAATCTGTGATGTTAAATACTAATGGATGTATCAGGATTCCAGCATGAACTTCATCACATTTTACTGTAGCTGTAGAAACATAGGCTAATCTCTTATCTTCCCTCTACCTTGGTT
This sequence comes from Homo sapiens, assembly GCF_000001405.40. Taxonomy (NCBI): domain Eukaryota; kingdom Metazoa; phylum Chordata; class Mammalia; order Primates; family Hominidae; genus Homo; species Homo sapiens. The sequence goes on from NC_000003.12 coordinate 191,203,150, forward strand.
TTCGTATCAAGAAAGCTGGGATATTAGTATCTGCCCCGCATTCCTGTTTACCTTCCACATAAGGCTGCTCCATGCATTCATTCAACACACACATTTGACCCTGTGCCAGGCATTCTGTAAGGTGCTGAGATGCAATGGTGAACATGACATGGTCTCTGCCCTAAACGAGTTTATAACAACTAAACCCTTTGTTAAACATCCAGATCTGGGGGTTTAAAATAATAATGGAATCTTTCTCTAAGGTGGCATTGTAGGTTTCTGGCTTCTTAATTTTTGCAAGAAAGAGATTAGTAGCATTAATCACAAATCCAAATAGAGGAAAAAAACAGACAGAGATAGTTAAAAATAAAATTTTAAGATTTTGGAAGGCAAAGTATCTAAAAAAGAGTGAAAATGGTGCCAAATAGAATAAAATCAGTTAACACATGTTCTAGTAACTTATCATTCTTCCTAATTTGTTGCCTTCAGGGACAGTCATTTTAAAATGTAGGTATCTGCCACATTAATAACACTGCATCCATAAAAATATTACTTTATAAAAAATTTGTTTGGGAGATAGAAAAGGGTTTTACACTTACACAAATAGGTTATACTCGAAAGAGCATGAAACTGGGAGTCTGAAAATGAAAGTTGTTGTTCTGGCTCTTCTTCTAACTGGCTTTGTGACTTTGGAAAATTTGCTACTGCCAATTGAAGAGCACTGAGAAATGGGAAGAACACATTCCTGATATTTTATTTATTTATTTATTTATTTTGAGATGGAGTTTCGCTCTTGTTGGCCAAGCTGGAGTGCAATGGCGCAATCTCGGCTCACTGCAACCTCCGCCTCCTGGGTTCAAGCGATTCTCCTGCCTCAGCCTCCAGAGTGGCTGGGATTACAGGCACCTGCCGCCACGCCTGGCTAATTTTTTTGTATTTGTAGTAGAAACGGGGTTTCACCGTGTTAGCCAGGCTAGTCTCAAACTCCTGACCTCAGGTGATCTGCCCACCTCGGCATCCCAAAGTGCTGGGATCACAGGCGTGAGCCACCGTGCCCAGCTGATATTTTAATTTTTTTTTAACGGGAAATGTTAAATTTCTCAATGTCAGCTTGCTCCTTTTTTTCAGGAATCCAAAACATAAAGTAAATTCCCATTACACAATTTATTAAAAATAGCAAATTTCAGAAGGAAATGTTTAAATAAATGGCTATGCACCACGAGTATTTCTCAAATGTATTTTTTATGAGGATAATATAGATGATATATGTGACACTGACAGAAGCTACAAGCCACTAGCAATTTTCAATTGCTCTTGGGTGAAAATCCTCAATGATTTTAAATCTCGAATTTGAGTTTATGAAGATCCCAAACTTCTTACCCATTTCTAAGCTTCTAAGTGACACAGCCACACTCAGTTATCTGGTTTGTGAGGCAAAATTCATCAGAGACTGGAATCGCAGTTTCAATAAAAAAAGAGACCGCAATGGCTGGAGGTCCCAATCTTTGCTTTCCAGCAGGTAAGTCTCTCAATCATCTGGGTGCTTCCCTAATCAAAGAAAGCTAGAAAAACCTTCTTTAAAACTTTGTTCAAATATTGTCACTTATTGAAATATCGAGATTACCTATAGAATGACAAACTATAATTTATCCTTTTGGTTTTTTCAATATAAGTTTTGCAGATTGTCCCTATGAATGGCTGTAAGTTCCCTAAGTGACTGTTGGGTGTAAATTTTGTGTTCATAGAAAAAAATTGGCTTCAAACATCTGCCTTCAGCTTCATAACAATCACTTCAAAACAATTTTTTTAATTATGTTTTAAAAACATAATATTTTCAAATTATAGTTTACAAAGTGTTTCTACATACTATTTTAGTTTCCGTTGTAAAGTTTTTAGTTATAATAAAACACAAATTAAAAAGGTGTAGTTTTCTCACAGATAAATTTATATCCTCATATATTTTTAGGAAACAATATTAAATATAAACTTAAAAGGCTTATTTATTTGAACTCTAAGCCAATTCCATAATTTGTGCTGTTTGTAAATTAAGATTAACTAAAGTTAAATAACTTACATTTTGTGAAGAAAATCAGTTTCATTAGACAGTTTTGAATATTTTAGAGTCTTGTTCAAGATCATTAGCCCATTAAGGAGCACAGCTAAACCTCTTATTCCTGTCCTTCAAGTCTGAGCCTGAGTTTTTCCCCAGCATAATGCTGAATATCTGTATATTGTCTGAAAGAGTTTGAATATTTTTTTGAATATTTATTCTTTCATTGACAGAGAATTTTTGGAGTCACGTCAAGTAAAAAAAAATATATATATATATATGTATATAAAACCTTCACTAATATCACACACATTTGTGATGCTGGTGGAGGTTGTAGAGATCTGAAAATTCTTATTATCAAAAATTCGTATTTTGTCTTCACCAATTTTATATCTA